>NC_000012.12:51210128-52460128 GCF_000001405.40 Homo sapiens | reverse complement strand
AGGCACAGAGAGAAACCAACAATAACCAATAATTAAGTTATTATTAGTATTTTAAGTAAAATAGGGGTTCCTGAACACAAGTACTGTGATACCCTGACAGTTGATCTGAAAATCAAGCCAGCTGCAAACAGTCTCACGGACCACAGCACAAATTATGAATCAAGACTAAGAAATTAACTCAAAACCAGACAATTACATGGGATTTGAATAACCTGCTCCTGAATGACTTTTGGGTAAATAATAAAATTATGCAAAAATCAAGAAGTTCTTTGAAACTAATCAGAACAAAGATACAGAATTTCTGGGATGCAGCAAAGGCAGTATTAAGAAGGAAAGTTATAGGACTAAATGCCCACATCAAAAAGTTAGAAAGATCTCAAGTTAACAACCTAACATCACAACTAAAAGTGCTAGAGAACTGAGAGCATACAAATCCCAAAGCTAGCAGAAGACAAGAAATAACCCAAATCAGAGCTGAACTGAAGGAGATTGAGACACGAAAAACCATTCAAAAGATTAGGGCCAGGTGTGGTGGCTCACACCTACAATCCCAGCACTTTGGGAGGCCAAGGTGGGCAGATCACCTGAGGTTGGGAGTTCTAGACCAGCCTAGCCAACATGGTGCAACTCCCATCTCTACTTAAAAAATAAAAATCAATCAATAAATAAATTAGCCGGGTGAGGTGGCGCATGCCTGTAATCCCAGCTACTGGAGAAGTTGAGGCATGAGAATCACTTGAACCTGGGAGGCAGAGGTTGCAGTGAGCCAAGATCATGCCACTGCACTCCAGCCTGGGTGACAGAATGAGACTCTGTCTCAAAAAAAAAAATCAATAAATCCAGGAGCTGTTTTTTTAAAAATTAATGAAATAGGTATGCCACTAGCTGGAGTAATAAAAAAGAAAAGAGAGAAGATTCACAGCTGAATTCTACTAGATGTACAAGAAGAGCTGGTACCGTTCCTACTGAAACTATTCCAAAAAATTGTGGAAGAACTCCTCCCTAACTCTTTCTAGGAGGCCAGCATCATCTTGATACCAAAACTTGGCAGAGACACCACAAAAAAAGAAAAGTTCAGGACATTATCTGTGATGAACATTGAAGCAAAGATCCTCAACAAAATACCGGCAAATCTAGCGGCACATCAAAAAGCTTATCCACCATGATAAAGTAGGCTTTATCCCCGGGATTCAAAGTTGGTTCAACATACACAAATCTATAAATGTGATTCATCACAATAACGGAACTAAAGACAAAAACCACATGATTATCTCAATTGATGCAGAAAAGGCTTTCAATAAAATTCAACACCGCTTCATATTAAAAATTCTCAATAAACTAGGTATTGAAGGAACATACCTCAAAATAAAAAGAGCCTTCTGTGGCAAACCCACAACTAACATCATACTGAATGGGCAGAAGCTGAAAGCATTCTCTTTGAAAACCTGTACAAGACAAGGATTCCCTCTCTTATCACTCCTATTCAACATAGTATTGGAAGTCCTGTCAAGGGCAATTAGGCAAGAGAAAGAAATAAAGGGCATCCAAACAGGAAGAGAGGAAGTCAAACCATCCCTGTTTGCAGATGACATGATTCTATATCTAGAAAACCCCATAGTCTTGGCCCAAAAGCTCCCTCAGTTGATACACAACTTCAGAAAAGTTTCAGGATACAAAATCCACATACAAAAATCATTAGCATTCCTGTACACCAACAACAGCCAAGCCGAGAGCCAAATCAGGAAAGCAATCCCATTCACAATTGCCACAAAAAGAATAAAATACCTGGGAATACAACTAACCAGGGAGGTGAAAAATCTCTACAATGAGAATGACAAAACACTGCTCAAAGAAATAAGAGATGACACAAACAAATGGAAAGAACATTCCATGCTCATGGATAGGGGGAATCAATATCATTAAAAAGGCCATACTGCCCAAAGCAATTTGAGCAGATTCAATCACATTGGATTATATTCAGTGTGATTCCTATCAAACTACCAACAACATTCTTCACAGAACTAGAAAAAAATTATTTTAAAAATCATATGGAACTAAAAAAGAGCCTGAATAGCCAAGGCAATCCTAAGCAAAAAGAGCAAAGCTGAAGGCATCACACTACCCAATTTCAAACTATACTACAAGGCTACAGGAACCAAAACATGGTACTGGTACAAAAACAGACACATGGAACAGAATAGAGAATCCAGAAATAAGTCTGCACACCTACAACCATCTGATCTTTGACAAACCTGACAAAAACAAGCAATGGGGAAAGGATTCCCTATTCTATAAGTGGTGCTGGGATAACTGGTTAGCCATATGCAGAAGGCCGAAACTGGACCCTTTCTTTACCCCATATACAAAAATCAACTCAAGATGAATTAAAGACAAATGTAAAACTCAAAACTATAAAAACCCTGGAAGACAACCTAGGCAATGCTATTATGGACACAGGAACAGGCAAAGATATCATGACAAAGACACCAAAAGCAAATGCAACAAAAGCAAAAATTGACAAGTGGGGTCTAATTAAACTAAAGAGCTTCTGCACAGCAAAGGAAACTATCAACAGAGTGAACAAATAACCCACAGAATGAGAAAAAGTTTTGCAAACTATGCATCCGACAAAGGGCTAATATCCAGCATCTATAAGGAACTTAAACAAATTTATAAGAAAATAACAACCCCATTAAAGAATGACAAAGCACGTGAACAGACACTTTTCAAAAGAAGACATACATGTGACTAACAGTCATATGAAAAACAGCTTAACATTACTGATAATTAGAGAAATGCAACTCAAAACCATAATGAGATACCATCACACACCAGTCAGAATTAAAGAGTCAAAAAATAACAGTTGCAGAGAAAAAGGAATGGTTATGCACTGTTGGTGGGAGTGTAAATTAGTTCAACCATTGTGGAAGATATGTGGATTCCTCAAAGGCCTAAAAACAGAAATACTATTTGACCCAGCATTCTCATTACTGGGTATATACCCTAAGGAATATAAATTATTATCTTGATACTAGTATAAGTATGTTGTAGGATAAAGCAGATAAACCATATGTTAATGTCATTTAGAGCCAAACTTATCAGTGTGAGAAAATTTAAATACAGGTATGCATTATTCTATTAGGTTGGGGCAAAAGTAATTACTGTTTTTGCCATAACTTTTGCACCAACCTAATATAATCTTCTATTTGAATTGAAATATCAGTATAAGCTTCTGATTTGCTATCTTTTTAAACATATTTGTACATTTTCCTAGCTCCGACCATTGAAAAGACTTCACAGCAAAGGCAACTCAGTAATAAAAAGGGCTCCTAGCAGCCGAATTCTAGTTGATGTATATCATTTCCCAATAAAAGCAACTAGATCTACAAGGAGAAATAGGTGATTTCATGTCCATTGCATGAGTACAAAGTAGGCCTGAGACATCTGGTCCTAGAAAACAAGAAACCTATCGAAACCAAATGAGGTCCTGTCAAAGGACACAGAAGCCAATCTAAAGAACTTCCATTGCTTCAAATAGGACCATTTAAGTGCCAAAAGAATGAATGGACTGCAGTGGACTGAAACATATCAAATATATTTTTTGTTAAACTGTGAATTTATAATTATATCACAACAAAAATACCTTCTTGGTTACCTTTGAAGATTGCTAGAGAACCAATCTATTATCTGAAAACTGATAAATAAAGGGAAAGAGTCAAACACTTATTCTAAGTTTCTTGTATGAATTAAATGTTAGGTTACCTAAAAGGTAAATGATGAAGAGTCCTTCTTTGTAGAGGAATCCCAACTAATAAACACAGAAGGCATGATAAAATCAGCAAGATGCCATTTTGCAACCTCTAATGAAGCAGTGAATCTGGAAATTGATGGAATCAATGAATATTAATATATCAGATGAAAATTGTATTGTGTGCAGTGGTTTATAATGGAGGGATTGGGTTGAACCCACTGAAATCCCCTAATCAGTCTTAACAGCACAAAAAGTAGGCAATTACTATTACATATCTTATGATATGGTGCAAGAGGATGTACATAGCACCAGCTATTGCATAATCTTGCCTGCCACAATGGGAACAAATCTAATCAAGTCTTCACTACAACTACCAACACATAGGAAAAACTAGGTGAGAGAAGGCGTTATGTGATACCAACAGGAAGCAATGAGTCAAATCCAGAATATGAACATTCTATAGAAACAAACAAACAAAAATTCCACAAATCAATGGCAAATAAAAGAAAAAGACAGGGTTCATTACAGAATAAATAACCTTAAAAGACATGGCAGCCGAATGTAATATATGAACCTAATTAGGTTGTTGCTTGGAATAAGCCAGCTACAAAGAGAAATTTTTGAGATAATCAGAGAAATGAAAATATGAAGGAGGTATTGGATAGATTTAATACTGTTACACAACTAGATTATAAATTCACTACTACTCAGCTATATATACAAATATTGACAAGTGAAATGTCTTGATGTCTAGATTTCCTTTAAGATACTTTAAGAAAAGAAGTAGGGGAGTTAGATATAAAAAGACTAGGGGAGTTAAATGGAACAATAATGAGAAAAATGTTGATAACTGTTTAATCTGCATAATTCATTCATGGAGGTTTATATACTGTTCTCTTTACCTGTTGGAAATTTTCAATAATACAAAGTTTGTTTTAGCAATGAAGTGGCTTATTACACTGAGAAAAACACAAATATAGCTTGAGATTAAATTTCTAGTGATAGTAAAAATGATGTTTTATGGAAAGCATTCAAGTTACTCAAAAACAGCTCAAGGGAAGATAGAGGCCCTACAGAACAATGAAACATCTATATTAACAAAGTGCAAGAGAGGAAAAAAATAATATTTCAAACTTAGGTTATTGGATTAACATTTTACATAATATGATATTTTAAATATAAATGAGTGGCTTCTGAACTTAATCTAGTGGAAGAAAGGGAAGCCCTTTCCTCTTCTCAGAAATTGCCTAAAAACAACAAAGAGAACAAAAAACATAAAGGCAGACTCTACCCTCAAAAACCAGAAGTAAAAGATCTTAAAATCCCTAAACCAAATGATGATGATGATGATGATGATGATGATGATAATAATAATAATAATAGAATGTCCTCACATAAATAGAGAAATACAAACAAGGTTGTTAGGAAAACTCAGAGAGCAGATGCCACGGCTGCCAATCTCAGACAAAGCCAGTGGAGAACACTCACAAATAAACAGATCAAAATCAAACAACACAGTAACCACAAAGGAAAACCAAACACAGCCTAACAGTGAGGTTTTACTACATGCCAGGCACAGTTGACTCATTTTCCTCAACTAAATCAATGTAAAGGGCATGTCCTCCTGTGAAAATCCAAGAATCCCTTATTTGCAACTATCACAACTGGGTGTGTGAGCACGAGCCAGGACCCTGCTTGTCATGAAGTTTCAAGAAACTATGAAGGCAAATTTGAATAAGAAGAGAGACAAGGTCAACTAGTAGCATTTTATTGTGAGGCAAAGAAAACAAAGAGGCTGTAAATTGTGAGCCACTCTGCAGTGATCTTTATTGGTTTGGCTGAATGAAAGAATAAAAGAACTATTCACACAGCCCTGTGTCACAATCAGAACTCCTGTTAGCCTGGATATGGCCCTGGCTCATCCACCCATAATACTTTCTACAAACCGCAGGTCCAGAGGGGGCTCATCTCATTAAAAATAAGCACTAGTCAGAAAGGAACCATGCCAGGACTCAGAAAAGGTCTGTGCATTCAAAATTGAAAAAAATAGGCAAAAAAAAAAAAAAGACTCATAAAAACTCTCAACAGAAAAAGGCACAATAAAATACTAAAAAATAAACACTATAAAGTGGGAAAAAGAAGACAAAATATAGTGAGACAGGTAAAAGATAAAATATTCATTTGTGGAGCACAGAAAAGGGGTAGAGATAACAACAAAGTCCTGCTTAGAAATGAAGGTCAAATTGGCCAGGTGCGGTGGCTCACGCCTGTAATCCCAGCACTTTGGGAGGCCAACGCGGGTGGATCACGAGGTCAGGAGTTCAAGATCAGCCCGGCCAACATGCTAAAACCCCATCTCTCCTAAAAATACAAAAATTAGCCGGGCATGGTGGCAGGTACCTGTAGTCCCAGCTACTTGGGAGGCTGAGGCATGAGAATCACTTGAACCTGGGAGGCGGAGGTTGCAGTGAGCCGAGATCATGCCATTGCACTCCAGCCTGGGTGACAGAGCAAGACTCTGTGTAAAAAAAAAAAAGAAAAGAAAAAAGAAATGAAGCCCAAATTGAAAGCGGCATAAGGAGGAAAGACATTGGTAAACAGACAGTAATGGACATTTGGGAGAAATGTCCTCGAATAACTGGGAAAAGCAAACAGCTATGAAAAAGAGACTAGAGACTGTTAAAAAGAGAATCAGAAAACATAGATGTGGGAGACAAAGCAGACACAACACAATCACAATTGAAAAAGACAATATTTTTATGTTTTGTACATATGAATACATGAAATATTTTATATACATAAAACACACTCAAACACATACACACAAAACATTCATGTATTTATTTATATACCTTTCTACAATGCAGGCTCCCTCTCTATATATGCCAACTCCCTCCACCTCTTCCTCACCCATACAAACACACGTTGACACAAACACATATGCACAGACATGTCACCCATGGCCCAGGAAAAGCACAGGAAAATATCCAAGTAAAGATACAAGGATACACAAGGAACTGCTAACATTACTTCCTCCATAGATAGGAATTGGGTAACTGGGGAATGGCCTTGAGCTATATTATTTTGTTGTTTAGCATGTTTTACAAAAAATTTTTTAAAACATGTATCATGTATTCAATTTGTAAACATGTAAATAATTGTGCAAATAGTACTATTCAAAATTTAAATGGGCAATCTACTACATTTACTTCTAGAATGTTTAAATATAGACAGAATCTTAATAAGCTTCTAATTTTAATATGAAATATGAAGGTTAGAGTCTCATATTAAAGGAAACAATAGGGGTATGCAATTAGAAAAATCCCAAGAATGAAAAAGTACAATGAACAGTTAACCTGTTTTATTTAACAAATAAAAGTAAGAAATGAAGGGAGATTTTTAAATTTCAATGATTTAAAGGATATATCACTCAAATACAACGTTTATAGAGCTTATTTTGACTCTGATTGGGACACCAAAATATAAGAAATATATATCAAAAATAGGACTGCTTGAAGACTAAATAGACACTTGTTCATTTTAATTAGTATGTAAATTTTTAAGATATAAAAATAGTGTTTTGATTTTTTAAAGGACCTATTATTTAGATATTAATATTGAATTATTGATTGAAGACATAATATGACTTCTGGAATTTCCTTTCAAACAATCTAGAATGGAAGAGGAAATAGGGTTGAAGTATGAAAGAAATCAGGCTGGCCATGAGATGATCATCATGGAAGCAGGTGACAGGTATATACAGGCCCATTGCAGTGTTCTGCTTCTCTACCTGTTTAAAATTGCACCTAAAAGGTGAAACAATTATGGGGAAATTGTAATATTTCTGTTAAGGAATTCACAATACAGTGCCTGTGATCTCCAACAGCAAGGCTGGAAGAAAGTCAGACTGGGAAGAGGAGGGCACTCAGGGCATGTCGATAAACAGCCTAGCATGCAGAACCTTTGCTGAAGACAGTGACTAATTCCAACTTCATGAATTGAGAATACTCTTATTGTGCTGAGATCTCAAGTCAAAGCTGGAGGCAGGAACATTTTGCCTGACTAAAGGAAGCGAAAAATGCAATCTCGGTATTTCATAACTTTTGTAATAATGCAGGTGTGATCTCACTATTTGTAAAGCCCAGCCCTTCCCAACCTGCAAGCTCACCTTCCAGGACTGGGCCCAGCCCATGCTCTCCATATATAAGCTGCTACTGGAGTCCGATTCCTCGTCCTGCTTCTCCTCCCTCTCGCCTCCAGCCTCTCACACTCTCCTAAGCCCTCTCATCTCCTGGAACCATGGCCAGCACATCCACCACCATCAGGAGCCACAGCAGCAGCCGCCGGGGTTTCAGTGCCAACTCAGCCAGGCTCCCTGGGGTCAGCCGCTCTGGCTTCAGCAGCATCTCCGTGTCCCGCTCCAGGGGCAGTGGTGGCCTGGGTGGCGCATGTGGAGGAGCTGGCTTTGGCAGCCGCAGTCTGTATGGCCTGGGGGGCTCCAAGAGGATCTCCATTGGAGGGGGCAGCTGTGCCATCAGTGGCGGCTATGGCAGCAGAGCCGGAGGCAGCTATGGCTTTGGTGGCGCCGGGAGTGGATTTGGTTTCGGTGGTGGAGCCGGCATTGGCTTTGGTCTGGGTGGTGGAGCCGGCCTTGCTGGTGGCTTTGGGGGCCCTGGCTTCCCTGTGTGCCCCCCTGGAGGCATCCAAGAGGTCACTGTCAACCAGAGTCTCCTGACTCCCCTCAACCTGCAAATTGACCCCGCCATCCAGCGGGTGCGGGCCGAGGAGCGTGAGCAGATCAAGACCCTCAACAACAAGTTTGCCTCCTTCATCGACAAGGTGAGCCAGTGCCATGCCCTCCATCGGGCACTTCAGGGTCCCCAGACCAGAAGAGCAACACCTTCCTGCCGGAGAGACCCTAGGAGGGAGGGAGAAGGGGACTCAGCCCAGCTCTGCAGAGAGTGCAGGTGGCTCTCGGTGCACAGGAGGCAGCACAGATGGGCATCACTCCCCCATGGGATATCTGGAGTGGCCCTCACTCCTGCCTAGGGAGAGCCATAACTTTTCATAACCCTGAAGCACAGATGAGGCCATCAGAGAGTGGAGTAGGTTAATTCTCCCCTCTGAAGTGTTTAAGAGATTACAAAGCAAATGCCAGGAGTATATGGGCTGGTAAATTACACTCTGGGGTCTGGGTAAGAGGAAAAAGATTTAGAAAGAAAAGGAAAAGATAATCTGGCTGGATTAAGAAAAAAAGGGACATAGAAACAACTGTAAAACATGGATAAATGCTAATTAATTTTAAAAACAGAGAATGACCATAACATCAGAATATTTGAGAGGAGACACTAAATGGGAAAGTAGACTGAAATGTAATCATGAGTCAACATCTAATATCCCTCCTAACTAAGATCCTCTCGGTAAAAAAAACTGTGTACAATATATCAGGTAATTAGTATTTTTAAACTAGATTTGTGATTGTGCTTGGAAAAAGAAAAGAAGAAATGTTGAAACTCACTGATGATCAATAGCTTACAGTGCGAGAACACCTCAGTGGTCCGTGGGACAATTTCTCTAGTGAGACTGGTGGGGTGCAAAGGAGAAGGAGTTGGGGGAGCAGAGCTCAGCCTGAGCCTCTCTACATGCACTGTAGTAGCCCAGCACCATGGGGACCTCCCAGACCTCCAGGAAACTGGATACCAGACACTTTCTCTGCCTTCCTTTTCCTGGAAAATGACCATTTTGCTTCCCCTCCAGGTGCGGTTCCTAGAGCAGCAGAACAAGGTTCTGGACACCAAGTGGACCCTGCTGCAGGAGCAGGGCACCAAGACTGTGAGGCAGAACCTGGAGCCGTTGTTCGAGCAGTACATCAACAACCTCAGGAGGCAGCTGGACAACATCGTGGGGGAACGGGGTCGTCTGGACTCGGAGCTGAGAAACATGCAGGACCTGGTGGAGGACCTCAAGAACAAGTGAGGACTCCATTTCCTGCAGCACACACTTCAAGACTATTGGGTGACCAGGGCCAGATGTGTGTAGGATTCCTAACAACCCATGTCCATGGAAATGAAAAGCACAAATTAGTCCCTAGGAGCAAACCTGCAAGAACCACAGATGGTTATGGGAGGATGGGGAGATTAAAGAAATGGCAAATTTAGTAGTAGCAAAATTCATCTCTTTGGCTCTCTGTGGCAGGAAAGCTCAATTAGAATATATTCCATTCAGGAAAATGTTGAATCCCAAGCTGCTTTTCTGTTTCATCCTACCCACTGGCTCAAATGTGTCCCATGCCTTTCTTCCTGTAGATATGAGGATGAAATCAACAAGCGCACAGCAGCAGAGAATGAATTTGTGACTCTGAAGAAGGTGAGCAGATGAAGCCAGGGGTTCAAATTCATTTAGAAGGAGAGAAGTGGCTCTGTGTCCTCGCTCCCCTGGGAGAGGAGAATTGGCAGGAGGACTAGAAGATGGGTAGATTGGAAAGGTGAGCTCAGGCAACTCCAGGTTGTTGGCTCTTTCCCCAGGATGTGGATGCTGCCTACATGAACAAGGTTGAACTGCAAGCCAAGGCAGACACTCTTACAGATGAGATCAACTTCCTGAGAGCCTTGTATGATGCAGTAAGCAACTCCACCATCCTTCTGTTTACTCTGATGGGGTCTGCAAAGGGGAGAAGATGTACAGGGCTGGGCATCTCTGTAAATGTCAGAAGTGAAGTTGATCTTATGACCTTCTGTTCTGCAGGAGCTGTCCCAGATGCAGACCCACATCTCAGACACATCCGTGGTGCTATCCATGGACAACAACCGCAACCTGGACCTGGACAGCATCATCGCTGAGGTCAAGGCCCAATATGAGGAGATTGCTCAGAGGAGCAGGGCTGAGGCTGAGTCCTGGTACCAGACAAAGGTGAGCACGGAGTGGACAGCCGCTGAGGAATCCTTGTGTCCATCCCTGAATACCAGAGGACTGCAGACTTCACTGGGGACATCCCCTGACAGGAAGCTGGGGTCCTCTCACAGGACATGCACTCTGCACTATTAGAGTAGACATTTGCGGAACTTATGCCCAAGTCAAGGAGGAAAAACAACCCAATGCAGGAGGCAAGCTACGATAGACAAGGACATAGTCATCTGTGCTTTTAGCTTCACCTTGGTTGCTGACTTTTAGAAATTGGTACAGAACATTTCTACTCCCTAAGAAAACTAGGCAGGCAGTGGTGCCATAATAAGGATGGTCTGTGACTCCAGTGTTTAGTATCCACCCACCACATAACATCAACTTTTCCTCAAGTTTCTTGGGGAGAAGCCATTAGGTCCACTTCATGACATTCATGATACACAAGTGAAAGTCATCGCTCCCAGGTAAGAACCCGTAGACACTGTCTCTCTCTCCACCTCTGGGCTGCAGTACGAGGAGCTGCAGATCACAGCAGGCAGACATGGGGACGACCTGCGCAACACCAAGCAGGAGATTGCTGAGATCAACCGCATGATCCAGAGGCTGAGATCTGAGATCGACCACGTCAAGAAGCAGGTATGGTGAGGGGCAATGGAGGAGAAAAGCATCATTTTTTTTATTAGGTCATGAGGCAGTAGTCACCCATCATTTAGTAAAATTCTTTGGGAATTGATTGATAAGCAGAGAAGGAAAGACATGCAGTTCCTAGGCTCAGTGAGAACACTCTGGCTCAGAGACATGGATCACACCCAAGGATATGAAACAATCACCTGGGCAGAAGCACTCTCAGCTGGTCAAAGCTGTAAAAGTATAGTCTAGAGGCATTGGAAGGGCTTATGTAAGAAGACTGATTGACTTTGGAATTGCAAAGGACCAAGTTGGGCAAGATGTCAGGTCAGAAAGCATCAGTAACATTGCTGCAAATCTGCTCAAGGTTCACGGTGAAAAAGCAAGTGAAACCAGGGCTATGAGGAAGGAAAACGTGGCCCAAGCAGGTGAGAGGATGTGAGGCAGGAGGAAGGCAAGGTCACAACAGCCTCATGTGAAAACTCATCACCTCAGTTGACAACGTTTGCAAATTATTGTGGCATCCATGTAAGGTCATCAAAAATGGTTTTGGTTTTTTTGCTTTGGAGCCAACACTTAATGTCCTTGGTCTTGTGTCCACTGTGGCATCTTCCATTGGTCATCACCCACATCTTTAGGCAGTGGAGTTAACAGAAAGGGCACAGGATTTTATCATGTGACTCCAGACGTAAAAACTTTGAAGACAGTAAAAAGGCTAGACAGGAAGAGTCAGAGCTCATTTACCATCAGTTCTGGGTTCCTGGTGCCTTCTTCACTGGAAAAGAACCAGCCAGGTTTATTCTTCTCTGGAAGACCAGATGACAAGTTCTTTCTCTTCCTTTGCCCTCCTAGTGTGCCAACCTACAGGCCGCCATTGCTGATGCTGAGCAGCGTGGGGAGATGGCCCTCAAGGATGCTAAGAACAAGCTGGAAGGGCTGGAGGATGCCCTGCAGAAGGCCAAGCAGGACCTGGCCCGGCTGCTGAAGGAGTACCAGGAGCTGATGAACGTCAAGCTGGCCCTGGATGTGGAGATCGCCACCTACCGCAAGCTGCTGGAGGGCGAGGAGTGCAGGTGGGTAACTGACGCGACTTCCTCCAACAGCTGAGTCCATCTTCAAGGTTCTGGCACTGAGCACAACTTTAAGGTGCACTGCCCAAGGCCATAATTGCTCTTCTTGGGAGAAAACTAAAAGTTTTCCCATGGACTTTCCCACCCACTGAGGCTTCCCATGCTCGTCCAGGGAAGGTCTCACCCTCCCTGTGTTCCTCTCCACAGGCTGAATGGCGAAGGCGTTGGACAAGTCAACATCTGTAAGTACCTTTGTTTGCCTTCCTCCCCTGCCCTTGCACTCTCCTGACTGGGCTCAGGCCGGCAGGATGAACTCATTGTGGCTTCTTGTGTCCTTGTCCCCTCCCCACCACAGCTGTAGTGCAGTCCACCGTCTCCAGTGGCTATGGCGGTGCCAGCGGTGTCGGCAGTGGCTTAGGCCTGGGTGGAGGAAGCAGCTACTCCTATGGCAGTGGTCTTGGCGTTGGAGGCGGCTTTAGTTCCAGCAGCGGCAGAGCCACTGGGGGTGGCCTCAGCTCTGTTGGAGGCGGCAGTTCCACCATCAAGTACACCACCACCTCCTCCTCCAGCAGGAAGAGCTACAAGCACTGAAGTGCTGCCGCCAGCTCTCAGTCCCACAGCTCTCAGGCCCCTCTCTGGCAGCAGAGCCCTCTCCTCAGGTTGCTTGTCCTCCCCTGGCCTCCAGTCTCCCCTGCCCTCCCGGGTAGAGCTGGGATGCCCTCACTTTTCTTCTCATCAATACCTGTTCCACTGAGCTCCTGTTGCTTACCATCAAGTCAACAGTTATCAGCACTCAGACATGCGAATGTCCTTTTTAGTTCCCGTATTATTACAGGTATCTGAGTCTGCCATAATTCTGAGAAGAAAATGACCTATATCCCCATAAGAACTGAAACTCAGTCTAGGTCCAGCTGCAGATGAGGAGTCCTCTCTTTAATTGCTAACCATCCTGCCCATTATAGCTACACTCAGGAGTTCTCATCTGACAAGTCAGTTGTCCTGATCTTCTCTTGCAGTGTCCCTGAATGGCAAGTGATGTACCTTCTGATGCAGTCTGCATTCCTGCACTGCTTTCTCTGCTCTCTTTGCCTTCTTTTGTTCTGTTGAATAAAGCATATTGAGAATGTGAACATGTTGTGTTAGATTGTATTGCTGACCACTTCCTGGTTTAGAAACATTCGCACCCCACAAATGGTTTCTTATCTTTGGGGAACTGCTGCTCTCCCCACTGACCAGTCATCATGGAGGATGAGTCGGGAGCTCCCCCTCCACAGCCTACTCCATCAGTCAACATTATGTGATTCTGTCGGACACTCCGGTGGACAATCACCAACTACTCAGCCCTCACCACTTGGGAATTTTTCCACAAATGGAGTCTTTTATAAAGCATCAGAACAAAAAGGGAAGCTAATTCCTGGAATCTGGATCAGCATAATCTGATAACTAAGATTCATTTATATTTTTTATTTTTCAGCCCCATCATTTGGTGGCTTGACCCCACACTGATCTCTGAGACTCCCTCTCTCCCCGGCTCCCCACCACCAGGGAAATATTGCACTGACCCTGCAGATCAGAAACACTTGGTAAGAAGCAGGTGCTTGCCCTGACTCTATGATTATTAAGACTTTTGCCACCAATGCTTGCTCTGATATAAACTTCTAAAATCCATCATTCAAACTAATAGATACAGTAAAGGAGCATCCTCAAATCTCAGTGTATGGATTTAAAGCCATGCAGTGCCATATGTTTTGGAATGGTTTTGACACAACTCAAAGATACATGGGCTGAACTTAAGAACTTATCCTGGGGCCGGACTTGGTGGCTCACACCTGTTAATCCCAGCACTTTGGGAGGTCGAGGCAGGTGGATCACTTAAGGCCAGGTGTTTGAGACCAGCCTGGTCAACAAGAAGAAACCCCGTCTTTACTAAAAATACAAAAATTAGCTGGGCATGGTGTTATGCACCTGTAATTCCAGCTACTCAGGAGGCTGAGGCACAAGAATCACTTGAGTCTGGGAGGTGGAGGTTGCAGTGAGCCAAGATAATGCCACTGCACTCCAGCCTGGGCAACAGAGCAAGAACTCCATCTAAAAAAAAAAAGAAAAAAAGAACTTATCTTGGGAAAGGCTGGTTAGAATGTTTATGACTGTACACCTAAAAACAGTGACTTTGACTGTCTGTACATTATACCTCAACAACCCTTAGAAAAAGTGAAGTTGTAAAAAAAGATAAAATAAATTCATAAAATTTCTTTATAAAATTAGAGAGTTTGTTTTGAGGTGCTGCTGGCAAAGATGACATGGTCCATGAGACAACATGGTCCACGCTGACAGACGACACTCAGATCAACATGGGGACTGAGCACAGCGGCTCATGACTGTAATCCCAACACTTTGGGAGGCCAAGGCAGGAATCACTTGAGCTTAGGAGTGTGACACCAGCCTGGGCAACATAGCCAGACCCTGTCTGTACAAAAAAACTAAAAAATTAGTTGGGCATGGTGGTGCACACCTGTAGTTTTAGCTACTTAGGAAGCCGAAGCAGGAGGATCACTTGAGCCAAGGTGTCTGAAGTGGCAGTGAGTTATGATTGCAACACTGCACTCCAGCCTGGATGATGAAGGTTAAGGGAGTTCCTCATTTGATGATAGGATGCAAAAACAAAACAAAACAAAACAAAAAACCATGCACATTTTAACTGTAAACTTTCATGATAATTTTGACAAGCAAAAATTGATGGTTGGACGTTCATTCAAATTGACCAGATATCAACATCAGGGTTGTAATTTTCACTTTTAGACGGAAACAGACTCTCTATCTTTTAGGCCATGTTTACACAAGCTTATTCTAGAAACTGGCTAATCAGGTCTTATCCGTGAGCAGAAGAATACAAAGTGAAAGAAAATTCCTGAAGAACAACAATAACTCTTTCAGTTATGGTCATATTTTGCCCATTTGATGCCACAGCAGAGACTCTTTCCCATGCGTCACTACTGTAGTTGAGGTCTGGCCTTCTTCCCATGGTTGTCTGTGGGTGAGCAAACGTCTTGCCACTGAGTAGGTCATTAGCAGAAGCTTTGGAGCGGGAGGAGACTTTGGGGAATTAGTGACCCCCTCCCTTTCTATCATTGCAGTCTAGAGTTTGAAGTCAAAGGCATGGTGGAAGCAGAGCGTAGGAACTGCCACGTTGTTCAAGTCCCAAAAGCTGTTAGGACAACTTCCCAGTGTGCCAGGCAAAGTCATTCTCCCCCCTCAGGTAAAAAGCTCGAGGACAGCAGGCTACTGGCAGGGTCCCTCACTACCCTCAAGTGAAATCCAGATGCTTACCCTCTCTGAGAGGCCAGCTAGATGCCAGCTGGCTTGAGACTTGGAGCAGGCATCCCAGTCTCCTGTGAATAGGGTTGTCCAGACAAAATAGAGGAAGCCCAGTTAAATTTGTTGTGTTTTTTTTTTAGACATAGTCTCATTCTGTCACCCAAGCTAGAGTAGAGTAGTGCAATCATGGCTCCCTGCTGACTGGACTTCGCAGGCTGAAGTGATCCTCTTGCCTCAGCCTCTTGAGTACCTGTGACCACAGGCATGCACCACCATGCCTAGATAATTTCTTCTTTTTTGTAATTTTTGTAGAGTTAGGGTCTCACTATTTGTCCAGGCTGGTTTCAAACTCCTGGGCTCAAGTGATCCTTCCACCTCAACCTCCCAAAGTGCTGGAATTATAGGCATGAACCACTGCACTGAAACCTCAGTTAAAGTTGAACTACAGATAAACAACAAAAATTCATACGTCCTAGTATCCGTGCCTTTCATGTGTTTCTACAGTTTCTCAGGATTCATCCTGTGGGAGGAAGATAACAGCCCCAGCTGGTTCGCCATCTTGCCAGGACAAAATACTAATAGTGATTAATTCTGAGGAGTATGAATTTGGGTAATTGCTATTTTCATTTTCATACTTTTCTGCTACATAAAGATCAACATCCTACTTTTTCCACCATTGAAATGCCATTTTTATTACATGCTGAATTCATACACTTTATCTTCTGTGTCATTGATCTCTTTGTCTGATCACACCACTGTGATTACTAGATCTTTATATTACATGCTGCTTTCTCTATTACTTTAGGGTCAGTCTCTGGTGCCTTATTTTGTCCATTTGGTGAGGTCTTTTCCATGAACATCCTCGATGCTCAAGGATGTGCAATGATGTCTGAACCTGCAGAGAGATTTTGGACTGTGGTTGGGTGCAGAATATCTTGTGGGGGGATATGAACAGGTTACCTTGTATTCTGCCATCTTGGTGACATTCACTCTGTTATTTACATGTTGGTTTCTTATACAGCAAGTCCTACTCATTGTTTGTCTTCAATGTTTTCTGGTTATTCTTGTGCATTTTGTTGTGTTGTTATTGTTGTTGTTGTTGTTAGGTATCCCTAGGCATCTCAGAGTTTTTGTGTTATGAGTTAGAACTCCTTTCTCCTTTCTCTCCATCACGTTTTCTAATTACTGAAAGGTAATGCATGAAAATGATTGATTTCTGTACCTTGGTCTTGTACCCAACTGCCTTGCTAAACTTTATCTTCATTTTAAAGATGAGGAAACCAAGCCTCAGAAAAGTTAACTAACTTGGTGGGTAAGAGGCAGAGCCAGGATCCAAGGAACAACCTGCCTCATCTTAGGAACTCTGCTCTTCTGCATTGCTAGGGAGGTGTGGTCTTACTCAGGGAATCTGACTCCATCAGCTCCCACTCTGGCCCCAGGAGGGAGGGAGAGTGCTGCCAGCATGAACAAGATGAGACTGACCGCATTCCCCACCACTCCAGTCTTTCCTTGCTTTGCTTGCCCTCTAGTGAAGGAGCTACTGCTCTGGGTGCTAACAGCAGACACCAGAGCTGGCTCCTCGCCTAAACTAGGCATCTACTGGACGGTGACATCAGCCAGTGCAATGCTCGCCCTTTAGCCTGGAAATTCCAGCCCACATTGGGAAAAAGAGGAATGCCTGCTTTTCCCCCAAGGTGGCTCAGCCGACTGTTCTCTCCTCCCCCAGCTCTGGACTCCCTCCAATCTTTGCTTTTGTCTTTCCTTACCCTGGGAGCCTATGCTAGTCTCTGAAGCTTTATTTCCCCTACTTTGACTTCTTGTTCATTCCTCGGTGATGAGAAAGTGATGAGTGAACTGTGACTGTCTTTAGCCTGTGTTACCTATGCCTTGGAAAATGTCTTCAAAAGTTCATTATTTGTTCAGAGGTGCCCTATATCACTCAGCAACCCCGCAAAGTCACTCAGCAATACAGTTTAAGATTACCTGTGGCATAGCAGGGTCCTGAATACTTCAGAACAAATTAAAAGAGGGTAGGTACATTATTAGATGCATGTTGAATTCAACTGAATTATGTGCTTACCTTTGAAAAATCCCTCTCACCTGGCAGAGCCAGAAATATACCCATGAACACGTAAGCACACTCCACATAAACCAAGAGGCAAGGGCAATGGATGCAAAGAATGAAGGAACATGAACAATGGCAGGTCCAACTTCAGAGGGGCTCTGTGGGCATGTCCCTTCCGGGGGAAATTTTGAAAGGTGCAGGGAAACCCTATTTCCATCCTAAATCTGTAAAATACCATGATGCCTAAAGAGCATTATCAGGGTAGAGAGTATAGGTGCTTATCTTAAAGATTTTTTTTAAACTTCCATTTATTGCAGAATCACACCCCCTAAATCATTCCAGGAAGAATCTACAGAAATCTCTACAACTTCCCTTAGAAGCATATTTTTCTGTTCACCATTAGAACATAGAAGTCCTCAATGGAATCCTTCTTGCCAATTAAGTTTACTCCCTGATGGTAAGAGCAGCAACGACAAAGGAAGACATTGGTCTCCCGTCATAGCTCCTTCCCCCTTTGTTCCCACCTCTGTTTCCCAATTCATTGGTCATTTTCATTAGTCTCTGGGCTCACCCCAGGTTGACTAACTCTTGCTTAATAAACCAGTGCTGAGGGGTGAATGAAAAGCACTTTCAGGCATTTCCTTTAAAGGGAATTCCTCTCCCTCACGGCCAGATGGGAGAACAGCCGGAATATCCACAGGTAGGATCATGCAGAGGTCATCCTGGCGTCTGCCTGTGGGCCTTCTAAGCCATTTTACCCTTTTCTGGGAAGGGAGGAAAGTGGCGTCCTGGCTGCTCGGATGTAACCTGCATCACAGACACAGCCCTGGTCTGTTCAGTGGAAACTATCTTACTCATGACATGCCGGTCATATATCTGGTTTTACACTCTGGAAACCCTCCTCCAAGAGACATGCCAATCAATTGCACTTTGAACACACACAAAGAGAGCTGGCTGATTAGAAGAGCCCTCTGCTGAGTCTTCCTTCAAAGAGATTAATTCTTTGTCAAGAATGAGTCATGGGCCCTAATTTTTCATTCCCCTGCGTCGGGGCTTTCAAATATCTACACCTCTTAAAGCAGAGCAGGAAGAGGTTTCTGTTCTCCATTTACACTGAGTCAGTCACTCCTAGCATAATGGCTCTCCTGACCTCATTGTCATTGTCACCATCCTCATCATCAGTGTGTGCTGATTTAGTGCTTACAGGTCAGCTGGGAGCCATGCACCTCAGAATGAGGCAAGAATTCCTAGGCCAAGACTGGGTGCCAAAGGGACCTGTCCTCTCAAGATCATGGAAAACACAGCTCCATGGCTACAGAAGTTCTCATTCACGGAAACACACAAGCAAACAATGCATCACCCGGATGCCTCATGTCAGACACAGCTTTACAGAGACAAGGCAGGAATGCATTCAGTGATCCCATCTGAAGTGTCTGTGGGTGGATCCACTCTGATTTATCCCTGGGAAATGTTTAGACCCAACCAGCTACCTCAGCCTCACCTCCTGTGCTTAGCGCTGCTTCCCGCCATGCTACTGTGTGTGCCCGAGATGGGGCATCTGGAGCCAGCAGGAGAGCAAGGATCCTCTGAAGCCCTCAAGGCCCATCCAGAGACTGCATCACTCACAGTCTGAATTTCATTGTTTTTTTTTATTTTTGAGACAGGGTTTCACTCTATCACCCAGGACGGAGTGCAGTAGCACAATCACAACTCACTGCAGCTTCAACCTCCCAGGGCTCAAGCCATCCTCCCACTTCAGCCTCCTGTGTAGCTGGGACTACAGGCGCACACCACCATGCCCAGCTAATTTTTGTATTTTTTGTAGAGATGGGGTTTTGCCATGTTGCCCAGGTTGGTCTCAAACTCCCGGGCTCAATCGATCTGCCCACCTCGGCCTCCCAAAGTGCCAGAATTACAAGCGTGAGCCATTGTGCCCGGCGTATATTTTTAAATTCTGTTATATACCATTTTACATGATGTCTGCTTCACATGTGTCGGTTCTATCTTCCCCACAGCCCAAGCCCCTAGTGGGCGGAACTCATGGAGAACACTTAACCATCTGCTCCAGCACACAGATCAGTGTGGCACGGGGCAAACACTGTTCTGGGGGACAGGAGACAACTGTCCTATTGCAGTTTTACTCTAAGGTTCCTCTCAGGCTCTGGGCCTCACACTCCTCATCCATGAAATATGGGATCTGTATGATGTGTGCTTTCTGAGCTCTTTTGGAGTTGCAGTGAACAGCAAAGGCCTGGCCACCAGGCTGCATGGCCACAGCCTGGCCACCAATGGGGTGATGGCCTCCCAGGTATCATGAGCTCCCCGTGCACACCCTGCACCTACCCCTAAAGTGACAACCTCTCTTAATGACTCACTTCCTTGTCACCATGCTGGGACTGTGCCTCCCTCACTGCTGTATCCCAGTGCTTCACGTGCCATAGGTCCCCAGCCAATACTTCTTGAAAGAATAAATGCTGAGCAAAGGCAGCTTGTTTGAAGGCTCAGGTCAGCTATGTCTCTCAGATGTAACTGGGAGAGGAAAGGGGGCTGGCAAGCAAGAAAGAGGGAAGACTTTTCAGAATGTCCAAGTTTTCAGTGTGCAAGAGACACTGAGGCAGTGCCAAGCCCAGCACGAGGGTGAGGCTGCCGCTTTCAGCTCGGACTTCCCATCAGGTGACAAACACCCCCAAGCCTCCACAGCAACCACCAGACCCTGTGACACTGGGGAGGTTTCAGCAGCATCCCGCGGCGTGCCAGGATCACCAGCCCCTGAGCCTGCACCCACAGGCTGGAACTCCATGCCAGTGTTCACCAGGCTGGTTTCTAGGTCCTGCGCTCCTCAGTTCAGAGAGGGCCTCTGGGTCCCTACCCCGAGGAAGAGCTGGAGCAGCATCCCATTTCTTCCCACTTTCCCTCCCTGCAGTTTCCCTGTGTGGCAGCTTCTCCCCAGCACAAGCCACAGAGAGACTTTGTGGAGGAAGCATCCTAACCCTGGGAACAAACGAGGCCATTAAAGTGGCTGAAGAAGCCAAACACAGTGGCTCACACTTGTAGTCCCAGTACTTTGGGAAGCCAAGGTAGGAGGATAGCTTGAGCCCGGGAGGTTGAGGCTGCAGTGAGCCGTAATTGTGCCACAGCACTCCAGACCCTGTCTCAAAAACAAGAACAAAAAGCAAAAAACAAACAAACAAAAAGGTTGGAGATGAATGGCCAAGATACACCTGGAATTCTTCAGTCTCCTGTCAGGGTGCCCTGGGAGGGCCCCTGAGAGGCTGGCATCTCACCAACACCCTCCTTCGAGGAGGGCCCCACCTGTGCCTCTCAGGCAACAGGGAGGTTTCTTGCTGTGCTCTCTAACATGGAGAAGCCTCAGGGCTAATGTGGGGCAGCAGAAGGGATCAGGAGTTCTGGCCCAGCTACCAAACAGCTGTGTGGCCTTCGACAGTTCTTCTCTCCTCTCTGACCCCAGTTTCCTCATCTCTAGGGCTCCTCCAGGCTTTAAAGACTAATTCTGCTCCTTCACTTCTGTATCCTGACACACCCAGGCAGCACCACACTCTTGCAGATTGCTGTTTTGTGAATGTTCTGAAGACATATGTGTCTGTGTGTCTACCTTGTACATGCACACCTGTTGGGTGTGTCTGAAGGGCTGGATTACGGAGGGACAGGACAGTTTCATCACACTTTCTTAAGCCTGAGTTTGAATAAAAACAGCACACCACTTTCCTGCTGAAATGGACTGAGAGGGGAGGTTGTCTGCCTACCTGCACAGGCTCTACGTCTGCCCATCAAATTTGGGCCCATGTGAAGTGGCTGTTGAGTTGGCAGTGGGCAGGAGCGGATCAGGTGAGTGTGGCCATTTGCAAGCAGATGTCCAAAGTCCTGCACCTTGGCAGTTTGTTCAGATCAGCTGGCACCTGTAGTGCCCTTTGGGGAGCAATTATTGCTTCTGACTACAGGCACAAAGGGGGCTGTAAGGTGGAAGATCTGAGGCAGGCTGGGCAGTGCCTATTAGACACACCAAACATTGAGGAAGTGCGGCCACCCCAGCACAAATAGTGAAGACGGCAAAGCATTTCTGGCCAGCATGTCTCAGGTGCCATCACAACAGAATTACCTTCTCCACACTCGGCCCCTGGAGTGTCCACAACAGAATTACCTTCTCCACACTCGGCCCCTGGAGTGTCCACAACAGAATTACCTTCTCCACACTCGGCCCCTGGAGTGTCCACAACAGAATTACCTTCTCCACACTCGGCCCCTGGGAGTGTCAGCTGGGAGACCCGGATTGTGTCTGCCCCTCCAAATCACCTCTGCTCCCCTCCTCTTTCCATATAAACTCCAGGAGGGAAGGGAGTTGTGGCTGCTTTCTTCACTGCTGTATCTCCTGTGCTAGAACAGCGAGTGCCTGGCATATTATAGATGCTAATAAATAGTTACTCACTAAAGCCAGGACTCCACAGAGAGTAGGAGAAGTCTGGGAAGTCTAGCAGTCGAGGAATCGGGGGCAGGTGGCTGTGGCCTAAGTCCTCAGATGCTGCGCCCAGGCCCCTGGTTCTATGATTCAGGCCAGCCTGCTCTAGGGAGGTAACCCCTGCTGCCCCATGGTCTTTAGCCCTGGTGGCCCCGCCCTGGCCCTGGCCTGGCTGGAAGCCAAAGCTCCCTGGGGCATTCCCCACTCCTCATCTGTGGAAGAGGCATCCCCCACCCACTTCCTCTCCTCCTCCACAGCCCTGATCGCCACCTGGCCCCATGTCCTGGGATCCACCACCTGCGAAGGACGTTAGTGTTCCTCCCAGGATAACAGAGATCACCCTGAGCAGGATGGGCGGAGAACAGGGAAATTGAAGAGTTTTCCTCTCCCAGCCTCACGCACCAGAGCACAAACCATGGCCCCTGAATCCAGCACTTCTCCAAACTCAAGAAAACTCCTCTCAGATAGACCCAATAACACAGAGATGGAGAGGGCTGCAGAAAGACTGGAGAACAGAAAGGAATGTGTAGTTCTTCTTTAAATTAGACAGCCTGAATCACACAGACTTCTGCCACAATTCTATCTGGGGTGGCTAGGAGGCTAGTCAGAGCTGGGAGGAAAACGCCCAACCCTCAGAAGTGGACCAACACTCGTACCACCAGAAAACGAAGACATCAAAGGGCATGCCAGACACAGGCATTCCAGGCAAACAGCGTTAAGGGGTAGTGCTGGGCCCAGTTCACCTTCGATGACTTCTTAGGGATAAGTTGTAAGCAGAATTACAAAGAGGTTAAAAACAAAACAAAAATGTCAGAAAGCGAAGAAGTTGTTAACAATCCTTGAGTTTTGAGATTTTTAAAAGGGTGGTGACACAAGTTGTCAGGGAAGCCAGGTGTCCCAGGCACTCTTCTAGATATTGACCACCAGGATAAAGGTCACTGTGCAGGTCAAAGGTCACAGAAGAGGGAGTGGAGGAGGAAGGGAGGTGAACGATCTTTCTATTTCAATCTAACTCGGCAAAGCCTGTGAGTAAGACCGTCTAGCTTCAGAAACAACAGTCCTGGAAAAACTAGAGGGGAAGGAGGAAAAGAATAAATGAGCAGCCCCAGGCAAGAGGTGATGGCTGAGAAAAACCAGAATGGAAACAGAATGAGATGAAGTGCCTGGGAAGAGGGCTCCAGCAGGGGACATGGGAAAGAAAGGAATGGCTGGGAGGGAAGGCAGCCTGGAGCCTGCTTCCCACGTGGGAAGCATGGTGAGAGAAGGCTGGGGACCTCCCTTCCCGTGGGCATGCTGGCCCAGCCACTCACCACGCCTGGACCCTCCAAGACCTTTGTTTTGTGGAAAGCTCTGCAAGCGTTTGCTCAGTATGGCTCAGGAAACAAGTGTCCTTTCTTCTGGGGGCCAGATTATCATGCAATGAAGAGTACAGAAAACAAACATAATTATTCTTTCCACTTGAGAACCATGCACCACCCTGGCTGGGGTTGGCAACGGAACCAGGTGAAGGAACTCCTCTGCTCTTCCTGGCCTGTATCAACACAAGCTATGATTCATATCTTTCCTGTGGAAACTGAGACTCCCAAATAATCTCTAGATGGGGGAGAGGCTTACCCCCGGGCCTCAGTCCCAAGGAGGAAACAGTTTAGAGAACAAAGAACTACCGCTCCAAGTGCCAAGCTGCCATTCCAGGCAGGTGAGAACATCTGCCAAATGGTCGGTTACCAGTGTGCCCCTAAAAGGACACCTGTGTGGAAAGACCATGGAATCTGGCTCTGCTTCTTGTGGGTCTGTCTGACTAGTTAACCATTCTGGGCTCAATGCCCTCATCCACGAAATGGAGACTGAATGCTGATTAATTCCTCTCTTACTCTCCCAGGCTTCAAAACCACAGCAAGAAGAAAGCAGGCAGCAAGATAAAAGAAGATTCAGGCCAGGCGCGGTGGCTTAAGCCCGTAATCTCAGTACTTTGGGAGGCCAAAGAGGATGGATGACTTGAGCTCAAGAGTTCAAGACTAGCCTGAGCAAAATGTCGACACCCAGTTTTTACAAAATAGTAAAAAAATTAGAGAGGCATGGTGGAGCATGCCTGTAGTCCCAGCTACTCAGGAAGCTGAGGTGGGATGATCACCTGAGCCCAGGAGGTGGCGGTTGCAGTGAGCCGAGATTGAGCTGCTGCACTCCAGCCTGGGTGACAGAGTGAGACCCTGTCTCAAGGCAGAAAAAAAAAGAAGATTCAGCAATGTTTTGGTTTGACTCTTCCCATGGTAGAGATGGGGCAATGAGTTGCAGAACAGAGAGATGAGGTGCCTTGAAGTCTTCTTTGCGGTTTGTAGACTAATATAGAATGTAGGGCACAGTCTACAAGGTTAACAGGAGAAACAGGGAAGGAACGAATCCTCTGCTAGGTGCAGCTGTTGGAGCTCTTTTGATGAAGGACTGGAGAGCTAGGAATTCTTGGTCCTCAGGAGGAGGAGGAAACTGCCTGGGAGACTTCTGGGATAGGCAGCCTCAAATGCAGCTTGGAGGTGATGATTCATGGTACACCATCTTGTACAGTTTTATCTTCCCAACAGGACCATGAGCTTGTTGAAGATAAATAATGTGCATTGTGTTTCTTTTGAATTCCCACAGGACTAGTCACAGGATGGACATGGTTGGCACTTCCTTAATATTACTTGATTGTATCAGAAAGAGGGGAGCCTCAATAGACATTTACTCAGCACTTACATATACCGGGCATTGCGAAAGTTTTCACATGTGAATATTCATTACAAACCCCATTTTACAGACATGAAAGTTGAGGCACAGAAAAGTTTCATGGCTTGCTCAAGGTCCCACAACTATGAGCAGGTCTGAGATTCAAACCCGAGTCTTTCTCCTCTCACAACCTCTCTTCCCAGGAGACAGAGCACTGGCTGGCCTTGAGAGTCACATTATATTGCAGTGGGCAGGGCACAGGCACACATACACTCCAGAAAACCATGTGTGACCTACACAATAGACACGGAAGCTTAAGAGCAGAATAAAGGGGCAATCAAAATGGGGTGGATTCCTAAGGAAGATGATTACAGAGCGCGACCTTCAAGGTTTGGAAAGACAGCTTGATGGGGCTTGGGGAACCAGGCAGTAGGTGCTGAGAAAATGCTTAGGGAATAGGAAGCACCCCAAGGAAACAGTGAAGTGTAGTGGCTTGTATTAACACAAGATGTTTGGACAGGACGGAGTTGGTCCCAGGCCTAAGAAAGCGGTTTAGAAATGAGGCAGTGTTTGCTGAGTCCTTTACAAGATGCATCATTAGCACATGACGGAAAGCAATTAACTTGCTTCTTACTCATATGCTGATCAAGTTGCAACTGGAAAGGAGTTTGCACGTTGTGGGGAGGGGGTGCCAGGGAACCAGCCAGTGGCCCTTACACCATTTCCCGAGGGATGCCGAGTGTGAGCTCAGGGTTGGCGGATGCCCAGGGAATGCCATCAGAAGGCCCTCTCCACTAGCAGTGCCCCGCCCCCACAGGATGCTCATAAAAGCCACGAGACCAGGGCTCTCCAGCCACCTGTCTTCTCCACTGCCTGTACCAGCCCACCTCAGGTGCCTTCTCGCCGGCCTTCCTCACCCACCATGTCTCGGCAGTCCTCCATCACCTTCCAGTCTGGCAGCCGCAGGGGCTTCAGCACCACCTCGGCCATCACCCCGGCAGCTGGCCGCTCCCGCTTCAGCTCTGTCTCTGTGGCCCGCTCTGCAGCAGGGAGTGGGGGCCTGGGAAGGATCAGCAGTGCTGGGGCCAGCTTTGGAAGCCGCAGCCTCTACAACCTGGGGGGTGCCAAGCGGGTCTCCATCAATGGGTGTGGCAGCAGCTGCCGAAGTGGCTTTGGTGGCAGGGCCAGCAACAGGTTTGGAGTCAACAGTGGATTTGGCTATGGGGGTGGAGTTGGAGGAGGCTTCAGTGGCCCCAGCTTCCCCGTGTGTCCCCCTGGAGGCATCCAAGAGGTCACTGTCAACCAGAGTCTCCTGACTCCTCTTCACCTGCAAATCGACCCCACCATCCAGCGGGTGCGGGCCGAGGAGCGCGAGCAGATCAAGACCCTCAACAATAAGTTCGCCTCCTTCATCGACAAGGTAAGCAGGGGCTTCATCCACCCCCTTGGGTTTGGGATCAAATAAACTCTTGGAAGGGCCATCCCATGGGGGGAGAGCAATAATGCAATGACCCCACTGTGGGAATGAGCACTGTTCAGCACGGGCTCCCAGGGGCTGAGACCCTTCCAAGTCAGGCCAGCTTGCCCCACAGGACCTGGTAGAAATTTCCTCTCTTTCGGAGCCACATGGGCTGGTTCAGTCAACACCAAGGGAAGAGTTTTGTTGATTCTCTACAGGAGAGTTGCTGCTCAGCAAACTACCCTAACCCAGAGTAGGTGGTGTTGAGAAACTTAACCCAAGAGCAGCTCCCCAACAGAAGCCTCTAGGCCCCACCACCCGAATCCTATGCAAGCCCTAGGGAACTTTGCGGTAGCTCCATGGACTGCCTCCTTTTGGGTTGGAGTTGTCAGTTACATTATTGTCAATGGGTGCCAAGTGAAAAAAATATCTTTTTCTTCTCTCCCTTATTAATAGGAGTGTCTAACTCTGCCTCTCCAACTTCTCAAGGTTTCATTCTCTCTTCTTCCCTCCAGGTGAGGTTCTTGGAGCAGCAGAACAAGGTCCTGGAGACCAAGTGGGCCCTCCTGCAGGAGCAGGGCTCCAGGACTGTGAGGCAGAACCTAGAGCCCCTCTTTGATTCCTATACCAGTGAGCTCCGACGGCAGCTGGAAAGCATCACCACCGAGAGGGGCAGGCTTGAAGCTGAACTGAGGAACATGCAGGATGTTGTGGAAGATTTCAAAGTCAGGTAAGTGGGAGACTGGCTTCTGGCCACACACAGCCATCTGAAGGCTCCTTTGTGTGAGGACCAGAGAGGTGCAAAGGAGCAAATGCCGATATCAGCCGGGAGCTTTGGAACTGCAGCCTTTATCCTGCAAGGTGGAGACAGCACTGTGTGGGGTAGCACAAGGACCTTCATCTTGTGTATTGCTATGAAGATCCTATTCCTATTTGTTCACATGACTGCAAAGGGATATCAACATCATCCGACAAAATATTGCTACTCACTCTAGAAATCATAATGTAATTTCACAGTCAGCATATTGTTTAATTCCATTGGACATGGGCTCAATTATTGAGATGGTTTGCATTTCCAGGATGGCATTCACTGTAGAGTGAAGAGAGGTAACAAGGAAGAGTTTAAAGGAGGGCAATCTGACTTTTCTTGTGGGGGGAAACTTTTGACTGCACATCATCCAGGCTGCAGTAGGTGAGGTATCCAGTGGAAAGGGATTTGGTCCAGACTAACCCATTAGCCAGCTTGCCCTTATTTCTAAGCTTGAGCTACCCCTAGTTACAAAAAGCATATTTCTCAGGGGCCACCCTGAGGTTCAGTGAAAATATATCAAAATCTACCCGAAACAGCCTGCTGAACAGATAAAGTTTACTCCACGATTTCGGTAGACACTTGAGGTGGAAAAACATTTTAGATTAGCATTGCATATCTATCAAAAGATGGAGTTGCATAAGTATATTTTTGTATTCCTTTAAGTTCCATGCTCACCTTCTACTCTTAGAAAAGTTTATTAAAAACTAGCAGAAGAAATTATCCCCCTTTTATGGAGGGAGAAATAGAGGTTAAATGAATCACCCAAAGTCATGCCCAGGTCAGCAGAAGAGCTGGAAATGATTTGAGGGCTCTTAACTCTTGCTACACCAGCCTGGAAAGAGTTCAATGCAGACTTGCTCAACAGCACACCCCCCGCTCTGTCCTTATAGGTACGAAGATGAAATTAACAAGCGCACAGCTGCTGAGAATGAATTTGTAGCCCTGAAAAAGGTGAGTGGGGATGTTTCTCTCAAAGGAGAAGGTTTAAAATGGAATCTGGAGTGTGGGGTAACCTGACCTCTGACCCTTGGGCCACCCAAGAAATGTCACATCAACCTTGAGAATATCTGCAGAGTTCAAACCTCCCAACATGTTCCCTCTACGTTGATGGCCCCATTAGCCCTACTTGGGTTTCTGTGAGCTCAGGGAATTCAAGCCCCCAGTTCTCCGTAATTACCCATCCCCAACCCCAAATCACCCAGACCCAGAGTTTTCTAAAATCCAAACTAGATGGGCTGGGGAGAAATCTGCTCAGCTTCTTTTGGACTAGATACTTGGGGCTGCAGACTCAAAGGAGCATCCTGCGCTGTCATTCCAGGACGTAGATGCTGCCTATATGAACAAGGTGGAGCTGGAAGCCAAGGTCAAATCTCTGCCCGAGGAGATCAACTTCATCCACTCAGTCTTTGATGCAGTAAGAGTCTGCAAGTATTTCTGTCTCTCCTAGGTCTGGAGCCTGGAAAGAAAAGGATGATGCATTGTGCCATTCATTCATTCAGTGCCTCTGCCCAGCATCTTGCTTGGATACTTCAAGCTGGGGCTTGGGTGGTAGGGGGACCAGGGAGAACCACTTGGAGCCTTGTCATACTAAACTACCCCAGCTCTGATGCTTCTCCCCCGAACTCCCTTATCCCATGGCAGGACAACATCTAACAAGGAGAGAGTACTGATTCCCAAATTCTAGGACACTGGGTAATTTCCCAAGGAATCAACACATACCTGCTCCCTTCCCCTTCCCTGAAAAGTATTAAAAAAAAAAAAAGGCAAGCTGTCCCTCAGCTCATTGGTCAGGGGGCTTCCTACCCTTTGAAGATGCCTCATTCTGGGCGCTACCCCTCCAAAGGCAGAGACCTGGGTCTGTGGAAAGGGAGAGAGAGGTAGAAAGTGATGGAGTCACACTGTGCAGGGGGAAGCAGTGTCCCAGATGTCCCCAATGCTCTTAAAGAAGCCGTTTATGTTGGCATACTGAACAGACACGTGTCACATTCAAATCTATGTAATTCCAATTCAGAGGATGCTTACCCACCCTCATGCCTGGGGAAAGCACACAGATGGGAGCCTTGAGAAGTAAGGCTGGGAAAGATTTTCACCACACTGATCTTTTGGGATGAATGGGAATACCTAGGGAATAGCTGGGAGAATCTGCCAGGAATACCAAGGAAAGGATTCCTGACCTAGATGGGTAGTTAACCACGAAGATTTAAGATTCTTCATCTTATGCCTTGGTGATGCTGAGTTTACTGCCCTGCAGGAGCTGTCCCAGTTGCAGACCCAGGTCGGTGACACATCCGTGGTGCTGTCCATGGACAACAACCGCAACCTGGACCTGGATAGTATCATCGCCGAGGTCAAAGCACAATACGAGGACATTGCCAACCGCAGCCGGGCCGAGGCTGAGTCCTGGTACCAGACCAAGGTGAGCATGGACACCTCCATGAGAGGTTCCAGGGTTAGTGTTCTCTGAGGCTCCACATTATCACTTAACTCAGCCTCAGGAAACGTGTGAGCACATTCGTTTATTTCAACTTAGCAGGCATGTCTTTGATGCTATGACAACTTAGCTTGAAATGCATGTGGAAACCGAACCAGACACACTAATACATGGTCAGCCCAATGCTGGGAGCTCAGGACATCCACTGGCCCCACATTCCTCAAGATCTGGGTGGGAGCAGGGTGAGACACCAGGACAACCGAGACACAGTCATGAAGCAGTTTCTAAAAGGCTTATTTATTCTCTATATATTTTCTGAGCTCCTGCTGTATGCCAATCAGGGTTACAGGGTTGCAAATAAATAAACTGCAAACAGAGAACCCAAGCTCTGGGAGGCCATGAAGTGAATGGACAATCATGGAAGGGAAAAGATAGCATGAATAAAAAGCTTCCAGGAAGACATGGGGGCTTTGTACAGTTGGGAAGCCATGAGGGACAAAAGATTGCTGAGGAGTGGGGAGAGGTTTAAGGCTGAACAAGGAGCTGGCAGGCAAGAACAAGCAAGGGAGTTTATGTCAGGAAGAGGAAGGCTGGGATAAACACAAACAGCTACTGCCCAGAGCTCAGACAGCCGCAAAGAAGTTTGGCTTTGCGGGGTACAATTGACCCATGATACCAGCTCCCTGTCAAATCCAGACCCCTCTTGGGGCAGCTTCTCACCTACGAGCAGGTTCCAACTCTTTCCCTGCTCCATACGTTGCCTCATCCCTTCTGGTCAGGAGTGTGGTGGAAAGGAAGGTGGGTAGCAGGGACCAGGGTTCCACAGGGCAGAGGCAGCGCCTTGACGGTGAAAGGAAACATGATGCACTTAACCCCAAGGTGAAGTGGTTGAAATCGATAGCAAACGATTCCTCATGTTGTTGGGTTGTTGCTCCATTTAATCATGTATACCTAGAAGCGGGAACCTGAGCTATTCAGCACTTTCAAGAACCCCACAGATCTTGACTCTGGCAGGGGATCTCCTTTTGTCAGGGAAAGGTGTAGGTTTCACTTCAGTCTGCTGGAGGAGACAGGGTGTAATTATTGCTCTTAAATTCACATGTCCTGGATATGCACCATTAGATTGAGAACTACCTGAGATTGGGAATACTTTTACAAAGTCTTCAAAATTGTGCCTTCCACAGCCTCTGCACCATCCCACACCATTCCCCCATATCTCCTCCCTGTTTCCCCAGCACTGGTGTTTGGAGGGCTACCAAAATTCATGGGCACAGTTGGTCTGGATGCACGCTCTGTGACCAGGAACTACCCAGGGACCTTGATCAAATCACCGTCTCACTCCTAGAACTCACCATGTTCCTTCCCTGACCCAGAGTCTTCATGCAGGCTGTTTCCTTTGTCTGGAATGTTCTCCCCCACAACTGGTCACTTAGGTCCCTCCTTCTCATCCTTCAGACCACAGTTCAAGCATCTCCATCTCTGGAGAGACTTCTCTGACCACCACTTCCCACTTCCAAATCTAGGTCAGATTCCTTCATTACACTCTCCCAGGACCCTGTTCATTTCCTAAGGGCACTTATCTTAGTGTGGAACTATACATTTGATAATATGCTAATTCAGTTAATGTCTATGTCCCCCAATAAACTGTAAGCTTCAGGGGGAATGAGTGAATGACCAGGAATGAATGAGCCTGCTTGTGGCACCCAGGGTGGGTCTGTGTGCACAGCGAGTGCCTGGGCCAGGCATTTGACTCAGTGACTGGGTTTGCTCTGGTTCTCTCAGTACGAGGAGCTGCAGGTCACCGCAGGCAGACATGGGGATGACCTTCGAAACACCAAACAAGAGATCTCTGAAATGAACCGCATGATCCAGAGGCTGAGAGCTGAGATTGACAGCGTCAAGAAGCAGGTAAAGATTTGGCAGGGCCAAGAGCTCCTCAAATGCTCATTTCTTCTGGGCCTTTCTGCCATCTTTAAGAACTCCTCCCCAAGAAGCACCACACCTCCATGGGCTGTCAGCAGGACTCATGGCTTCCTCCTGTCCTTACAGTGTTCCAGCTTGCAAACGGCCATTGCTGATGCAGAGCAGCGGGGAGAACTGGCTCTCAAGGATGCACGGGCCAAGCTGGTGGACCTTGAGGAGGCCCTGCAGAAGGCCAAGCAGGACATGGCTCGGCTCCTGCGTGAGTACCAGGAGCTGATGAACATCAAGCTGGCCCTGGACGTGGAGATCGCCACCTACCGCAAGCTGCTGGAAGGCGAGGAGTGCAGGTGAGGCAGATGCACCAACTTCATCCTCAAAGCAAGTTGAGCTCACCTCAGCTTCCTGGGCATTCCTAGGGGCTCGGGCTGTTGCAGCCCCTTCTTCTCCTGGAAGAAAATGCAGTTCAGAATTGGGCTATGGCAAAAAAATAATTTTAATTTCCTTCCAGGCTAGTAAATCATTTGAGGTGCAACTACAGTTAGCATCCCCATAGAAACCTAAAACCTGATCAGGTCTAAGTAACTGAATTCTACCAAAGGAGACATTTGGTTACATGGCAGCTCTCGAAATGTGGTCTAAAAGGCCATGGGCTGAGAACAAACAGTCCTAGGATTTGGGCTTACAGATCTAACACTAAGTAGCTACATAACCTTGGGAAAGTCAGTCTCCCTTCTCTGGCCCTCAATTTCTTCAATGATAAAATGAAAAGGTCAGATTACATGATCCGCAAAGCTTCATGGGAGCTTTGTGCTCTGCCAGTTAGGAGCTGTGTAGCCAAGAGCAGATACTTAACCTCTCCACCTCTCAGTGTTCTCATCCAATAAAATGTGAATAACAATAGTTCTAAACTCTCACATTATTAAAAGGGTTAAAATAAGGGAATACACACAAAGCTCTTAGAACAATGCATGGTACACAGCGTGTTCGATAAATGTTAGCTATCATTCAGTTTCATGGCCAAAGACATAGGCTTTGGTGTCAGATGAATCTGTCTTCAAGTCCAGCTTTGCGACTATGGGCAAGTTAGTTAACTTGTCTGAGCTTCCATTTCTCCCTCTATAAAAGTGAGCAAATAATACCTACCTCATGGGGTTGTTGAGAGAACTAAGTGGTGTGATATAAGTAACAGGTAATCAACAGCTGTTACCTCTTGTTAAGTTTCTCAGTATGTGTTTATGAATGAATGCCAGTTCTGTCCTGAAGATGCTAAAGCAAAGTTACTTGGTTGCTAAGATAATAATAAACTGATATTACTATTGTTATTTTTATGACTCAGACGCCTCTCCACACCTATATACAATAAGCTCAGCCCTGGCTCAGTGCATGACAATGGTCCCTTGTTGAGAGACAAATCTTATTATAGGACAGGCCCTTCTTTCCAGTTGATGCCAGTATATGATTACTTTTAATTTCCTTAAGGCATCTAACTAGTTTAAACCAAAAATTGTATTTCTGAGATTATAGATTTTGCTCCTGTGAACCTCAAACTCCACCTTATTTTATTCATTAGATTATTAATATTATCTTTAATACTACTAGTTCTCAAATAATTTCAACCTGCATTACTTCTGCAATAAAAATAATAAAGTATGTTTAAATGCTTTGTCAACAATTACAAAAGTGTCATTGCAAAGGCCCTTAAGCTGCTGGCCACATTGGTAACCTTCCTTCTCCCTGCTCTTCCCAATCAGGTTGAGTGGAGAGGGAGTTTCTCCAGTTAACATTTGTGAGTATGACATACTTCTTGGGCCATTTGGAGTGTGTGTGGTAGAGGGGATGGGGATGTGGTGGGCTTGCCAGAGGGTGAAGATATGACGGGTTAGACGGGATCTCACAGACAGCGTTCATTTGGAGAAGGTTTGAGGTTTTGGGTCCCTTAAAAAGCAAGCCATATTAGGAGTCTTTAATGTCACAGTTCTTTCCTCTTTGAGAGTGAGGGTGTCACAGAAGGGGTGATGAGAGGTTTGATGTCATTGTTCTGAGTGGGTTTAAAAGATCCTGGCCACATCTCCTACCTCCCAGAATTCCCTGCCTTTTTGTTGGGGCTGCAAGCCTAGCACAGAGGTGAGCACTTGATGTAGACGGGATTTATGAAAATTCCTGGTCTGGCTTGGACCTTTGAAGGGAGCCTTCATGCTGTGGACAAGAGCATTGCCAACTAGGCAGCTTCTCTCCTAAACAGTTTGAGAAGAAGCTCCACTGCTTGGCTCAACTCTGCCGAGTATAACTGCAGAAGGATGCCAAGGGTTTTCAAGGCAGTAAGGGCAGCATAAAATATGGCAGTTGGCTACAGTAGCTCTAAAACAGGAGAGGTATTAACAAGCTGGCATGGCCCTGTGCTGGTGAGAGAAGAAGTGGTCATTCGCAGAGCTCAGTGCTGGCATCACAAGGGCAACAGAAATGACTCTTACAACTCACCCTCTACAAGTGAGTTTGAGTTTGGTTTTCTTGATGGGCATTCATAAGGGCAATTCATTATATTAGCCAATGATTCTAGAAGGCAGAGCCCTCTGAACCACCCAGGTGTCCTTCCTCCCTGATGTCTTTGTCTAGTGGTGCCAGAGACCCTCAAAGCTAATTTTGGGGACAGGCCTTCAAGCATAACCTTGAAGCTCCTTTTCTCTTGAAAACACCTAATTGTCTGTATTAGTTTTCCAGGGCTGTTGCAAAAAGTACCACCAGTCAGGTGGTTTAAAGCAACAGAAATGTCTTGTCTCACAGTTCCGGAGGCTGAAATTAAGGGTTAGCAGGGCCCTGGTCCCTCTGAAACTTGGAGCCTGGACCAGCCTCCTGCTCTGTATATCATGCAGGGTGGCACTATCCCCTCTCCAAACCAGATAGTGTTCTGGAACACGGAGGCAGCATGGGCAGCCCAGCCCCCCTCCAGCCTCCTCCTAGCTCTGGCGGTGGCCATCCATCCTCGGTGTTCCTTGGCTTGTGGCTGCATCCCTCCACTCTCTGTTTCTGTGATTGTATGACCGTGTCCCTGTGTGTCTGTGGCTTCAGATGAATGTCTTCCTTCTTTCTGTATGGACACCAGTCATGTTAGATCAGGGCCCACCCTACAGACTTTATCTTAACTTGGTTATACCTGCAACGATCCCATTTCCAAATAAGGTTGCATTCACGGATACTGGTGTTAACACTTCACCATAGGTTTTTGAAGGACACAATTCATCCTATAACGGAGTCTATTTTTTTAAAATTTGATTTTCCTTCGGCAGGACCCAAAGTAGGGTGCTAGAATGTGTAAGGGGATGAGTTATAAATTAGGAGAAGAATAGGTTGGGAGGAGAACGGGGGCAGAGTTCACTGGCCAACAGGTTAATCTGTCACTTGATCCATCAAGAATATTCCAGCCTCCACCCTGGGATTCTGAGTGTGGGGCTGGGAGACGCTGAGGGAAGAGGAGTGTGCCCCTCCCCCCATAAGCATCCAGAAGGAAGAGAAACTCTGGAGTCAGGCTCAGACAGGGAGACAGACCCAGACGGCACAGCAGGAGGATCAAAGGGAAAGCAGGTGGACTGGAGCTGCTTCCAGGAGGAGAGGGCTCCAGTAGGTTCTGGAAGGGGAGGAGGAAGCCATTCCAGCCTAAGAGGCTGCCTGGAGCTGCAGCTCAGGAACACAGGCAGTGATCTCACTAAGCAGGGGACATTGGAAGGAGGCAAACTGCTGGCTGACGAGACCACCCCCTCCCCACCCAAGGACTCCAGGGCACAGGCCCTCACACTCCCAGCTGTCTTCTCGCTTGCACTTGATCTGACCACACCTCCTCTCTTCCCGGCAGCTGTGGTCACCTCTACTCTTTCCAGTGGCTATGGAAGCGGCAGCAGCATTGGAGGTGGAAACCTGGGCCTCGGTGGGGGCAGCGGCTACTCCTTCACCACCAGTGGTGGGCATAGCCTGGGTGCAGGCCTGGGAGGTTCTGGATTCAGTGCCACCAGCAACCGGGGCTTAGGGGGCAGTGGTTCTAGCGTCAAGTTTGTCTCCACCACATCCTCCAGCCAGAAGAGCTACACGCACTAAGAGAGCCCCATGGCTCCCTCTACCCTGCCTTGAGGCCTGTTTGCAGTCACACCTGGACACCAGGGTCCTCCTCCTTCCTCTCTCCTTGTAAGGTGCACCTGTGCTGCTGGGAGCCTGGAGTACTGGCTATACCCATTCCCAGGCCTAAGCCAGCCTCTCCCTCCTGACAGTGCCCAGACTGCCAGCAGCACCCGTCTGTTACACATGTGAAACCAAAGCCTGCTCTCTCCTAAGGCTCTCATTCAGCCTATCTTGCGAGGCCCGGGCAGCTGGAAAGTCCTCCTCCAGCTCCACCTCCCTCCCTCCCTCCAGATGCAGAGGCTGGGGAGTCTCTCAATGCCAGGTTGTCACCCACCTGTCTCATAGTGTTTATAAGTGGCCTGCTGGGAGTGAGTGCTCCCTCTGTTCCCTCCCTGGAATGTGTCTATTAAATGCATGTGTCACCTGTTTGGTGTCTGGCCCTCTGTTTGGAATGGTGACTGACCCAAAGCAATTCTCCTCCTCTCCCAGGCCTGCTCCCAGCATGGGGATCACACAACCAGTGCTCAGAGGCATCAGCCCTTGCCCCTTCCCTCTGAGCTAAGAAAGCTGGCTGGGAGGAAGGGAGGGCGGGCTGCAGAGGTGCAGGGAGTGCAGGGCTGGCCAGACTTCCTTTTCCCTCTCCTTGGCATGCCTTGTTTGGGAAGCCGGAGCTGTTGGGAGAAGCCCAGACCGGCCTCCCTGCTCTGTTAGTGCCGTCCCCATTCCAAACCAGTGTTCCAGAATACTGACGCCGGGTGGGCGGCCCAGCAGAGGGGCTGATTTTTCCCTGACAGTTTCAAACTTGCAGACCCAGCAGAGAAATAACAGGCCACGAAGAGGAGTTAAAAGGCAGCCCTGGGAGCAACGCTTTCACCAAGGAGAGGAGCCATTTAGCCCATAATTGCAGGCAGCAGTGAGATATCCAGTAAGCTCCCACATTCCTGAGTTTACAGTCTCCTGGACCCCTCCCATCAGGCCTGAGCTGGGGCATAGCCCAGTGGGCTCACCCAGAGTGGGGCAGTCGATGTGGGCTTGGAGGGAGTGAGTTCAATGCTCAGGAACTGATGTGAGCTACTTGGGACAGGGTTCTAAAACACCCTTGTCCAGGGTGAAGGAGCAGGAAGTGAAGTCGGGGGAGAGGGAGGCCGTGAATCAGGAGGGAAGATGAGTGTAAAACCAGGGGCTAAAATTTGGAGTGGACGGGAGAGGGAGGACGGCAGGAAGGAGAGAAATGACACTGAGAACAATTGTGAAATCCCTGGTGTTGGGGTGAGGGCGAGTTCAGACCAAGAGAGGAGAGAAGTGGAGGGACAGGAATTTGCAGTGACATCCTCAGGCTTTCTCCACTGGCCAAGCTGGCTCTCATCTCTGAGCCTGATCTTCCCAACTGTGTGGGGTGCAATGATTCAGGGCATGGGACCAGGAGTCCGGGTTCTGACAATGGCCCCAGTGCTCACTAGCTATGTGACCTCAACAAAGGTGCCTAACTACACTGTGTCTCAATCGGCCTCCTTTGTCAAACAAGGATCTTAACGGCAACCCCTGTAGTGCTATTTCAGATTAAAGAAGATACATGGAAACCAGCTACCCATAGTGGCTGCTCAAAAGATATTCAAAATTGTCCTTATTTTTATCATCCACCCTCACAAAGTTATTATGAGAATTAAATGAAATCATGCTTGCGGCTGACCTGTCGTGTGGTGTGGCACAGACTGAATCTCCAATAAATGAATTTTTAGAAATCATAAGTGAACAGAATGGGAGGAGCATAATTTAGTGACTTTGGGTTCAGAGCCCAAGACCTGGGAATAGAGAAGGGAGTTCAGATGAGAGGCTACAGGAGTGTCCACAATGTGTGGCTGAAAGCCTGCGTGGGTAGGGGGCCCGGAAACCCCCAGGCCTGCTCCAAGTCTGCTCCAGACTCCAATCCCCAGATCTTGTCCTGGGGACTTTATTTAAGGGGAAAAATTGTGTGTATTTCCCAAGTCTGTCTTCCATGCTGAGGTGAGATAAGGGTTATTCAAGAAACCCAAACTGGCTGCACAAGACCACAAAGGACTCGAGAGAGCAGACAGAGGAAGGGGTGTGGGGGCTGGCCCTAGGCCACACAGCTCATGATGGACCTGGCTGGGGACATACCTGCGTCCTCACAATGCAACTCCAGTGTGACCCATTGCAGCATTCCCAGAGTATATGGACAACTGAGTCCAGATTCTAGGTCTAGAGAGATCATGTCAGAAAGAAAATGGACATATTAAACTTTCTGCCAAGGACCTCCTGCCCATTTAATGGAATTCAAAACTTCACCCAGTAATATGATGGTGGCGTGTTCTTTTCTTGAATTATCACACATGCACCTGGTTGGTGCCAGCCCCTCTGACTCTTCCTGCTTCTCCCCTCTCCAAACAAAACCATCTGTCCCCCAACCCCATTGCACCAACATCTGCTTGGCTCTCTATGTTCCAGGTTCCTTCCAGGCTGAGGAAGAGGAGGAAGAGCCTGCCACCTGGACTCTGAGATCCAGGTTGTGCAGAGGCTCCCTGCACTGTTAGGGATCCCATATCCCAGAGCCCTCTGGGAGGCTCCTGCATGGAAGCTCTCTCAGTCTCTTACCTCTGACTGGGGCAGGTGTGGTTTCTGGAACAGGAGAACAAAGTCCTGGAGACTAAATGGAGCTTCCTGCAAGGCCAAAAAACCACCAGGGCCAATTTTGAGCCCATGTTTGATGTCCACATCGACAACATGAAGCAGCAGCTGGACTGCCTGGGTGGAGGGTATGTGAAGTTGGATGTGGAGTTAAAGAACATCCAGGACATGGTAGGGGACTTCAAGAACAAGTGAGCAGACGCTCAGCCAGTGCCTGGGCCAGGGTCCTGCCCTGGGGCTCCAGGGGAGGTCAGAGGGGGCAGGAGAAACAGCCTCTGCTCTCCAGAAATGTCCAGTCTAGTGGGGAAACGGAACACACTTAGGGCACAGAGGTGGAATCAGAAGTAAACATAAAAGTGTCAAGAGAACTGGGACCCACCCTGTGGTCAAGAATGCTGAGGCTTTAGTGAAGGGCTGGGATTGTAGATGATGATACCTAACATAGGTACAAAAAGCATGATACACACAGCATTCTTCAAACTCTGCAGATAAGGAAAGTAAGGCTCTGAGATAGCATACCAAAGATGACACAAAGTGGCAACTCAGGAGTTAAGAATGAATCCCATAGAATCTCACTCTCACATGAATGCAACTAAATCTCACTGCTAATTTGCACAGTGTTCACATATTCACTCTAATCCAGGCAAAGAGGCTGGAGAACAAAAAAGAAAGGACACATTTGCTGCCTTCTCCCAGGACCACACACACACACACACACACACACACACACACACCACTAAACATAATGAGATGCTCAAATGCTCATGCCTGTAGATACAAATTTCTTGATTTTATTGTTTTTACTTATTTTTATTTCTTATTTTTCTGGTTCTAATTATTTTTAATTCTCTTGGTCTAACCAAAATTAGTAACTGGATCATGAGTTTTGGTTAACACTGTTTGTATACTCTAGCACAAGTTCAGGTTTTAGAGTTGTGCTGTCCAACATAGTAGCCAGGAGCCAGTGGCCACAGATGACTATTTAAGTTTAAATTAATTAAAATTAAATAAAATTTAAAATTCAGTTCCTCAGTCACACTTGCCACATTTCAGGTGTTCAATGGCCACACATGGCTAATGGATCCTGTAATGAACACAGATACAGAGCAATTCTGTTATCGTGGAAAGTTCTCCTGGATAGCACTATAGACTTCAGAGTCAGTGGATTTAGGATCTTGGCTCAACCACTTAATGGCTGAATGACCTTAAGAAAACTATTTAATCTCTCAAAGCCCCAGGTTCTTTATCTGTTAAAAGAGACATCAATAGTGCCCACCTCACAAGAGCATTGAGATTATTAAATCAAAACTTGCATGTAAGGTGCTTGGTAGGGTTCACAGTGCCTGGCACATAGTAAGTTGTTAATAAGTGTTAGCTATGTTTATTGTATTTATGATTAGGTATGTGTAGTGATACAGACGCAGACAAGAGAAGCAAGTGCAGATGGGTAATTTATAACATGTATGCAAGCGTGGACTAACAGTGTTTCAATACAAGAAGACTTCCTGGAGGAGAAGGCTAAAGCTTAGCATTGAAAAGGAAGAAGGCACAGGGGAGGGATATGGTAGGGCATCTGTTGAAGAGTGTGTTCCTAGTCAATGACCAGGCAGTGTTCCTGTGGCATCAAAGTGGCCTGTGCAGGGCCAGGCGATGCTTGCCCTTCAGCAGAGGGACTGTGAGCTGGGCCACATGGAAGACGAGGACAGTTGTATGGAGTTAGGTGAAGAAGAGACATTCAGAGTTCATTAAAAGGCAACTCAAAGAAACGATGAGGAAAACCAAATTGCTCTTCCCAGAGAACACTGAGAGAAAGCACAATACTGAAATTTCAATGGCAAGCAAGAGATTTTCTCAGATCCTATAGAGCAGCAGAGGAAATATAAAAGCCAGGAAGATCCTGCTTCATGTAAGTCATGTGTGATGGGACTCTGTGGTTTTAAAAGAATGACAACTTTCCATTACATAGTAGAGAAAGATCCTCTGAGAGGTCATATGGCTGATGGGCAGAGCAGCTGAGATCAAAACCACAGCTGTCTAGCACCACGAGGGTGGGGTGTGCTGATGCACCCAAGTAGGTTGGGTGGGGAATGGGTCACCTGGAACAGAAGCAAAACTTCCTTCCCAGAGATCAGTGAGCAGGAGGCACCTCCACATGCCCCTGGGGGACAGACAGGGTGGGGTTGCTGCCTACAGGTAAATTGAAGAATGAGAAACCTTTGGGGGAGAGGGTTCCTATGGTCCTGAAGTCTCTGCTCCTTAGGCCACAGTTCAGTGTGCCTGAACAGAGTGAGGGAAATGCGAGTGTTGTACAGTGAGGGGCTGCCGGCCTCTGACCTTTCTCCCTGTTCCTCTCCTCCCTGCCCTGGGTTGGGGCAAGACCATAAAAAAAAAAAAAAAAAAAAAAAGGAAATGTATATGCCCCTTTATGGGACCCAAATACTCCAAGGAGCTGAGCTGTGAGAAAAGAAACCTCAAGTAGACTGAGAGGGGATCTGTTTTGTTGTTTTGGGTTTGGGTTGTGTTTGGTGGTTTATTTGATTTGGGATTTGGGGCCATGTGTGTCATAGGAGAGCCAGGCTACAGTGGAGCATTTGCTAAGGCTGCTCTGCAGACCCACCATTGCCTGTCCACCTCCACCCTACTGCTCTGACCTCACTACCAGCGCCCAATCCAACCCCAAACCACTTCTTGATCCTTCCCAGAGGTATGAAGAAGAACTCAACAGGTGCACTGAGGCAGAGAATGAGTTTGTGGTGCTCAAGATGAGTGGACAGAGTTCCTCCTGCCCAGCTCCCAGTGGCCTCATACAAGGCCTTATTTAATTTGCACAGCAAGCCTAGAAGTAGGTCTTACTTTAACAGTGGGAAAACTGCAATTCAGAGAGGTAAAGACACTTGCCCAGGGCTACCTAGGTAATCAGGAGTGAGTCAGGACCCAGGACTCCAAAGTCTGAGCTGCAAATCCCAACACCAGCCCCCGCCGTGTGGAGTCCAGTGTGGAGACAGGGGAAGCAAAACGGGCCTTGTCCTGGGCTGGGTCTCTAGGCACCCAGTCAGGCTCAGGAGGACAGGGCAGCCCAGAAGCAGCTCCACGGAGTCCTGGGCCTTCCTGCTTGGTGGCCAGGGCCAGAACAGGGTTGTCCTCACAATGTGAGGTGATGCAGGAGACCTTTCAATGTGGCACCAGAGCTGATGAGCAGGTGGGCACCCCTGAAGGCCCTGGTCTTCACAGAGTTTGGAAGTTCTACTCCCTCCCTCCTCTCCAAGTTCTAAGTTCTACTCCATGGCCTGGAGTAGACAGATGCTCTGTCCTTGGGAACTGAAGCTCTCCCACCTAATTCACAGACAGAGGGGGCTGGTTATCCCTGGAAGGGTAAGGCCCAGAGTGATAGCATGTTCTGTGGGACATGGATGCTGTCTACATGAACAAAGTGGGGCTGGAGGCCAAAGTGGATGCCCTGATGGAGGAGACCAACTTCCTGAGCACTTTCTATAAGGCGGTGAGAGTGCCCGGTGCCCCCTCCAACAGGGGGGCTGGGGGCTGGGTCTTAGAGCCTCAGCTGGGCACAGAGCCTGTGGGCTCCTTCCCTGGTCTTCTCTCTGCTCCTTATCCCACCTGCGTATTGCAGGGCAGATGCCACTTCCCCTACCACAGGAGAAAATGAGGTTCCATAGAGCGGCTGGCAGGTCAGGAGAGATGAAAAATTCAGCCTTAACCATCTGGATCAAGCATGTTCTGTTGGGCAGGCAGAAAAATGGACCACCTGTCATTAAAATATGGATTTCCATAGAACTTTCTGAGCAACTTGGCTCATCCTGCCCTGCCAAAATTTACCTGCTGCTCTTCCTAGAGCAACTGCAGGGTGATGCAATTACACAAATCAAGTGGCAATTAGTGAGCCCTCAGGTGCTTCTGGGAGCAAACAGCACAATTGCCTGGTTCTCCGTTTGTGTCCTCCACAGAGCTGCAGGCACAGTGCTGAGCAAATACAACGGGGCCTGTAAGTTCTTGAAGCTTACAGTATAGTGCAGGAGAAAGGCACAACAGAGATAATCAAATCACTGTACTATTTCAGGCCCTACAGAGGCAATGAAGAGAAATGACAGTAGAAAGCAATCATAGGCAGTGGGTGGGTGACACTGGACAAGAAACTTGAAGGAATTGAGCATGTCAGCCAGGAAGGCATGGTGGGTGGGGGCAGTGCTCCAGCAAGAAGGAATGGGAAGTATAAATGCCCCCGGGTGTGATCCAGGAATGCCAGGAGGAGGACAGTATGGCTGGGGCAGAGGGGAGAGTGGTGAAGATAGGGCCAGCAGTGTCAAGGTGGGGTGTAGGGTGAGTGGAGTGCCTCCAGGTAGGCCTGGTAAGGACAGGTGATATGCCCATAGGGTCACACACACGTGATGCCCAACAGAAGCTGGTCACATTGTTCCAGGACCTGGGGCTTCAGCTCTGATTGTTTGGGTGGGCTCCAATTCCACCTTACAACCCACAGGGGGATAACCAGCCCCCTCTCTACTTGTTCTCTTCAATGCTGACAACCAGGGTGATATTGCCTCCGAATTCTGAACTAGCCCACAGCCAGCAAGCCTGTGGGACAAGACCTTTGAACTAGATCTGCTGCCAGGAAAAACTATTTGGGAAAAACAAGCCGCAGCACAATAAGAAAATAATAATTTGTTGAAACGGGAAATGTATGAATCAGTCATCAATAAAGAGAGAAAAGGAATATTTTTACTTAGACTTCTGCTTTGGCCTACTGATTCTCAAATTTTAAAGAGCATCAGAATCTTCTAGAAGTGTTGCTAAACACCAATTCTGATTTAGTAAGTCTGGGCTGGGCCCACAGTGTTGCATTTCAATCAAGTTTCCAGTGATGCTGATGCTGATGCTGGTTTGAGGTCACATTTTGAGAACCACTGAGTTAGATGATCCTGAAAATGGACCATTAACAAATTAATTGTGGGTTCACTGTTTCCAGACCATCTTATCTGGATGTCATTTAATCTCCACAAATTAATTTGAGGCCAGTATTATGATCAGCCTTGCTGAGATCTGGGATGCTATTTAAATGTGATTGGCAGATACAAGACTCGAATTTGTCAGTTGGGTGCCCTTTCTGCTATTTCCAGCTGATTTCCATTTCCCATCCTATCCCCAAGGAGCAGGGAGGAGCCAAATTGGGAAACGCAACTGGAAAGTAGCCAAGTTTTCTGGCTTCTTCTGACTCAGTTTTCTTTCACAAGATATTTTCCTTATTTGGTGTGAAGGGCTGTATTTTCTCAGAACATGAGACATCTGTGATACTGACAGGTCACAACATGGTGTGCTCCTGTGACAACAGAGTGGCTTCTGGAGAATGCTGGCTGGAGTTACATGTGCTGCTGTTCCCTCCACGCAGATGAGCTGATGACAAAGAACAGCTATAAACTCAATGACCTCCCTAATGTTCTTCCCAGCCCTTTCAGCCTACACAGGCCACTCCATCCCTACCGTGCAAGACCCTCAATGCCAGGGTCTGTTCCAGGGGGCAGATCACAGCCTCCCAAAACATGCCCCCACACACACATGCATACACATGCTCACACACGCACATGCATGCACACACATACATGCACTCGCATGCACATACGAACGCACATGCACACTTGCACACACACACACGGACACACATGCACATGCACACTCTGCCTCAGCTCTCTCATTTGGACCCAACCACAAAAGCTGGCTCAGCTTCAGGCCCAGATCTCTGAAACCTCCATGGTCCTTCTGTTGATGGAAAACAACTGCAACCTGGACCTGGATAGCATCATCATTGAAGTCAAGGCCCAGCATGAAGACATCGCCAACAACAGCAGGGCTGAGGCTGAGTTCTGGTACTAAACCAAAGTGAGACATCAAGGTCAAGTTCATTAAACAAGCACAAAAAACCGAGATTTCAAAGGCAAACAAGATAAGAGCCATGTCCTCTCAGATGTCCCAGTCTGATAGGGTCAAGGGATCTGAGTTCAGCTTGGGGCTCACCCTATGTTACCTGGGGGAAGCATGTCAGGACCTGGGGAACAGCCAGATAAAGGCAGGAGGTGGTCAGTCCCTCTGCCAAGAGGAAGATGGACACACCTCCAATGCCCTGTATCAGAGAGAAAAGGGACAGCTGGACAGTTCCAGCCATCAGTGCCAACAGGAGGAACAGAGAGGGAGGGTGGGGACAAGAGGAAAGTTTAACCCCTTGTGGAGGAGGCTGGAGGATCCAGAGAAGAAAGGCGGAACTGGCTGGGGCCCAGGGGCTGGAGGGTAAAGTCTTAATCTAAGTCACAGACTGGGATTTTCCAGATGAGAGCAAACATTCTGCCCTGGGAGTCGTTGGGATGATAATTTGCAATGCCGAGGAAAACACGAACAAAGGAAAAGTGATTGGCACCTACCTGATGCTGAGTTTGGGAGGGTGAGATGCATGGTGTCGAGGGAAAGGGAAGAAAGACCAGGTATAGGAAGAAGGGAAAGAGCACAGCCACAGCTGTCCAGCTGTAGGGTGAAGCCAGTGGGCATAGAAAGTGAGGGACAGAGTCAAGAGAAAATGCAGATGAATTTGATTGGGCCAGAGGCGGCCCAGCAGGGAGGCTCTCAGACGCACATGAAAGCCTATGGGGCTGTGGGAAGCCACAGCCTTCTCTTCCCTGGCCTGGCTGTCCCTGCCCACTGCACGCATCCCCCATCCGAGGTCTGCTTCTCCTCCCTCCTAGTACAAGGAGCTACAGCACTCTGCTAGCCTGCACGGGATGACCTCCACACCACCAAGATGGAGATCTCTGAGATAAACTGGTAATGCAGAGGCTGCACTCTGAGATTGATAACTTGTAGAAGCAGGTAGGGCTGAGCTCCCAGGTGTCCTTCCATCCATGCTCCTGCTTCCAGGTGGACTTGTGCCTGGGCCTCACTCAGCCCCTACAGAGAGAAGCCTCCCAGATGAGTGGCCTTCCAGGAATATAAATATGCATTCACCTAGTGCAATGGTTAATATTGTCAACTTGATTGGATTGAAGAATGCGAGAAAGGCACTTTCTTCTGGAAGAGTAAATGGCAAAACTTTGGCTTGCTTTACTTACTCGCAATCCAGAAAAGTTCAGCATTGAAAAGGACCTCAGAGGGCTGGGTGTGGTGACTCACGCCTGTAATCCCAGCACTTTGGGAGGCTGAAGAGGGCGGATCACCTGAGGTCAGGAGTTCGAGACCAGCCTGACGAACACGGTGAAATCCCGTCTCTACTAAAAATACAAAAATTAGCCAGGCATGGTGGTGCACGCCTATAATCCCAGCTACTCAGGAGGCTGAGGCAGGAGAATCGCTTGAACCTGGGAGATGGAGGTTGCAGTGAGCAGAAATCGTGCCAGTGCACTCCAACCTGGGCGACAGAGTGAAACTCCATCTCAAAAAAAAAAAAAAAAGAAAGAAAGAAAAGGACCTCAGAACATCATTTTCTCCATTCTGGCTAAGTCTCAAACTACCCAAGGTGGACAGAAATCAATCTTAGTTTTAAAGATGATGCAGCTCCAACCTCCTTTGCATTAAATCCACTTCAGGGAATTCTTTCATATTTTCAACTTAAAGTTCATAGAGGATCTTACTGCATCCTCCATGAACAATGTCACACACATTCTCATCGCCACCTGGCAGTGTGCCATGCCCCAGGCCACCATCGCCTGCTGATGCCAAGCAGCATGGGAAGCTGGCACTAAGAACAAGCTGGTGGAGCTGGAGATAGCCCTGCAGAAGGCCAAGCAGGACATGGCGCAGCAGCTGTGCAGGTACCAGGAGCCAATGTATGTCAAGCTAGCCCCGGACATTGAGATCGCCACCTACAGGAAGCTGCTGGAGGGCTTGAAGAGCAGGTGGGCCACCCCTCCCCTCCCACTACCACCCAAACAGATGCACCAGACCACGACAGCAATGCCACAGAGGCCCCATGAGCGCCACAGTGTCAGCCCTCCAGATGAAGCTCCCAGGTCAGAAACAGGGTTAAAATGCAATTGCTCCCTTAAAGGCGTCCTGCAGTTGCAGCCCCTCCCACAGCTGTTGGACCCAGGGCAGGGGTGAGGGTCAAAGGGGTCAAGGAAGGGACGCTAAGCAAGACCCTTTCTTCCCAAGTCCTGTGAGAAATGCAATCATGCTTGGGACAAGGCTCAGGGGCTCTGGAATTGCCCTGCAAGCTGACGGTCTCGCACTACCTCTCTACCACAGCTGCCTCTTCTCATTTCTCTCTGTATTTGTGACTCGTTCTCTCTCCTGGATTTTCCTCACAGATGCACTTGAGCTTCCCAAGGCTAGCAAGCTGAGGGGAGAGCTTGCCAAGCACGGTGCCTGATACATGTAAGCACTCTGTGCTCATAACTTTAAATACAAAGAACCCAGGGCCCCTTAACCTCTCAGCAAACAAAATGACTCTTTCTCTCCCTAGCGGTCACAGACTCACTGAAGGTGTCAGAGCCGTCAGTACCTGTGAGTCAATGTCTTGGAATGGTAGAAAAGTGGGGGGCACAATGGAAGCTGGGAGCATCACTCTTGAGGGTCTGGTGGGTCAAAGATGAGCAGGCAGGGGCAGGGATGTCACAAAGACCCTCTTGGAGGCTCTATGGGGACTCTTCTTGTGCCCTTCTTCCCCATGAGGTCAAGAGAACTCAAAAGGGGCACATTCCATGTCACTAAGGAGCTCAACAACTTTCTCCTCACTCTGGCTTAATCTCCACAAAAACTGTGGCGATTAATCTGCAGGTGACCCCTCACCCCCAGGGCTGGTCCCAGAAGATCCCAGTGACAGGACAAGACTATTCAAACAATCGTGGGTCCCCAGTCTGAATGCCTGATTTCTCAGCTAGTGCTGTCAGGAACTCAAACTAACACAAATAAGAGGCTATTAAACAGATTAAATGTAAAGGCCTATATTTAGAATTGAAGCATATGAATTCAACAAATAGAACAGTGACTGATCTGGCGTGGCCTCAACTCACAGGAGGGAGAGCAGCAGTGACCTCACAGAGTGACCCACCAGGGCTCTGGGGCTGTGTGTAAAAGCTCAGCATCATAGGCGGCATTAATGGGAGCATTGAGTCCTGGTCATGGGAGTAGAATCCCCTTGAGACCCATGTGGGTCAGATCACATTAGAGAGGCTGGCCTGCCAGGATTGGGGAGAGCCTGGAACCAACCCATCAGAGGGGCAGGAATGCCTCACCAGGAAAAACGGACGCCAAGAGGGGAAATCAATGAGACGTTTCCAAATGTTTACCTGGCTTGCAAAGATGCATCCAAGTAGGGAGTTCCCGTTGCTGAAAATATTGAAGCAGAAGCTGAACAATTGTATCTTGGCAATGTCATTGAGGGGTTCTGGTACTGGGGGAGGCTCGTCCAGGTGGCCTTCAGGCCTCTTTCGAAAAGGAAGTCTATGGCTCCCTTCCAGAATACAAGGCCTCCTCTTCCATCCAATGTGACAGCCGCCTACAAGACAGGGGAATGAACCCAGCACAGGAGCTAAAAGCCTTGGCTTCTGGTGGGCGTGGACTTGGGTATGCCACTTGATCTCTTTGCACCTCATTTTTTCCTCTACAAAATGGGGGTTATTGTAGTAATGGTGTCCTCTCAGCCCCATTGAGATCCACATGGTCACAGCTGTGAATGTGCCTTGAGTATGGCGATGCCCTGTGCAGAGGTTCATGAGAAGGTAGCGTGTGACGGGGTGGTGAGTCCACGCCCACCCTCTCTCACACTGGCTCAGGCGTTCCCCGAGGCTCTCAGGGAAGGGAGGGTTGCCTGGAACAAGGCATTGCGGGAGGGGAGCAGGCATGGGGATCACACCCAGGAAGGGCGTCGTGGGAAATGGGAAGAACCTGCCAACATATCCTGAGCCCTCTCTCCACAGCTGAGGTCTCTTCCCCTGGGGCCACAGGCTCCAGTGGGGGCAGCGTCCTCTGTGTGGGTGGGGGTGGCCACAGCAGTGGCCTCTGCCACAACAACAGGAGCAGTGGCATCAGCTGTCCAGCTGTGACCAGCAGTCACAGCAGCTCCAACATATTCATTGTCTCCAAGAGATGGCCCACCAAGGAGAGTCACAGCAGCCATGCACCTGCCTCCACTGCCACTCCCCTCAAGCCCTCAAGCTTCCCAGCTCCAAGGCTTGATATTTACTGACGTCCTACACACAAAATCAACAGCAGGAGGTACAAGGAGCAGGAAGTGGCTTATGAGGTCATCCTGTCCATCCCTCTGCCTCCAGAAGGTCCCCACAGAGGTACCCCACCTGCTCCCGATCTCTGCAGGGTCCTGCAGGGTCCACAGGCATCCATTCCAACCAATGTTGACTCAACTGCTCTGTGCCAGGACCTGGGCTAGCACTTTGCCCTTAAGAAGCTTCCAGAGTAGGGGGTGCAGTAGGGTCTTTCCCCTCCTGTCTAAGTCAGACCCACAGCAACCACAAGACAAGGCCTCTTATGCAGTCCTTCCCAGGACCTCAGAACTGACCACGGTGCCCCAAAGAGACTAAGTGCAGTGTGGGCCCAAGTTTCCACACACCTTTCTCATTGCAGATGGAACAGTTTTCCCACTCAGGCCAGGACACATCTTGCACACCCTGCCACACATGCCACCTCCTCACCTCCTTTCTTCCCCCTGCCCAGGCCCCAGCCAAGTCCCCTGACAACTCCCACCAGCAGGATATTTGAGTGAGAAATCAACACCCTTCAAAATATGATCAACTCTTGCTTATTCATAATATAATGGAATGATGTTATCAAGAACTCAAAAGCCCTCCATGGCCCAGGGCTGCAATGAATGAGAGTTCATGGCCAAATTTCTGTCAAGTCTGCTTTATTTAAGTCAATATTAGACCTGCTGTTCCTAAACAGAAATGCCCTGATGACAGAGGAGTGGGAGGGAAGCAGGCTCATGTGAGGGTGTGGGAAGGCCACTTGGCCCAAAATGTTTGCAAGAAATACACCAGGAAAAGCCTATTTTAATTCTCCTGCATTAGGAACTGCCCTGTGAGATTCCTGCAAAATAATCCTCCAGGCTCAGAACTATTCCTCTTCTCTTGTGCCAGACACATCTCTCTTCTGGAAAGTTTTCCTTCCTTTTTTTTTTTTTTTTTTTTTCTGTTGACTCTTTTTTTTTTTTTTTTTATTGATCATTCTTGGGTGTTTCTCGCAGAGGGGGATTTGGCAGGGTCACAGGACAATAGTGGAGGGAAGGTCAGCAGATAAGTGAACAAAGGTCTCTGGTTTTCCTAGGCAGAGGACCCTGCGGCCTTCCACAGTGTTTGTGTCCCTGGGTACTTGAGATTAGGGAGTGGTGATGACTCTTAACGAGCATGCTGCCTTCAAGCATCTGTTTAACAAAGCACATCTTGCACCGCCCTTAATCCATTCAACCCTGAGTGGACACAGCACATGTTTCAGAGAGCACAGGGTTGGGGGTAAGGTCACAGATCAACAGGATCCCAAGGCAGAAGAATTTTTCTTAGTACAGAACAAAATGAAAAGTCTCCCATGTCTACCTCTTTCTACACAGACATGGCAACCATCCGATTTCTCAATCTTTTCCCCACCTTTCCCCCCTTTCTATTCCACAAAACCGCCATTGTCATCATGGACCGTTCTCAATGAGCTGTTGAGTACACCTCCCAGACGGGGTGGTGGCCGGGCAGAGGGGCTCCTCACTTCCCAGTAGGGGCGGCCGGGCAGAGGCGCCCCTCACCTCCCGGATGGGGCAGCTGGCCGGGCAGAGGGGCTCCTCTCTTCCCAGTAGGGGCGGCCGGGCAGAGGCGCCCCTCACCTCCCGGATGGGGCGGCTGGCCGGGCGGGGGGCTGACCCCCCCCACCTCCCTCCCGGATGGGGCGGCTGGCCGGGCGGGGGGCTGACCCCCCCACCTCCCTCCCGGACGGGGCGGCTGGCCAGGCAGAGGGGCTCCTCACTTCCCAGTAGGGGCAGCCGGGCAGAGGCGCCCCTCACCTCCCAGACGGGGTGGCTGCCGGGCGGAGACGCTCCTCACTTCCCAGACGGAGTGGCTGCCGGGCAGAGGGGCTCCTCACTTCTCAGACGGGGCGGTTGCCAGGCAGAGGGTCTCCTCACTTCTCAGACGGGGCGGCCAGACAGAGACGCTCCTCACATCCCAGACGGGGCGGCAGGGCAGAGGCGCTCCCCACATCTCAGACGATGGGCGGCCTGGCAGAGACGCTCCTCACTTCCTAGATGGGATGTCGGCCGGGCAGAGACGCTCCTCACTTTCCAGACTGGACAGCCAGGCAGAGAGGCTCCTCACATCCCAGACGATGGGCGGCCAGGCAGAGACACTCCTCACTTCCCAGACGGGGTGGCGGCCGGGCAGAGGCTGCAATCTCGACACTTTGGGAGGCCAAGGCAGGCGGCTGGGAGGTGGAGGTTGTAGCGAGCCGAGATCACGCCACTGCACTCCAGCCTGGGCACCATTGAGCACTGAGTGAACGCGACTCTGCCTGCCATCCCGGCACCTCGGGAGGCCAAGGCTGGTGGATCACTCGCGGTTAGGAGCTGGAGACCAGCCCGGCCAACACAGCGAAACCCCGTCTCCACCAAAAAAATACGAAAACCAGTCAGGCGTGGCGGCGCGTGCCTGCAATCGCAGGCACTCGGCAGGCTGAGGCAGGAGAATCAGGCAGGGAGGTTGCAGTGAGCCGAGATGGCAGCAGTACAGTCCAGCTTTGGCTCGGCATCAGGGGGAGACCGTGGAAAGAGAGGGAGAGGGAGACCATGAGGAGAGGGAGAGGGAGAGGGAGAGGGAGAGGGAGAGGGAGAGGGAGGAGGGAGAGGGAGAGGAGGGAGAGGGAGAGGAGGGAGAGGGAGAGGAGGGAGCCTCCTTCCTTTTAACCTTGCCCTTTTCACCTTTCACTCTCACTTCTTTTTCTACTTACCTTTCCCCACTGCCACCCCACGCACCTCCTCTCTCTCAACCCCCCTTTCTCCTCCTGTCCTATATTTTTCACCCTTCTTCCTCTCCCACTCTTTCCATTTGACAATCTATTAATATTGCCTGCTCTTTCTCTTCTGACCTCCCTTTTTCTATCTCCCTCCCTCGGAACGTCTCTGTTCCGTGTCTTCAGCCATGGCTGACACTGAAGCTCCTTAAGCCAGGACACCACATTCTCTACCCCACAGCAGAGGCCCAGGATAGTGCACTCAGAGGAGAGGTGGCTCTTTCTTTGGTGTTTTTCCTCGCTCTGAGGGGACACATTGCTGAGCCCCAGAAGGACACAGGAGGAGGCTGGCGTGGAATTGGGAGTGAGGTAGGCATGGGATTCTTCTTTGAGGCCTTCAAAGGGTGGTTTCTGTATTTAATTTGAAGAGTCATCAACCCCCAAGACACCTGCCAAAACGCATTCCAAAGGCAGGTAGAGATTGTCTACTGCACTGCCAAAGTGAAGACGGAGTTCACTGCTCCAGAAGAAAATCACACCCTTCTCAACTGCCTGCTCCCTTATGCCCCCTAGTTCCTGAACCCACTTTCATAAAATGCCGCCAAACTGTCTAGGTCTTGACTGAGTCCTGCCCTAGCTCACACTCAGAGGGCAACCCTGGACTCGGGGGGCTCAGGAAACAGGTGCCTCCCTCCCACAATGAATCCAAGGAACCGCCCTGCCCTCTGCTCCTGAGCTCTGGTTCTGGACTCCAGGAGCCCAACATGCTCACTGAGGCCCTCCTCTGGCCTGGACATGGCGGGGAGACTCTGCTGTGTCCACTGCTGCAGTGACCCCTGCCCTCCGGTGCAGCTCACTGTCTCCCTCACCCCCTCTAGTGGGAATCTGCTCTCTGGTGGGGCCTCTGAGTGTCTCCATCAACATTCACACCATCCTGGGCCCCCTCTGTGGACTCAGTCCAGGGAAGAGTGTGGTCTTCTTCCCCTGACACCCTGCAATTGGACCCCCTCACCCAACCTTCTGCCTCCCATTGTGGCCTGTGGTCTCGCCTTGCACCCCTCCTCCTCCACTACTCTGGGGCCCACAGTCAGGACTATGAAAAAGGGGACAGGGAGTGTGAAATGTCACAATGAGACTGAGAATTTCTGAGGCTCAGGAAACCTTTGAGTTCCAGTCTCCTAATCCACAGGTTGGAAGGCTGACGGACAGGGACAACAGAACATTTATGGGCAGCAGATTCCCAATTCCTCACCTGGGCTTCCCTGCTGTGGAGCAGCATGGCAGGGTGAAGTCAAAAGGAACAGGATGGACTCCCAGCTGATCAGCCACAAGCTGTGTGACTTGGGGATGTTGCTCTTAACTGCTGTGCTTCCCATTTTCCTGTCTGTGGCATAGTAACTATCTCATTGTGTGGTCAGAGAATTAAATGAGACCATGGATGTAAAGAGTACGGAGTGGTCCCAACACACAATAAATGCCCAATAAATGTTTATTATTGTTATTATTATTATTATTGGTTTGATTTTGACCTGGTGATAAGTCTCAGTGTGGAAGGGAAAGGCCATTCGGCCATGGCAAAAGTTTCACTGATGAAATTGATGGAAAAGAGGAGGAAAGAGAGTGAGGCGGGGGCTTCAGACATCTCCAAAGAGCTGTGTCTGCGACCTGAGCTGGAAAGAAAACCTGAATCCCACCTCCACCTGAAAATTCCCAAGGGCAACAACTCTCCCCAGAGACATCCTCAGGCCAAAGCTGGCTCTGTTGACCTCAGGGACACTCAGGCTGGGTTGGGCAAAAGGGGAAAGGAACAGCCACATGGAAGCCGAGACCTGATGCTGAAATCATGCCTTCTGGGGGCCCCAGAAGTGTTGAGGAGAGCGTCCCTTCCTCTGCCCTTCTCAAGCACCAGGCCTCTCCTCTTGAGTTCCCTGCAGCCTTTGTGGACTGATGGGCCCTGTAGAAAAGTGTCTATGCCTGGAGTCTGTCTACCTTCAAGACCCTCATGGGACAGTGGGTCACTGAGCCAGAGCTCAGGAGGGTTAAGGTCCGGCCTGTTGTAGGGAGGATTCTCCCACCCCAAAAGCCTTCCTCCTGGGAACTTCCTGACTCACCTAGGAGCCCACAGAGGGCACTTGGGTTGAGGATCTGCAAAAAAGCCTAGGAGCAGCCTTGGGGAAAGAGCCAGAGCATCTTTAAGCATATGGGACTTGCCCTCTAATCCCAGAGAAGCCAGGGTGTATAATTCATGGCACGCCTCCCCTCCTATGAAATGACGTAGTCCCAACTCTCCCTTTCCTTGAGGCTGAGCCACTGGATACATGGAACATATCTGTCTGGTTGGCCCCTTTCATCACCCCCACAATCAAGGAAGGAGGACAAATAGGATTTTTATAGGGCCCACCAGCACTGACCATTGGCCCCTTCTCTTTGCTCTTCGCTACCCTAATTATCCACCTTGCTACTTAGCTCTGCCAATATCCCAAGCTCATAAACCTAGTTTAATGGTGATTTGGGGTTTGACACATCTCAGTCCTCCATCCCCCTACCAGATAAAAGGGGGGAAGCTGAGCCTGACTTGATCATCCTGCCCCGGTTCTTTCCTCCAGGGCCGCATTTCTCTGCCTCTCTCTCCTGCCATGTCGTACCACTCTTTCCAGCCAGGCTCCAGGTGTGGCAGTCAGAGTTTCAGCTCATACTCGGCTGTCATGCCCCGGATGGTCACCCACTATGCAGTGAGCAAGGGGCCATGCCGGCCCGGGGGTGGTAGGGGCCTCCGAGCTCTGGGCTGCCTTGGCTCACGGAGCCTGTGCAACGTGGGCTTTGGGAGGCCCCGGGTAGCCTCCAGGTGTGGAGGTACCCTGCCTGGCTTCGGGTACCGACTGGGAGCCACCTGTGGGCCTTCTGCCTGCATCACCCCTGTCACCATCAATGAGAGCCTGCTGGTCCCACTGGCACTGGAGATAGACCCGACTGTGCAGAGGGTAAAGAGGGATGAGAAGGAGCAGATCAAGTGCCTCAACAACCGTTTCGCATCTTTCATCAACAAGGTAAGGGGGCAGTGGCCCAGGGCCGTGAGAGGACCCACTGCAGATCTGGGGTCTGGTCTTGTTCTGGTCCAAGGGAACCAGGAGGAGACTGACATTGAGGAGGCCTCAGTTTATCCAGTGGCCTCCCTCACATTCCACGACCACCAGCCTTTGAAAGCCAGTTAGATCAGATTCTGCACTAAACATTTCTGCTTCCTTGTCTTTCTTAAAATATATCATCTTTCTCTGAATATTATCTGACAAAATCACCAATCACCAAGGTTGCCTGAGGTCAGACTATAAGAGGAACTTCCAAAGCAATACTGAAAGGAATGACCAGAGAGGCAGAGAAATGCCCTTCCTGATGAGGCTTTAACAGTAGAACCGCCTTCTGTGTGCCTGAGCTGTGTCACAACTCTTGAGCCTGAAGGTGAGGATGGACACTGTGACCTCAGAGTTTCCAATCATTTTAGGCCTGGGATGAGAGGAAAGTGGACAGTCAGAGCTAGAGGCACAGGGTGACGGTCACAAAAGTCTTACATCTGTCATCTCCAGAGCCACTGAAAGGCTGCTAGGAAGGCATGCCTTCAGAAGGTGCTGAACTGAATCTGCACCCACTGCAGGAACAGTGCAGATTCCCACATCTACAGCACAGCACCCACTGCAGGAACAGTGCAGATTCCCACATCTACAGTATAGCACCCACTGCAGGAAGAGCGCAGATTCCCACATCTACAGTACAGCACCCACTGCAGGAAAAGATGTGGCATGCCTTCTGAAGGTGCTGAAGGACTCAACAGCCTCTGGGTCCATCCCACGCCCCAGGGAGGCTCTTGGGGTGAGGATTCATTCCACAGTTTGAGCTGGTGTTTCTGGTGACCGTAAGGTTTAGGGGCAAGAGTCCTGGGCCAGAGGTCAGGAGCCCTGGCCACTGGCATTGACTCTACTCCTACACCCGGAATCCCCGGGCAAGCCATTCACCTCTTGGCCTTTGGACGGTGCTGCCCAGTGAGGAAGGGGAGGAATGACGGTGGGAGATTAGAGGAGGTAATATATGCCAAAGTGCTTCACAGAGGAACTTGTTTAGTCAAACTTACAGTTTTATTTCTAAAGCTTATTAAGTTCTGGCTATAAACTTATTCCAAAAACATGGGCCCGAATTAGCAACAACATCACACCACCTTCTGTTAGGCTGGGAGCCTCCTGTTGATGCAGCCACTGACCAGAAGTAGGGCAATGATACTTCTGTAGTTTTCTTGACAGACAATGCACGATGTGGAAAATTCCAGAGCAAGGGCTGGAGACCACGTTCCCTTAGTCAATGTCCAGCCGGGTGGCCATGGTGAACTTACTCAACTCCTAATCTCAGTTTCCACTTTACGAAAAGGGAGGAGGAGGCCAGCAGCTGTCCACATTACTAGGACCTGGACTTTTTTCAGATACAGCCATGTAGGATGCAGCACAGTAGGTGAAAAGAGCTTAGAGTCCCTTGATCCGTCTTTTCCCCTGAGTGTCCCTAGGCTGTCATAAAGGAAAGCCTCGACCCCCAAGCTTCACATCCTCTGACACTAGTATGAAGTTAACAGAGTCCCTTCCCATACACTGTCCCAGGTAGGAGCTTTGGGAAGCAAAGTGAGGCTTGAAGGGACAGGATGTCTTGGTCAAGGTCACGAGGATAGAGAGAGGCAGGCAGGCAGTGCTGAAACAGGACTTGCCTAGGCCTCTTGGAGAAGTACCATCCACTACAACACGCAACCTCTGAGTGGAAAGTAGGGGTCCACTAGGCTCTCCCAGGCAGGGGAGACACAGACACACATGCCCTCAGATGCCAGTCTATGCAGAGACCCTGATTTTTGCAAATTCTAGTGCACTGGTAGCCATGTGTTGGGAGACAGGGCAGAAACTCATTCCATTGCCCTCTCTAAGTCATGGTCCCCAGGATCTCTGCTGCCTGGTGATATTCCATTCTTGGCTGCAGGTCCGTTTCCTGGAGCAGAAGAACAAGCTGCTGGAGACCAAGTGGAACTTCATGCAGCAGCAGAGGTGCTGCCAGACCAACATCGAGCCCATCTTCGAGGGCTATATCAGCGCCCTTCGGCGGCAGCTGGACTGTGTGTCCGGGGACCGCGTGAGGCTAGAGTCAGAGCTCTGCAGCCTCCAGGCTGCACTGGAGGGCTACAAGAAAAAGTGAGTCAGTGCTGCTTTTACCCCACTGGTGGACCTGGGGCAAGGGACAGAAACAGTCTGGGCCCTGATTCCCCATTTATAAAATGGGAAGCCTAAACTTAGTTCACTGGGTGGCAGAACAGTTAGGTGGGATGGTGTCAGCAGGGCACCCCACTTGGCACACGGTAGGAGCTCTGAGACTGTGTATTGCCATCTCTCTCCCCACTACTCCACCTAAATAAAGCCCTCAGATCTCTCTCTCTCTGTAAAATAAGCTCTTTCATGTGTGGCTTCTGGAGCTCCAGCTTCCAGCTGAAACTGCCTGTTGTGCCTTTGCAGATCCTGAACTACTTCCTATTCCACAGACAGATCCCCAGGCCTCTTCCCTCCGGGCTTTTGTTCCTGCTGCTTCTCCTGCCTGACACACCCCTGTCAGCATCTCTCTGCTCCATGTCCAAGCTACCACAGCCCACCTTTTCTCTCACCCCCAACTCTGGCTTCCTGCACAGCCCTTCTGCCCTTTCCCTGCATATCAGGCTCTAGCTCCTTCTGCCTCACTTCCCAGTTCTTTGTGGTTCCTGTTTTGTCTTCTGCCACACTTGCTCCCCCTGAGGATGAGCTCCAGGTCTAATTCACAGCTTGGAGTAGGTGGTTGATAAGCATATGGTAATTAAGTGCTTTCAAGAGGCTGAGGCCCAGATAAATTTTCTCACCAGGTCCCGGGCTGAGTGCCCCATGGGAATCCAGTGTCCTATGGGAATCCAGTGCCCCATGGGAATCCAGTGCCTTGTGACAGTCCAGTGTCCTATGGGAGTGCATGTTAGAGGCAGGCAAGTTGAAACAGGTGTCTTTCTATTGAGGAGAAACAGGGCAAATATACTGAGAGCAACAGGTCATAAGGGTTTGGGTCAGTGAAGTGGAGCCGTGTTGGGGACACTCACTGCAGGTGTCAACCACATGCCTACTCAATGCCAGACACTGTGCTAGAAAGTGTGGGTGCTATTGAAAGAAAAAAGGCTAACTCTTTCCCAGTCCAGTGTGCACAGACCACCTGCACCTACACACAAACAGAGAAGAAGGGAGAGGAATCCCAAGAAAGGGAAAGAGCGGGAGTCCAGGAAGCCTTCCTGGAGGAGGTGCGATTTGCTCTGGCCCTTGGAGGATAATGGCTCATTCCAATGGCATTATCCTCCATTTTGGAAATGGGGAAAGGACAGGAATGGGTGGCAAGAAAGAGGAAGGGCCTGCCAAGTGAAGGGGACAACTCTAGCAGACTGTGACAGGTGAGATGCAGTGAGGCTGTGGGAGGGCTGGAGGCCAGCCTGTCAGCAGAAGCAATGCCTTTCTTGAGGAGTGAGTAGCAAGGTGAGATTAAGAGACAGGATTTGCAGCTCAAGATGAGAACTTTGGCTTTTAAAAGTGAGACAATCGGGGAAGGATGAGGTCCAACTGGTATTTTAAGAATAATAGCAAACACTTTCACAGTACAGAGCCTGTACCAGGCACTGTCCTAGTGCTCTTCAGGTATTAATGCATGTGACATGTTAGCTCACAACAGCCCTGTGAGGCAGAACTAGTGTTAGCCTCATTCTATGGATGACGAAGCTGTGCATCATGAGGCAGAAAGGCCAAGTCACTTACCCAACTTGCCCACAGCTTGCACGGGACAGAGCCAGAATTCAAACCCAGGGGGCTAGGCTCCAGAGTCCAGGGCCGTTGCTGCAGCAGTTCTGCTGGAAAAAAAGAGAGATGGACATGATGAAGCAGAGAAGCTTTTAATGAATTGATGCTGCTTATCAAACTGAACCCCCTGACCAATTCCCTCTGCCTTAGGGGAGTGGTGAGTGGGCTGAGGAGCCCCAAGGAGCCTGAGGAAATAGCCTGGCTGTCTCTGTGGGTCTGGTAAGATGGATAATTGCTACCTCTGCAAATGGACCACAGGTAGAGGCCAGGCTCTGAACCCTCCCAGCGAGGAGGATGCACAGGGTCAGCCGGGAATTTCAGTGACTCAGAAAAAAACAGCTAGGCCAGCAGCACAGCCTTCTTCTACGTTCCCAAGGGAGGCCACTAGGTGAAGTGAACCTCCTCAGCAGCAAGAGAGAATGAAGGTAGCCTTAAGGAGGATCTCCCAGGGAGGACTCATCGCGGGAGAAGGTTCCTGAGGAATGGGGAGAAGAGTAAACTTGACAAGTGGCTACTCATCCATCTCAAGTGGGTGGAGGAGCTAGAGTTGCCAAGACAGGGCTGGACCTGGGCACTCCCCAGGGCATTCAGTCAGTGACAGGCAGAGTTGCCCCCAAAGGCCTGATGCCAAGATCTCTTCCAAAATCCACAAGCCCGACTAAAGCATTTTTTCCTGCCTTTTCCATCAGATACGAAGAGGAGCTCTCCCTGCGTCCCTGTGTTGAGAATGAGTTTGTTGCCTTGAAGAAGGTAAGGAGGAAGCTCAGAGAGGCAGAGCCCCTGAGCTGGCCTGCGTTGCCCCAGGCCACCTAGCCCTGAACTCAGTCCAAACGTGTCTGCAGCCCACCCACTCTGAAAAAGGGTTTTTCGCCCCTCAGACTCCTGTGCCAGCCCCACTAACTCTGAGAATGAGGAAGGCCGGCCTCCTCTCCCCCAACTTTGTCCCCTTGCAAAAGGCCAGCCATTGGCCTGGCCTCCACTTCCCCACTCATGCAGGCCGAAGCTGGGTTAAAGTCATGTCTAACCCTGCCCGAGCAGCTGGAGATGGGACAGATGCCAACGCCAAACCAAAACAAAAGCTCAAAAGCTCTGCCGCAAGCCCCCAAATACAATTGCGATGGTTCCTCAGACAGGTAGCCAGGTATTTCCAGGCCCAGGCTCTGCAAAGTGGGCTCTGAGATGCTGCTGCTAAGGCTCATTTAAGCCCCACCCCCTTCAGATCCTTTCCCATCAGGAAGCCAGGCCCAGGCCTGGGGTCCCAGGGCTAGGGACCCCTTTTTCCCCACCTCGGCTCCATCACCCCTTCGATGCCCATGGGTGTTCGTGAGGAAAGGTGAGCCCCACGCCTTCCCCCTGCCACCAGCTTGCCTGGGAGGTGGCCCAGCCAGGTCACATTCTGTCCCTGCTCTGCTGCAGGACGTGGACACAGCCTTCCTGATGAAGGCTGACCTGGAGACCAACGCAGAGGCACTCGTGCAGGAGATCGACTTCCTGAAAAGCCTGTATGAGGAGGTACCCACAGCCCTGACCTTGGGTGGTTAGTCAGGGCTGGAGCCAAGGGATCGAGAGGGCAGCAGAGTGGCCGCCCAGTGGGTACATTTCAGGGCAAGCATGGAAAGAGGTCCGCACTGTAGAGACGTTCTCAGGCGGTGAGACTCACAGAAGTTGGATCATCCAGGCCATGGCTCACAGGCCCCTCTGGGAAAGTCTCCACCAAGCTCTGGGCAACCAGAGGGTGGGGACAAGGAGTCAGTTGGTGACTGAAGCCCAGAACAGCCATAGCAGAGTTCTATGCACTCTGCTCTGGGAAGGTCAGAACGGGTTCTCCCCTTCTCCTGTCCCCGGACGCTCAGAGAGCTCACTCCTTCTCACATGGGCCCTGCCCCCAGGAGATCTGCCTGCTCCAGTCTCAGATCTCTGAGACCTCGGTCATTGTGAAGATGGACAACAGCCGGGAGCTGGACGTGGACGGCATCATCGCTGAGATCAAGGCGCAGTATGACGACATCGCCAGCCGCAGCAAAGCCGAAGCAGAGGCCTGGTACCAGTGCCGGGTGAGGCCCTGTGGTTGGGGGCAGGGAGACTGGAGAGGTGACAAACCAGGGGAGGGGAGGACCCCCAGACTCCTTCTCCGCAGAAGTGGGTGAGGAGCTAATGAGAGCCACGCCATGCCACAGACACAGGGAATCCCATAAAGCCCAGCTGCTGTTGTTTCTGCCAGGCCCCAGGCCACTTCCCTGCAGAGCACGTGGGAGGGACCCCTCCCCGCCCCGGACAATCCAGGCCTGTCATCAGGGTGCCAGGGCGCCCAGCAGTTTTTACCTGCAGACTCACTGGAAGTGCTCCTGTAGGCAGCGTTCAGTAAACACTAATTGGTTTTACTGAACTGTAATGATGGCAAAGAGGGCTCTAAGCTTCGAGGCGTGGGAGGAGGCTAGTGGCATGGGGTGGCTACTAATGGTAGAGCAGAAACAGTGATTAAGATGGCCTCAGACTTAATAATTAGGGGCTTGCTTGGAGGGCAGGGGGGCCCTAAGGGTAATTAGATTTAACAAATATCATCATCTCAGCCTCTCCTGCCCTGCCTGTGAAAGGCGCCATGCATGCATGCACTCATTGGTCCACTCATTCAACACTGTGTATTCAGCATCAACCACGTGCCAAGCACAGTTCTAGAAGCTGGAGACACAGCAGGGAACAGAACAGACACTAGTCCCTGCCTTCATGTCGCTTTCATTCCAGAGACAAGCTGGGTTCCAGGGTAGGGTTGGAGGGGCAGGGTGATGGATGATAAACAAGGCACATAAGTGCAGTGGATGTATGTTAGACTGTGATACCAAGTGCTAGGAAGCAAATAAACCAGGGGAAGGGTAGGGAGTGTTGGAGTGCAGTTTCAATTAGGGTGGCCAGCAAGGATGTGCTTCCCAAACCAAAACACCAGCTAGCAGGAAGTGATTGCAAAGGTGGAGCAGCAGGTAAAGGGAGTTTGATGACAGAGGGAACAAATTGTGTCACAAAGGCAAAGGTGTTGTCATTTGATCTAATCTTGAAGGACAAATAAGATTCAAAGGGGAGATGGGGGGAGGGTGTGCCAGGCTGAGCAGCAGGTGCTAGGACACAGCAGCAGAAATTGAGGGGCCTGGAGTGCCATGTGCTGTGGAGATCGGGCTGGAGGGGTAGCTTGAGGCCAGGTCACAGCATCTGCAGGGCTGTGCTAAGTCATTTGGCTTTGTTCTGAAGGCAGTGGGTGCCACTGCCCAGGGAGTGCCCAAAGTGATGCTCTGCCCATTTTCTGGAGCTCCATGGTGGTTGGAAGTATGAAAACTTGAAATGGAGTCAGCTCCTGGTGAACCTGTCTGTGACCCACCCACGGCCAGGTTTCACTCTGGCTGGCCCTTCCTCTGGTTGCCCCTGGCAACAACCATCAGCCATGTTGGGTTCAGGATTACAACCACCTCATTTTCCCATCCTGCTAAGTCAGAATCTTAGAGAAAATTCTATTAGTTGAAGATTGCATTTGGCTACCAGGATCAGAAATTCTAAAAAAAAAAAAAAAAGTTAAAATTGAATTTTTACTTTTTTCTAAAGTAGCTTGAAGTACAAAATAGACTGCCCAGGATGACACAGAGATTCTGTGACATCATCAGGGACCCAGGATCCTTTGAGTTCACCATTCTGCCATCTGTAATACATGCTCCATCCTCTTGGTTGCCTCATGTTCCAAGAAAGCTGCAGCACCTCCAATCTCACATGCTTACGCCTGGCAGCAAGGAGAACAGAGGCAAAAAAAGCCAACTGGGTCATTCCCCCCTTTAAAGAGCTTACCCAGAAGCCCTACCCAGCCATGGTCATAGATCTCATTGATTGGAAGACTGAGAAATATTCTCTTATCTGGGCTCATTGTTACCCTAAATAAAAGCAGTGTTCTATTTGGTTCTGGGTTTTTTCTGTTGCTGTTATTTTTGTTTTTTGTTTGTTTGTTTATTTTGAGATGGAGTCTTGCTCTATTGCCCAGGCTAGAGTGCAGTGAGTGGTGCAATCTCGCCTCACTGCAACCTCTGCCTCCCAGGTTCAAGTGATCCTCCTGCCTCAGCCTCCCAAGTAGCTGGGATTATAAGCATGCACCACCATACTCAGCTAATTTGTGTATTTTTAGTAGTGATGGGGTTTCACCATGTTGGCCAGGCTGGTCTTGAACTCTTGACCTCAAATGATCTGCCCGCCTCAGCCTTCCAAAATGCTGGCATTACAGGTGTCAGTCACTGAGCCCAGCCAGGGGTTCTGTTTTAAGAAGAGGACAATGGATATTTACTAGGCAACTGCAGACTTTCCTACTGTAACCAAATAACAAAAGAGCCAATGAGTGTGATTATGTGCTTATCTCTCATTTTGCATTTTCTATATAATATGCTCCCACTCACTATCAGAAAATCTAAAGTCAGCTAATTTTTTAAAACTTACAAATGTAATCTGTACACACTACTATTCAGAAATTGGATTCAGAGTGCAAAGGTTTTTATAAAAAAGTGTTACCTCAAGGTAGGACATAAATTGCATTTTGTTTTTTTTATTGTTTTTGTGGAAAACATACAAATGTTCTCATCCTGATGGGCAGACCCATCCTAATGGGCAGTCCTTGGTCTGTTAGGCAACCCAGGCTGAGCACAGAAACCCCTTCCAAGTTCCAGAGGCATATCTAAAAGGGAGGGAGCCCTCAGGTGAACTTGGGCTCTGGGACAGAGAAAAGGACCAGACACAGAACAGCTCAACAGAGGAGGGGATCTCAGAGGCTGGAGAAAAATCTAACAAGCCTGGAGCTGGGGATGGGGTGAGATGGGAATCAGGAACAGCCCACATAAAGGACCCAAAATTGCCCAGAAGCGGAAGAAGGTAAAGGAGCAGAACCAGTATGAGAACCAGAGAACACCTGAACTAGGAAGTCACGGGAGAAAAGACTGGGAACAGTGAGAAAAGAGGCTAGGAGATGCCATCTTGTGGGGCCTGGGGCTCTGACCTCTCTGTCCTGGCAGTATGAGGAGCTGAGAGTCACAGCTGGGAACCACTGTGACAACCTCCGCAACCGTAAGAACGAGATCCTGGAAATGAATAAACTGATCCAGCGGCTGCAGCAAGAAACCGAGAATGTCAAAGCCCAGGTGAGGCTGGGGAGGACTTCCTTGCTGCAACAGCCATCCTGGGCTGACTGGCCAGTCTGTGCCGTGCAGGGCGGGTTCAATCCTTGCTGTGAGTGCCATTGAAGAGGGAATAAACTTGTGCTGCCTTGCTCAAGCAGAAGCAAGCCCTTTCTACCAAAGGGCTGACCCACAGCAGGATGAGCAGCCACAGGAAATAGTCAGGTCCCCAACAGAAACGAGGTGACCAATGTCAAAGATGAGAAGCAAGGATGCTTCACTAGGTGCAAGTATAGAAAAGATGCACTCCACGGTCCCTTCAGACCCAAAGACTGTGATTCTATGATCCTGAAATTCAAGGTGACTCTCAGTTGTTCATAAAATCAGACCCACTCCATTCTCCTGGGCTAGGGAAGACCAGCTGGGCATTTAAAACATATTAACCCCACAGAAATTTCTCAGCATACTTAAGAGGAAAATCCCCGCTCTCTTGGAGGTATTTTAGACAGAAAACCCATCCCAGTTCCCTGGAGGAACCAGATGTCGCAATCCTAGGATGAAGCTCGCAAATGTGAGCCTGGCACGTAGCCACCCCCGTGTTCTCTCTGCTCTTCTGCGAGTCTGGCTTGGGGCTCCAGGGCCCCCAGTGATGCTTTTCTGCGCCCCTCCCACAGCGCTGCAAACTTGAGGGTGCCATAGCTGAGGCAGAGCAGCAGGGCGAGGCGGCTCTCAATGATGCCAAGTGCAAGCTGGCAGGGCTGGAGGAGGCTCTGCAGAAGGCCAAGCAGGACATGGCCTGCCTGCTCAAGGAATATCAGGAGGTGATGAACTCCAAGCTGGGCCTGGACATCGAGATCGCCACCTACAGGCGCCTGCTGGAGGGTGAAGAGCACAGGTGAGCTCCTCCAGGAGGGGGTCAAAGATGGGCTACCAGGTATGGCCATTACCCAGCCCTCTGGTGGCGGCTGCTAGTATCTCTCACCCCGTCCCCTACCCACATTCATTGAAAACCCACAGCAGCACATGGTCCACAATGAGGGCGGGAGCGGGGAGATGCTGCATTTACCTGCATCTGTTTGATGTAGATACCTGTTTTCTTTTTCCTCTCATCCCCAGGCTGTGCGAAGGCATCGGGCCCGTGAATATCTGTAAGTAGATGAGCCATGCCCCACTGGCTCTGGAGTCTTGGGGGTTGATCACCCCAACACAGGCAGCCCACACCACCCCTTCCTAGACCTCTGATGCCTCCCCTACCCCAAAGGAAGAGCTCTGTCTGCCGTGAGCTCCCAGGCTGGTGGAAAGGGCTATCCAAATCTTTTGGGAGTCAGACTAGGAGCAGATTTGCAACAACATGGTCCAAGTGCTTCAGGGCCCAGAAGCCACAAATAACCACCCTGACAAGAGGATGCTCTTCTAGAGGAAGAGGATTTGAAGCAAGCTTAGGAAGGAGGGACCAGTAGAAACTGAGAAATGGTGAAGCTGAATCCAGCCTGGCCTTGCCCAGGCTCTAGGGAAAGGAGAGAGGTGCATGGGGACCTTGCAAGCACTTTATGTGGCTAGGGTGGGAGACGCGGAGGCTGGAGGCTGGAATGGGGTGTCTGTAGAGGTGAGTGGCAGGAGGTGGGAGGAATGGCCTGGCTGAGTAGTTTCAGGGCAGTACACTGAGAGCCACACCGTGTGGGGCCCTGAGCACCCCTTCCTGTTCCCACAGCAGTGAGCAGCTCCAAAGGCGCCTTCCTGTACGAGCCATGTGGGGTCAGCACGCCTGTCCTCAGCACTGGCGTCCTCAGGAGCAATGGGGGCTGCAGCATCGTGGGCACTGGTGAACTCTATGTCCCCTGCGAGCCCCAGGGGCTACTGAGCTGTGGGAGCGGGCGGAAATCCAGCATGACGCTAGGAGCTGGGGGCAGCTCCCCCAGCCACAAGCATTAGCATGATCCGAGACATCCAGGAGACAGAGCCCCTGCCCCATGGCCCTGGATGTCACACTCCCACCAGGGCTGAAGACAAGGATGTTCCAAAACCCCACCTCCCTTTATTGACTCCACATTCCCCTCCAGTGTTCCCTCCTTGAGAGCTGAGCTGCCCCTAGGACCCCTCCTTTGCCTCATGAGTCACCTTCCACTCACCTGTGTGCAGACCCTCAGCTAGGCCCAGATGGTGGGGACAGACGGCAGAGAAAGAGCATGCATTGCTCTTAACCGCAGAATGGCAATAACCCCCAAAAGGTCAAATGGGCACACCACAGTTCTGCTCTGTGGATCATCCCATGGAAGTTTCCTCACAAAGTCAGCTCCTCTCCCACCACAGGCTCACACTGCCCTTACTTTAGGCTCTCATGCCCCTAAGAAAAGTGAATTTCCTTTAACACCGCCTGAAACATGCACACTGCAAATATCAAAAGGAGACACCCCCAAATCCCACTCTAAATTCCAAAGCCAAGTGCCACGATTTCAGGATCAGTCAGGACCTGCCAATGTCCTCTCAGCACAGAGAATCAAGAGGTGGCCTTTGGGCAGTAGATTTACTTTCTCAGGTATGTTGAACCCAAACTGTGAGAATAAATCTTTCTCCTGAGCTCACATTGGCAGGTGATGTCAGGCCAATGCCTAGAACAAAGGGCAAAGGGATATGGAATGTTTACTGGACAGTTGGAAAACCAAAAACAGATACCATTTTCTCAATGGAATCAGTTCCCCCTCCACCCATCCCCTTCTGTACATAGCCGCCCCTTCCTGTTCCCCAACCCTTTAGCTCCTTTTGCTTTGAGTCTGATATGACAGTGATGTGGGGCTGCCCCAGCTGACTTGGAGGCCCTGGCTCAGGAGCTCATAGATGGAGGAGGTGTGGGCTGACTACCTCCCAGAAGCCCCTCATGCCAAGCCTGTCCCACTGGGGCTCCAGGGCCTCTGCCCTGAACATCTGGGCTTCTGTTCAAAATAAACCTACTCTGTTCATGGATTATAGCAATCAGGATTATTTACTCTGCTCTGTGGAAAGTGTGATAAGGCTGAGGGGGAACTGGTGAGCAGCTTTTTGGGACTGGAGTCTTCGGAACAGAAATGAAGACTATTATACAAACAGAAACACTACATGTAAATAATTTGCAAATTGCCTGTGGAAGAAATAGGGCTCTATACAAATCACACTTAAAACCTGCACGTCACACCCCAATGGTTTGCAAGTCACTTGCCATGTTAAAAGCCACAAGCCCATTGCACACAGGCCTCCTCACTACATGGTGTCCTATACACATCCTAGAGAAAATCCTTGGGGTCCTCTATTGTGTCTAGACTTAGCAGCCCCCAAGCCCTAGGCTCTGTCCCTATCCCGAACCATTCTCAGTGCCTGGATACCCCCAGCTCCAGGAAAGCAGTGAAGATGGTGGCAGCCCATGGAGTGAGGAGGACCAGGACACTCCAGTCTCCTCTCCCCATTTAGAGAGCCCAAGACCTGGAGATTTGGCGGCGGTGCTTCCACCCTCTGTGAGGCCTCAGTCCCCTTTCCTCTGCCTCACCGACCCCCTGAAACAGCCCCTCCTGGGGGGTGCTTTCCCCCTTATGGCTCCCCTCTCCTGAGAGTTGGGATGACTCCCCACTCTCCCCAAAGAGCACCCATGCTGCGCCAAGCCCTGCATTAGAGGCTGGTGCTGCAGAATTGACTAAGACTCCCTCTTAACCTTGGAAGGACGCTCAGCCTCCCGGAGAGAAGATTCATAAATAATGAGGGCCAAACAGCATGGGAGCCCCAAGAAGCAGCTCACGACTGCCTGGCGAGGGTCAGAGACAGGATCACAGGGAAGACTGTATGGACAGGGGCTGAAGGGAAGTCTAGAGTCAGATCTGAGAGCAAGCATAGTCAGCAGAACCCATTCCTTCACATTCTCATTGGCTCATTCTGCATCTCTCAAGCACCTGCTATGGGGCTGGCTACCCAGGGCCTGGAGACTCAGTGCGGAATGAGACAGCCCTGGTCACGGCCAGTTTACCCCATAAAGCGCAGTAGACACTGTATGTGGGGCCGATGGTAGAGAATGTAAGATGGGGCAGCCACTGTGGAAGACAGCCTGGCAGTTCCTGAGCGTGGTCCCCACAGAGGTACAAGGTGAGTCAGCACTATCACTCTTAGGCATACATCCAAGAGAGATAGAAACCTATGTCCATGCAGAAACATGCCCGTGAAAGTTTATCACATTACTCCTAATAACTAAAATGTGGAAACAACACTGTGTAGACATGTCACAGTGTCTATCCAAAATATGGCACACCTACACAATGGAATATTCTCTGCCATATAAAGGAGTCCTGTGCTGATACATGCTACAGCATGGATGAACCTTGGAAACATTATGCAAAGTGAAAGAAGCCAGTCACGAAAGGCCACCTATTTTACAATTCCATTTGTATGAATGTCCAGAATATGGGAATCCACAGAGAAAGCAGAGCTGTGGCTGCTTAGGGCTGGAAGGAGGAGAATACAGAGCTTAGGGGAGTCATAGAAGCCACAGCTAAAGGTTGCTTTGGCCCGGTGTGGTGGCTGCACCTGCAGTCCCAGCCACTTGGGAAGCTGAAGCAGGAGGATCACTTGAGCCCAGAAGTTCAAGATTGCAGTGAGCTATAATCGCACCACTGCACTCCAGCCTGGGTGACAGAGCAAGACCTTGTCGCTTAAAAAACATTTTTTTTTTATAAAAAATAAAGGTTTCTTCTGGGGTGATGAAAATGTTCTAAAATTGGCTGTATTGATGGTTGCACACTCTAAAAGCCATTGACTCTTACATTTTAAATGAATGAATTATATACAGTAATAGCAATTATATCTCAGTAAGGCTATTTTTTTTAAATGGGGCCTTGGCCGCATGCCCCATGGGCTTACAGCCTACCGGGAAATACAGACCGGGGACACAAAATTACAGCTGTGAGGACTGTTGTGATGGTGGCAGAGCAGAAGGCCATGGGGACAGAACTGAGAGTCCCACCTTAGTCCTGAGGCTCTGGAAGCTCCCAGGAGGAGGGGCAGGCAAGCCTGAGTCCTGGAGGCCCACGGGACTGTCTGGGCAGGATGCCAGCAGCAGGCTCCAGGCTGGGGCATCACAGCTGCCAGCTGGGCACGCAGCACATGGCTGGGGCCTGTGAGTGTGATTCCGGGGATGCACATCCACATGCTGGGAAAGAGAGAAGGAAATGATGGATCTGAGAGCCTTGTTCCCACTTGAAGCCTCGTCTCTCTGGACCTGGGCCTGGATCCAGCTCCACTCCCTGCTGAGGACTAATTCAGAGCACCCTAGAGCCAGAGTGACCCTCCGCCCTGTAGTCAGCAAACAGATTCCAAGGAGACTGGCCACCCCATCTCACAGATGGCTGCTCGAGGCCCAGGAAACGGCCCACCTTGGTGTTGGGACTGAGCTAAGAATGAAGCAGAAGAGGGAAGGAAGACTCCCCCCACTGCGGTGAGGTAGGCTCGGGGCCTGGTAACCACCCTTTTGGGATTTTGGTTCCAGAGTGCCTGGCCCCTGATAAGTGTCTGCTGGGCAGGGAGGCTGCCTGGAGTCATCCCATAAGCACTGCTCATCCCAGGAGTGTGCTCCCACGCTCAGCCCTGGATGTGAGCACAGAGACCAGGGCACCCCCTCCAGGACACCCACCAGGGACTCCCCAGCATCGTGCAGCTGTGTCCCCATTCCCCCTTCCTCCCCAGGAGAGGAGACATTCAAAACAGGCGGGACAGATGTGCCTCCTGGTGGTGGCTGGGATGTCTGCATTCCATTCAACACAGCAAACACCTCCTGAGTGTCTTCTGGGGTCAGCCCTGCAATGGGTGCTGGAATACAGTAGGAACAGGCCCCGGCCCCCTGCCCTGGTGAGAAAGAGAACCGTCTGCATGAAGCCAGAGTTTCACTGTACTCGGCTTGGCCTGGAGTCTCCTAATCCCAGCCCCTCCAGAATGTGCCAGTGAGGATAGGATGGGGAACAACCCAGAGAGGCCTAGGGAGGCTGGGGGGACCTGAACTGGAGCTCTGTATTTCTGTGTCTGTCTCCACAGAAAGTCTCCCATTTCCTGGCCCTCTTCCTCCTGAAGCTTTCAAGTGCTCACCAGAGTTTCTCTCCCTCCCACACAGCTCCTCCTTGTTCCCCTGGCCCCTCCCTTGGGTGACTCTGCCCCTAATGGCCCTTCCTCACACCAGTCACATCTGTGGTCCCAGGTCCACCCACGATTGCCACACTCCAGCCAGGGTCACCAAGTACCCAGAAAGAATCCTGGCAGGGGCTGGAATTGGGAAAATGGCTCTAGAAATGGCACCCTGAGCAGAGGAGGGGGTGCTTGGAGTCGCTGAACCTGGAAGAGGCTGTCCTAGCCATCCTAGCACCTAAGTGCAATGCCAGGCGCACATTAGCAACCAATAAAGGTGTGTTGAAGCAAACTGAACTAGATGTCTACCAGGAGCAACATTTTCACTCTGGACAGGTGACAACCATGTGGGCCATGTGAGACATCGCATTAAACCTGAAAAAACCATCCTTCCTGGAAGAAGTGAGAGGGGTGGGTAGAAAACAAGAAGGGGGTGCTTTATCTTCCGTGGGGAGGCGTGTTCATTCATCTGAGAGGGGAGAGAGGAGGAGGTACTGGCAAGGGTGGACCTAGCCTCTCACACACACCCCCTGCCCCCCGACCCCCACCCCTGCTGGGGGGACTCTGAAGCTTCCTTTCCCAGCAGGAGCAGGTCTTAGCATGAAAACTTCTCCAGCCAGTGCCTCTCTCCAGCACAAACTCGTCCCCAGGCTAAACAGAAGCCCTCTGAAGCCTTCTCAGAATCTGGGCTTCCCCTGTCATCCCCTTTCCCACACACACACCCAGCCACAGTGCAAACAGCGTTCCCAGAACCTGCATGGCCAACCAGGATGTCCCCCTCCCTCAGGCAGCCCTTCCCCTCCCTTTCCTCTGCTCAGCGTTTCTGCCTCCTCCCTGCTCCACAGATAGGATCCTGATGACCCAGCAGCCAGGCATGGTAATGCAGCCACGGAGCCTGGGCTCAGCCCGCAAGTCTCTGGAGTTACACTCAGGCTGACTGACAACAGCAAGAAGAAACTGTTGCAGCAGCAAAACCTCCTACCCAAAGTTGCCAGGGCAACTCCGCCCCCTCTCCCCACCTGCCACCCCCTAAAAAATGACTGAGGGTTGTGTTATGCATCGTCTGGCGAAATAATGCCTCCAAACTGCAAACTGCTGATGGTGACAGTTCATCACAGAGCAGGGACTATGCTTGACTGGTCCCAATTACAATTACCCCCACCCCACCCAGCCTGATCAGGGTTGAGGGAAGCTGGGACATGGGACAGGAATGGCTAATGGGGTATGAATGCATCTGCCATGGGAGCAGGAAGGAGGCGGGTGTGGATGGGAACAGGGATGACTGTGTAGAAGTGAAGGGAGGATTGTGCAAAACAGAGAAGAAAAGGGAGGAAGGGAGGGAGGAAAGAGCCAGGGAAAGGAATGGAGTACAGTAGCAGCTGCCAGGCACTGCACAGTGCACATCCCAGGCACTTCCTAGTCAATCCTCATCATACTATGAAACAGGGAATATTCCATATTAACATGAGGAAACTGAGGCTTAGAGGTTAAACAATTTCCCCAAGGTCATTGGTATACCATAGGGGTGGAAGGGACTACTACCATTATTTAGAATGGCCAATGCATGCTGAAAATTGTTAATAAGCTGATTGGTTGGTTTTAAAGTTCTCTGCAGAAAAGTTCCCCTAGTGCCTGCACCTGCAGCAGAACCTGGCCACCACCCTGCCCTTGGTATAGCACTATCCAAGATCATACTGCTAGTCGGTGACAAATCTGAGTTTCACCCAGGTCCATCTGACTCTAAAATTGATATCATCTTCTGGGTCCCCACCAGGGTTCTCTAGGCAGGCCATCCCTCCCACTCCCTTCCCCTTTCACCTCCACCAGACAGCCTCTGGTCCCCCTGCCCCAATCTCCTGGAACCCCTCGCCTGGCCTCAGAGGAGTGGGATGCCCTTTCGTTCAAGCAGCCTGGCTCAAACCCCAAGAGGCTGGAACTGGGGGACAAACTGGATTGGTTCTCCTTTGAGCTCTTGAGTTTCTGCCCCACCGTCCCCTCCTGGGCCATTCCTGTCCATTTGGGAACTTGGAGTCTCTTTTTCCCGAAATATCTGCAAAATCAAATGCCCAAATTCCTGTTCTTCATACTTCCTATTTCTTTCTCCTCCTGCTTTTAATCTTCACAGCCTCTTCCATTCACTCAACGAAACTATACAGAATGCCCACCATGTGCCCCACTCTGAGTCCTGGGGACCCCTCAGAGAGCAAAATGCACAGCAGTGTCTGCCTCCTAAAGCTTTGCTCCAGCCAGTACAAGTCAACGACAACAACAGGCAAATCCACCCAAGAAGAGGACCTCAGATGGCTGTAAATGCTAAGGCGACAAGGAAGCGGGGCAGGTGTACAGGGAGGACAGGGAGTTTCCAATAGAAGCTAAGAGGATGACATATGAACAAAGCCCTGGAAGAGTTGAGGGACCCAGCCATACAGCTATTTGAGGAAAAAGGTTCCCAGCAGAGAAAACAGCAAGGGGGTAAGCATTCGAGGCAGGAGTCATTCTGCCTGTTTGATGGACAGCCAGGATGCTCAAGTGGCTGCAACAGAGTGGGCAGCGGGACAGGTGGAGGGGATGAGGTCAGGGAAGAGGGAGGCACACTGCATAGTGTCTTACAGGGCATTGACTCTGAATGGGTGGGAAACCATGGGAGGAGTTTCGGCATGGAAATGGCATGATCTGACATGTTTTTAAAGGATCACTCTGTGCTGCTAAGAAAAGCCTGAAGGGGCAAGGGAGGAAGCTGGGAGACCAGCTGGGAGTGTAGTTCAGAAGATCCTGTGGGAAGAGATGGGCCTGGGCCAGCATGGGAGCAGCAGGATGGTGAGAAGGAGTAGGAGTCTGGATATATTTTGAAGGGAGAATTTGCCAATGAATTGAATGTGGGAAAAGGGAAATAAAAAACAGAGGACAAAAGGATGACTCCAAGATTTCTGGCATGAACTATTGCAGAGATAGTGATGTTGGCAAGTGGAACATATTTAGCAGGAACAATTAGGAGAACAGTTTTGGTCATAAAGTCATCCCTCTGTATCTGTGGCTCCCACCTTTGTGGATTCAACCAACTGCAGATTGAAACTCTTAAAAAAATTGCATCTGTGCTGAACAAGTACGGACTTTTTTCTTGTCAATAAAGTATAACAACTATTTACATAGCATTTACATTGTATTAGGTATTATAATCCAGTGATGATTTCAAGTATACAGAAGGATGTGTGTGGGTTACATGCAAATACTACACCATTGTATATCGGAGGCTCGACGAACATCCATGGATTTTGGTATCCACAAGGGGTCCTGGAACCAACTACCTGGGGATACCAAGGGACAACTGTATTAAGTTTGAGATGCCTATCTGATATCCAAATAGAGATGTTGGTTAAAATATATGTGTGGCGTTTAGGGGTAGGGAGGTCTGGGATAGAGTTGTGCCTTGGCAGTCATGAATGAACAGATGGTATTTAAAGTCCTGAGTCTGTATAATATCACCAAGGCAATGAGTCTAAAGAAGAGAATAGATACCCAAGGATTGAGCCAGGGACTCTGCAGTGTCTAGAGGTTGGGGATATGAGGAGGAACTGGCTTAGAAGACTGAAAAGAGTGTGGCAAGAAATCGAGAGAGTGTAGTGTCCGAAAATCAAAAGAAGAGCGTGTTTCAAGAGAAAGGGCATGGTCAGCTATGTGAAGAAAGTGAGAACTGAGGACAGACCATTGAATTTAACATGGAGGCCACTGGTGGTCTTGACGAGAAGTATGCACTTCTTATTGTTTTTCTGCTTCATTTCCCCCTTAGACATACAGCTGATAGCTGGAAAAAGAAAATACCGCACAAATGAGCTGGATGCTTCTGGTCAAAAGCATACATCCCCTTCCAAGTGGAATTGCAAGCATCCCAAAGAATCTCAAGCGTCCAGTCAAACATGAGTTCCCCTGGGCAAAGGATGCACTAGAATAGAAAAGGTAAACACCAGCCTGGCTCAGGGTCCTAAAAGAGCTGCAATATTGCTAACAATGATAATATTCAGCTGCTGAGAACTTTTCCTTTTCTATCCAGATGTATATTGCTTTGTGTCTCTCTATCCTAACCAAAGATTCATCAATAATTCAAGGAACCTAAATGGACAGGCCCATAAATCACACCTATGGTATATTTGGGGGCTAAAAATCATGTAGTTAGCTTTCTATACAGAAACTTTCCAATGCTTTGGCCTCAAATCATGCCACAAAGTGTTGACTGCTGGAAATCCTCAAGATAAATGTTCTGCTGGGCATGGTGGTGGATGCCTGTAGTCCCAGCTATCTGGGAGGCGGAGGCGGGAGGATCACTTGAGCCCAGGAGTTCAAGACCAGCCTGGGCAACTAGATCATGTCTCTAAAAAAAAAAAAAAAATTTAAGATAAATCTTCCCCTACTACCATGAAGATAGAGACTGTCTTTGTAATCTCTGTACCCTCAGCAGCAAGCACACTGCTGGATACATAGCAGGCACTCTAAAACTGTAGAATGAATGAATATCTCTGAGTGTCTCAAATCACAGATGTGTCTACACTAGCCCAAATGAGCTTTACTGTAGATTCAACTCTTGTATACTAAACAGCCATATTGGATAAAACATGGCAGAAGGTTTTTTGATGATTTAATTGATTTGCAGAAATGCAACAAACTGTATTTTCTCCATATCACTTCTTACTTGGAGATGTGCACACACTCCCACCTCTTTAGGGGGTTATATCTTCATGGATGCATCCCATGTGAGCCTCTTGCTGGAGCTGTCGCCATCCTAACTTTCTGGTGGTTAGCCACACTCACAGTGAAAAAACCTATTGCATTTATGACCAAAGCAAATTAATGTCCCCTTAATGGCAATTGTGGTAGACTTATAGGGAAAAAAAAGACTATAATGTTTATATGTTTATGTGTTTTTAATGTTTATTGGTTTGCTGTTACAGCCCTCATCCCAATGAGACTAGGTGTGTCTGAGTTAACTCATTGTCAAGGAGGTTATAGGCATGCAGAGTTTCTGCTAACTACCCAAGCTCATAAATGCCTGCAAATGGATTTTTTCATTTTTATGGGGCCAAGCCTCAGATCACCACACACATAAAAGGGGTGCAAGGGTTCCACTGGCCTCAGAGGGACTCCCAGCTCCAGCTCACCCATTCTACACTTGCTCTTTTGCTCCCAACCAGGAAGCCATCATGTCTTGCCGCTCCTACCGAGTCAGCTCTGGTCACCGGGTGGGCAACTTCAGCTCTTGTTCAGCAATGACACCACAGAACCTGAATCGCTTCCGGGCCAACTCTGTCTCCTGTTGGAGTGGGCCTGGATTCCGGGGCCTTGGCAGCTTTGGTAGTCGGAGTGTCATCACCTTTGGATCGTACTCACCCCGGATAGCAGCTGTAGGCTCTCGGCCCATCCACTGTGGAGTCCGCTTTGGTGCTGGCTGTGGGATGGGTTTTGGTGATGGGAGAGGTGTTGGTCTGGGGCCTAGGGCTGACAGCTGTGTTGGTCTGGGCTTTGGAGCTGGCAGTGGCATTGGCTATGGCTTTGGTGGCCCTGGCTTTGGTTACAGAGTTGGAGGGGTTGGAGTCCCAGCAGCCCCATCTATCACAGCTGTGACTGTGAACAAGAGCCTACTGACCCCCCTCAACCTGGAGATTGACCCCAATGCCCAGAGGGTGAAGAAGGATGAGAAGGAGCAAATCAAGACCCTCAACAACAAGTTTGCCTCCTTCATTGACAAGGTACCTATGATAGCTGAATCTCTGGGTCTAGGAATATTACAGCCAAAATGCGCTAGAGTGCTCTTTCCCTTAAAAAGAACTGGCCCGGTTCTGGGGACTTGACCTTGACCTCAGATCTTTCAAGTGCCTACCTCAGGCATTGTGGTATGCTTTATGGGTTGCTCTGCTGCAGAGCAAGGCCAAGCCAGAGGACGAGCTGCATGGTGGGATAGATTCCGACAGTGTTGATATCTTCTGGAGGACAGAGGAGCATCCAGCCAAACTCGAGGGCATCTCGACAAACTAAGATGTTGCATCTGGTCACTTAGAAATGTCTCTGAAACAGGCTGGAAACACTGGGACTTTAGCCAGGTGTTGGCTGGTATATGCTTAAGAGGTTTTATTCTTTGAGATCCTTTTGTTCCTTATGAAGTTTTCATAGTTTCTGAGGCTGAGTGGCCTCATCTATTCAGGCTTAGAAAAGTAGAGAATGGAGTTGAGTAATTAAAAAAAGAAGAAGAATTCATACCCCCACATGGGGTATCAAAATTCGGCCAAGTTGCCTAGATTCAGGGAAATTGCAGGGAATGACCACTGGTAGTCACTGGCTTCCAGGCAGATGAGTGGGAACAGTGATGTGGATAACCCAAAAGAACTGACATCCCACACACCATGTCTATGTGGAGATGGAATGGTTATGTCTGAGAATGAAGGATAACCTCTGTAAGTTTTGGGTTCTTCCTCTCTAAAATGAGGGGCTGGGGTAAAGGGTCTGTAAGTTCTCTTCCAGCTCTACACATAGCCAATGGAATATCTGCGATGTTGGATAGGACTTACAATCTGAGAATTCCTACCTCCCAGTACCATATCCCACCCCAAATGTAGTTTACTCTGCTCCCCATTCTCTGCCAGGGATGCCTGGCATCAGTTTTCAGATATAGGCAAACCAGAGCTTAAATAGAATCAACCCTTCCAACTTCCTGATGTACCAGTGTACAGCTTTCTTAGAGACTGGATAGGGGAATGGTACTGAAGTGCTATGGTTCAAAACCCCATATTGGTAACTAGGCCTAGCCGAGCACAAGGAGGGAGTCACAACCTGCCCTTCCAGCTTCTGCTGAGTTAGTGGAGGAATGAAAGTCAGCAGAGGAGAGAACCCTGTCGACATGTGGTCAAGTCATCGCTGGCCATCTCAAGAGCTTGGTCAAGGCATGAACCCTATCAAGCACTTCAAATGCCATTTCTGTGCCCTGTGGATTTAGGTTCGGTTCCTAGAGCAGCAGAATAAGCTCCTAGAGACCAAGTGGAGCTTCCTCCAAGAGCAGAAATGTATCAGGAGCAATCTGGAGCCACTCTTCGAGAGCTACATCACCAACCTGCGGAGGCAGTTGGAGGTGCTGGTCAGTGATCAGGCCCGGCTCCAGGCTGAGAGGAACCACCTGCAGGATGTCCTAGAGGGCTTCAAGAAGAAGTGAGTGACATCTGAGCTGCACAGACCAGTGACAGGCCAGGCCTGGCCCCAGAATTAGCTGCCAAGCTCAGATGAGAGCAGCTGGAAGGATCAGGGTTGAATGCTGGTTACCACATCAAGCCTGGGGAGGTGGGGGTGGGTAGAGATATGTGAACAGAGAAGAGGAGGCCCTCCTGAGGAAAAAGGTGCCCATGTTCAGTATCTTTTTCAGTTGGGCCCTACTTGCTCTATAGTCAAATGCAATGATCCTACATTATTTCTGTCAGAGGAACATAGCAATAGACCAGGTTTTCAGATCCCAAACCCACATTAAGAAAGTGGAAGGGATTTGGAGAAACTGAGAGGCACTGGCTTATGAAAGGTCATAAAGATGAGACAGAGGGGATGATGTTATAGCATTCAGATAGCAATAGGGAACCATGATCCTGCACAGACTGAGAGATCTTGCAAGGTTCACTGGGGAGTTGGGAGTAACTGCCTCTCAGTTCAGAGTAAGCACTCACCCTCTTAACCTTTATCATCAGGTATGAAGAGGAAGTGGTATGTCGGGCCAATGCTGAGAATGAGTTTGTGGCTCTGAAGAAGGTAAGGGGGAACCACAGACCAGGCCAACTTCTCCTCTGGACCGGCAAATGTTCTCAAGACTCCCCAGGAAACTGCTCAGGCAGCCCTGTGGAGTCTGGGACTACTCACATCAAGACAGTGGAGACAGTGGAATCTCAGAGATAACAAGAGATTTCCTACAAAGTTCAGGTTCAGCCTCAGATTCTTTAGGATTGGGTCACATGTGAGCAGAGGTATGAAAAGGTGACCTAAGTATCTTGGATTATCTAGATTTTCTTTGCCTCTAACTGAACATCAGGAAATGTCCAGCAGCCCCTGGGGGAATGTTGGCATTGTAATAGGGAAATGAGCAAAAGTTGCTGAGCTTCACTTCTACCCAGCGACCTTACCATCTGTGGGAAGTGGCTGCCTCTTTGCACCCATCTCCAGACACAGGTGGGAAGGTGAAACAGTGCCCAGGCGATGAGTATTTATCCTTCTCTGTTTTATACAGGATGTGGATGCAGCTTTCATGAACAAGTCTGATCTCGAGGCCAACGTGGATACCCTAACTCAGGAAATTGACTTTCTAAAAACGCTTTACATGGAGGTGAGGGTTCATCTTCTCTAGGGCACCCAAGGAGATCAATGCTTGGCCTGGACTCCCTGAATGCTTAGCCTGGGCTAGCATATTTTCAAACATTTGCTATCATATATCTTTCCTCTCACTCAAATCTGTATGCTATATATGCCAATATGTCTTCAAATGGGGAAGGGAAGGTGAGCAGGCTTTTCAGCAGCCTGATGCAAGTCAAACTCCTTGGATCTATGATCCAACTCCTTATTTACCAATTTAAAGACTGGGATCTAGAAATGTCACTTCCTGTGTACTGACAAGAAGACTGAAAAATTGATTTGCCAGGAGAGGTAAGAAAAAATGTGTTTGACCTAATTAGCCAAACCAGCTGTCTTTTGCTTCATAAACAATCTGTCCAGTCTGGTATAGGCCCAGCCAGAGCTGAATTGCTAGCTCTAAGTGAAGAGGCTGAGGAAAGCCTCCTCTGGAACTCTCTTTGCAGGCCAGTCCCAAGCCCCTCAGTTCTTCTATTAAGGGCTTGGGATATAGGAATTCCTAGACCACCATGTGCTAAAATATTGTCAGGTCTCAACGGTCTGTGACCAGCCCAGCCACTTTGTAGATAATCTAAGAAAAGTTTAAGCCCTAGAGTGGCTCCCACTTTCTTCCACCATGTTCTTAGATCCCCATGGTTTTAATACTTACTGAGCAAAGTAGTGTGTTAAAGGGATGTTTCTGAGTAGATCACAAGAGCTCTAAAGTCAGCCTGAGATGGTTCTCAGACATGTCTTTTTCTTTATCATCAATTTAGATGGTCTTGCTTTTTTATGAACCAATGAGTGATGCTCTCTGCCCCTGGCACCACTTCCTGGGCCCCCTGTGGCAGAGTCCCAGCTACTAAATGAGACTCTAAGCACATCTGTCTCCCCAATCCTCCAACACAGGAAATCCAGTTGCTGCAGTCGCACATCTCAGAGACGTCGGTCATTGTGAAGATGGACAACAGCCGTGACCTGAACCTTGATGGGATCATTGCTGAGGTCAAGGCCCAGTATGAGGAGGTGGCCAGGCGCAGCCGGGCTGATGCTGAGGCCTGGTACCAGACCAAGGTGGGCAGTGGAGGCTGGGGAAGGGATGTAGGCAGCTCTGGGAATGACTCATATATAACAGATCAGGCCCAGGGAGGTTTGAAGCCCCCAACTCAGTGGGGGCTGTGATCCTGACCTGACCTCCGAACCCTCAAAATACCCTCCTCTCTCCGCAGTATGAAGAGATGCAGGTGACAGCTGGCCAACACTGTGACAACCTGCGCAACATACGGAACGAGATCAACGAACTGACCCGCCTGATCCAGAGGCTTAAGGCAGAGATTGAGCACGCCAAGGCTCAGGTGGGCAAAGGAAAGGAGGGAAAGCCTCAGATGAGGGAGAACCAGGGCCTCAGGCTTTGGGAACCCCCAAGTCTAATGAGGTGAGGGAGACCATCAAGACCCAGAAACCAAGGAATGGAGGGATCAGTCCAGGAAGGCTTTCTGGAGGATAAAAATATGGAAGGGAAGGAGAGCTTCCCACATAGAAGTAAAGGGCTAGAGCAGACCCAGCAGGGAAGGTGGTACAGAAAGAATAAATTTACCCTCTAGATGCCATGACTCTGGGGCAGCTGAAATCAGCAGTGACAAAGTCAGTGGGGATGGAAACAACAGCAATGCCCTACCCCATAGTGACATCAAACTACAGGGTCTCCAGTGCCTGGGAAAGCAGCCACCATGGGGTCCATCCCTGCCTTGGCCCCAGGCTATGTTCCCACTAAGAGGGGCCGTGTTTCTAACCCAACCTGGGGATGCCCTGGCACTGCCGAAGCCTACCTGCAAACTGCCTTCCCTGCAGCGTGCCAAGTTGGAGGCTGCAGTGGCCGAGGCCGAGCAGCAGGGCGAGGCGACCCTCAGTGATGCCAAATGCAAGCTGGCAGATCTGGAGTGTGCCCTGCAGCAGGCCAAGCAGGACATGGCGCGGCAGCTGTGCGAGTACCAGGAGCTGATGAATGCCAAGCTGGGCCTGGACATCGAGATCGCCACCTACAGGCGCCTGCTGGAGGGCGAGGAGAGCCGGTGAGTACTCTCAGTCCAGCAGGAGAGTGAAGTCAGACTTAGGCATCTAGAAAGACTAAGGAAGAGAAGGGGACAGTGAAGAACTGCAGAAATACATAGTCTTTAAAGATGACAATACCTTCTCTGCAAACATTAGTTGCATTGCCCTTGTCAGGGAATCAGAAGAAGGCTCTAGACCTGTGATTCTCAAATGCAAGTCTAGATAAGCTGCACCAGAATCATTAGTAATTTTGCTAAAATTACTACTAATGATAAATTTCCTTAAATATTTTAATCTAATGGTTTTGGGATAGGGTCTAAGAACGTGTTTTTCAACGCTCCCCAGATGTGTGTATAACCAGGGGTGAGAACTACTGCTCCACAGATCTACTCAAACAAGAAAGCCCTTTTTATGGCAAATAGGTTTTCAGGAAACAATAGTGCATGTGAAATGATTTGTTTCTTCCCCTTTCCAGGCTCTGTGAAGGTGTTGGACCAGTAAACATATGTAAGAAACTTGTTTTTTCCTCTTCACACATTTCTCTCCTCTTCAAACTTCCTTTAAACTCAGGCTCACACTGGGGTCAGGAGGCGTCCGACATGGCCGGTCTGGCCACGACAGTCAGGGGAGCTGGGACCATCCAGCCCTGGATGGGGAGCATCTTCTTAGCTGAGGTCTGAGATCTCCCCAGAGCCTGCCTTCCCCAGAGCAAAACATTCATAAAGGTTTTCAAGGCCTCCAAAGTGGAGGACAGCCAGCTTTTTTGCTTTGAGCGGCCTTGTCCTTCAAGGGAACTTAGAAGGACTTAGAAGGACTGGGACTTAGAAGGAATGGGACGCCTCTGCCAGGGGAGCCTCTCATCCCCTGATGGCAGGGAACGCAATAAGGCCAAATGGAAGTCTCCCCACTGCTGCAGCCGAAGCATGGGTTGTACCCAAAGCACGCAGGGCAGTGTGCCGGGCATGGCAGTCTGGGGACACTGGCAAGGCAAGACCCAGCCCACGCTCTCTAGAAATAGAATCTTCTTGAGAAGATGAGTCCTAGCCACCATCAACCTAACACTGGAAGGATCCCTGGGGAGAAAAGCGGATACTGGCATCCCTGTTTTGCCCACTCAGAGAAAGTACATGATTTGCCAGAACTTACAAAGCGAACCAGATTTCAAACCCAGATTTCTGACTCCAAAAACACAAATGAACACTGACGTGTAGTGGAACCGAGTGCTAAACTGGGTGGGTCAGACAGTCAGAGCTACATGTACTTGGAAGACAGTGTCCCTTCCCACTCCCATGGAGGCGGTGAGTGGTCAGGGGAAGCCACAGGCAATGGCTTTCTGCAGGAGGTCAAGCTTGAGTGAACATCATGGATGGCAGGAAGGATTCTGGGTAAGATGAAAGGGCAGGAAAGAGTGTACCCCTCCATGGATGGGGCTGGTCTAGCAAGCTCTTCTGTGGATTTGAGTCCTGAGGCATGGAGTTGTGTCCAAGGGAGAGCAGAGGGCTACAGAGCACAGCCACCAGTGGGTCAGGAGAGAGGCGACAAGGGACTAGTGTTGGAGGGGTTTCCTGTGTGCTGGGCTAGGGGAAATATGGAGACCACCAAGGGGCATAATACAACTGGAAGAGAAAAGGCCCATGGCTTTGTGGAAGCTGCTGTTCCAGCTGTCTGGATAATCCAGCTCACTACCTACATCTCACAACCCAACTTGACTTTAGCCGTATATAAATGACAGTCAACCTATGGATGCATGCAAACATCTGGGGAATTGGATGAAGTCGTCATTTTCATCTGAATGTTTGATTTTAATGTAGTCACAGTCTTTGAGCCATCCAGAGAGGGAAAAAGTGTATACTGACTGTATAGACAATAGGGACCACTTCCCCAGATGCCACAACCCTGACCCCACTCCCTCCCCACCAGACCCGGAGGTGCAGCCCAGGGGTAGCATGGAGGTGGAGGGCCCTGGTGTCGGCAGCCTCCCTGATGCTTTCTTTCTCCGCAGCCGTCAGCAGCTCCCGGGGCGGCCTGGTGTGCGGGCCTGAGCCTTTGGTTGCCGGCTCCACCCTCTCCCGCGGCGGGGTCACCTTCTCAGGTAGCAGCAGCGTCTGTGCCACCAGTGGGGTCCTGGCTTCCTGTGGCCCCAGCCTGGGTGGAGCCCGGGTCGCCCCGGCCACTGGGGACCTGCTGAGCACTGGCACAAGGAGTGGCTCCATGCTCATCAGCGAGGCCTGTGTCCCCAGCGTCCCCTGCCCCCTGCCCACCCAGGGGGGCTTCAGCAGCTGCAGCGGCGGCCGCAGCTCCAGCGTCCGCTTTGTGTCCACCACCACCTCCTGCCGGACCAAGTACTGAGAGCCCAGCCCCAGACAGCTGCTGCCCAGAGAAGAACCAGCTCCACGGCTCCTGCTTCTGCCCCCAGGGTTCGTGGGCTCTGGGCTTGACGGTCTCCAGCTCCCCTTTCTGCCAGGAAGCCACCCCTTAGCACTCCCCCGATTATTCTGCCTGGCCCCATGTCCTCTTGGAGGATTTTTCTGCCATGTAGATGCTCCATTAGCAGTTCCAGCTAAGCTGGCTTCTCCCTGCCTCCCAATTTCTGTCCTTTGGATCACTCCTCTCCCTGTCAGCAACAGCCTGGAGAAATGCACATTCCGTGCAATAACAACAATCCACCCAGTGCCCTCACCACCCGTGGCTTTGGGTTAATTTGGAGAATGGAGTTGACCGTCCACACTGCAGGCATCCTTAACTCCACATCCTTCACTTCCTTCTTCTTCCTTTCTCTGGTAGGAGAAGGTTCTTTCCTTCTCTCCCTGATGAAGGGGATCCCAGTCCTTGGTGGCCCCAGGCTCCCTAAACCCCGAGATGGCTTTTCTCCCAGTGGCTTCTCTCCGGCTGTTTCTCTTCCTGGGTTGTTGGTGTAACTCCAGCATGCAAGTCCACGAGGTGGGGTGCAGGCGGACAGGCGGGCTTTGCAATGATCCCCGTACTCCTGCCCCTGCTCGTGGTGTGAGGCCCAGCCCTGTCCACTGCAGGGTTGTGTCTGCAAGCTCCAAGGAGGCCTGGGGGTTGGGTGGGGTGGGCTGCCTGTGTGCACTACTCTTTGTGTTCCTGGGTTTTCAATAAACTTGCCAAGCTCACCTCACAGGGACTCTGGCCTCTCCTTCTGGATCACACTGGGGTTGGAGGAGTTGCCTCCTAGACTCCACCAGATCACAGCCTGCCTAGCTGAGGTAGGGCAGAGACTGGTGTCCTGGGCACAGGGAAGGCACTGAGGAAAGAGGGCCCAGGCCATTCGCTGGAGGGACTGACAGTTCTGCAGGGCATAGGAGAGGTAGCAAAGGCTCCAAAAACAAGTGGCAGCCAGCCCACTGCCCACTTCCCCCCACCACTGGGAATAGCCTTGTGCTCAGAGGCACCCTCCCCTGACCAAAGTGAACCCTGCCATCTGTTGCTCCCCAGGTCTCACCCACCCTCAGTTCCCCCAGTTCATCAGTTCATTATAGGTCCTTCCTGGTCTTTCTGTTCCCACTCGTGTCTCCATCCAACTCATTCATCACGATGCTGCTAGAAAGGCCTTTCTCACATAAAAAACTGACTGTGGTTCCCCGCAGCTCATATCCTTCGGTAGCTCCCCGTTGCCTCCCAGAAATAGCCCAAGCTCCTTAACATGGCATACAAGCCCTGTGTGATCTGCCCGTAGACTTCCACCTCCAGCCATCCCCTCCACACAGCCCACTGCCCACCTCTCATCTTTTGTCTATTCATCCAACAAACATTTGAGAAGTGCCTACCACATACCAGGCATGATGCTGGGAAAATGGTAATTGACAAGATTCAATTCCGGCCCTCAAAGAGCTTACAGTCCTGTCTGATAGATGGACAAGTGCACATGTCTGATAGATGGACAAGTGCATAAGCACTTGACTCAATATGCTAAGTACTATATTAAAAGCAGAACTCATGCTGTACTACCCAGACAAGAGGCCCCGCCCAGACTTGGGGCAACATTAAATGCTTCCTGAAGGATATAATGTCCCAGCAGAGGTGTGAAGGATGATGAATTAGCCATACTAAGAAGGAAGAAGTGTCCCAAGCAGAGGCAACAACAGCATGTGCAAAAACCAAGACGTTGGAGAGAGCAGAAGTTTGAGGATTTGCCTGGAGTTGAAATTGGCCATGACTATAGCATAGAGTGCAAGACATAGCGTCAGGTGGGGACAGGAGTCAGCCAAGGCACAGTCACGAACAGCACAGCTCCATTGGGGCACATGTCTCATAGTAGGAATGGTTTGCTGGTCAGCCTCACTCCAAGACAGTTCTTCTGAGGGAGCAGGAAGCACATCTCTCATTTTTATATGTTCTGCATTGCCAAGACCCCAGCCAGCACCCTGAGGATGTAGAGGTTGCCCTGCTCACAGCCTCAGGCCCTGCATGATGGTGGGGTCACCAGCCACTGGCCCTCCTGCTTCCAGGAGCTCATGACTTCCCACCTCATCTTCTACGTGCAAAGTCACACACACCCCTTGGGGGCAATTTTAATATTTGACATTTTTTAAGTCATTGATGGGCCCATAACAAAAAGAAGTAGACAAAGGAGAGTCAATAACTTGAAGACAGATCAATAGAAATTATCCAATCTGAAGAATAAAGAGAACATAAGATTTTTTTAAAGTTTTTTTTAAGCTAGAGGAAAATAACACATTACATATAGGGGAATAATCGTTCAAATTATCATAGATTTCTCATCAGAAACCATGAAAGACAGACGATGGTGGCACATCACATTTAAAGTGCCAAGGGTTGTGGAGGGGGGAGGGACTGTAAACACAGAATTCTACAGCCAGCAAAAGTCTCCTTCAGAAGCAAAGGCAAAAAGAAAACAAAACCAACAAAGAAACAAAAAGACATTCTCAGACGAAGGAAAACTAAGAGAATTTGCCATTTGCAGACTTGCTCTAAAAGGAAACGATATCAGAGAGAAACGTAATTTCAGGAATAAAGGAAGAACAACAGAAATGGTAAATATCTGGGTAAATATAAAATTTATTTTTGTTTCTTTTATGTTCTTTAAAATGTATATGACTATTGAAAATAAAAATGATAACTAGTGATGGGGTTTTAATTTATATAGATGCAATATCTATGATGACTGTCACATAAACTGGGGAAGGTAAACGTAAGTGATAAAATATCACCTCTAAGTAGACTGTGAAAAAGTAGATTACATACATTGTATCTCTAGAGTAGCCACTAAAAAGTAATACATAGAGATACACTCAAAAATCAATAGAGGTCAGGCGTGGTGGCTGACGCCTGCAATCTTAACACTGTAGGAGGCTGAGGCAGGAGAATCACTTGAGCACAGAAGTTCGAGACCAGCCTTGGTAATATCAGAAGACCCTTTCTCTGCAAAAATAAGAATAATTATAATAATAAATAAGTTTTTTAAGTCATAGATCAAAGGAAAATATATTAATATCTAAATAATCCAAAGAAGATAAAAAAGAATAGAGAAACATCAGAAAGGCCAAAAAGAAAACAAATAATAAAATCACAGACCTTAAATAAAACAATATTAATAATTACATATAGCATAAATGGTCGAAACACACTGTCAGGGAGAAAAAGCTTTCCTTTACCCACTTAGTTTTAGTGCTTGGAGTCTGTGAATTAAGATGACCAAAGACAGATTAACAGAAGGAAAGTTTAATGCCTACTGTCACTGTCTTTGGTAATTTGTGTCACTTTCAATCAACCTCATTTACTTGACATTTATAGAGCACACCACCCCAAACAGAAAAGTATACATTCTTTTCAAGTGATAATAGGGAACATTCACCAAGATAGACCTTGTAAATTATGTAGCCAGTCCTGCCTGAATAGCTCTATATCTAGTAAGTGTGCACTGAATGTACAGTTTTAAACCTTCCCACAGAGAAGAATTCAGGCCTAAGCATTTTCACTTGTGAATTCTACCAAACATTTAAGAAAGAATTCAACCCAAACTCTTCCAGAAAACATAAGAGAAGGGAAAACGTCTCAATTCTTTTTGAGACCAGCATTACCCTGCACCAAAACCCAATGACATTATAAGAAAAGAAAGCTATAAACTAGTATCCTTAATGAACAGAAATGAAAAAATCTTCAGCAAGGCATTAGTAAAGTAAGCACAGTAACAAATGAAAGGATAGTATATCATAACCAATGACAGTTTAGCCTGGGAATGCAAGGTTGGTTCAACTTTCAAAAGTCTATTAATGTAATTCATGATATCAACAGACTAAATAGGAGAAACAGTATAATTATCTTGACAGATGCAGAAAAAGCATTTGACAAAATTTAACATCCATTCTTGGCTTAAAAGAGAGAGAACTCTCAGCAAACTAGAAATTGAAGGGAACTTTCTTAGCCTGGCAAATGAAATCTAAAAAAAAAAAAACCTACAGCTGACAGCATACTTAATGGTAAAAGACTGAATGCTTTCTCTCTAAGATTAGATACAAAATAAAGAAGTCTGCTTACACCACTCTTAGTATTGTACAAGCTGTCCTGGCCACTGAACTAAGGCAAAAATATACAGGTTGGAAAGGAAGAAATACAGCTCAGAAGTCTTCATTTTCTATATAGAAAATTCTAGGAAATCTTTATTTAAATATCTACTAGAGCTAATAAGTGACTTTAGGAAGGTTGCAGGATGCAAGGTCAATATACAGAAATCAATTGTATTTCTATACACCAGCAATGGAAATTAAAAAATTGTTGAAATATCATTTCCAATAGTACCATTTAATTCCAAAGGATAAATACTTAGGCATAAACCTTTAAAAAGTATATGAGGATCTGTATGCTGAAAACTACAAAACATTAATGAAAGAAATCAAAGAAAACTTAAATAAATAGAAAGATATACTGTGTTAATGAGCTGGAAGACTCAATATTATTAATATGTCAGTTATCTCCCAGAGATGACATAGGGGTCAAACCCATGGACAAGGGCACAGGCAGACCTGAGTTCAATCCCAGGTCTTCCACTTACTGGCTGCGTGACCAAAGGTAATGAGAGGTAACAATAATACCTAACATATGTTGAACTGAGTAGTGTTCCAAATAATTCTCACAGGTTAACTCATTTTATTCTTTCAATATCCTTAGGTGGTAGGTGCTTTTATTATTTCCCATTTGACAGATGACAAAACTGAGGCCCAGAGAGGTTAAATAAGTGGTGAGGCACAGGAGCTCTGACTCCTGAGCCCATGCTCACCACCACTGTGCTGTTCTGCCTGTCACGTAATCTCAATACGCCTCTTGCCTCATTTGTAAAATGGAAAAATATGTCGTACCTCAAAGAGATGTGGGGATGACATGCAATGGTAATCCAAGGTGCTTGGCACTCAACCTGGCCCACAGTGGGTACACAATTGCTTCAGTAGTGGTGGTGGTGGTGGTGTTTCTCTTTTGTCAATGAACAATAGCTTTGTCAGCAGCTCAGCCACTCCAGTACCAACCACAGGTGGATGCAGAAGCGTCAGGGACTGTCTCCAGCTTCCAAAGATCTGGAAACCAGAGCCAGCTGCAGGCAGATCCCTGGCCTTCTCTGCTTCTGCCACGACTGAACTGCTGCCAGGCCAGCTGTGGGAATTTGCTGCCCTCTTCTGGCCACCAACTTCGGACAAGAAGGCGTAGGAGATTTTCAAAGCAGGCTACCAGCAGGATTGGCTTGTGCAATATAGCAAGGAGAGGAGGGAGCTTAGAGTCTTGTAAAACCATTTTGTTTTTCTCCAGATTTGTAATTAGGACACAAACATAAAAACAATAAGTAACAGCTTTTAAAAATAAATCTATCTCCTTTCTCACCAGCCCAACCCAGCCGTTTTCACCGTTCTGTGTTCTTTGTCTCCATGGGTATTCAGAAAACCACAGCCTTGAAGCAGGAAAGAGCCAGGGAGGGGTCTTAGTCCCATGGCTTTCAAACTGCATGTGTTCCTCGGGGCTCAAGGGCCAAGGCTTCCCACAAGCTGTCATTTTCTGCCAAACCTCAAATATCTAAAGTATCCAAGATAGCCATTCATTTATACATTCATCAGTCAACAATATTTACTGAGCACTTACTATATTCCCAGCACTTTTCTAGGTGAACAAAATGAACAAAACAGACAAAATCTCTGCTTCCATGGAGTTTACTTTGGGGTGATGGGAAAAACAGACAATAATCCACAAATAGAATAAATAAGTAAATTCTGGACTGTGTTAAGTGTGATGGAAAAATAAATAAATAAGAGCAAGATAAGCTGGATGGAGAGTGCCCTGGGGTGGAGGGCAGGTTGCCATTTTTTTAAAGGGTCAGAGAGATGGTATAGGGGCAAAGCCCTGCAGGAGGCAATGGGCAAGCCACTTGGATGACAGGGGAGCATTTGGGTGGAAGAGACAGCAGGGCACAGGCCCTGAGTCAGGAGTGCACCCTGTCCTGGTGCTCCAGTGGGAGGTCACTGTGGTTGCTGAACACAGGGAGACCGGTGACAAAGGCCACAACACAGACAGGCAGTGCAGGGCCTTGTTGGCCATTGTTAGGACTCCAAGCAAAATGGGGAATTGGGTGTTTGAGCAGGGTAGAGACATGATCCAACTTATGTTTTACGGGGCTTACTCTCCTCGGCTGAGAATGGAGTTGGAGGGCCAGGGGCAAACAGGGAGACCAGCATGTCAATCTTATCTATTCTATAACTACATAAGTAAATACATGGCTTTATATAGCTGTTTTCCTCCTAGGATTTGGGGAGATGGCTCAACTGCCAAAAAGAAAAGAAAGAAAACATTTCAAAACCATTCATGCAGTACATTCCTGAAATCAGAGGCTCTGTAACGACTGAGCCACTGCTCTGATCCCGAGTAACCATGGAAAACAGCAAAGCACCAGGGAATGCTGCCAATAGGAAGGCACGTGGACAGAGTTCGGGAGGAGAATGGAGTTTCTTGGAGTTGCCGTGGAGCAGGCCAGGGAGCAGCTGTGTCAGCTGGGCACGGAACCCCGCCATGACACACTGGAGAACGTAGAGTTGCTCTGACCCTCCTTTCTCTCACTTAGGGTCCCTGAATCATGCCCAAGTCTTGTGAAAGTCAAAGAGAGGGAAAGAGGGCTAAGAAGAGCCTCCAAGAGCTGCGTCTCAGCAGCGGCAGTGGCGTAGCCTTAGATGCATAATAAAAGTGTGGCCAGCAGAGGCAAAGGGCGGTACCCAGTTTGAATCAGCTGTGCAGGCCTTGTCCATGGGGAGCCCATCAGGACTGACTGAGGGGGACCAGCCCACTAGGAGGGATGGGAAGACAACCCACAAGAGCCCAGGCAGGCACAAACACAAAACTGGGAGGACAGACAGTGCAGGATGGGGAAGGTGTCAGCACCCTCCTGTCTTTGGACAAATCCAGGAAGTCTTCCTGGAAGGAGGGGATTTTAGCACAGTAGAAAAAGCAGAAGGGAAGGGAGGTAGTGGGCCTCTGGGGTTGGGGAGAGCCAGCTGCCCCAGGGAGCATCCCAGCTCAGGTAAAAAGCACCGCCTGAGAGTGGGGCTGAGGTGGGAGCAGTGAGGCCTCTGAGAAAACCCCAGAATATGTACCTCTGGAGTGGAGCAGATTCACAGGAGGTCTCAGAGGTTGCCTGGAGCTCCAGGGTAGAGTAAAGAACTTCTCTCCTCAAGTAGTTCTTGAAGACTTTCTGGAAGAAGAAGCCACTTGGGAGCAGTTTAAATTATGGGAAGGTCGTGGATTCTTCAGATTCCCGAAACTAGATGGGGCCTTCAAAAGGTGCAGGGTACAAGAGGGGACAGAGCCAAAGGAGGTGATGAGTGACAGTCCTTAGGACAAGAGAGTGTAGAAGGGGATAAATGGAGTTACCTGGGGAGCCCCAGAGAGGGCATTTATGAGACAGCAGGGAGGAGAAATCACAGCCTCCCCCGATGAGCTCACAAAGCCTTCCTGGAAGAGGCAGCTATTCTGAGACATTCCAGGCCAAGGTGTAACAGGGAGAAGGTTGGTGGAAGGAAGAGGGATGCAATAGGGCACAGGTGAATGAGGGCACAGTGAATGAGGGTGAGACACTGAAAGGAGATGGGGCTCCCAGCCCCCAAAAGATCCTGACTCTCAGGGCAACGACTTGGGTTCCACTGGGCAGAGTGGTTGGGTGATGGCTAGAGGCAGGCAGGAGGCTATGTGTTCTCTGTGTCCTCCCTGGGTAGAACCATAAGCAAAGGCCCAGGTCTTTCCAGGGCAGCTGTGCCAGATCCACCTGGCCTGACTTGCTCCCTGGCCCTGGACCACCTGGGGCCAGCCCCGTAAGGAATCTGCTCCCCTCAAGGCTTTGCCCTCAGTCCAGCTCCTCCAATCCGAAGCTCCACCTGGACAGCATCCTGGGAAGCCCCCAGCCCCAGCCCTGGGCTCAGCACTGCCATCAGCAGTGATGCAAGCTTCACCCAGCACGCACGAGCACATTCCTGTGGGCAGGGTGGGCCTGTCTCACCCCCGCACACCCTCGAAGGGGCTCATACCCTTGGGCTGGACAGACCTGCTGGTCCTGTAGAGGTATCTTAGCTCTGGAAACAGTGGAATACCCCCAGACTCCTGAATCCCCTGGCCCCACCTTCCCTTCCCATTTAGGGTGGAGGGTTGGATGGGGTGTGTGTTGGGTGCAAGGGAAAGCAGCTGAAACAGGAGCCTCCCTCCAGGACAAAACCTCCTGCCCCCAAGAAGGAAGAGAAATGTCTCTGGTCCCATCATCTTTAAGAACCTGGAGGAGGGCAGAGGCTTACGGGAGTTGTGGAGAGAGGCAGGTGTTTCTGGGCTTTCAGTCCCCTCTACCTGCCACGTTCGGACCCCACCCTTCTCCAGGAATCCCTCTTGGCCCATACCACACCAGCTCCAGGTCTACATGGCAGTCAGTCAGTGAACTCACTGTCCAAACATCCCTGTATCCCAGCAATAGGCCCCACACTGAGCTCCCCCATACAGCCTCCTCTCTCTGTCCCCAGACTCCACCCAAAATTGCTATACAAGTGAAATCAGACTAAAAAAAAAAACATTAAAAGCAGTCTTGAAAGGGTGAAGGAGTCATAAATGTGCAGAGGAGGTGAAGGCTGTGGCAGGGCAAGGAACAGCCCTTTCTGCTGGGTGAGGCAGGTGGGAATGTTTCTCGTGGAAAGCAACAGTCCCTTTCCTTTACACAGAGCTTTCCCTCACATATCATCCTCTTCACCCTCCCAACAGCCCGGGAAGGTAAGGATGAATCCACATTACAGTTAAGGAAACAGAGGCTCAGAGAGTTTAAGAACTTCCTCCAAAACCATACAGCTAGGAAGGATCCAAACTGGCCCTTGAACCAGGTCTTCCAGCTTTGATTCCATTGCCCGGGTTGCCAAACGCAGTTGCTTTTCCATGGATGATTATGATCTGCATATGTTCTAGGGTCAGCTGGTGAGACCACCTGCTCTTCCCCCACCAGCTGCCAAGGTCTCTCTACCCTGCCCTGAAGAACAATGTGGAATGTGGAGGTGAGGTGGGAATCGATCAGCCTGATCCTGGGTGAAGGTCCTGGGTGAGGTCAGCTGGCTGTGGAGATTAGAGCAGATGCAGGACAGAGTACAGGGCATTTCGTGAAGGACTTATGAGAACAGCAGCATGATGGCAGTGTTTGGTTATGGAAGGCTTCCTGGAGGAGGAGTCACCCTCTGAGGAAGCTCATCGGCTCTTCTTCCTTAAGTTCCTAACACTTGGGTGTCTGGCTAACCTTCCTGGGGGCAGACCCACATCCCCAAGGTTTGTACTCCATAAACATTAAAAGAATAGCACTTGTTATCCTAATAAGTGTCCCAAGGACACACAGGGAAGCAGAAACTAGAAGGATGGGGCTCCCAGAACCCCCAGGAGCCAGAAGTCATAGCCACCTTAGACAAGAATAAACCACTATCCCACTTCCAGCTTTGTGCAATGCAGTCTCTAAACACTCCTCTAGGGATGACAATTCAAGGGCTGGCCAACAGAAGGAATACCTCTTGTAGCTGGTGGTCTGGGAAGGGAGACTCACATGACCTGTTTCTTCTTAAAGAGCAAAGCAAAGGTGCCCACAGCAAATTTATAGCCCCCAGGTTATCCCAAGGTTGAGTTCTCCAATCCTTTTGACCGAATGGAAGAAAGTGGCTAGAGGGAGTCTCCCCATAATCCGCAAGTAGCCATTATTGTGGCCACTGAGAGTTCTGTGGTTTGCACTTTTGCTGGGTGAGAAGTGAAAGCTCTGGACCAGCGCCTTCTGGGCTGGAATCCAGAAGGTTCCAAGAGATCATCTGCCCCAGCCTTTTATCCTGGCACGGGCATGGTCAAAATGACCGCTCTGGTCCTGAACCACCTTCCAAGCAATGCTGCCTAGATGGGGTGGGATTCGCCTGACCTATTGGCCCCTGAAATGCAATGATTTACTTGAGAATGTGTCCTCTGTGGAACCAGATAGATGAATGCAATGATCCCCCAAGTCTCACCTAACCCAGGACCCTCCAACCTCTCCCTTGAGACAATGGCTCCTGCCTGTATCCCAAACCCAGCCACCCCCAGGCTGTTGTGGAGTTCAAATCCGTCTCCAAGTGTGGGTTGAGGCCATCTCACAGAAAGACTGTGAGAAAATTAATTACTTAATGTATGTAAACGAGCTTTGAAGATGAAAAGTTCAAATGCAGTCTCCTTAATAACATCTTCAAGACTTCAGGGAGCCCCAGAGTCGCTGCTGAGCTCACCTTTAAGATGAGTCCGTGGGGAGTTGCTGGCAAACTCCCCAAGCCCATAAACAACATAAAATGGCTTTCCACTCCTTTTATGCAGCCAACCCCAGCTCTCCCCACCAATAAAAGGACCAGGGAGGATCAGAGAGAGCAGAAGGATCCTGAGCCTCGCACTCTGCCGCCCGCACCACCTTCCGCTGCCTCTCAGACTCTGCTCAGCCTCACACGATGTCGTGCCGCTCCTACAGGATCAGCTCAGGATGCGGGGTCACCAGGAACTTCAGCTCCTGCTCAGCTGTGGCCCCCAAAACTGGCAACCGCTGCTGCATCAGCGCCGCCCCCTACCGAGGGGTGTCCTGCTACCGAGGGCTGACGGGCTTCGGCAGCCGCAGCCTCTGCAACCTGGGCTCCTGCGGGCCCCGGATAGCTGTAGGTGGCTTCCGAGCCGGCTCCTGCGGACGCAGCTTCGGCTACCGCTCCGGGGGCGTGTGCGGACCCAGCCCCCCATGCATCACTACCGTGTCGGTCAACGAGAGCCTCCTCACGCCCCTCAACCTGGAGATCGACCCCAACGCACAGTGCGTGAAGCAGGAGGAGAAGGAGCAGATCAAGTCCCTCAACAGCAGGTTCGCGGCCTTCATCGACAAGGTGGGTGAGGCCTGAGACGGCCCAGAGAAGCCTCCAGCCCTGTCCTCCCTTGGGGAGGTCCCAGTCTGCTGAGGAGACAGGATGGCTGCCGGTTTGAGGCAGCAGAGGGAATGACGTGCAGACCCATACAGGTGGAAGGGTCAGTTTCCATCACTTAACTCCCGCAGCATTTAACGAGGTCCAGGTGTGGTCTAGAAATTGAGCCTGTGATCCAAAGTGTGTGCATGTGTGTGTGTGTACATGTGTGTGTGTGTAGCGGTGTGTGCGCCTGTACGTATGTTAGTGTGTGGTGTGTATATGTGTGTGTGTACATGTGTGTGAGCATATGTGTGTGTATGCATGTGAGTGTGTACATGTGTGTGAGCGTGTGTGTGTTTCTTGAGCCAAGACGACATAGGACTATCAGAACTGTGTCTGAAAAACCAGACTGGGCAGCAGGTGCTGGAAGAGTGGGAGATAACGGGGAGACCAAAAGACCTTGTGGCTCCTAGCCAGGCAGCCCGTGAAGGGGCTGGGGTAATGCCCACAGCCATGCTGCCTCTCCCAAGTCCTTGCTGCATCACTCAGCAGTGTGAGACCCCAGGCAGGTTACTCTGCTGAATAACAGGACTGCCTCATCCACCTGTGAGGAATTAATGAGTCCATGCATGAAACATGATGGCAAATAGTCAGCACTCAATACATGTTAGCTGCTACTATCATTATTTTCCAAGGACAGTGGTAGGTGAGGAGGTGTGACAGCCAACCCAGGCCTGGCAGCCCCTTCATGAGAGAGGGCTGAAATGCAGACAGGGAGGTGGCCAGGCTGGTAGGAGGAGGCCCCCTAATGCAGCCAGAGTGTGGAGAACGCTGCATAGCTGTGAGGCTGCCTCCCAAGAAAGTTTTGTCGGGGGAGGCTGGGAGCCTCCTTCACAGGCTCCTCCTGTGTCCACAGGCCTCTAGCAGAGCAGAAGGAGCAGCTTTGGGGGCCTAGGATCAGGGTTTGGGGGCAGAGGCAGTCACCTTCACGTTTTCACTCTTTCTTTAGTGATCTGAGTCCATCCTCACAGTGACGGGTTGGAGTGGGTATCAGCGTCTCCACTTATCAGACAGCAACTTGGAGCTAAGGGGGTGTATACGAGCATCTCAGACATGCTGTAGGGGGAGGCAGAGCATGCCTATCTCAAGACTATCGCTTACCATGAGCTGGGCATTTCACACCTTGGGGGTCTCAATTTCCCCATGTGCAACATGGGGTAAGTAATATCTACATCCCACAGGGCTGTGATAATTGAATGGAATGCATAGTTAGATGATATAGACATAGACACAGACATTAGACATGGATGTGTATATCTTACCACAGGCCTTGGCACTAAGTAGTAAATATTTAATAAGTGTTTGTTGCATAAATGAGCAAGTGAAGGGCAACTGGTAATTATAATAATAGTTAAATAGACTGAGCATTTACTACGTGTCAGGGACTGTTCTAAGCACTTGATATGCATTAACTTGTTCAAGCTTCACAACAGTGCTAAGACAGACACTATTCGCTCCATTTTGGAAAGGAGAAAACTGAGCCCCAGGAGGTTAAACAACTTGCTCTCTAAAGTATCAAAACTGGGGCTCGAAACAGACCTTTGGCTTTGAGTCAGACTGCTTTCCCTCACACCCACAACTGCCTCCCTGGGGGCCTGGGAATGGGCCCCTTGAGCCGCAGACACTCAGCTTTATGGCTCAGCCCATTCAGCCAGCACCCGAGGGCAGAGAGACTGTGGGGGACCAGGTGCCTCCCCCCAGGCTCCCTCTGACTTCTTCTTTCCACCTGAATGGCAGGTGCGCTTCCTGGAGCAGCAGAACAAGCTGCTGGAGACCAAGTGGCAGTTCTACCAGAACCAGCGCTGCTGCGAGAGCAACCTGGAGCCACTGTTCAGTGGCTACATCGAGACTCTGCGGCGGGAGGCCGAGTGCGTGGAGGCCGACAGCGGGAGGCTGGCCTCAGAGCTCAACCATGTGCAGGAGGTGCTGGAGGGCTACAAGAAGAAGTGAGTGCAGCAAGCTGGGGGGACTCAGGGGAAACTCAGAGAGAATGCTGGGAGGCTCTGCCCATAGCCCTCTTGCCACAGCTTCTTTCAGATTCCTCTAGCAGGCTGCCTGGAACCCAGAGCAGATATCCAGTGGGGCCTAGATTTCTTCAGATTCCTGGGATTCACCTCTAAGACTCCACCCCTGTGAGCCTTAGAGCTACTTCTGGGGGAATGAAGAGAGGAAATCCAGTGGAATTCTAGCACTCTCTATGTCCCTGTCCTTCACAGCTTACCTTTATGACATGGGCTCTGTGATCTCCCTGCCAATGGAACCAGCTCTCTTGGGACCTAGGATGCACAGATGATTTTAGACTTGGGGGAAGGAATGTGCATTCCTAACCCCATCTCAGAGGCAGAAGGACTGCGGCGGAATGAAGCCAGGCTAGGACAAGGGCTGGCCCATGAATAATACAAAAAATAGATCCTGGAGGGGCCAAGACAACATCTGGAGGGGATTAATCCCTTTTCAATCCCCGGAAGAACTTGCCCAGGAGTTGGGATGGTATTCAAGGTCCAGTTTCTCAGCTCCAGACCTTCTCTCTCCCACACCCAGGTATGAAGAGGAGGTGGCCCTGAGAGCCACAGCAGAGAATGAGTTTGTCGTTCTAAAGAAGGTGAGGGGCTGGTCATGGGGCAAGGAGGAGGGGGCCCATCAGTGCAAACTCCAGCGAGGGGCAGGGTCACCATGCTGACCAAAGGCACCTTTCTTTGGTCTCCTCTCACATGCATGTCCCCTCCTCTTTGTCCCACGGCCAGGACGTGGACTGTGCCTACCTGCGGAAATCAGACCTGGAGGCCAATGTGGAGGCCCTGGTGGAGGAGTCTAGCTTCCTGAGGCGCCTCTATGAAGAGGTAAGGGGGCAACTGCCACCCAGCCAGGGCAGGTGGAGGGGTGTTTTGGAGACAGGGGAGCAGTGAGGCAAGGGTGCATGTGTGTGCCTATGTTTGCCAATGTGCAATGTAAGTGTGAAAAGAGCTTGCACATACGTGCTGGGGCCCACAATACAGAGGCCATGTCCACGTTCATGTGTGAGAGGAGCATGGGGTGTACATGTTCTTGGGCTGCTCTGTGTCTGTGACCTCTCTGCATGTTGGTGTGCTGCCTGTGTGAGTGCCAGTCTACAGATGGGCAAGAGAGTGTGCATGTGTGGTGGGGGTCAGGATGGCTTCGCACATAGGGCATGGTCCTCATTAATGGACTGACTAATCACTCATCCTAGCCTCCAAACCCCAGCTCCCCTGCTGGGTGACTTTGGACCAGATCTTTTTCACCCTCTGGGCCTCAGTTTTCCCACTTTTAAGGCAGACACTGTTCCCAGATGGCCTCTACAGCCCCTTTCAGCTTTGTTGTTTTTAAGGAGCCTGTGCATGAGTGAAGGTGGTAGGAGCAGGAGTCATGTAACCTTCATGACCAGTGCCCGGTCTGGGAAGTGGACATTGTCCCCTGGGGTGGATCACGTGGCCCAGATCAGGCACTAGAAGCAAATGCACTGGCTGTTGGCCCCACAGGAGATCCGCGTTCTCCAAGCCCACATCTCAGACACCTCGGTCATAGTCAAGATGGACAACAGCCGAGACCTGAACATGGACTGCATCATCGCTGAGATCAAGGCTCAGTATGACGATGTTGCCAGCCGCAGCCGGGCCGAGGCTGAGTCCTGGTACCGTAGCAAGGTGAGTGGCACAGGACACCTGCCTGCTAAGCATGGCAGTGGGAGGGAAGTTAGGCATCTATTAGAAAAGATTTCTCTTGCCTGGGGATTCTGACCCATGAGGACAGTATGAGAAAAGCCAGTAGTTCTCAGGTTGAAGTGGCAGGGCAGGACTGCCATGTGTGGTTGCACAGGCTGAGCACCGTACAACCTGTATAGTCATCTGTGGTGTCCTGAATGGATGGGGGGCCCCACCCTGAGCCTCATGAGCATCTCTACTTCCTCCAGTGTGAGGAGATGAAGGCCACGGTGATCAGGCATGGGGAGACCCTGCGCCGCACCAAGGAGGAGATCAACGAGCTGAACCGCATGATCCAGAGGCTGACGGCCGAGATTGAGAATGCCAAGTGCCAGGTGGGGTCTGTGGAGGATTCAAATACGCAGCACAGGCAGGCTGCAGCACCTGGCCCTAATCAGGCTTCACAGTGTGCCCATGAGGAAGCAGGGACCCAGAGGGAAGGGAGGGGCTCTATCATATTTCACAGCAATCAGACCATGTCACTGACTTCCAAAGGAGGATCCAGCCCCTTCCTTGGCCACCCTGTGACCGCCATCAAGGAGAGATGATGAAAAGCCCACCCATCTCCTCCCTCATATTCACAGCCCCATTAACTACCTGGCCACGGGCCAACCTTCTCTCCAGGACCCTCCTCTCCCTGCCCTGGCTCCATCAGCTTGGGTGAGCCAAGCTGTGGCTTCTCTTTCTCATCCTGGCCCTTGTATCTCCACCTGATAGCGTGCCAAGCTGGAGGCTGCTGTGGCTGAGGCAGAGCAGCAGGGTGAGGCGGCCCTCAGCGATGCCCGCTGCAAGCTGGCTGAGCTGGAGGGCGCCCTGCAGAAGGCCAAGCAGGACATGGCCTGCCTGCTCAAGGAGTACCAGGAGGTGATGAACTCCAAGCTGGGCCTGGACATCGAGATCGCCACCTACAGGCGCCTGCTGGAGGGCGAGGAACACAGGTGGGGCTAAGAGGACTTTGTGGGGTTTCAGAGGTGGAGGCTGTGGTCCTCCAGGAGTGAATTTCCTTGAGCTGAGTGTGAGCTACAACTCTGGCCATGGCTAATACAATAGCTTCAATAATAATAATAATAATAACTGAATGCTTCTGTGCTAGACCTGTGCTAAGTGTTTATTTTATAATCCTCACAATCCAATAAGATAGATATGGTTTTTCCCATCTTTTTATCTTTAGATAAAGAAGCAGGCTCAGAATTCAGTGCCTTTATCATGGCTACGCAGTTAATAAGCAGAAGAGCTGGGACCTGCACCCAAGTCTCATGCCTCCCAAATCCGTCCTTGTTGAATAGCTTCCTACTGAAGCTGCTGCCACACAGGCCTGTGTGTTATGATGATGATGCACTTCTATATGCATTTAGCTCTTCATCAACCACAAAGCCCCTTCACACCCTGGTGTATCTGATTCAACTCTCCTTCCTGTGAGCTTGATTGGCACCATCCAGGCTGGCCACCATCACTCAAACTAGGGGCACTGTTCATAATCTTACCCACTGCTGCTGAAAATCAGAAAGCCTTGTCTTCATGGTTAAAACCATCAAAGAAAGAAAGCATTTAATGCAGATTTGAGGGAGCCCTTCTTGCCTTTCAGGGGTAGACTCTGTACACAGGATGACCCTCTCTGTCCCCAAGCAACCATCAGTCTCAAGGAATCCAACTCAGTGTCTGGAACTAACAGAGTTTTCTTTCTCCATAGGCTGTGTGAAGGTGTGGGCTCTGTGAATGTCTGTGAGTATCTGCCTGAAATTCTCCTGGAAAAATGGCTTTTTTGATAGAAAAGCTGAACTCATTGGCCTAACCCATGGAGCCTCGAGTGTTCCCCCAACTGTTTCACCCTCCCCTGGCTCCTCAGTGGGGGCCATGACAGGTGTTAGAGAAAGCTGAGCTGAGTGCTCTTCGCAAGTGTTGACAGTGAGCTATAGGCCATGGACCTGTGGCCTGGCAGCTTTGCTCCCCGGGGTCCAGGGGTCCTCACTTCCTTCCTGCCCCAGTTCCCTAGATGGGCTGTGCATCTCAGGGACAGGGCCTGCATTGTTGACCACCAATTCCTTGGAGAGGGAGGCAGCTCCTGCAGTGCCCTGGGGCCTGTTGTAGGGTGGGTGAGATTGCAGGGAGCTGCTCACCCCTCCATGTCTCCTCTCTCCACAGGTGTCAGCAGCTCCCGTGGTGGAGTCTCCTGTGGGGGCCTCTCCTACAGCACCACCCCAGGGCGCCAGATCACTTCTGGCCCCTCAGCCATAGGCGGCAGCATCACGGTGGTGGCCCCTGACTCCTGTGCCCCCTGCCAGCCTCGTTCCTCCAGCTTCAGCTGCGGGAGTAGCCGGTCGGTCCGCTTTGCCTAGTAGAGTCATGGAGCCAGGGCTTCCTGCCAAGCACCTGCCTGCCTGCATCACTGCACTGAATGGCATGTGAATGGAAAATGTGTGCTTGCTTCCAGAATCTTCTGGATGTTCCTACAGAGGGAAAGACCTACAGAGGGAAAGACCCTCGGGCCGCTCCCCTGCGCCTTTTCATGCTAGGGAGATGCATCCTAGTTGTCCTCCTGGCAGCTGTTTTCAGAGGCATTCCCAGCCCTTCACTTAACTCCTACTTAGCTCCAAAATACCTGTATCCAATTTGTATTATTCCCCCAGCTCTCAGGGACAAGACCAGTCCCCCAGCGTGGTGGTCAGCACGGAAGCTCCACCTTCTGGGTGGAGGCGCCATCCTAACCATCCAGCCAGGCCACCCACAACCCGAGAATCAGGGAGAAAGTCCCTCCCCAGCAGCCCCCTCCTCCTGGCTGGGAAGAATGGTCCCCCAGCAAGCACTTGCCTGTTCATTCCTGTTCATGTTTTGCTTCTCTCTCAGACTGCCTTCCTGCTTCTGGGCTAACCTGTTCCAGCCAGGCTCCTCATGTGACCTCGCAGTTGAGAAGCCCATTATCGTGGGGCATCCTTTTGCCTACAGCCCCTGGTTAGGGCACTTTGGACAGGTCTTGCTATTCAGTGAACCTTTGTACATTTCAAAGAAGACTCCATGGCTGCTCCAGATGCCCCCTTGCTGGGTGCAGGTGGGGACTGTCCAATGCAGAGCTGGCGGGACAGAGAGTTAAGCCACTTCCTGGGTCTCCTTCTTGTGACTGTCTATGGGTGCATTGCCTTCTGGGTTGTCTCGATCTGTGTTTCAATAAATGCCGCTGCAATGCAAGAGCGTGTGGTCTTGTGAGCAACTTCTCCACTCCCTTCTTGCCTCATCTCCAGATGACCAATCCCAGTCCAGCCCCATGCAGTGTTTCCCCAGTCACCCCCCAGAAACTCTGCTGCTTCCTGTCCACTTCCACAGTCTGATTCCACTCAGTCGCCCTCAGTCCCCTCAGGCCTGGACTACAGCCCAGCTCCCCACTAATGACCTCTTTCTCCCTGACCCACCCTGCGTACTCCCAGCAGCCAAAACTCCATCCCAAACTCACTGCTCTCACCCTCTCCTGCCTGGCTCAAGTCACTTCCTGGCACATGTGTGTGCTTCTTATGCCAAATGCAGGCTTCCTCTGTCACCTCCTTCCCCAGCTACTCCTCAGCCCTGTCCAACCCCTCCATGCGGTGCTCATCCTCCCAGTCATGGACTCCACCCCAAGGAGACAAGTCTACCCTCTGAGGCAGCCCAGAGACACTCTCTCCTACATACCCCTTGTGGACACATAGGCCATCCCACATCCCTCCTCCCATTTGCCTTTGCTCAGGGCCCTCCTCTGCTCCCCAAAGCTACCACCCTCACCCCTACACCCCCCAGCCCTCCCCCGCCCCCATCATATAGTGTCTGGAACCCTGAGAATCTCTGGTTTTGTCTCTGCGGATCTGGGCCAGGGATGTCAACGGGTGTGTCTGGATCAAGCTGGAAATTCCATAAGGACAGGAAGTATCTCCTCCTGGCTCTGACCTCCCACTGAGTCCCAGGATGGGGCTCCAAGATATGCCAGGCCTGGGATGTGCTGGATGAATGCAGGCAGCTGGTGCAGCAGGAGGTAGAGACATCCAGTCCTCTTGCCCTCAGCTCCATCTCCCCATTAGCTGTCACCGTCATCAAGCAGGTGTCTGCCAGCCCCCTGCTGCCCCATCCTGCAGCCTCTTTCTCTGAGAGGAGAAGATAGGGCCTTGTGCATCCTCACTTTAGGCCCAAAGGGCTGTAGCCCCACTGGAGGCTGCTGGCTGCTTCTGAGTGCTTAGGCTGCTGCTCTGTTTGAGGTTTGCTGGCTGACACCTGGCGGGCCTCCTCCAGGTCTCTTGCCTGCTGCCTCCTTTTTCCCAGCTGTTTGGGCCCTGAGGGCATGGTGACAATCACAATAGGCCAACTTTCAATTTAGGGGACATCATTCACCCACAGGAAACGTTAAATCCCAGGGGCTGAAACATCAGGAAATGGAAATTTGAGCCCCAATTCTGCCAAGACTGCCAGGTCTCGGTGAGTCCTTGGGCAGGAAGTGGCTTTCATGCTTTGCATGTCAGTCTGGGGTCTATGAGATGAGTGGGTAGAGTCCTTACCAGGTCTGCTGCCTCCTATGGTTCTGAGATGCTACAGAGAGTCTATGCTTGGGGAAAACAGCTTCATGTTACCATGGATCTGGGCTGAGCAAAACAAAAATGCCAAATCTGATACCCAAAAAATAACGGCACCATGGATTGAAAAGTCAAACAGCCAGAACCTGGGAGATAGGAATGAATTTTTTAATACATTTCCGTGCTTTGTGTGCAAATACCATTCAACAGATTCAGCTGGCCAGAGGTGCCTTTTGCTTATGGGGAGGTAAGCCTCTGCCCCAGCCCTCCTTGCAGCCAACAGCAAAAACCCACCACAGCAAGCTCTTCTGGCTCAAAGGATGCTGGGGCTCCTGCAGCTCTCTCCTGATCAAAGAACTATTCCCCTCGGAATGCAAAGGGTACAGTCCAAGGGTAACTAAGGATTAACATTTTATTAGAAAGAAAAAATTCTGAAGAAGTCAAGTGACCTGAAATTGAGAGATCGAGGAAAAGCCAGAAGTTCAAGAGGCCCAAACAATAAAGTGGGCCATGGGAGTGATCCCAGATCTCTGCCCTGGGCTCCTTCCTGCTTAGAAACATCACAAACCAAGCTAACACCAGCATCAGAGAAAATCAGACCTGCTGTCTGTATTCAATTCTTATGTAAATGTTAGTGATATCCTTCCCCACAAACACACAAAGCTTCCAGAGGATTAGAAGTATGGATAATAACCTGTTCAAAGAAACAGGTACGCTTGGGATTTGTCATCTTTTCCTTTCTCCTGAAACCACTAACACTCCACCACCAATTCTCAACCCACTCTGCTTCAACCCATCCTCACAAACACCTATGCCCAAGAGAGTTCCTTCCCCCAGCCCGTGTCTCTAACTGTTCCCTGCTTCAATCTTTGGGATCTCAGAAAATAGAATTTTGTGTTACTACTCACATTAGCCAAGCATAGTGAGGAACACAAATTAACCATATTATCAAGAAAATTACCAAGTATGTTCTGTGTAGACACGGACATGACCATGTGGGACTTAATGTCCCCTTGTCTGGGTTATTCACACTCCTGTCTCTCTCTGGGAACATGAGCATTAGGAAGTGACTGTACTAAGTGTTTTGCTCATTGAGGATCAGAGCAACAACGACATGGGCACTAAGCGCCACACTCCTTGGGTGTAGGGACATGCCAGGCAGAACAAGCAATGGGAGAGGCTTATTTCACAGAGCCTCAGGCCACCTTCCTGCCTCCCCCAACCCCCAACCCCCAACCTGTGCATGCCTGGAAATCCCTGCTCATTTCCGCTTTGTTCAAAAACCGAGGGCTCCCCCATGTTGGCAGGGGAGCAGCCAGGGAGTGGGGTGAGGCGGGGACAGCATGATAAGCTTACGCATTAAAAATGAAGAAAATACCCAAGGCATTCATAGACAAATAGCCACCCTCCACCACCATCAAAAGGAAACACAGACCCTTCCCCAGTCCACAGTCCCATGCCCCAGGGCAGCCAATGCCCCCTGAGACACCGTTTCCTCCTCAGAGTCACTCTGGTGACCCTTTTAACCTGGCTTTACTGCTGCTCAAACTTGGTGGGATCCGGACTGTGATGGGCAGGCCCCTGCAAGACCCTTTGGTCCGGGAGACAGAGACAAGGGAAGCACCACCCTACTAAGATAGACCTCTGTCCGCCCAGGTCAAGTCACTGCCTGGCCATTGTGGTCACTGAAACAGAGTCTGAAGACATCAGAAGAACTGCGTGGCCGAGGAGAACCATTCAAAGGCTCTTCTCTGTTATGTCGCCCGTGCAGTGCTGGCCCTCTGGATGCGAGAGACTCGGGATGGGAAGGCGAGTCACCGTCCAGGCCAGCAGGACTTCCTCAGCCTCGGTGGTCCGCAGGCCACCTGGGTGGGGACAGTTTACAGTGTAACAAGGGGCCTGCAGGTCCTCCCTGCAGGTCCCCACTTTGGCCCCGTCTCCCGTTGAGGCCACCGTTGTCCCCCATCTCCCCACCCACGAGAGTCAGGGGCCACACCCCTCCTACCCCCACCCTCGCTTTGCTCACGGGTCGCCCCGTGCCCTGCCCTGCCTGCCTGCCCACCGTCACGTCCAGCCACCGGGTATCCTGGGCCCATCTCCAGATGCACGGCGCGGGCCCTGCTGGAGCCCGCGGGATCAGATCCACAGGGGCCTTGGGTCCTTGGCTCACGCAAGGTTCGCGCCTCGGCGCCTCTGGACTGGTTCCTGAGTCTTCTGCCGTCCGCCGGGATCCCGCCGCCTGCGCCTCTCTCAAACGCGCCCGCCCTCCACGCCTGGGCCCCGGCTGCCCTCCTTCACCCCTGCCCGAGACGCCCCGCGTCCCGCCCTTAGCCTCTAACCCCAGTGGTGAGGGGCCTAGGGGCTGGGCGCCGGGAGGGACGGGAGGGCGAGCTGGGCGCCACCTGCCCGCCGTTTTGGGGTAGTGGGCAGGGTGTTTGGGGGTTATTGGCTGCTCAGGGCTGCCCCGTGACATGCCCATAGCACCGTGGCCGGGGTCGGCGCCCTCCTCTCCGAAGTCTAGGTGCCTAGTGCGTCCTGGCACAGAGGTTTTATAAAGACCCTCGGGGGTCGCCCGTCTGCAGTGAATGGGATGTGGGGAGCGAACCCGCAGGTAGTCAAAAGGCCAGGCCCTGCTCCCCCAGACTCCACCCCTAGGCCGGGGTGCCAAGCCATTGCCTTGGCAGGTCCGGAGCTGGTACCAGAAGGTTTGGCAATGTGCGTGAGCACCATGGAAAAGAAAAGAAAAAAAAAACCTTTTAAAGACTTTTCTATGTCATGAGATCAGATATGCATTCTTGTGGCAAAATGTTTCCTACCCAGTCAGGCTTAAAAAAAAAAAAGTTCCAAATAAAATAAGGTGGGAGAAATAGTTCTTCCTGTACAACAAGTGAAAGAAAGTTGACCTTCAGAAACCCCTGTCTCCATTCATCACATACAGGTGAGACAGCCCTAGGTAGGACTTCTAGGGAACTGTCAGTTCAAGAGTAGGCCAGACATACAGTTCACCAATCAATTGCCTCTGACCAGGTTATCAGGGCAAATGCCTTCCAACCACGTGTCTGAGCTTTGATCTTGGGTTCCCATATAAAAGGCTTGTATTAACCGCCCCGTGGTACGATCTGTCCGAGATTCTTGGAGAACAGAACCTACGGGGAGATGTTTCTACAAATGCTTCTAGGAGGTCCCATGTGTCACCTTCCATCTCATCTCCAAAGTGTCAGACAGCTGGTGAAGGAGCATCAGGCAGAACTCCTCCGGAAGCATCTGATGAGCCGGAATGTTTAGCCTGAGGAGCAATTAGGGAAATGCTGTGGAAACATTTATGAACAGCAGCATTCCCTAGACATGAGTTTGAATTCTGGACTAGCTGGGTAACTTAGTAAAGCTACTTCTTTGAGCCTTAATTTATTTATACGTAAAATGAGGATAATATTCTGGTTGCTGTGAGAAATTAATGAAATACATATATAATGTGCCAGACACCTAGCAGGTGTTTAACAAATACAGGCTCCCTTCCTCACCCCTTTTGTACCTTTGCCCCCACCTTGCCCTGGTGTGTGTGTGGCCCAGACCATGGCTCTGACCTTTTAGCCGCAGACAAAGGAGAAATGCAAAGGGGCTAGACCGATCCAGTGAGAATCAGAGGGACAGTCACTTCCATGGCCAGAATTATCCGACCCTCCTCTTCCCTCTACCCACATCAACCTGTGGTTCTCAAGCTTTAGTTCTTCTAGGAATCACCTGGAAGCTTCTTAAAATACAGATTCCTGGGCTCATCCCTAGAACTTTTGATTGAGAGTTCCAGATGGAGCCCAGGATCTGCACATTTAGCAACTACCCCACAGGGATTCTGATGCAGGTGGTGGTCGGTGGACCACATTGTGAGATGCACCAAGACAGTCAGGGCTTTGGGTGGGTTGGGAAGACAATGAAGGAGGCAGGCATTAACTTGGTTACTAAGAAAAAGCCTTTCGCCATTGATATTTAATCAAGCACACCAAAAGAAAGAAGGAACCATACAGGAATCATGCAAATACAATGAACTTCCAGGCAACAAACAGTATAAACCCAGCTGATTAGCCTCCGTCAGTCTTTCAATCTGGACATATGAATAGTTGGGGGACTCTGGGAATATACAATCTCTCAGAGCAAGTGAGGAGCCCAGCTCCACACCCACACCACCCTTCCATGCTGAGGCAGCATCTGGAGCCCCTGTCATCCGAGGGCAAAGCGCAGAGATGTTCCCACATACTCCACACCCTCTAGCTGGCTCCGTTCCAAGAGGATCTGGCACACAGTCAGGACTTAATTTAACATCTGCTGGCCTGAAGTTAATTGGGGAAGACAATGACCGAGAAATTCATTCAAAAAAAAGCCTTTCTATTTCATTCCTGAACCACAGGGAAGGGGAGAAGCAATGGAAGTGAAAATAATGTCAAACCCAGGGTTTACACAGAGAAAGTAAATTGTTAACTCCAATAAGAAGGAAACAGGAGAGTTAGTTCTGGGTTCTCTGTAAGGGGAAATTACTAAACTGACATTTGGTCATGCAAGAGAAAAGATTTCCACTCCCCAACCCACACTGCCCCCATCAGAACAGGTCCGTCCAGAGTCCCACCCCCTCTATGCAAACCGCACAGATTGGGCACTGGAGCAGGCCCCCACTGCAGAGGGGCAACACAGTGCACCACTGCTGATGGCCACACCCCCTGAGCCACAGGAGGCAGTGGAGTCCAGGTCCCCGCAGACCACACCACCCTGGGAATGGCTCACACATGTGGACAGAGACACAGGTCAGAATTCTCTTCCATCTCAGACATGTTATGACCCAGAATCCTTTAGAACCAATGATTAATTATCTTCCTTCTCTGAGGGACCAGCAACATGAGTCTTTTTAAACTACAGGCAAACCTGAACCCACTGCCATCTGCTTCTTCAGGAGTGTGGTTAGCAAATTGCACACCAAACTCTACTTGGACCAGGCTGATGTTGAGACATGTTCATACAATCTTTGAGCAAAAACTGATAGATCACACTAGAGGAGTCATCTAGAAATATGGTTGCTAGAGAGGTGAGGGGAATGGAGGGATGGGAATCAGACACCTGGCCCAGGGGCTGTGTGTACATTGGATTATTAGATAGAGATTTACAAGTTGCCTGCAGAGACCCACATGATCAGAATATAAACCTAGCTTTTTTTCTTACTAGAACATGCTACCACTTGAGTAGTATTCTGTGTGTAACTAAAAGGCTTAAGCTATTTTTGCAGAACCAAATAGGGGTTCAGAATTTGCACCATTCATTAACTTAGACTTCATGGGTGTTCCAGATGGATCCATGTATGGTCAAATATTTGAGGTCATCAGTTTGTCTGGATCCCAGAGACATCAGCTCAGGAGTCCCTTGTCTACCACTCCATAGACAGAGGCTTGGTCATCAGTTAGATGCAATCTAATACTAAGATTGCTGAAACCCCAGAAAGCCATGCCCACACACACCCAACTTACAGATATTGACTGAGCCCACGCCTTCACACAGCCTGCAGGGAGAGGAGAGAGTGTACGGTTAGTGCTGAGTTCCTCTGCTTTTGCACCAAACCTATTCTCCTCCATGCTGAAGGAGAAGAAGGGCCCTAAGAGGCAGGGGGAAGCTACCCACCTGCTGCAGACAGCATCAGTGTTGGTCCTGCTTGCTGGGATCCCAAAAGGACAGGAGTATGTTAGCTTACAGGATCCAAAATGCCACTTTATGCCATGTTTGGCTTTCAGCCATGGAAATTTGGTGAACTGGGAAGTAGAGATGAGGGGGGCATCCTCCTGGTCCCTTGGCTGGAAATGCCAGCAAAGCCAAAGTGGTGATGGAAGCTGCTGCTACCTAGCTAGACGTCTCTGAGCAGGAAAAAGCTTGCCTATTACTCAAACAGATTCATTTTTATACCATGATTTTAAATGGTACCCCAGACATCTATCTGATTTCATTCAATGCAGAGGGAGGCTGAAGAGTATGGTGTGGTTAAGAGCCTGGACTCTCAAGCCAGGCTGCCTGGACTTAAATCTGGCTGTGCGGCTTACTAGCTGGGTGATCTTGGGCAGGTCGCTTAACCTTTCTGTGCCTCAATTTCTCCAGCATAAAATGGGGGTGATAATACCTGCCTGAAAGGATTATTGTAAAGTTCGATTGAGTTCTACATGGAAAGTGCCTAAAATGGAGACTGGCACATAGTAAGGAAATCCAATATGTTTGCTACCAACATTATAAACAATTCATTTTTGTAATCCCAGCACCTTGGGAGACTGAGGGAGGTGGATCACTTGAGCCTAGGAATTCGAGACTAGGCTGGCCAACGTGGCGAAACCCTTTTTATACTAAAAATACAAAAATTAGCCAGGCATGGTGGCAGGCACTTGTAGTCCCAGCTACTTGGGAGGCTGAGGCAGGAGAATCACTCGAATCCGGGAAGAGGAGTTTGCAATGAGCCAAGATTGCACCACTGCACTCCAGCCTGGGCAACAGAGTGAGACTCTGTCTCAAAAAATATGTGGATATTATTTATGATGAGACATATATACCACTACAGTGGGCTTTTTATAAACACTCCCTCCTCCCTCACACCTCTCTGCACTTTCTGTTCTGTCTCCCCTTTTGTAGCTTCCCACTTCAAACCTTTTTCCCCAGGAAAGCTCTACCCTGCCTCATTCTGCCCAGCTCAAAACACTTCTTCACTCATCTTTTGAGTGAGGATGTACACATCTGGCTCGGTTTCCTGCCACTCAGTCTGGCATTGCCACAGCCTTACGACTGTGCCCTTTCAAGGAACCCACAGTGCCCGTGGTGGTGCCTGTCAAACCACAATGCTGGCGACAGCTATCTCTGAGTTGAGTGGCTCTGAATGCTTTTGTTTTCTTATTTTCTGTATTGGCAGCAGCGAGCATTACTTATGTAATTAAATTAAATATTTTAAATGCCAAGAGGAGGCAGTCTCTTAAAAGGTCAATGGCCACAGTACACATAGCACAATATGCTAAATTGACTTTAAAATCACATGGATAGGGGATGTGTACTAATAATTCTGATTGAGTTATTAATCCATTAATTATTAGTATCATAATGAAAATCAGTGCAAGTGCCAGCTGCTCACTGAATGCTAGTGAGTGGGTTGGGGGCTTAAGTATCCGAATGCAGACAGAACTCCAGTGGCTTCACCCAAAGCCCCAAGGAAGCTGGCAGAAAAGTGTGTGTGCTTGAGCCAAGCATGGAGCAAGTCCAGCAGCGTGGCCGGGCTGCCATCAGTGACGCTTCATGGAAGGTTTCCAAAGCCAACCAGGCCTTTGAGTTCCCTCTTCATGGGGGCAGCCCAGCCTGGCCATCATCTCATGACAATCACCTCCTCCTACTGGGGCTTACTATGTTCCATTAAAACTCACTTAATCCTGCAACAGCCTTACAAGGTGGATTTTGTGATTATCTCTGTTTTACAGCTGAAGATGCTGAGGTACAAAGAGGTCACATGCTAATAAGTGGCAGAGCTGGGATTTGAACCCAGAGTGGGCTCATGGCCTGTGCTCTTCACCTGTATACTCTACTACCCAGTCTAGCCTCCCCGCCCTGAAGGGACCCAGCTAGAAACTCTAACGATGTGGCCGTCCCAAGTCCAGAGGACCATGCAACCATCCCAGGTGTAAATACGCATCACTCTGCCCCACACTGGCTTCACCTGCCCTCAATTCTTGGCTCAAATTGTCAGCATAGCTTCTCCTCAGCTGTTGAGAAGGCAGCCTCCTTCTGTGACAGCTTCCCTGGGCCACTAACCCCAGGCTCTGGAGGACTGATGTATGTCTGTCTTGTCTTCCTTTGCAAGGACAGAACTTGTGCCGCTCATTTCTATTCCCTGGTCCTGAACACCAGGCTATCTAGGTTGATAGGATTCTTTGCACATCCCAAATCAAATGGCCTTTAACTAATTTTCTGAATGATTCCAGCTTTAAGAACCCACTGAAGCTGATTGCAGAAACATCCTTTCAGTCAAGAGGGTAAAGTAGTGGCCTTGGAATGAGATCCAGATTCCAGCCTGAGGGGCCGTGCAGGAGGGAGAAGAGCATTGGTGGCCAGCCCAGAGACTGGTACATTTTAGGTGAGCCATTAACTGGCTGTGCTCTTGGGCAAGCCCCTTCCCCTCTCTGATGTCAGTTTCCCTATCTGCAAAATGGGGACATGGTTGGAGTCCATGATTTCTAGAGTCTTTCCCAGTTTGAACATTCTCTGCCTGGAATATTTCAGTCCAGCTCTGAGTAGGAACCTGAAGGGACCCTGGAGCCCCTGTCCTCACCGGATCTCCTCACCCTCCAGCAGTTTGCGATAAGTGGCGATCTCCACGTCCAAGCCCAGCTTGGAGTTCATCACCTCCTGGTACTGCTTGAGCATGCAGGCCATGTCCTGCTTGGCCTTCTGCAGGGCGTCCTCCAGCTCAGCCAGCTTGCAGTGGGCATTGCTGAGGGCTGCCTCACCCTGCTGCTCAGACTGGGCCACCGCAGCCTCCAGCTTGCAGCGCTGTGGGGATGGACAGAAGGGAAGGAGTTTAAAAAGGGTGCAGGTTGTGGGGACTCTGGTGGGTCTCCAGTGGCCTTGGTCATCCTATTTTATCTCCATTCAAAACGGTTAATTTTTAAACTTAATACTATTTAAAAGAAATACATATAAATGGAAAATTAACTAGGCAGGGACATGGCCCATTTGGATTTTTTTCCTTCATTTTTGTACACTTTATCATAAAACTGACTTGAGTTTGGCAGGTGAGCCATTAGAGGGAGGAAATGTTAGCACTGAAATAGGAATGATCATTATTAGTGATATTACCTTATACTTGTATATACCGTTGTTCGTTTACAAGGTACTTTCATAGATGTTATCTTATTTGACCTTCAAAGTTATTCTGCAAGCTTGTCACTACAGGCATTATTGTTCCCATTATGCAAATGAAGAAATTAAGACTCCAAAAAGCTGTGACTTGCCCTAAGCTATGCAGTTAATTAGCACCAAGCTCAGGTATTCAAAGGCCACTGTGCAGGGTCTCACTCTTTGGCCTGCTGAGATCATCTTGCTGAAAGAAGCTCCCATGTGCAACAACTCCGGACACACTAACTACAGCCCCTCCCTTCACCCCGCTTAAGAAAGCATATCAGAAGCAAATGAACAAAAGCACTGTTATCACGGGACAACTTCGAATCTTCTCTAATTTCACATCTAAAAAGTAAACCACTCGCATATTTCATTACTCAGGTCTTAACCACAACAAATTACTAATGATACATCCTGTGCAGTGATGAAGAACAGCAACTCAGAAGGCAGAAGACAGAGATTAAGCCAGGCATGTGTGGGAGCACTGTGTTGTGCTGGAGGTAGTATTACAAATCACTGGCGAAAGGATGGATTACATAATCTATTTTCTTATGATATGTAGAAAAATTAATTTAGAACCCTACTCACTGTGTATACAAAAAAAAAAAATAAAGTTCAGATGGATCACAGACCTAAATGCAAGAGGTAAAACTATAAAACTAACGGGGGGAGAAATTTAAGAGGCTACCTCTATTACCTCAATACCTTCTAAGTCTAAACCATTAAAGGAAGAACTTAAGATGGATTTGGGCACATCCAGCTTAAAGATTTGGGCTCAATAAAGGACAAACAGACAAGTGATAGACTGAGAGAAAGTTAATTGCAATATGTGTACTGACAAAGGCTTACAATCCAGATAGAATGGACAAAGGAATACTGCAAATCACTAAGAAAAAAGGAAGGAACCACAATAGAAAAATGGGCAGATATATGAGTAGACAGGTCTTAGAAGGGGAATACAAATAACTAGTAAGTGTATGAGGAAAGATTTGATATCACTACTTAACCAAAGAAATGAAAATTAAAATAACAATTAGGTGCCAGTTTACACCTATCAGATCCACAAGAATTTGGAAGTTTGATAATAGTGGGTGTTGGAACAGGAGCCCTTGCATGCTGATTATAGTAGTGTACTCTGGCACAGTTCAAATACACGCCTCTCCAAATGGTAGCAGTCCCTGAAGATAGGAGGGAAGCAGGAACCAGACAAGAAGTGGCAGGTGTATGGAGCGGGGTCTCGGCGCCCCCCAACCTGCTGCTTGTCGTTCTCCACCTCTGCCGTCAGCCTCTGGATCATGCAGTTCAGCTCGTTGAGCTCATCCTTGGTTCTGCGGAGGTTCTCACCCTGTTGGGTCACTGTGGCCTTCACCTCCTCGCACTGCAGGTTGAGAGGCAAACACGCAGAAACAATGGCTAGAGGCTGCTGTCCCCGACCCAATCAGCCAGCCTACTGTTCCACAGCTCTCCCGCCTTCTGGCCCTGCTCTACCCAGGACCTCAGCGGCAGCCCCTCTAGAGTGCAGGAGTGCGTTTCCCAGGGAAACTCGAGGCTCACAGCTATCCTCCTGTCTCAGTGGGGCTGCCCTGCCCTCCAGACTACCTTGGTTTGGTATCAGGTCTCAGCCTCCACCCGGCTGCAGCTGGCAATATCATCATACTGAGCCTTGATCTAAGCCACAACCAAGTCCATGTTGAGCTCCCAGCTGTTGTCCATCTTCACCACCATGGAGGTGTCAGAGATTTGTGATTGAAGGAGGCAGATTTCCTGTAGAAGACAGCAACCAGTGCCCTCAACTCCAAATCCCCTTCTGATCCTATCTTCTCAGGAAATTAAAAAAAAAAAAAAATATCCCAACTCTGAAATTAGAAAACTACCAGCAAGTCAGGAAAATTTAAAAACTGTAGTTCTAAGAGGAAAAGGCTGGAATTGGGACTGTGGCCTCAAAGCAATGAGTAACGTGGAATTCTACTAATACAGGGATCAACAGAGCTGGATTTATGTGTATGCCGTCACCCCGGCTCACCCCGCCTTGGGGCCTGAATAATCCAGATCAGCTATAGCTCTATGCACAAATCTAATCAACCAGATTGTGGCCAGAGGGAGAGGCCTGGATTATCTGCTTGGGTTTTTACACTACCTAAATTAATAAATTAATTGTCAGATCTCCACTTCATGACATGGGAATTAACCACTTTCTTTCAAATCATCTTAAAGGAAGGGCATCACCCAGTTCCACCCGAACAAGAGAAAAATCCCCTCTGGTCACATAAGGAAAAATATCCAGGCCTAGGAGAGTCAAGAATGTACAGCTTTCCTAGAACCCAGGAACCAGGACAGGCCACACTCCAAGGAAACCCTCCCCTGTCTCCTCTCTCACTTGCTCTTCCAGAGATGGGGAGAGATTTACCTCCCCGTAGAGGGACTGCAGGAAGACTGACTCCTCCTTCAGCGGCTCACGTTGGCCTCCAGGTCCGTCTCGTGCAGATAGGTGTAGCCTACATCCTGGTGGAGATAGACACAAGAGGATGTGGAGTGACCTTTGTCCCCCTCGCTGTGCCCCTGAGCCTCGGCTCTCCTCAGCGGGCCCTGAGGCCACCTCCTGGCCCACCTCTCTGCCTCTGGCCTGACCCTGCCCAGCCACCCTTCACTTACAAGTCTAACCTAGACTTCTGATCTTCACCTTCAGGGACCCCCTAGAAGGGACAGAGCCTTTGTTGTCTGCCAGTGACGTTACCTCCCATTGCATAAATGAGACCACTTGGGGAAATGAAGTGGAGAGCCGAGGACCTTGCCAAAGAAGGAAGCCTCATACCACGGCCCAGAACGTCAGGCTGCTGCCTCCCAGCCAGACTGACCCACAGAGTACAAGCATGCGACAGTCACAGAGCCTCTCTGTAGGTTGTCCTCAGAGCCCAGGCCAGGAAACCACCAGCACTCAAATAGCTGACTCTCCTGCCTGAGACCAAGGCCAAGCCTCTATTGGCAGATCTGTCACCAGCCTTCACTCCACCCTGTGATACTCACAAATAAGGAGGCTGGCAAGCAAGCACATTACTTGTTAAAGAACATTCACATGCACTTTCACTCAGCAACATGAAACAAAAGGGAAACCATTCACAGTTTTATTCCCCAGGGCTTTTCCATCATCACCAATTGCACTGAATGATGGTCACACTTTGAAATCATTAACAAGCTGAGAACCAACCCCTAGTCTTGGATAACAGGGGGAGGCAATGCCCGCAAAAAACCAAGACGGAATTAAAATTGAACATTTCAGCCAATCCAGTAGTTTAAAAAAAGTCAAGCAGGAGCATGGTGAGGTTTTCTTTTTATGAAGGCTCTATCGGCACTGTCTGGATTCCTGCATGGGCTCTATGATGGCTTCTGCAACCAAACTAACCCACCTTCTTGTGCCAGGGGCTCCAGTACCTTACCACCAACAATTGGGCTAATGGGAACCTGACAGGGCCCACAGCATCAGAGCGTCCGGTGTCCAGGATTTAATTCTTCCCATGTGAGAACAGTTACTCACCTTCTTCAGCATCATGAACTCATTCTCAGCTGTGGCCCTGAGGGCCAGCTCTTCTTCATACCTGAGGAGAAACAACCCAGGTGGAAAGGCCCCTGGGACTGAGGACCTGGCCAGGCCAGAGCCCAGGTGTGCCAAACTCCCTGGTTTTCTCCTTTCTCTGTGCCTTTGGAGAAGAGGTTTTGCCTCTCTGGACTTCTATTTCCCAGCCACAAAGAACCCATTGGAAGGACACTGGACTTGAAGTCCAGGTCCCTGGTATCTGGTCCCAGCTTAACTGAAGTTGCTGCAAAACCTGAAGCAAGACATTTAATCTCTTTGTGTCTTGGTCTAAATCACCTGAAGTGCAGTGAGTCACTCAATAAATATTTGTGGAACTATTTAAAAACAGACAGATATTCCACAGAGCCTTTAAATTCTACACTGTACAAAACACAAAGCTCTATGAAGCCACCCCCATGAGGTTTTATTCCCCCTGCCCCAATATCCAAGGACTTGAATTCCTAGAAGCAACCCCTTCTTCAAGCCATTCCCCCACCCTCCTCCAGCAGCCCAGCCCTCTTCCTCCTGCCTGTGAGATTGTAGCCCAGGAGCAGCCCTGCCCCCACAAAGAAGACCAGAGTTCCCAGAGCCCAGAGCATGGTTTTCATAACTTTATTATTATTTTGTTTTTTGAAACGGAGTTTCGCTCTTGTTGCCCAGGCTGGAGTGCAGTGGCGTGATCTCGGCTCACTGCAACCTCCACCTCCCGGGTTCAAGCGATTCTCCTGCCTCAGCCTCCTGAGTAGCTGGGATTACAGGCGCCCACCACCACACCCAGCTAAATTTTTTTTGTATTATTAGTAGAGACGCGGTTTCACCATGTTGGCCAGGCTGGCCTTGAACTCCTGACCTCAGGTGATCCACCCACCTCGGCCTCCCAGAGTGCTGGGATTACAGGCATGAGCCACTGCGCCCGGCCTGTTTTCATAACTTTTGAATTCCATGGTCATTTGGGGCTACAGTAAGCACTCAGCTCTATAATTACCAGCCCGCACACCCCCAGAGTGGGAGACAGACCTTGACGCCTGCACACTGAGGATTGTGTCTACATTTGCTTCACCCCAAGGGACATGAGGACCCACTGCTGGGTCCAGCCAGATGGTAAAACCTGAACTTCCAAGAATCCCAAGCAGGGTTGGAATTACCAGGATTGATTGAGGTCAAAATCACCCTTCACTCTGTCTGTATCTACAAGGTAAGTACAGTGACCCGGTGAGTTTAGACTAGGTAATGAACAAGCTAAATAACTCAGGAAAACCCAAATTTACATTGGTATTTGAATTGTGGAGCCCTGCAGAACGATAACCTGATGGTTTATCTGCAGAATAAATAAAGGAAGAATCCAAGTTCATCAGATACTTGGAATGGCTTCAGCCAATTCATTTTCAGATACCTCTCCAGGGCCTTTCCCTTTCCCCCCGTCCTAGCTCTGACTGCTCCGGGCTCCTCCTCTCCAGCCCTGCTGTCCTTGCTCCTCCTGTTTCATTTGTTCCTATCTCTTCATCTCTGCATCAGTCTGTACCCTGAATGTGTGTCCCATCCCTCCCAGACAGGGAACTCTTCTCTAAATCTTTTCCCAGCCCCCAGCACAGGGGTGTAAGAACTAGGAGCTGACACGAGATAAAGCAGACGGTAAAGCAGAAGTGTCTGATAGCTTGTCAGGGCAACCCTGGCCTTCAGCAGTCTCAGCTTCTGGAGGAGTTGTGTGATCTCAGCTAAGACTGACTCCACTGCCTAGAACCATCCCAGCCCTGTCATGCTCACTTCTTCTTGTAGCCCTCCAGCGCCTCCTGCGTGCAGTTGAGCTCTGAGGCCAGCCTGCCACTGTCGGCCTCCACGCACTCAGCCTCCCGCCGCAGAGTCGCCATGTAGCCCTGCAACAGGGGCTCCAGGTTGCTCTCGCAGCACTCGCGGTTCTGGTAGAACTGCAGCTTGGTCTCCAGCAGTTTGTTCTGCTGCTCCAGGAAGCGCACCTGCCATTCAGGAAGGAGGAAAGAGACTGAGGGGAAAGCCTGAGAGCAGGTTTTGCCTGGTCCCCCAGAGCTCTTTCTGCCATTGAGGATGGCCCCCGCCCTGCAGCAGCCTGTGACCTTCCCCAGGAGGCCAAATTATTGGCAAAGTCTGAAAGTGCAGGTCACAAGTAGTCCCCAAGTAACTTCTCTCCACCCACCCCCCTTCCCAGAAAGAGCACACTATTTATAAACGTTCGTTTATTCTACACAGAATGAAATTAACATCCTGCAGAAATATTTCATACTATGCATACTAGGCAAATAATGATCCCCCCAAAGGTGCCTGCACTAGAGGGATTTGAAACATGAGAAGGACTCAACCCGCTATTATGGCTTTGAAGATGGAGGAAGAGGGGGCCACAAGCCAAGGAATGTGGATAGCCTCTGGAAGCTGAGAACAACCTCTGGCAGCCAGCCAGCAAGAGAACAGGGACCTCAGTCCTGCAACCACAAGGACCTCAATTCTGCCAAAAGCCTAAATGTCCCTGGAAACAGATGCTCCCCTGGGGCCTCCAAAAAGAAATGCAGCCCTGCCGACACCTTAACATCAGCCTTTTAGGTAGTAAATTTGTGTTGTTTTAAGTTGCTAAGTTTGTGGGCATTTGTACAACAGCAATTTTTAAATGTACATACCATGACTCTTCCTTACCTCTGGTGCTGGGGCACTGAAGCCCAGGACAGAGTATCCCAGACCAGGAATTAGGAGACCTCTCACTCTAACTCTGCCACCAACCAGACCACTTTGCCTCATTCTCACTGAATTGCATTGTAAAACAAGACAGGAGAAATACATTAGCAGTGGTACACTGGCAGCTCCAGGCCCTATCAGGCCCACAGGCATGTCTTACTTGCCTTGCACACTGTTTTATAGAGATCTGATTAGTTGCCAACACTTAATAACTGAGTGGTTTCAAGTAAGAATCTGGATCTCTCTGACCCTCTTGACATACCAGAAGTTCTGGCAAGGCTAGGTAGGCCTGTGGCTGGAGTGAGCAGCAGCTACTGTCCCTCTAGGTGGGCATGCCTCTCAAGTTTGGCTTCATTCATGTGACCCACCAAGCCCCCGTTGAAGTTTGCATTTACCAGCCCTAAAGCAGGTGATTTCTTCTCCAACCCTAACCTCTTGGGAGTACAAGCCTGGTACAAACCCTCAACTGTCCAATTGTCCGTGCTTGAGGGACAAGGAACAAAAACTCTGATTATCCAAAAGGCATCTGCCTTGGATTTCAACATGCAGACCCAGGTCATGGGACAGCCCTCTGGCAGGATTAAACCCACCATATCAATGCACTTTGTAGTCTGGAGCTCAATGCAGTTTGGAGCCTGCAGGAAGAAGGCTGGAGGGAAGAGGGTGGCCATCAGCAACCCCAAGGGAGGGAAAAGCCAGCCTGGTGCAGTGGTATAAGTTCCTCTCCCCAGACCCAGAACTGGTTCCTCTCAACGGAGAGAGCAGCATTCATGGGTGATGCCCAAAAGGCCACATGCAGAGACCCCTTTGAGCATGCACTCTCAGGGTTCTCACTGTGCTTTTGAGCAAATTAGGAAAAGATGCCTCCAGCCCCCTGCCAGGGCACATGGCTCTGCAAGCAAAGCCTGGGCTGGATTTCAACCTCCCCTGCTCTTGCTAGGTGTCCTTGTGCAATGAATAACCTGCCTAACTCTACAGTGAGCTTCTTTGTGCTGATGGAAGGGAAGAGTAATCTGGACAGCCAGCGGTATGTTAACAATGGACACCCAGCACCTCTGTGTGCAGATATGCCCACTTCTGATGTAGCGTTGATCTGAGAGCAGAACTTCCACCCACCATCGCCCTGGTTTGTGCCTTCTTATGCAGTCCCAGGGTGTAGATATACACACCATTCAGCCCTGGAAGACGAGCTTCTCCTCCTTTAAACTTTGGTGGCTGTCCTCCCCCAAAGACTGTGAGCTCCTAGGGAGGGCATCATTAGGTTAAAGGAAACCAGAGCTATACACTCAACCAGGAGGACTCTGAAACTGCAGCATCAGAAAAGTCAATTCAACAGCCTCTCCCTGGACCATGCTTTAAGTTTCTCAACTCACTGCCTTTAATCTATGCATGTGCTGCAGGGTATAAAGTGCCTCGGGCAGAAGTCCTAAGGGTTCACAGCCTTCCTATGATGTCCCCACCACGGAGGAGCAGGCAAGGAGCCTCTGACCCCTCTGCATCCTGGCTCCTGCTCCATGCTAGGGACGGTAGCATCTCCTCTAAGCGGGAGGTCAGACAGGCCTAGGCAGAGTGGCCCGCTCTGCCACACTGTCCTACTGCGTGCCGGTGAGATCGGGAAGATGGACGGTGCACACACATCATGCTTGCTGCTTGCCTGTGAGCAGCAGCAGCAAACACCCCTCTTCTGTCTGGTGGTTTCAGATTCATTTTGCATTTGACTGACATGGCAACATTTGAAAACCAAGACCCTGATTCAGCCACGTTCTCACAGCCACGTGCTAGTCAGTAACAGGAGAATTAGAACCACCCTATCATCGGGTTCCAAGTCCCTTTCCCCTTCCTAAGCCACAGTCCCAGGAAACAGCTCACAGACCCACCTTGTCAATGAAGGCAGCAAACTTGTTGAGACACCTGATGTGCTCCTTCTCCTCATGCTTCACACACTGGGCATTGGGGTCGATCTCTAGGTTGAGGGGCATGAGGAGGCTCTCGTTGATGGTAACAGATGTGATGCGGGGTGGGCTGGGCCTGCAAAGGCCCCCTGCCCAGTAGCCAAACCTGCCCCTGCTGTGTAGGGGCCATCTACAACTCACCGCGATCCGGGGAGACCCCACCGTACACAGGCTCTGACTGCCAAAGCCTCCGAGGCGCCTGGAGCCTAGCCCCCCAGGGCTGACCCCATGATGGGCCATGGCACTGACACAGCTGTGATACCCAGGCTTGGGCACAGTGGCAGAGCGGGAGCTGAAGTTCTTGACCCCGCAGCCAGAGCTGATGTGGCAGGATTGGCTCGCCATGCCTCTGTTCTGCGGGACAGTCCCCTGGACTGAGGATTGAAGGATGACACGGTCTCACATGGGAGGCCTGTTACTGCTCCTGCCTTTTATTGGGCAGGGGACAGGCCTCCTGACAACATAAAGGCAGAGAACATTATTAATGCCATTTATGAGCATAGGAATCTCCCGCTAGGCAGAACGCAAGGGAAACTGCAACCTGCCTCTTTTAATAGGCATATCAAAGAGACCCTGCTTCCCAATAAACCTGCCCTTGCCATTCCAACCTCACAGGCCTAGACATATCTATCAAGCCCCTAATTCCCCTCCAACCTGTGAGAGGACCAGGAATCATCATCCCACCAGTCAAGTCGAGGCTTGAGCCAGCACATTCTTGAAACTCCAAGCTATGTCCCACGAGGTTTCCACCAAGCCCATCCTTTCAGGTTAGGCACTTGTGGTTCAGACCCTTCAAGCCTTTCCCTATGATTGCTATTAGCTACAATTCGTCTTATAGGGTGGCCATTGGACTTTGTGTTGCTCCTCTTGAAGGCAGAAGTCATGTCTGTTCACCTTTATATCCCCTCTGGCAACTAGTAAATACCAGGTCCCCAGGCAGCCTTGGTTGAAATGAATGGACTGGACTCAGGAGGGAGGGGCCAACGTCTGCAGAGCATCTTTATCTAGTCCACAAACACTGACTGACCCTCCACTATGTGCCAGGCCTGGTCACTGGCCTCAGGAGCCGGCCTGGAGCAGGTGCCTTCATTTGGCAGGTAAGGTCCCACCAGAACAGGCCCTCAACTACAGGCTGGGGGAAATAAAGCTAGGTGGACAGTTTGCCTTTGAAGAACCTGACCTCACTGAAGAAACAGAGGCAGGGAAGAGTCACAGCCAGAGAAGGAAAGATGACCAGGTAAGGGGCACAGATAGCATGTTCTTAGCCTTCCTAGGAAGGTCACTTATAGCTGGCCAGAGGGTCACAGAAGAGGCAAGACCGAAGTCAGGTCCCAGAGGATGGCAACTCTTCAGGGAGAACAGAGGCGGGGGTGCAGAGTCTCCAGGCAGAGCACAAACCTAATTCCCAGAGAAATAAACCAGTGCATGAGATCCTTCACAAAGCAGGGCCCTCGGCCAGGGACAGCCCACCCCTGCCTCCCACCCCATCCTATAGGGCACTTTCTGTGTCACACCAAGAACAGGATGGAAATGGGACTGCCTTTTTATACAGCACAGCAGCAGTCTTGAGGCAATTATGCCAAACCGCCTCAGCCCCAGGCCCTTGAGTAGAGCTCTCTGTGCATGAAAACAAGAATAAAAAACAATCTTCTGGAGCTCTCTCTCAGAGAAGCAGGCTTGAACAAGGGGCACTAGAAAAGAGCCAAACACCACAGGAAAGAGTAGGAGTCTTCCTGGTCTTTTTCTTTCACATGCGTGCACACGCATACACATATACATGCACACACATGCATGCATGCACACATTCCTCACAAGAGAAAGACACAGAGGACAGAGTCACAAGCTAGGAGCAGAGCGTAAGGATGGACGCAGAGGGAGCAGGTTCCAGCCCAGCCCCAGGAAGCATCAGTCTGAGATGAGGGCCTTGTTTCTGCACCTGCAGCACAGAGCTCCAAGGGGAACCAAGACAACAGAGGAGGCCTGGGGAGGCACCCTCACCACTTGCTGGCCACAGAAGGACAACTCCCACACTAACCCTAACCCATGGGGAAGAGTTGAGTGTGTCTGAAGGTGAGAGGGTTCCTCCATGGTGGACACACTAAACAAGGGAAGCAAAATAGAAACCAGAGTTCAAAGCTGATGCTCTGGAGGGGCCTGTCTCGTGCTGGTCTCTATTTGTTTCTTTCAGTCAACCAGCATTTACTGAGCACCCACTATATGCCAGGCACCTTTAGATAAACTGGGAATATACCAGTAAATAAAATAGACAAAAACACATATTTTTGTGGGTTCACATTACAGTGGGAGAGACAAATTGTAAACTTAGATAAATAAATTATATGTTGGATGGCGATAAGTGTTACAGAAAGAAGAAAGAAACCGGCTAAGGGAAATCAGGAGAGCTGGAAGAAAGAGTGGGTACAATTTTGGCTGTGGTTATTGTAAGCTCCACTGAGAAGGGGACATTTGGACAAAGGTTTTAAGGGGGTAAGGGCAAGCCACATGTGCCGAGGAAAGAGCTTGTGCAAAGACCCACAGTGGGAACAAACAGGCCTGGTGTTCCCACCAAGAGCAAGGAGGCTGGTGTGGTTTTTGCAGTGAGAGTGAGGGAGTGAGTATGGGCATGGTCAGAGAGATACAGCGATGAGGAGTCTCCACACAGGTCATGGAAGGCCAGTGAGCTGTTGTAAGGACATCTGTTCCCACACAGAGTGCGGTGTAGAGCCTTGGAAGGTTTTGTGCACAGGACTGACATGACCCGACTTGTTTAAATGATCACTCTGACAGCTGCCTGGGAAACAGACTGTAGGCGACATGACAGTGAAAGGAGGGAGAAGGGTCAATCCTAGGAGATGGCAGAGGCTCCTGCCAGGGAGAAGGGTATGAGAATCCCTGGAGGGCGTGAGAGGTGGCCAGCTATGGATAGAATTTGAGGAAAGAGCCAACTAGATTTCTTGACTCACTGGATTTGAGATGTGAGCCAGGGGGAAGAGTCAAGAACGCCTCCACACTTTCTGGTAGGTTAAACTTGTCTCTGCAACAAAGATAAGCAGTAGCACACTGAGACAAATGCCAAGGCGAGTGCCCCAAATGCTCAATGCTCATCGTGGCTTTGCTGACTCGTGCAGCCTGGCACAAGTCACCTACCCTCTCTGGTCCCCAGTGTTCTCAACTGTACAAGCAAGAGTTGGACCGGCTGACTTCAACATTTCCTAAGGAAGCCATGCAGTCTCCTTTTTGTTGGAAATCCTTGAGAGTCACCTTGGCATTTGTCCTCTTTCCAGGCTTAAGAACCAAGAGATCACTATCTATCCAACCTCAGAGCCCCCGTCTTGTTCCCTAAGTACCAAGATTTCTTTTTTGTTTTGTTTGTTTGTTTTGTGCGTGTGCTTACATTTTCAACCCAGTCTGATTGAGGAATAATTGTCATACAAAAAGCTATACACATTTAATCTATACAACTTAATGAGTTTGGAGATGTGTACACACTAGTGAAACAGTCACCATAATCTACGCGATAAATCTATCCATCACCTCCAAAAGTTTCCTTCTACCCTGTTTATTTATTTATTATGTGATAAGAACACTTAACATAAGATCTACCTGCTGAGCAAATTTTTAAGTATACAATACAATATTTTTAACTATGGCACTATGCTGTATAGTAGATCTCTCAGACCTATTCATCTTATATAACCAGCACTTTTTATAGTTATACTGTTCTATTTTGAGCTGATAACTTCAATCACATGCAAAAACTCTATACTTGTACTCCCTCTCCCCAACACTTTATGTCAGGATTCACTTCTTTTTATATTGTGTATCCATTAACCAATTTTATGGTCATAGGTTATTCCTCATACTTTTGTCTCTTAACTTTTATGCTAGAGCTAAAAGTGATTTACATATTACCAATGCAATATTATATTATTCTGAATTTGTCTATATATTTATGTTTACCAGTAAAATTTATATTTTTCTGTACTTTCAGGTTGCTGTTTAGCATCCTCTTGTTTCAATTTGAAGAACTCCCTTTAGTACTTATAAGGCAGGGCTAGTGATAAACTCCCTCAGCTTTTGTTTGTCTGAGAAAGTATTTATCTTTCCTTTATTTTTAAAAGACAATTTTGCCAAATATAGTACTTTTTGGTTGGTGGCAAAGTAAAAACTTTTGCTTGGAGCAAAGTAAAAACTTTGCACACTTTGAGTATATCATCCCACTTTTTCTAGCTTGCAAAGTTTCTGCTGAGAAATCTGCTAATAGTCTTGGGCAGTGAGGAGGAAATTTTCCTTGAAAGTGATGAGTCATTTTTCTCTTGCTACTTTCAAAATTATCTTTTTGTCTTTGACTTTTGACAATTTAATTATAACGTGTCTCAGTGTAGACCTCTCCAGGTTCAACTATTTAGGGTCCTTTGGGCTTTATGAATCTGGATGTCCATTTCCTTCCCCACATTTGGAAAATTTTCAGCCATTATTTATTTCAATAAATCTTTTGTACATTTTCTCTTTTCTTTCTAAAACTCCTATGATGCATATATTGGTTTGTTTATGGTGTCCTGTAAAAATACCAGAGTTTTTGTCACTCTTTTTTTTTTCTTTTTCTTTCGTTCCTCTGACTGGCTAGCTTCAAATGACCTGTCTTTGATCTTGTTGATTCTTTCTTCTGCTTGATTGCATAGGTTGGTGAAGCTCTCTACTGAATTTTTCAGTTCAGTAACTGTCCTTCAACTCCAGAAATTCTGTTTGGTTCTTTTTTGTGGTTTCTATCTCTTCCTTGAACTTCTCATTTTATTCATGTGTTGCTTTCCTAATTTGCTTAGTTGTCTATCTGTGTTCTCTTATCATTAACCAAACTTCTTTAAAACTATTATTTTGGGCCAGGCACGGTGGCCCACACCTGTAATCCCAGCACTTTGGGAGGCTGAGGCAGGTGGATCACCTGAGGTCAGGAGTTCAAGACCAGCCTGACCAACATGATGAAACCCTGTCTCTACTAAAAATACAAAAATAAGCTGGGTGTGGTGGTGGGCACCTGTAATCCCAGCTACTCGGGAGACTGAGGCAGGAGAATCACTTGAACCTGGGAGGTGGAGGTTGCAGTGAGCTGAGATTGTACCATTGCACTCCAGCCTGGGTGACAGAGCAAGACTCCGTCTCAACAACAACAACAACAACAACAACAACAACAACAAAAAAAAAAAAAAAAAAAAAAAAAAAAAAAAAAACCATTATTTTGAATTCTTTGTCAAGCAGATCATAGATCTTCATTTCATTAAGATCAGTTACTGGGGCTTCATTTTCTTCCTTTGATGACATCATGTTTCTCTGATTTTTCATTATCTTTGTAGCCTTACATTGATGTCTGTGCATTTGAAGAAGCCGTCACCTCTTCCAGTCTTTTTAGGCTGGCTTTGGCAGGGAAAGCCCTTCAGCAGTCACCCCAGTCAGCAATCTGGGTGGGCCTGGTGCCAGAGTCTACAGGAGGGTGTGCTCAGTGCCAGGGTCCTCAGACAAGTGGGCCTGGTGCTAGGGTCCAGAATCCATAAACAGACCTGGTGACGGGGTCCTCAGGTGGGGCTAGTGCTGGGGTCCACAGACTGGCAGGTTTGGTGTCAAGGCCCATAGGTAGGCCCAGTGCCAGGGTTTGTGGGCAGATAGGCTTGGTGCCAGGGTCTGCAGCTGAGCGGGCCTGGTGCCAGGATCTGGGATCATCAGTGGGGCCTGGTGCCAGGATCTACAGATGGACCTAATGCCAGGGGCCAGAGTCTATGGTTATATGGGCTTAATGCCAGGGTTTGTAGAAAAGTCAGAAGTTCACTTCACTCTCCCTTTCACAGCAGAACTCTCAGGCTGAGAGGATCTCTCTCTCTCTCCCTCTCTCTCCCTCTCTTTGCTCTCTGCATTGTGCTATGTAAGCTTGGGGGAGGGGTGACATCGGTAAAAAGAAGCTGTCCTTCTTACCCTTTTTCAATACACGTTACATCTTTTCTTATTTCTTTGCCCTACACAGGTGCTATAAACTCTCACCTGGATTCTAGAGCTCTCATAAAGATATTTTTGCCCATAGAAGGTTGTTAAATTGGTATTTCTCCGGGGACATCAAGGGCTGGAACTATCCCACTATCTTGCTGACATCACTCTCCCAATATTTCTTGTAGTTGTTCTCCATCATTTCTACACGTTTTTTGGTCCCCCGAATGTGATATTATCTGAGCCCTAGGCCTCTAAGCCATCAAGATGAAGCCTCAGTGTCATGCCTTTGACCTCTAGCTCACCAAATGACATTCTCCTGCTTTTCAAGAGTGACCATTTTCACTCTGATGAGGAAGAAAGAAGCAAATTAGGCCCCGAGTGCTTTCCTTTGCTTCTTCTATTTGCTAATGTCACACTCTCTTCCTCAACCAATAGATCTGTTCCTCACCTTGTGCCCCATTCCTCACCTGTGCATCCCTGAGCTGCTTCTGGTTTCAAGAATTACTTGCAGAAAATAAAAGCCAACTTACTTTGTTGTCTTTGAAATTGATATTATGTAGCCTGCCTTCAGGCTGTTATAAAGGTAGCCTTTTAAAATCTGGGTTCAGGCCAGGCACAGTGGCTCACACCTGTAATCCTAGCACTTTGGGAGGCCGAGGTGGGTGGATCACTTGAGGTCGGGAGTTTGAGACCAGCCTGACCAACATGGAGAAACCCCATCTCTACTAAAAATACAAAAAAATTAGCCGGGTGTGGTGGCGCATGCCTATAATCCCAGCTACGGGAGGCTGAGGCAGGAGAATTGCTTGAACCCGGGAGGCAGAGGTTGTGGTGAGCCGAGATTGCACCATTGCACTCCAGCCTGGGCAACAAAAATGAAACTCCATCTTAAAAAAAAAAAAATCTGGGTTCAAATATCTCTTTCTTTAGCAACATTGATTTCTTTACATGCCTAGCTCCTTCCTTTTTCATTAAAATTATTTATGAAAATACTTGCAGAATTTTATTTTATATTTCTTCCTCTTCCTAGGGTCTCTTACTATGTGTCATACCAATAATTTCTTGAAATTTAATTATAAAACATACTTTTCTAGAGTTACGGTCCAAAAATGTTCTTCCATTGCTGTGATGGAAAAGCAAAGAACAAGGTTTCTTTCTCTTAGGTTTATTTATTGTCATATCAGCAATTAGAGCTTTTTGGACCAGGAAAGCACTTAGTCTCATGGATTCCTCTGCCCTCTGGGAGATAAAACTGTTGGGGAGGGATCTCAATAATTGCAGGCGCTCTGTTCCTAACATCTGTGTTCAGGTATCTGCACGTATTCTGATACAGGAAATTGTTCATTCAACAATATTAAAGCCTTACAGTCTGTAGTTTTTAAAGCATCATCTCCATTCTCTGGTGAGGTAGTTTTCTGTGCAGTTTTGCTTCTTAGAAAAAGAAGCAAAAGTATTTATCATCACTTAAATACTTCCTTCCTTGATTTCATAAGATTTTCAAATGCCTTCTTCATAGTCTGTCCTTAAGTCATGAGTTCCACCCCAACAACCGATGAATTTACAATTATCTCTTTTTGTTAACATTCCATGTTTACCTGCTAATTCCCTATATTCATCATGCTTTTTCAGAATTCAAGGAAGACCCATGTCTCAGCAATTTAGATGATGGGGGAATATGATGAGGCTACCTGAGGACATTAGGGAGAAAAGACATCTATCTCAGCAGTAGCATCACGGTGTGCAAAGACTAATGGGAGAAGGCTTATCATTGTTCAGTATCAACGGCATCTCCAGTAGCCCACGTGGGGTGTCATCTTCTCAGGAGCAGCTCCCCCCACTTTCTCTGAGAGGGCTGTGCTTGTATATTCTCAAAGATAGAAAACTGGGTTGGGCTAGTAGATCTGCATCTCATATGCAACACCCCTGTTAGGCAGAGTCTCCCATCAAGACTGGCTTTCTCCCTGATATCCATGCTGGTCATGGTTACCTCTGGCCCAATTTCTGGCCTAATCTTGCTAATCTCGTATCCAGGGTCACGCAGCACAAAGCATGGCAGCTTTATAGAGAGATAAGCATCTGGGAGCACTTTCCACCGAAGGACCTAAGTGCAGGGCAGGCAGAATGTCCTGGATAACCAAATGCACTATTGTATTCATGTAGTGTAAACAAAGCTAGCTGCTATTTAAAAAAAAATGTGTAATATCCCAGGTGATAAATCATCAAAGGGGAATGGAGGATGGAAGAAGTCTGCTCTGATGGGGAAGAATTTATTACCATTGACATTGTTTAGAATTGCTGGTGACTGGTGATAATGAAGACCAATATTTAGTCTATTTTATTATTGCTGTTAAATTCTGTAAAAAAAAAAAAAACTTACTCCTTATGGTCTATACCTAGGGTGGAACGGTCCCACTGCCCCTACATGCAGCCCTATACACCACTGAATGGCTCAAACACAATAAAAGTTTGTTCTTTTCTCACTTGACACTACTGAGCGTGTACAATTGTCAGTGGGGCAACTCTCTTCCAAACAGTCATTCAGGAACCAAGTTCTGATGTTGCGATTCTTTACCTCACCTTGCAAGATACAGCAAGGCTTTGAGCTGTAGGATGCTGGATAAATTGCCAAAGAAAAGCTAAGAATCTTCTATTCTAGGGACTAAGAGAAGAATGCACTACATGGCCTTTCTCTTTTGCCTCCAGCTTAAGTATTGCTGGATTTTTTACTAACATTGGCAACATTATGAGGGTGTCCAAAAAACAGAAACAAAAAACCCCAGATAGGTAGATCTCAGCTTGGATCTTCTGATATGCTCAGCTCCTGAAGGAAAGCTGACAATTTTTGGCCATACTCCCCAGATGGGAAACCACCAGGACTGGAGGTCTCTGTCAACAGAGAACAAAACTACAAAGGGAGCCCCACTCATGGCCCACCCAAGCTGCCCTGCCTGGCATTCATCTTTGGCAGCCAGCCTTTACTCAGTAGCTACCTGGGTGTGCCTGGTGATGGTATCGTGGCCATGCAAGCTGGTGCTCTGTGGCCTATAGGTGTGACATAGTAGTCAATGAGTGCCTATCTTCCTCCTCATCCATGAGTCCTTGGCCCAACCTCATCCACTCATCCATCCATTCAATCTATATTACTTATCCAGTGTCTATTTGTCACCACACTAGACACTGGTGACACCAAGATGGACCACAGCCAGTCCCTGCCCTCAAGAGTCTCACAGTTACTGCACAAGATGGAAAATCAAACATCTGCAGTACAGTGTGATGACTACTGTAACATCTTAATAGAGATGTTCAAAGATGCCCAGCTCTGTTGAAAGGAAATGACGCCTGAACCAAGTCTTGAGTTTCCAGACCCAGGGGATAATGCATACAAAGGTAGAGAGGCATGATCAAGAATGACCCTTGGAGAAGTGCAGTTGAGCATAGTTGGAACAGAGTGTTTCCCTGCAGCGTGACGAGAAATGAGGTTGGAAACAGGCCAGGACAGGACACAGAGGCCTGTGTGCCACCCCTAGGAGTTTGGACTTTCTCCTGTCAACAGTGAAGAATTTTCAATTCTTCTGTGTGGTAGTGACACAAAGAAGTGGGTGGATCAGGATGAATGAATTGATGGATGGGTGAGAAGAAGGAGAGACTGGATGCATGGCCAGATCAACTAAGTAGTGGGGTGAAGAACAGATTGTGGAGCATAATAAATTAAGCAGGAAACCCAGCTAGCAAGCCAACACATGAAATGAAATGAAAAATTACATAGGCCTGAGCTAAGACAGTGTTGGAGGAAATGGAAAGAACCACAAGGTATCTAGAAGGCCCATCAATTTATTGGATGTCAGGGGAGAGAAAAGGAGTGGTCCAGATGATGGTTCTCAGGTTGGCAGCTTGTGAGAGAGACTGGGAGGTGGTACAATCTCACTGCATGGAGAGCAGGAGGAAGTGCAGGCATGGTATTTGTGGATGTGTGTCCGAGCTCAGTTTTGGGTATGCTGAGGTTGAAATGCCCATGGGACATTAGATGGAGAAGCACAGAAAACACTAAGTTGTATCAAGTATGTGTTATGGGCAGAATGTGCTCGGTGCTTTCCAGGCATCAGTTTGTTTAATCTTCCCAAAACCCAGTGTGGGAGGGTGTCAGCTAGGATGAGCTAGGCTATTTAGTGGCAACAAACAGCCCTAAAATCTCAGTGGCTTAAAACAACATTGCTTTGCTTCTAACTTATCCTCCAAATCCACCATTGTGGCCTAAGGGCTTTGCTTCTTAATAAACTTACTCCAGGTCACTGGAACAGCCATGATGGAGCAACCACTCCCTGGAATTTTTCCAGTTGCTGTGGCAGAGGGACAGAGAGGTCTGGGGATCACACACTGACAGTGCAGCATCAGGACTGGAATAGCCTAGGACGAGCTAGGCTATTTATCACTTTTGCTCACACTTCATGGCTGGAGCCAGTCACACCAAAGGGCAGGGAAAGGCAATCCTGCCATGTGCCTGGAAATGGGGAGACCTATAACTATCTGGTGGCCAGGCTAACGACAGCCTCCAGAAGATGTAGTATTCTCACTCCAGAGGTCACTAAGGCACAGCTAAATGGGTTGGTCACCAGCAGGTCAGTACAAGAGCCAGCTTGCCCAAGGCCAGTCTCCTAAACCCCACATCACTCTGGCTGACAGTCCAGAGGAAGCTGGATGTGACAGCACAGCACCTGGGCAGATGGGAGTCCTCAGTTGCCGCTATTCCCCATTTAATGACAAGCACTCAACACATCCCACCGCAACAAGGACGATGGTTGGCATTTGGAACACCTCTGCTGAATGCCTTTCAACTAAGAGCTTGCTATTAAGTGAACTATGCTTCCCTGGAGGTTGAACTTAAAGCCATCTTGCCATCTGTATCAGTCCATTCTCACGCTGCTGTGAAGAAATACCCGACACTGGGTAATTTACAAAGAAAAGGGGTTTAGTTGACTCACAGTTCCACACGGCTGGGGAGGCTACAGGAAACTTACAATCATGGCAGAAGGCACCTCTTCACAAGGCGGCAGCAAAGAGAATGAGTGCAAGCAAGGGAAATGCCAGACTCTTATAAAACCATCACATCTCATGAGAACTCACTCATTATCACAAAAACAGCATGGGGGAAACTGCCCCCATGATTCAATTTCCTCCCACCGGCTTCCTCCCACAACATGTAGGGATTATGGGAACTGCAATTCAAGATGAGATTTGGGTGGAGACACAGCCAAACTGTATCACCATCCAAGGTACAGTTTTGTGTCAGGAATAAGCAGGTAAGACAACAGAATGGCAAACACAAGCCAAATGCCCTTCTCTGGGCAGTACACCCAATGTCATGCCCTCCCTGTATACAGTATAAGTCAATTAAAAGCATCAAGATTGACCACAGCTCCTCCTGAGCTGGTTGAGAGGATTAAATGAGATAATTGTGCAATGTATTTAGCACAGTGAGTAACATATACTATACTGCATGCTCAATAAATGGTAACTTCTACTGTTATCTCCACCTTAGGGTCTCACAGACATCTCAAGCCAATGTGAACTTGAAAATAGCACAGACTATGGGGTCCTAATTTAGCATGGCTACAAATTATTCTACACATCTCACTATCTCTGGTTTGCAGGACAAACTCAGGGTCATTGTGCAGGCCAGATGCAAAACGTCATAATCAGTGAAGCGCTGTACCACAGTCGCTATCCTACTGGCTGATGCAAAAATGAGGCAGCAACATAGCAAGAACAGAGTGTCATAAAAGCAGAAGCTTGCACAGGATGGTCCCTGAGAGCCCATGGGGGCTGCACCGTGGTCTCTGTGACCCTGAGCCTCCAAGTAAACTTCATGTTATATCCAATGCACTTAATGCAGCCTGAAAGCCAGTAATTCACTTTAGAAATATGTTTGTCCCCACAGAAGAGTTTTGAGTGAAACTTCATGTATTTAGTACCTTATAAAGTAACACCTCTTTCTCTCATAATTCTAGATCAGTAGAAGGTCCCTGTCTGTGAATTAGAACCCTGCTTCTAAGATGCTTCCAAAGTAAGTGAGACTGATAGCTGGGGGAGAGGACAGAGAGCCCAGGGCAGAATAAGAGCTTTGACCCAGGACAAGAAGGGGGAGGGTGCAGCTACACCTGAGGCAGCATGGAGGCAGAAGCAGTGTTTCTGGGATGCAGAGTTCTGAGAAGAGAGTGTACAATGACCAGGCTGAAGAAAGGGGGTGTCTGAGAAAGCAGCTTAGAGTCTCCTGCATCTGATGGGGAAGGGAGACACAGGCTCTTCTGATTTCTAGGGTGAAGAAGTAGACCTAAAATCCTATGGATGGCTATGTACAATAAACTAGGATATTCGCTGTGGTATTGTGTGAGGAAGGGGAGAGCAGATGCATTTTTCCTGTGTTCCCCGATTTGCAGCCAAGGCCTAAAGCTGAGCACAAGAGGTTGTCAGCATCCCTCCTCTTCTAAGACAGCTGCACACACATGGTCACCACCCCTCATAGCCATAGGCCCAAAAGATGGTCTCAGAGGACAACTGAGATGGAAGAGCCATCCAGCAGCATGGAGGGCAAGATGTGGCCATATGTTGCAAGGCAGCACCAGGGTAGGGGACCTTGTGAAATCAACCCTCCAACAACAGGCTTGTGGGCCACCACCTAAATTTAGAGGCAGCCACGGAGCCTGCTGCCCTAACAAGCTATCACCTAGGCAGGGAGCCCTGCCTGACAGTCCCTCCCCTGACTCAATACATGCTGCAAATCTCAAAAGAGAAGGAAGGTGGAAGTGTGTGATGAAAAGACCCCCATCCCACCAGGCCATGAGAGCCATAAATATGTTAGTTTGGGCATGTGGAGAGGTGGCCTAGTGGCGGGGGGAGACAGAAGAGGTTTAAATGGAGCTAAAACTGAAAACTTACAATGAATTTCGATTGTCTTAATTTCTGGAATGATGCCAATACTCAACAGTGATTGCAAATTATGGAATCCAGGTAAGTCTGTTCCACTTTACTACAGCAGTTACTAAGTCCTCAAATTTAGTAGCTTTAACAACCAAATTTGTCTTACTTGAGGACTGCAGTCCGAGCAGGGAGAGCTCATTGTGTCTGTTCTAAGGAGCTCCTGCACCCTCAGGCAGCACCCAGAGACTCACAGCGTCCGGAGCAGTGGCCACCCTTCCCCTGCTGCTCAGACCCATGAGGGGAAGAGTGGCCAGCCCCAGCCCCTCACTGCTTCCAGAGGACACTGCTGGCCCAGATAGCACCCAGAGGGGTGCTCTGTGCACCCAGGTCCCTGAAATCCTGCACTGTGAGTGCTCCTGAGGAGAGCAGGATGGGTGTGCATCTCATGGGAGTGGGTGGGGTGCAGGGTGGAGAGGACTTGGGAGGTGCTGAGCAAGGCTGTTGGGGGACCGGGTTAATGTGTGGGGCATAACCAGACAGGTGGAGGGTGACCAACAAGCTCAAGCACAGGGCTTGGCTTCGGGTTCAACATAAGGCCCACTTCAGGTTGCCCAGCCTGGCTAAAGCCTCCCTGTTCCTGGAGGGATCCAGCAGGAGTGGTACAGCACGGAGGGTGGGGTGGGACATGACGCCCTCCAGGGCTACCCCCTCCAATCGTTCAGAAGGCTTGTGGGAGGAGTATCAGAGACGAACAGGAAGAAAACCTTGGCCCAGAAATGCTTGTCATTACCCCGGAGCTGGAGCTCACCCAGCTTCATCACACCTGCATGGCATGCATCCATTTCATAGACCGAAACCCTGAGTTCTGTGGCTCAGAGAAGCCATATGAGTCATAGCTGTGCTGCAGAAGGTGCCTTAGAAAAGATGTCCTGGACTGCCAGGATTGCCACAATGTTCCCACCAGAGGGCACCCTAGCTTGGCATCAGGAGGTACCCAGTGCTGCCATCTAGGAGAGCCCTTTTCCTACAAGAAGCCCTCCTATGTTGATCAGCGTGGAGTGTGGCTTTCGTGGCTCTTCCCTGCCTGGAGTTTTTCACTTTCCCAGGGGCTTCTCTACATGTGCTCAGCACTCGGCCGTGTACCCCTCCGTGGGCAACCCACCGCCTCCACCCCAGACATTAACTTTCTAAACAGATCTTATGAGCCAGTCTCCCCTCCTCCAGCCCATTATATGCCTTCGCAGCTTTAGTTCCCAAAAGCTCCACTTTCAAGATGCATCTCCCCAGGCACCAAAGGCTCAGCAGAAGACATCTGAAGGCTCCTGGGCCTGATTTTCAGGCTGGCCCCAGCAAAGCTCTCTAACTCATCTGCTAGGGTGCCTCCAACTTCCTTCTGCTACACATAATGCCACAATGAATAACCTGTTCTTTGCATAAGGACTGCTTTCATATGTGGGGTTGGATTTCTCTCAGGAGTGCGAGTGCTGGGTCATTTACACATTTACACATGCCTGAATTCACTGAACAACTCTACGTTGCTTTCCAGAATGTCTACACCACCCCACGCTCCCAACCACAGTGCCCCAGGGTTCTCATCCTCCCACCCCTCCACATCCACCTTTCTGATCCTTGCCATTCTGATGGTACAAACATAACTTGTGGCCTGATCTGCATCTTTCTAAGGACTGGGGGCAGTCATCATTTCTTCATATTCCTATTAGCCATTTGGGCTTTCCCTTTGATGAACTGTCTATTCAGATCCCTGACTAGCTTTCTACTGGATTTCCTTTCTTTTACTTGTGGATTTGCAGGCATTCCTTATATATATAGACGTTTCTTATACACACACACACACACACACACACACACGTATAAGGAATATATATATATATAAATATATAACTTTTCCCAGGCTATCAACTACCAACTATTTTTTTTTCTGTGTAGTCTTTCGCTAAACTGGAATTTTTCATTTTAATGTGGTCATGTCGATCCATTTTTTACCTGGTCTTTATTTTCAAGGTTTGCTTAAGAAATCTTTCCCCACCCATAAGTAAGGACATTCTCCTACATGGCTTCTGCTTGCCTTTTAGCTTTATCTGTCCTGGCCTTTAATTCATCCGAGGCTTCCCATGGGACATGGTATGAACTAAACTCCAGCTCTATGCTTTCCATACGGTGTGTCTATTTTTTACAAATCTCACCAACTGAATAAATGGCCCTTTGCTTGTTGCAACCCTCATTAAATACCAAGCTTTACTGATGGGAAGGGGCCTGTTGTGAGTGTCTGTGCTGCTCCATTAGTCTATCTACATATTGCTGCACACTTTATTATTACTATTTTATCTCGAGTCCTCAGACTTTCCTTTCCTTTTTCATAACTGGCTTTGCTATAAATAAACTTTACTCTTTCAGAAAAAAATTAATTTTATCAAGTTCCTCAAAATAAATCCGGCTGGAATTTTTGTTGGGTTTGCATTGAATTTGCCAACTAATTTAGGGGCAATTTATAACTTTAGAATGCTAGGTCAAAGTATTCCTGAATATAGCATAATTCCATTTAATCAGATTTTGTTTTTTATTTTCATTATAGAGTTTTATATTGTTCTCCATAGACATCTTGTGCATACTTTATAAAGTTATATAATACTTTATTGTTTTTAATCTGTCTTAGGAATGACATCTTGTTTGAGATCTTGTCGCCCAGGCTGGAGTGCAATGGCGCGACCTCAGCTCACTGCAACCTCCGCCTCCCGGGTTCAAGCGATTCTCCTGCCTCAACCTCCCAAGTTGCTGGAACTACAAACGTGCCTGGCTAATTTTTTTGTATTTTTAGTAGAGACAGCGTTTCACCATGTTGGCCAGTCTGGTCTCGAACTCCTGACCTCAAGTGATCTGCCTGCCTTGGCATCCCAACATGCTGGGATTACAGGCAAGAGCCATTGTGCCCAGCCATATTTTCCATATATTTTCTGATTAGCTGTCACTGATAAAGAAAAGCACTTTTGATTTTTGTAAGTTGACTTTGTAACTAGCAGCACTGCTCAACTTTTCCTGTTACTTCTACCGTGTATCAGTTGACTGTGTTGGGTTTTCTACACAGCTGATCCCATTGTCTGAAAATAATGGCAGTTCTATCTCTTCTCTTCCAATTCTTACAGACATTTCTTTTCTTGGCCAGGAATTCTAGTATTTTACAGCATGGCCTTGAGAATGGACACCTTTGTCTTGCTCTCAGTCTTCATTGGCATGTGCCTCAAGTTCATCCTTTAGGTGTGACATCCTCTAAGCTTCAACCACGGTATCCACCGCCCTGTGAACACGTCTGTGCTCTTCTTCCATTCATTGCCTGGCATTGCCTCCACCCTTCTGACCTTTCCAAACCCCTCTATCCTTCAAATCTCAGCTCAAGTCTGACTTTTCCTACAAAGCCTCTGACTGCTCCAGCCCAAAGCAAGCTCCCACTCCGAGGAAGAGGAGTCTTGAAGAACTGCTTCATCCAGAATACAAATTGTGCATACTTACAAATCTGCCCAACTACTTTGTTGGATCCTTGAGGACGGGGGCTGTGTATTAAATCTCTCTCCCTCCTCTTCGGTACAGAGAACTTGCATAGTAAATAGTAGTGAGTATGTGAAGGTGCCACATCTTATCAGCTCTGGAGGTGTGTTGTGAGTTCAAGGCCAGAAGGCAAAACTGGAGGCATCAAAGAATTCTTCCTGCCTGGAGCAGGAAGCCGCATGCACCTTCCACCCTCCTGGATTGCGTGCCTTCCACGGGCTTCCCATGCACCACCCCAGCTCATCTTCGCAAAGGCCAAAAAGGCCAGTATTAGAATCCTCATTTTTCAGATGAAGACACAAGGTTTACAGAGATTAGCTAAAGCATCACACACACACAGTGACTGAAATGAGAGCTGCAGCCATATTTCCAGGACTCCCAGATCTAATGACTTCACTGCAGCAGGCTTCCCATGGAAATGTCACTTCCACAGCCAGGTGAGCAACAGACCTGTGGCCAGGCACACCTGGAGAAGACCAGAACAGTCCCCTTTTACTCAACGATTTCACCTCCAGGAATTTGTTTTAAGGAAATTACTAGACAGGTGCCCAAAGATGTGTTTACTAATGTTCATTTCAGAGTTGTTTATCAAAAATCCATTAAGAAGGCACAAAAAATGTGAAGCAACATGGATATTAAGGCAAGAAAGAAGTGACAAAAGTCAGAGTATCAGAGTGTCAGAAACCCAGCAGACAGGCAGGTAGACACCAGAAAAGCACACAGGAATAAGGCCAGGGGGTTGCACCCCAAGAGAGACAGGTGGGAATCTGAGGACCAGATCAACAGGGCAAGCGGTCATTCCTCCAGGCCAACCCAGACCAGGTGTGAAGGGCAGGCACAGAGTCCAGGCCCTGGTGACTGAAACAGCCTGTGGCTCTGCCGGACCCTTTATGGGCCCATGGTTAGGGCGGGAACCAATCACAGCCTGGAGCCCAGGAGGGAAGAGGCAGCCTGGGGATTTGGGTGCTGCTGTCTCTTTGTCAGCTTCCTGTCTAAGTCTGTTTTCAAGGGACTCCTGGTCTGCAGTTCTCTTTGTTCTGAGCCATTTACAAATAGATGCTCTAATTAAGGCTTTCTGAGGCGGCAATGATTGCCTTGTAAAACTGCTTTCTGCTTACCCAGGAATGGTACTCTGCATCTCACTAGCCGTGTACACTGTCCCTTTGCAAGGCCCTGCCAGGTGCCTGCAACCAAGACCCAGTCACCCTGCTAGCACAAAGTGAGGTGGGGGTGGCGCTTCCCTCCACCAGGCACTCGCTCGGTCCTCCCAACCTCCAGCAAGCTGTGGATTACCATTTATATTTCACAAGTAAGGACCCTGGGGGAAAACGCCTGTGCCATGGCACAAAGCTAGTAAGAGATATAGTTGGGCTTCGAATTGTGTCTTTTTATCTCCAGGGTCCATGCTATCTTCAGAGCCAATCAGGGCAGGGGTGGGCATGGTCATGGCTCCCCCATCCCAAGGAGGTCATGTGTCTACACAGAGCCCCTCGGTGGAGGGGTCCAACATGATCCAAGCCTGCTGGATTGAGACAGATGAGCCAGGTCAGAAGACAGCAGCGCAGTTTCCAGCATCGTGATGGAGAAATGCTTCACAGAGGGTTCACTGCCCTGCAGTCCTCAGCATTTCACCAAGAAACAGATCCCCCATAATCATTGGATATGTGTGGAGAGCATTCCAGGTGCTCACTGGTTCCAGTGTGGGTGGGTGAAGAGCCTGGTCTTTCTTGGCTGTCTAGCAGATGTTTGACCCAACCAAGACTGAACATGACAGCACCAGCCAGCCCAGCCTCCCTCAAAGATGCTCCCAAAATCCCACTAGCCACTCAGCTGCAGTCAGCCACCCCCAGGCCCCCCAGGTACCCTCAGGCTGTGCCTCCCTGGTGTGTCTTTCACACCAGGATCCCCTATCACACAGCCCACACCCCCAGAGTTCCTGCCCCAGACACAAGACTCTGGAAGCCTGTCCACAGGACCCAAGAAGAGAGGCTAGGAGAGTCCTTTTTTTGGATCCATGGCAGATGTCCAGCTCCCTAAGAGATTTCAACAGCACCATCGCCTGCCCTCCCTCAGGCCCACAGAAGATGGGCCCCTCTTCCATCATCCCCAGATCCCCACTCTGGGATATAACTGGCCCACTCATCCTGAGCGGGAGTGGGAAGGGCAAAAGATGAGAGTCACAGGAGGGTTACTATTAGCCCAGAGTGGGTCAGTGTTGGGTTGTGGCTGGGTCAGGACACAGGTCCATCAGTGGAGTCCTCCTCATCCTCTCCTGACGAAAGCAGTCCAGAGATGTGTGTTTGGAAGGGTTGATGGGCTCAGGTCCTCGGGTTAAGGCAAACCTCCTGGCTCGGTCCGACTGTCCATCCATCAAAGCCATTGCCTGTCCTAACCCAAAGGAACAAGGGCCCAAAGTAAGAGAGCTTGGCTTTAGGAACAGCCACATGAGCTAGCACCCTTCTCTCACCCAGTGTGTTCTCTGAGGTGAGAGAGTGATCTCATTTAAGGACCCTGCTGATGTCCCTCACCTCCCGCACCTTCCCTCCTTCCTGGTGAGTACATACACCCCAAGACCCCATCACTGAGCTTCCCTGCTGGGAACCTAAAGAACACCAATCAGCCTGGACATTGTGAGGGCCTTCCCCCCATCTGTGGCTTCTCATCTTTCCCCCTAGCCAAATGTTGGCTCCCCCACATGCATGCTACCTCCAAACACCCCAGGTCTCTGTAGGATTTCCAGAACCTAGCACAGTGGCTAGTGCATAGTTGGTGGGCACCAAATAAGTATTTCCTGAATAAATGAATAAATGAATAAATGAATAAATGAATACACATAGTCTAGTCTGCAAATCAGAGCCAGACTCTTTTCTGGTCATCTCTCAATCCTGTACTACCCCACCCCAATCCTCCTCAAGCCCAGGTCCCCACTCTCCTCCATGAGTCCCTGGAGCTCTGAGGTATTCCACACTCCCCGCTCCTGATCCCATCAGCAATGACACCTGGAACTCTGAAGCATAGCCCTGGCACTGTCCTGAACTCTCTGAATCAGTTTCTTCCATGTCCCAGATGGTGTCCCTGCACTAGGAATACCCAAAGTGCAAAGAACATGCCCTCCTCCCACCCCAAATCTCTACCCCCACTCCCATCCTTGACCAGGCTCTGAGCAGGAATAGGATAGGAGCGGCCAATCTTGACAATGAGGAAAGGAACCCGCCTTTGAGAAAAAGACAGGAAAGCCTACAGCAAGAGGTTGTCTCAGAGGCAGCCCCCTCCTTGGGACAGGCCAGCCACTCCACCCCAGGGCTTGGCCATGGGTCCAGGGCCCATAGCCTAGCTCTGCCCCTTTCAGAACAGGGTTCAGAGAGCAGGCTTTACCCCAGGTCACTGCACCCATTCCCCTCGCTTGGACCGCAGAATGCAACTAATGCTTTCAGGAACCCCTCTCCCCGCTCCACAGCAGTGCCAGTGGGAGGGGCAGGAGCAAGGAGGAAGCTTATAAAGGGCTTTGAAGATGAAACAGGGCCCGTGGCCAGGGATTGTTGATGCAGCCACACTGAAGAGGCAAGCAGGGTTCTAGCTTAAGAGGCCAGGGTGATGCCAAGCCAATAAAATTCAGCTATTGTCTCTTTGCTCCCTCTTTTAACACCAGCTGCCCCTGGCACATAAAAGGGCCTGCCATCAGCCAGGGAGCACAGGCCCTTGGTTCCATCCTCTGCCATCTACTCCACTGTTCAGACACCTCCTAACCTCCGTCATGACCTGTGGCTTCAACTCCATAGGCTGTGGGTTCCGCCCTGGAAACTTCAGCTGTGTCTCTGCCTGCGGGCCCCGGCCAAGCCGCTGCTGCATCACCGCCGCCCCCTACCGCGGCATCTCCTGCTACCGCGGCCTCACCGGGGGCTTTGGCAGCCACAGCGTGTGCGGGGGCTTCCGCGCCGGCTCCTGCGGACGCAGCTTCGGCTACCGCTCCGGGGGCGTGTGCGGACCCAGCCCCCCATGCATCACCACCGTGTCGGTCAACGAGAGCCTCCTCACGCCCCTCAACCTGGAGATAGACCCCAACGCGCAGTGCGTGAAGCAGGAGGAGAAGGAGCAGATCAAGTCCCTCAACAGCAGATTCGCGGCCTTCATCGACAAGGTGGGTGTCGTCCTGGATCACACCCTTCCTGAACCCCTACTCATGTTCAGAACTCAGGCTGGGCACTGACAGGGAAGTCAAAGGCAAGAACTTGCCCACAGAAGTTCCCAGGCCAAAGGGAAAGGTAGTCATACTTCTAGGACACAGACAGAAAGACAAAAATGGGACCGGGAGCTACCAGACTGATGGGGGAGATTAACTGAAAACACAAAAGCAGAACGAGGGGCAGAGCCTTCCACACTGAGTGATAATATCACCTAGTGAGCAAAGGACCACTGTGTGGGCGCTCAGGGCATTTGAAGCCAAATAACTGCTTAAATGCCAAGGAGATGCTGTCTCCATCAAGGCAGGGCTAATAAGTGTGGTGCTGGAAAACTGTCTGGAAGTGGGTCTCGTGGATGGCACAGAACTCTTTCTATACCACACAGTGATTTGGCCACTGAGCAGGGTCTAGAGTATTTTGTCCAAGCCACTGTTCCTGGGGCTCAGGATCCAGGGGTGAGCAAGAGTCATGGTCCCCATCCTCACAGGCTTTATGGGGAGGCAGGCAGTGCACAGTCTGGGTTTGGTTGAAACCATCTGTGTAGTCAGTGTCCAACTAGAGTTTGCAGCCACCTTCTCCACTGAATCCAGGCAACCACCATGTGGCAGTGATGTGAGAGACTGGGAGAAAAGGCTCTGACTAGGAACATGTTCTGGGGTTGGAAAGAGCCCTCCAGAGCCAAAACCTCAAGAGAGGAGTCACACTAGAGAGATGCCCACCAGAAAGGATCGGGAAAAAAAAATGTGGAATTTCTAATAGCATGAGAGACCAAGGATAGCATAAGATAGGACCTACCAAGGGTGTGGCCAAGTTATTAGACAAAAGAAGCTGAGTGGAGTAGTGGGCCAACCTCATCGCTGGGAGAGGGATGTTCCTATAATTGTCAAAGGGAGAGAAGACACCCCCTGCAGCGCAGAAGATCGGAGTTTGAGCTCTTCTCTGCCACTGTGAGCTCTCAGGCAGTCAGGGAACCTCCTTGGCCTCATCAGTAAAATAAGGGGGTTGGAGCACAGGACATTCCTACTCTCATATTGCAGGTGACTATTATTCTAATTGCATTGTTGTTGTAGGGTTTGAATAATTGGCACATGCTTTATTTTTCAACTTTTACAGTTTGCCTTTCTAAAAAGGTCCACCTGGCTTGGTGTGATTGAACAGCAGTAGCTGTTCAGTGTGGGGTGCCTTTCTGTTAAAGGGTTCTTTTAATCCTCATAGTAAGGTGAGCTTTAACCTCGCCACTCTACAGAGGAGGTGAGTGCTTTATCCAAGGGCACAATGTTAACAAGTGGCAGCAGAATCTGGACTCTTCAAGCATTTTCCATGACACCAGGTAAACTGACTTAGAAGAGATTAACTCCCAGGAAGAACTTCCAGGTGGTGAACTGGTTAAGCCCTGGTGGCATTTTTGAGAGAGATGACATAACGCCTTCCAGGGAAGACTCTGGGTCAGAGAGTTGGGGGCTTTCAGGCCCTCGTGCTGGGAACCCCTCTTTGTCCTCTGATGCTGCAAGAAGAGGTTCTTAGGCTCTGCCTCTGGGTGGCAGGTGCGCTTCCTGGAGCAGCAGAACAAGCTGCTGGAGACAAAGCTGCAGTTCTACCAAAACCGCGAGTGCTGCCAGAGTAACCTGGAGCCCCTGTTTGCTGGCTACATCGAGACTCTGCGGCGGGAGGCCGAGTGCGTGGAGGCTGACAGTGGGAGGCTGGCCTCAGAGCTCAACCACGTGCAGGAGGTGCTGGAGGGCTACAAGAAGAAGTGAGTGTGGGCAGGAGGGGTTCTGGGCACAGGAAATAGCATGGTGGCAGCTCCCTGAGCCCGGAGGAGTATCCAGTCTGCAGCTGGCATCTCTGCCTGAGAGTGGAGAAGAACCTGTACCCCCTGTTTGAGACACAGGGGTCCCTTGGGTGTGGGGGATGGAGGCTCAGCTTGTCTTTCCACCAGCAGATCAGGGAAACAATGCTCTCTCCCTTTCTCCATCCATTTTTCACAAAAACTTGTATTCCTGGGTCCCTTTGAGACCAGATCTCAAAGTCCTGGACATGTGTCTTCCTAAGTTTGCTCTCTCACTCAGCTAACACTATCTGATCACCTACCACATGCAGCACGCTGTGCTGGTGATAGTGACACAGGGCCACGCAAGCCACACAGTGCGGGTTCTTGTGGAGCCTGCAGTCTGCTGGAAGGCAGTCATGACAGAGCCACAGATCTAGCCCTTCAGCTACAAAGTGTGATATATGGTATGAAGAATACGCACTGGATCCTCAGAAGGAATCTGCTTTTGAGGGGTGGCCAGCTTCCTTCAGTAACATTCTCTCCATGGACTCCCCAGGCCCAGCATACCCCTCCCTCCCTGTCTCTGAGCTGCCTCCCACAGCTCAGGCCAGGAGGGGAGAGACAGAGCGAGGATCCCACCACCTGCAGCTGAGTGGGGGCAGGGGAGGGCTCGAAGGAAGAAAAGATGGAGACCTAGGCGAGAAAAACAGCACCTCCCACTCCCCAACCACACACATTCACACACTCAGCTTCCAGATCCTGCTCTCCCAACCTCCACCAAAACAGGGGAGTGAATTAGCCAGGCGTGGTGGTGGGCACCTGTAGTCCCAGCTACTCGGGAGGCTGAGAGGGGAGAATGGCATGAACCTGGGAGGCGGAGCTTGCAGTGAGCCGAGACCGCGCCACTGTGCTCCAACCTGGGCGACAGAGCGAGACTCCATCTCAAAAACAAAAACAAAAAAAAACAGGGGAGTAGGCACTTCATTTCTCCAGTGCATCCCAGTAGTACCCAGGCCAGCAGCCTGGTTCCTGCAGAGCCCCACCCATTTCACTTGGGGGCAGGAGACAAGCAGGGGGAGGTCTAGGAAAGAGACTCCTTTGCATATATGCTCATGGCCAAGATCAAGAGCTGTTCAGACAAGGTCCTGTTCTCCCTGCTCACCTCAGGTATGAAGAAGAAGTAGCACTTCGAGCCACAGCAGAGAACGAGTTTGTGGCTCTAAAGAAGGTGAGTGAAGCCCAGCTGGCCCTGAGCCCGCCCTGAGTCCCGCCACCCATCCTCTTTGTCCTGCCACATGGCAGCCAGGTCCTCAGAGCCCTCTGAGGAAAGCCGGCCTCACAGCCCCTTCTACCCCACCCAGGATGTGGACTGCGCCTACCTCCGCAAGTCAGACCTGGAGGCCAACGTGGAGGCCCTGATCCAGGAGATTGACTTCCTGAGGCGGCTGTACGAGGAGGTGAGGGGCTCTCAACCATGGTGGGCACAGATCCCCCCATGGGATCCCTGACCCTCTGCCCAGACACCCACAGGCATGAACCAGGCCTGCTGACATATGAACCCAGGCTCACGGCTGGAGGGTTGGCAGGGAGCAAGGAGAGGGAAGGAACAGGGAGGCAAACGGATGGAAAGCCAAAAAGGAACAAATTTAGTAAGGGGCAGGAGAGTGAGCACCCCAGACACCTGTGCCTTGGGAACCTGCCCTGCATCCTTCCCCTGAGCCAGTGGACTGCAGCATAGACCCCACACAGCATCAAACAGAATTGAACCCATTGCTCTGGCCCAGGGCTTTCTCTGGCAGCAATAGCCTTCCTACATGGGGTTGGTCTAGGAGAATGGAAAGAGGCCCCCCATACAGGGTCTGAGCCCCTGGAAAGCATCTGGACCATGCTGGCTGCACATGGGCCTGAATAATTCCAAAAGCAAGCAGTTGAGAAGTGGTTGTGTTTTCCTCTAAAGGGATTTCCTATTTGTGCAGAAAGTTATGTGATTTCATCAGGTTTGTTTCTCTAAACATGAGAAGTTCACTCCCGATGAGCCAAAAGGATGATAGGCATCCAGGGATTAGGAGAAGCCCAGATAAGTGAGTTGTCCTTCCTTTCCCCACCTCCTGCAGGAGATCCGCATTCTCCAATCCCACATCTCAGACACCTCCGTGGTTGTCAAGCTGGACAACAGCCGGGACCTGAACATGGACTGCATCGTTGCCGAGATCAAGGCACAGTATGATGACATTGCCACCCGTAGCCGGGCTGAGGCCGAGTCCTGGTATCGCAGCAAGGTGAGCGGCACAGGACACCTGCCTGCTAGACATGGCAGTGGGAGGGATGTGAGGTATCTAGTAGAAAAGGCTTCTTTGTCTAGGGATTCTGATCCCTAAGGATGGTAAGAGAAAAACCAATAGCTCTCATGTTGGGGTGGCAGGGCAGGACTGCCACGTGTGGTTGCACAGGCCGAGCACTGCACAATCTGTGCAATCATCTGAGCTGTCCTGAATGAATGGGATGTCTCATCCTGAGCCTCATGAACATCTCTGCTTCCTGCAGTGTGAGGAGATGAAGGCCACAGTGATCAGGCACGGGGAGACCCTGCGCCGCACCAAGGAGGAGATCAACGAGCTGAACCGCATGATCCAGAGGCTGACAGCCGAGGTGGAGAATGCCAAGTGCCAGGTACCAGAGCCCGGCCCACCCCTCAGTGTAGGAAGAGACTGGGGTTAGCCCTCGGCAGAGGGATTTGAGTTAGATTCTGGAAAAGTCTTCCCAGTGCAGTCTCATGGGTGACAGAGTAAGATGAGAAATCTACTGAAATATTTCTGATTGTCTTGGCCAAGGTGTGTGTGTGTATCTGTGTGGTGTGTGTGTGTGTGTGTGTGTGTAGTGTAAGTGAGGAGGGAAGGAAGGTTAGGAAGCTGATTGGAGAGATAATATTTTAAGATAGAAGTTGAATGATCCTATTGGAGACTGGCTGGGATTTCAAGAAACTAAACTTCACTTTATCCTCTCCATATTCCCCCTACCTCCCAGAACTCCAAGCTGGAAGCTGCGGTGGCCCAGTCTGAGCAGCAGGGTGAGGCGGCCCTCAGTGATGCCCGCTGCAAGCTGGCCGAGCTGGAGGGCGCCCTGCAGAAGGCCAAGCAAGACATGGCCTGCCTGATCAGGGAGTACCAGGAGGTGATGAACTCCAAGCTAGGCCTGGATATCGAGATCGCCACCTACAGGCGCCTGCTGGAGGGCGAGGAGCAGAGGTGGGTCCAACCCAGCCCTAAGCACTCCACTTGCATAGACCTGCCCACCTTTGATTTTTCCCTATCTCAGTCTCAGTCCCCAGGTGACATTCTTGCCTCTATGGATCCCAGATCCATATCTTCAAGTTGTCTCATTCTCAACTCTTCCAAGATCCATACCCTGCCTGGTTTCTTGGACATCACCTATTCTAGGGCAGGGTTGCTGGCCAAACTCCACCCCTGACCTCGTCTTCCCAAGAGGGCCTTCTCCTTCTGAAAGTTGAGCCTATCTAGACCTGACAGATATGGTTGTTCAGGTTGTTCACTGCACAAAGGCAAATAACAGCTGAGAGACAAATAAGAATTGAAATCCAACCATACTCTACTTGCTAAATAGTGTGACCTGACGTTGCTTCAACTGCCAGAAAGGCAACTTTTTCTAAGCTGCACAAGGGAATAAATGTAGGTCAGAAATAGCCCTGAGATGACCCATTTCAGCACCTAGCGGAAATTCGATGACCTCATTCTGACTTCTTTTATCTTCCCCTTCCTTACTTTTTCCCCACTCAGGCTGTGTGAAGGTGTTGAAGCTGTGAATGTCTGTAAGTATCTTGAGCCCTGAAAAGGAAAATGTAGACTGGGGACAAAGGACTTCTTGACTATGAATATATGCAGAGACTTTGGGAGGAGTGTTTCCAATAATTCCCCCAGTAAAGAGGATAGGTTGGTCATGCAGCAAGACAGACTGAGGTTAGCTCGCAGGAAGAACCTCACAGCCTGAATGTGTTGGGGAGGGGAAAAAATAATAAGATGTCATTGCAAGAAGGGACCTCAGATGTCATTCATAACCTTCACCTTATATAGGTGAGAAAGCTGAGGCCCAGACAGAGGAAAGGACTCCCAAAGTCACAAAGCAGAACCAGGACCAGAACCCCGGTCTGCTGGCTCCCAGGCTAGGGTTCCCTCCTTCAGAATAGAACTGGAGGCTCTTTGCATCCTTCCCTGGATGGTCGACACATCAGACAGACCAAAGGAAGGTGGCTGGATGGGATGGCCATCAGCAGGGGTCTCTTGACCCTGCCCTTGTTCCCACAGGTGTCAGCAGCTCCCGGGGTGGGGTTGTGTGCGGGGATCTCTGCGTGTCGGGCTCCCGGCCGGTGACGGGCAGCGTCTGCAGTGCCCCCTGCAACGGGAACCTGGTGGTGAGCACTGGTTTGTGCAAGCCCTGTGGCCAGCTGAACACCACCTGTGGAGGGGGCTCCTGCGGCCAGGGGAGGCATTAAGTGGCCCAAAAGAGAGCCAGGGGAGCCCCTTCTGCCTGCCAGACGTGCCACTGCCCCACCACCAGCTGAAAACAGCAGCACATCGCTGGCTTTTCCCCTTGTGTTCTGAGAATACACCATCGGCTCATTCCCACCAGCGGCTCCTCCCCACCTTTCATCCCACTGGAAAGGGGCCTGTGGCTGGGGAATAGACCCATTCCTTCCCCTGTCTCAGCCTTCAGCCCCTCCCGGGGAGAAGGGCCTTGCTTCCCTGGAAGAAGCACTGTGAGACTGTTCCCCCTGCCTCTCTGGCCTCTTGTCTCCCCTTTTCCAATAAACTTGGGGACCTGCTTTGTGTGCTGCAATGTCTTGCTTTCTTGGGGTTCCCCACACCCACCAAGTGGTGAGCACCCCAGCCTGATGATATGGCCTGAAGACTAGAGTCGTTCTGGCCTGTTCTCCGCCTGGACACCCGTAGGGCCTTGTCCCCAGATGGTTCTGTCATCTCCTGGCCAGGCAGTGCTGACTGTGCTCACAGCACCTTCTACCTGTCACACCTGTCAGTCTGGATGGCTCTGAAGGGGACCGAGGAGGCCAGAAGTCAGCCGGAAGGCAGTGCATGTGCATGCGCATGTTTATATGTGTGCACGTGTATGCGTGCTTGTGTGTGTGTTTGAGTTTTGCCCCCTTCTTGCATACACGGTCCCCACTTTCTCTTCCTAGCATATCTTCACTCTGCCCCCCAGCCATCCTTCCACGTAGGTACCACAGCAACAACCACCAAAAGTGCCAGCAGCCACCCTTGGGGGCTGCCCTGTGTCAGTCTGGACCCCACCCCATTGCCACATCCTCCTCATGCTGCCCACCAAACAGGGAAAGATGAGAGCCTTGGCACCTGCCCCTGGCCCACCCTTCCCCCATGCATACACCTCCTGAGTACCTGGCAGCCTTCTCCACAGCTGACATGAGGACACCTTCTACTCACTCCCTCAACTGCCCCACTCACTGCCCTCATCCGAGATACCTCACAGCTTCAACCCCAAGGCTAAGAGGCTCCTCTGCCCGCTGCTTGGCCCAATCTCTCCTGTCCTCCTCTTGGAAAGCTCTGGAGAGCTCTGGAAGACTTTGAGAAGTCCCTAACCCCACCCTCGAGGAATCAGGCCTGGAACAGTCCTTGCAAGGCTGCAGCCCACCTCCAGGGTAGCGCACTGCCTTCCTTGCTGGCCCTCTTCATTCCTCCCCTTCACCCAGCCCCTGGCCTTTCCCACCCATCTCACCAGGATGTCCTTGGAGGACTCACCCCCTTCCTTTGCTTCCCCTGGAATCTCCAGGCTCCCCAGGACCCTTTAGCCTCCACCCAAGTCCAGGGGCTCCCCAGTGCCTTCTCTCCCTCCCACCTCCCAATTCCTGAGTCTCGGGCCTTTCACCTCCTTGTCTCCCAGGCCAGGCTCTCAGCTCTTCCCAGGCAGTTCTGCTCACTGGCTCATACCTCACCCTGCACCTTGCCTCAAGCATCCAACTACCCCAGGGCCTTTTCCCACCTCTCTGCACTCTCCCCAGGCAGTCATATCAGCCTCTCGCCTTCAGCTACCACCCAAAGTTAATGTCCTCCCTGGTTAAAATCCCCCACCTGGGCTTCAGAGCCCTGATGATTCTCCTCCTACCCTCACTCCTCGGCTTAGACCCAACAGCTCCAGTTCCTACAAGACACCTCCACTTGTCAGTTTTAGAGATGCTTCGAACTCAGCATACCTTCCAGCTTAACTCATTGCTTCCCACCCTCTCAACCGGAGTCTCCTCCAGTCTCTCCTGCCAAGATCATCAACACAGTTGCCCAAACCAGAACCTATGATTTATCCATGCCTGCGCCCTCAATATTCACTAAACCCAAGGACTTCTTTTTCTGCCTCCTAAATAGCTCTCCATCCCCCTCTTTCCTCTCTCCTTACTGCTGCCAGCACACCCAGCCATCACCATTTTGCCTGGAGTCCTGCTCTTCTCCCTTCCATGCCCCACCTCACAGCAGCCAGAGACCTTCATCATACACAAGGCTGAGCTTTCAGTGGGTCACCACTGTCCCCGGGACAAAGTCCAGACTTAAACACAATGTACACAATGTACATCCCCTGTATGTCTAGCTCTGACTGATAGCTCAGTGCCTCTCACTGCTCCCTATTCCCCATTGCCCCCCACCTTTCTCCCCTACTCTGGCTCAAGATGTCCTGAACACCTGTCAAGTGAGGGGTTGGACCAGAGGCTCTGCAGGGGCCTTTTCAGTTCTGCCCGTCTTGGGAAGGGGCTCCGATTTCTCCTCTGGGGTTTAACACTCCCTTCTCAGGGGTTAAGGAGGATACTGTAAGGACTGCCAGCCTCGGGAGGTCATGGACGTGCCACCTGGGGGAACCCAGAGACTCCATGCCTCTGGCAGTGATGCATCTTCCTTCCACCCAACCAGCTCAAGGGGCTAGACAAGATTGTTGGAGCCTCTGGTCCTGAGTCCCTGAGCCCCATCTTCTCCACCACCACTACCACCTCTACACCAAGGAGGGGGTGGCTATGAAGAGCCCTAAGCCTTGGTGCTGGGAGAAAAAGAGAAGCACAGCTGGAGGATTGTTAAGCAGGCAAAGCTGATTACTTCCTAAGGGAGGTAACATTGAAGCTGAGACCTAAAGGAAAACCAGGAGCTCATTTATTCCAACAACAAATCATTATTGAGCACCTGCTGTGTAGCAGGTACTGTTACACAAGCTTGGGTTCCTATAAGTGAAAAAAAAAAATAGTTAAAGATGCTTGTCCCTGCAAAGCTTACATTTGAAAGCAAGAAGTGAACTGAAGTAAGGAGTTAGCCAGGATGAGAGATGTGCTCCAGACATGGGAACAGTATGTGAGAGATAAAGATGGAGCTGGAAAAGGAGCATGGGGCCATCCAGGAGCTCTGATGCGTCAGGAAGGCCACCAAGGAGAGTGGGGGCTGCTCTCCAATGCCTCTAAAAGCTGAAAATGAGCACTTCGTTCCTACCTCCTCCTCCGTAGCCCCTCCTACCCCAGCTCCAACTCCATTCCATGAAAGCTTTCTTCACCCAAGAGCATTTCTCATTCCTCCTTCCTTCCAGGCACTTTTCCAATCCTCTTGCAGAGGTAGATGCTATGGGCCAATTCATGAGGCCTTCCATGCTTCACAGAGAGCCAGCTGCCTCTTCTCCGGAAGCTTCCTGCTGGCTGCTGAGGAATGTGAGCTAGCTGGATGGTGGATCCCTCTGTGCTGACAAGCCTGAGATAGTGCCAGTGTGGTAGTGCCAGTACCCAGACTAACAGTGCTGTGACATCCACCCTTCTCTGCACACCAGCTGAAGCTCTCATTCACTCAGTGGGCTGCTGCTATCACCTGCCTTTAAGTGGGTAAACTACCCGAGGCTCCAAAAGCTGAAGGAGCTTGGCCACACACTCCTGCTGACAAAAGCTAGGATGTCAAACCTCCAGCTCCCAGTATTTCCTACCAGCCCACTCTGCCCCTGCTATTCAGAGGCTGAGAATGCTACACTGTTATGATGTCATGGTAATAGTAATAACAACAAGAGCAGTCATAAACACTAATTGTTTAGTATCTGTTGTATGCCACACTATACCTCAAACTTATTTGTGTTGTCTCATTTAATCGTCCTGTGGTAGCTATCTTCAGAGATGAGCCCCCAGCAGCTCCTCCCTCTCTGTGCATGGCACTGCTCATATCAAAAGTGGAGCCTGTTTTTCCTCCCCTTGATCTTGGGCTGGCTCCATGACTGCTTTGACCAATAGAATCTGATGGAAAGCACCTTCTGCAGCTTCCGTGCCCAGATGGCCTCAAAGGGACTGGAGCACGTAGGGAAGAACAGAGGCCCTGGCCATCAGCTCCTGAGCTCTTGACCAGAGCTAGCTCCAAATGCCAACCGTACAAGTGAAGCCATCCTGGACCTTTCAGCAGTACCAGAGCCCCAGTCAATGATATGAAGCAGAAGAATCACCTAGGCAATTCACACAACTATGAAAAATATTGTTGTTTTAAGCCACTAAATTTGGGGATGTCTTGTTACATAGCAATAGATAAGTGGAGGGCAAGTTGGTACCTGGCAGAGAGATGCTACTGAAACAAAACTCAAAACCTATGTCTTTGACTTTGGGCCCAGGCATCAGGCAGAGCCTAAATTTGCTCAAGGAGACAATTAGTGAAAGCTGGAGAGCCAGCAAAGAAATTATCACTGGATGCTGGAGAAAAGGCCTGGGGGTAGGGGCTGCTTCTTATGGCTGCAGCTGCTGTGGGCTTTAGAGTTCTTGCTTTTTACTGGCCAATCTCTGTTATGGTTAATAATGCTTTATGTTAAACTTTCTCTGTTCAAATTATTGTCTTCTGATTGGACCCTGACTGATACACCCTGGCCAAGCACGTCACTTGAACTCCCAGCTGGTGGCCAGCACCAAGTCCAGCCATGTGAGATTTTGGCCATATTGGGCCTTTCAGACATTCTAGCCCTCCAAACAACATCATGTAAAATAGAACTCCTCAGTAAACCCACAGAATCTGAGGCATGATAAAGTATTGCTGTTTTAAGCCTCTCCATGTGGGTGACTTGCTGTGTGTAATAGATATCTGAAACACCTCCCTATGGCCCAGTAGATATCATCATCCCGTTCTAAATGTGAAGGAACTAAAGCTCAGTGAGGCTTAGTGATTTGCCCACAGTTACAGACTAGTAAATGGCTGAACCGGCACTCAAACTCAAAGGGCATTAACATAGCCCTTTCAAACACAATCTCACATAGGGAGCTAGAAGGATCTTAGGAATACTGTCCAATCTCCCCATTCCACAGCCAAGGCAGCTGAAGATCAGGGGATGGAAGCAATTTGCCCAAAGTCACACATGTGGCAAATGGCCATCAAGGCTCGGAATGAGAAGCCCAGTTCTCCTCTCAACCCAAGGCTCTTCCTCCCTGCACAGTGCTTCTCTCACATACCTTCCTTCCATTCTTACCCCGTCTTTTTCCCCATGCACTTTCCCCTCCAGGAAGGCCCTGGGGTGGGGGCGGCGGGTGATCACCTTGGTTGAGAACCCCTAGAAAACATATGGCCACATCTAGAGACATTTTTAGTTGTCACAAGAGGGTGGTGGAGGACCCTTGGCATCTAGTGGATTGAGGCCAGGGATGCTACTAAACATCCTACCAAATGCACGCGACAGCCCTAAAACAAAGAATGACCCAGCTCACACTGTCAATAGTGCTGAAGTTGATAAATCCTGGTCTAGAGAAACCCATGACCCCATAAGATTCCCTGGCTCCGTGAGTCTTCTCTCGTTTTCCCCAAGGCCTGGGCTGCTCAAGTACAGATGGGCAGCACCTACTGTGGTCATTTTTAGCTACTGAAAAATAGTGGATAAACAGGTCCTGAGGCGCTCTGGCAGGAGCCCCTATCACAGGAAGGCCCTGGCATTTTCAAGACTCTGAGACACTAGGCTTGATTCGCTACAATGAGTTTATTGGAAACACAGAGTGAAACAAAGACAAAGGAGAAGGCAGCAGAGTCATTAGTTTTTCAGAAGCTCTTGAGGGCAGCCCCGGAAGGGAGATGTTCTCCCCACACGCGTGGGCCTGTCCCTCGCAGAGTCATAGAACCACTATCCAGGGTCCGCGTCTCCATTCCACAGGCAAAAGCACATGGGCAGAGTCCCAGGTCGTGCAGACAGGGACATTCCCGGGCCTCCCCCGTTCCTCCAAGCTTTGGGGAAGAGCTCAGGCAAGACCAATGTATACAGCAAAAAAAACAGAAGGCAGGCGGAAGAAAAAGATGAATCCTCGGGACAACAAATTGACTACCAGGAAAGGCTACAGAGAGAGACCATGGCGCCTCCCGGCCCTCCCCGGACTCCTGCGACCGGGGATGGCTCCCGGAGCGGAGCGGTGGGGAGGGCGCTTAGAGTGCAGGCAGCGGGCGGCGGCTATTGGGAGGCCGGCGCGGGCGGCGCGTTCTGGTGGCGCGAGGTACTGGCTGGGTGGAGAGTGACGGCGACAGGCGCTGGCGGAGGCGGCAGCCTCCTAGCACCTCTTACAGCTGCCGCCGCAGACGCCAACCCGGGCGGAGGGGGCGCAGGCGTTAGTAGTGCCCACCACCACGTTGCTGTTGCTGGGGACGCTACTGACTCTGGTGGAGACAACAGGGGCAGTAGTGGAGGCGCAGAGATCGCCACAGACAACGCCACCGCGGGAGCTGCTGACGCCTGCAGGGGAAAGAGACGGAGGCGCGCGTCAGGCGCAGCCGCGACCTGGGTGAGTGGCTTTGCTGCGAGCCCACGCGCCCTTTGCCCAGAGGCTCCCAGACCCGCCCAGCGGGAGGAGGGGACGGACCCCACTACTTACAGACATTCACCGAGCCGACGCCCTCGCACAGCCTGCAGGGAGAGAAGGCGAGAGGTCAGTGCCGCGGAAAAGGCGCCGGGCCCCCGTGACTGAAGTGGAGGGGGACATCTGTGGCCCTCCATCTGGGCACTTGCCCAAGGGAAGGGGCAAGAAATGCTCTCGGCCAGGAGCCAGTGTAGACTCGGGTCACCGTGAGGGTCTGGAGACAGAAGGCCTGTGAGTGCCTCGCTCTCCACTGCTTCTGAGCTGTGCAACCCCAGCTTGGGCCAACCTCAGCCTAGGCTTCCTCATCAGGAAAACCTACTTCGTAGATCTCTTGCGAGGACTGAATCAAATAAGAAGCGTCCAGTGCTTAGTGCCTGGCTCATAGCCCTTAAGAGCTATTAGCTGCCACTACCTCGAAGTTGGTTCTGACTGAATTGCAGGTGCATTTGAGGGGAGCAGATTTAACTTCTGAAATCCAGTCTGATTGGTGTCATTAGATTATAGGCATCAGGAGGGTAGACATTTTTGTCTATTCCTTCCTGCACCACCTAAAAACAATGCCTGGCTCAATACAAAACTGTTAGATAAACAAATGGGATTTTAGAACAGGCTCAGAGACTGCCCACCACAGTCCTCTCATCCGGCAGATGGAAAGGCTGAGGCCCAGAAGGAGGACATATCCAATGACAAGGCAGGGCTGTCACCCCAGACACTCATTTCTACCCACCCCACATTTCCCTCCCAATAGCTTCCCCTAAGGGAAGAAAATGGAGTTCCCCTGAAAGCACACTGGCCAAGGATTGGTTAAATCAGCTTCAGATAAGAGAAGCCATGGCCACCATCAAATCATTCCATGCCCAGGTTCCCTAGGTAACACATACCAAAGCTCCTGAGTTCACTCCAAGAGCCCCGTGTGATGGAGGAGTGGGCCACTCAGATTCCAATGCCATCTCCATGTGTTTCTCCAACTTCCAAATTCAGACTTGGAAAACTCCTCCTCCCAGAATTCTTCACTTATGAAATTCCCCAGGCCCAGCCAGACAGACCCCTGCCTCTGAGCTTTCCAATGGAACAACTCGAGTTTGGTGGAAATCTCGTCATATGGTCACTTTAGTTTCTAGGTCCCAAACCTGTGTTCCCCATTTCCCAAATAAACAAGATGCTCCCTCTGCATCCCCAACCTTCACCCTCCTCTCCCCAGGGCCAAGGGCCTGACTGTCCACAAAAAAAAAGGAGCTTCGAGTGAGACCAACTGACCAACTAGGGGAAAGAAACCAAGGGCAAAGAATGAGCTCACATTCTGGGAGTGTTGTCCTTCTGGGAGCAGGAGCTGTATAGCTGCCCTCCAGCTGTATCGCTGGCCTCCAGCCATAGGAAGGCTGAGTGACCAATGGGTCTTCTCCACTCCCCCCACCTCTGAAGCAAGCAAACAAGCAAAAATCCTGAAAGCAAGGCATAACTGCCCCAAGGGATAAGTCCTTGCTCTCTGCCTAACTCATTCCCACCTGCCACAATGGAATACCACTTTGGGATGCTCATTGGCACTATAATAGAAAAGCATGAGTTGATAGTGTCATCTATCTGAAGCTGTCCTTATGGGATACATCTGAACTCCCAGGTCTAGATGGGGCCAGGGCCAGACTAGGAAAAAGAGAAGGAATCCTGAGAAGCACATGCAGCTACAGCTGGAAGGGAAGAAGCACTACCCAGGCAAGCTGACCCCAAGCCTTAATTAGGCTTCTCAGTAACAGGAATACCTGCTGCCAGATTACTGGATCTCAACTGAGATGAACAAGACTGCAATCTCAGATCAGTGCCTGGGTGAACATGAGAGACTCAAACGGGGCTAGATCATACTTAAAGGACTTACACAAATTACCTGTCTGGTTGCAGGGTGGGGAGGTTAAGAAACAAAACTTAAATGCTGCCAGGAGTGTGAGGACAGAGCACACTGAGAACCCTGGCAGGGCTGGGAAAGGGAAAGGTCTATGGGACCCACCTCTGCTCCTCGCCCTCCAGCAGGCGCCTGTAGGTGGCGATCTCGATGTCCAGGCCCAGCTTGGAGTTCATCACCTCCTGGTACTCCCTGATCAGGCAGGCCATGTCCTGCTTGGCCTTCTGCAGGGCACCCTCCAGCTCGGCCAACTTGCAGCGGGCATCGCTGAGGGCCGCCTCACCCTGCTGCTCAGACTGAGCCACCGCAGCCTCCAGCTTGGAATTCTGAAGAGAACAGAGAGAACAAGGTAGATTAGAGTCCCTGGGTCTCTCTGATGCTTACCTCGATGAGACCATGCTCCCCACCAAGCTGGGAGCACCCCAGAACAGAGCCTCTTGCCTTCATCACCTGGGACTCACAGAGACCACAACCAGGGACTCTACATGGACAGAGGGGCTGGAGAATGAATGCTGAGATCCAGATAGGGCACACATAGGCTGTGTGACCATGGTTAGACCCTCGGTCTCTCTGACCTTGGGCACAGATGCCCCATACCTGGCACTTGGCATTCTCCACCTCAGCCGTCAGCCTCTGGATCATGCGGTTCAGCTCGTTGATCTCCTCCTTGGTGCGGCGCAGGGTCTCCCCGTGCCTGATCACCGTGGCCTTCATCTCCTCACACTGGGGGAAGTAGAGATGCTCATGAGGTTCAGGGTGGGACCTCCCACCCATTCAGGGCATGACAGATGATTTTGCAGGTTGTGCAGTGCTCAGCCTGTGCAACCACACATGGCAGTCCTGCCCTACCACCCCAACATCAGAGTGGCAGCCATCTCTTCTCATCCCTAGTGCATCCCCAGAAAAGGAAGCCTATTTAATAGATAATCTCAAATCCCTCCCACTGCCATGTCTAGCAGGCAGGTGTCCTGTGCCACTCACCTTGCTGCGGTACCAGGACTCGGCCTCAGCCCGGCTACGGGTGACAATGTCATCGTACTGTGCCTTGATCTCGGCAATGATGCAGTCCATGTTCAGGTCCCGGCTGTTGTCCAGCTTGACAACCACGGAGGTGTCTGAGATGTGGGACTGGAGAACGCGGATCTCCTGCAGGAGGTGAGGGCAGTGACTTTAGTTGAGAACACAGCCCCACCCACCATGTCCTGACTCCACCTCCTCAGGCTTTCTCTGGTCCCCAACCCTGCCCCCTCACACAGCCTCAGGGACTGCAACCTCTACCCACATCCTGTCCAACACTCCCACCCCCATCTCTCCTCTCTGCTGGCTGCCAGGTCTCTGCCTGGCCCCTGAGCCCGCACCTCCTCATACAGCCGCCTCAGGAAGTCGATCTCCTGGATCAGGGCCTCCACATTGGCCTCCAGGTCTGATTTGCGGAGGTAGGCGCAGTCCACATCCTGGAAAGGTGGGGAGTGTTGGAGCTCAAGGACCCTGGTGATCCAGCCTCTAGATTCCTCTCTCTTCCCACCCATTCCATGAAGCCTGGGGAAAGGAGTCCCCAGTGTCTCATTCCCATGCCCTCTCCTTCCCTTCTGGCCCTTCCCGGGGTGACCTGGCATCCTCTGCCATTCTGAGGACAAACCCTGTTTGTCTTGGGCACGGCTCACCAGCCTTTCACTGCTCCTTACCCTCTTATCTCTCCTTTCTCCCCTCTCCTGCTCCAGGAAGCCTGCCCAGACTGACCCCCCAGCTCTCACACCCTGACCCTTTCCTGTCCCCCAGCAGTGCTCCAAAAGCCCAAGGGCTACTCCTGGTTCTTCTCCATCCCCCCTTAGAACCTGGGATTGTGTCTCTGCCTCAAGGTCAGACTCCCCAAAATGCTAGACAGACTGCACTGTCTCTCAGCAGAGACATTGTATCTGCTATGGCTCCAGGGGCCTCAGCAATAGACCACAACCTCTGGAACAGAGCAGGACACACAGAGGACAGTGCAGCCATCCCCTTGCCCAAGGTAGGTGCTGGTAGATATTCCCAAGTCATTGCCCTTTGTCAAGGCCCTGGATGCTCAATACAAAGGCCTGCATCTGGGCAGTCCTAGCCTGCTGTGGAAAGGTCATTGTGCCCCACGCTGAGGTTGAGACCCCCTGTGTGTCCCCAGGAAGAATCTGTCATTCTGAGATCCCACAGATCTGTGCTTCTCAATCCTGTGTCACTTGCCTTCTTCAGAGCCACAAACTCGTTCTCAGCTGTTGCTCTCAGAGAAACCTCCTCCTCATACCTGAGACAGAGCAGAGGGAAGAGAGGGGAGGTCAGGGCAGGGCAGGTCTCTGCAGAGCCACCATCACATCACACTTCATCACAGCCATGGGGACAGTACTAGAAACACCTCCACACAGCCCCGGCCTGGCAGCCTAGCTTAGTGCTTTCTAGTTGGATGTGGGATGTGTCTGGGATTCTCTATCCACTTTGAACTGGGGATGGAGAGTGCTCATCTGGGACCTCCCAGTCCTGTTCCCAAAGGGGCTCTGAGGTCCCCCAGGAGGCAAATAGGACTCAGCCCCCAGCCCCATCCTGGGAGTGGACAGCGTGGACTCTCAGGGCCTGTAGCCCTAGCCTCCCCTCACTGGTATCAATCCCAGCTCAGGTATGGGGCCTCCTGGACCCGCAGACCCTCAGGACTTAGAACCTAAGGCAGTGCGACACCCAGAGCCCAAGACCTGTCACTCATGAGAGACCCTGGGCTCACATCTGACAGGTGCTACAAGTATAGGGGCTGAGGGTCAGGAGAGAAGGCCTGGACCCTGCAGAGGCTTCCTCCCCACCCAGCGCAGGGGAGAGCTGCTGGGTGATGTGGTTCAGGGAGAGAAGGCTGAAGTGGGACAGAGACAGGTCATGGGAGTCACAGCCCTCCTCTTACACAGGTGTCTGGGCAAAGATTCCACAAAGGAAAAGACCCCGCCACCCTCGGTCAATCTAGTGGTCATGGCCACTCACCCTACCTGGGAGTTCTTATTGTCTAATCCAGTGTATTTAACCTAAACCCCATTCCTGTGCCCAGCATCCCTCTTGCCCGCACTCACTTCTTCTTGTAGCCCTCCAGCACCTCCTGCACGTGGTTAAGCTCTGAGGCCAGCCTCCCGCTGTCGGCCTCCACGCACTCGGCCTCCCGCCGCAGAGTCTCGATGTAGCCCTCAAACAGGGGCTCCAGGTTGCTCTGGCAACACTCGCGGTTCTGGTAGAACTGCAGCTTTGTCTCCAGCAGTTTGTTCTGCTGCTCCAGGAAGCGCACCTGCCATTCGGTGTGGGAAGGTGGGGCAGATGGTGTCTGGTGCCCCAAAGCCAGCTCTGGGGGCTCGCAGGGGAGGTGCTTTAATGGGAACCCCCAAATCTGGAGCTTATCTGAGATTGAGTAGAGGTGGGCAGTGGGAGACAGACAATTTCTGGATTTCCTGGTCATGATCTGTGTCTAGATTTCCCACTCAGGAGTGGAGCAAGGGCTGGGTGGTGTCAGTGCCTGCTCCCTGGGGAGTTGAGTGACCCCCCCCCCACCCCCCACCCAAGCAGATGAACAGAAGTAGAGGCTCAGTCCCTCACTATGAAACTAGGTGATCAGCAACCCACACAGGCAGAGTACTCAGGTTCAGATCACAGATGAGGTTTCTGGGGATGGTGCCAGGAAGAGGGTGTCACAGGCCATCTGGAAGGGAGCTCAGCTGTCCCAGCCCTTCCCCTGTGTCATCTGGAAGTCAGTGCACCCTACTCTCTCACCCTGGGGCTGCCCAAACCCCTCTGAGTTCAGCAGCAGTGGTCACATGCCCCCCTCCCCCAACTCCCTGATGTCTAGCTTGTGCCCCAGAGCAGCCTGGCCACACTTTTCCTTCACAAGCTCCCTCTATCTGAACTGTCAGCTGAGTCTGCATCTTGAGTGCCTGTGTGTGTGTGTCTGTGCATGTGTCTGTCTGTCTGTGTGTCTGTGTGCCTCGCCCATCAGACTGGGATCTCAGGCAGGCAGAGGTCTTTGTGCCTCTGACTCCATCCTTAGTGCCCGGCCCTGGCTGTGTAGGTGGTGGGGGTTCAGGAAGGGTGTGATCCAGGACACCCACCTTGTCGATGAAGGCCGCGAACCTGCTGTTGAGGGACTTGATCTGCTCCTTCTCCTCCTGCTTCACGCACTGCGCGTTGGGGTCGATCTCCAGGTTGAGGGGCGTGAGGAGGCTCTCGTTGACCGACACGGTGGTGATGCATGGGGGACTGGGCCCGCACACGCCCCCGGAGCGGTAGCCGAAGCTGCGTCCGCAGGAGCCGGCCCGAAAGCCTCCGCACACGCTGTGGCTGCCGAAGCCCCCGGTGAGGCCGCGGTAGCAGGAGATGCCACGGTAGGGGGCGGCGGTGATGCAGCAGCGGCCGGGCCGGGGCCCGCAGGCCGAGATGCAGCTGAAGGCGCGGCCACCACAGTAAGATCCACAAGTCATGGTGCTTTTTGGGGAAGAGAGGAGGTTCTGAGGATGGAGACGTCCGAATGGAGAGCACAGTGGTCGGGGCGTCAGGCGTTCACTACTTGCACCTCTGTAGGCCTTTTATATAAGTGGGGAGACTGTGACCACGTGGGTCGGAGCAATTAGAAGGCTTTATGGGCTTGGGTTGTTTAGCTGCTGTCGCTCCCCACTTAATGTACTTAATTGGTGCCCAGAAGCAGCCAGATGTTATGATCTCTTGCCCTAAACTGCAGTTTTCTTCTTCAAAGGACCAACTCACGTCCCGCACACCCACCTCAACCTCCCAATACACAGTTGAGGAAACTGACGTTGGACGAAGGAGTGGGCAGTGACTCAGGTTGGAATGGAAGGGAAGGGGCGGGGCTGCTGCTCTTTCTGTCCTGCGGGGTTTGACATGGTCAATGCCGCTGTCCGCGGTGCTCATAGGACTAGCCAGGAATGTTGGGAGGGGGAATCCCTTGATGTGGAACTTGGGGGGCGCTTGGTGGTTTCTCCGAACTAGATGACCTGTTTCTGCACCCCAAAAGACCCACGTTTACAGAATCTCTAACTTAGTCACCTTCTCAGGGACCCAGTTCCTCCACACCTACTCCCAAATCCCTTATCTATACCTATCAACATGTTTTTTTCTCTCTCTCTCTCCCACTCTCTGGTGCACACACACATACACACACAAACTCACACACAATGCACTCACATGCTGGCCTTCCTACTCACAACCCCCCCTCTCTCTTTCACATACACACTCACACACACAATGCTTTCACATGCTGGCCTTTCTACCCACCATCTCACACACACACACACACTCACAGGTCCTCACCTGCACATTCAACTAGCATGTAGACTAGTCCTCAGGCCACCTTATTAGGTCATATTGGCCAGCCTCGGCTGAGAGGAGGCATTCCCTCCCTCAGAGTGTCCCATGCGGCCTCAGGAGCACACACTAGCCCACTGGCCCCAGGAAAGCACAATTACCTCCCACAAGGCCCTAGACAAGGATTGAATGTCTGGATGTCCTCTCAGGCCTCTGTGTAACCTCCAGGGCCTAGAAGGTCTGGGATGAGCACCACTGTTATGCATCTATACAGTATCTGGCTCAGAATATGAGATCAAATAGAGCCACATGAGGAGAGCATCCAGCCCCTGCCATCATCCCCTGAGTCCCTGCTGCTTTCTGCACTATACTCCTTGAAACTCCTGCACAGAAGTTTGTCAGTACCCTTGGCAGGTGCCAGAGAACAGATCTATATTTGTATGTGCCATCCATCCAGTGTGAATAGTGTGGGTCTTAAACTCACAAAGGCTGGGTAGGAACCAAGGCTCTGCCCTGAGTACCCCTGTGTGATCTAGGGGAAGGCACTTGACTCTCCTGGGAAATAGGTTAAGGCTTTCCCTCCTACTACTGCCTTAGAGTTACAGAAATGTGTACATGCTCAGTGGACTCCAGAGCACAGAGCAGATGGGCTTCATTACAATCATTAGGAAGCGGTGGGCTCAGGGGCAGTGTTTATTCAGAATTCATGTTCTGACCCACTAATTGAACCAACCAGAATTTTATTTTAATGAAATTGATTATGAGAAAATCAAATAGAGTAGAATAGACCAGAAAATAGCAGATTGCACCTTATGTCATGGGAATAACTTGTTACATGCCCTTTTTGTTTCAGTTGTATGGCCTATGTATATGTATGTGCATACTCAGTCACCATGTAAAATTATTTCTTATTATAGTTGCAGCAGAAAAGTTGAAATATCTATTTCTCACTGTATACAAAAACCAAATTAAAATGGATTAAAGACTTAAATATAAGACCTCAGACTATGAAACTACTAGAAGAAAACATTGAGGAAATGCTTAGGGCATTGACCTGGACAAAGATTTCTTGATTGAGACCTCAAAACCAAAGGCAACCAAAGCAAAAAATGGGCAAATGGGATCACATCGAGCTAAAAGAACTTCTGCACACCAAAGGAAACAATCAACAAGTTGAAGAAATGACCTACAGAATGGAAGAAATATTTGCAAACTATTCAACTGACAAGGAATTCGTAGCTGCAATATATAAGGAACTCAAACAACTCAATAGCAAGTAAACCAAATAATCTGATTTTAAAATGGGCAAAAGATCTGAATAGACATTTCTCAAAAGAAGACATATACATGACCAACAGGTATATTGAAAATGCTCAACATATCATCAAAGAAATACAAATCAATACCACAATAAGATTATCATCTCAACCCAATTAAAATGACTTTTATCAAAAAGACAAAAAAATTATGGATGCTGGCAAGGATGTGGAGAAAGGGGAACACTTGTACACTGCTAGTGGGATGTAAGTTACTACAGCCACTATGGAAAACAGTATGGAGTGTCCTCCAAAAGCTAAAAATAGAACCACCAGGTGATCCAGCAATCCCACTACTAGGTATACATCCAAAAGAAAGAAAATTCTTATATCAAAGAGATGTCTGCACTCCCACGTTTATTGCAGCGCTATTCACAATAGCCAAGATTTGGAATCAAACTAAGTGTCCATCAATGGATGAATAAAGAAAGTATGTTACAGATACACAATGGAATATTATTCAGCCATAAAAAGGAATGAAATCCTGTCATTTGCAACAACATGGATGGAACTGGAGGACATTATGTTAGGGAAAATAATTGAGGTACAGAAAGACAAATTTCAGATGTTCTTACACATATGCGAGAGCTAAAAAAATTGATCTCATCAGATAGAGAGTAGAATGATGGTTACCAGAGGCTGGGAAGGGTAATGGGGAGGGGAAGATAAAGACGTGTTAATGAGTACAAAAATACAGTTAGATAACAGAAATGAGATCTAGTGTTCAGTAGCACAATAGAATGACTATAGTTAATCATTTATTGTGTATTTCAAAATAACTAAAGGAGTAGGCTTGGAATGATCCCAACACAAAGAAATAATAAATGTTTGAGGTGATGGATATTCCAAGTACTCTGATTTGATCAGTACACAGTTTATGCTTATCTCAAAATATCTTATGTAGCCCATAAACATGTATAACTATTATGTACCCATAAAAAGAAAACATTAAAATAAATAAATAAATAAATAAAAAGTTTGAATACATGGCATATTAGTTAAGCACACAGACTCAGATTCCAAACTGCCTCGTTTCGAATTCTAGCTCTGCCACTCTCTAGCTGTGTAAACTCAGGCAATTACTTAGCCTCTATGTACCTCATTTCATGATTTCTAAAATGAAGATAATAATAGTACCCACCTCATAAAGTTGTAAAGATTAAAAGAGTTAATCCATGTAAATCACTGAGAACTAAGCCTGGCACACTCTAAGTGTGTAATCATATTAGTTGTTGTTGTTGTTGCTGCTGATGCTGCTGCTGCAGACGTATCAACAGCATTGATGGGATATACTCATCCACATGCCTAAGCCATCTGTGTCCAGTTTTCATTAACCGCCTTATCTTAAAGAACTTGTAGAAGGATTAAATGAAATAATGCATGGACAATGTTTAACAGCAGCTGGCACATAGAAAATGCTCAATAAATGTTATCTACTATATTCTACAGTGGGAGCCAGTCCAAGGGGCAGAGGATCTGAGAAGTTTGGCCATGGTTACTCCATTTGTCCTCGAAAAGAACCCCAAAACACATGCCCCTCCTTCAATCTCTGCTCCAGCCTGATTGCCTCAGAGAAGGTCCAAAGAGAATCTCTTCTCTTTGGCAAAGGAACACACCACCAATCCTTGGGTAACCATACTACTGGATGAGAAGAGAGGCTTGGATAATCTAAAAATTCTGTAATCTGTGAATAATTCATAAGTGTGTATTTATTATTTGGACTTAACAGACCATCAGAAATCCTCAGTCATAAATTAAATGATGGCACACTCACTCATCTTTATTTTTGCCTGATCCTAAAACCTCCTGATTGGTCAGTAGCCAGAGGATTTCATGAGGTTGAGGATGGGGGATATGGACTTGATAATTCATCCAAGTATAATGGTGCTCCAATGAGAGCAAGAGAAGGCAAGCTTTCATTGCAGATGGACAAATGGAAGTTGGAGTTGAGGAAGAACTTGCCAGAAGACAAGTAGTCATTACTTTCTAAAGGAGCTTGCATTATCTCTTCCATTTAGGGAGGCTTTAAGTAAAAGAAAGACACTTCTTATTCTGCAGTGGCCACCATTTTTGTGGAGACAAGGTGAACCAAAAGACCTTCAGATCTGGAGATCAGAATCTCTTCTTTTAGCCCAAGTGGACCTTTATTTCAAGGGGCACTTGTAAAGAATGGGCAAATTAGGTGGTTTTAACATTAGAAAGTTCTTGTTCAGTGCTCCCTTCGGTTCATTCTGCTCCCTGGAGGGTATTATAAGGCAGACTCCTCAAGATAGTTGATCGCTTAGACTAGACAACATTTTCCAGATGGGGGACTCGGGGATTTTGTGACTGATATTTCCTAGCTCTATGCTCAATCCTGTCTTAATTTTGGAGGGAAGGAGGCATTAAGAGGAGGAAGGAAACATGGGTTCTGGAGCTCCCAGTCTGGTAGAGCATATCCAAATTCATGAGAAAGGCCAGAAGTCTAAAGAGGGCTACTTTTCATACATACTGTCAGATACTGAGGCATGCAATGACTGCTGACAGTGTCCTTTCTGGGACAATGTGCAATTGCAGCTAGTCTGATGGGAAAGGCAAGAAAGGCTCCCTGGAAAGGGTGAGGACAAGCTTTAGGCAAAAGGCGGGCAGGACAGTGTTGATGAGAAGATGTGCATGGAAGCATTTCACACAGTGACAGACAATGAGACAGGGCTAGTGGGTGGACAACAGGTGATCCTGTGGGCCCTTGCAGGAGTGGAGAGGATCATGAGATACTGTGACAGCGGAGAGAGAGGGAGAATGCCGGTTGAGGCACAGCCCTCATAAGCAGGGACAGTGTCGTCCCTGAGACTCTGCTACACAGCTGTGGGCTGGAAGGCAGCCTGTAGGCTCTACATCTGGAGCATCTGCATGCTGGGCTTACAGGTCTCCAGAGGGCCATGCCCTTACTAACCTTGCAGCTGGCTCATGCTTTCTACTCATAGAAAGCAGGTGCAGGCCAGGGTCCAGTGAAGGAAGTTGAGAGGTAGTGGAGTGGCTGCTTACACAACACCTGGGATGTTGAGATGTTGATAATGGAATTGACCTCAGGCCAGTTGGGTGGGTGATTGGGGAGAGCCCAAGTCAGAGCCCTGCCTTCTCAGCCAAGAGAGCCCAGGACGCTGGCCAATTATCCATCAGAACTCACCAGAGAGGAGTCCCACTGGACAAAGGGCCAGAAGGCCCCTGTAAGATGCCTGGGTGGGGCTGGAGCCTGACTCAAAAGCTCCACCCTGGTAACATTCATCCCACTAACCAGCTGGGTGCCTGCACCTCCCTCGCCCCATGTCCCTGCCCTGTGAGGGTTCATTACTATAAATCTGGAACTACAGTGCCCACCTCTTCCAGTGGGCCTACACACACTTTCCCTTGGTGCTGTGCTGCTTCCCCCATCCACCTCCTCCTCCTCTGCTCTTTCATCCCTGGAGTGACCCTTCCACCATACTTCCCAGATCTTCTCCCATTTTTCCTCCACTGTCCTCCAGTTTCCTCCTCTTCCTGACTATCTCCTAAGATCTCTCCCTCATTTTCTTCTCCACCCATGCAGCACTCTCCTTCTCTTCTTCTAAGTCACCCTGAGAATAATAGTCTAAGACCAAGTATTTCTTTCTCCCTCTTTTCCTAGAAATCTCCTCTGATTTGCTTCTCTCTTTCCTTCTCCAATCCGACACCTGGTCTCTACTCTGCCCCAAGGCCTTCAAGATCCTTGTTCTCATTGGCTGACTTTCCCCACCACCCCCTTATAGCCCAAGCCAAGGACTTTGCTTGGTTGAAGGACACATCTCACTCACTTCATTCATCCTTCAGGCCCCAGCAAGGAAGGTCACCCCTCTCCACCCCCACCCCCAGGAATAGCCACATCATCTGCTTCATGTGTCCCCACCCTATCCTACCACAAAGCTTTGCACAATAAACCACCAAGCTTTGATGGCTCCATTACTCAGCACTTAATATGCAGCTGGTATTCTTTTCATTCATTCAAAAAATATTTATTGAGCACCTACTATGTGACAAGCCCTTGGAATATATCCACGAAGAAAACATTTGTACACACTGATGTGCTGCAGGGTTTCCATTTTTGTTCATTATCTGGGTATGTGTCTCTGCTTTTCTCTTAATACTGGAAGCTTGCCAAGAACAAGGGTGAGCTCTCCTATACTCTCTGGCCCTGAACCCTGAGAGCAACCTGCAGGGCCCTGCAGAGGGCATGGGGCAAGATGAGTGTTTGTGTTTTTATGTTATGTACAAACACCAGCTACTGTGTGATACTTATTACTGATGGCCGATGGTGTACAGAAGGGAGTGCAATGGGACAAACGCATCCCTTCCTTTGGGATCAGACACACAGGCTCTGGGTTCCAGTTCTGCTACTAACATGCAACCTGAGCCTTAACCTCCCTAGACCTCAGTGTCCTCATCTATAAAACGAGAATAATAACACCAACCTCAGAGGGCAACTGTAAAAATTAAATGAGTTAATGCATGTTGGACTCTTAAAATAGTATCTAGTGTGGTATAAGATGAACATCAAAAGATTTTATTATTAAGTTTGGAAGAATAGTCATAAAATAGCTTTCTACATGAAACATCTACTACTGACATAACTTTAAAAAAAATAGCCACATACCCCAGAAAAACTCTTGCATAAATGCACCAGAAGACATGAGAAAGGATGTTCATAGCAGCTCTGTTCAATCTACAGAACTCTGGAAACAACCTTGTGGCTATCGAGGTAGAAAGGCAAATAAACTGTGGTATAGCCATGCAATGAGTGCAATCCACAGTGAAAATGAACACAGGACAGCTACAGGAAGCAACATTTAATGAAAGAAACCAGATGCACAAGGATCCATGCAACATGAGTCCATTTATGTGAAGTTCAAAAGCTGGAAAAAGAAACAATATGTCATTGCAAGATGGGTGCATTGGTTCTAAAACTGTAAGAAAAGCAAAGGAATAATTAAACACAAAATGCAAGAGAGGAGTCACCCTAGGCCAGGAAGGAGTAGGGTACAATCAGAACAAGGTACATAGGAAGCTCCTGAAATACACACATGTTCTATTTTTTCCTATAAGTGGTAGGTATTGCTACAGATCTAACCACCTATGCATTTTTTGTGTTGAAATATTTCACAATAAAAATAATTGTTATCTCCACAAAGTTAAAATCTATCCTCTTTACCTTGCCAGAGCCAAGACCATAGAGTGGAGATTCTGCCATCTTCCCTCCCCTCCTCCCTGCCACCTTCCCTCCCCTCCTCCCTTCCCCATGACAAGGTTTTTTCACTCTGAAGAAAACAAGTTGAATGTCCTTTTAGGTCTTCAAAAATTAGCAGCAATTAATTCCTGAAGTTTAATGAAATGGTGTCACATTTGAATTTTTCATATTCTTACATCTTTAAAATTGCTTAGTAAGGACCAGCCATTAGTAATTAGCTTGTGTTTATACATGTTGTTTTTATAAGGAGTTATACTGGTAGAAAAGGTGAAGTGTGGATGAGATGTACTTTGACTCACAGTGCTCCTCAGGACACCCAACCGCTGGTTTACTGGGGACATCACTGCTCAATTGTGAGCAGTGCCCCAAATTCCAGATGAGGGTACAAAGAGCTTCAGAAGTGCTGGCCCAGCAGCCCTGAACTCACAAAGGGACAGCAGGTGCCATACTCTTCTCTGGGGTGACCAGATAGCTCAACACAGTCTGTGACCTCCCACATTTGTCCTGCACAAGGCCACACTCTGAATGTTTTGCACAGATACCCTGAGAGCCCTATTCTCTTCTATTTTTTTCCTCTCCTCTCTTTTCCCATCAATCCTGCTTCTGTTCTCATTCCCTAAGTCTACTCTGCCTGCCTTTGCCCTTGAAGCATAGCAGCTCCAGGGGGCTATAAGCCAGGCCATTTCACTTCTCTTTTCTTCTCCTCAATTTAATGCAAACCTCTGTACTTTACGAGCTAATTTTTCTAGGACCTGCTCTATTGGAGTGGGGGGTGGTTCACTGGGTAAGTAGAACATAGTACAGTCTATCAAAGTATTGCCATATACCAGAGGTATGCAAATAACTAAAACTGATGTTTTCCACCCCGTCCTTCAATTCTTAGCCACGGGGTGCTGCACATCTAACTCATACTCCTTCCCAGCCCCCAAGTAGCCTCACATCGCCGTGTGTCCCTAAATGACCCCTCATGGTTCTAACCATCCCAATCCACTCTGACTCTGCCCGTCTTCCTTAGATGGACTCTCTCACACCCTAAATTCACAGATACTCCCCTGTAAACAACTTTCACTACCCTCTTGAACTTATCCAAAGATTAGGAAGTCAAGGGGTTGTCACAGCTTATAAGTGAGAAGGCAATGCAACTCCTGGCTCCATCACTTACCAGCTGGGAGACTTCGGGCAAGTTATTTAACCTCCCTGACCCTTGGTTTCCTCATCAGTAAAATGGGGATAATGGCACATACTTCATATGATTGATGTGAGAATTAGAGATCATTTACGATATATAATGATGATCACATAGTAGGTGACCAATTAAAAAGAAACATATTCTTATCAAACTAAGATCCATGTTTCTCTACACAGTTCTTTCTAATTCTAATTCTCTATACAGTTTTTCCTAATACAGGGGGAAATGTACTGAAGTGATCCAACCTCCATCTCCTGGGTTCAAGCAATTCTCCTGCCTTAGCCTCCCATGTAGCTGGGAATACAGGCACGTGCCACCATAACGGGCTAATTTTTGTATTTGTAGTAGAGACGGGGTTTCACCATCTCTGGTCTTAAACTCCTCCACTGAGGCTGGTCTTGAACTCCTGACCTCAGGTGATCCACCCCCCTCAGACTCCCAAAGTGCTGGGATTACAGGTATGAGCCACTGCGCCCAGCTGTGATTCAATTTAGCATCACCAATCTGACATTTTATGCTTCCTGGGGTGATATAATAAGAGTTACACAGCATATTTTATGAAGTATTCTGTCCCAACAATGTTTAATTTAAACCTAATCCAGCCTCTAGCCCAGTGCTGTCCAACAGAATTTTATGTGAAAATAAACAATAAATAAAATAAAAATAAATAATAAAGAAGTGTTCTTTATATGCACTGTCTAATAAGGTAGGCACTACTTACAGGTAGCTGCTGAGGACTCAAAATGTGGATAGTGCAACTGAATAACTAGATTTTTAACTTATTTAGTTTTTACTAACTTAAATTTAAGTAGCCACATCTGCCTATTGTCTACCAAATTGGACATCCCAGCTCAAGATTTACTTTCTAATTTATAGAAAATACAAGGGCTAGAGCCACAAATTAAATTATGTAAAATGTAGTTTTAAAATCCTTAGGACAGTTAGGAAAATTGAATCTGAGATGAATAGTAAGTGGTGCTTTGGAATTATTGTTAATTTTCCTGAATAAGAAAATAGTACTCTCCTTATTCTTAAGAAATTCCTGCTGATGTATTTAAGGGTGACATGCCATGCTTTCTGCCACTCAAATAATTGGGCAACTGTGAAAGCAAATATGGTATAATGTTAACTGTTGAATCGGGGTAAACAGGTGGAGCATCAATGCATGTGTGTTGTATTATTCCAATTTTCCTCAATATTTGAAAGCTTTCATCATAAAAAAGATAAAAGACAAATATTTAATAATCTGCTGACTGTTCCCATGGTAGGAAAAGTGAGATGGTTTTCAGCTGCCAACTGAAAAATCTGGAGATGGGGAAATCCAGATTTGTGTTTCAGGAGCACTTTAGCCACAGCTGTGATGGAAATGAGAGATGGTATTTATTAATGCCTCAGCCTTTCCTGAAACCCCTCTCCCCACATCACACTTAACACACAGGTCTCCTCCTCCCAGTTTCTCCCAGCACCTGGCCTCCCTTCTCTTCCCCTCGCCAGGCTCTACTCCTCCTTCTCGTCCTCTCCTCTGCCTTCCCCTTCCCTCCCCAATGCCTGCAGATGAAGGAATGCCCTGCTGGCAAGACACTTTGAAGATGAAACATGCTGACTCCCCCAGAGCCCAAGACTGACATCTTTTACAAAGAAGAGGGTGCAGGCCACTCCCCCATTAAAGCACATTCTGGAGAGGCGTTAGACCCGGCTAACCACCCAAGCCCATAAAGCGCAAATTGCCCCAACATCATCTTCACAGCCAAGCCCCTTCAGAATCTGCGCATAAATAGGGCTGCGGTGCCCTGAGGAGCACATTGGAGTTTCCATCAGGACTCCAGGTCCCCTATCCTGTCCTCTGCAACCCAAACGTCCAGGAGGATCATGACCTGCGGATCAGGATTTGGTGGGCGCGCCTTCAGCTGCATCTCGGCCTGCGGGCCGCGGCCCGGCCGCTGCTGCATCACCGCCGCCCCCTACCGTGGCATCTCCTGCTACCGCGGCCTCACCGGGGGCTTCGGCAGCCACAGCGTGTGCGGAGGCTTTCGGGCCGGCTCCTGCGGACGCAGCTTCGGCTACCGCTCCGGGGGCGTGTGCGGGCCCAGTCCCCCATGCATCACCACCGTGTCGGTCAACGAGAGCCTCCTCACGCCCCTCAACCTGGAGATCGACCCCAACGCGCAGTGCGTGAAGCAGGAGGAGAAGGAGCAGATCAAGTCCCTCAACAGCAGGTTCGCGGCCTTCATCGACAAGGTGGGTGTCCTGGATCACACCCTTCCTGAACCCCCACCACCTACACAGCCAGGGCCGGGCACTAAGGATGGAGTCAGAGGCACAAAGACCTCTGCCTGCCTGAGATCCCAGTCTGATGGGCGAGGCACACAGACACACAGACAGACAGACACATGCACAGACACACACACACAGGCACTCAAGATGCAGACTCAGCTGACAGTTCAGATAGAGGGAGCTTGTGAAGGAAAAGTGTGGCCAGGCTGCTCTGGGGCACAAGCTAGACATCAGGGAGTTGGGGGAGGGGGGCATGTGACCACTGCTGCTGAACTCAGAGGGGTTTGGGCAGCCCCAGGGTGAGAGAGTAGGGTGCACTGACTTCCAGATGACACAGGGGAAGGGCTGGGACAGCTGAGCTCCCTTCCAGATGGCCTGTGACACCCTCTTCCTGGCACCATCCCCAGAAACCTCATCTGTGATCTGAACCTGAGTACTCTGCCTGTGTGGGTTGCTGATCACCTAGTTTCATAGTGAGGGACTGAGCCTCCACTTCTGTTCATCTGCTTGGGTTGGGGGGGGGGGGTCACTCAACTCCCCAGGGAGCAGGCACTGACACCACCCAGCCCTTGCTCCACTCCTGAGTGGGAAATCTAGACACAGATCATGACCAGGAAATCCAGAAATTGTCTGTCTCCCACTGCCCACCTCTACTCAATCTCAGATAAGCTCCAGATTTGGGGGTTCCCATTAAAGCACCTCCCCTGCGAGCCCCCAGAGCTGGCTTTGGGGCACCAGACACCATCTGCCCCACCTTCCCACACCGAATGGCAGGTGCGCTTCCTGGAGCAGCAGAACAAACTGCTGGAGACAAAGCTGCAGTTCTACCAGAACCGCGAGTGTTGCCAGAGCAACCTGGAGCCCCTGTTTGAGGGCTACATCGAGACTCTGCGGCGGGAGGCCGAGTGCGTGGAGGCCGACAGCGGGAGGCTGGCCTCAGAGCTTAACCACGTGCAGGAGGTGCTGGAGGGCTACAAGAAGAAGTGAGTGCGGGCAAGAGGGATGCTGGGCACAGGAATGGGGTTTAGGTTAAATACACTGGATTAGACAATAAGAACTCCCAGGTAGGGTGAGTGGCCATGACCACTAGATTGACCGAGGGTGGCGGGGTCTTTTCCTTTGTGGAATCTTTGCCCAGACACCTGTGTAAGAGGAGGGCTGTGACTCCCATGACCTGTCTCTGTCCCACTTCAGCCTTCTCTCCCTGAACCACATCACCCAGCAGCTCTCCCCTGCGCTGGGTGGGGAGGAAGCCTCTGCAGGGTCCAGGCCTTCTCTCCTGACCCTCAGCCCCTATACTTGTAGCACCTGTCAGATGTGAGCCCAGGGTCTCTCATGAGTGACAGGTCTTGGGCTCTGGGTGTCCCACTGCCTTAGGTTCTAAGTCCTGAGGGTCTGCGGGTCCAGGAGGCCCCATACCTGAGCTGGGATTGATACCAGTGAGGGGAGGCTAGGGCTACAGGCCCTGAGAGTCCACGCTGTCCACTCCCAGGATGGGGCTGGGGGCTGAGTCCTATTTGCCTCCTGGGGGACCTCAGAGCCCCTTTGGGAACAGGACTGGGAGGTCCCAGATGAGCACTCTCCATCCCCAGTTCAAAGTGGATAGAGAATCCCAGACACATCCCACATCCAACTAGAAAGCACTAAGCTAGGCTGCCAGGCCGGGGCTGTGTGGAGGTGTTTCTAGTACTGTCCCCATGGCTGTGATGAAGTGTGATGTGATGGTGGCTCTGCAGAGACCTGCCCTGCCCTGACCTCCCCTCTCTTCCCTCTGCTCTGTCTCAGGTATGAGGAGGAGGTTTCTCTGAGAGCAACAGCTGAGAACGAGTTTGTGGCTCTGAAGAAGGCAAGTGACACAGGATTGAGAAGCACAGATCTGTGGGATCTCAGAATGACAGATTCTTCCTGGGGACACACAGGGGGTCTCAACCTCAGCGTGGGGCACAATGACCTTTCCACAGCAGGCTAGGACTGCCCAGATGCAGGCCTTTGTATTGAGCATCCAGGGCCTTGACAAAGGGCAATGACTTGGGAATATCTACCAGCACCTACCTTGGGCAAGGGGATGGCTGCACTGTCCTCTGTGTGTCCTGCTCTGTTCCAGAGGTTGTGGTCTATTGCTGAGGCCCCTGGAGCCATAGCAGATACAATGTCTCTGCTGAGAGACAGTGCAGTCTGTCTAGCATTTTGGGGAGTCTGACCTTGAGGCAGAGACACAATCCCAGGGTCTAAGGGGGGATGGAGAAGAACCAGGAGCAGCCACTGGGCTCTTGGAGCACTTGTGGGGGACAGGAAAGGGTCAGGGTGTGAGAGCTGGGGGGTCAGTCTGGGCAGGCTTCCTGGAGCAGGAGATGAGAGAAGGGAGAGACAGGAGGGCAAGGAGGGGTGAAAGGCTGGTGAGGCATGGTCAAGGCAAACAGGGTTTGTCATCAGAGGGACAGAGGATGCCAGCTCATCCCAGGAAGGGCAGAAGGGGAGGAAAGGCATGGGAATGGGACACCAGGGACTGCTTTCCCCTGGCTACATGGAATGGATGGGCAGAGAGAGGAGTCTGGGGGCTGGATCACCAGGGTCCTTGAGCTCCAACACTCCCCACCTTTCCAGGATGTGGACTGCGCCTACCTCCGCAAGTCAGACCTGGAGGCCAACGTGGAGGCCCTGATCCAGGAGATCGACTTCCTGAGGCGGCTGTATGAGGAGGTGCGGGCTCAGGGGCCAGACAGAAACCTGGCAGCCAGCAGAGAGGAGAGTTGGGGGTGGGAGTGTTGGACAGGATGTGGGTAGAGGTTGCAGTCCCTGAGGCTGTGTGAGGGGGCAGGGTTGGGGACCAGAGAAAGCCTGAGGAGGTGGAGTCAGGACATGGTGGGTGGGGCTGTATTCTCAACTAAAGTCACTGCCCTCACCTCCTGCAGGAGATCCTCATTCTCCAGTCGCACATCTCAGACACCTCCGTGGTTGTCAAGCTGGACAACAGCCGGGACCTGAACATGGACTGCATCATTGCCGAGATTAAGGCACAGTATGACGACATTGTCACCCGCAGCCGGGCCGAGGCCGAGTCCTGGTACCGCAGCAAGGTGAGTGGCACAGGACACCTGCCTGCTAGACGTGTCAGTGGGAGGGATGTGAGATATCTATTAAATAGGCTTCCTTTTCTGGGGATGCTGGTCCCTAGGGATGAGAAGAGAGGGCTGCCAATCTGAGGTTGGGGTGGCAGGGCAGGACTGCCATGTGTGGCTGCACAGGCTGAGCACTGTACAACCTGCAAAATCATCTGTGGTGTCCTGAATGGATGGGAGGTCCCACCCTGAACCTCATGAGCATCTCTACTTCCCCCAGTGTGAGGAGATGAAGGCCACGGTGATCAGGCACGGGGAGACCCTGCGCCGCACCAAGGAGGAGATCAATGAGCTGAACCGCATGATCCAAAGGCTGACGGCCGAGGTGGAGAATGCCAAGTGCCAGGTATGGGGCATCTGTGCGCAAGGTCAGAGAGACCGAGGGCCTAACCATTGTCACACAGCCTATGTGTGCCCTACCTGGATCTCAGCATTCATTCTCCACCCCCTTTGTCCATGTAGAGTCCCTGGTCGTGGTCTCTCAATGAGTCCCAGGTGATAAAGGCAAGAGGCTCTGTTCTGGGGTGCTCCCAGCTTGGTGGGGAGTGTGGTCTCATTTGGATGAGCATCAGAGAGACCCAGGGACTCTAATCTACCTTGTTCTTTCTGTTCTCTTCAGAACTCCAAGCTGGAGGCCGCGGTGGCCCAGTCTGAGCAGCAGGGTGAGGCGGCCCTCAGTGATGCCCGCTGCAAGCTGGCCGAGCTGGAGGGCGCCCTGCAGAAGGCCAAGCAGGACATGGCCTGCCTGATCAGGGAGTACCAGGAGGTGATGAACTCCAAGCTGGGCCTGGACATCGAGATCGCCACCTACAGGCGCCTGCTGGAGGGCGAGGAGCAGAGGTGGGTCCAACCAAGGGTGGCCCAGAACCACCCTTCCCCATCCCTGGCACAAGCCTACCCTTGGCCTTGGCTGAGCAATGGCCAGGGCTCTGGGGGAAAAAAATATTATTATTCACTTCCGGTGTGGGGAGGGCTGGTGTGTGAGTTTGTCTGAGGCAAGCTGTTCCCTCAGACTCTGTTCTTAATTGACCAGTTGTGGACCCTACCCTATGAACTGGGGAGCTTTTTCAGCCACTCTGGGGCAGTCACTAATGTTGCCTTTTTCTCTTTTGCCCTCAGGCTATGTGAAGGCATTGGGGCTGTGAATGTCTGTGAGTATTTGGGGTCCAGTGTGGACAGATTTACTAACTACCTGTGATGGAGGGCAGAGTTTGGAAAAAGGAGTGTTACTGAGATTGAATATAAAAGAGTGGGCTGGCATCACAACAGGAGGGATTTGGGGTCAGACATCCAAAAGACCCCAGCTCTTGGACTAGATGGACCTAGAATTGTCCACAAAGATGCTTCTGACTTTTCATACCAGAGCTCAGGTCTTGGGCAGGGGCGGTTGTCAGGAAGGCAGGATGGCTTGCCCTTCAGAATTTTGACTCAGCCTTCGGGGTTCACAGGTGTCAGCAGCTCCCGGGGCGGGGTCGTGTGCGGGGACCTCTGCGTGTCAGGCTCCCGGCCAGTGACTGGCAGTGTCTGCAGCGCTCCGTGCAACGGGAACGTGGCGGTGAGCACCGGCCTGTGTGCGCCCTGCGGCCAATTGAACACCACCTGCGGAGGGGGTTCCTGCGGCGTGGGCTCCTGTGGTATCAGCTCCCTGGGTGTGGGGTCTTGCGGCAGCAGCTGCCGGAAATGTTAGGCACCCCAACTCAAGTCCCAGGCCCCAGGCATCTTTCCTGCCCTGCCTTGCTTGGCCCATCCAGTCCAGGCGCCTGGAGCAAGTGCTCAGCTACTTCTCCTGCACTTTGAAAGACCCCTCCCACTCCTGGCCTCACATTTCTCTGTGTGATCCCCCACTTCTGGGCTCTGCCACCCCACAGTGGGAAAGGCCACCCTAGAAAGAAGTCCGCTGGCACCCATAGGAAGGGGCCTCAGGAGCAGGAAGGGCCAGGACCAGAACCTTGCCCACGGCAACTGCCTTCCTGCCTCTCCCCTTCCTCCTCTGCTCTTGATCTGTGTTTCAATAAATTAATGTAGCCAACCTGGGTCTTGTGTGTGTCTCTATTACCCTCCTCAGGGGTCGGGGTTAGGGAGGGTCCCCAAAGTCACATGGAGCAGCAAAAGGCCAAGCCAAGGGTCTCCAGTACAGTTTTCTATCCCCCGCCTCATAGAAGGTTCAGATTTAGCCAAGAGTTGTGCTAGGCCCCTATTTGATGTAACTTTATCCACACAACCCTAATGATACACCTTGCAGATGAAGAAGCCAGAACTCAGAGGCACTCAATAATTGGGGCAGGGTCACCCACTTAGTTGGGTGGTTCATCTGGGGTTTAAGCCCTGTGTGTGTCGCTAGTGCTCATTTCACTAAACTGCAGCTGTCTCTCAGAAAACATCTCATGCATATCTGCAAACTGATGGATCATGAAAATCAGATTCACCAATCACTCAAAGCTTGAGGCAACATCACCCATTGCTTTGGTAGGGAAGACTCATGCCTGAGTAATTTATTGGAATTCTTTAAGAGGTGAATACATGAATATGATTTAAAGTTTCAAAAAGCCTTTGATGTTGGCTTTCTTTTTTTTTTTTTTAAATGGCATCACTCTGGGGTTTTGGAGACCTGCCACAGCTGATACATTTTCCTCAAAGACAGAAAACAGCACATAGCAAGATGATGTGGCATAGAGGGGGGACACGGACTCCAGCCAGACTGCCTGGGCCCCAAGCTGGGCCCTGGTCCTTCCTAGGTGAGTGGGTTGGGCAATGTATTTACCCTCTCTGTGCCTGTTTCCACACCTCCAAAATGAGGATGATAGAAAGGGCAACCACCTCATAAGTTGATGAGTTAAAGGATTTCATATACGTAAAAGGTTTAGATGGTGCATGCCACAAAATTATCACTCTATTTTTTATCATTAGTGTTATTCTTTTGCAGAATGTAAAGTAGAAGTCCCTCTAGGGATCAGGGCCTCTTATGGCCAACCTCTTATTACATTGATATCTGTGATCAGAGATTGCAAGTACAGAGAGAAACCTCCGTGGTTACCAGGGCCATTCAGCTCCTTCATGCATGGAAGTATTAACTTGACACTGACGAGGTAGGGGAAGGGGAAGATGACAGCTCAGCCCCACTATGGGCCAAGGTGACTCCCTGAACATACATCTTTAAGCCGGAGTGAATCTCTAAACTTCCAGTCCAAGGCCCAGAAAATACAGCAGAAATGGGAGTCCCCCACCCCTACCCTTCTGGGCACTAGAAATTATTAAGAATATTAAGAGACCAGAAGTGAGTGGACTGAAAAGAACAAATTCTCCTGTAAAAGCTAGAATCAAACCAAGGTCTCTCAGCCACCCCTGATGGAATTCTGAGAGGGACACAATCCTAGAAAGTTCCAGAATTTGTGATCAATCATTCCAACCAGCCCTGTATGCTGTGACATCACACAGCTCAGAAGCTGGCCCTAGGCCAGGTGCAGTGGCTCACACCTATAATCTCAACACTTTAGGAGGCCAAGGTGAAAAGATCGCTTGAGCCCCAGAGTTAGAGATCAGCCCAGACAATACAGTGAGACTCTATCTCTATAAAATATAAAAATATTAGCTGGGCGACGTGGTGTGCACCTATAGTCCCAGCTACTTAGGGGGCCGAAGCAGGACAGCTTGAGCCCAGGAAGTTGAAGCCGCACAGTGAGCCATGTTTGTGCCACTGCCTCCAGCGTGGGCGACACAGCAAGACCCTGTTTCAAAAAAATAAAAAAACAAGAAGCAGCAGCAGCAGCAGCAGCCCCTGTCAGGAGTCCAGACCTGAGACTCAAGCACCAGCTCCATCCCTCCCTAGTTCAGAAGCCAACTACAACTCCAGTCCTGATGGACTTCTCACCTATTCCAACTTCAGCCTAGCTGGGCCTTAGTGACCTGCCGTATTTCACTCCCTCACTCTCCCTCTAGCTCTGACCCTCTCTTCCTTCCTACTCCGGCCCCACAATCCTCACCTCCCTCTAGGTTCCCATTCCTGCACAGGCTCAGACAGAGGAGCAAGGCGGGAAGGAATCAAACACATAATGCCCCGGGTGCAGAATGGTGAAGAAAATGGAACATCTCACTGTGTGACCTTTAGCAAGTCACCTCCCATCTCTGGGCCTTAGTGTATCTGCTAATGAAATACAATGTTTGGGGCTGGGCGTGGTGGCTCACGCCTGTAATCCCAGCACTTTGGGAGGCCGAGGTGGGCAGATCACCTGAGGTCAGGAGTTTGAGACCAGCGTGACCAATAGGAAGAAACCCCATCTCTACTGAAAATACAAAAAATTAGCCAGGCGTGGTGGTATGTGCCTGTAATTCCAGCTACTTGGGAGGCTGAGACAGGAGAATTGCTTGAGCCTGAGAGGTGGAGGTTGCAGTGAGCCAAGATGGCGCCATTGCATTCCAGCCTGGGCAACAAGAGCGAGACTCTGTCTCAAAAAAAAAAAAAAAAAAAAAAAAATGCTTGGATTAGGTGGCTACTAACATCCCTTACCAATTTAAAGCTCTATTATTCTTTTTTTTTTTTTTTTTTTTTTTTGTGAGACAGTTTCACCCTGTTGCCCAGGCTGGAGTGCGGTGGTGCAGGCTCAGCTCACTGCAACCTCCACCTCACTAGTTCAAGCAATTCTCCTGCCTCAGCCTCCCAAGTAGCTGGAACTACAGGTGCCTGCACCACACCGGGCTAATTTTTGTATTTTTAGTACTGACGGGGTTTCACCTTATTGTCCAGGCTGGTCTCAAACTCCTGACCTTGTGATCCACCCACCTCAGCCTCCCAAAGTGCTGGGATTACAGGCATGAGCCACCGCACCCAGTCAACTCTGTTATTCTTTGGGAGAGGTGGGACAGGATTAGGGGCTAGAGGGAAATGGGGAGTCCAGGTTTCATGCAACTGTGCAGTGTATGCGCATGTTGTTTGTATATTCATTCTGCATTGCTCAATGCCTAGAGGTAACTGCGAGTGGAGCAATATGATTGCATCCAGGTACATGCACATTCCAGGCACCTGTGTGGAAACGTGTGTGTGAGAGAGATGGTGAGGGTTTCTAAATGTGTGATTATACATGGTGGACATGTGTGCATCTATGTGCTGAAAAAGGGAGATTTGTGGGTACATGTGGATGTGAGTGCAGTGTGGGTACATGGGTAGACCCATGTGTGCTGGTGAGGTAGGGGTCACCGATGGGGAGTGGGGCTAAAGTGGGCGTAGTGATGGGCAGATGCTGCTGGGGGTCATACTAGGGAGGTGCCCTCTGGCCAAGGAGCCCTTGCTCTAACCCCTAGGCTTGCCTACTTATTCCTCCTGCCCTATGGTCACTCTCACTCCAGGTGGGGCAGATGGAGTTCAGCCACCCTTGGACTTTGGAGAGCTTTCTTTAAAGGGGCTCAAAACTTGGCCGGGCGCGGTGGCTCACGCCTGTAATCCCAGCACTTTGGGAGGCTGAGGCGGGCGGATCACGAGGTCAGAAGATCGAGACCATCCTGGCTAACACAGAGAAACATCGTCTCTACTAAAAATACAAAAACAAAATTAGCCCATCACGGTGGCAGGCGCCTGTAGTCCCAGCTATCTGGGAGGCTGAGGCGGAAGAATGGTGTGAACCCGGGAGGCGGAGCTTGCAGTGAGCCAAGATTGCGCCACTGCAGTCCAGCCTGGGCGACAGAGCAAGGCTTTGTCTCAAAAAAAAAAAAAATTGTTTCAGGGGGCTCAAAAACCTTCTAAAGAATTCCAGTAAGTGAAATAATAGTTACACTTACATAACTTCCTATGCTTTAAGCACTTTACATGCAGCAATACCTTTTCTCAAACAACCCTCTGATAGTTACTCTATTTTGCAGCTAACCTTTGGCTCAGAGGGACTAAGTAGGGAAGAAAACAAGGAAAAAGAAAGCCAAGCACAGTGGCTCACATCTGTAATCCCAGCACTTTGGGAGGCTGAGGCAGGAGGATTGCTTGAGGCCAAGAGTTTGAGACCAGCCTGGGCAGTATGGTGAGACCCCATCTCTACAAAACTTTTTTTTTAATTAGCAGAGCGTGGAGGCATGTGCCTGTAGTCCCAGCTACTGAGGAGGTTGAGGCAGGAGGATCGCTTCAGCCCAGGAGGTTGAGGCTGCAGTGAGCTATAATCCTGCCACTGCACTCTAGCCTGGGTGATAGAGCAAGACTTCATCACTACAAAAATAAATTTAAAATTAAATAAGAAGGAAAAAAAGAATCTTCACAATTTAGATCTAGAGGAGGGCAGGACTGAGGCCCAGAAACAGGTGAAGAGTTTGGACAAGGTAAGAATAAGACTGGGAACAGGATCAAGGCCCTTCCTTCCTTACTCCAGGCTGGTCTGGTTGATCTCTTACAGCTGAAATCACAGCAGGAAGGACTGCATTTAGACTCCACAAGAGACTTCCAAGGGGTTATGCAGAATGCCACATGCCAATGGTCAAAAACAGGGCCCAATACATCTCAGGACAGGACACACCAACCAGGACCATGCAGCCTCAACCCCATCACATCTACTCTGTGGCAGACCCTGAGGATGGATGAGACCTTCACTGCCCTCCTGGGGCTCAGATAGAGACATGACCACAGCCAAGTTAGCATCTGACATGTTTAAATACAACGGAGTGTGAGGCAGGCATGCAGAGCCAACAGAGGACTCACACCTTATAGTGCCCTTCTGCTGAGAAGCAATGACTGAACTGAGGACAGCCCTCCTCCCTTCAGAAGCCACCCGACTCACAAAGCTTATAAATGGGCTGGGGAATGACTCTCCATAAATGCACTGGGCAGTTTCCTCCCACCCCAGTCTGGAATGTGGCCCATGGCCAGGGGAGCCTCTCAGGGAATTAGTCTCCAAACCACAAACATTGCTTGTGATCCACAGGGCCCTGGCCCAGGAAGAAACTCAAACCTGACCCCAAAGCCCTGGGGATCTTCTGGATTGACATCAGGCAAGTCCAGGTTCGGTATTTGAAAAGGGAAAATGTGAGCAACAGTCCTGAGTGACGCAGGTTGCAGAATGTACATCCTAGATCCTGCCTACAATTCCCACAAAGTTCCCTTGTTGACATGATCATCATAGCAGGAGCTGGAGAAAATTGGGCTTGAATAGCAGAGAATCTCATGATCCCCTAGCAAAATGCAAGGAGCACAGAGCTGGACTAAAGAATCTTGAAAGAATCTTCAGGCAGCTTGTTTGCATTTGCGAGTGTTGGCAGGTCAGTATTTATCAACCAGGGCTGATGTGTGAGCCCAGTGGGGTCATGCCCCCTACCCCTCAGGAGGGTGGCATCCGGCTAGCCAAGTTTCAGTCCCATTCCTCTTGCATGAGACTTTTCTGTTTACACAAGAAGAGGGCCTTTTGGATACCTGTCCTCTGGGCAGGCACCCAGAAGAACACAGCAGACACTCTGGCACTAGAGTGCCTTAAAAAGTAAAGCCCAAGCCTCTGGCCAATGACGCACTTCAGCCCCACCCAGGGACATAGAAAGCAGAAACTATTGTTGCATTGATGATGTAATTTCATGCAATAGAAAGGAATGTGGGCTCACTGTACAGAAGCTTCTCTTGGGTCTGTGTGGCAGGGAAAGAACCCAGAAATCCAGCCTTTATCTAGCCACCCCACTCTATCTTCCGACCACCAAAATCCAATGCCTTGTAAAAACTCGGACCAACTTACACCCTGGATCTGAAGTAGAGACAGAGCTGGAGCCTCCGTCTGATTTCACAGCCCACAATTTCCTCCACCATAGTGTGTTGTTCCTCTGCCCGCCACCAGATCATATTAACACAACTCGGTGGCCCAATTGTGTGTTAAACCAGAACCCAAGCTTGGGCCACCCAATTGTGTTCATCTCTCTCCAGCCCCCATCTGCAAGGGCCACCTGTCTTCAAATGCCCCATCAGGGTGATAGAAGGCACTGGCCCAATCCCCATCTCACCCTTTTCTGTTTCTGCTCGGTTTCCTCGTCTATGGCCCACCTCCCTACCCAGAACCTCATCTCCAGGAATCCTAGAGTGTCTTCCTCACCATCCTGTCCCCTGAACCAAGCACTATGAGGCCATTCAGTAAGTATGTGTAGAGTGAATGGATGGATGGAGAATGGAATTCTCAGCTCTGCTGCCCAGAAGCTATGGGCCCCAGGCTAGACTCTTCTGCATGAATGAACCCTTTCTCTCGCTTTCCCCATGGACTCCGGGCTCCCCATCCTAAAGACTCTGGTTCTATAATATCGAATCATCATATACTTAAGTCACATAGACCCTCACAGCAGGAGGGGAGGAGGTTGCTTCCTGGTACTGTTCTCGCCCTGACCCCTCCACCGCAGCCAGGTTTGTCTGTGCTCTGGGAATGGCCTGGAGAATCCGGGTTTAAACTCCTGGCAGCTCAGACCACTCCACAACTTTTTATTGCAGAGAAGTCCCTGGAAAGAAGGGGTGGGAACAGTTCAGAGGGGCAGGGTTCTTGGTCCAGGTAAGCTGGCCACCTCTACCCAATGGCACCAGCGTCCAGGCCATCTGCACTGGGGATGGTCAGTCATAGTCCTGTAAGCTGTGCTCCAACGCCTCACGTCCCGGTGTGGGAGGCAAAAAGGAAAGATGATGTGGGGTCAGCTCTATGGGAGGGGGCATCTGACACAAGAGGGCTAAGTCTTTAGGGCAGAAGCTGAGGGTTCCTTGTCTTCTCCGGAGGGAGGCGGGAAGGGTTCAACATCTGCGGGAGCTGTGTAGCTAAAGCCCACGGACACAGCCGGGAGAGCCGCAGAGCGCGTAGCCGCCGCCAGGGGCGCTCGTCTCCAGGGCGCCGGAGCCTGCTCGGGGCTGGAGCAGGCAGGCGGAGCCCGGCTGAACGGAGGACGACTGTCCGAGGGAGGAAAGCCCTTCCTCCCCCCACCCCAAGCCCCAGAAGACAGACTTGCAGACATCTCCTCCAGATACACAGACCCTCCTCCCCACCAGGAGACAGATGTACAAACTCCCCGAAAGGAACAGGTAAACAGACCTCTCCCCAGAGAACAGACCACAGGACCCCCTTCCCCACACACGCAAACGCAGTCACCCCCGAGAGAAGAAATAGCCCCCGACAAAAGGAGAGGCACAGAGGGAGCTGTCACAGACACAGGAACAGAAACACAGCCCTTCTGCCTTCTCAAGAGGAGGCACGCCAAGGTGTGGACGGGGAAGGAGGGAATAAGGAGAATAAGATAATAAGATAAGATCCGACCATGCCAGCCTACTGTTTACTTACTGATGCTCCTTGCCCCAAATCCCAGACCAAGCCAGCGGAAAGAAGGAAGCAGGTGAGTCCATCTGTCTACTAGGTTTGGTATTCTGCATTCCCCAGGACACACACTCCTGACCCTCCCAGACAGCAGTCCTTCCACCCTGCAAGCTCCCTGGCGCTCTCTGATCACTCCTGCCTTAAATTCATATAACTCACTTTTGTTGATGACTTTTTGGAGGAAAGAGAAGACCAAAAAAAAAAAAAAAAAAACTACACTTTCTTTGGCCTGACTTGATCTTGGAAGGTGAGACCGTGAGGGAACATTTTAAACCTCTACAGGAGACCCCAGAGCAGGTAGCTCCATAATCTGAAGACTAGTGTGTGTCCCTAAAGCTGTCACTTAACCTCTCTGAAACTTACCCCTCATCTGTAAAATGGGGATAATAGGACCTCCCTGCCAGGGTTTTGTGAGGTGTTAAAGGAGGTGATCAATGCAATATGCCTGTGGCATGGGTGATCAGTTCCCCCTCCCTCCCCTAGCCTGGTGACAGCCCTTGTCTCCTACTGTTGTCTACTGAGTTGAAAGCCAAGCCCCACCTGGTCATGTAACCCCACCTTCCCCAGGCCTGGGGAGAGGGGCAGAGTTGAGAAGAAGGCACTTCACACAGAGACCTTATTCCCACTGGCTAGGCCTTGGTCCCTGCAGCTGTCTCCATGGACAAACCGGCCCCTGGTCTCTGATACTGGGGTGGATGACTATGGGTCACCCCGTCCCAGGTGCCAAAAGTACACATCAGCTAGAACTTTTTGTTCAAAGGGCTGTAAGATGGTGAGAGAAACCTAGCTCTAGAGGAACGAGTTCCTGGATACCTAGGTCATCTCTCTCCACCCTTCCCTGGCTGATGAGCGTGGTGCTGCCCTGTGCCCCTGCACTCCTCACTGCAGCCACATCTGAAGCACTTCCCAGCTGACCCATCATCCACTCTCTTCACCCTCCAGCAGCTTGTGGCAGGCAGCAATCTCAAAGTCCAGGCCCCACTTGACGATCACAGCTCTCAGTACTCACACAGCTGCTACATCACATCCTGCTTAGCTCGCTGCAGGGCAGCCTCCAGCCAAGCCAGCTTGCCCTTGGTGCTGCCAGAGCCACCCTCCTCCTGCAGAGCTGGCGGGTCCTTGACTTCCTCTAGTTCACAGGGCGTAGGGAGCGAAGGGTAGACCAAGGACAGAAGGACATTATTGGCCCTCACTCCTTCCCCCTTAAGGATCCAGACCTTGCTCTGAGGCTGCAGAGCCAATGAGGGATTGGAGATTGTCCATGGTTGCAAGGAGTGAGCACACCTGTTCCAAAACTTGTGTTTGTTTGTCTGTATGGCAAGATGAAAAGAACCTGCCCACCTGTCTACCTTCAGGGTGAAGATTTGAAACCGGCTATCTAGGATGGCTGAGAGAGAGCCTTTTACGTCTAGTATGGAGAAACTCCTAATATGAGCCAGGATCCCAGAAGCATCCAATGCTCTTTGGCATGTAATGCTGTGGTTATTGTTTCCTAAGGAAAACTAGCAAGAAGAATATCCATTCCTCACGGGAACCTAGAGTTTATACTCTTCAGGAGGAAAAATAATAAGACCTTGGTGAAGTGTATTTGCTGCTTGGGGAACCAGAACAGCTGTGGCTGGTGGGACCCTGACCATGATGGCCCACCCACTCACTCTGCCCCCTCAGAACCTCAGCAGCTTATCCCTTCTCAGAGTCACCCATTCCTGTACAAGGGAGATCTCTCTCCATGAATACCCTTCCAAGCCTGAGACACTTGCATCTGCAGAAAGCAAGAAAAGACCGGGAACAGAAGCCCTTCCCTCCATGGAGTGAGACTTGAGCCAGCGGGGGTGTGAGAGGGCTGGGAGGTGGGTGGGTTAAGAGAGGAGGCTAAGAGAGAATGGGAGAAAGAAAACATCCTGGAGGACTAGCTCCTTTCTAAGGCTCACAAATGCAAGTGCTTGCAGAGGCCTAGCTGGAAGCATCAAAAGGTGAAGGCTAAATATACATCAGGAGTACCCAGTTCCACAAATACATCTGCCCTCTCCCATTTCCTGAAATCACCAGCACCTCTTTTATATTTTCAGACTTGCATTTCTCTGGCGACATTGACTCAGCACCTTTTCTCTTCTACAAGGATAATAACTTGCAGCCAGGACAGTGATAAATGGCAAGGGACCCTCTGCCTCACATCCAAAGGATGGGATTGGGAGTGGTGGGGACTGCGGCACACCAGGCAGCCTATACCGCATGTGAAGAAGAGAGAGATGATAGAGGCCTCTCTCCTCTAGCCAAATGTTGCCATTTGAGAATCATAATTTAACATTGCCAGATCTTCACATTTTGAAATAGAACCCAGAAAACTGGGTTTCTAGGTAATATCTTGCAATTTCTGAAGATGGGCTCAAATGTAATACTGAGCGAGAAAAACAAAACACAGACATAAAAATGAACATACACAAGTAAAAAGATAATAATGTACAAACAAGCATATATCTTCATACAGATTTACCTACATGTTCATTACTTACATAAAATACACAATGTCCTAGGCAGAGGTAAGCATGATATATGCATGCAGCTGCACTGCTGTATGCTTAGACATTCACTAAGAGAAAGTGTAGCCATCTAATCCAAAGGGTAGGTGGGGAGGGGCAGTTGTCATAAATAATGGTCACCATCCCACCATGGCCACTCTGTTGCCCCCCACTCCCACCTCTCACCTGACTCTCAGCACTGCCCACCTCCACCGTCAGCCACTGGATGGCCTGATTAAGCCTGTTCAGATCCTCCTTGCTGGGCTTCAGGCTCTGCGTGTGTTTCTGCACAGTTGCCTTTAATTCCTCACACTGTGGAGCAGACGGCAGAGGGGAGCTGTAGTCAGGAGGTGAGGAGGCCAGACAGGGCTGCCCATCCACCTGCTGTCACCAGTGGTCACCTAGCTTCTCTGGGCATCCCTTTCTCCATCTGTGAAATGGGAGTGATCATTTTTCCTATCTCCAAAGGTTGTTGAAAGAACACAGTGAGCTTGCCTTGTGCCCATGGGGCCAGAAGATGCCAAAGGAAGCCTGAACTCAGGCAGGAAGGGCAGCAACACAGGGCAGTGATCTGTTGAGGGGAGCTTTGGGACCAAGATCACATAGGGTTTATCCCAGGAACAGGGAGAGTTAAACTCTAGGAAACTGATTATTGTAGTTTACAACATCTAACCATTTAAATTAGTACAAAAAAAATTAATGAAATTCAATATTTCCTAATTTAAAAAACACATTTTAAAATCTAGGATTAGGAAGAAATGTCCTTAATTTGAATGCCATTAATCAGAAACCAGGGACAGTGATCTAGATTCCAGCTTCTTCCCCAAACCCAAGGCTGCTATGGGAAGTGCTGTCTATGAAATCAGGGGACCACTTCCCTTCTTGCACCTCGCCCCCATGTGCATTCAATACACGAATAGCCAGGGAACAATAACTCACACTTGCACAGTGCCTGATGCTTTTCACAAGCTTTTACTCCACGATCTCACTGGGGCCTCACAACCACCCATGAAGTTGGCCAGATGGATGTGACTTTTCCCATTGTCTTTCCTCAGGCAAACTGGGGCTCATTCCATCCACCACGTGCAAGAGGGGAGTGAGTGACCCTGCCAGCCGACAGTTGAGCCAGACTACATTTTAAGCCCATGCTCTTTGCTCTCCACCAAGGTTATACACACCCCCTCAACCCAGAGAGCAAGAACTGTTCACACCAGCCCATTGCAAACTTTCTTCTAGGGCAGATGGAGTGTGGGGGAACAGACCTCAAAACATCATCTCAATTTCTGCTGTGTTCCCACTGCCCCCAACTTTTCTGCTCCTGTTCCCAAAAGCTGTATGCCCAACAGATCTGGGTGAAGTCCAAGACACCTCATCCCTGTGTGACCAGGGAGCCACGTGTATGAGTCTCACCATGGAGAAAGAACTGTGGTCTCCTCCAAGCCTCTCTTGAGCACCAAAGCCCAGCTTCAGCCCAAGAGCTACCAGAATCCTTGCCACTGAGGACTAGGGCCTCTTCTTCCTGGGGGCTCTGTGACCTCATCTCATTACAATCACAGAGTTCTGCCCAGGAGGCCTCAGGGGCATAGGGTAGAAGAGGGCCATACTCTGACCCCAGGTGGGAAAATGGAAGTTTCTGGGCTGAAGTGGAACTTAAAGGAAAGTGGAGGAGGGGAAGGCTACCTCAGGTGGAGGAAATGTGTGGAGCTGAGGAGCTTAGGCTTATGGATGGGCACTGGGGAGCCACAGAGGGTGTCTGAGCAGGACAGTGGCCTGACATGAGATGTGATTGTCTAGAAGCAGTGCAGAAGATTGACAGGAGGGCAAGAAATTGGGACTGGGGATGCCAGTCCCAAGACTTGGTAGGAAATCTTGGGTAGGGCAATGACTTTAACCTGTAGGAATGAGTAGGGGCTAGAGAGCACAAGCTGTGGTCAGCATTTTCTTTTTGTTTTATAAATTTCTCATATATGCAAAAGAGTATGCAAAACCTACATTTATTGATTTCAATAGCAACAATAATAAAACAAATCCTTGTGTACCCACCAGTACCTTCAAAGCCCCCTGCGGGATTTTTGCTGATCCATCTCCAACCCCATCTGATCCCCAAAGTAACCACTGTCCTGAGTTTTTATATTGGTCATTCCCTTGCTTTTCTTTATTACTATGTCATAACGTGTATCCATAAACTAGTGTTGAGTTTTGCCTACCTTTAAGTTTTATATAAATAGAATTACACCTTGTACATTTCTATGACTTGCTTTTTCCTCCTCAACATACTAGTTTTGAGATTCATCTTTTTGATGCATGTAGTTTTATTTCTCAGTGTTGTATAGTATTCCAAAGTATGACTACATATATATAGATAGATACAGATATAGACACACACATATACATATATCTCTATTTTCCTATAGGTAGCACATGTGTTTTTTGTTTTTGTTGTAACAAACAATGCTGCCATGAACTTTCTTGTACATATCTGCTGGTGGACCTCAACAAGAGGTTCTTTGGGGTACTAGTTGTCAAACTGTTTTTTAACCTCAACTCTAAATAAGAAATATATGTTGTATCATGAATCACTACCTACGTACAAATACACCACATCTACTGAAATAAGTTTCATGGAAAAATCATTTACTTCTACTATGTGTAAGGCAATCTGATCTAACCAATCACCTTAACACATTCTTTTACTTTCAACTTATGTCCTCATGTTTTAAGTTTATTTCTTATAACTAGCATATTACTTTATTATTATAATATAATGAAAATGAAATACTCATGAACCTACTTACTGATCCCAAAACTAAAATCTTACTAGTAATTTACATTTAGCTCCATGCTCCTTCCCTACCCTGTCCTCTCCTAACCACCCCAGAGGTAACCACTTCCCTAAAGTTGATATAATTCCTTTGTTTTTTCTTAGCTTTATCAAATACATGCATATGCCTCAATATATATTTGTTTCAGTTTTTTTGTTCTTTTTTTATAAAAAGTGTGTCACACAGGGTCTTGTTTTATTCAACATTATGTTGCTAGTATTCCTCCATTATAATATTAATATTCCATTCTTATAGTATTCCATTGTGTAACTATACCACACTTTAGGTAATTCTATTACTGTTTTGTTTTGTTTCTTTCTCTTACAAAGGTGGTGCCATGAACATTTTTCTACATGTCCTCCGATGCACATATGTGAGGATTTGTATACAACTACAAACAGAACTTCTGACTCATAGGATGGTCAGAATCTTATAAAGGTGTTAACTTTATAAGATAATATAAAATTATTTTCCAAAGTTGTTATAACAATTCACACTTTGCTCAGCAATGTGAAAAAGATTCGTATCCTCTTTAATGTGTCTTAATTTTCAACAATTAAATAATGCAATCTCATTTTTGGTCTTGCTTTGTATTTTCATGATTACTGTTAAAGTTTAATATCTCTTTAAATGTCTATTACATGTGTATTTCCTTTTCTTTTGTCCATTTTTTTCTATTGGGTTTTTGCTGTATTCTAAAGGATTATAAGTGTTCTTTATATTTCTGAGTATTACTATTATATCACTTACATATATCACAAATATTATCAAGTTTACAGCTTATCTTTTCACTTTATCACCTATTTTGAAAAATAAAGTTGTTAGTTTTAATGTAATCTAATTTATCAATCTTTTATGTTGAGCATTTTATGTGACATGTTTAAAAATCCTTCTCTACACCAAGGTCAGAAAAATATTCTCCAATATTTTCTTCTAAAATTCTTAAAGTTTTGCTTTTGACATTTGTAATTTAAATTAATTTGAAACTGATTTTGTGTATAAGAGAAAACAGGGATCTAATTTTATTTTTTACATGTGGTTAACCAATGCATAGTCCTTTTCACTACTGATCTGCCATACCACTTCTATTTTACAACAAAATCATTTACTTATTTATAAATAAATTTAGGGGCTATTTTGTTCCATTGGTCAGTTTGTCTATTTTTGTGTGGGTACTATACTTTCTCAATTACTATAACTCTATAATACATTATAATCCCTGAAAGAGAGAGTACCTATTTCTTCCTTCTCATCATTCCTTAGCTGTTCTTGACCTTTGTTCTTCCCCATAAATTTTAGAATCAACTTGTCAAGAATTATGTAAATCTTCATTTGGAATTTGAGTGTAGTTGCGTCAACTCTGTAGATCACTGTAAGGATAATTAACATATTCATGATAGTAAAGCTTCCTATCTAAGAACATGGTATAGCTCTTCATTTAATTATGTCTTCTTTATCTTTTCTTTCCTATAACATTTTGTGTAACGCTTATATTTCTCTAGGTGTAAGTCTTTCACATATGTGTTAGATTTATTTCTAAGTATCTTATGCATTTTAAATCATTATTTTATCAACTTAATTGACATATAATTTGCATACAATTGTATCTCAATAAAGCGCACACATTCTAAAAGTACAGTTCAACAAATTTTGACAGATGTATGCTCCAATCTAATCACCACTGAATGAATCTAGTTCATTATTTTTTGTTGCTGAATGATATTTTATTGTATGACTATATCTCAATTTGTTTATCCATTCATCTGCTGGTACACATTTGGGTTGTTTCCAATTTAGGGCTATTATAAATAAAGCTTCTATAAAATTCATGTACAAGTCTCTGTATAGATCTGCTTTTATTTCTTTTGAGCAAATACCCAGGAGTGGAATTGCTGCATCATTTGATAAGTGCATGTTTAACTTCATAAGAAATTGCCAAACTGTTTTCCAAAGTTGCTCAATCATTTTACACTCCACAAAAGTTTCAGCTGATTCACACTTGGTATTGTCAGTCTATTAAATTTTAGCCTTCTAAAGGAGGCAAGAAGCAAGGAGGAAAAGAAGACCAGAGAAGGGAAGGGAAGAGCAAGACAGCAAGGGAAGCAGAAGGTTGAAAGATGGTTGGTGAGAGGCTATCCTCTTCGTGGGTTCAGTCAGGTCAGAATCCTCAAACAGAACATGCCCATGGGCTACGTGCCACTCCTCTCAATAGCCTTTCTCAGCTTGAGGGCAGCAGGGGCCAAGGAAGAGAGATTCCCACACAACAAGAAGTAAGAAGTGGGAAGCAGACAACGTGGATCAGGGTGGGTCAAGCAGTGGCGCCCTGCCACCAGGCTGCACAAGGTCAGGTAGGGCCAGCTGGGACCCTCGCAAGGGTGAGAGGCTGGGCTGGGTGCATCCTCAAGCTCTGCCAACTTAACACTTCCTGTAGCTGCTGCCACAGGCCCCATCCCACAGGAGCTGATGCCGCAGGTGCAGGTGGCCAAGAGGCCCCCACAGGCAACCCCACCAAGGAGCTGCTCACACCTGCACAGAGACAGCCATAAGAAGTTAAACCCTTTGGTCGGGGTGGGAGCTGGTCCCAAAAAGCCCCACCTCCAATCAGCACTGGCTTCCTACCAGCTGGGAGCAGCCAGGAGGATGGCTTCTTCTCACCTCCATCTCCAGGGGTGAAGATGGCATTGCTTCCCTGTAGTCTGTGCGAGGGACTGACACCCTGACTAGGAGGGACTCCATCTTGGGGTTTAATCTCAATCCCTTCTTTTTTTTGTGAGATGGAGTCTCACTCTGTCACCCAGGCTGGAGTGCAGTGGCACGATCTCGGCTCACTGCAACCTCCACCTCCCAGGTTCAAGCAATTCTTGTGCCCCAGCCTCCCAAGTAGCTGGGATTACAGGCACGCACCATCATGCCTGGCTAATTTTTTGTATTTTTAGTAGAGATGGGGTTTCACCATGTTGGCCAGGCTGGTCTCAAACTCCTGACCTCAAGTGATCCACCTGCCTCAGCCTCCCAAAGTGCTGGGAATACAGGTGTGAGCCACCACACCCAGCCTCAATCCCTTCTTTCTGTAAATATGAGCTCTTACTATATTGCCTGGGCTGGTCTCAAACTCCTAGGCTCAAGCAACCCACCTGCCTCGGTCTCCCAAAGTTCCAAAGGGATTACAAGGGTGAGCCACCGTACTCGGCTGAGACCCTGTCTCAAAAGAAAAAAAAAAAAATCAGGATGACCTTAGGATCCACAACATGTGGATTTGATTACAGCTCATTCAATCCACATGTATTTAAAGAAGATTAAATGCATGTTTTAATCCAGTAAAGTGACTGACATCTTGAACATGGACAAGTATGTTTGGACAGGGAGAGAATAAGAGCTTCCTACTGAAGGGGAGAAATTATAATTTTCCTCAACCCACATAAATTCGTAGTTGAGACAGACTCCTGCAACAACAGACAGATTAACAAGAGAAAAACAAGCAAGTTTACCAACAGGAGCAGTGCACGTCATGGAAGGAGAAAAGTAACAACCAGGGACTCTACATGAACAAACGGACTGGAGAATGAATGCTGAGATCCAGGAAGGGCACACACAGGCTCTGTGGCTTATGTAGTCATTCATCGATACTCATGGGGGACTGGTTCCAGGACACCTGCAAATATCAAAATCTGAAGATGTTCATGTCTCTTATATAAAATGGCATAGTATTTGCATTTAACCTATACACATCCTCCCATATACTTTAAATCATCTCTAGATTACTTATAATATCTAATACAATGTAAATGCTATGTGAATAGTTGTATTGTTTAGGGAGTCATGAAAAGAAAAAAAGTCTGTGCGTGTTCAGTACAGTTTTTTTCCAAATATTTTCAACCTGCAGTTGGTTGAATCCACAGATTCAGAGGGCCAACTGTATATTCATCTTCGACAAGGAATAATCAATTTTAGAGAAATGACAAGACAAAGAAAAGCAGTTTAAGGCTTCCAAAAGTGAGAAAAGGTGGGAAGGTAAATTTATGGATAAACTAATGGAGTAAAGTCTACCCACATTCCTCTGGCGCCACCTCTAAGCTCATAATGGTTGTAAGGAGAATTTACATCTTGGCTTTAGGCAGGAAAGCGGAGAGGATAGAAAGACCTTTGTCTCTATATGTCATGGGAGGGACCTGGTGAGAAGTGATTGGATCACTGGGGCAGTTTCCCACATGCTGATCTCGTGAAGATGAGTGAGTTCTCATGAGATCTGATGGTTTTATAAGCATCTGGCATCTCCCCTGCTGACACTTCTACTTCCTGCCACCTTGTGAAAAAGGTGCCTTGCTTCCCCTTCACGTTCTGTCATGATTGTAAGTTTCCTGAGGCCTCCCCAGCCATGATGAACTATGAGTTGATTAAACCTCTTTCCTTTATAAATTACCTACTCTCACGTATGTCTTTAGAGTAGCAAGAGAACGGACTAATACACTATCACTACGAAAAAAAATAGAAAAAAATTAGCCAGGTGTGGTGGTACACACCTGTAGACCTAGCTACTCAGGAGGCTGAGGTGGGAGGATGGCTTGAGCCCAGGAGGTCAAGGCTGCAGTGAGCCATGATCACACCACTGCACTCTAGCCTGGGTGACAGAGTGAGACCCTGTCTCAAAGAAAAGATATATATTTATGTCAAAGATACATATTTTGAGGTGACACATTCTGGTTCCTTCACTATGGTGAGGATAATAAGACTGCCACTCTGACAAGTCTGGCGTAAGGAATGATTCCACTCAAGACTTGTCAATTGGCTCCCTCTTTGTAGCTGTGCAGCTGTAAATGAATGGAACCACTTCCTTGGTATTTCCACCCTCAGAGCTAAAAAATTCGTCCCACTGGCAAACCTCAGAGTCTCCCTTCAGGGCCAGAATTACTCACAGATATTCACAGCACTGATGCCATCACACAGCCTGGTGCAGGAGAGAAAAGGTCAGCTTTAGCACTGGGCATTAATTCCTGACAATGACACCAGAGACCATGTGGTCACCAGCTCTGAACTCAGTCAACCAAGAGGTCACCCAAGCCCTTCCCAGAAAGTGAGAGGAGGGAAGACCTGGGTCTAGCACCCTCAAAGGCCCAGCATCGTCCCAACCCTGTCCCAAAACAACACAAGTGCCAGGCTCTCCCAGATCCCCCCAGGAAGTGGAGCCTGTGAAAATGCAGCAGGACACAAAAGAACTCTCCAACTGTCCCAATAACTCCACACCAGGCGGACTCCCCAACCCCCACAGTCTCCCTAAGCCTCAGGTTTTTCATCTAAGAGAAGAGACAAATATCTTCCTATTTGTCTTTCAGTGTGAGACACCATTCCATCCTAGCCCCAACCAATGTTGTTCTTGAACCAGCTCCCACCAGCTCACAAGAGCCTATTGTGCACATTTCTAGCCAATTCTACATGAAGTCACAGCAACAGCCTGAAATCAGCCATGACAGAAGTATATACAACTCTGAAATCGGTAAGTGTTATAAATTAGGGCATTGTTTATCTCAGAGAACAAGTTCTCTGAGACAAACCATTGTCCCTAATAGATCATGCAAGGAGCCTATTGGAAATCGGCCTGTGGACTCAACTAAGACTCCGCTCCTTGGACTGTGCTCAATACCAGTAGAGGTCCTAAAAGGGTTCCAAGATGAAAACAGAAGTAGTAGTGAGGGCTGGGTAAGTGATGGTGCTAAAAAGTGGGGCAGGTCTATGCAGATGAGCTCTGGGCCCAGCTCTGCAGGCTGCACCCACCTCTGCTCCTCACCATCTAGAAGGTGGCAAGAAGAGGCAGCCTTCACATTGAGGCCCAGCTTGGAGTTCATCACCTCCTGGTACTGCCTGGCCTTCTGCATGGTGCCCTCCAGCTCAACCAGCTTGCAGCGGTTATCGCTAAGGGCCACCTCACCCTGCTGCTCAGACTGGGTCACCTCCACCTCCAGCTTGGAGTTCTGGGGGACCAGAAGAGAACAAGATAGGTTACGGTCTCTCTGTCCATTACCTGGATATGTCCAGTCTGCCATTCAGCTGGGAGCACCTCAGAAACAGGCCTCTTGCCTTCATCATCCTGGCACTCCCTGACTGACCACAACCAGGGACTCTACATGGACAAAGGGACTGGAGAATGAATGCTGAGATCCACGTAGGGCACACATAGGCTGTGTGACAAAGGTTAGGCCATAAGTCTCTCTGGCCTTGGGCACAGATGCCCCATACCTGGCACTTGGCATTCTCCACCTTGGCCATCAGCCTCTGGATCATGTGGGTCAGCTCCTTGATCTCCTCCTTGGTGCAGCCCACAGTCTCCCCGTGCCAGATCACCGTGGCCTTCATCTCCCCGAAATGGGGGAAGCAGAGATGCTCCTGAGGCTCAGTGTGGGATATCCCTTCCTTTAGGGATGATTGTGCAGGTTGTGCAGTGCTCAGCCTGTGCAACCACACATGGCAGTCCTGCCCTGCCACCCCAACCTGAGAGCTATTGGCCTACTATCCAGAATCCCCAGGCAAAATAAGTCTATCTAATAGGTATCTCACATCCTGCCCTCCCAACTGCCACATCTAGCAGGCAGGTGCCACATCTGGCAGGCAGCCATGGTACCAAGACTCAGCCTTGGCCCAGCTGCAGGTGACAATGTCGTCATACTGTGCCTTGATCTCGGCAATGATGCAGTCCATGTTCAGGTCCTGGCTGTTGTCCAGCTTGACAACCACAGAGGTGTCTGAGATGTGGGATTGGAGAACATGGATCTCCTGCAAGAGGTGGGGGCAGTGACTTAAGTTGAGAACATAGCTATAATTTGAACAAATAGTTGCATTAGGGATGTTGCTGAAGTTGGCCAATAGGTGGACTTTGTAGGTAATGTAAAGATTTGAGTTTGACATGACAGATACAACACTCCGTCAAGTTACTCTCAGAAGGTTGGGCATGGCGGCCTACTCCTGTAATCTTAGCACTTTGGGAGGCTGAGGCAGGCAGATCACCTGCAGTGAGGAGTTTGTGACCAGCATGGCCAACATGGTGAAATCCCATCTCTACCAAAAAAAAAAAAAAAAAAAATACAAAAATTAGCCAGTGTGTTGGCGCATGCCAGTAATCCCAGCTACTTGGGAGGCTGAGGCATGAGAATTGCTTGAACCCGGGAGACAGAGGTTTGCAGTGAGCCAAGATCACACCACTGCACCCCAACCTGGGCAATAGAGACTCTGTCTCAAAAAGAAAAAAAAAATTACTCTCAGAAGCTACTGATTATGAAATTCGAATTACAGCATTATCCTGCCAAGTGAATGAGGAAGGCGTAAGCAAGGAAAAAATTAAGAGAGGTAAGAGTTGCATGACGGCAGAGAAGTCTTGATCCATGGTCTTGGGAAAGCTGTCCACATCTAGAATACTGTCTGTTTCTGGGAAGAAACTTCTCTGCTTGGCTTTATCTTAAGGTCTCCAATGGATGTGCAGTTCTAAGAGTCTGAATGGACCCTTTTGAGTTGCGAGATGTAGACCGAAGGTCCAAGGCCCTGAAGTTTTGCTGAAGAGTGGGTGATGAGAAGAACTTGATATGGCCCCCTCCAATGGGGCTCAATGGCAGTCTTTCTCAGATATCGTCTCCAGATGACCTGATCTCTGCATTCTAGATTGTGAAGGGTTTGATTGTCCTCAGTTGATAGATCTTGAAAAGCTTCCTTTACCTGGTGAAAATATACTTTGGCATAATGCATTAAAACCTTGCAGCATTTAGTTATGTCAGAGTTTAGGGGAGTAGAAAATAAATGAGTTCTATTATTAGGGCATAGGCCTTCCAGTAGCTATTTCATAAGGGATCAATCTATGATGTATTATAGCAGTGGTCCCTATTACGGAATTAGACTTCCAGACTCATTTGTTCTCATGACCTGTTTTACTTTAACCCAGTCATGTGATTCAAGAACCAAGACTAATGAGTATATTGCAAGGCAAGTTTGCACCAAAATCCCAAACAGATTTTCTTGCAAATTGACTTATGTGCCAGGGTACTATAGCACTTTTTTTTTCCTGAGACAGAATCTTGCTTTGTCACCCAGGCTGGAGTACAGTGGCGCAACCTCAGCTCACTGCAACCTCTGCCTCCCAGATTCAAGCAATTCTCCTGCCTCAGCCTCTGGAGTAGCTGGGATTACAGGTGCGTGCCACCACGCCAAGCTAATTTTTGTATTTTTAGTAGAGACGGGGTATCACCATGTTGGTCAGGCTGGTCTCAAACTCCTGACCTCGTGATCTACCCCCGCTCAGCCTCCCAAAGTGCTGAGATTACAGGCGTGAGCCACCGCGCCTGGCCAGCACTCTTTTAACCTATAATAACTGTACCTCAGATCCTTGGCCAGAAACTGCTAATTCCAACATTCCTAGTTGGAATTAGGAATACATGCCCTATAAAACCTTGCAATAGCCTATAAGCAGGGCTGCCTCCTCTGCTTTTGTCAGGAGGTAGCCCGGCAGGACTGACAGTAAATCAGCTTGCCTGAACTTGGGTCTATTGGCCTTATTCCTTTCTCGGCTGTCCTTCCAATTATCCCTTACAAACCTAACTTCAGAATTTTCCTTTGTAACAAATAGCTGAGTCTCAGCCAATCACAGTAACTGAGCTTCAGTCAATCACAGGCAGCCAAATGTTCACAAACACCAGCTGCAAACAATCCAGCTGTTACTTCTGTTTTCCATGTGTCACTTTCTGTTTTCTGTCCATAAGTATTGTGGGACCGCAGTGCAGCCAGAGTTCCTCTGATCAGTTCTAAGGGCTGCCCAATTCTAAAATTGCATATAAAATCCAACTAAGATCTTTAAACTAAATTCATTGAAATTTTGAAATTTGGCATCTTTCCTCCACAAGCTCTCCGTATCTGAACTGTCAGAGTATTTCTGGGCCTTGGGTGCCTCTGTCTGTCTGTCTGTCTGTCTGTCTGTCTGTCTGTGTGCCTCTCCCATCAGACTGGGACCTCAGGCACGCAGGGTCTTGCCTGCCTCTGATTCTTTCCTCAGTGCCCAGTCCTGGTTGTGCACATGGTGGGGGTTCAGGAAGGGTGTGATCCAGGACACCCACCTTGTGGAGGAAGGCAGTAAACCTGCTGTTGAGGCACTTGATCTTCTCCTCCTCCTGCTTTATGCACTGTGCAATCTCCAGGTTGAGGGGCATGAGGAGGCTCTCCTTGATCAACACAATGGTGTTACAGGCAGTGCTGGGCCCGCATGTGCTGCCAGAGTGGTAGCTGAATCTGTGTCCACAGGAACCAGTGCCAAAGCCCCCAGTGAGGCCATGGTAGCAGGGGCTTGCCGTGATGCAGCAGCCACCAGACCAGGGCCCGGAGGGCAAGATGCAGCTGAGGGTGGGGTCATAACCATATCTCTGAGTGGCTGCACAGGACCTGGATTTGCAGACTCCGCTCAGGAGCCTAGGCAAGACAATCTACAAGTCATGGCGACTCTCTGCTGGAGGACATGAAGCCAGAGGAAGAAGAGGACTCTGACCTTTCCCTCACTGCTAGCACCTTTTATAAACCCAGGCACCTGGGTCTGTCTGCCTCCCCATGTGGAGAGGCCATATTGTCACTTTTATGAGCTTGGGAAATTTCACAGTCATTTCTCCTCCCTCCTGGGGTAACATCATCAATATGGGGCTTTGGAAAATCCTACACTCAGGCAATTCTGAAACATTGGCAGCATTTCTTCCACAGCTGAGGGCTGATGGTGTCCAGGAGTCAAGGTCAGCCAAAACCTGTGGACTCCACACTTTGTGAAGTAATTGTGGAGCCAGGGGGAAGCCAGGTTGGGACACTTCCTTTCAGGTGGTTAGCTGAGCTCACAACCTCACAGTTTTTCAGTTTGGGCCATCAGATGAGCTGCAACCAGGGACAAAGGACAGGCCATCCTCACTCCGGGTGGTAAGCCCTGGCTCCTTCAAGTGGAAGAGACTTCCAGGGGCTCCCCAGGAAGGGCCCTAGGGCTGAGTCCTAAAGGCAGCCTGTGACACCTGACTCCTGGCATGGCCAGTAGGAGATTGTGTCTACCTCTACCAAGACATGGAAGAGTCAACCATACAACCAAAACAGTTTTGTTCAGCTCTTCTTGCCATAGGAGCCATGAAGTGGGTATGTGGGGGTTCAGTCAGGCTGATGGGAAAAATTTTAGTTATAATAGCCACAAAGCCTCTTGGAAGGCCTGACAGTTGGCATAACTTCAGTAATAGATCTGGCTGAAGGCAGCCTAGTCCCTTTTCCTTCAGTTAAATAGATTAAAAGTAGATACAAAGGAATGTGGGAGAGTTTATCTAACTAGCTTGTTTACTCATGTAGTCCTAAGACTAACCTTTGATCTACAGTGGGTGCTTAATTGCTTTCTACTCGGGAGGTCCACAAGGTCAATTACCCTCTAGTGGCATTGACTCAAGACTTTGTCAATTAATCTTTACTGAATAAATGCGAGTCTCACTGGCTAGTCGAGGCCATGGTCACAACTGTTTACCGCACTCTCCAGGGAGTCTGTAAGTGGCCCGGACTCTCAGCTGGACTGACAAGCATAATATCTGCGTTGGTGCATGTTATTCATCCATCATTGGGTCAGGGTCTGCCAGACAGACCCCCGCATGGGTGGATGTGTGTAAGCATCTGGTTGAGGGTTCGAAGTATCTGGATCCCTCTGCCTGCCCACCCACCTCCCTTCCTTCCCATGTGCCTTTAAGATTCCTCACCCCCACCCAACGGTGTCTCCCACAACTCCACCAGAAGCACAGGGCCACACTCTCCAGTCTCTTGCAAAGGCTCCCTCTTTATCAGAGATACCCTTCAAGAAAGCCTGTCCCATCAGCTTTGAGACAGGCCCACAGGAGCCTAACTGAGGCATGGGAGTGGGGGTCCCCAGCCAGGAGAGCAACAGCGTGGAGGAGGCCACAGCCCCCAGACCTGAAAGAGCAGGGCAGGGGGCTGGGGGGCTCTGGATGGTGACCAGGACAGTGAAATAACAACAGCACTCAACAGTGGCTAGAATGTACAGACCACTTACTATACAGCAGGCAGCATGCTAGTGCTTTACATACACCTCACCTGATCCTTGCCATGTCCCTGGCAAGTTATATTACCTCAATTCTAGATACAAAAGAAACAGAGACTCAACGGGGTTATGTGCAAGTTTTCACCCACATTGTAAGTGGCAGAGCCCAGGCGTGTCTGATTCCAGAGACACTTTTGATCACTATACCATAAAGAAGGAAGAAATGTATTTCTGAAATGGACACACTGGTGTTCAAGATGTTTCAAAACAAAGTTACCAGAAGAACACACATGCTCGTGCGCACACACACACACTTTTACACATATACACTCTCTGTGTACTATCCCCATGTTCCGTTCACTCACACACCTCTGAGCATGGCCCTCTGCAGGTCAAGCACCTCCAGCACTTCGCTTGATATTCTGAGCCTATCCTGCCCATCCACCATATTCACCATGTGGCCTCAGCCAGCCTCCTTCCCCCTGCTCTCATCAAACCCTATTTTTCAGCCAAAGCAGATGACCCACTATTCCCTTCACATCCTCTGGCCTCCCTTGCTTTGTGTCTTTGCTTACACCATTCACTCTGCCTGAATCCTCCCCTCTCTCATCTCAGCATTTCCAAGTCCTCACCTTCTTCAGGCCAAACCAAAGTGTCATCTCCAAGAACCCTGCTCTGACCCTTGGTCCCAAGCTCCCATGGCATGGTGTTGCTCCACTATAGCCAGACCCCCTTCAGCTTTGCACTAGGGTCCTCTGTATGCATGCCTGCACTGCCTGAGGACTCCAGTCTCTCCTTCATGCTCTGAGCCTGGTTCCTGATGGTATTCAGTAGATGTTTGCTTCCTGCCTTGAACTAGCCCCTGGGACCCACTGGGAGGTTAAAGAAGAGGCATGATAACCCAAACAGGACATTAGGTTTTCACTGATAGACTGGTATATTGGTGATAAAAGGGGCGGGGGGATGTTTTCTAGAAGATCTGGCTGATGATGAAGAAGCCCTCCTCTTCCCTGGCACTTGTGACAACCAACCCTCTCTATGAAGAAGTATGTCCTTAATTGTTTCTGAAATTTCTCAGGTTTCAGCCTGTTTCTCTCCCCTGAGTTCCAAGAATAATAAACAGACCACGAGGGATCATGTTTCCCTGAGGCTGGGCCAGGGATTAGCATTAACATTGTGGAAGACCACTGTGATCCAGATGTCAAACCTCTCCATTCCAGCCCCTTCACATTGTTTTCTTAGCGGGAACAATGCAGCCTGCAGATCTTCTGTTTCTCTGGATTTTAAATGCACATAATTATCTGTGTGGACAAAGGCTGATTATTAACATCCTCATTGATTGTAATAGCATAGAAAGTCCAGTCTATCCACCCACCAGAACCCAGAAAGGGGTCCAAGCAAGAATCATGTAAGTGCCTCCACAAGTCTAATTTAAATCTTCCATGCTCCAGGGTAAGTCCAAATCCTCTCGTCCAGGAGACACCAAGGGAACACTCCTCCAATACTACTTATTCTCAAAAGAAAATTGGAATCGAAATACATAATCCTGAAGCCAAGCATTAGTCACACAGCTGGTGACTGACACAGCAGGAGCACTGTCATCTCGGACAAACACCACCACTTTAAGTTCCAGCTCCCTTTCTAGCCTCATGCATTTCAAGGAAATCACTTCTCTTCTAACTACAAGCAGACAGAAAGAGCGGGCAGTAAAACACAGATAAGACAGCTTGGGCACAGAGGGAAGTAGGAGGAAAGTCTTGTGGGTAACCGCCAAACTTCACCCTCATACAATGGGCCCCAGTAAAACAGTGGGCCTTAATAAGCACGTTCCTTTCCCTTCAGGTGCACTAAGATAGAGAAGCTAAAAGCAGACTCGGGGGATATGCCTGAAGCTGCAGAAAGATGTATGGGAACAGACACACACTTCTCCCTCCCAGATAAGCACAACAAAGACACAGAAGCAGTCCAAGCCTCTTCTAAACTCTCCCACCCTGAATCCTTAAAAAAAAACTCTTAGTCTGTAAGAGATGTGCCTCTGACCTAACTCGGCCAGACACCCCTCTTAGGTTTGTTTTCTCTAAAATAAACCTGTCTTGACTGGCAAGCCACCTTTCATGTTTCTTTCGTCTTTCTTTAATTCTTACACTGACTCCCAGCTGAAGCCGGGGCAGGGGCACAAGCCTGTGGGGTTGGGCTCCAACTTCTACAGAGGACTGAATGAAGGTTGGCCTTAAACTGCTACAAAACAGACCAAGGCTGGGCCAAAGGAATCCAAGCCCATGAGAGTGCAGAAAAGACAGGAAAAGGGGTAAGAGGAAATGCGATGCCAGGCAGCTCAAAGCCAGGACTGGCTGTGGTGACCTCTGGAGTTCTAAGATTTAATTACTGCTTTCACAATAATAACTCATATTTAAAAGCAAAGGAAGCCGAGGGTGATTTGCATGCTTCTCTTTAATGCTGGCTGCTGAGTGCACACTCCTGGTTTCCTCTGCCAATAATTGGACACATAATTAACTTCCTTTATAATGGATTATGGCCTTCTAGAGTTGGTGGCCATGACCAAGCCTCAGTTGAGGGGAAGGCCTTGGATCAGGCCGATTTCTCCAAGGGCCCAAAGCCCAGCAGCAGTCTGTGCTCCTGCCGCCAACAAGAACTCAACCCTCACTCAGCCCCCAAAGATTCAGACCCTGGGTGAGACCATTGTGGAGGAGGGCTTGGAGGAGGGGTGGCCTTTCAGATTCCAACTCTGCCCCTCTATGGATCCTTCTATGCATGACCTTAAACAAGTCACTGGACCACCCTGAGCTCACCTTCCCAATCAGGTAAATGGGCACAATAATACCAAACTCAGAAGGACGCCCTGGGAGCTAGAGGAAATAATATGGTATAAAAAGGCCTCAGCACAGTACTAGGCACATTGCGGGCACTCCATGAATAAAACTCCCTTCCCCTCGCCCAAGCAGAGTGGAGAGGGGTACAGGAAGGAGGGACGCTTACGAGAAGAGGAGGTATGAGCTGAGTCCTGAGATAGAAGAGAAGAGAAAGTTTTTGCCCAAAGGGACACAGGATGAATGATAAATTAACAATAGAATAAATAGAACAAATAATGAATAAATAAACATTTACACAGTTCTTATTAAGTGATAGGTAGGGCCCTAAATGCTTTCTGGTCATTATCTCATTAGATCCTGGCAACGGCTCTCAGTGCTTACTATTATTATCGCTATTTTGCCTGTGAGAAAACTGAGGCTCAGAAAGGTTATTCAGCTGCCCAAGGTCATGACATGAACCTGCGGGACTGACTTCAGAGGCCCCACACTCTCGACACACGCACACACTCGCCCCACACACGGTGCCCGCTGCGGGGGACCGGGGCTATGGGACTGGGACCGAAGTGGAGGCCGGATCCAACAAGGCAAAGCTCGGAGTCCCGGCGGAGGGGCGGACAGGTGGAGGGGTTCCACTCGCACTGACCGCAGCGCACGGGCAGCGGGGCTGACCAGGCGCTTCCCGGCCCCATAAAACTCGGGCGGGAGGCGAACGCCGTTTTATGCAGGCGGCCGGGCGGCCTGGCTCGCTTTCATTCCCGGCTCCGCGAGGCGCGAGGGCCGAGCCCTCCAAGCTCGTAAACGCCTTGGCCGCGAGCTCCCTCCCCGGGCCCGCGGGCCGTCATATAAGGCGCAGCGCCGGCTTGGGGTCCAGCCGCCCGCCCCTGCCGCCACCGCACCATGTCCTGCCTCTACTCCCGCCTCAGCGCCCCCTGCGGGGTCCGCGCCTTCAGCTGCATCTCGGCCTGCGGGCCCCGGCCCGGCCGCTGCTGCATCACCGCCGCCCCCTACCGCGGCGTCTCCTGCTACCGCGGCCTCACCGGAGGCTTCGGCAGCCACAGCGTGTGCGGGGGCTTCCGCGCCGGCTCCTGCGGACGCAGCTTCGGCTACCGCTCCGGGGGCGTGTGCGGACCCAGCCCCCCATGCATCGCCACCGTGTCGGTCAACGAGAGCCTCCTCACGCCCCTCAACCTGGAGATCGACCCCAACGCACAGTGCGTGAAGCAGGAGGAGAAGGAGCAGATCAAGTCCCTCAACAGCAGGTTCGCGGCCTTCATGGACAAGGTGGGTGTCCTGGATCACACCTTTCCTGAACCTGGAAGTCCTGGAAGGAGATGGAAATTCCCAGTGGTCTCTCTAGAAATGGGGAATGAGGATGGCTGATATTTTATATAATGTTAGGCGGTGCCGGCCCATCATATTAAATAACATTGAAACACGTGGTAAGAAAATACATCTTCTTTAATGTCTGTTTCAATCCTTAAGATTAGGTGGGAAAAAAATATCACTGGATGCTAATGTTTTTAGCATCTCTCTAATACTTGCTTCCCTCCTGCTTCTAATAAAGAGAGCAAGCCCCGGCTTCAGAACTGTCTAGGACAACTGTTTCTACTAGAATTTAATGATCTGTAATTTCCCTTTATGTATGCCTAGTAATGATGGTTTTGCATCTCTGGTGGCCATATGAAGTTACTCTTTTAACCCCATACGTGTAAATGTTAATTGAATCCACTTATAGATAAATTAGGAGTAAAATAGTATATGGGATGGCAAAATCCTGAAGTCAGCCTTGGGTGTACACAGAAGAGAAAGGAGGCAGAGAGAGGGTGAGGGGCTGGCCCAAGGGCCCACAGAGAGTGGGTGCCAGAACAGGGTTCCAAGCCCAGGCCCTCTCCAACTCTCCAGCCCCTGGGCTAGAAGGTCCACAGCTTGGGATCCCAGCTGCCCCACTCCCTCTAGAAGGGGCTGGTTCACCTCAACAGGCACTGCACGCTGGAGAGGTGACCCAGGAGCGGCTCGTGGAATGGACACTGGCCCAGGAGCAGGCCACCTGGCCTCCATGCTCAGTTAAGTTCCTCTACTGACGCATTGTGTGGCACTGGGCAGAGGCTTCCCTTCTCCACCCCAGTGGCTTCCTCACCAGGGCTGTGTGTGGTGCAGTGTGTGAGCTGGCCATGACTCTGAAAGGGAAAATGGGGCCCAAGGCAGCCATGAGACCCCATAGCCAGGACCACCTGAAATTATGCCATGTAATATCAGCAGTCCCCACTCCCCATGTCTGCAAGTTCCAACCTGGGAATTCCCAGCTGCACTCATGGAGTTGGATGAAAAGGACCCCAGGGCTTAAAGGCAAGGAGACATCTCAGCTCCAGCTCAAATGTACGAGAAGTGGAAAACTGGAAGCCAAGGGCCCTAGTTTGTTTGCTGACATCCTTTCTGGCCAGCACAATGTATTGTTGCCATGTGTTCCTCCAGTTTCAGTGAAATCCAGGAAAAGCGTACAAGCCTCACTTCCCTAGGGTCCTCACCCTCTCTGTTTTCCAAAACCTCCCCCCATTCACATTACATATGTCTGGCCCCCAGAGACATATGACACAGTGTCCAACATAAGAATTTAGGCCACCTAGGACCATGCCCCACACTCCCCGATGCCTCTTCAGGCCCCAGGCGTCCTGCTTGGTAAGAGCCTAGCCTCTATGACCTCCCCAGCTAGGAAGCCCTTCCCACCTTGACCATCTGTTCAATCAAATGTTCACCAAGCCAAGGGCTGGCTATGAGGACATCAATAAATAAGCCATAGGCCCTGCCCTGAGGGAGCTTATAGTGAGAGGCATTCTCCCTACTCTATCCCTCCCAACACTGCTCTACATTCCTTTCCTCCAGGAAGTCTTCCCTAATTGTCACTACCCCCTACCCCCATCTGTCCGCCGCTAGCCTGACAGTAACCCAGCACAGCCCACAGGCCTCTCAGTCTGTCGCTCATCCCATCCAGGCCCACCTGGACAGACCCTCACTTAGCCCTGAATAAGCAATTATGAAACAAGGATTCTCCAGCTGCATCCTCAGGCCAGGAGAGACCAGCAGGGGCCATGTGGTCTACCCCTTGCCTCTGCACATCTTACTGCCAGTTCTGTCTTGACTCTGGCTGTTCCCCAAGGAGGGCTGGGGATATTGGCTCCTCCAACCAACATTTCTCCCACTTCCACACCAGGTGCACTTCCTGGAGCAGCAGAACAAGCTGCTGGAGACAAAGCTGCAGTTCTTCCAGAACCGTGAGTGCTGCAAGAGCAACCTGGAGCCTCTGTTTGAGGGCTACAACTCTGCGACGGGAGGCCGAGTGCATGGAAGCCAACAGTGGGAGGCTGGCCTCAGAGCTCAACCACGTGCAGGAGGTGCTGGAGGGTTACAAGAAGAAGTAAGTGCAGTGGGAGGAGGGTTTGGAGAAATTAAATGGGATTAAGTCAAAGTATGATAGATTTGGGTTCGACCATAAGAGGAACTTCCCAACAGGAAGAAAATAGTACAATAATCCTGTGGGGTGGGGGGAATTTCTTTTCTAGACTGGGAGTTTAAACATTGGAGATTCTGAACTGCTCCAGCTACTTCATCATTATGTTTATTTCATTAATTCATCAAACATTTTATTGAGCATCTACTCAATGTTGTAGGTGCTATGTTGGGCTCTGAGTGGGAAAGGAGTAAGGAAGTAAGAAGGAGGAGAAAGGAGAGGTACCAGAACTGGGCAGGGTTCCTGCCCCAAAGGAGTTACAGCCCAGAAACAGAGAGGAGGTCTTCGAAAATGTGCAGGGCCCCCACCCTGACCCACATCAGGAATGAAAGTCCCTGAAATAGAAAGAGCTTTGAGTAACATGGGTTGGTTTGAATGCCCAGAAGAAAGGGATGGACAAGTTCCCTTCAGTCCAACACTTTTTTGATTCTTGTGACCACCTCCAAAAGATCCAGTTCCCGGAATGTGTTTGCCTGTGCCTTCATTCCCATTTTTTTTCCTCCCCAGATCTGAGCCTTGTGTGTTTTGTCCCCAGGTATGAAGAAGAGGTGGCACTAAGGGCCACTGCTGAGAATGAATTTGTGGCCTTGAAGAAGGTGAGTGACCCCAGAATCCTTGTCCCCTAACTCAGAATGGAGGCCAGAGACAGAAGGGTCCTAGACCCAAAGGTTTGAGCTGGGAGACCTTGACTAACATCAGGCTCTCTGTAGTTCGGAGAGGTGGAGGGACTCCCTTAGAATCACACGGCCCAGCTTCTTTCTGTTCCTTTCCCCAGTGCTCCAGTGCTCCCTGGGTGCCTCTGGCAGCAGAATACACTGCCTGCTTCAGGCAGGGCAATATTCTCCCCCATCTGAGGTTGCTGCCATATAGCCACCAGATTTTCACCTCCTTCGGCCCTGCGCCTGGCATAGAGTAGGCACCCTGTAAATATTTGCGAGTGAAAGAGCAGGTGAATTATAGACAATGGCTGCATCCTCAGGCCAGCAACAGCTCAGAACCACAGGCAGGGGCAGTGACCGTCATTCCTTGCCTCTTAGACTTGACTCTGTACAAGTGCCTGGACTCTCATTAGGCCCTTCCAGCCACCTCCATATGAGGAAAGCAGGGGTTATTGTGAGAAAATGAGGTGCAGAGGTTAAGGGGGCTGCTCAGAGTGACACTGACTTGGAAGGGACAGAGTTGAGCCCTGAGCCCTCTTCTGACCACAGATCTAGATTATCTTCCATGAGATTCCAGAGCGGAGAGGGGTGGGGCATCATTAGAATTTACCCACTGTACACCAGATCTTAAGTTTTGGTGATAGTGCATGACATGGATTCTAGAGAAATCATCCCAGTGGGTGCCAGAGGAAGTACCTGCAAACCTCAGTGTCCCCCTCCCTTACCCAAACCTGCTCTTGACGCCACTACTAACTGTATAAGGGGCTTCACCAAGGCATGATACCAGGCACTGGGATGAGCACGTACAGAGGGTTTCCAGGGAAGCTGCTCAGCCTGATGGGGTGCCCCTCCCTGGTAGGAAAAAAACAAGGGTTCTGAATTGTCTCCCAGTGCAATTCCTGTGCCACCTTCTCCCCTTTAGGATGTGGACTGTGCCTACCTGCGCAAATCAGACCTAGAGGCCAACGTGGAGGCCCTGACCCAGGAGATCGACTTCCTGAGGCGGCTATATGAGGAGGTGCGGGGTCACAAAGCAGCGGGGCAGCAAGGAGGATATGAGTTAGACATTGGAAAATACTTGTCACCATTCAGCTTCTGACCCTATGGTGGGACAAGGGGAGAAACCCCAGGCAGGTTCACCATGAGCAGGTGAAGAAGTGTGGCTTGACCTCCCACTGCCATGCCCCAGGCAACCTGGTGTTCCTGGTTACTAAAGTGACAATTGCCACAAGGTGGTAAACTCTGGTCCTAGACCCAAAGGTTCAAGCTGGAAGGTCCTGATTAAAATCAGGCACTGGGCCTCAGACATGGACTCTCTACCTCCAAGTCCTCTAGGCTCAGGACTCTGGGCTTGAGGAGTCCTGAGGGGGTCCCAGGGTTGAGGTGGAAGACTGTAACTGGGAGGGTGGGGCTTCAGACATCGAAGAAGCAGGGAAAGGGGACAAGGGATGATGATGAGGGTGGGCTACCAAGAGTAGGGCTCTGGTCTAAGAAGCTCTTGCCACTCCCCATCTCCTGCAGGAGATCCGCGTTCTCCAGTCGCACATCTCAGACACCTCAGTGGTCGTCAAGATGGACAACAGTCGGGACCTGAACATGCACTGTGTCATCACTGAGATCAAAGCTCAGTACGATGACATTGCCACCCGCAGCCGGGCCGAGGCCGAGTCCTGGTACCGCAGCAAGGTGAGTGGCACAGGACACCTGCCTGCTAGACATGGCAGTTGGAGGGATGCAAGGTACCTATTAAATAGGCTTCCTTTTCTGGGGATTCTGGTCCCTACGGATGGGAAGATAAGGGCTGCCTCTCTGAGGTTGGGGTAGCAGGGCAGGACTGCCATGTGTGGTTGCACAGGCTGAGCACTGCACAACCTGCACAATCATCCGTGGTGTCCTGAATGGATGGGAGGTCCCACCCTGAGCCTCATAAGCAACTCTACTTCCCCAGTGTGAGGAGATGAAGGCCACGGTGATCAGGCACGGGGAGACCCTGCGCCGCACCAAGGAGGAGATCAACGAGCTGAACCGCATGATCCAGAGGCTGACAGCCGAGGTGGAGAACGCCAAGTGCCAGGTATGGGAGCCCAGCCCACCCCTCAGTGTAGGAAGAGAGTGGGGTTAGCCCTCAGGAGAGGGATTTGGGTTAGACCCCTTGCCAGTGTGTGGGGACAAGGGCAAACACCCAGCATGAGGACAGACAGCCTCCTCCATGGAAAACGTTCTCCATTCTCGCTGAATGGAGGCATTGGGGCAATATGGAGGGAATGAGGTGCTTCCAAGGGCAGAGTGGGGCAGAGGAAATAGCACCAGTCTAAGGGGCAGGAAACCTGGGCTCTCAAACAAGCTCTGCCACTAGTTTGCCATGAGACTTGGGAAAGGCATTTAACCTCTCTGGCCTGTTGTTCTAGATCAGTGATCACACATTCAGACATCAATGGGGTTAGTAAATGAGCGAAGCAAGCAAGCTGTTCCCAAGGCACTTGGGTATGATAGGGACTATGGTAAACTGGAAAGCACAAAAGGCAGGGCTAGGCAGATCCAACTGAGGCAGGCCATGCAGAAATGCAGGTCCAGTGTGGCCAGATCCTCTGATCTTTTGAAAGAAGCCAAGAATTTCAATTATTGTGTTAAATTTCCAAAATTGAAGACACTGTGCAAACATGCCTGGGAGCACTAATTTGCAACCCCTGGCCTAACAAATAGACAAGGCCTCTTTTTCTTCTGCTAGTCAGTGGTCAGTGGTTACCTGGCCTCTGACCCTGAAGCCAGAACAGAGATCCTTAATAACCCTCCCTTGCCTCCCAGAACTCCAAGCTGGAGGCCGCGGTGGCCCAGTCTGAGCAGCAGGGTGAGGCGGCCCTCAGTGATGCCCGCTGCAAGCTGGCCGAGCTGGAGGGTGCCCTGCAGAAGGCCAAGCAGGACATGGCCTGCCTGATCAGGGAGTACCAGGAGGTGATGAACTCCAAGCTGGCCTGGACTTTGAGATCGCCACCTACAGGCGCCTGCTGGAGGGCGAGGAGCAGAGGTGAGGACCACAGCTGTGGGGAGGGTGTCCCCTCAGTTTCCCCCAGGCAGTGCTGCAGTGCTTCAACACCCAGGAGCATGTCTGCATATTATTTACTTGGAATGTGCATCAACGCTAATTGGAGGAGAGAATTTGCAGGTTAAACAGATTTCACCAGCTTTGCTCCCCACAACTAATTTCTGTCTCTTTGCTTTCCCTATAAGGTTGTGTGAGGGCGTTGGTGCTGTAAATGTCTGTAAGTAATCCATTTTGTGGGTCCTGAAATAACAGCTTGGGGTTCTGGGCAGGCAAACTTTTTCTTAGAGCTTCAGATAGTAAAAACTTTAGGCTCGTGGGCCATGTAGTCTCTGCCTCAACTGCTCCACTCCGTTGTCATGTAAAGCAGCCACAGCCAAAGGCAATACTTGAAGGAAGCGGTATGACTGGGTTCCAAGAAAACTTGATTGACAAACAGGAAGCCTGCATGTGGCCGTAGTTTGCAGACTCTAAAAGGAAAGATGGAGTGGGGCAGTGAGTGCTTATAGTAACTTAATTAGCTACAGTCATGTACCACATAAGGACTTTTAGGTCAAGGATGGATGGAATATAGGACAGTAGTCCCATTAGATTATACCATATTTTTACTCTACTTTCCTAGGTTTAGCTATGTTCAGATACACAAATACCTACCATGGTGTTACAGTTGCCTTTAGTCTTCAGTACAGTCACATGCTGTACAGATTTGTAGCTTAGAAGCAACAGGCTATGCTATAGGGTAAACTTGTCAAACCCCTGACCAGAAGGCTGCATACAGCCCAGGACGGCTTTGAATGTGGCCCAGCACAAATTTGTAAACATTCTTAAAACTTACGAGATTTTCGTGTGTGTGATTTTTTAAAGCTCATCAGCTACCGTTAGTATTAGTGTATTTTATGTGTGGCCCAAGACAATTCTTCTTCTTCCAGTGTGGCCCAGGGAAGCCAAAAGATTGGACACCCTTGGGGCCTGGGTGTGGTGGCTTACACCTGTAATCCCAGCACTTTGGGAGGCCAAGGCAGGTGGATCACTTGAGGTCAGGAGTTTGAGATCAGCCTGGCCAACATGGTGAAACCCCGTCTCTACTAAAAATAAAAAAATTAGCCGGGCAAGGTGATGGACACCTGTAATCCCAGCTACTAGGGAGGCTGAGGCAGGAGAATCACTTAAACCCAGGAGGCAGAGGTTGCAGTGAGCCGAGATCGCGCCACTGCACTCCAGTCTGGGCGATAGAGAGAGACTCCGTCTCAAAAATAAAAATAAAAAATAAAAAAGGTTGGCCACCCTCGCCACAGAGCCCAGGTGTGTAGTAGGCTACAACATGTAGGTTTGCGTATGTGCACTCCATGATGTTCGCACAATGACAAAATCATTTAATGCTGTATTTCTCAGAACATGTCTCTGTTGTGAGGCGAAGCATGGCTATGTCTGCCTATAGAGAGGACCTGGGCTAACAGTGTATCAAGGACGCCTGAGGCTAAGACTGCAGGAAGGAGTGCCCATGTGAGGGTTTGAGGGGCGCGCATAGAAACAGAGGGGAGAAGCTCTGAGCAGAAGGGGCCTCTGGCCGCCAGGAGACTGGGCCCTGTCCTCCCCCTCTGGCAGGTGTCAGCAGCTCTCGCGGCGGGGTCTTATGCGGGGACCTGTGCGTGTCGGGCTCCCGGCCGGTGACGGGCAGCGTCTGCAGTGCCCCCTGCAGCGGGAACGTGGCGGTGAGCACCGGCCTGTGTGCGCCCTGCGGCCAGAGCAGCGGCAGCGGCCGCTCCGTGCGCTTCGCCTGAGCGCCCCACTTTGTACCGACGCCGCCTCACCAGCAGCAGCCTCTGCCTCCAGAGGCAGCCCGGAGCTCCCACGGTCCCCAGACGTGGGGAAGGAGGGCTTCGGGGCCCAGCCTCCCCATCGGCCCCCACGCCGCGCCTTCCTGTCTCGCATCCCCGCCCGCTAGTCCCTTCACTGCTTCCGAGAGCACAGGGCTCCTAGCCCGCAGCTCTCCCAACCCCCGAATCTAAAGGACTGTCCTCGCAGCCCTAGGTAAAGACCCCGGTCCGGAGGCCTGGATGCCTGTGGCTTCTGAGGGACAGATGGGCCTGGAGCCCCTTGGTGTGGACTTGCTGTGCCTTCTAATCCAATGTCTTCTAATACACGTGCAGGACAGGCCACCTCTCCTGCCTGGCTGCCTGGCTCCCTCCCTCTCCCCTGTGCTTGTCTCAGCATTTCCAGTAAAGCTCCTGATCATATGCATTGTGCCCTGAGAGTCTCTCCTTCCTCTTGCCCACTTGGTCTTCTTAGTCGGGAGGGAGAGGGCCTGGATCTCCTGACACCTTGGGTGGGAACCCCATCACTGTGGCTGCTGGTCCACTTTTTCCACTCTCCACCCCAGCCCCCACCTCAGCATTTGAAAGTTCCCTGACCATAGGGTCAAATATACAGACTTCCTCCCAGAAGCCAACACATCCCACATAGCTCCCCCATCCACACCACCACCATCACCCCTGGGGTCCCAGACACAGAGACCTCCCTGTGGCTCCACAGTACCCATCATATGTGCTGCTGCCCATCAGGGACACATTTCCCCATGCATAGGCCCTGCCACAGAACACCTGCCACACTCACAGACACACAGACCTGTGTGTCGGGGACTCTGACATAGAAGCCCCCATCAAGCACTGACTTAACACAGATGTCCTTCCCCACTCCCATGGATCCAGATACAAACCCATCCCTCCACTAAGGTCCTAGGCACAGACCTGTTACCGGGGATCTAGACTCTAGGACCCTCCTCCCATGCACACACACACCTCCCCCCCACAACCACTACCTCCACAGAATTCAAGATGCAGAGGACCTCTCCAGGGCCCCAGGCCTGGCTGACCATGAGCCTGGCAGACCCAGCACCAGGAAGGGCTGAGGACGGCTGGCATGAAAGTTGGCTGGGCCACCCGAAACTGGAAGCTGGGGCAGCTGAACGTCTGTGGCCTCCTCACAAAAGGAATGTGCTCTGGCAGCTCTGGGCATGGGGGGAGGGAGGCAAACAGCCTTTCCACCCCCTTAGCAGGGCAGCCCTCCAAGGCCCAATTGCTGGCAGAGCCTGCATTTCCCCGTGGCTCTTCTGGGCTTCCTCAGGAGAATCTTTGGGATCAGCCCCAGACCTGGAGGCCAAGGCTCACCCTAGGTAAGCGTCCTGCTCCTTAGAGCAGCACCCCATCCCACCATGTGCCTTCTCAGTCTCCTGCACAAAAGGCTTCCTAGTCACCAGGGAGACCCTGCCTTCTCTAGTCCCGTCTTTTCCCCTGCCCAGCCTCATGAAGCCAGGATACCAGGCACGTGGATCACTCAGGCCTCAGAATGAGGCTGCTTTATTGGAAGCTATTCTGACATCACTTTCCAGACTGTCTCACTGTCTTGGGACCAGGCATGGGAGGCAGGGGTGGGAATCTTCTTGTGATTGTGGGTGGTGGCTGGAGGAGTGGAGTGGTGGGAGGCGGCTCAGTCGCGGGCACTCCTGCGACTGGCGGATGCGGTCCGGATGGAATAAGCCTTCAGGAGCCCAGGACCCGCACTGCTGGAGAAGCTCAGGGCATTGCTGCCCATGGTTCCCCCGAGGGTCAGCCCAATGCCACCGCCACTGCTACTGCCACCAGTGGAATTCATCACAGCTGGGAGAGAAAAGAGGAGGGCTCTCTTCAGCGTGAGGCTCCCTACCAGGGACCCCATCCCTTCACTGCACCCCACCCTCCTGCCCCAGCTGCCCCTCTCCCTCACCCCTGCCCCCCTCCATGGGCCAACCCAGAAGGAGCATCTGACAGGGGTAGGGCTGCTCCCCAGGTGCTCCTGGCCCCACCCTGCCCTCTTGTAGTGCTTCCCAGGCCATTGAGCCTGGCAGTATGTGCTCCAGGGGACCTGTCAATCCCTGTAGAAAGGAAGGAGTCTCCTGGCCCCTCCAGCAGGGCCCTGGGCCAGTCTGCCATTCTCTAGACCCAGCCCCATCTAAACAGCACAAGGGATGCTTCCCATGGGCCGCAGCCAAGGACTTACAGATATTCACGGCTCCCACTCCATCTCCAGCCAACCTGGGGGCAGAGGACAGACAGTGAGGACGGCTCTTTCCTAGCGTGGGAGGGAAGCGCTCTCAGCCCTCTCTCCTTCCAGGCCCCAAGCAGGATCATTGATTTTTCCTTCTTGCCCCACACTTCCAGCCTGCCTTCAGCCTTGTAAAAGGAGCGAGGAGGCATGCAGGAAGGGAGTGTTCACCTTGGCCCTTCTATCCACTGGCCACCTGACCCCAGGCAATGTCTCAGGGCCTCCATTTCCCACCTATGCCTTGGGCCCAACTACAGGACCAAATTCATGGGCCTGTGAGGGTTAAATGACATAATCTGTCTAAAGCCCTGAGCACCTGGGATTCGGTGAATGGTAGCTGTATGTGTTATTTATGTAGATGGCTGCCTTTCCTCACCGTATCATAAAATCCTAAAGGTGTCTGTGGCCTATTGATACTTTTATCCCCAGTATGAGGCCTGGAGAAGTCATTGCTTAATATATGTCAAAATAATTCGTGAATCGTTGACTGATTGAATGGGGCTCCAGCCAGGACTAAGGAAGGAGCAGGGAGTGGGGGTGGCTTTAAGCAGCCAGTGGGGCTGAAACAGGTCTTGCAGTAGAAATTAAAAATCCATTCGGGACAGCTGGCTATGTTTGTTTTGTGACTCACAGTCCCATTGTCACCAAGGCCTTGGCCTTGGGGATCAGTTTGCTCTGTGGGGGCAGGGAAGACCTCGCTTTGGTGGAGGGAATGAAGGGAGCCTCGCTGGCCTCTGCGGCCCCAAGCCCAGGAAGCAGGCAGAGCAAAGGCTGAGGGAAAGAGAGAGGTTTGCTGAAAGCTTCCAGGGGGCTTGCTTAAATGGCCCCTGCTGGTGCTGGGAGTTGCTGGCACTTGTGGGTGGGGAGAGGGAGCCAGGTTGCAGTCAGGCAGCAACTCGAAGAATTTCTGGTACGATGCCTAAGGAACTCAGACGGAAGAGGCCTGAATGTCCAAGGCTCTAGTGATCTGTGTGACTTTTCTCATTCTAAGTAAGTGGGGTTTTTTTGGTAACTTTGTATTCTTAAAGTAGGCCTCCCAGTTTGAATGAGTTTCTGGACCACAACTCTGATAAGTTAAGAGATAAAAGCAAGGTATCTACCTCCATATCCCCCCAGGGTTGGGGGAACCATATCCTCTCAGAGTACCCGGATCTAAGCCTGGTTACAGCAGCTCAGACTGAGATTAAGCTTTCAGAAGAGGATGTCTCTGCGTGCTGTGTGACCTTGGGCACACTACTGACCATTTCTGAGCTTCAGTCCCCTTTTCTTCCCATGGGAGGAAGCCAGATCAGGTACCACTCTAAGAGTCCCCCAACTCTGACTTCTATGACAACAGAAGGCCCAGGGTATGGGTTGTAGAGAATTTGGGGGCCCTGTGCCTGTGGGAGAGGCGAAAGCAGAGAGAGGCATCTTGGCTGGAGCTCCCTGTGCCCAGATCAGCTTCTGTGTTCCCAGAGACTTTTGGTGTTAATTCTTCTTCCCACAAAGAAGACTGGGTGCTAACCCAGGGAGAAGGCGGGTCAGCAGCAGGGGCAAAGCCCCTTCCTCCTCCTCTCCGCCTCCTACTCATACCCTGCGGCCCTGTGTCTCCTCTTCTCCTCCCAGCACCCAGGCCCTCGGCCCTAGCACCCCTTCACTCCCCATTCCCTTCCCTGCTGCTCCATTCATCCTCCGTCATGTCTCTCTCTGGCCCCTTAGGAATAATACTCAGAAAAGAATAAGTTCTTGTATACACTCAGCATTTTACAAATGTAAGTTACTGGTCTCTGGGGGTTTCCTCTGTGGATGTTTTGTCTCCTCCACCCTCTGCAACCTCCCTGAGGGCAGAAACATGTCCTACGTATTCTCTGTTGCCATGGTGTCTTATAACAAGCCAAGAATGAAGAGGTTGAGTTCGAACCCAACAATATGCCCATGAAGGCCCAGCTGCATAGACAGAGGTGGCATGCGGTTCATGAAGAATGTGCTATCAGACTCCCCCATTCCAGCCTCCTCTCTGACTGCAAGTGAGTCTGCAAATATCTCTGGGGACAAACAAAACGATCCCCCTCCACCACAGTCAGTTAGCCCCACATGATGTAGCACTTAGTTCTGTAGTGAGAAGCAGCCTGGCGTCCTGGAAGATCCTTGGAGCAGGAATCAGCACACCCTGACTGCACTCTGGCCCTATTCCCTCAATTAATGAAACTCAACCACAGCTTTCCCCTCTGGAGACTAAGGAATCAATCGTCTCTGACCTGACTACCTGAATGTGTGCTGAGGATCAAATATGATAACCCTAAGAAGCCGCACACACAAAGGGACTGTTATCATTTCAACCTGCCCACTGAGCTTCACACTCCATGGTCTTTCCTTCTAGAAGGTCATCTCATTGAAGGCAAAGAGGCAAGCATCAGCTCTGTGTTCCCTGCATCCCCACACCCAGTGCCCTGCAGAGGAGGGGCATACAGGAAATGCTTGTAAATGGATGAATGTCAAGCCCCAAACCCCACGGAGCCCTAGAAGCATCCCCTTTCCAGGTTCCTTGTCCTCACCGGCTCTCCTCGCCCTCCAGCAGCTTGCGGTAGGTGGCGATCTCGATGTCCAGGGCCAGCTTCACGCTCATGAGTTCCTGGTACTCACGCAGCTGCCGTGCCATATCCTGCTTGCCCCGCTGCAGGGCGGCTTCCAGCTCCTCCTGCTTGGCACGAGCATCCTTGAGCGCCAGCTCCCCACGCTCCTCAGCCTCGGCAATGGCGGCCTCCAACTTGGCACGCTGTGGGCAGCAGTGCAGCTGTAAGCTGGGGCTCACCAGTCTGCCTTCCTGCCTGCCCATCCTGCAGTGAGCACCCGGGCAACTTGCTTAAGGTGGCTTCATTGGCACCACCTACTCCCCCAAGTACCAGAGAATCCTAAGGGTTAAACACATAGGTTTGGATATCCAACGCCTATGTTCCAGTTCTGGCTCTGCCACTTACTAGCTGTGTGACCATGGATGAATCAACCCTGCTAAGCCAAAGTCCCCTCTTTTCTAAGAGAACATCAGGAGATTTTGAGGATGAAATGAGATAATATACAAGATGTCCGTGGCACAATGTCTAGCACACAGCAAGTGCTTAATAAATGCTATTGTGATCATTTTTAATGAATGCTATTATGATTTTCAAACCCCCAGTCCCCCAGCCCCAGCCCCCAGCTGCAGGAGCTCGAAGACCATGGGATCTTAATTGAGTCTCCAGATGTCAGGCAGCTGACAAAGACCAGAAACCACCTATAAAATAGGAACCAGTTGAGAGCAGGCGCAGAATAGGAGGGCCTGGAGCAGAGAGACCCTCCTAGATGCCCCCAGATGCCATGAGATGCATGACTCACAGTCCCCGGGTTTGGTCAGGGATGCTCTGGTTCCAGACCTGTGCCTGCCTGGAGCAGCTGCCACTTTCTCCCTGGCCTTAGAGTGCCCTCTGCTTTAGGCTCAGCCCCCACTGCCAGGAGCCTGAATAGTCCCAGGCCTCATCTTGTTTAGCTCAGAAAACCACCATCCCTGTCCCCTGGGCAAGGACTTCTCTCCCTTCTTACCGGCCATTCTCTATCCTCAGATCCTCTTCCCTCAGTGGAGGCAGTCTGCCTCTCTGCCAGAGACAGCATTCCCCAGGAGGCCCTCTGACACTCTGCCCCTCGGCCACAGCTCGGTGCCCTGCCCTGTCACACTGGTGCCCCCAGAGCCAACGCCATCCCCGCTGCCTCTGGAGACCCCTTGTAGCTCCCCATGACGCCCCTCAGTGGTGGTAGACACCTGGCTATAGGCCTGGATCCGCCCTGTTGTGTGAGAGGAGAACCGGATGTAGTAGAGGCTGCAGGGTTTGGGAAACCACCATTTGTTATTCTGTGCTTCCCCTCCTGGCCTGGAAGCTGGCCCACTTCATGGGGTGACTCACGGCCCTGCCTCTGTGCCCCAAGGCAGCCTCCGCCCTCCTGTAAACAGGCCCACAGGGCTCCAAGGGGAGGACATTTGTGGGTAAATCACCCTCACATCCCCCCACCACCCACAGCTCATCTGGAAATCAGCTTTCCGAAGCTTCCACATGTGTGCCCTCCCCCTCTCTCCACTGCAGACACCTGCACAGGCTGAGCTGCCCTGGCCACACACTACTCAGCCAGGGCTGGGGGCCCTTCCCCCATCAACACCTCCAACCCCAGCTTCCAGCAAAGCTCATCCTCCCAGGCAGTCTCTCATCTGAGACCCGTGCCCCTGCCATGTGCCAGGTGCTGGAAGAGAGGAGCAGTGAACCAGACAGACAGGGTCCCTGCTCTCCAGGCATCTGTTATATTCCAGTGGAGGTAGGGACCATCAATCACTTAATGAATAAGACAGAACATTTCAGAGAGTGACAGGGGCTTCAAAGAACTTCAGACAGGCTGCCGATAGAGGGGCTGGTGTTTGAGAGTGCCGTCTCTGAGAAGGGGTCTTTTCCTAAACCCCAGGGAGGAGAAAACAACAACCATGGACAGAGCTGGGAGAACCACATTCCAGGGGGAGGCAACGCCAAGTGCAAAGGCCCTGAAGCATGACCATTCTTGGCAAATGCAAGATGCAGGAAGCAGGTTAGCATGGCCAGAGCAGAGTGAGGGGAATCGTGGAAAGTGAGGTTGGAGTGGGTGGGAAAGGGCCATGTGAGTCATTATAAGGTCTTCTGCTGTCCTCTGTCCCTGCAATGAATGATGAGCTCCCAGGGACAGCGCCCTGCAGCCAGAACCAGGTGCAAGCAGAGTGCTCAGTATCAATGTGGAACCAGTGGTGGCTTTCTTCTGGCCAGCCAGCCTGAGTCTCCCTCCACAGGCTCTGTGCACATCCAGGACCTTTCTCCCATCAGCCCATGCCAGGACCTGGCCAAGAACATTCTGTGCTGGAGATCTCACAAGGGGGTCTGAGACAGTGGCACCAGCTTTGGCCGGGAGATGGGAACCTCCTGCTCCACATCCTGAGTTTGGCCTCAGCTGGCCACCCCTGCATGCCCCAAGTAGCAGGGGAAGCCAGGAGGACTTGTCCCACCTGGTTCTTGATGTTGTCGATCTCAGCCTGCAGCCTCTGGATGGCCCGGTTCATCTCTGAAATCTCATTCCGGGTATTCCGGAGGTCGTCCCCATGCTTCCCAGCCTGGGCCTGGAGGGTCTCAAACTGGAGGGGCCATACAGAGAGTTATGGCAGAGAGATGGGCAGTGAGTACAGGTAACTCATCCCTCTCCCCACCCAAGGCCCCTCCCAACTTATATTTTCAGGGAAGGACAGTCTGACTCCCATCAACCTTTGCCCGATGCCAGGAGACCAGACAGCAGTGTGAGGAAGGGATTCATTCTCCTCCAAGCCAGGCAGGGAGGACAGACAAGGCTCCGCAGTCCCATCCCCATGGACCCCAGGGCTCTTCCACTCCCACCATGCCCTTCTGCTGGAGAATCACTGAGAGTTTGAGATTCGCACCCATTCAACACCCAGAACACCCATTTCACAGGTGAGGAGAGTGAGTCTTGGAGAAGAGAAAGCACCACCCAGGGATCACACAGCCAATCAGTGATGGAACGAGGGCCTGAACCCAGGTCTTCTTGTTGGCATACTTGTGTTCTCACCCAGGCACCATGAATGACTCTCTATCTCTGCAGGGGCAGACCTCTCAATCCTTGCCTCGGGATCCCTTCTTCAGGAACACTGGTTCACCCCAGCACCCACTCCTGCTCCCTCAGCCCCTGCACCATCAACTGTCCTGCCACCATGAAGTAGATGTGATGATTAAGCCTCCCAGGTCTAGGGCCCTCACATTCAGGATTTAGTCCCTGCTCTTCCATCTACTAGCTGTATGCAGTTAGGCAAATTACTTAACCTCTCTGTGCCTCAATTTCCTCATCTTTAAATGGGGGTAATAGGCTGGGTGCGGTGTCTCACGCCTATAATCCCAGCACTTTGGGAGGCCGAGGCAGGTGGATCACCTGAGGTCAGGAGTTTGAGACCAGCCTGGCCAGCATGGTGAAACCTCGTCTCTACTCAAAATACAAAAAAAATTAGCCAGGCATGGTGGTGCACACCTGTAGTCCCAGCTACTCAGGAGGCTGAGGCACGAGGATCACATGAACCAGGGAGGCAAAGGTTGCAGTGAGCCAAGATCGCACCACTGCACTTCAGCCTGGGTGACAGAGCAAGACTCCATCTCAAAAAATAGAAATAAAATAAATTAAATTAAATAAAACAAAATGGGGGTAATAATGATGCCTATCTAATAGGGCTGTTCTGTGGATTACATGAGTCAATAATTACATGAGCCTAGTACTGTGTAAGTACTTGCCATATTTTAGCTATTATAATGATTAATCCATATCTATTTCCTCTGCCCTGTCCTCCCATCTTGGGATTTTCTCCAGGGCTGAGCACCACAGACTTAAACCACTGGTGCCTGCCAGAACAGTGGGACCCAGGCCCTGAAGGCTTGAGACAAGTTGAGGAGTAAGGGAAGCTGCCACCAAGGACCCTGGCAGGAGGAAATACGCCCCTGGTGGCCTCACACCTTGGTCTGGTACCAGGCTTCAGCCTCAGCCCGGCTGCATTTGGCCATCTCCTCATACTGCGCCTTGACCTCAGCGATGATGCCGTCCAGGTCCAGGGAGCGACTGTTGTCCATGGACAGCACCACAGATGTGTCGGAGATCTGGGACTGCAGCTCTGTCAACTCCTGTAGGGACCAGACGGGACATCAGGACTTAGGGCAGGATCCTATGCCCACGCCCACCCTGGGATTCCCCACTCACAAAGGAAAGAAAAGAGAGAACAGCTGGGAGTGGGCTGAGTCACCAGGCAGCAAGGGGGCCCAGACCCAGCACACATTAAGTTACTTCATTCTGCCCACCCTTGGCTCCCTGAGGGCCCATTAGCAGTGTCTCAAACGAGAATCTGGCAGGGTTAAAGGGGATAAGGAAAGGGACAGTGTGGTGCGCTGTGGTGACTTCTCACTGTGAGGTTCTGTAGGTGCACGAGCTCTATTGTGAGGGAGGCCATGGGGAATGGATGAAATTATCATATTCCACCATGCTACAGAATACTCTGCAGTCTGTACACCGATGATATGGCTCCAACTACCTGTGGGGAATATGCCCATGGTATACTGTTGCATTAAAAAAAGCATGATGCGTTCTCACTCATAGGTGGGAATTGAACAATGACATCACTTGGGCACAGGGCGGGGAACATCACACACCGGGGCCTGTCGGGGGCGTGGGGGGAGGGGGGAGTGATAGCATTAGGAGAAATACCTAATGTAAATGACAAGTTGATGGGTGCAGCACACCAACATGGCACATGTATGCCTATGTATCAAACCTGCACGTTGTGCACATGTACCCTAGAACTTAAAGTATAATAATAAAAATTAAAATAAAGCATGATGCTATTTTTATTGAAAATGTATATTTCTATATCTTTATGTATATGTAAGCACAGAAAAGTCTGGAAAGGTAGACACAAAGATGGTAGCATTGGGTATAAGTAATCCATTTTCTTTTTTTTTTCTTTTTTTTTGAGACAGAGTTTTGCTCTGTCACCCAAGCTGGAGTACAGTGGCACAATCTTGGCTCACTGCAACCTCCACCTTCCAGGTTCAACCAGTTCTCCTGTCTCAGCCTCCCGTGTAGCTGGGATTACAGGCACCCGCCACCATGCCTGGCTAATTTTTGTATTTTTAGTAGACACGGGGTTTCACCATGTTGGCCAGGCTGGTCTCCAACTCCTGACATCAGGTGATCCACTCACCTCGGCCTCCCAAACTACTGGGATTACAGGCATGAGCCACCACGCCTGGCCAAGTAATCCATTTTCAATTTACGATTTACTTAATTTTTTGGTTGTTTTGCAATGAGTATGTATTACTTTCACCATGAAAACAACTTTATATATATACACACAGGTGTGTTTACACATAAATAAACTAAACTTTCACCATGAAAAGAAAACTTTATATATATGTGTGTGTGTGTGTGTGTGTGTGTACACATGTGTGTTTACACATAAATAAACCATGTGATAGACCCAGGAAGACCTGAGATTAGAAGTGCCTGAAGCAAGCCTCAAAGAAACTTCCCCTGAAATTAATGAATCTGTGGACATTTGCTCTGAGGGGCTGGTGGAGACTGGACGTTCAGGCAAAGACTAGGCTGAAGAACTGGTTTGTAATTAACCTCACAAGCTAATTATGCCCAGCCTAGCCTCTGCCAGGTGACTGGCCACCCTACCTTCTGCCTAAGGCCAGAGACTCACACTGATGAGAGTGGAGAGATTTTTAAATCCCCTTGAAGAAAAAGAGCTGGAAACCCCGGAGGACAAGGGTGAGAGGGAGAGAATAAGAAGGGAAGGGAGGACATTAGAGTGGTGAGTTGGCAGGCAGCTACCCACCCAGCCCCTCTGGGAGTAAATGCTCAGGCAATCCAGTCTCTCCTGACTTGGGCTCCCCTGCTGGCCCTACCTAGCCCACCTTTGAACCCTGTCACAACCTGGAGTCCCCTGACCTCCTCCTGGTTCCTTCCAGTCCCACCCAATCCCCCTTCCTTAGAAATGCTGCGATCATCCCATGTCTCTCCAAGGTCAATCCTGATTGACTCACCCCCACCTCCTCCCGAATCCTTAGCCTGTCCTGAATTCCTGAGTCCAGAAGGGATAAAGGGCAGGATAAATCCTCGCAACCCCTGATGAAGGAAATAATGTATATAATGGTCCATTTCCAAGACAAAGTGCTTTAAATTGGCTTAGGTCAGCAAACTACAGAAGAAATAGGATATACTAGCCCTTTGCTTGAATAGCCAGTGCCTGCTTGTCAGCCCCCAGCTTCTCTTGCCCTCACCTGAACCAAAGAAGTTTAGTCTAAAATGAAGGTTTTCTAGCCTGCAAAATGGCTCACTTTTTCTGTTCTTATCAGCCTGCCCAGCTACTTAGGTCATAAGTCAAATACTTAAAGAGCCCTTGAGCTGACTAGGATTGCAATGCATTGTAGGCTGCAATAAAATGCAGCAAGACAACCTAAAAAAAAACACCTAAAGCCCCAACCCAACAACCAATAGACAACGTCCAGGAAGATCGTGACCCCATAGTACTCAGCCTGTGAGGAACGGAGGGAGGGACCTGTGCACTAGAGGATAAATTGCTTGTTGTGGCTGTGCTGGGCATGCCTGCCCATCAGACACCCATCTTGCAAGACTGTCATTAAAATCTCACTTTCGCTGTTCTCCAGGTCTCTGAGTCCATTCTTTGGGTTTGGACGGATGAGTTTGTTTCTCACACTGACACATATCTGGACTGACACAGAGGCGGGGGGCTGGACCAGATGGCTCCCTGGTTAGAATGGGTAGGATAAGACATGTCACCCAGCTCCATGGTCCTCACCGTCTCATTGAGGGTCCTGAGGAAGTTGATCTCATCATTCAGGGCATCCACCTTGGCCTCCAGCTCCACCTTGCTCATGTAGGCAGCATCCACATCCTGGGGGTTGGGGCAAGATGGGGCAGAGGGAGACCATGTCCTCAGTACAGGGAACATTTAGTAGGGGTGGAAGCAGGCCTGCCCTGTCCAACCCACAGGCCAAATACTACTGCCCTACCCAGAAACAGTTTCTACAGCTGCTGTACATGGTCACAGCATGAAGCTTGCCCTGCTGACCCTCCAGACTGCATGGTGGGCATCAGCACTGGTATCCCAGAGCAACTGAAGCCCCAACCTAGCACTTGACCAGTTCCTAAAGACCTAGATGGTTTCAACACCACTAGCTCCACCTACTAACCGTGTGACCTGGAACAAATCACTTCAACTCTGGGAGCTCAACTTTTCGTCAGTCAGTAGCAGAACACAAAGTCATTCAGATTCCCAGCCCCGCTCCCAGAGATGGAAAATCTCCAAGCTATGTTTTTAATTTGCAGCATGGTAACTATGATGCAGGTGGGCCTCAGATAACACCCCAGGTGAAGATGGTGTCTGAGCCTCTTCCAGCTGCACTTTCTCAAGCTTAAACTCCTACGGACAGGCCTCACTTTTACTCATTCCTGAATCTCCAAGGGCCCAGCTCCCAGGGGCAAGTTGCAATTCTGTGGTTTGGCCTGGAACACCAACTGCTCAGTGTATTGAAGAGAATCTTAAAGGGCATGTAGACAAGACCCCTAAGATACTTCTAAGGCGTTCCAAGCTTGCACATCTGCAGGAACAGAGAGCTCATGCTGGCTCGAGGCAGCTCATTGCATTCATTCAGCAAACATTTCAGGCCAGCCAAGCAACACCTTTGTGATGAAAATGTTCTGGCTTGAATAGAGCACTCCTTATTCAGTGTTGAAATCTCCCTCTATAATCTCCATCCTTTGCTCTTAGTTCTAACCCCTAGAGGCCTAGAAATGAGTCTAATCAGTCACCACACACACACACACACACACACACACACACACACATACACGCACCCACAGGACAGGCTGTGCAGACTTCCTCTTGGACAGCTCAGGCAGGCCTTGGCCAGAGGTCCCCATGGGCTGCTCAGGTGAGAGGATCCTGTGGTCCTTTGTCCCATGTTTTCAGACAACCCTCCTCGAGCCTGTCTTTCCCACTCACCTTCTTCAGCACCACAAACTCATTCTCAGCAGCTGTGCGGTGGTTAATTTCATCTTCGTACCTACAGTAGAGGAGGGCCTGGTGTTGATGCAGCTTTGCCTCCATGCTCCCGTCCCCCCTCCGCCATATGCAGCTGTGAAATCTGCCCTGCCTCCCTTCCCCTACTCTTTAAAGACACACCTGAAAAAACAGGTGTCAGCTACAAAACCAAATTTCCCTGACTTCCACGCGGCCATTCCTAGGGCTTTGAGTCTTGGCATGGGGGGTTGTTGGTGGGGCACATAGGAAACATGTGAATGACAGCACAAAAGCTGCATGTCCTGGGAGAAAAAAAGCAAATAATAACAGCCATATGCATGAGACTGTGTTCTATGGGGTGTGCACCATTATGTGCTTCTTATGCATGAGCTCATTTCATCCTCACAGCAAACCTATAACGATGGTACTGTGGTTATCAGAGAAGGGAACAGAGACACAGAGAGGCAGCGTAATCTGCCCAGGTCACTAAGCTGCTAAGTGGCACAGCCCAGACTTGAACCTTGGCAGCTGACTCCAGCCATGCCCTAATCACTACCTAATCCCACCCCTCAGGGGCAAAGAAGGAGTCTGAAGGGGAGGAACCCTGTAGAATCAGGATGAGGGATACACAAAGTCCTGAAAGAACCAGGTCCCGCCTGATGATCCAGCCCCCATCCTTCCTCCCATAGCTCCCATCACTCTTCCTCCCAAGGAGCCACTCCTGGCCCTTAGGAGGACCTGGGCAAACAAGGCACAGAGGAAGAGACCACAATGGCTTAATCTAATGTTTATGTTGAGACTCAAAAAAAGGTGTTGGAAACAAGAGTTCCAAGAGCTGCTGGAAGCAGTAGGGACAACCTGGGGTGGAAGGCAGGACATCCAGGTAGGCCAAGCCCCTTCAGGAGCCCAGACTCAGGGTTGGAGGTGCCCATACCCTCAAAGTTGCACTCCCTCAAGTTCTGTAGAAGCTGGAAAATATCTGCAAGGCTTTCCGTCCACCCCTGCCTTGGCAGTGCACAGCCAGGTCAAGAGGGTGCACAGATCGGAACTCCCTGAGCAGCTGCACACAGGGACCCTCCCTGTACTCCTTCCCTGGACTCCCTTCCAGTTCCTCTTTCAGTCCCAGCCTGGATCTCAGACTGGCTCCACAGGAAGGTGCTCTGAGGGTTTGGGGTGGGGGGAGTATGGGGGTGGGCACCAGGTATGCACACACGCATGCACACACGTTAGTCCTGACAACAGGGGCTGAATGATGGCCCCACACCTTCCCTACTCTGCACCTGTCTGGTTCCACCTGCTATGGGACTAATCCTGTTGACTTTTGCCCTAGGGAAGTGGGAGTGTTGGGGGGGGGCACTCCACAGAGACCTTGTTTGCTCTCCTCCAGTCAGAGCCAATGTGTGACTCCTGCTTAGTCACACAGCCACAGGCAGGGGACAGAACTCACTCACTGCCCCAGTGCCCCTCAGGTGTGCCAGGGTGGGGCCCAGCCTGAGCTTCAGGCTTTTGTTTCTATTCAATGAGAAAAGAGTGCAAAAAGACCTGTCCTCAAAAGCCCCAGTCCCAGCCTTCCTGAGCCTCCTTCTGGCTCCTGCCATGACCAGACCCACCCTCAGCCTCTGCGGCCCTCGCATGGCTCACAATGACCATTTTCCCTCTCTGCTTCTTTGCTTCCCAAGTTGGCTCTGTGTCCTCTCCTAGGAGTCAGGGACCTAAAATTCAAGTCCCAGCTCTCCCAGTGACCTTTGCAGTGTGAGCTCAACCAAGTCCCTAAACTTCTCTGGTCTCTAATTCCTCACCTGAACAAAAGAGAGTTGCTCTAGAATAATCTGTGAAGGTCATACCAGTTCTGAAGCACCCCTGTCAGAAGACACTTTCTGCCCTACTCTCTCTCGGGGCCTTGGTCAGACACCCAAAGGAGACAGTGCAGGTCAGGGCTGGGCTGAGACATTTCACTGGGACTGAGTCAGGGGAAAAGACCAGAATGATTTGGAAACAGCCCCCAGGGACAAAGAGGAGAGAGGAAAGGCAGGAAATGTGTTGGTCAAGACTGGCCCCTCAGGGAGTTATTGGACTGAGCAGCTGCATGCTGATTCCTGAAGCAGGGGGACTTGCACAGGGTCAGCTCATGAGGGTCACATTGGCCCGGGGCAGGGGTCTTCGCATGTGGCACAGGGGGCATTACTTATTCTTGAAGTCCTCCACCACATCCTGCATGCTCCGCAGCTCCGCCTCCAGGCGGCCCCCATCCACCTGCAGTGCCTCAAGCTGACCCCGAAGGCCAGCAATCTGGGCCTCAAAGATGTCTGGGAGGCGGCTGCTCTTGGCCGACTTCTGCTCCTGCAGCAGCGTCCACTTGGTCTCCAGCAGCTTGTTCTGCTGCTCCAGAAACCGCACCTAGAACGGGCGAGAAGGAGGAAACTCAAGAGGAGCCAGAGCGTGCCACCCACAGCGGGATTGAGGAACATCATCTTTAGCCACTTAGCAGAGCCATGCTCCCCCTGGCTGTTTCCCTGCCTGGGGCTTCCAGCCCTCTCCCTTTGGACTCCAAATCAAGTGTCCTACAGAGTGATCCAGGAAGCAGGTCTGCCTGGTGCACGGAAGTGCCCCGTGGTTGACTCTCGACGAATGTGCTCCAGGGCCTCCTCTCCACTTCACTCCCCATCACATTACAGGTGGTGTTCTCCACCTCCCTATCTGAACAGCCACCTCTTCCTGTCAATGGATCATGAGGATGACCAGGCCCAGCCCTCCCTTCTGTCTGGGACCTCTTCTCTTCCTTCCTCAATATCCTTTCTCTCCTTCCCCTTTCTCCAGCAAGGCCTCAGGACAGTCAATCCATGGTAAAATGACCCCAGCCTGGAGCCCACAAAGGCCCTTAAGGAGTAGCCGGTATGACTGGAGGTGGGAGGCAATAGAGGCCTCTGCAAAACCAGCAGCTCAGGGCCCCAGGCCCTGGGGACCACAGAGAGTAAGACGGTGCAGCTCAACACATGGGGGAACCTGGGCCTGGAGCAGCTTGGGGAGGCCCCTATGAAATCTAAAAGACCGGTCTGGGTGAATGGCGAAGGAAAGGAGAACGTGAGGGAGGCGGGTGTGGGAGTACACTTCGTCTAAGCTGAGGAAGGGGGCCCTGGCCAGAACAGCCCAGCAGGGCCAGCCCTGAGTTCCTGGCTTTGGCAGCACTCCTCCCAAACCCACCAGTCAAGTCTGCCCTCGCCCCCTCCAGCGGCCCCATGTGTGGCGGAGGCCAACAGCCAGGAAAAATATCTCCAAAATGGACCCCTTTTTGAGGGCCCTCTCTGCCACTCCCTGCCCCCAACTGGGCTGTCTTCAAGGGCAGGTATAACCTCTCCTCCTGCCACCTAAGGGAGGCTGGAGGACCAGGCAGGTGGGGGAGGGGAGGGGCGGGAGCCCCCCCCCCTCCCCCGCCCCACCGACTGCCGCTCTAATCTCCAGCATCTGCATCCGCATCAGCATCTGAGAGAGCCTGGGTCTCCCCCTCTGGGAAGGGCGTGCCATCCAACTCCATTCCTGACTCCACACGGTCCTCTCTCAGGGAAAGGGTCCCAGAGAGAGAACTCCTGGCCTAGGCCTCTGGAACTCCTAGTCCGAGGCAAAACTGGTCCAGGTGACCAACAGGCAGCCAGCGAGGGCAGCCCTACAGGACTCAGGCCCGCACTCCGGGAGGAAAGGGAGGGGCAGCTGGGCAGCTTGCTGGAAGGGAGGGCTTGGAAACCGAGGGGATAAAATAGCCACGGGGTTCATGCGAAGGAGGAAGGACCCCCAGATCGTGTCCCCAACACTGGCGGAAAGACAGAAGGGCGGCAGTGCTCCCCAGCGCCTGGCCCGCGCGCAGGCAGGGCTAGTTAGGGCGGCTGGTGTGGTCTGGAGCGCGGCTCGAGGAGAGGCGAGGTCCAGTCCCGCTCACCTTGTCGATGAAGGAGGCAAACTTGTTGTTGAGGGTCTTGATCTGCTCGCTCTCCTCCTGGCGCACCCGCTGGAGGGAGGGGTCGGCGTCCAGCCGCAGCGGGGCCAGCAGGCTCTGGTTAATGGTGACCTCGCGGATGCCGGCGCCCACCGGGCCCCCATAGGCAGAGCGCACGGCCACGCGCGGCCGTGAGGCGCCGAGGCCGTAGAGGCTGCTGCTGCCAAGGCCGCCGGGGCGAGCGGAGCTCAGGCGCACCTGGGCGCCGCGGCCCGAGAAGGCGGCTGAGCGCGAGGTGAATACCGGGGAGCTGAAGTGGATGGACATGGTGGCTGGGCCGGGATGGACCTAGCGGCGGGCGAGGAGGAGCGCGCACTCGCTGACCTCGGGGACACTCCGCGCCTTTTATCCGCGGGAGCGGGCGGCTGGGCTTCCACAGGTAGGGGCGGGGCTGCCGCGGGCCACCTTTCTCTGCTGCCAGGCCCCTCCTGGGGCCGCCCTCCGCCCTCTGCCCGCCCGCCCCGCCGAAGCCCAGGCTTTCAGTCCAAGCAGGGATGGTCCGGAGTAGGCAGGAGCGCCATCCCTAGACGGCCGCAGAGAACAGCGGGGGACCGCAGTTCCAGCCCATTGGAAACGGACTCAGTGAGGGAAGGCTTCCCGGAGGAGGATGCTTGGAGAGGGAGTGAAGAACCTAGAGATCCCTGAGGCCCAAGCAGAGAGACCCAGTGGCAAGAGACTGGGGGAAGGGGTGGGCTGAAAAGTTCCAACCCAGGAGTCAACGCCCAGACGTCCCCATCCTCCAGGCTGCTGAAGCCAGAAAGGCATTCCTTACCGCTCTCCCTCACACCGATCCAGCTCCTCCTTGAGAGATCAGCTCACTTGTTCAGGGGTCTGACCCCTCCTGGCCCAGCTAGTTTCCCTGGCTGCGTTCCTTCCTACTTCATTTCCCATAGAAACTAGGCTGAGAGAGACACACGACCGACCGCACCTCTGGCTCCTCCCCTCCCCACTCCAGTAGGCATCGGAATCCCAGGGACCTTGGGAATGCTTACCCTGGACCCTCACCTCCCGGACCCTCCACTCATATTCCTGCCCATTTATTTTATGCGTCCCTGTACAGGAAGGGGACACTTGTGTGTATTTGTGACACTTTGTGGATGTGTGGACACTTTGTGGATGTGTGCACACGCCTGCAGGCCTCTGGGCTCTGCTGTGCTCACACCCCCAGGCATATGCACCCGCATGTCTGAGCCTGCTTACACAGATGGGGGTCTGTGCGTGCATCCTGGGCGAGGGGGCAGCTGTGGCTACACAATGGCACACATTTTCATGCCTGCCTGAGTGCGTGTGCTTCTGTTAGCACTCAACTCTCCTCCCGCTCCCTCCACCATTTTCCTGTTTAAAGGCCCTCAGCTTTCATCATCTTTCTCCCGTGAAGCCACCACCAAACAATTCCCAGCAGTTTCAAACCCAGTCAAGAGGGGTAATCCTAGTGCTGGAACCGAATACCGGACAAAGCCTGAGTGTTGGCCTCACTTCCCGGTAGGGCCAGCCATGCTTGCCACACCCTGTTCTCAGGCCTGGCTTCCGTCTGCCCTTAGCCCACCTCTAGCCCCTCCCAATAAGCTGGCCAGGTTCGTTACCTCAGACCTAAGCCCTTGGGGGAGACAAGGGTGGGGACGGAATGTCCTTCCTGCTTGGCCATTTCAGTTAAAGCACAAGGACTTCCAGTGAGGCTAAAGACTGTCACTCCTTCTCAGTGATCTTAGTGAAGGCTCACCAGCCTCCCTCCCTGCCTCCCCTCCTGACCCTAGCCATTGGTGTTGGGTCAGCTCAGGCCAGAGGCGGAGGGGTGCCCAAGGAGACCTGCTGTGGTATCGGCTGTGGAGCATGTATGTGTGCATAAGACCGAGAGAGATTCGACCTGGAATTGTGCCTGGTTGTAGCTTGAAGAGCATACGGATTACCTGGTCCTGTGATATTTGCATTCATAGGAATCTCACTGCCCTCCTTCCCCAACGCCCAAGCAGGCAAAAAAGACCAATTGTTTAATTTACACACACACACACTCCAACTTCCTCACCCCTCAGGGCTCATCTTCAACTCTGTTTTTACCACTGCCTCTCACACCAACGCCTGCTCTCCCATACCTCCACTAACAAGTTCTGCCTCTGGCCCTCTCATCCGTCCCCATCTCCAGCCCCCTACAGGATCTGCGCTCTGGAGGCTGTGCCCACCTAGACCAGGAGTTCCTGCATCCACTTCTCCCCTAAAGCCTGGCTGGGAAATCTTTGTCAGGGCACTGCTGTTGCCTTGAGGCCCTGGACATGTCACTGCCCCTCCCTGGGCCATGGATTTTTCACCCAAGATGAAATCTCCAGATTCCATACCTAGAGAGGACTGGGGAGGACAATGGGAAGGAGAAAAGGTCTCTGGGCTTTTCAGGCTCACATCTGGGGTTGTGGGTGGGGGCCACTTTGAGCAACATTTCTGCATTCCAGGGCCTGCCTGACATTCACCCCTTGGCCTCTCCTCCCCTCTCTGAAGCATTCCAGGCCGTTCCAGCCCTGGCCAGTCTCCTCCTGCCTCTCCATTCACAGGCCAGCACTAAGAGCCCACTCTGTGCCAGGTGGCACACGCAAACATCCTCTGGAGGGCTTCCCAAAGCGCTGCCAACCTGAGAGGCTGCAGATAAGATTCCTGCCCACAAGAGTTCACAGCTCACCCATCCATCCAGCCTCTGTCTCCACCCCACCCGGACTTTGTTGGCCTCACCAAGACCACCTTAGGAAATCCTGGGCAGAATCATGAGGCGAGTTATTCCCACAGTCTTTCCCCATTGGTCATCTGCCTGCCCCAAATGCAGGCTCCTGTCTCCGTAGCACTCTGTCACACACACACAGCCAAGCACACCCCCACTGTCTTCCCACCACCCTCCTAGCTGTCCCACCTCATGCTCTAGAACTGAGCTATGAACTCAAAGCAGCCCCAGGTCCTCCACATTGCCTGGCTCTGCTAAACCTGCCCTAGACACCTCTGCCCCAGTGGCCCCTGCTGCTCCTTTCCCAGAGAGGAGGCATTCTGTTTGGCTCCTTGCTGCACTTAGAGAACTATTACTCATTGTCTATCCCCTAAAAACACGTCCTCTGACTCATAAAGAAAAAAAATATTAATTTTTTCATTATCTTGGAATTCGAATTGGAATGTGGTATATTTGTGAAAAAATAGAAACATCCTAAATGCCTGTCAATAGGGAAGTGATTAAAGGAATTGACCAATTCATTTAATCCAGTGAATTGACCATTCACTGGAATGCTATTGGTTGAAAAGAAAATCCTTTATATACTGATTGAGTTTTTAACCTTTATATATTGATTGCACAGATCACTGTGATTCTAAAAATCCTGTGGGCTCCTGTGATCCAGCTGCACCACTCCTGCCTCTCTCCCCTGAGGCTGATCCCTACTGGCCCCACAGCCACCTACTGACCTGACTCCCTTCATGCTCACTGTGGACTCTGGCACCTGGGTCCTGCTTCCTCTCCACCCCGGGCTCCCTCATTCTCAGTGCAAATGACCCACCCAGCATCTTACCCTTTGAGTTCCTTGAGCTCCTCAATTCTTTCACTGCATCCTTTTTCTCTTGCCTACACCTGAGGTCACATTCTAGATCCTAAACTGCAGGACCATTGATAATAACTCTCACTGTCATTGGTGGATTCCTCAGCTACACCAGCACCCCCAGTCCTGAACTTGGCTGTTCCGTTTTCTCCCCACCCACCACCCTCCTTTCACCTTTCTTTCCAGCTCAGGCTCCCTGACCATTACTCTCACCCTCTGACCCCTGACTCTTCAGTCCCCACGTGGATAAATCTCCAGCCCTATTCAGCCTAAACCTCAGACTCCTCTCCTCGAGCTCTAGCCTGCAAAGCATTACTGGAGAAAGCCACATCCTTGGGGTCGGGTGTGACCACCAATGCAATCCCCATCTGAGCGGTATCCCCTTTGCCACTGGGCACTTCTCTCTGCCTTTGGTCAGCAGTGTCTCCTGGGCCTCCTCGTTGCTGGCCATTGACATCCTAGCATTTCCCATGTACCTGCTGAACTTTATGGGCTTGTAGAACTGGATGTGCAAAAATGGTTCCCCTACTTCTTGGTGAGGTTCACTGTGATGTACAAAGAACAGATGGCAAGCAAGAAGCAGGAGCTCTTTGGCAACCTGCAGGAGTTTGTGGGCCCCTCCAAGAAGCTCTCCCTGCTGGAGGTGGGCTGTGGCATGGGGGCCAACTTCAAGTACTAGCCACCTGGGTGCAGGGTGACCTGTATTGACCCCAACCCCAACTTTGAGAAGTTTTTGATCAAAAGCATTGCAGAGAACCAACACCTGCAGTTTGAGCGCTTTGTGGTAGCTGCCAGGGAGAACACGCACCAGGTGGCCGATGGCTCTGTGGACATGCTGGTCTGCACCTTGGTGCTGTGCTCTGTGAAGAACCTGGAGCAGAGTCTCCATGAGGTGTGCAGAGTGCTGAGACCGGTGAGTGAGTGGGGGAGGTGTGCTAACCTGGATGGAGTATCAGGCTGCATCCGGACACCTGTGGGCTCAGGCACAGCTCACACTGAGGGCGACCTTAGACAAGTCACTTTACTCATTTGTTTGTTCATTATTTATTCAACAGACATTTCAAGAGATTTTAAGAGTGCTGACTATGTGTAGCAACACAGTTTTCCTGGAGTGGGAAAATTAGTCTCAGAGGGATTAAATGAGTTACGCAAAGACACATGGCTCACAAAAATGGCAGAGACACAACTAAACTGAGGCACCTTAATTTCTAGGCCAGAGACCTTCTCACCATGCTGCTCCATTGGTGGCTTTCAACCTGGTGTCTTCTAAATCCCATCACAGAGTCCGGTTTTCTAAAGATGAGGATTAAAAATTCCCTATAGTGCATGCCAGAACATCTCCCTTCCCTAACAAATAAGAACTTGTAAGTACACAGATAGCCATCTTTATTGGCATCATATGTTATTCAGTTCTTATTCTGGGCCCTCACAAAGTCACCTACGTGCCATTCTCTAGCCCTTTTCCCTAGTGACAGTCATTAGTCATTGTTTCTGGATAGCGGGGGAAGCATACAGGGAAAGAATGTAAGAGATGGAAGAAAGGAGTTTCTCCAAACACATTGCTTATGGCACCACAGGGTATCTTTGAACACTATTTACTTTTCAGTGTTTCTTACTTCATTGATTATAATTATAAGGGCAATTAATCAATGCAGCCTCGTCATTAAAAAGAATTCAAAAATTAAAGAACAGTGGCCAGGTGTGATGGCTCATGCCTGTAATCCCAGCACTTTGGGAGGCCAAGGCAGGCAATTGCTTGAGCTCAGGAGTTCAAGACCAGCCTGGGCAACATGGAAAACCCCATCTCTTCAAAATATAAAGAAGAAGAAGAAGAAGAAGAAGAAGGAGAAGAAGAAGGAGGAGGGGGAGGGGGAGGGGAGGGGGAGGGGAGGGGGAAGGGAGGGGGAGGGGAGGGGGGGAGGAGGAGAAGAAGAAGAAGAAGACGGAGAGGAAGAAGAAGAAGAAGAAGAAGAAGAGCTGGGCGTGGTGGTACATGCCTGTACTCCCAGTTACAGTTACATGGGAGGCTGAGGAGAGAGGATCTCTTAAGCCAAGAAGAAGAAGAAGAAGAAGAGGAAGAGGAAGAAGAAGAAGAGGAAGAAGAGGAGGAGGAGGAGGAGGAGGAGGAGGGGAGGGGGAGGGGGGAGGAGGAGGAGGAGGAAGAAGAAGAAGAAGAAGAGGAAAAAGAAGAAGAGCTGGGCGTGGTGGTACGCGCCTGTAGTCCCAGTTACAGTTACATGGTAGGCTGAGGAGAGAGGATCTCTTAAGCCCAGGAGGCAGAAGTTGCAGTGAACCAAGATTGTGTCACTGCATTCCCACATGGGTGACAGAGTGAGACCCTGTCTCAAAAATAATGATAATAATAATAACAAAACCATTAAAGAACATAGAGGGGGGAAAATTGTAGCTACTCATGTTTCCCCTGCCTGGTATTTGGAAGTTTTTCTATCTACCGCAAGTTTACTAACAGTTACTTTCATCTTTCAAGTTATATTTGAACCCCTATTTCACTATCATCATACCAAAAGCATACAGTAATGTAATCCCCTCAATTTAGATCACACCTATAGCACCTTTTATTTCCCCATCCTCACCCCCACAAGCCCCTCCATCCCAAATCCTGGATTTGGTGGAAATAACCTGTCATTTTAGTTTCAAACTATTTCTAACGGTTTTTCTTCCCTGTCTTCTCTTTCATTCATCATTCATTTATTTAATACATATTCCACTAGATGTATTGGTCTCCACTGTTTCTCATGCTATTTGTCTTTCCCTATTGTGAGTTTTAAATTGTTTTGCTCATTTGTTTTTCAAATTTAAGTTTCAATTGCCTAGACTACCTTCTTGGATAGTTTCCTTAGAAATGGTTCATGGGGATACCTTTGTATATCTGAAAATGTCTGTCTTCTCCCCTCACACTTAAATAATATTTTGGCCAAGCTTCTTAGATCTGAGAACTTTCCCCAGAAATTGTGAGTATTGTTCCATGGTCCTTGGGCTTCCCAAATTGCAAAAGATGCCTTCAGTGGCCTTCTGATTCTCTTTCCTCTTCGGGTAACTGGTTTTGTTGTTGGTTGTTTTTACATCTGGAATTTTTTAGGATTTTTTTCTTTTGAAGTTCCTTTGAAGTTCAGAAATCTCACCAACATGTGATTAGGTATGTGTCTTGTTTTTGTTACTATTTCTAGGCACTCAAAGAATGCTTTTGAGCTCAATACTCAAGTCTTCTTTAGGTCAGAGAAGTTTTCTTGTCTTGTTTCTTTCTTTATTGGCTCTACTCCGTTTGTTCCTTTCTCTTCTTCTGGAACAAATATTATTCAGATACAAGATCTCCTAGCTTTAGCATCACTGCTCTTCTCACTCATTATTTCCATTTCTTTATGCTTTTGTTTCGTGTTGCAACATAGTTCCTCCATTCGACCTTCTAGATGACCTCTCCCATGGCTCAGCAGTATTTATTCTACTTTTTACTTCCTCCGTTGAATTTTAAGATTTATTTTTAATTGCCAAAACCTCATTCTTATTTCCAGGTCATTTCTTAGTAATGTGCTGCTGGATGCCCATGGAGGTTATATTTGGTGCTGTAGATTGTTTTAAAGTTCTATTTTCTTGGCCGGGCACAGTGGCTCATGCCTGTAATCCCAGCACTTTGGGAGGCCGAGGCGGGCGGATCACCTGAGATCAGGAGCTCGAGACCAGCCTGGCCAACATGGTGAAACCCCATCTCTACTAAAAATACAAAAAAATTAGCTGGGCATGGTGGTGGGCATCTGTAATCCCAGCTACTCAGGTGGCTGACGCAGGAGAACCACTTGAACCCAGGAGGCAGAGGTTGCAGTGAGCCAAGATCGCACCATTGCACTCCAGCCTGGGCGAAAACGGTGAAACTCCATCTCAGAAAACAAAAAGAAAAACAAAAACAAGTTCTATTTTCTTTGTTCCGTTGTCCTCAGTAGGAGGCATCTGTTTGATTGTTGGTTCCATCCTTCAAGCTGGCAGCACACTGAAGAGGGAGGACAGCCCCTAAGTTCTCTCGCTGCTCCAGGTATTAACAGGTAAGGGCACTTTTCTCCCAGCTCAGGTAAACAGAGTGAGCCCCTCCTCTGCAGAGGGCAGCCAGTGTCAGCAGATTTTATGGCCAGGGCTGGATCCTTCTCTTGTCCTGAGAGAATGGATCCACCCAGCTCAGGCAACTCAGAGGATCTTGGCTCTTCTAGACAAACAAGCTTCCCCCAAGGCCTTTGGGTCCAGGGTTCTAGGAACTCAAAGCTTCTGATGAAGCTGCTTTGGGCTCTAGCAAAAGACCAAACTTCCCCATCCACCACCATTAGCTGATTAGCTTTTTATACTATTGGCTAATTTTCCCAGCAGCACGAGGAAAAAAAAAAAAAAAGTCACCCTTCTCCACTTCAACCACCACTTTCCAATATGCTCCAGAGATAGATAGATAAATATTGATATGGATATATAAATTTTTATCAAAGCTATACATGCTGGCTGGGCATGGTGGCTCCCACCTGTAATCCTAACACTTTAGGAGGCCAAGACAGAAAGATCACTTAAGTCCAGGAGTTCAAGACCAGCCTGAGCAACATAGTGAGACCCTGTTTCTACAAAAAAAAAAATTTTTTTTGAAGAGCAAAGTGGCATGCACCTGTAGTCCTAGCTACTCAGAAGACTGAAGTGGGAGGATCACTTGAACCCGGGAGATAAAGGCTCCAGTGAGCTATGATTATGCCTTTGCACTTCAGCCTGGATAACAAAGTGAGACCTTGTTTCAAAAAAACACATTTATACATGTGTGATTTAAAGAAGTAAACCATAAGACTCATTATGAAAAGTAACAGCTCTTACCTACACACGATGTCTACTCCCCAATGGCAACCACATTCAAGTTTTAGCCTTCTATTTTAAATCTTATATCCATATCTCTAAATAACATATTTATACTGCTACTTCTCGACTTTTCAGGTTTGAGCATTAACTATTGACTTCTCACTCTGAAAAGTAAGAATTTACCTCTCTTTAACAACCATCCCAGGGCCACTGTATTTCCCATCTCCCTTCATCCTGATAGAATTATTTCATTAATTGATATTCAGAGCAAAGGAGTATAGTATACTTCATTTACTTTTGGAACCATTCAATCAATATGCTTCCCTACTTTCACTTTTCCCAGAGTTAATGAATCATTCCAGAATCTCCCTCATTGATAGATTGATAGAACATGTCAACGATTCTATCAATTTCATCATCTGGAGCCATTTTCCTCAGAGTCTCTCCCCATTCCCACCTGGACTGGGTGGTCTCTAGACCTGATGCACTGCTCTCACCTTGGTACCTCCCATCACCATCATCAGGCTAAGATTTGTCTCTTGCTGGGGACTTTCTCTCTCCTACATTCTATCTCTTCCTTAGTTTACTTTCTAGTTTTGATAGAGCATATCCTCTGGTAGCTTTCTGAGGTTTGTGAGGAAAATGTGTTGAGAAAGTATGTGTCTGAATCTTTTTATTCTCATGACTAATTCATAATTTTGGCAGCTGTGGAATTCCGAGTTGTAAAATGTTTGCCCTCAGTATTTTAAGGGTGCCCATTGCCTTCTAGCCACCAGTATTGCTACTGAAAAGTCTGAAACCATTCTGATTCTAGATTTCTCATGTGAAATCTTCTCCCCCCAATCATAAGTTTGTTGAATCTTCCCTGTGCCAGTGAAATGACTCGATCTTTTGGGGATTTCGTGGGCTATTGCATCAACAAGCTCATATCTTTCAGTTCAGGAAATTTTCTCAAGCTATTTCTTTGAGTTTTCTTCCTTTACATTCTTTCTGTTTTCTCTTTCTGGGACTCTCCTTATTCAGTGCTGGAACTAACTCCTGAACTGGGTCTCTGATTTTCTAATCTTTGCTCTCCTGTTTCCTAGCACTTTGTCCTTTTTCTCTACTCTCTAGATTTCTTTCATATTCTCTTCAAAGCCTTTAACTAAATTTTTCATTTCTGCTATCATTGTTTTAACTTCCTAGGGCTCATCTTGTTTTTTGACTACACCTTTTTTATTGCATTCTGCTCTTGTTTCCAGGATGAAATATCTTCTTTTTCTGATGATATTAATAAAAGGGAGAATATTGGTATTAATTAATATTAATTTTTTTATTTTATTTATTTTTACTTTAAATAAAATTTTAATACATATTAATTTTTAAAATAATATTTTTATTTTAATATTTCCATCTTTCCATTTAGTCTCTGCTCCTAATTTTTCATTTTTTTATTTTTTGGATTGTTGTTGTTGTTTGTGGTCTGAGCTCCAAGTTTTGTATAAGGGGCTCTTCTCCAATGACTAGTGACCCATGGATGACTCACATTTCAGGGGGTGTCACTAAAGGCTGGTCGGTCACTCCATAAGCATGAATGAGGCATGTCCACCTCGGCGAACTAAACTGTTCACATGGAGAAATCACAGTGCCAATGTTTCGGGGTTTTTCCTTTTCAGCTGGTCATGCGCAGAGAAGAATCTTCCAAATGGCTGCCTAGAATGTGCAAGCTTGGCTTCCAGCATTCTGGAAACAAAATGAAAGAAGAGGACAGAGGGGTCTCAGCATTCAGTTGTAAACCTTCACTTACTCTCTTATCTTTTCAGTAAGGTGCCTATTCCCTCAATAGGATGTACCGTACCTTGTTACAAAGACCCTCTATCTAGCCATCTCTGGAGAATAAACCTCTGCTGAGGAGAGGAGGGACAGAATTTGGCTATTCTGAGTGGGGTAGGGGATCCCAAGTTCAAATGGCTTATTAAACAGACTTCAACCAATCCTCAAAGATTTTTTTTAAATCAACTTTATTGATTTAAAGTTGATTTAAAATCAACTTTACAATTTCCTCATGTCTCTGTGTACACTGTTAACTAAAACAAAATAACACATGTGGTTACCATAAGGGCCTCAGCAACTTGGGGGCTCAAGGCCTGTCCATTATCAGTCAGGTTCAATAAGGAGACAATACCCACACCAGTTCTTTGAACAGAGTAAAGAATTATTAACTAAGGCTGGCACGGTGGCTCACATCTGTAATCCCAGCACTTTGGGAGGCAGAGGCAGGTGGATTTCTTGAGCCCAGGAGTTGAGACCAGCCCAGGCAACACTGCAAAACTCCGTCTTCACAAAAAATTAAAAAACTAGTCAGGTGTGGTGGTGTACATCTATAATTCCAGCTACTCAGGAGACAGAGGCAGGGGGATGGCTTGAGTCCGGGAGGGAGAGGTTGCAGTGAACCAAGATCACGCCACTGCACTCCAGCCTTGGTGACAGAATGAAACCCTGTCTCAAAAAATAAATACATAAATAGAATTATTAACTAGGTTTAGAGTTGTTGACTGGGTAAGTGAAAGAGTAACTAACTCTAAAATATCACAGAACTAGCAGAAGTAGCTACCATAGCTAGGGGTGAGGTGACAGAGGGAAGAAGTTAGAGGTTATGAAAACTTGGAAACTTAGAGGAGGAGCCCCTGAAACTCAAACTGTTAAGGAGGAAGCACTGCTCGGCAGGTGCTAAAAGCAGGGCCCTGTGGGCCTGGGGCCCAGAGCTCTGAGAAAGGGGTAGTACAGTACCAGTACCAGGCTGGCTGGTGCTGGCATCTCTGAGTGGGAGGGCACAATGAGGCTGATTCTCCAAGTGTAGGGAAAACTGCCAACCGGATGGCAGGGTGAAGACGCACTGCCCACAAGAACAGCAAGCAGATGGGATGCCCACAGAAAGCAACGCCTCGAAGTCTCCCTCTGGCGCCCCCTATCTGCACATCCCAGCCAGAAGCCAGCTGACAAGGCACATGTGAGCCGTATGAGTCGGCTCCAGCACCCCAAAGCTGAAAGTCTAAGTGTGGGTTTGGAGCTAGAGACAGTAACTTAGTAACTGTCACACTCATCAGCTGGCAATGCCACCTACTCTGCATCACATTTTCCCTGAGCCAGTGAGACTTACCCATGTTTTTGGCATTTGCACCCATATCACCAAGGCTTCTTCAGCACAGCCCCTGAAACCATCAGCTGAGTGAGTCATGGGTTAGAGTAATTGAAACGCCCTGGTTTTGGCTTTCTGAGTGAGTCGTATAATGCAAACACCTGTGTATCTTCCATTCCTACCATCATTCCTGGTATATAGCAGGTACCCTTTAAATGTTTCTTGAATAAAGCCAAGCCTGTATTCAACTATGTGCTGATTAAACCAAGATACTGTTGCCTAAAAAAGCACCAACTATTTTTTTAGATAATAATATGCTATTACGGTTTAAGTCTGGCATTCAAATTAGGGCAACCCTTTAGAAAAACAATTTGGTTAAAAGCCATATCCATGAAGATATCAATCACGGCATTATTTATAGAGTGAGAGAAAGTAGCTCATGTGTTCTACAACAGAGGCGTGGTTAAGTTGTGAAACCATCTCTCATTAGCATAATATGTCTGCATGTAAAATCAGAGTTATGGGAATAGTGTTGTACTATCAAAAAAAAAAATACTTACGCCTTGGGAAGGCTGGATATCACAATGGGTAGAGCAGAGATTTCAGAGTCAAAGATATCCAGGTTCCAATCCTAGCTCTATCACTTATCCAAAGTGCAACTGAGACTCCCTGAGCCCTGGTTTCTTTATCTCTAGTGTCAGGAAAATGCCTGCTTCCCAGGATTATGTTAAGGATTAAATGAGAAAGAGAAAACAATCTATACAGATCTTGGTATGTGCCAGGTATTTCATAAGCAGTGAATGTTTTTATTGTCTTAAGTAAACATGGAGAATGGAAAGAGGTAGCAACACTATACTTACAATTATGCTTAAAAGAAAAACAGGTGCACTGGAGGAAAAAACTAAAATGAAATATGTTTAAATACTAAACAATGGTTGTACTGAGGGCTGGAATTATGATTGACTCCCTTTCTCTGTTCTCCAAATTATGTCATAATTCAATATATATATTGGGTCTCTGCCCCCAGCACTTGACACAGAACTCCTAAACCCTTGTAATAGCCTGAGTGATAGGGGTGCTAGGAGCAACTTTTTTTCTAATATTTAGTCTTCAATCCCTGTTCCTGACACAGAGCTCCTAATTTCCTGGACAATAGGAGTGGGGTTTTGGTTCTAATGAGCTGACTGCCAGTGGGCTCCTGGAGAGCATCAGGATAGGGGCTGGTCATAAGAAAGGTCAATGTCTGATTAGAAGCTTGGAACTTTCAGCCCCATTCCCCACGCTCTGGGGAGGAGAGTGGGGCTAAAGATTGAGTAATAATTGATAATGCTTATGTGTTGAAGTGTCCATAAAAATCCCTAAACTATGAGGTAGGAGAGCTTCCAGGTTGGAGAATGCATCCATGTGCCAGGAGGGCGGTGCCTCGCAACTCCACAGGGACAGAAGCTCCTGCACTCAGGACCCTTCCAGACCTTGTCCTATTTCCTCTTCATCTGACTATTCATGTCTGTCTTCTATAATCTCCTCTATGATAAACCAGTAAACCTAAAGAAAGTGTCTCTGAGTTCTGTGAGCCATTAAATTATTGAACCTAAGGAGCGGGTTGTGGGAACCCTGGATTGGTGGCCAAACTACACAGAGGTGTGAGTACCCAGTACTTGCGATTGGCATCTGAAATGGGAGCAGTCTTGTGGGACTGAGACTTTAACCTGCAGGCTCTCCCCTACCCTGGGTAGTTAGTGTTCAAACTAAATTAAATTGTAGGACACCCAGTTGGTGTCTGCAGAGAACTGGAGAATTGTTTTGTGTAGAAAACTCACACATTTGCTGTCAGAAGTGTTGTGCATAAATAAATGGTTCTCCTTTGCAGAAGTTATTCATGAAATTTGGTACTTTAATAATGGCAAAACAGGCCAGGCACGGTGGCTCACGCCTGTAATCCCAGCTCTTTGGGAGGCTGAGGCAGGCAGATTACTTGAGCTCAGGAGTTTGAGACCGGCCTGGAGGAACATAGCAAAACCCCGTCTCCACAGGAAAAAAAAAATTAACCGGGCATGGTGGCATGAGCTTGTGGTCCCAGCTACTCAGGAGGCTAAAGCAGGAGAATCATTTGAGTTTGGGAGGCAGAGGTTACAGTGAGCCAAGATCGTGCCACTGCACTCCACCATGGGTGACAGGCGTGAAACCTTGTCTCAAAAAAAAAAATGGCAAAACATATCATTTTTAAGAAAAAGTTATAAGCAAAACATTCCAAAGATCAGGAAAAGTCATGATTCATTGGTCAGCAAAATGTCCAAAGAGCTGCCTGCCTTCCTAAATAATTTAGTCCCAAAGCTATTAGTTGGGTCCAGGAAGGCAGACATTGTGCCAGGGCAGCAGCTGGGAGGGTTTTTGTCCCAGTACAGACAAGGGCACCTGTGCTGGCAGTGGTGGCTACACAGACAGACTGATTATACACACAGGTATGATGGAAGACACACTTCTCACTAAGGGAGAAAGGATTTATAAGTATGGAAAGGGAGGAACTGAATGAACCATGTGATCATGGGTTTGGTATTGGAGTTTTCAGTGTGGACTCAAGGCCTTCAAGATAGGCAGATAGACAGATAGATGGATAGATAGATAGATGATGGATAGATAGATAGATGGTAGATGATAGATAGATAGATAGATAGATAGATAGATAGATAGATAGATACAGATTTAAATTGTGTAGATGTATATTTACATAAACACATATACAGATATGCACATGTATTTGCTAACTCCACTGATGATTTTATTTCCTGTAGAACATTGTTTATTCAATCAATAGATTATATTTTTTCATTAAAGGTCTCATTATTTCCATGTTGCCCACCACCCAAACAAGACTTAGAGTTGCTGGTTTCGAATATTAAAGCTTAAAGGAAACATCCTTCCCCTGATTCCAGTCCAAGAATCACTGACAAACTGAACGACTCTCAAAAGCAATGAGGGGAACTAGTGCCCAGATCTCGGTTTCCATATCTCATTCTCCACCAAGAGAAACCACTGTTCCTTGGAAAGATGGCCAATGCCATGGGTGGGATAGGGAAAGCACAAGATGAGCCAGGAACATCTTGTTTTAGAAAGCAAGGGAGTGCCTAAAGAATGGAGGGGGTATGGCAAAAGGACACAGAAGCCTGCTGAAGGGGTGACCCCTTGGCCAAGCAGGGAGATTTTCAGCATCAAAATAAATAATGAGGCCAGGTGCTGTCATCCCAGCACTTTGGGACACCAAGGCAGGAAGATCACCTGAGGCCAAGAGTTCAAGGCCAGCCTGAGCAACGTAACAAGACCGTGTCTTTAAAAAAAAAAAAAAAAAAAATTAGCCCGGCATGGTGGTGCACACTTGAAGTCCCAGGTACTTGGGAGGCTGAGACAGGAGGATTGCTTGAGCCCAAGAGTTCAAGGTTACAGTGAGCTACGATCACACCGCTGTACCCCAGCCTGGGTGACAGAGCAGGACCCTATCTCAAAAATAAATTAACAAAAATAAATTAAAATTAATAAAATAAAGCCAAAATAAATCAAGAGTAAAATAGGAATCCCTGAGTCTACACTAATGTAAATAAAAATATGAATAAATAAATGTAGAGAAGAGAGTTTCTTTTTCTGTACAGAAGATGCCAACTAATAAATGCAGAAGTAATAGTGGACTTGGCAACTATCACAGTAATAATTAGGCCAAGAAACATCAATGGTGTTAAAACTAGTGGGAGGAAGTTTGATGAAGATCAAGATACTTACATAGTCTCAAAGGATCTCTCCATAAAGTGCTTTTTAATTACAAAGAGGAAAAAAGTAATTTACCTCGGAGAAGCCTGGCAGACACCATCTTAATCAAGCGATCAAAGTTAACATCACCGGTAATGGAACAAATTAAGATGGTGCAGGGCCTGACAGGATGCCATAGGAAGAAACACAGCATGGTTTCTGTGATTTTCCTACCAGAAATGCAGAATCAGAATCTATTCATGGAGAAACATCACACAAACCCCAATTGAGGGACGTACTACAAAAAACAAGTGTCAAGGTCATGGAAATCAAGACGGAGGAACTATTTCAGATTCGAGAACGCTAACCAGACATGACAGCCGCACGCAACCCCCTGACTCCGAACTGGAACATTTTGCTCTAAAGGACATCACCGGGATAACTGGGAAAAACCAATGGGGTCTGAGGACTTGATGGCAGTAATGTATTGAGATGAAATTCCTGGTGTTAATGGCTGTGTTGTGGTTATGTGAGAGTGAGAATGTCCTTGTTTGAGGAAATACACATTAAAGTATTCAGGAGTGAGGGGCCATCAGGCCAGCAACTTACTCTCAAATGATACAGAAAAAAAAAAGTCCTTTGTACTATTCTTGCAACTTTTTCATAAGTTAAAAATTATTTCAAAGGGGAAGAAAAAGTCCCAAAACTTCATTCTGGCTGTGGCTGAAAGCTCTGAGTCTTTCTTTATCTCACTAAAGGCAAAGGCTGCAGCCAGTTCAGGTGGCCAAACCTGTTCATCCTGACTGTCTTGGGGCAGGCTGCCAGGCGTGGGCAGACAAACACCTCCATGTGCAGGGGTTCAGGCCCGAGGCTGGCCTGGGAGGGCTGGATGCTGGCTGCAGGCCAAGGCTCCAGTGAGGAACCTCAGCACTAAGCACTCCAGGAGGAGGTCGGTGGCCTGTGGCCTCTAGGGCTTGGGATAGGAAGTGAAGCAAACCGGGACTTTTCCTATCCTCCACTGGGACCGAGACCTTACCATCAGGCCTTGAAGGCTCAGGGAAGGAGGAGCCTAGGGAAGGGAGGAGGGGAGAGGAAGAGAGCAGTGCCTTTGCTCTCTGGTATTGTCACATTATATATATAAACACATATATATACACATATATATACACGTGTGTGTGTGTGTGTGTGTGTATATATATATATGTGTGTGTGTGTGTATATATATATATAAAATCTAAGTCACCAGAACCTGTTGTCCTTGGCCCTCTATGCCATTTCCCCTTCACTGTTTCCCCAGCAGGGGTGGCAGGGGTCCAGCTGGTGCAGTTGCCAGTGGAACCAGGAGAGAACTGCCTTAGGAACCAGTGTTCAGTGGCCTGTCACTAAGGGTTTCTGAGGTTTGTTTTTCCCCACAGCAAAGCTGCTGCTTCACTTTTTGCATATTTTAACAGTTTCAATGTTTTCCCTGGGATAGTCCTACAAATTTCAAAAATGGAAAAGCAGTAAGCATTTGCTGATGCATGTCTTCTCCATGCAACTGTGAGCTGCTAAAGGCAAGCGCTGTGCAAACTCACTTTTCTATACACTCCCTCCCAGTGCCTAATAAGGGTCGGTCCACAGCAAGCGCTCAATGAATGCTTTGTTTCTCTGTCCAGGTGTGTGTGTCTGTGTGTGTGTGTGTTCCCGCACTGCCTTTTTCTGCATATCTGGGGGGCAAAGAGATAAGTCCCCACTTCCCTCCATGTTTCAGCCTGCAAAGGCTCTCTCTGAGGCACCTGATTCCTAAATAAGGTCGTTCATGTTTGTGACTGTCTAAAGTGGCGTGCTTTGTTCCTAAGAGATGGATAAGCCATCTTTATCTGCCATAAGAAACAAGTGAGACAATGGCTCCTAGAGATAAGGAGCTGGGCACTGGGCACATGCCTAGTGTGGCTGAAACACTGACTTTTGCACAGCGCAGAGAAGCTTGTCCCCACCCCACCCCAGTCATGAGCACTGTCCATTGTACTGAACGGTCACAGTTTGCAGCAACAGCGGACAATGGACCCCTGCTCAAGAGTCAGAGGTGTGGGAAAGAGGGTTAAAATAGGAATTTCCACTCCTCAGATGTTCTCCAAAGCCTGGTGGAAAGCACATCTGGGTCCTCACTGGTGACTGCTATGATCTAGATAAAGAATAGAGGCTCTCAAGAAATCAGAGATGGGCTCTGGGCTGGCAAGCTAGATCCAGGAGCTCTCATGGAGGTGATGGGGTCCCCAGGCTGGGCAAGCTCTAGGGCTGGAGGTTCTGCCCCCAGCAGTAGTGGCAAAAGCAGCTGTGAAGGCAATGCCTTCGGGAGCTTGCTGGCCCTTTTCAGGCTGTGCTATCTGAAAAGCATCTACGCATCGTACAGCCCATGTCAACAACATTTCGGCCCACAGAGCTGGAATGCTTCATTCAGCCCCAGGGCCTTATCTTCTGAGATCCAGTTACTAGCAACAAGCATCATGATAAGGTGGCAGCCAGGCGCCTGTCTGATCCTGCCTGGGTCCGGCATCTGACCCCAGTATGACCTCCCTCCTCTCCCACCTGGGCCTGACTCATGCTTCCAGAACAGGAACTCGAGGATCCCTGCTGCCCAGCCATAGCTGACTCATGGCTGGTCCAGGGGTTGCTCTGGAAGGGGCTCAGGACAGCTGTCAGCTCTCAGGAAGGAGACACCTGTCATTTCCTGAGCACCTACCATGTGCCAGGCACCAGGCACACCTCTGAATTTCATTGGTATAATTAACTTGAAGGGGATTTCTGATCTTTCGTAGAAAGGAGAAAAATGAGGATCAGGCAGAAGTGAATTCAAAGGCCAATCTCTTAGCACCGAGCACAGCCATCCACTCACCCTCAGTGCACTCCCTGGGGCCAGCCACCACCACCCCTGGGAACCACTGTTTCTTTTCTAAAATTTAAAAAAAAGAGAGAGAGAGATTGGGCCAGGCGCAGTGGCTCACACCTGTAATCCCAACACTTTGGGAGGCCAAGGCAGGCGGATCACTTGAGGTCAGGAGTTGGAGACCAGCCTGGCCAACATGGTGAAACCCCATTCCTACTAAAAAATACAAAAAATCAGCTGGGTGTGGTGGCACAATCCTATAATCCCAGCTACTTGGGAGGCTGAGGCATGAGAATCGCTTGAATCTGGGAGGCAGAGATTGCAGTGAGCCGAGATCGTGCCACTGCACTCCAGCCTGGGCGACAGACTGAGACTCTGTCTCAAAAAAAAAATACAGAGAGAGGGTCTCACTATGTTGCCAAGGCTGGTCTCCAACTCCTGGACTCAAGCAATCTTCCTGCCTCAACTTCCCAAAGCTCTAGGATTACAGGTGTGAGCCACCTCACCCAGCCTCACCGTTTCTTCATTCATTCCTCCATCCCACATTTATCAACGGCTTCCTCTCCTCTGCTTCATGGCCAGTCAGTCCCAGAGGGCAGACTTTGGGAAGCCCACCAGCTCTCCTGAAGGAGTCAGGCTTGCCTGGGAAAGGGGGCACTTGCACCCCAAGTCCACCAAGGCAGAGACAGGTATCCCTACTCCCTGCAACCCTCTCTCAGCCAGCGGGTGGGGCTAGCGTGGCCTCCATGGCTGCAGAGGGGTCTCTGGCCTGGACTGCAGCATGGTCTTGGCAGCACACTCCTGCACCCAGTAGGTGCTTCGGGAGGCATCCTTGCTGTCCCCTGGCATCAGCCCTGCAGTGGGTGAGCAGGTGAGGTGGCAGGAGCAAGGAGATCACCTCTCATTCCTGTGGTTTCAGGTGCCTGGCTGATGTCAGGCCTGAGTGATGTGGCAGTGGGGGCAGGGGGTCACTGTGTCTGGGGCCTGAATGGGGGCTGAGGCTTTTCCTTAAAAGTTCATAAATCACTAAATATGTCCCCTTTCAGCACAGCCACACCCTGGGCCTGTGAGGATGCATCTCCTCATGCAGACACAGACAGCTTTCCTCAGGCCCTGCTCACTGCTCACATGTGCCTTTATGGTGCCACAGGGATATGGTCTCATATCCCTCACACGTGCAGTGAATACACACATGTGCACATAACTCACACAGGCAGATAGTCCCTCTTGGGCACACAGGTGCATGCTACAAGCAGCCTTGTGTAAGTGCCCACAGCCCCCTCCCACCTCACACATGTCCACGTGGCTTCATGCTATTCCGGTGCCCACTGGTGTCCCCAGGCACAGAGAAGCACACACTTGGCAGGGCACTTAAGCTTCTCCAAGCACTCAGGGAAACACATGACTTTGTGCTATCGCACATGCTCCCAAATGTACACACTCACAAATATGCAAAGTCTGCAGGAGCCTGAATTCCATCACACACCTGCACAGTCATGTGCACTCAGCACTCACACATACACTGCGGTTCCCAGGGGTGGTGCTCACTCAAGGCAGAAGGTACACACTCAAATCATGCACACACACCAGATGCGCACGTGCATGCATGAACAACAGACTATGCCCAGGTGTCCACACAGCATTCGCACGTTCATGCCCACCAGTAGACTTGTAAGCGGGACCTTCAGGACATCAGGAACGAGAGTACAGCAGGGAGGGAACTGCAGCTGGCAGGATGCTGCAATCCCCAGCCTCACCTCTGGGAGCCGCTGTCGGGTCTGCAGCCAAGCCCTTGGCTTGGAAGGGCAGGAGCCTGCCTGAGGCACAATCCCACTGGCCTGAGCCAGCAGGTGGCACAGCTCAGGCTGGACCCAGCCAGCCTCAAGGAGGGAAGAGAGGGACATCATGGTGGCGCTGGACTCCCTGCAGGGTATGGGATGAACTCTGCTGCTCAGATGGGCAGGGGCTGCAAGAAGGAAGAATGGGCAGCTTGAACTCAGGGAGGCGGGTCTGTGGTGGGGCAAGTGGATGGAATAGAACTGGAGGGTGGAGGAGGAGATGGGAAATGGAAGGGCAGGGGGTTAAGGAAGAAATAAAGGAGGCAGAGGGAAGGACTGCGGGGAGGGAGACGAAAAGGTTGAGGATAGGAGGGGAGTGAGAGAGAAGAGAAGCAGAGAAGAAAAAGTGAGGAGAGAAGAGGGGCCAGACCGGGACAGAGCAGTGCAGGGCTGTGAGGAAGGAGGTAGAGGGATGGGCACGCCCTGCACCACCAGCCACCTAGCCTCCCTGTCCTGCCAGCTCCATACCCCGTCAGGAAAGACAGGCCAGGGCTCTGCTGCCCTGTGCCTCCTCCCTTCTCCAGACCCAGGATGTCGGCATCCCTGGATTTTGAGATCCAAAAGGCAGGGCTCAACTTACCCCACATGGAAGACAGTGACTCACACAGATGAGCCTGCTAGAGCACCTTTTCCAGGAGCAGAGACCCACAAGGGTGGACGGGGGCTTGCTTTCCCCTCTCCTGGGGCTGGCAGGAACACCCCACTCTTACCCCAACTCACAGTGATCGCCGGAGGGTGGTGCACTCTGCTCCAGCACCTGCCACCTGCCTAACACGCACTTGGGGACAGCTTCCAATAGGATGCAAGTGGCAGACAAAGGTACCCCAGGAGGGCAGGTGGGGGAGGGTGAGAAGCACTGGGGAATGGGCACCCCTCATCTCCCACAGGCTCAGCGGCTCCCTCAGGACAAGGAGAAAGCTGGGAACCCTAAGACAGAACTGGAGGTTCTCGTTGCCTAAATCTCTCCTGGCTTGCTGCACATGGAACCCATTTCTTCCCATTCAGGGCTCTGCAGAGGCAGAAGATGAACAGTAAGATGCAAAGATCTGGCAACCTTCAGAGCTGGGTGAGTCCTGGGGTCCTCACCCCATTACGCCTAAGCTACAACCCCATATTCCCTGTCCTCCCAGCCCTGGGGGCCCTGGTCCCACTACGCAGGGGTGGCTCAAAAGCCCAATGAGCTGGAAGGGTCTGAGAGAGCACCCCATGTCACAGGGGAGGTGAGGCAGCCTTGGACCTGGGATCTTGTTTGCGGCTCTTTATCATGGACACACTCCTAGAACTCCCCAGTCCCTCCACCTCCTCCTGAAGTACTCCAAGAGCTGGTCAACACCGAGAGCCCACCTCAGGCTGTGGCACGGCTCTTGGTGGGGCCTGGTGGGTCATGGGCTTGCCTCTCCCATAACTCAGGGCCCAGTTGGAGACACCGTGACTGTTCACTAATCAGACACCTGAGTGTGTAGGAGAAAGGCCTTGCCCACTCTATTCTTCAGATGAGAACACTGAGGCTCGGCGAGGCGACAAGTCTTTCTGAGGGCCAGTGGAGCAGACCAGCCTGGGAGGCCTAAGGGAAGTGCTGGCAGAGCTGAAGCCGCGGTTCCCCTGCCTGGTCTTGCAGTCCAGCCCTCCACCTCACCCTTCCCCCTCCCTCAGCCCTGCCCTGGGCTCCAAACTCCGACCTGATGGAGTCCCCACACCCTCTCACCTGGGCAGGCCCACCTCAGACTGCCTGCTCTAGACCCACACACCCCATCCCCTCCTCCCTCTGCAGGAGCATGCCCCTGCCATCACTCCCTTGCTCCATGAAACCCAAAGGCAGACCCCTCGCAATCCTCCCCATTCCCATAGCACTGCAGCCCCTGCATCTGACCACATCCCTTCCTGCTTAAAACTCTTCAACAGCTCCCAGCTTCCCTTGGAACAGAAAGCTCACTCCTCATGTCAGCATTCAAGAGCCCCGCATACTTTTCTGGCTTCATCTCCAGCCACTGTCACCCCCTACCATCACCTCCACACGACCCTCTTAACACCCTGGTCTGCTTTCCAAACACACAACTGCTTGCATGTCCCTGGCTCAGCCTACAGGGCCAGCTATGTCTCACCCTTACAAAACTTCACACGGCCATTCTAGAGAGGCCAAGTGCACCCCTCAGGGCTCCCGTAGCCCCCAGGCTTCCTCCCTTCCTGGTGCGTATCCTCTGTGTGCTTGTCTGAATCCTCCTCTAAACTGTAACCTCTCTGCAGGCAGGGGCCCAGCCAACCTTGCCAAATGATTGTCCTCTGCACCCAGCACACCCGTGAACCCCTAGTAGGTGTTAAAGAAACACTGTCTAACATTAGGCTCTAATTATTTCATTGATAGTGTGGTCTGGCTCCCCCCTCCATCCGCATGGGCCAAGGAGACACTCAGCCGGGGGTGGGGAAGCTGTCAGTCAAGTTCCCCTCAGCTCCCACCTCCATGCTCCCTCTCTGGGGGACGGGCCTGCCCCCACCATGGGGTTCCGGAGCAGTGGTAGGCCCACCACAGTGCCTGAGGCCCCAGGGACTGTCCCTGGGAGAAATGGCTTAACATCTTGTCAACACCAACCTCCCCAAGCTCCTTAATCACTTCAGACACTACACAGCTGATGGGTGAGCAAGAGGACCTGAGACCTCCCCCATCCCCTCTCCACCTGCCTACAGGTCCCTGGGGCCTCTGCAGAACCACCCAGAAGCCCCAAATTGTGACATCACCAGTTCAACAGCCTTCCCCACTCCCATCACTTCCTGAAACAGCCAGAGCGAGAAGATGATGCATGTGAGCCCTGCCCTTGGGAAGCTTCCAGGTTGGGAAATGAGGAATGAGCCTGACACCCAGGGCCCAGAGAGACCCAGGACAGAGGCAGGTCAGGAGGCAGACACGCGCTGCTGGGTAATGACGACAGCACCAGTAATCACGGCTACTCCTTGTTAAGTACTTACTAAGTGCAAGACTCCAAGCTAAGCAATTAATAGACCTTTTCTTGTTTAATCCTTACCACAATTCCATAGGGTGAGTATAATCCTTATTTTATAGATTGAAAAAGGAGGCTCAGAGAGATCTAGCAATGTGTGCAGCATCACACAGCTAGTCAGTGGTAGAGCTGGAATTTCAATCCAGATCTGCCAGCTGCAAAGCCGGTGCCCTTTCTACCCCACTTCAAGCTCTAGGTAGGGGTTTGTTACTTCCCTTCCAAAAAGCCTCATGGAAGCCCCATTACCAATAACATAAGCCCCCCACAGCTGAGGCTCCCCCAGTTTGACCCCTGCCTGCCTTCTCACCACTGCTCCCAACACACCACCATCACACCTTAGATTTTAACACTGCCCTTAGATTTTAACACTGCCGTTTTTGAAGTTTACCCCTCTGAGTCTTGGCTTCTGCTATTTACTCAGGCTCAAAAGCCAGCCCCACTTTACAGATGACAAAACAGAGGACTAAGAACGTTAAGTAAGTAGCCCAAGGTCACGCAGCTAGAAAGCAATTGAGCCTGGTTAGAGCCCAGGTCATTAGAGCATCAAGTAATCAAGCATTAATTTGTGTTACAGACAATTAGGGGATGAGAATTAGCAGGACTTGTCACTAATGGTGCAGAAGAAGTTAGGGGAGAGGAATCAGGCAGGTTCCAGAGTGAAGGAGGGCCAGGATAGGCCTTGAGAAATGGGCAGGTTCTGAAAGGGGAGGGCATGAGAAAAGTACAGAGATGACAGCAAAGAGAGAGAGAGAGGAAGGGACAGGGGGTTGTCAAAATTAGGGAGAGAATGTGGAATGGTGAAGAGAGCTGTGACTAGGAGTCAGGAGACCCGGCTGTATCCCCTCAACTTCCTGTGTGATATTGGGCAAGGAAGGCCCTTCCCTCTCTGGGGGGTGCCTTGTATATCAATGAAGGATAGATGCACCTAGGTGGTCTCTGGGGTCCCACCTGGCCCTGACATCCAGGAATTTGTGTGTGTGTGTTGCTATTGGATCTTGAAACACAGAATCTGACCCCAGACCCTGACACGGGGCACAGGCTTGGACACCAAGGGCAGACAGGGCCAGCTGCCAACATGACACCTGACAGAGAGCACCCGAGGGCTGTCCTCAGCCACACACAGTCATTCATGCACCCCTTCTCCCCCTGCATCCGTGCTACTAAGCATGTGTGGACTCGCTACAGTGGATCCAATCCTGTGGAAGCTGGAACGCAGCAGGGACGAACGAGTCATATCAAGGAAAGGCGTTTATCCTCAAGGAAAGGCAAAGGGAATGGAGGTCCTTAGAGAAGGGGCAGAGAAAAATTCCTGAAAGTAAGGGTGGAGTTTTCCAGATTGGAATACATGGTCTGCCAAATTGGAGGACATTTGAGGAAAAAGAATGGTCCCCAATCAAGACAGCACTGCATCCGAACATAAAGTACCTTTCAGACCATCAGCAAAGGAAACAGTCCTCTCCGGGGGGACCTGTGCTCGCAATAACAGACACTGCTGGAGATCTCAGAGCCCGTGGAGGCAGAAGATGCCTCACTAAAGACTGTGGACACACATATCTGGGCACACACACATGATGCACACACAGGTGCTCACACACAAGCCTGAACAGAGACCCCACCGTGGGCCGTCCATCCTCCCACTTCCCGACTGAGCTGGTAAGCAGCTCTCCCTCTCCAGGAAACACGCCCCTCACGTGTTGATGACATGCAGCCCTGGAAGTCAGAACGTCTTGCCGTCTCACCTCGATCCCTCTTGCTGCCGTTCTGATGTGCTTGCTTCTTTTCTGACTCAAGAGATGCCAAACAGAAACAGTCCCACCCACCTCTGCGTCCTGACTTTCGCCCTCTGGAACATGAACTCAGCTCTTACCTTTCCTATATGTTTGACCTCCATACCCCTGTCTTATTCACAACTGAATGCTAAATGATGGATCATGGGCACTTGGGAGCCCACGTGATCCTCCAGTGGCCAGCCTCACTGTACCCTCCAGATTTATCCCACAGCTAGAAGCTCAGCACAAGCACTAGCTCCTCTGCTCACTGGCTGCGAAAGCTCCGCCTGAGTTTCTGTGCTCTACAAGGTTATGGTAAAGATTACATGAGAACTACCTGCAAAGCACTTAGCACAGAGCAGGGCACAGAATAAGCCCTCGATGATGAATAATACACTTATTATTAATATTTGTTCCTAATTTTAACTCCCTCTACCTTTATCCCACCATCCCATAGGTTGAGTAGGAAGTCCTTCTTGAAGTCTAATCTCAAGAATTCATGCCATGGATTGGGCCAATGTTCCACCTTTATTGGAGTCTGGGGACTTAGGTGGAAAAGGCAGAACTGGCTGGTTGGAGGAGCCACCTCCCTGCAAGGGGCCAGGAGGGAGATTACGGAGGCGCCAAGCCCAGAGCTCCAACATGCACCTGCCACAGCTCCAGGGGAGATCGGGGGCCTGCCAATTTACCCCGCCCCATGATCTCATGGCTGTGTGCGCCAGGCACTGGCTCAGGGAGCAGGTACTGACAGCAGGGCCTGGGCAAGAAGCCCAAGACAAGACGGAAAGGCTGTGGAGAGCCGGCAACAGAGCTGTCCCCATGGGGCTCAGACACGAGCTTCCTCCAGCCTCCACGTGTGGCCTTTAGCTAGTGACTCACCATCTCTGTCCCTCCTTCCAGGCCCTTCCATGCTCCCCAGTAGCCTCCCCGTGCTGCCCCCTCACCCCAAAAGACAATGGGTGAGGGGAGGGGAGGCTCTCTTCCTCGCCAGGGGCCAGTCCCTCCCCTGCATCTCTTTCTGCTGACCCTGAACAGGACACCCTTGTTTTAAAGCACAGGAAGTTTGCTGTGCAGGAGATAGGTGGCCAAATGCTGTCACTCCTGAGGCTGCTGCAGGCATGCACCTAAATGCCAGCTGTAAAGGGACTATAATCCCCAAAGAGATGCCTCTCTCTCTCTGTTTCAGCTCTCTCTCTGTTTCAGCATGTCCGTAGAGATCAGACAGACCAGGAGTCAACCCCAACCGCAAGGTCTCCTGTATCTTGACCCTCAACCTCTCCTTCCCCAGCTAATTCCTGGATATGTCTCTCCCCAAATTATCCCCTCCACCCACCCCAAAATCCACCATTGGGGATCCAAAGACCCTCCCCTGAGCCTGGCTGGACAGGCTGCAGCTTCTGGAACACAGCATGGGCAGGCCTGGCTAGCAGCCCCAGGTGAAGGGGCCATCTGGTCCTACTGGACCACCAGGGGCTCCCTTTGCCTTCTGATTACAGGAAGAGGACTCCACATGGCCCAGAGTTCTGCCCTCAGGGTGCATTATCTGCTCCCCATCTCACTGTATGCTCTCAGGCCTTCAGCTCCAGCGCAGCCAGACACACGTGCCTCCTTGTCCCCACCAAGGATCTCCTCACCTAGGTCCTACCCCTTCCAGCTTCCTGGCCCTACTTCCTCACCTACCCTTCCTGCAGGGAGCCACCTGGGCTCTGCCTGTCTCTCCCTCTGCAGCCACCACCCCAGCACTAGAGTCCAGGTGCCCCTGCTGCTCCCACCTCAGACCTTGGTCTGAGAGACACCAGCCTCCCCCACCCTCAGGGAATTCCTCAAAAATCAGAAACCTCATGACCTGGGTCCATCCACCCTACACACACACACACACACACATATACATGCTCTATCCTCCCTTCCCAACCCCCGGCCCCCACCTCCCTCTCTGTAAGGAAACTGGGGAGACTCAAGTCCCCTCCAGCCCAGGAGCTCTGTGAATCTGAGGTTTCTCTCCACGGCCTCAGGTCCGGGCTTCCGCCCCGGATGCAGCCGAGTCTGGAAGCAGGCTGACCACAGGGTACACACACTCCTGACTGGCCTCTGGCTCCTAAGGAGGGGGATGGCTGGCCTTGGTAGCACTCCCCACTCCACTTCCCAGAATCTCCCTCAGCCCCACCTTGGCAGAAGCCACACTCCCCTCTTTTCTCTCCCCAGCATCTCACAGAGAAGATACTTGGATGGGCCACAGGCCAAAACTGGGCCAAAACCCTGGAGAGGGGGACCTGGCTCAAGGCCACACCACATTTCCATGTCATTTTCCAGTGGCACCAACTGAGCTGGACAGGTGTGTGGCTGGACAATCCCCACCCAGGAGGCAGGGCAAATTCCCAGAGTACCAGGTCACTGAGCCATCTCTGGGGTACGGCTCCCAAGGACTGGCTGGTTCTGGAATGATGCCGCTAGGATGCCAGATGCCAGCTGCTCCCCCTGCCTGCCCCAGCCTCAAAGAAAGCCTTGTCCCTCCCAGACCATCACATACTCCCCGCTCTTGGAAGCCTTCCCTGGCCAACCCCACCCAACTTTTACCACTTACTATACCACTTACTTCACGTCCCCTCGGCACTTAGATCCCAAGTTACCCTGTACTCATTTGCCCTTATTTATGTATTACTTTTCAGATGTTCTCACAGAGCTACACATGCCACAGTCATCACTAGTTGCGAGAGTCTCCAGTGTTCATTAAGCCTATTTTGCTGGAAGTTTAGTCCCTGGAGGATTAGTCCCTGCCCTTAAGGAGTGCCAAAGAAGACTTTGGAATCTAAGTCACATCTCCCCTGCTGCAATTTTTTCCTCTTGATAATCAAGGAATCTCACTGATAAAACTCTCAATGAGGAGCAGCTCTCCCCATGAGCAAGTTCTTGCCTTCATTGCCAGGGAGGCCCCAGCTAAGGTTATACTGGGAAAGGAATCTCTGGGGAGTACCTGGAAGAGGTCAGCTTCTCCTCAAAGGAAGCCTCTCCAGCTGGTGTACTGCAAAGCCTTCCAAGACCAAGTTCCCTCTTCCTGGCCTCTGGAACCAGCCTGTGTGCCAGCGCTGTGTCCCCAGTAACACACATGAGTCTCTCCCTCAGAAGCCACAGAAGGATGCAGAGAGAGACCAACCCAGGATTGATTCTCAGCACTTACTAATTGTGTGGACATAACTGCTCTGGACCTCAGCTTTGCTATCTATAAAATGAGCACCCTTTTTATAGATATGAACACTTTAAGAGAGTCATAAAGATTGAAGTTGATTTGTGCTGCGCCTGGCACAGAGGTCTCCCTCAGTAAATGGCAGCCACTGCTATTGGGGTGCCCCAACACCCCTTGCCCCTGCCCACCATTAGCTTTCACTTAGGCCCACACTGAGGGTGTGGCTGTTGTGTTGGGGGAAGGAAAAAAACCATGCCTGGGTTGCAGGGCCCCCACCACCAACTGGTCTGCTTTTGTGGGAAGCATTTTCTGATGCCCTCGCCCTACCCGTGGGCTGGTTGACTAAGTGTCCAGCATCATGAGGAAAAGAGCAGGGTTCAGGGACAGCTTGGCTCAGCCCTGAAACTCATCTGGGCCTAGGTCCAGATGAGAGGCAAGCCTGGGAGGCCTTCCGTTGTACCCTTGCCTATCCTGCAGCACCCTCTAGCCTGCAGGCCGCTCCTGGGTGGCATAGCACCTTGGATGTCAGGTGTGGGCCTTCCCAGGCACATGGCATGAGGGGGCACTTCTGTGGGTTGTTGGGGGCAGGAAGGGATGTGTCTCCAGCTGGACTTGGGCTCTCGCATTTTGGGGCCCAGCCATGCCAGGACAGCACACATGGGCGCTTAGTGCGAATCTCATGATGGAGCAGAGGAGGAGCAAAGCAAAACCAGGGAGTCCCCAGGCCCCTGCTTCTGCCCCGCCCAGAGACAGTGGAGCAGGTGTCTCCAGCTTCTTAACCTCAACGCACAGTAAGAAATACATTTTACAGCAACCAATAGACACATACATTTACAAAACGATACTCTGTAATGCACTGGGCTGGTTTTCTCTCCTCACGCCCCTCTAGTGAGTCACAGATGAGTCCCGCTATAAGTAATGTAAGCAAGCCACAGTCCCTGGCTGGCAAGTGAGGGAGTGCCCCACCAGGACAGGGACACTGAGGCAGCAATGAAAACAGCCAATGCAACCACTCCTTCCTTTTTCCCCCGCTCAGACCCTCATGGGTGAGGAGAGAAGCTGCCAAGCCGAGGACTCCATGAGAAAGATGCCGGAGCTGCCCCACTCCGCAGCAGGCGCTTCCCCTGGATTCTCACTATCCTCACGACAGCCATGAGCACCAGCAATTATCTGTTCCATTTTGGAGAGGAGGCAATGCAGGTTCAGAGGCTTTAAAAAGATTTACTATGTGCTTGCTGTGTGCCGGCAACGTTTATATGGTTTATATAATGCTGAATGGTTTATATAATGCTCAGCGCTTACCTATTCCCCAGAGCAGCCCTAGGGAGCAGGTACCGCTGCATCTGCATTGGCAGAGGAGACCGCGGCTCCCCCAACCCCCGGCTCAAGGTCTCACAGCTAGTTGCAGGCCTGCATCTCTCAACCCAGAACACCTTTAAGGAGTCCCTCCTGCCCCAGGCAGAGTCCTAGGCTTCCCTGCAGATCCAGGTAAACTTCAGGTAGGAGGAGGCCTGCCTGTAAGTGGGGAACATCAATGGGAAGGAGCAGATTGAAAGCCAGAAGAGAATATGAAGAAATGGCTGTGGCTGTGGGCTCACAGAAAGGGGGCAGCCCCCTTGCCCAGCTCTCCTCCATAATCCAGAGGCTATTTTAATTTAATGATGATCATAAAAGAAATATTGACGGTGTGGCTGAATCAGGCTCTGCTGTGGCCTCCACGCAGGCAGCCTGCTCTGGACCCTGTGGTTCCCTGGCTGCTCCAGACCCCCTCGCTCCCCAAGGTCAGCTGCAGATCAGAGCTTCCTGGGCACAGAGAGCCCTGCTCAGAAGGGACATCTCCATTCGCAGAGGTGAGACGGCCTGAGGGTTTCACGGTGGAAAGGAAAGCCCTGTCTTTGGAACCTGATATGGATCTGGCTGCCAGGGTCCAGGGTCACCTGTGGGGAGGGGCAGCAGCCGCCCAGCTCTGCCAGAGACAGAGGGCAGGGCCAGACCTGGGGCTTCCCGCCCAGGATGCCATCAGCCAGTTGAAATTCCAGCCCACGCCGGCACCCTGAGGGCTGTCGGGGAGGGGTGGGATTTATGACTTCCCCACCCCCCCGCAACACCCCAAAGGGAAATGTGTTGAGCTGGTCAACATCTCTCTGGTCACAGGGCCAGTGCTCCTGAGGCTCCTAAATAATGGGGCAGGAGCCAGGTCATTAGGCAGGGGAGACTGTCATTAGTGCGGGTGATGCCACCACCGCTCAGACAATGGCAAACAGTCATTAGCGGCTGTGTCACAGGGATGAGGCAATGCTGGATGGCTGGGGCGTGGCGCTTCCCCAGCCACACACTCACACACACACGCACATGTTCACACACAGAGGAGGAAGTAGTCATGCTCAAACACTCACTCCCACAAGGACATCTAGAGACACACACATCCACACGTGGGGGCATGAGTGGGTGTGTCTGCACACTCACATGCTCACATGTCCACACACATTCACATGCAGGGTGTGAGGAGGCATGTGCTCCCACGTGTTCACACAGTCACATACAGGAGAACAAGCAGACAGCCGCATTTGCACACTCACATGTTCACACAGAGGAATGAGTGAGCACAGGGTGCAGGGACACATGTTCACACACAGTCACAACAAATTCACACACACACACAGGCATACTCGCATGCTCACGTTTCCAGATTCACACGCAGGGGCTGAGAGACACATTGCCCAGAAAGGGCCACAGTGTCTGGGACACCCCCCACCCACACACACCACAGGGGCAGGGCCCTCGGATCCTCCCCACACCAGGCACCCAGACACCCCCTACCCTGAGATAGCCACACAGAACCTCAGGGGCCCCCCGAGGAGAGACCCAAAGACACCCCCTCATCCCACCCCTCCCCCTGCATCAAATGATGCAGCAGCCAGGAAGGAAAAACCCAGTGAAGCGTGGAGGCAGCCAGGCTGCGTGGACCTTGGCAGAGGCGGTGTCAGCTGTGCCGCCGCAGTGCTCTCCACACTCCCAGCTCTGACAGCCAGCACAGACCTGCCCCCAACATGAACCCCCAAAAAATGGGCTGCTGTAGGCGTGTTTCTCTGCTCGCCTCCCTGTGGGAGAGGGACAGGAAGCGGGAGGCTGGAGTTGGAGGAGCGGGGGAGTAGAGCAACTGAAACCCAGCCCCTGGCCCTGGCTTGAATCTTCTCTCCCGTCCTCACCAGGCTTTCCCCCCGCCAAGCTATGGAGCCGCCCTTCAGAAAACACAGGCAGGGAGTGGGACAAGAGGCAGAGAAAGTGGCAGGCACAGCCACGCCAGGCCAAGAGAGCAGGCTGGAAACCAGCCCTCCACTCTGGGTTCAACATCTAGCTCCACCACTTATCAGCTGGTAGTATTAGCTTCCTGCGGCTGCTGTAACAGATTTCCAGAATTTAGGGGCTCCACGCAACACAACTCTATTTCTTCATTTAAATAAATCTTACTGGCTGGGTGTGGTGGCTCATGCCTCTAATCCCAGCACTTTGGGAGGCTGAGGTGGGAGGATCACTCGAGGTCAGCAGTTCAAGACCAGCCTGGGCAATATGGTGAAACTCCATCTCTACTAAAAATACAAAACTTAGCCAGGTGTGGTGGCACGTGCCTGTAGTCCCAGCTGCTCAGGAGGCTGAGACATGAGAATCACTTGAACCCAGGAGGCGGAGGCTGCAGTGAGCCGAGATCTTACCACTGTACTCCAGCCTGGGTGACAGAGCAAGACCCTGTCTCTAAATAAATAAATAAATCTTACTTACCACTGCAGCTCTGGAGGCCAGAAGTTCAAAACAGTCTCACTGGCTGAAATCAAGGTGTGGGGCTGAGGTCCCCCTGGAGACTCCACAGGGGAACCCATTTTCCTGCCTTTTCCAGCTTCCCACATCTGCCCACATTCCTGGGCTCCCTTCCATCTCCCTCACACCACCTCAGTCTCCTGCCTCCCTCGTCCAGTTTAAAGGACCCTAGTGATGACACTGGGCCCACACAGACAATCAGGATAATCTCTCCACCACGAGATCCTTAATCCCATCTGCAAAGTCCCTTCTGCCATGTAAGGGAACATGTTCATGGGTTCTGGGGATTAGGATGTGGACAGCTTTGGGAGGCTGTTATTCTGCTCACACTGAGACAAGTCGTTTAAGCTCTCAGAGCCTCAGCATCTTCAACTGTAAACTGAAAATATCTCCTCCACATGGGTGGCCATGGGATTTGGAAAGCCACGTGAGTCCTCAAAGCACTGCGCCTCTCACCCAGGCCACCTCAGTCAGCAGCACTGCCCTCTCCAGCTGGGGCTTCCTGAGGATGGCTTTGAAGCAGTGTGCGGCAGGAGGGGGACCGCTGAGGCCAGTGAAGGGGTCCGTGTGGACTTGGGCAGGGGTCGACAGTTGGGGTAAGGACTGGGGGGAGCGGGTGTCCGTGGGGGTTCCCTGGATCTGGGCGGCAATGAGCCTGTGGTGAGGGGAGACACCCTGAGCTGAGGACACAGCTGCAGTGACCCAGCACTCAGTCTCCTGAAATGGGCTGCTGTAGGCGTGTTTCTCTGCCCGCCTCCCTATGCGAGAGGGATAGGAAGCGGGAGGCTGGAGTTGGAGGAGGAGGAGGAGGAGGGCAACTGAAACCCAGCCCCTGGCCCTAGGTTGAATCTTCTCTCCCGTCCTCACCAGGATTTCCCCCCGCCCCAAGCTGTGGAGACACCCTTCAGAAAACACAGTGGGTGCTGCTCCTGTTTATTCCTGCCCTCCCCTCCCTCATCTACTGCCATCTGTTTGCAGGGCCCCAAGGCCAATGGGCAGGCAGAGGCCCCAGACCAGCCTGCTATTACCCTGGTAAGTGCAGACTGCAGAATGATGACCCAGGCAGATAAACCCCACATAGAGGAATCGCCTGCTGGAAAACAGTCATTAGCCCCAGATCCCTCCTGGCACTGTTTGCCCTCTCAAAAGGTAGCCAGTGGCCGCTCAGAGAGGAGCTGGGGTCATTGGATTCCCACCAGCCGGCCCTGCTCCATCCAGCAGCCCAGGCCGGGGCCCAGTCCTGAGCCCATCTACGCCCACTGGCCCAGCCCGCCCACTCCCTCTGCTCCTCACCTCATCTCCATTGGCTGCCCTTCCCCAGCCCAGCCCAACCCCAGCTCTTATCCCACCCAACAGAGGGACTGCAAGGCCGGGGAGTGGCAGGGCTTCTGGAGATGCTTATTTGGAAGTCCAACTAGCTCCTCTGAGCTTCAGCTGCTGCCTTTATCTGGCCCGATAATAGACCGAAACCATATTCTGCTCCCTGTTAAGCTATCTGTGAGCCTGCCAGGGTGGTAGCGGCACTCTGGGTGCTGAAGGATGAGGCGGAAAATCTGGGCGCAAGCCCCATTCCTCTGCAAAATGGGAGTGCAGCAGCCCCATGCCTGCCTGCTGGTGCTGAGGAGATGGCATTGGTCACATGAGCAAGCACTTGCTGTTATCCTAGGCACTGATGCTTCCTCCCTGAGACATGGTGGGCAAGGCTGGCACCCGACTGGCCTTTCACAGACCAACTGCCTTGGAGACTCCCCACCTCTCACTGCATCAAGGAATCCCCAACAGGTGCTGAAGGAAGCATATAGAAGGATGGGGAGGGGAAAACACAGCTTCCTGCACATCATAGATCTCTGATAAATAGGTGCTGAATGCTTAACGTTCAGCCACGGAGCTCCCACTATATGCCAGGCACCGTGCTCAGTGCTGGAAATACCACACACCACAATAGATGAAGCTGCCCTTCTCCAGATATGTCCTGAGCCTCCTAGACAGCCACTGAGGACCCCTGGATGGACAGAACATCCCTGCATGGCAGGCAGACTGCAGGCTGGTGGCTCCCCGCCCTATGTCAGTTGGAGCAGTGCTCAGCGCCACCCTGGGCCACTGCCACCCTGGCAGGCCCACAGATCACTCAACAGGGAGCAGACTATGGTTTCGGTCTATTATCGGGCCAGATAAAGGCAGCAGCTGAAGCTCAGGGGAGCTAGTTGGGCTTACAAATAAGTGTCTCCAGATGCCCTGCCACTCCCTAGCCTTGCCGTCCCTCTTTGTTCTTTCCTGAAAGCAGCCCCAGGGAGGAAGATACCTGCTAAATAGCTGTGTACAGTGTCAGGAGTGGAAGGGTGAGGAGGCTGCAACCAGCCGGCAGCTGGCCCGGAGGCAGGGCTGGATGGAAAGAGACTCCAGAGCTCAGAAAGTGCTGGTCTCAGGGGCAGCAGGGATCCAGAATTGTGGGGTGAACACCCATCACAACCCTGCCTCGCTTATCTTCATATTTGCCCCACTGCTCAGCACAGGGACAGGCACCCAGTAGAGACTCAGAAATGCCCAAATAGCAGAGGTAGGTAAGATTGGCCCGTTTCTGCAGTGACCAGGATTCCAGGCATGGGAGACTAGGAGGAGGAGAAACAGGGTCCTCAGCCCTGTCTAATGGGGGAGGGAGAGAAGAGACCCTTGCCTAAAGAGAGCCATAGAGAAAGTGCTAATAATAGAGGGCGTGCTGTGTCTCAATTGAACAACTGTTTACTGCACACCTGCCATGTGCCGGTGGCAACAGAACAGTGAACAACACAGCCCCTGCCGTGGTGGAGGTTGCTTTTGAGAGCTGTCTTGCTCAAAGGAGAAGTGAGGGGGCTTCCTGCAGGGAGAAGTGGCTGAGGGCCACTGTGAAGCCCAGAGACAGAGGGAGGGAGGGGAGTGGCTGAGTGTTTGTCTGAGGCCTAAGAAATGAGGGCTGTAGGAACCTCCCTCATGGGTCACAGCCAGGCACAGAGGGTGGCATGGAGAGTGGGCATGACAGGACCCCTGTTTCTGGGACCTGGCCTCTCCTCCTGGGAGAGGACACAGATGCAAGGACATGGTGTTTCCTGGGGAACCAAGGCAACCTGTGCTGCCCCTCGGCCCTCCCTGCAAGGCATTGAGCAGCCGGAGGAAGTAGGGCTCTCCTGCCAGTTTCCCTTTGTGCAATCCTCCTTCCTGCTCCTCTCCACCCAGAAGCAGGCCTGGCAGCCTTGCCAAAATGCCACTGGCATGAACCAAGCACCCACACAGTGGGGCAGGGTCTAGGGTTCCCCAGGAAGGCTGGGCCTACCCTACACCTGGACCAGAGGAAAGCTGCCCACCCCAACATGCTCCATCCCTGTGTCCCACCTCAAAGGAAAGGGACCTGGGGGCCTAAGGCTTGGTCCCGCTCCGCCCCACATACATGTCTGACAAAATTCTAGGACTGGTGGGGCCTCTGCCATCTTGGGGAGGCTTCCTTCTGCTTCTTTGCTTTGCAAGAGGGACCCTAATCTTTTCACCCCTCCAAGGCATTTGGCCATGACCAGACGCTGGGCCAGAAGCTGAAGGAGCAGGATGCCAGGCCTAGGAGTCAAATGGCGGTGGTCTGCCTGACTCCTCCAGGCAGAGGACCCAGTATCAACCTGTGACTCATCCCAGTGAGCCCAGCACAGCCTAGCAAGGGTGGGGCAGGGGCCCCAAAGCTAGCTGCCAGAGATGGGGGGACACCCATGCTGACTTCCTTCCACATCCTGCCTGGGCTCTGTCACTCTACAGCATCCCAAAGCTCTTGCGGTTGTACCCTGTGTTGAAATCCAGTGTAACATGGGCGCTGGGAGGAAGGGTGGCCTTTTACTCACTCCAGAAAGAAATAGTTATCAAGCACCTATGATGTGTGCCAGGCACTATGCCAGGCATTGGGACACTAAAGAAACAAAGCCACCACACAGTCCGTGTGCTCACAGAGCTGTGCAGGGGAGGCAGACACAAACACGTAAACACCAACAATAAATAATTACAAATTGGGCTGAGTGCTGTGAAGACAGGAAAGTGTAATTAGCCCATGCCTACCTCTCCCTGGCGCCAGAGGCCTGGCCTCATTACAGAACACCCGCACCTGCCCAACCTCCCAGCATGCTGCTTGGCCAGGGACCGTGGATCGCACTGGAAGCCAAGTACCCAGCAGAGCAAGAGGCTCCACTACAGTTTGAGGAACGTTTGTTGAACTAAACTGGAAAAAAAAAAAAAGATTTGTAGTACAACCTAATTTTACAGGCCGTTGAGGCCCAGAGAGGCCAAGCATTTGGCTCCAAACCACACAGCTGGTGAGTGGCAGAGCCCCAGACCAGAAACCAGGTCTCCTAAGTCCAGGTTCAGTGCTCCTGCCACATCCCAGGCTGCCCGCTGGACAGTCTTGAACCCTTTCACAGCCTCCAGGAATCTGCAGCCTCCTGACCCATCTCAGATGCCTGCTTTGCAGGTCAGCACTGTCCGATAGGACCATATGTGATGATGGAATTGTTCTATATCTGTGCTGTTCAACCCAATCACCTGACACCACTCAGCAGGTGCAGGGAAAGGTGGCCAGTGTGGTGGGGTCGGCGGGTGGGAAAATGGGCAGGGCTGTGGAGAGAAAAAAGGCATAGTGGAGGTGAGACCCAGCAAGGAAGAAGGATTGGGTTTGGCATTCCGAGGAATCTTCCATCCCCAAAGCCACGGGGAGCCCCTGAAGGATAGTATGCACAGTAAAGACATGCCTTGATGAAAGCCTCTGTGGGACTCCAAGGGCGTCACTGCTCCTCTGAGCTCTACAGTACCTCCAACACTCCAGTAACACCAGCTGGAGTAGTCATTCATTCATTCAGTTGTCATTCTCTGTCAAAACCCCACACAAATAATTTCTCACATCCGCAGCACATAATGCTGGCCCAGCCTGAAATACCCTTCCCCTCCCCTGCCTGGACAGCTCTTGCTCTTCCTTCAGGCCTGAGCTCATGGTCCCTATCTGGGAAGGCATCGTAGACACCGTCACCTGGGTCATTGCCTCTTCCATGTCTCCATAGCCTGCCTGGCATGTGGAGGAGGCTTAATTTCTCTATCCTTGCTGTTAGTTCTCCTTTCTTGACCCTTCCCACACCTACACTTACGTCCCCAACCCTCAGCTCTGGGACCCTCAGAAATTCTGACCACAGGCCAGGCACCTGTAATCCTGGAACTTTGGGAGGCCGAGGCGGGCAGATTGCTTGAGGTCAGGAGTTCAAGACCAGCCTGGTCAACATGGTGAAACCCTGTCTCTACCAAAAAATACAAAAGTTAGCCAGTCATGGTGGTGCGCACCAGTAATCCCAGCTACTCGGGAAGCTGAAGCGGGAGAATCGCTTGAACCTGGGAGGCAGAGGTTGCAGTGAGCCGAGATCGCACCACTGCACTCAAGCCTGGGTGGCAGAGTAAAATACTGTTACAAAAAAAGGGGGGGCCAGGTGCGGTGGCTCACGCCTGTAATCCCAGCACTTTGGGAGGCCAAAGCAGGCGGATCATGAGGTCGAGATCAAGAACATCTGGTCAACCTGGTGAAACTCCATCTCTACTAAAAACAAAACAAAACAAAATTTAACTGGGCATGGTGGCATGTGCCTGTAGTCCCAGCTACTCGGGAGGCTGAGACAGGAGAATTGCTTGAACCCAGAAGGCAGAGGTTGCAGTGAGCTGAGATCACGCCACTGCGCTCTAGCCTGGGCGACAGGGCAATACTCCATCTCAGAAAAAAAAAGAACTTCTGTCTCAAAAAAAAAAAAAAAAAAGAACTTCTAACCACATAGCCACAGTCTGCCAAAGACCCTCAGCCCCCAGCCTAGGTCCTCCCACTCCCAGGACTTGGACCCTGGATCAGCCCTGCTCAAAGGGAATATCCAGAGAATAAAGGCCAGGAGTTGCTAACTTCATAAGGGAGATGGCACTGACCCAGATCACGACCATAGGTGGGGACATGCATTTAGGGGAGAAGATGAAAGATTGACAGAAACTTGAGCAGGCTCATGTGGGAAGGCTTCTTGGAGGAGTGGCCCTCCTTCCCATCATGTCCTGCAGTGATACAAAGATTTTCCCCTGTAGATTCCAAACCCTTTGCTGGCTCCCCTGCCCAGAGAGTCCCTGTCTGTCTCCCCAAGAGTCAAATCCTGCCCCAGAGCCTGACCCAGGCTAGGATGTGCCCATTGGAACATTCACCCAACAACTATGTCTTGCCATCCAGCATTTCCAGAGACCTGATGCTCCACAGGCCAGGAGGCCTCAGGCCAAATGGGGAGCAAGGCAAAGAGGAGGCGCTGAAACTATGACACAGGGATGCCATTCTCATAAGGACATCCAACTGGGCTGCAAGGACACAAACCCTGTTCCCTCTGCCCCCACCCAGGGCCGAAAGGAGGAGCTCCAGGCCAGGACTCTGAGTGGGCAGGTGACTCCGAGAGGGACAGACAGACAGTAAGATAAGTGAGAGAGAGCATGACAATCGAAAACACAGAGGAGGCGGATGAGAATGCGAAGGAGACAGACCACAGGTTGGGTGGGAGTGACGTGGAGAAGGAAATGGGAGGAGGAGAGAGAAAAAACAAGAAAACTCCCCCTCACTTCAAGACCAGTTCCAGGAGGCTCTGGCAGCCCAGCCTAAGCCTCTTCCCCATTCCTCGCCTCTAGCCAGCCCAGCCCCTCCTCTGCTCTTTCTCTGCCTCCTGGATCATCAGGATTGTGTCCTGTTACCAGTGACAGGGGACTGGGGTAAAGGGGATAGACTCAAGAGGCAGGAAAGGGAGATGTAGATTCCTGTCCCTGGACCATGTAAGGACTAGAAGAGCAGGGTTCCGGAGTCCCAGAGGGTACAGGATGTCCAGGTGTTATTTCTAGCGGGGGTTGTCCAAGCCCATCCTCACCTGAAGCCCCAAGCAGGTTTGTTTATTTGTACATCCAGGAGGGAGTTGGAGACTGCTTGGGTACCCAAACATCCTCAGAGAGACGGAAACCTTCCCCCACTTTCCATCTCCCACCTCCCAACCCCTGCCAGGCCTCCTGCTTCCCTGGGTGGGGGTCCAAGCCCCCAGGTGGTTCAGGCTCTGTACCAAGGCCAGGAGAGGGTGATGTCAGGCCCTCTGGCCTAGCTGGGACAGAGAGCCCTGCTCAGAGAGTGCAGCCTGGACCAGGACCCCCAGGGATGCCAGTTCCAGAGTAAAGGGAGTAGAGCTCCTCACTCCAACTGTCCAGGTTCCCATCCATCATAACTGGGTGACCTTAGACTAGGCACTCAAGCCCTCTGAGCTTCCTCCTCTGTCAATTGGAGTGATGAGAATTAAAGCATCCACCTCAAGTGGTGGTTGTCAGGAGGATTGAAGATGAGCTGGGGGAGGAAAGGAGACGGGGTGAGGAGGGGAGAGGGAGGAGGTAGGGCTGGGCTGTTTGTGGAGTTTTGTTTATTTGGGGCTTTTTTGTGGCTGTTCCTGTTTGGCAGCCACAGCAGTGACAGTCAAAGACATCTCTACTGACTGCACCCAAGGAAGACTGTCCGGCCAGAAAGGAAGCAACAGGCAAGCCCCACATACCTCCCCCAGCCCAGAGCCCCAGGCTAGCATGCCTTCCATTGCTCCAGGGAGGTGAAGACATCCGAAAGCAAAGCCCCCTGGTGTGGGGCCCAAGAGGCAAGCCCTGCAAAGCCAGCCTAGGAGCCAGGGACTTGGCAATTAACCAAGACCTGTCAACTCTCAGGAGCTGACTGAGGCCAAAGGAAGGAAGCAAGAAATAGATTTAAGTCATGCACAGGCACTTGGGAGAAAAAAGCGTTCGGCTCCGAGAGAATTAGGTGGCGGGGCTGCCCTAAACTGCACCCCAGACAGTAAGAAGGCAGCTTCCTTCTCTAACCCGCTACCCTTTCTAGGGGTCCTAAAACTTAGAGGCTCAGATTAAAGAGCTCCTCACCCCAACTGTCCAGGTTCCCATCCATCATAATCGTGTGGCCTTAGACTAGACACTCCAGCCCCCTGAGCCTCCTCCTCTGTCATTTGGAGTGATGAGAATTAAAGTGTCCACCTCAAGTGGTGGTTGTCAGGATTGAGGAGCTAATTCCTGCAAAGCATCTGGGACATATCTGATGTATCAGCTGTTATTCTGGCCTTGGCAGAGCCCAGACGCCACTGCTGCCCCCTCCCTTCCCCACAGAGTACACAGGGGTGACGGGTGGGGGGCAAGGTGCTGTGCTTGACCACATGCCATTCGGATGCCAGGCCAGAGTGAGGACGGTGGGAGGCCAAGGTGGCCCCACACGTGGGTGTTGAGTGGGGAGCGTGGCGCACGTCAGTCACCCACCAGTGCCTCGCTACCCTACCCGGCACCAGATCCTGGGATCAGGCTTAGGATGGACCCGTGGCCTCTAGACAGGGTCCTGTGCCCTTGTGAGCCAGAAGTGCCTAGTGTGTGAAAAAGATGTCTGCCCTGGAGGTGGAGGCCCAGGGTCCGCGATGTGACTGGCAAATGGTTCTCCCCGCTCAGGGGCTCTCTCTTCCTCTGGGCCCAGAGGGGGCTGCTACCCCTTCTATCTCTGACCATCTGTGACTCTCCCAGACACACTCCTCTCTCTGCTCTGGCCCCTGCCACCCAGAGCAGGATTGAGCCAGGTCCAGGAAAGACATGCAGATCCAGCCACCAGGGCCAGAACATCAGGACCACCAGGCCAGGAAAGGAGACGCAGGGCTGGGAGAGCTGGTAACCCCCTGGGGTGGGAGAGTGGGGTCTCAGGAACTGTGGAAAGGTAGGCATTGCCCTGGGCCAGGTGGGCCTCTGCCGCCCTGTCAGAGGCTCTGTGGGGGCAAAATGGGGTCTTTTCTATTTCTACTTCACAGATGGTGTAAAAGAGGTCAAAGGAGGCAGAGAAGAGAAAGAAGAGTGGGGAGGAAAGAGTGTGAGGAAGGCAGGGATTCTCATTGCCCCAGAGCAGAGCTGCATTCAGCCATACCCATCGCCCCTGCTAGACTCAGCACCCGGAAGGCAGTACCACTGATTGAGGCCAACTTTGTCCCCTGTCCTCTACCAAGTGCTTTGTACATGCTACCTCCTGTGAGGTGGGTGTTTTCATCCCCACTTTACAAATGAAGACAAAAGTCAAGTAACGTGCCTGAGGTCACATGAGTGGTGAGCAGTCCAGCTGAGTCTTGAACCAGGTCTCACATTTCCAATGCTGAGAGCTCCTTGGCCTTGACCGTCTATGTCCTCCCAGCCTCTGAGACAGTAGGGTGTACATAGTAGGTCCTCAATCAATGCTAGTTAAAGTGAAGGAAGGAAGGAAGGGAGAGGGGGTAGAAGGAAGGGGGAAGATAAGCCAGGGAGACTCTTTGGCAGCCAGAAAATAAATAATAAGTGCTGTTTTCCAGTGCCAGGCTGGCACGGTGCCCAGGATAGCTGCCCTACACTCGGGAGCTCAAGGCCTATGCTTGACTCATCTTTTCCAGAAGTATGTGAGCCCAGATACGTCAGCCTTCAAGTATGCAGTGAGGTCTGCGGTGAGGCGCTCTCTCTTCTCTCCTGCCCCCTTGAATGGCCTTCCTTTTGCCAACTCCCCACCCCCAACCCACCCGGCCAGTCCAGCCTTGGCCCCCTCCCCAGAGCTAGGCCTGCTTTCTTTGGGGCAGGGGGCTGTGGACCAGCCCCCTAAGCAATGCAGATACCTGTTGGGAGGGAGACCTACATGCTGCTGGGGGAGGGGCGGGAGCACCCACATCATCCAACAGGTTGGTCAGGCTGGGAGGCGTCCCGCCCTCCTGCAGCTAATGAGCACTGTGCAACAGGTGTCTGCTCCTCAGTCCCCAGCCCGCCCCAGCTGTGACCAGAGCAACCAGAGCCTGCCACCCGACGCAACCCCAGGCTCACTCGCTCACCCCCCTGGGCCCTCCTGCTTCCGGCCGGGGGCACCATGGCCTGCCGCTCCTGCGTGGTTGGCTTCAGCAGCCTCAGCAGCTGTGAGGTGACCCCGGTGGGCAGCCCCCGGCCTGGAACCTCAGGATGGGACAGCTGCAGGGCCCCCGGGCCGGGCTTCAGCTCCCGCAGCCTCACAGGCTGCTGGTCGGCTGGCACTATCTCCAAGGTGACTGTGAACCCCGGCCTGCTGGTGCCCCTGGATGTCAAGTTGGACCCCGCTGTTCAGCAGCTGAAGAACCAGGAGAAGGAGGAGATGAAGGCCCTCAATGATAAATTTGCCTCCCTAATTGGCAAGGTGAGCACAAGTAGGGGGTCCCAAACATGAAGGGCTGCCAGGCCTGGGCCGGTAGCTGAGCTCTGTGTTTCCCTGAGCATCGATCACCGCGCCCCACCCCTGCACCCAGCCAATGGGGAGATGGCACTGCTAACCCGACAGGCTAGCTCTGAGCAGAGGCTGGGGGAGGGAAGTCCCTGATCCATCCTGGCATGTGGGGAGAAAGGGACCCCAGGATGGCCTTTGAGGGATGTGTTGATAATAACATGCTGCATGACCTGGGGTCACCCACCACCCAGGCAGGGACTGGGGAGGACCACCTAGTGTGGCCAGGGGTGCCCTCTCGCAGGAATGGCTGATGGAGGCATGCTCTGCGGTCCTACTCTGAGGCAAGTGGACAGGGGAGATGGCCTCCCAGGCACCACGCTCCTGTTTATCCCTCAAGCCTCTGGTCCCACAGCATCTCTCTCAGCTGCCCCAGTCAGAAAAGCCAGCAGGGTGGAGGGTGAGTGCGGGGCTGCTGGAAGGAGGTTGCTGCCCAGACTGCTGCAAGTGAGGGTGCAGCTCAGGTGTCAGGAGATAGGAATGCAGGGGACGATGCCTCGAGTCAGAACAGGGAAGCCAGTTGGGCCTTCCTGCACCCTGCGCCCCTCCTGACTGCGGGAGGTGCATCCTCAGCATCACAACCACACTTCCTAGACTCCACTACCCATGGCCTGCAACAGGTCTGGGGCACTCGTGTCCACCTCTGCTCCCAGGGCAAGGGAGCTCCCAAGGAAGTTATCCACTTCCCAAATCTGTTCTTTACTCATCTTCTCCAAGAAACTCCTCCTGACTCTGCACCCTCCTGCACCCTCAAGAATAATCATGATAGTGCCAGCTGCCATTGGTTAATTGCTTACTATGTGCCAGGCACTGTGCTGATGCTTTTCAGGTTTATCTGTATTTCTCTCAACAACCTTATGGGAGAAGACAATTTTATGTCCATTTCACAGATAAGGAAAACTGTACATTTCTGAACCTGCCAGTAAACCAGAGGTCCAGCCTTCAGCCCCTGGCTCAGTCCTTGTCTGCTCTTGGCCTCTGATTCTGTGTTCCTCTGCATGTTGCTGGTCTCCCCCATGAGGTGGGAGCTCACAGAGAGGGGCAGAGGGAAGAAAGTAACATGCATTGAGCATCTACTTATGCCTTGCCCTCTGGAGGAACATTGCAAATGCAATGAAATTCAAGCCACACTGCCACCCTGCAGTGGCTGTTATTTTCCCAACTGTGCAGATGAGGAAACTGAGGACCAGCAAGGCTAAGTGCCTTGCCCAAGATCACACAACCAGCAAATGGTAGTCTGGATTTGAACTCAGGTCTGTTGAGACACGAAGTCAGTGGTCTCTGTGGTGGGAATCTTTTCTTTCCTTCTTCCATTCATGTGCCTAGACCAGAGTTTCATCATCCACACCTGGGGTACCCCTGGGTACCCAGAGGGGAAGGACCACAGTCCACTGAGGCAGAGCATCCCTTCCCCCAGCCCTAACTGCACAGAGCCTTGCATTGCTGAGCTGGTTCTCCCTCTAAGAGCAGCCCAGCTGCCCTGGGGAGGCAGGTCCCTAAAGAGCCACCTCCTGACCAAACCCAGTTTAATCCCTTAGAAGGAATGCTTCACTGAGCTATGGAATTTGGCTCAGATGGGTGGTTTTCTCCCTCAAACGCCAGCACTGATATCACCCTGTGCCCCTGCCATGGGGATGGGAGGATATAAGCACAGGGAAGAGGCCCTCAGGGTTGGGGTCCTGTGCCCAGAGACCAGGGCAATGCCCTTGAAGTTCTTTAGCAGAATTGGAGCCTCCCAACCCTTAGCCTTGACCTTGAGATGGGGTGCCCTTCAGGGTGGGACACAGGGAGCTGTGGGTACTGGCCGTTTGGGGGCCCTGGTTGCAGGGCCCCAAGGGGCCCCAGCTGACCCTTCAACTCTGCAAAGATCTGTTAGCCCCACCCTCCTTGCCTCCTTGTGGAGGCTGTGAGGGCCCACATGGAAGCAGGAAGTGGTTAAGATGTGAAATCTGGAGCAGCATTGTGGGGTTTAAATCCCGGTCCACTACTGACCAGCTGTGTTGTCTCAGGCAGGTTATTTAACCTCTCTGTGCCTCAGCACACATTAGGTTAGCAGGCTCATTAGAATCAAATGGGAGAATTTTTGAAAAGAATTTAGAACATATCTGGTATATATTAAGTATATTATAACTGTTAAATAAAAAATGAAATAAATGGGCCTGGCCCAGGGAGCAGCTAGAACCCAGTTAGCCCCTTCCAGGCAGGAGCCTGGAGAGCAGGTGGGGAGAGGCTCCCTGCCGGATAGAGGAGTGAAGGGACTCATGGGCAGGAGGTACGGCGCAGGGCTGTTGAGCAATTATGGACCCAGAGGAAGGCCCAGGGGTGAGACGCCATGACCAGTGGGTGGGGGCTCTGGGTAAAGAGAGGAGAGGGGTGGGGGCCCTCTGAGGAACTGAGAGGAACCTGGGAGCACTCAGGAGGAGCAGAGACTCTCAGGAGGTGGTAGAGGCCCTGGAACACTGTGGTTTCTTCCACTTGCTGGCTGCGTTTTCCTGGGCAAGTCATTTACCCTCTCTGCGCCCCAGATTCCACTGCTCTGCTCTGCCGGTGGTCCTGAGCTCGTCCCAGTGGAAGGACTGGTAAGGCAACAGTCATGAGATGAAGGGGGATGAGGAGAAGCAGTAGCAGCAGGAGAGGCCAGGGGAGGCAGGGAGGGCGCAAGGCCGACCTCCAGCAGAGGCTGCTGGCTGGGCTTCTTGCCTTCACGCACACACAGACAACAGAGGGGATGGAGAGAGAGGCAAGAGGCAGGACTGCCTGAGCTCATCCTGGGGAGGCTGTAGAGAGGGAACCTATGAGCAGTGGTAAAATGCCTGGAGACAGAGGGATGGAGACAGAGGGATGGAGACAATGTCTTCACCGAGGCCTGTGTGACCTCTGGAAGAGCTGAAGTCAGCCTTCCCCCTGCCTGTATGCAGAAAAGCACAAACCAGCCACTGCTCGTGAGTCTTTGAGGCTCCCTGGCTAAAGCCAATGTCTGGCTGAAGGCCGGGGATTCAACAGCCCCCGCTAAGGAACACTACCTGTGTGGCCCAGAGGCACTCCCCTGTAAGACCTGCAGCCTCTGGGATGTCCGGCCTGTCTCCCTCCAGGAGTTCCAGTTTAGGCTGCTCGGTTTCCCCCACAAAACAACATGCCTCTCCCCTAACCTCAGCCCCAACCTGGCCCTACTTTTCAACTGGGCTTCAGTTTCTTCATCTGTAAAATGGAGAGGTCCCTGCTACAGCTGCTACTGTATGATCTAAGGGCAGAGGGCCAGGCAGAACAGAGAGGAGGAATCAGAGGTGAAGGCTCGGCAGTCTTCCTGGGTTGGAGGCAATTAACCTGGCACCTCTCAGGGCACCAGGATTATGAGCCCTCCCCAGGTCCTTGTTCTGAGAGGGAGGAGCCTTTCTGCAAGGAAGGTCCCAAGTGGGGAATGAATTTCCATCCCCGCCCACTGAGACAACCAGAGACTCCCCCAAGGGCAGCAGAAAACAGGGGGCTGTCCCTGATCCCCTAAGACCACAGATGCCTTCTAGCTGGACTGGCCGGCCAAACGCACACCATGTCCCAGCGAGCTAGTGCTGAAGCATAGGGAATTGAGGTTAGACTGTAGGAAGAACTTCCTGGTGTGAAGATTTCTCTGCTGCTCATGGGTGGAGGAAGGAGCCTCACATCTCTCCTCTCACTCCACCCTCAGTGTAAACATGGGGCTCCTGCTTGTCAAAACGGAGGCAAGGTGGGGTGAGCAGATACCTGCCCCCCCAACGCTCCCTCTCACACTCACAAGGCAGGGCAGAAACCCTCTTGACCTCCATCCCTACTGAACCTGTTTGGCTGTGAGTACAGCAGAGAGCAGGATTAAGGTTGGCTTCAAGCAGAACCTACCAGTACAGATATGCAGGGGAATGGCAGCCCGCAAATACCGTCAAACGCCATCATCCAGTATTCCTGCTGGCGTTGTCTGCTGTGAATGTCGAAGGGTCGTCAGAGCACTTCAGGAAAAACAAGGACACCCTGAAGAAGCAGAGCAGAGAGAGAGGGGCTGGCCCCACCTGACCGTTCGGGAGCCTACGAAGGTGCAGAGAGGGCAGTGGCCATCAGATGGGGCTCTCTGGGAAGCTGGGCCACCGAGTTGCTTTGTGACCCTGGAGAAGTCACTTGACACCCCTGGCCTCCATTGCCTCCTCTGCAAATGAAGGGCCCAGCTCAGCTGATCCAAAAGGCTGCTGGCAGCTCTCGCAGGCTACGATTCTGGGAGCCTGGGCCAGCAGCACCGGCAGTGGTGGGAGAAGGCCCAGCTACTCACCTGTGACCATAGGGAGCATCACTGGGCTGGTTATCAAAACATCCTCATGACAAACAACCCACACTGACGGGAGCCAGGCCCCAACCAGGCCTCCAACCTCATGGCCTGCCCTCATGGCCTATCCCTGGCACCAAGGGAGGAGAGGCCCCAAGGGGGAGCAGATGGCTCCCAGTGTGATGGGGAAAGTGGTGGGTCAGGACAAATGAGAAACAGGTAAACTGGGGGCCTTTCAAGATATGAGTCATGGAGGGCTTCCTGCAGGAGGGAGCTGGAAGAACAAATGGGGAGGAGAGGAGGACCTGGTGATGGGAAGGAGAGTAGAGAGGACAGCCAGGGTGGGGAGGAGGGAGGCAGGGGGAGCCCCAAGCTGAGCTGGGCTGGACTGGGTAGAAGGAAGGAGAGGACTGCGCAGGACCCTCCCAGCAAGAGGCATATGGTAGGCAGAGTCTGAGAGGCGCAGCTGGGCTCAGAGCCCTCCCAGGGTTTCACCTCGAGGCAAAACTGTCCCTAACTGGAGGCAGAAGCCAGCCCATGAAGGGTAGCTGGGATCCCAGGGCCCACAGTGACCAGCAACACACAGGACGCATGTGTCATAGTGGTTAAAAGGTTCTAAACCCAAAGTTCCTGGATTCCAGGCCTGGCTCTGCCACTTGCTAATTTTGTGACCTTGGGCAAGTTCCATCACCTCTGGTTTCCTCATCTGTAAAATACAGCTTATAATAGTACCCACCCATGGGGGTGCTGCAGGGATTTCATGGGTCAAGCATGTAGAGCAAGGCCTGGCACACAGCAGGGGCCACATGAGCACCTGCTGTTGTCGTATCCCAAAGCACATCCCCAGGTGTCCCCACAGTCTCATGGGGAGAGTAGTGGCTCAGGACAAAGGAGGAGCAGCTAAACTGAAGGCCTCAGTGCTGGAGGGAAGAGGGAAGTCTTTCAACCTGAGTCACAGAGAGCTTCCTGCAGGAGGGAGCTGGAAGAACAAATGGGGAGAGCAGAGGGCCTGGTGATGGGAAGGAGAATAGAGAGGACAGGCAGGGTGGGGAGGAGGCAGGGAGAGCCCCAGGCTGAGCTCGGCTGGACAGGGTGGAGGGAAGGAGAGGACCGCGCAGGCAGGTGTTATCATTCCTAACTTCTAGCTGGGGAAACTGAGGTTCAGGGAGCCTCTGTCATCGAGAGGATGAGCACTTAAGGACAGTACTAACCAGGCCCTACCCTGCTGAGTTTCCAGGACAAGATGGGACCACACTTGTCGTGGTGGCAAGGGGGCAGATAGGCCTCTGACACCCCATGTTCCCTGGGGTCTCCCGCCCCAGCCCCAGGCAGGCATGGAGAGCCTGTCGCATGCTTGGCACTCTCACACCCTCTTACCCCCTTCCTCTGCCAGCCCTGCCCTGCCCTCGCCTGGAAACCTTTGCTAATTGGCTCCACCTTGCTCTGATCCTGTCCTTATCTCACCATCTTCAGTTTTAACAATCAGTCATTGGAGGTGCTTTCTGCTGAGTGAGCGCCCTGGGTGGTGTGCATAAATGAGCTGCCACTTCCCAGGGAGCCCTCCGTGGGCTCTTGCTGGTCAGCCCGGGGCCTCAGCCCCCGACTGGTCCACACCTGACCCATTCGCCGCCTTCCTGCTCTCCCAGGTGCAAGCCCTGGAACAGCGCAACCAGCTGCTGGAGACACGCTGGAGCTTCCTGCAGGGCCAGGACTCAGCCATCTTCGACCTCGGGCATCTCTATGAGGAATATCAGGGCCGGCTGCAGGAGGAACTGCGCAAAGTGAGCCAGGAGCGGGGGCAGCTGGAGGCCAACCTGCTGCAGGTGCTGGAGAAGGTTGAGGAGTTTCGAATCAGGTACGTAGAGCCCCATGAGAGCCATGAGCAAGGCCTGAGGGCTGGGACCAAGCTGTGCTCAGATGGGAGGCACTTAAGCCAGAGAAAGAGGAAAGATGTTCTGCAACATTTCTTTACCTGAGACATTTATTGAGGGACTGGTATGTGCCAGGCAGTATTCTAAATACTGAGGATATGGCTGTGAACCTACAGCCGCCCCCTCCCTAATAGCAACCCTTAAAACAAAGTCAATCTTGTGCTGGCTCCCAGCTAAACCCTGTGCCTGCTGGCCCTTGGGCATCATCATAACCCGCACCCCCTGCCTCGAGCAGCCGTCCTCTTGTACCTATGGACACACTTGCTCTTGTCCACATGTTGCTCTGGCAATGGGAAATTACGTCACTAGCTAGAACAGATGGGTTTCTGTTTTAGATGTGGCTTTAGATTTTGATCTCGACTGGGTTGGAAAGGAGAGGAAAGCCACCAGGAAGCAGGAAGGGGATGGAAAGAATGGGTTTGATTTGAATAAAGAAGCAATGCATGCCAGACATCAAGGTAGACTTGGAAAGAGACAGATAAGGAAAACAGCCCCAGTATGCAAGGTGCCTTTACAACTTAGTGGGGCAGACAGACAGACAGACAAACAGTTGCTGGGCAGTATATCCCAGCATTTATGGGCCCAGGCTTGGGCATTAGCCCAGAATGAGGTTTAATCTTCATCATCACCCATCACTAGCTTTGTGACCTCCAGTAAGTGGCTTAATATCTGAACCTCAGTTTCTTCCTGTGTGAAACGGGAATGATTATGGTTGATGCCAATCTAAAGTAGGTATCTAACCTGAGGAGGAAGTTGAGAGTGTGGCATGGTGACTGGCAGTTATAAATGGCAGCTTTTCTATCCCTAAAAGGCTGAAGTTCTCAGCACACAGCAGGTCTTTGACACAGGTTTGCTGAACTGAATTGGCCAGTCTAAAAGGGAAGGCTGGTCACTCGGGCTGCTTAGAGGAGAGGTGACCCTCTGTGGTCAGGTAGTGGGCAGGGCTTCAGGAACAAGGAGCCTGGGGCAGAGGAGAGTGGCTGTGCCCTGCACCGACCTCCTTGGGTCTGGTCTCCTTGCAAGGAGACCTCCAGCCAGCGTGAGGGGAGGACAGGGCAGGCTGAACCCTTGGTCTCCCCTCCTGCAGTGCTGCGGCCCAGCCCCAAACCCTGCCAATCTGAGGTGAGACCCACAACCTCCAGAGCAGCCGTCCAGGCAGGCTGGAGAGTGGAGAGCACCTGTCCTGTCCAGGAGTCCAGAGACCTGGGCTGTAGCTGAGTTTACCCATCGCCTCTCCCCAGCCCTGCCCTCCCAGGCCTAGGGAAACACACACAGGGCATCTGACCGCCCCTCCGGAGAGACCCAGCTTCCTAGTACCTGACCATGACCGGGCAGTCGGGGCAGCTCACCAGAATCTGTGACCCACTTTCCTGATCCCCAGTAGATCTTTGGCCCTCAAAGGCTCAGAGAATGCCAGAGCCAGAGGGAGCCCTGGATCCTCCTTTTACAGGGAAGGAAACAGGCCCTGAAAGGGCAGGGCTTGTCCTCAGTTACACAGCCTTGCATGCTAAGTCCCATCCCTAACCCCAGCCAGCCACTGGGTAAGGCTGCTCCCACGAGCTCCGCCAGATCACGTCCATGGAAGCACTTTGTAACTGGAAGTTCTATACACACACTACCTGTTGTTTTAATCTGGCTCAGCCCCCTCATTTGGCCTGCCGCCTGGTTTCTATCCGCCTGCTACCTGACTCTACTGCTTAGGCTGAGCCTCTCTTCCTCTCTCTGGGTAGGGAACCCACCCGAGTTGGGAAGGAGAGACTGGGCAAACAGCCTGGCTGGAGGGCTTCTCGGTCTTCAGGCCAGAGCCAGGGGAGCTACAGCCTGACTGTGCAGAGCCTAGGGCCCCCAGGAGCCAGGAGACGCCAGGCCAAGCCCCAGTAGGGAAGGGCTGTGCCCTGTCTCTACGGAGCCGATGAGATCAGCCTCACTCCCAGAAATAAACAAGTTGCGGGGGTGGGGATGGTGGTGCAGGTGTGACAAGCTAAAAAATGCCTGAGAATGGGTTTGGGAGCTGGTGGCTGACAGACTGGCAGAGGATTGGGAGTGGAATAGGGGACCTAAGCCTCTATGGGGATGGAGACTTCCGAAGGCTTTGAGGTAGCAGAAACCCCAAGGATCAGCAGTCTAGCCCTCTATTTACTAAGAACAAAGCAGAGGCCCAGCAAGGGGAAGCAACTTGCCCAAGGCCACACAGCAAGTGACTCAGGGATGCCACATACAGCTGTGCAAACTGTGCGCTGCACAAGTGTGCATGATTCAGGCGGTGGATAGGGACTGAAATCCAAACAAGCATCAGGCCATGCAGGGTACCAGGTCAAACAGCCCGTGAGGAAGGGGGCTTTTTTCTAACTGGCACAAAGGCTGGAGATGAAACAGTATTGGTCTTAAGGGGACTGGCTGCAGACTGGAACCCAGTGTCCAGCCGCAGCCCAGCGTTCCCCTCGGTCCTCTCCCCTGGGGCTCAGGGCTTATTCCCACCCCACCCACAAAGCACACCTAGAGGTCCAGGGTCAAGGCAGACCTGGCCTAGCCAGGATACCGTGAGGATGCTCCCTCCAGTCCCCTGACTCCTGGTGTCCTTCTCTGCCAGAGGGGGTTTCCCAGGGCAGCTGCCAGGCCAGCTGTCTCCCTCAACTCACCCTACTTATGTTCCCCTAGGCAGGGTGAGTGGCAGAGAGGCACCTGTGCTGTGCCAAGAGGCTTCCTGAGGCCGAAGCAGAGGGGCTGAGCCCCAGCAGGTGCTGTCCCCCGCTGCAAGCACTCTGTGAATTGCCCCCATTTAATCGTCACAGCATCACTATAATCGTGGCTGAGGCACACAGGAACTCACCCCAGGACACAGCTGGTTAGCAAGGAAGCCAGGATTTCAGCCCAAGTAGCCTGGCTCTGGTCCCCTTGCTTCATCAGCACACTCCAGGAGCCCCCAGTCCTTCCTTGAGCCTCCATTTCCTCATCTGTAAAATGAGACCAATGGGACTTCCCTAGCTGGGTGCTCTGAGGACCACCAGAGAGAGTGCAGGTGAAGCACTCAGCACCTGTTATTCCCCACTCAAGTCCAATTTAGTTCTCTCTGGGGATGCCTAGACAGCAGAACGTTCTCCCCGGCCTGCTCCTCTGCCCCACCCCCAGGACCTGTACCATCAAAGCCCCTAACAGACTCTTGGCAGCCAAGGCAGTGGCCAGGGAGGGTGTGGGCCCCTGGTACACTGAGACCAGAAACCCACGTGCCCTGCCATTGGGTCCACGCCCCTCAGCTCCTCAGGTGGGCTGGTGGGAAAGAAGAAGGCATGAGGGGCGCCAGATATAGCCAGCTCAATGGGTGATGAGTGACGCAGCCCTGCTGGGAGGCTAGGGCCTGAGGTAGGCAGGCGGCTGTAATTAGAGCCGCCAGTGATTCAGGCATTCCCCGAATAGGAGGGAAAAAAACAGAAGCTGCTGAATCCCCACAGCAGCTGGGGCCAGCGAGAAGTCTGGAGCCAGCAGACACCCACCCTGGGGCTAAGACAAACAAATGTCTTGACTTGAGGAAGAGGGTCGGGCCAGGGATCTGGGGGTCCTGTCCTCCCCACCCAACGGTGTCCTTGTTCCAAACCCAAGGTGGGAGCGAGTAAGAAGTCCAAACTGAGAAGAGCGTTATTGAGCTTTGTTGAGTATGGCCTATGCGGCCTGTAGCTGGCTGTCAACTGCGTCAGGGGTGGGTTTGTCAGCCCCCTGTACACGTGGGCACATGCCTACCCCTTAGAGGCAGGAAGCCAAGAGAGGAGGGGTGATGCAACTTGCCCAAAAACACACTGGGGGTCCCTCTGACAGCAAAGTTCACACTCTTTCCAGCCTCCCTTTGGAGGGAATACAATGGGATGGTGTCCTACTGGCTCGCAAAGCAGAGGGGTGGTGGCTGGGGCTGCAGGGAAGGCATGGAGGTGGGAGAGGTGAGGTGTGAGCAAGATGCTCCCAGCGGACTTGAGTGAACCTGAGATTGCCAGGGAAGGAGGTCAGGTAAAGATGAGGGGATAAAGTGCCAGGGTGAGGGGCTGCACAATCAGGGAGGCCTCCTGGAGGGGAGTGGGTGTGGAGCAGAGCCAGGAAAGGGCAGAAGCCACTGGGAGAGGACTGTGTCATCAGGAGGGAGTGAGGAACGGGGAGCCAATGCCAGGAGGTCGGGGGGAGAGAGAGAGGATGTGTCATAGAAGATGCAAGAGGGAGAAGGATGGGCTGCTTTTCTTTAATTGGCAAAGAGACCCCAAGTGGGATAGCACAGGCCCTGAGCCCCAACCAAGGGGAGTTCACCAGGCCCAAGCCCCCACCATATCCAGCTGAGCAACCCCTCTCTCCCTCCCAGGTATGAGGATGAGATCTCCAAGCGCACAGACATGGAGTTCACCTTTGTTCAGCTGAAGAAGGTAGCCTGCCCAGCCTGCCCCAGGGGCTCCTTCCTCATGGGCCCTGGGCCCTCTTTCCCTCCAGATATCCTACTCTCCTTTATGCCCAATCAAAGCCCTCAGAGGCTTAAGTCCCAGGACCAACAGACAGACAGGGAGATACCCCCATCCCCATCCAGCTCCTTTTTCGAGGCTCTGAGCCAGATCTCCTCTGGAATCACCCCCACTCTCACCCAGGAGGCAGCCCCCCAGCCCACTCCTGCCCTGGGACCCTCCATTCCCTCTCCCACCACTCACCACTGCTGCCAACCCCAGGACCTGGATGCAGAGTGTCTTCATCGGACTGAACTGGAAACCAAGTTAAAAAGCCTGGAGAGCTTCGTGGAGTTGATGAAAACCATCTATGAGCAGGTGAGTGAGATGGGGCCAGTGTCTTGCCAAGCCCAGAGCTGGCTGGTCCATGGGTAAAGGACACAGGGGAAGCACAGCCATCCAGTGGGGCATGGAACCTCCAACAGTCACTTACAATTTCCAGCCCCAGAATAATAATTTCCTAAACCCCTTCCTGTGATGGTGTCAATAACCCTGCATGACCCCTGGACATTCATCTCATGGAACATGGGCTGGTTCCCCAAAGGCCACTCTTTCTGGAAGAACTATACCTTTGTGTGCTAGAGTACTGAGGGCATGCTGGGGACCAGGTGCCTCGGACAAGGGTCAGGAGGCTGGCCTCAGTGGCATGGAACCCAGGGGTCTGGAACGAGCATGCTGATTGAACTGATCTCTCCCTAATTCCTGCAGCCTAAACCACAGCACCCACAGTGCTAGTTCTGATAGGCCTGCCTTTCCGTTTTCCCCATTTTTGGCGAAGACAGAGGAAACATTCGCATTTGTTTCCTAAGTCCTCAGTGGGGCCCAGTGTACAAGGGCCCATAACAGCATGGCATGCATCAACACAGCCATTAGATGGGCACTGCCGCTGGCTTCTGGACACCACTCCTCCATGCCAGCTGCTGACTCCTAGGCACCCTTCAGGATATGTGTCCTCCTCTCCACACCACTTGTTTCAAGGGTGAGGAGGTTCAGGGGTGACACTCCTGAGCTAAAGTCCCTTCCACAGAGGTCTGCAGTTCAGCTAGGAGCAGGCAGCACCACTGTTGGAGATAACAGGGCTTGCCCGCCTAAGTGCTGCACACTGCTGGTGCCAAGCTATGGCAGTGCAGCCAAGGTCAAGGCTGAGATCAAAGTCACCACCACAACTTACAGATTCTGCTAAAATGGCCCTATGATCTGCTGACCACAGCTTCATGGCTGCATCCTGTGGAAAGGAAGACCGGGCCTCATGGCCCTGTCATGGGTCACAGTCCTTTCCAGCAGTCCCAGCTGCCAGCTGGGGCCTCCGTGGAACTGAGTCTTGTTTGTGGCCACGAGAGGTAGCATAGCAGAGAGAACAGCAAACCCTTGGGAGCAGCAGGAAGGCAGCCCTCCTAGGCAGTCCGCTCTCCCCACAGCCCTGAAAAGCTTCCTGGCCCTAACAAATCCCCCCACAGCCAGGCCAAGTGCTATGGGGCTGACCAGGGCACCATGCCCACTGGCTGGGTGGGAACTGGGCTAGGGGCTTCTCTGCCCAAACTCACTGTGGGCTGGTGCAGCCCAGGCTGGCATCAGCAGGGCCATCTCCTGTCTCCACTGGGCTGGATCTCTGCCACCCTTAGGCCTCCACCCACTCATACTGCCTCTGAGAGGCTGAGTCCATGGGTGAGTGCAGATTCTGCCGAGCCTAGATGGAGTGCAGATTCTGAAAACCGAGCCCAGTGTTTCTCTACCTGCTCACTGATGTCTCAGCAAGCTCAGAGCTCAAGCTCTAAGCCATGATGCAGGCCCTGCAGCTGTAGAGACATAACTGGAAGAAGGCTGGGCATAACCAGTGATATTCCTGAGCACCCCACAAGACTTCTTGGCCCCTGCCCCAGTAGCCAGGCCTGTGGGTTCCCTTTGGATTTTGCAGTCCTTGGGCCCCAATCCCAACTTGGCCTTGTTTTTTTTTTTTACTATTTCTGTAACTTTAGGCAAGTTTTTTCTCCTCTCTGTGCCTTAGTGTCCTTATCTGTAGCATGGAGAGAGTAACAGGACCAGCCTCATAGGGCTGTGAGGAGGACTCAGCCCACTCATTCATTTAACAAATGTTTATTGCATGCCTACTAAGTGCCAGGCACTGATACCACAGCCTGGGCAAGGTCCCTTCTCTCAAGGAGGGCATGACTTAGCTGAGACAAGTCATAAGCAAGTCAGCAAATATCTGGACAAGATCGCTTCGCAGGGTGACAGATTCTGGGATGCAAAGAAACCGGGTGCTGCGCTGGAGCCGGAAGGAGGGAAGAGCCTCAGAGCCCATGAGCGGGGCCTCTCACAGGCGGTACCCTCCCTAAGAGTGGCAGAGATCCAGCCCAGTGGAGACTGGAGATGGCACAGAATTGCTATGCAAAGCCCCTAAGGCAGGAGGGGAGCCTGGCGATTAAAGAAAAAGAAAGAAGTCTCTGGTCAGAGCACACGGGGCAGGGTGGGAGCTTTGGGTCAGAGAGTGCCTCACAGGGTTGTCTCACGACTTGGACCTCATTCTGAGTGTGACAGGCAGCCTTCGGTGGGCACTGGGGCGGGGTGGCAAACAGCGGGTTTCAGGTGTGGTTGTGCTATCCTGAGCCTGCTGTGGAGAAGGGCTTGCGATGGAGGCAGTAGGGGCCAGGGAACCACAGCAGTTATTATTACTTTTGAAAGCAGCAAGATGGGGTTGAAATTGGAGGTTTGCCTTTCTCTCCATACACTGCTGCAGGCTAAGAGGGCAATGCTGACTCTTTGCCAAAACTATTCCCCACACCAGAGGGTGTCTTAAGTCAGTGCCGTCTGATAGAAATACAATGTGAACTGCATATGTAATTTTAAGTTTTCTAGTCACCACATTTTAAAATAACAGAAAAAATAATTTTAATAATATATTTTATTTAGCCCAATATATCAAAAATATAATTATTTCGACATCTACCTCATTGGACAGAGCAGCTCTGAGTAAAGACTGTGCCAGCCACACCTGCCTCAGGTGGAAGAAAAACCTGGCAGAACACGAGTGGCCCAGGAGGCCCTGATACTCTAGTTTCAGCTTTGGAGCAGACACCAGATCAGAAATATAGGCCTACCCCTGTGTCCCAGAAAACAGCCCTCTCGTCTCTCCAAAACATGTGTGTGTGTACATACACACACATGCACACACACACACACACACACACACACACAGCCAAGATACATTCTGAAAAGCCCTTCCAAGCCAACTGAGTAGGAGCTCATGGCCATGATCTGCTCAGGCCTCATCTACTGCAAACCCTCTGCCTCTCTCCCCTGGGGGCACAGGCTGGAAGGTTCCCCCACAGTTTCTGAGACACAGTCCAGCTCCCAAGTGTGTTTGGGGCCTGGCTGCATCCAGTCGGAATGCCACCTACCTGACCCCTACACTCTGGCTCCAGGGAAATTAGCTGTGGAATCTGCTGACAACCCCCTGCAGCCAGGCACACCTCGAGGGAGGTCCATCCCTGCAGAGAAAAGCCAGTGCTGCCTAAACTTTTGCATGGAGGCTGCCCCGAGAATAGGCTGCTCTGCCCCTGAACACTTTGTCCCAGCTTTATCACTGTTACCAATTACCATAATAGAGAATCCTTAACTACTGTTTAGTGAGCACCTAATATATTCCAGACACTGTGCTAAGTGTTTTCCGGACTTAATCTCAGTTAATTCTCACGACAACTCTATGAAGTAGGGATAATGATTAAGAGAGCACAGATTTTGAACAGCTTGGATTTGAATCCTGGCTCAGTAACTGTGGGAACTGGAGCAGGCTATTTTATCTCTATATGCCTCAATTTCCCCATCTATAAAATGGGGACAATAATAGCATCTACCTCACTGGGCTGTTGTGAGGATTTGTTTTCTTAACATATCCTAAAATACTTAGAACAGTAACTGACACATGGTAAGCATTCAACAAACATTATCTGTTTTCAGCTCTATAATTAGATCCATTTTACGGATGAGAAAACCAAGGCTTAGACACATTTAAAAACTTGACCAGGGTTACTCAACTAATAAGAAGTGATTGGCCGGGCACAGTGGCTCACGCCTGTAATCCCAACACTTTGGGAGGCCGAAGCGGGCGGATAACCTGAGGTTAGGAGTTCGAGACCAGCATGACCAACATGGTAAAAGCCCATCTCTACTAAAAATACAAAATTAGCTGGGTGAGGTGGCGCATGCCTGTAATCCCAGCTACTTGGGAGGCTGAGGCAGGAGAATTGCTTGAACCCGGGAGGCAGAGGTTGCAGTGAGCCAAGATTGCGCCACCACACTCCAACCTGGGCAACAAGAGTGAAACTCCATCTCAAAAAAAAAAAAAAAAGAAGAAGAAGAAGAAGTGATGGCATTCAGTGTCCAGAGCCATTAGCGCTATATTTTACTCTCCAACACTGTTACCCCATAACAGTCACAATCTACCCTGACGTGGGGAACACAGTGAGGGTGCTCACACGCACAGCAGCCTCCTAAGGGAAACCCTAAACTGTACTTCGGCTTAATTCTTAACCATTTGGAGGCTCACGTGCTCTCCAGGGGTCCCATCCCATTGGGTACCTCCACACCACACAAGCCCGAATTGTCATACTCTCTGCAGCCCGGCAGGGGCCTGCATGTCTGAACACGTCTGTGGATGTTCTGAACGCTCCATTTCCTGCTTTTGTTTACCAAGCTCCTGCTTAGCCTGCCTCTTTCCAGAAAATGTCTGGCCAGTCTTTTCACCCTGACTGGGAAGTCCTGCTATAGTGCGTCCTCACAGTGCGCCGGCCTTTCCTGGGGCCATAACGAATGCCAAGTTAGGCCCTCCTGTAGAAGCACACTGGAGGGCTCTGAGGCCCCCCACACCCACCGATGCCCACAATGTGTCAACCAAAACAGCCTCAAAGCTGCAGCTCTGAAACTGTCCCCAGCCAAGCCCCAGCCAGGGTGCTGGTGCCACATGGGAAATGTCGGCTAGTGACTGGGGCAGCAGAGGTGGGGCTGTGGTAACAATCAATCTTATTCTGACACGGGTTGGGCCATCAGCCTGCTTTTGCCCAGAGATTCTATTTTCATTTGAAGATCAACCAAAACCCCCAGCAGGAGACACCCAAGGGCAGCTGGCCACTGAGTTCAGGGTCCTGCCAGCTCCAGGGCAGAGACAGGCTGTCCCCCAGAGGGGCTTCCGAATGCCCGCCACTACCGCACCATCCTTGTCACCAGGAGGTGCTGGTGGGCAGAGTCAGTTCCCGGACAGGCTGCCCACAGGGCCCTAGCTGGCCCCTCATCCCTGTCGTCTACAGCTCAGAAGTCCAGCCTCCGCCTGAGACAGAAACCAGAGGCCTCAGCACAAACTCTCCAAGCAGAAAGAGAGACAGAGGATCAGGAGGGCGCCCAGAGTCAGGAACCAGGATCAGAACACAGTCAGGAACTAAAAAGCTGAGCCTGGATCCCAGCAGGCATCCGGGTGCACCGGCCAGTTTTCAGAAAATATTGAGGCTGGAAGAAGCACGTTGAACATTGGCACAGGGTACAACAATCAAACCCAGCTGTGGGGACTCTGCAAGGCAGACAGCCAGTGTGTTCAATAAGAACAATGGCAAAGAACAAAAAAGAGAGAAATGGAGATTACAGGAGACCTACAGACATATGGACCAACTGCAGTATACTGGCCTTGTTTGGATCCTGATTCAGACAAACACATTTAAAAAATGATGAGGCGGTCAGCAAAATGGGAATGCAGACTGAAATTTGATGATTGAAATAGGGGTCAGGGTGGACTCTGAATGCCAGAAGGAGCATGATGTGTCTGCACCCAACACCCACCTCCTGCCTGGCCCCCTCCCTGCCACCAACTCACTCGGTGCAATTCTCAGTCGACTCGCCTTGCTCCTCCTTCCCACAGGAGGCCCTACCCTTTTCAGCATCTCCAGGATAAGCAGCCCAGGGCCCTTTGCAACCTCTAGAGATCCCTGGTCCCACCTGCCTCCCTACACACCCCTGAGCATTCTGGCTAGAAAGGTGCGAGGCTGTGAGCAGGAAAGAAAGCTGGTCTGGGGCCAGAAAGACAATGAAGAAGGTGTCAGCCCCTTGTCTCCATCCGCTAAGGGAGCGTCACAGCAGCAGCAACAGGGGCTCCGGGGCCCACCCTGCCACTCACCGCTGTCTCCACAACATCTTTATGCCTCAGTTTCCTCCTCTGGGGCTGCAGCAGTGCCAGCCTGGTGAGGATGTGTGGAAAACGCTCAGCGCACAGTCCAGCCTGCAGGGAATTCCTCAGGGAATGGTGGGTTTTACCATTTCCAGAAGTCTCCAGGGATAGGAGACGGTGAAAATATTGTGGTCGTCCAGGCAATGTCCCTTGGCTAGAGAGGGAGTGGGCGCTGAGTCTCCAGGGGGACCCTGAAGTCAGAGTGCTGGAGGCTGCGCCCAGGCTCCTCACAGGCTGTTGGCTTTCAGTGGGGCCGGGAGAGGGGAGTACAGGTTTGTCAGCCTCCAGCCCACTCCACCCTGGTCACTCCCTGGCTTCCCTCCCAACATTTACCAAATGAACTGAGGCACTCCTTTCCCAGACGTGGGGGCTCAGAGATGAACACAGCTCTGCCAGGCCCACAAGGAGCTGCTCGTCCAGTGGGAGAGGCAGAGCTGTACCCCACAGCACAGGAATAATGAAACAGTAAACAGAGGGGCCCAACTCACAGCCCCAGAGCCTGACTTCTCTGGCCCTTTCCCATCAGCCAGGAGTAGGCCATCCCTCCCAGGAGAGGGCAACAGTGCAGGCAGTGGGGAAGCTTGCAGGTAGCCTTTAAAACCAACAGTCCCAGCCTGCCCTCCACTCAGATAGGGGGACTGTGGGTGGGTGAGCAGTGGGCAGTGAGCTGCCTTCCGAGAGTCCTGGCTGGGGAGACGTGGCAGGGAGGCATTCGGCCTTCCATCATCTCTCCAGAGGGACAGGAAGGGAGCAGCTCCACTCTCCGCTCACCCCGGGGACAAAGTGACTGTGTGGGGCTGAGGGTCCTTGTGCCCTCCCCACCAGCCCTGAGCCCCCACATCTGTGCCCGGTCAGGAGCTGAAGGACCTGGCAGCACAGGTGAAGGATGTGTCGGTGACCGTCGGCATGGACAGCCGCTGCCACATCGACCTGAGCGGCATCGTGGAGGAGGTGAAGGCCCAGTATGACGCCGTCGCGGCTCGCAGCCTGGAGGAGGCCGAGGCATACTCTCGGAGCCAGGTGGGGCTGACCACACAGGGCACGAGAAGCAGCCTGGACAGTTCTCTGGGTGGCAGGAAGGGCTGGACTGGTGATGGCTGAGGTTGCCTGCAGCTCTCTGTCCTGAAAGTCTATGAGAGAGGAATGGAGAAGCACAGGGACGGGGCGGGCGGGGGGAGACCACAGAAGCTGGTCTGTGCCCTCCAGGAGTTCAAGGTGGTGCTGTTATCAGCAATGCTAGGCCAGATGTGGGCATGGCCCATGGGGCTCAGCTAGGGCAGCCAGGAGAGGCCACCCAGAAAGGGAGGTGGAAGGGGGAGCTGAGGGAGCCTGGCGTGGCGTGGTGGGCTGCAGAGTTGGAGATGGGACTGGAGGATGCAAGAAAAAGCAGAGGCGGGTAACAAGTGCTGGGAGCGGCACTGAGCTGCCCCTCACTGAGACCTCCATGTACCTCCAGCTGGAGGAGCAGGCCGCCCGCTCGGCCGAGTATGGGAGCAGCCTCCAGAGCAGCCGCAGCGAGATCGCGGATCTCAATGTGCGCATCCAGAAGCTGCGGTCCCAGATCCTCTCTGTCAAGAGCCATGTGAGTATCTGGGGGACGCGCCTGGGGGCGGGGAGGAGAGCAGGGAGACACACAGTCATGTGTGCTGAATACAGGCAAGACATGACTGAGTGACCCTGTGTGGGTCGCTTAGCGCCTCTGTGCCTCAGTTTCCTAATCTGTCAAATGGGATAATAGCACAGCCTCCTAAAGTAGTTATGAGGCGCTCTGCATACAAAAATACTCTGTAATCTGGTCAAGGCTGCTGGAACGTTAGAAAGCCCCCACACTACACACACCCAGAGCCCACTGCCTCCCTCCTGGGAACCCCCACCAACTACACAGAGAGGAGGGAGTAGAGGCCTAAGTCCCAGCTTCCAGCCAGGACAAACCTTCAGGGCAGGTGCTGCCCCATAAGGACAGCCGGGACAGGCTCCTTTAGTGGCTTGCGGTGCTTTCCTCTGGCCTTGGGAAGGTGCCTCTTCAGGTCTAACTGAACTCCCTCTTGCTGCATGGCAACCAGTTACCACACCCAGAAATGCCATTGCTCAGCCCTCCCTCCCCACACCTACCCCCACCAAGGACAGAGACGACTCCTGGCCCTGGCCCGCTCCTCCTTCCCCTGCTCACAGGCCCTTTCACTCTGTCCTCCTGGCTGCAGTGCCTGAAACTGGAGGAGAACATCAAGACAGCTGAGGAGCAGGGTGAGCTGGCCTTCCAGGATGCCAAGACCAAGCTGGCCCAGCTGGAGGCCGCCCTGCAGCAGGCCAAGCAGGACATGGCGCGGCAGCTGCGCAAGTACCAGGAGCTGATGAACGTCAAGCTGGCCCTGGACATCGAGATCGCCACCTACAGGAAGCTGGTGGAGGGCGAGGAGGGCAGGTGAGAGCCAGGGCTGGTGAGGAAGGGCTGCAGGGGAAGGAGGGCTGGAGGCCCAGGCCTACACAAAGTCAGTTCTCCTTTCCAATATGATACAGTGAGCCTACCAGGCCTGGGTTTAAGTCTTGGCTTAGTCACTTACAAACTGGGACCTTGGCCCAGTTCATTTCATCCTGTTTCCCCATCTGGAAAGTGGGCTGATCATAAACATGGTTCACCTGTGGCAGGGATGATTCATGTGATTATGCCTGCAAATGCCTGTCAAAACTCAGTGCTCAATGCTATTAGCCATTTATGCCATGGAGATGGGACAGAGGCCCAGGAAGGACAAGCTGGCTAGCCAGGGCCACACAACAGGGCAACCCCAGGGCTGGGAGTGACCACCAAGAACTACCCTCCACTTGCCAGCCCCCAGGGGAGTTTAAGCCACAGGCTCTCTTCGCATCCCATCATATCCCTCTCCCACCCCCCCGTCCCCCACCCCCAGGATGGACTCGCCCTCAGCCACTGTGGTCAGCGCTGTGCAGTCCAGGTGCAAAACCGGTGAGTCCTCTTGCCCCGAGAACCCATGGTGGGGTGAGGGTGAGGGTGTAGGGGATCATGATCCTAAAGGCATCATTTTAAGTGGCTCCCAAACCTCCAGCCCCTTCCCTCCCCTACCCCTTATGTTCCCTGTAGCTGCCTCCAGATCAGGCCTCTCCAAGGCCCCCTCCCGAAAGAAGAAGGGCAGCAAAGGCCCCGTGATCAAAATCACCGAAATGTCAGAGAAGTACTTCTCGCAGGAGTCGGAGGTCTCAGAGTAAGGCGGCTGGACCCCAGGAACCCCAGGGCACTCCACTGCAGCAGGAGGGACTTAAGCTAGACTCAAGAAAGCAGCTTGGAGCCTCTAGGTTGAGAAGAGAGGCAAAACCTGATATTGAACTGAGAGAGGGGTTCAAAACTGACTGTGTTTTGTGGGCTGCCAGGGTGGGAGAGGAGCATCACCAGCTCCTCAGAGCCACTCCGCTCCATATCAGTATCTCACAGTCCCATCCTTCCAACCTTCTGGCCAGAGGTTTTCCTGATGGGTGAGTCGGAATTAGGGGTCAGTTTTGTCTCCACCTCCTCGCTCCTCTGAGGCTCCTCCTCCAGCATCAGGCTCTGCCAAGGCCCCTCTGACTCTTGCCCAATCCTTGACCTTGACTCCTATCTCAAGCCTTGCCTTGTCTCTGCCTCGGAACTGGGACTGGGACTGGCTCATCCACCTATGTGCGGGAGCCGAGGAGGACGGCGTGGGCCCTGTCCTGTATCTGGAATTCCTGGGAAGGCTGGCTGCTGAAGACCCTCTTGGCTTTCCCGTGCTCTTTGGGCTCCCCAGAGACCTGACAGTATTAGGGAGTGAAGGGAGGAGGGGCCCTGGCTATTTGGGACCTAAGCCTAGGCCCCAGAGATCAGCCCGAACACCCGCATCCCTTCCTCCTCCCATGGGTCCCTCCCAGTAGGCAGTAGTCAGAACTGGATGGGCTGCCCCCAGCCAGCTCCCAGCAGCTTCTCCGGAAGCTGCTCTTGCCATAATCAACTCCCTGGGAGTGGAAGCCAGATGGCAGCTTGAGATTGGGCAGGAGCATTCGATCTTCCTTTCACCTCCCTGCCATGCTGGGGTCCTACCCAGCCTGGATCTGAGCTCTGTGCCCCCAGCCGGGTTGTTCCCAGCCTGAGCACCGGGCTTTGGTGCACCAGGCCTTGGAGACCCCTGGTCCCACCCCTGCCGTGAAGCCCCAGGCCCACTTCCCAAGAATCTCACTTCTCAGGGCCTCTGTTCTCCTCTCCACTGGGCCAAATAGCCTGGCCCTCCCCTCCTTGGCATTCATGGGGGAGCCCAGGAACCCCCCACACCTATGGGGTTAGAGCTCCTCCTTTCTTCTCACTCCTTCCCCTTCCTCCCTCCATGCCCACTCCCCCTGCCTCCAGCAGGCCAGGAAGAAGGCACAGTCCAGGCAAGTCTGGGAGCTTCCAAGCCCTTGAGGTCCAGCTGTGGGGCCCAAATGACAGCCTTACAAGGGTTCTACCAGAGAGGAAAATTCCACATCCCACCAGAAGACAGGGGTGTTGGCAGGCATACTCCTATCTCCTCCTCTTGGCTCTCAATGCTGAGGCTTGCAGAGGCATCCCAGCGGCACCAGCCTCCCACTGCACAGCTTCCTTCCCTCCTTCACTCTCCTCTCCCCTCCCTGCCCCTTGCCTCACCTCCTCTTCTAGACTGCATTAGATTCATTCATCTCATTTGCCAGGACATGTTGGCCAGAGGTCTGGGCCCATCCCAGGCCTCAAGGCCCTCCAGGCCTGTGGGGAGCACTGGAGGGTTACTGACTCTCTGGCCATGGGAACTCAGAGATTCTCATCCCCAAAGTCCCAAAAGAGGGTGCTGATTGGTGCTTTTCCTCAGGCTCTTCATTGGTTTCCAAGGGAGCAAATCCTCAGTGGGGATACAAGACATATAAAGTATATATTATTTTTTCATAACTTATGTGGCTTTTAACTTATTGCTTCCCTTCCTGTTTCTGCATGATCAGTCTGTATGTACTATCTGGAAAGATAACACATACTCCAGCCACCTCACCTGATTGGCTATCTTGGGGCCATGTCCCCTTCTTGCTGCCACAGGATGAATAAAGTGTTGAGATTTGTCTATGGAGAAAGCTGTGTGTCTGTTTTTATCTCCCCTCTCAGGACCAGTCAGCCACTGGTCAATCAGGCTGATCATGGAACATTAGGAATTCTCCAATTAAGGGAGAAAAAGTCCAGGGACTTAGTTATATCTTCAGACCAGTGCAGCTGGTACACACAAAGTTCTCCTGTCTCACCATCTGATATGGTTTGGATGCTCGTCCCCTCCAAATCTCATGTTGAAATGTAATTCCCAGTGTTGGAAGTGGAGCCTGGTGGGAAGTATTTGGATCATGAGAGAGGATCCTTCATGAATGGCTCAGCACCATCTCCTTGGTGATGAGTGAGTTCTCACTCAATTCACATAGATATGGTTGTTTAAAAGAGTCTGAGACCTCTCCCCTCTTTCTCGCCATGTGATATGCCTGCTCCCCCTTCACCTTCCGCCTTTACTGTAAGCTTCCTGAGGCCCTCACCAGAAGCTGAGCAAATGTTGGTGCCATGCCAGTACAGCCTGCAGAATTGTGAGCCAAAATAAATGTCTTTTCTTTATAAATTACCAAGTCTCAGGGATTTCTTTCTTTTGTGTATGTGTGTGTCTGTGTGTGTGTGTCTGTGTGTGTATGTGTGAGACAGAATCCTGCTCTGTCATCCAGGCTGGAGTGCAGTGGCTGGATCTCGGCTCACTGCAACCTCTGCCTCCCGGGTTCAGGCAATTTTCCTGCCTCAGCCTCCCGAGTAGCTGGGATTACAGGCACCCACCACCATCCCCGGCTAATCTTTTGTATTTTTAGTAGAGATGGGGTTTCACCATGTTGGTCAGGCTGGTCTCAAACTCCTGACCTCAAGTAATCTGCCCGCCTCGGCCTCCCAAAGTACTGGGATTACAGGTGTGAGCCACAGCGCCCAGCCAGGGGATTTCTTTATAGTGTGTTTAAGAACACACTATAAGCACAGCCAGGCCCCTGGGCTGACTAATACACTGTGCTGCACTGAGACTGCACCAACGTTGACCTATGTTCCCAGCGCCTCCTGACATATCCAGGCACCACACAGGCTGCTTTAGCCAGCACACATGCTGGGGATTCCCCAGTGGTGGCAGGGTTTCTTCTTAAGCACTTCTGCCCTACTGGGAATTGACACAGCCCAGAATGTATTCTGATGCGTACGGGCCCAATCCTGCCAAATCAAATCCCAAGTCAATGCATAAGGATTGAGGACCTTCTCCAAGCCCAGCCTTGTGCTAAGACTCCTCCAAGACAGGGGTCCACCCCTCAATCGCAAGTAGTTCACAGTCAGGCTGAGAGATGAGATATCCACCCAAGGTAGCCACCCTGGACTTCGTCACCACGTGCAGAAGTGGGTGCTATAAAGGTCAGGGAAGAGAAGGGCTTGTGGAGGGAATCAGAACAGGCTGCTTAGAAGAAGGGGGACTTTAAGTGAACACAAAGGATCTCAGTTAGGAGACAGACCAAAGCAGGAACAGGTGTCTGTCTCAAAGGAAAGGAATAGCGGGAAGGGACGTGGCAGCATTTGTGTCCTGGCCCACCCACTCACCAGCAAGGAGACTTTAGGCAAATAGAGCATCACTTTCCTCATCTGTAAAATGGGGCACACCTCTTCCCTACTTAACTCACGGGGTGCTTGGGCATTTGATGAGGTGGCTATGTTTATTCATTTCAGGAAAGCCACATCTCTTGCTTCTGTCACTCTGAACTATAATAGCTCAACAATTGTAAAGGATTATTAGTGATGGTGTGATTATTACAGCAGACATTAAGGATTAAAGGTGACCAACTAATCAGGAGACTCAAATGCAAGCAAATAGACCTCGTGCTGGCTAAGAGCACAGCACAGCCAGGCCCCTGGGCTAAAGTTCAGAGGCTTGAGTTTATCCATTCTCCTGAAGACCCTGAAGGGCAGGCTCCACTCTCAAAACTCTGAAGAGACTGATAAGCCACATACCCGTCCAAGAGAGGCCTAGAGCTGAGACCAGCTCTCTCATTTTATCTCTGTTTTCTGTTTTATTAATTTCTGAGTCAGAGTTTGAATTTCTGAATATGAATATGAATTTCATAGTCAAGAATTTCATGAGGCCAGGTGATGGCTATACCTGAAATCCCAGCACTTTGGGAGGCCGAGGTAGAAAGATTGCTTAAGCCCAGGAGTTCGAGACCACCTAGTCAACATAACAAGACCCTGTCTCTATGAAAAAAAAAAAAATTAGCCAGGTATGGTGGCAAGCACCTGTAGTCCTAGCTACCTGGGAGGCTGAGGCAAAGGATCGCTTGAGCCCAGGGGTTGGAGGCTGCAGTGAGCTATGATCACACCCACTGCACTCCAGCCTGGGCAACAGAGTAAGACCCCATCTCAAAAAAATTTTAAAAAAGAAAAAATAAAAGAATTAAATGACGTATTTGTTATTTCCTTCCTATTTTCTTTGAGTTTATTATTTTTATTGTTTTTCAGCTTCTTGAGTTAAATGCTTGAATTTTCTATCATCTTTTTTAATATAAGATGCTTTGAAGACCATAAATTTTCCTCTAAGTATCATTTGACTGCTTCCAGTCATTTTCATTTGTAGAATTTTTATTGTATAGTTACAACGACTTGATTCTTTGACTCATAAGTTTTTAGAAACTTATGACCCACACATGGGTCCTTCATTTCACAAACACTTATTGAACACATACTTAGCCTGTGACTGGCCCTGCTCTGGATACTAAGGGGGACATTAAATCCATCCAACATTTCTCTCTGTATCCTTGACTCCCCACTCCTGTACTTAAGCAGTGCTTCAGTCACCTGCTTTTGTGACTTTTATCCCCAGAAGACTCTAAACTCCTTGAGGGCAGAGATCATGTCCTACTGCCTTCCCAAGGCCTTACACAGTGCCTGCCACATAGTAGGTGTTCAATAAATGCAAAATGAATGAAAGGATGAATGAGCAATGTCCCTCCCCAGCCAAGATCTCTAGCCTAAAAGTCCTACAAAGGTGAGGACATGTCTTCTTGACCTTTGGGTCCCAGGTGCTGGTGCAATGCCTGGACTTTGAAGGAACAGAGTGAGTGTGTGCAGGATGAATGAACAGATGGGAGGAAACAAGGTCTTCCCTACCCAAACGAGGAGGTGCTCCTGCCCCTTTCAGGCTAGCAAATCCTAAACCGTTTCTGAAAGGTGCAGAGTCTGATCCCCCTTCTCATACAGAACTACCTCCTCTCTCCTCCTCCCCACTCCTGTCCTCCTGAGTTGTTCAGCGAACCCCTGGCCAACCGTGCCAGCCTTCCTCTGGCTACAACAATAAGCCCCTGTACAGGTTTGGCTCTTTCTCCTGTCATCAGCTGAGACTCAGAGTGGCCAAGCACCGTAACTTTGGTCACCAGGCAGGCGAAAGGAAGCATTGTGGTTGCCTGGAACGATTTCTTACCTGCAGACTGCCTGCCATAGGGGCAGAAAAAATGATCAAACCTAAGAGTTGGTGAGGCAGAGACTGAAACACAAAATGTAGGTGGGTTCAAGCAGGCACCCAAGAGGTGGTGCCCAGCCCAACTCCCCAGGCTCAGCCTAGATGAGAGCTCAGAGGCCTTGTGCCAGGACTGGCAAGTCAGTGCCCTGGTGGCTCTAGAGAAACCTCCAAGAAAGACCCAGGACCAGAACCCAAGGCAGGCCCTGTGTGCTGCAGGCTGGCTGCACACTCCCCTCCTGCTCCTTCTCCTCATCTGTTCCGGCCTGAGGGAAAATAGCTGGGGGCGGGGAAAGTTGTCCTTGTCCTCCAGAGATGATGAGGGAGACCCACACAGAAGCAGAGAGACAGACACAACCAGAGCCGCCTGGGCAGAGCTCGAGACCTCAGCACTGGGGCCTGCAGAACTGCTGGGGAAGTTAGTCAAAGAGGGCTTCCTGGAGGAGGGGAGGAGGCTGCTGGGAAGGAGGGGTGACGGGGCTAGCAAAGAGGAAGGGAGTGGAAACGGCCCAAGGGAGGGAAGTGGAAGGGATTTGCTCAGCCTTCAGCCTGGGGCTGTGAGTTAACAGACAGGAGCAGGGGAAACCTGAGTTGAGAATGAGGAAAACTTGGGAGCACACGTTGTAATGTGGGGTGACCCCTGAAGCCCCCACAAGGTGTAAGCCAACTGGTGCAGGGACTGCATCTTACTCAGCTGTGTCCCCCAGTGTCCGGTAGTGCGCCAAGAATGCAGTTGGCACTTACTAAATGCTGGCTACATGAACAGAGGCCTAAGTGGCCGGGGGCTGCAGCTGCAGAGGGATGAGAGGTGGGTCCATCGCCAAAGATATTTTGAGCACCTACTCTGTGCTCCACCCTGTGGTCGGCACAGTGGGGCAGAAGGAGGGAATAAAGGGTGAAATGGGGTCCTTGCCCTCAAGCGCCTCTGAACTGATGTGGGGTAGCCAGGATCTGGCCTGGGGCTCCCTGTTGTGCCCAAGTCCCCCCAGTTCTGGTCAGCCCTGTGCTGTGTGGGACCTGGGGCAAGTCACGTCCCTCTCTGGAGTTTCCTTCATCTGTAAATAAAGATGTTAGACTGAGTGACCCCGCAGATCCCTTCTACGCCAATACCATGAAATTCTGTTTAGCCTGCCTACCCACCTCAGTTCCTCGGGTGGTCCCTGCCCAGGAGGCAGCAGTGATCGTCGCTGAGACCATGGTCTGTAGAGCAAACCCTGGTTCCAGCTGTGTGGTCTTGGATAGCCTCCAGGAGGTAAACAGCGTCTGTCTGCTTCGTAGATTTGTTGTGAAGCTTTAAAGCGATGATACATGATAAAAGAATTTAGCGGCCTGTGCGGTGGCTCACACCTGTAATCCCAGCACTTTAGGAGGCCGAGGCGGGCAGATTACTTGAGGTCAGGAGTTCAAGACCAACCTGGCCAACATGGTGAAACCCCGGTCTCTACTAAAAGTACAAAAATTAGCCAAGCATGGTGGCGGGCGCCTGTAGTCCCAGCTACTCGGGAGGCTGAGGCGGGAGATTCGCTTGAATCTGGGAGGCGGAGCTTGCAGTGAACCGAGACTGCACCATTGCACCCCAGCCTGGTTGACAGAGTGAGACTCCGTCTCAAAAAAAAAAAAAAAAAGAATTTAGCACAGTGCCTGGCACATGGTAAGTGCTTAATAATGACAAAATAGTAAGCACGCTAAACTTTGAGAGCCGTTCCCCTTTTCACCTTATCCCTAGTCAGGTTGGAATCAGCCTGGCCCAGGTGGCTTGACTTGAAGTGATCAGGCAAGTGTCCACACAGTCAGCCAGCCTCACCTGCCCCCTTCCCCACAAGAGAGGCCAGGGCTCCGAGACCTGTCTCAGGGGAGCTGAGGACTGGAGAGGGTGAGGGAAGTGGCCCAACGCCCCCTTCCCTTCTGGAGCTGACTGCTCAGGCAGCATTCCATTCCGGAAAGGTCAGCTCCTGCCCTGCCAGCCTGCACCACAGCAACCTCTGCCCTCTGCTGGCCGTGACAAGACAGTGCTTCTTCGGAGCCTGAGTAAGCCCTGCTGGCTCTCCCCTAGGGAGGGGAGGAGAGAAGACAGCTGGGGCAGGAGCTCAACCCAGAACTCAGATCCCCACACACTCAGGCTCAAATTTCAGACTTAAACTCAGAATCCCCCAGGGCTGAGCCATCTCTCCTGCCCTGGCCTCCCTTCCCCAGCAGGCACAGGCTCAGTGCCTTCCACAGAGAGGGCTGCCACAGCCCACAGGCCTCAGGGACCTTGATCCCATGTGAAATCCTCACCCCAACCCCTAGATCTGGCTCTTCCTCATCTTTCAAGTCTCAGCTCAAATGTCTCCTCCTCACAGAGACCTTCCCTGTTGCCCATCTCAGATAGCCCCCTCCTTCCTCCACAATACTCTTCTTTTTTTTTTTTTTTTTTTTTTTTTTTTTTTTTTTTTTTGAGACAGAGTCTTGCTCTTTTGCCCAGGCTGGAGTGCAGTGGCACGATCTCGGCTCACTGCAAGCTCTGCCCCCCGGGTTCACGCCATTCTCCTGCCTCAGCCTCCTGAGTAGCTGGGACTACAGGCGCCCGCCACTATGCCCGGCTAATTTTTTCTATTTTTTAGTAGAGACAGGGTTTCACCATGTTAGCCAGGATGGTCTCGATCTCCTGACCTCGTGATCCGTCCGCCTCGGCCTCCCAAAGTGCTGGGATTACAGGCATAAGCCACCGCGCCCGGCCTACTCTTCATTTTTACTTATTATTATTGTGCTGTGCTCTTCACACAGCACAATCTGCTTTCTCTTTAGTTGATGCTTTCTTCTCTAGTGAATCAACTGGGGTCCAGTCAGGAAAAGAGAAGCCAAGCTAGCTATTTCAAACACAGGGGATTCAATGTGAGGAAATGATAGAGTGGCTATTGAAAGCTTCAAGGACAAAGCAGGAAAGCTGCAGTGTTGTGGAAGTTAGTCAGCGGCAGACAATACCTCCCCTAGAGCTAAAAGAAGTGGCCTTACCCAAACTCAGGAGCACAGGCGAGGGCCCCAGGGGGGCTGGTTCTTGGGCCTAGAGGCAGAGATTGGAGGGAGTACAACATTTTCCTTCTATTAGGAACAGCTGGGACTTAAAGAACTGGATAACTGTCCTGACAAGGCGGCCAAAGTCAGTGTGGGCTTTCAGAAGGTAGCCTGCATGTGTGCTCCAGGTGGGTAATGTGTAACACCCACAGGTCCCCTGCCAGAACCCCTCTATTCACAAACAATAAACACCCTTCCGTTATTTGCTAGCTTTCTTGTAGTTTTAATTTTCTTTCTTTTTTGGAGATAGGGTCTGGCTCTGTCACCAAGGCTGGAATGCATTTGTGCGATCTTGGCTCACTGCAACCTCCACCTCGCGGGTTCAGGCGATTCTCCTGTATCAGCCTCCTGAGTAGCTGGAATTACAGGCACATGCCACCAGGCCTAGCTAACTTTTGTATTTTTAGTACAGATGGGGTTTCACCATGTTGGCCAGGCTGATCTCGAACTCCTGACCTCAAGTGATCCGCCCGCCTCGGCCTCCCAGAGTGCTGTAATTACAGGCATGAGCCACCGCACCTGGCATTTAATTTTCTTCAAGGGGAGAAACCTACCCCTCCATGTCTCAACTCAGGTATGTAAGTTTGGTAGATGTCCCCCAAACACTCAACTTCTGTCCTAACAAGAGCAAAAAAGAACCAGAATACCCCCCACCCCCGCTGTGGTTTGACTGTGTCCCACAACAATCCCCAGTGCAACAGTGTTGAGAGGTGGGACCTTTAAGAGGTGATTCGGTCATTAGGGCTCTGCGCTCATGCATGGATTGATGTGATGTGGGAGTGGGTTTGTTAGAAAAGCAGGTCTGGGCCAGGCGCGGTGGCTCACGCCTGTAATCCCAGCACTTTGGGAGGCTGAGGTGGGTGGATCGTGAGGTCAAGAAATCGAGACCATCCTCACCAACAAGGTAAAACCCCGTCTTTACTAAAAATACAAAAATCAACTGGGCGTGGTGGTGTGCACCTGTAGTCCCAGCTACTCAGGGGGCTGAGGCAGGAGAATCACTTGAAACCGGGAGGCAGAGGTTGCAGTGAGCTGAGATTATGCCACTGCACTCCAGCCTGGTGACAGAGTAAGACTCTGTCTCACACACACACACACACACACACACACAAAGAAAAGCAAAGCAGTTCTGGCCCTCTCTTGCTGTCTCACACACTCTCGCCATGTGATGCCTTCCCCAGACACAGGCCGTTGATCTCGGACTCCCCAGCCTCCAGGACTGTGAGACAAATAAATTTCTAATTGCTGATAAATTACCCAGTCTGTAGTATTATGTTATAACACCACAAAACAAACTAAGACAGGAAACTGGTACCAGGAAGTGGGTCTCTTGCCGTAATCAATACCTGGAAATGTGGAAGTGGCTTTGGATCCAGGTAACAAATAGAGGCTGGAAGAATTTGGGGGAGCAGGCAAAGAAAAACCCAGATTGCTATAAAAGGAGCATCAAGGGCAATTTCAGTGAGGGTTCAGAAGAAGACAACAGCTGTAGAGGGAACCTAAATCTTCTTAGGGATTGCTTATGTGGTCATGATCAAAATGTTGGTAGAAATCCAGACAGAAAAGGCCAGTCTGATGAGGTCTTGGGGGAAAAGCAGATTATCTTACTGGAAAATAGAGTAAAGGCCATCCTATTGGAAAATAAAGGCTTTCCTTGCTCTACAGTTGTAAAGAACCTGGCAAAATTATGTCCATGCCCGAGGACTATATGGAAGGCAGAACTTTAGAGTAATGACCTAGGAAATCCGGCAGGAGCAACAAACAGCAAAGCAGCAGAGTGCCGACGGTGCCGCATGGCTTCTTTTGTCCACTTACAATAAAGTGAGAGAAGAGAGAATGACTCAAAGATGGAATTTATAATTTCAAAGAAAGCAGAACAGAAAGATTTGGAAAACTCTCAGCCTGGCCATTTAAAGAATAAAAAAGCAGCCGTGCGCGGTGGCTTATGCCTGTAATCCCAACACTTTGGGAGGCTGAGGCAGGCAGATCACGAGGTCAGGAGATCGAGACCATCCTGGCTAACACCATGAAACCCCATCCCTACTAAAAAAAAATACAAAAAATTAGCTGGACGTGGTGGCACACACCTGTAATCCCAGCTACTCAAGAGGCTGATGCAGGAGAATCGCTTGAACCTGGGAGGCGGAGGTTGCAGTGAGCGGAGATTACGCCATTGCACTCCAGCCTGGGCGACAATGTGAGCCTCTGTCTCAAAAGAAAAAAAAGAATAAAAAAAGCATGTTTGGGTGAGAGCACTAAGCATATAGCCAAGTGACCATTTGCTAAAGTGATTAATATGGATAAAAGGAAGCCAGGTTCTATTCATCAAGACAATGGGGGAATGAACCTGAAGGCATTTAGGAGATCTTCAAGGCAAACCAGGAGCTTGAGGGCAAGGTTTCCAGAGAGCTGCCCAAGGGAAATCAGCATTCACTGCCCCATCCACCTCAAGACTCTGCTCCCCGATTTCCAGTGCAGTGCCCCTTGGCTGTCCCAGCCATGGCTCAAGCAGGTCCAGGTGCAGTTTGACCCACCACTCCAGAAGGTACAAGCTGTAAACCTTGGTGGCATCCCTGTGATGCTAATTCTGCAGGTGGGCAGAATATAAAAACTGTGGGGCCTTGGCAGCCTCCACCTGGATTTCAAATGATGTCATCGACAGCCTGAGGGCCCAGACAGAGACTTTTCACAGGGGCAGAGCCACCAGAGAGAGTTCCTGCCAGGAATGCCTAGTGGAGCCATGGGAGCGAGGCCACCTCAGAGACCCCAGAACTGTAGACTACCAATGTGCCACTCCAGCCCGGGAGAGCTGCTGCATGGGCTGAGTTCAGCAAAGCTGTGGGAACTGGCTTTCCCAACCCTTTGGGGGCCCAAATCCCTCAGTGTAGGAAGCACATGGAGTGAAAGATTATCCTGGAGTCTTAAGTTGTAATGTTGGCTGGGCACGGTGGCTCATGCCTGTAGTCCCAGCACTTTAGGAAGCCAAGGTGGGCAGATCACCTGAGGTCAGGAGTTCAAGACCAGCCTGGCCAATATGGCAATACCCTGTCCCTACTAAAAATACAAAAATTAGCTGGGCGTGGTGGTGCACACCTGTAATCCCAGCTATTTGGGAGGCTGAGCTAGGAGAATCGCTTGAACCCAGAAGGCGGAGGTTGCAGTGAGCTAAGATTGTACCACTGCATTTCAGCCTAGGGAACAGAGCTAGACTCCGTCTCAAAAAAAAAAAAAGATGAATGTTGTCTGCCATGTTGGGTTTTGGAATTGCTTGGGGCCTATTACCCCTTTCTTCTTGCCTATTTCTCCTTTTGGGATGTGAACGTCTGTCCTATGCCTGTCACACCATTGTATTTTGGAAGTAGATCACTTGTTTTTATGTCACAGGCTCACAGATGGAGGGGAATGTGCTCCAGGGTGAATGATAACTTCAGTCTCTCTATGTATGATTTAGATTTAGACTCTAGACTTTGGACTTTTGAGTTGATGCTGAAACAAGTTAAGACTTTCAGGGCCATTGGGATGGAATGAACGTATTTTGCATAGGAGAAGGACATGAATTTTAGAGGCCAGGGGTAGAATGCTATGGTTTGAGTGTGTCCCACAAATTCATGTATTAGAGCTTAATTCCCAATGCAGCATGTTGAGAGGCAGGATGTTTAAGAGGTGATTAGGTCATGGGGGCTCTACTGTCATGAATGAATTTATGTTACTGCAGGAATGGGTTTGTTATAAAAATGAGTTTGGGCCGGGCACGATGGCTCACACCTGTAATCCCAGCACTTTTGGAGGCCGAGGTGGGTGGATCATGAGGTCAGGAGATCGAGACCATCCTGCTAACACAGTGAAACCCCATCTCTACTAAAAATACAAAAAAATTAGCCGGGCGTGGTGGTGGGCGCCTGTAGTCCCAGCTACTTGGGAGGCTGAGGCAGGAGAATGGCGTGAACCTGGGAGGTGGAGCTTGCAGTGAGCCGAGATTGCACCACTGCACTCCAGCCTGGGCGACAAAGCGAGACTCCGTCTCAAAAAAAAAATGAGTTTGGCCTTCTCTTGTTCTCTGTCATGCACTGTATCCCATGTGATGCCTTCTGCCATGTCATGATGCAGCAAGAAGCCATCAGGCCATCACAAAATGCAGCCCCATGATCTTGGACTTCCCAGCCTCCAGAACCATGTGCCAAATAAACTTCTATTGTTTATAAAGTACCCAGTCTATAGTCTTCAGTTATAGCAGCACAAAAGGGACTAACATCCCCAGGCCCCTAGCCCCCAAAAGGTTATGCCAGCATCAACTCAACTGCAGCCTTTAAATCGTGCCCCCCCAACCCCCGACCCATCATTAGCCCCCGTCAGGAAGAGGGGTGTGCCACTGCAAGGCCAGCACTCAACATTCACTTGACAAACATGCATTGACAAATATTTATTGATACTTACGATGTGCCAGGCACATTCTAGGCCCTGGGGATACAGCTGTGAACAAATCTGCCCAAATCCCAGCCCACATGGAGTTTATGTTCTCATGGGAAGAAAAAAACAAGGAAGAAATATATTCATGTAAAAGACATAGCTGACTAGACGTTGATAAAAAGTGCTATGGAGAAAACTAAAGCAGAAAGAGCATAGGGAATGTTGAGAGTAGGGTGATTAATAGGGAGGTCAGGAAAAGCCTCACTAAGAAAGGAACATTTTGGCCAGGCGCAGTGTCTCACGCCTGTAATCCCAGCACTTTGGCCGGCCAAGGCGGGTGGAACACCTGAGGTCAGGAGTTCGAGACCAGCCTGGCCAACATGGTGAAACCCCGTCTCTACTAAAAGTACAAAAAAATTAGCTGAGTGTGGTGGCAGGTGCCTGTAGTCCCAGCTACTGGGGAGGCTGAGGCAGGAGAATCACTTGAACCCAGGAGATAGAGGTTACAATGAGCTGAGATTGAACCACTGCACTCCACCCTGGGTGACAGAGTGAGACTCCATCTCAAAAAAAAAAAAAACAAGAGATGAAGAAACAAGCCACGCAGAAGCCTGGGGAAGACCATTCCAGGAAGAGAGAATAGCAAGGCCAGAGGCCCAGAGGCAGAACAGCAAGGGCAAAGGCCCGGAGGCAGAACCTGCCTATCATGTTTGAGGACTTGCGAGGAGGGATGAGGGGAGAGGCGGGGGGTTCAGCCTACACTAGGCCTCAGGGGCCACTGTTGAACCTCAGCTTTGACTGAATGAGATGGAGGGTTTGGATCTGACCTCTGCAGTAAGAGGCAGGGGACCACAGCAGTACCATAATATCTGGACTTTTCTCAGCCTGCATTTGATAAGCAATAAAAGAGGAAAGGGCCTTCCCTGCCAGTCTCTGCCTTTTGTCCCATAATTTCCACTTCAAATAATCAAATGGGGGGAATAGTGATCATTTTGTATCCCAAGTATCCTAAGATACTCCCCCCGTTAGAATGTTAGCTCCCTAGCAGTGGCAGGAGCCACTGAGTGTGACTTGATCATTACCATATCCCCAGCGCCTTGCAGTGGACCTGGCACTTAGTAGATGCTTGGAGAAATGTGCAGACATACCAATGACGGAGGCTCTGGCAACCTCTCATAACCTCCAGGGTGACGTTGCGTGTCCAGGCCTGAGCTGGACACCTGGAAGACATTGCCCCATTCAGGAGAGCTCAGGTCACCCAGAGGCAACGCTGAAGTCAGACCTTGAGCGTGCCTGACTCTAGAGCCCTTGCCTTCCTTCCCCTCCTCACTGTCACCAAGAGCCAACACCCCCTGCCTCCAGAGGGACATGCAGGCCAGTGTGGTCACTCTCACCTCCCTCCGGCTCATTGGGCCCGGAATGTTCTCAGAGGGTGAGGGATTGTCCCTGTGTCTGTCCTTCTGAGGGTCTGTGAGTCTGTTGGAGAGGGCCTGTCCCTCTGGGGAGGATGTGTATATCTGGCCCTCTGGGAGTCTGCCCCTCATGTTGCAAAGTTCATGTTCCTCCACCCTTTCCCCGCAGGTGGGTCTGTGCCCGTGGTTCAGCCCTACCCTCCCCACTCCCATTCCCACCTGCTTGTTCCATGGCTCCCCACCATCTGCAGGCTCTGAGCGCCCCCTGCTGACCACTGCCTCATCTGCACCTCCACGCCCAATGGGGAACCAGATACCTATGGCCTGGGGTCTGGGACAGTGCAAAGAGCTGTTCCTGGGGCGAGGTGAGAGGATCGCTTGAGCTCAGGGGTTCGAGACAAGCCTGGGCAATATAGTGAGACCCCATCTCTATCTAAAAATAAAAATAAAAAATAAGAAAGAGGTAAGTACAGGGGGCAGGATTAGCCTCCTTGAGGCCTCTACCCCTGACTGGGGGCTGAAAAACACCTAGGCCCGCCTCCACACCTGGCCTTAATCTCTTTCATCCCATCCGCCACCTTCCTATTCAACACTCATCCCTGCCAATCCTACCTCTCCCCAAGCGCCCCTCCTTCGAAGTCCCTGTACCACCAGCAAGGCCATCACACATCCTGCTGTGACACTGACTCAGTGGGACTGACATGCAAATAGATTCCACACATGTGGTGAGTCAGGAGCCTGAGAAGGGGACACAGGCTGAGTGAACTGGAGTGAGGTCAGCCTTTGGAGATGACCACATATACCTGGGGACATGGCTATCTGCAGATATGAACACACATATGCACAGCCTATGCACACACCTACTCACAAATGCAGGCACACTGTGCACAAGCATATGTTCTTATGCATATGTTCACATGTGCACACATACAACACATACATGTGTACCCAACATACGTGCATTGTGCAAACATAAGTGCAAATGGACATCTGTGTGCACACCTCCATCCCTGGGCGGAGACATCCACGCCTACATGCAGGTGTCCTCAACAGGCGCAGGCAGACTGAGGCCCACCATCAAAGCACACATCCGCACATGTGCATACACATAGCCCTTGATCAGTGCTCACATGCACACACGTCCACAGGTGCCAGGAGTATAACTGGACTGAAGTCAGACAGACCTCAATTTGAACCCTGACCTGGCTTTATCACTCAGTTGCTCTGTGACCCTGAGCATCTGCAACTTTCAGAGCCTCAGTTTCCCCACCTGTAAAACTGGGTAATAAGGATGCCTGCCTATAGGGTTGGGAAGATTAAAGGAGACAATACATGGAGCAGACCTGCAACACAGACCTGCAACACAGCTAATGCCAGCAAGCATTAGCTGGCAGAACCCCAGCCTCAGACCTGTATATAACTGTGACTATAAAGTAATGAGAAGGGTCCCCTCTGGGGCGTGAGTCCCCCAGCACAGGCACACACATACACATGCACACACACACACACACACACACACACACACAGAGGCTGCTCTGTGTTTCTGCTGTTTACAAAGCTGCCTAGCTACGACCTGAGATCAGGAGCATGTGGGCTCACTTGGGAGCCCCACCCTTCCTCCCCAGCCTGTCAGAACAGGGCCTAGCGGGGAATCCTGCATTCCTCCTCCTCTTGGCTACAGCCTTTAGGGGTACAAAATGGAGGCCTTGGAGTCCTACTTCCCCCAGGCCCCCCCATAGGCTTTGCCCTTTTGCAGTGGATTGTGGCTGCTTTAAGGAGCTCCCTGAGATTGGGGGAGACTAGGGTCCCCCTGGAGGCTCTCCAGCCTGCCTGACAGTCCTCTCCTCAGCTCCATCCCCCTACAAGCCCGTGGCTGCTAAGACCATGTTTCTGGTGGAGGGAGGCCCACGGTGTCCCACCACATACTCTCCCCATGACCTCCTGGAAAAAGGAAGATGGCCAGTGTCCTCCTCTCCCGAGGATGCTAAGTCCCCTTGCAAAACCCTGCCCTGACAGGCCACTGCTGCCCCAACCCCCATGGCCACCCCAGTGCCTAAGCACTGAGGGAGAGGAGTTCCCTGTCGTGTACTCAGAGTGGAGAATAACTTGAGCTGATAAGCTAACTCTGAAGACCTTCCAGGGGATCAGGGATAGCCACATGGCCCCACGTAGTTTCAAGGTCAACCCTCGAAAGTGTAGCTTTCTGGCTGGGTGCAGTGGCTCATGCCTGTAATCCTAGCACCTTGGGAGGCCGAGGCAGGTGGATCACCTGAGGTCAGGAGTTCGAGACCAGCCTGGCCAACATGGTGAAACTCCATCTCTACTAAAAATACAAAAAATTAGCCAGGTGTGTTGGCCCACACCTGTAATCCCAGTTACTTGGGAGGCTGAAGCAGGAGAATCATTTGAACCCAGGAAGTGGGGGCTGCAGTGAGCCAAGATCACACCGCTGCACTCCAGCCTGGGTGACAAAGTGAGATTCCATCTCCAATAAAAAAAAAAAAAAAATTGTAGCTTTCAGCTGGGAGCAGCTCATGCCTGTGTGTGATCCCAGCACTTTGGGAGGCCAAGGCAGGTGGATGGCTTTGAGCACAGGAGTTCAAGACCAGCCTGCGCAACATAGTGAAACGCCATCTATACAAAAAATACAAAAATTAGCCGGACATGGTGGCATGTGCCTGTAGTCCCAGCTACTCAGGAGGCTGAGGTAGGAGGATGGCTTGAGCCTGGGAGGCAGAGGTTGCAGTGAGTGGAGATCGTGCCACTGCACTCCATCCTGGGTGACAGAGTGAGACCCTATCAAAAAAGAAAAGAAGGTGTAGTTTTCAGACACCAAACACTCGACCTATCAAGCCTCAAAAGGCTAATATGGGTCCCTTCCCCTTACCTGACCTTACCCCAAGCAGAAGAGAAACACAAACTTGTGCCTGTTCTGGTACTGCCTGGCCTGGCCTCTCCTACCTGATGTCTCTGAGGGGAAGTTGGGGCACGTTGGAGCCTGGAGGAACAGCAGAAATTGCTGCCATACTTAGCAGACAATGATCCCCTTCCTTTAGTCCTCTGAAAACTAAACCAGCCAAAAAGTAGCTGGTACAGCCCAGGTAGGCCCATCCCCTCCCATTTCCCTCCAAAATAGGTCAGGGCCACCTCACACCTCAGGTTTGGGGATATAGTGGGTAGCACAGGCATCCTCCAGGGGGTAACATACTAAAACCATGAATGTCACCTACCCCTCATTTTACAGATGGAGAAACTGAGGTCCAGAGAGAGGAAGGGCCTTGCTCTAAGCCGCACAGCCTGTCAACCAACAGAGCAGGACTTTAAACCAGGAGCTGGACCTCCTGACCCCTCCCCACAGTTTTTGGAGACGGTCAGGACTCAGGTGACCCTCGAACTCTGAGCGTTGCCCTATGTCCTAGCACTGCCCCGCTGGTGGAGAAGAAAGGGAAAGAGGGGATATACCAGTGGAAACAGCTGATGCCCTCTGTCAAGGAGCAGGCTGAGGGGGACCTTCCCCCAGGGCTGAGCCTTAGGGTTAGTGGGATTTACATTGCCCAGACAAGGTCTCTTCTGGAACTTCGAAGCCCAGACCATGGCCAGGAGAGTGTCACTGGTATGGCCACAGCCAGACCTGGGCTTGGGAAGGGGACCCTGAACATATTCTGAGACACACACCCTCTCTTTGCCGTTTCAAACCAACCCAAAAAATGTGGAGATAGGGAAAGGGGAAGAGAGCACTATGCTGGGAGTCAAGGGCCCTGGTTCTCGTCCTGCTTCTGCCGCTAACTTGCTGGAGGAACTTGAGCCTCAGTTTACCCATCTGTCAGACAGAAATGAAGTTTGCACTCCCCTCCCCCCACCACCCTCCTATGCTGCCAGAGCCTGCCCTTCATGGCCTCAGTCTCTCCCTCCAAATGCCAGGAATGTGCCTCCCACTCCCCTCTCTGTCCTGGCCCTGCGGGTCAAGGGCAGGGTCAGCAGAGGCTGAGGGGTGAGCCACTCTCCAGCCCCTTCCAGGCTGCCCATGGCCCCGGCTTCCCCTCAGAGACACCAGGCAGGGGAGGCCAGGCCAGGCAGTACCAGAACAGGCCAAAGTTTGTGTTTCCTTCTCAGTCTCCCACCTTCCACCCACTCACCTAGCCTGGGAGCCATGGGCAGCCATGGGATGAAGCTGGGGCCCCAAGAGGCCCGTTCCTGAGGAGCCTTGCCCTGGGGGGCTGCCAGTCTGATAAGGGAGGTGCCTGACGTCATAAGCCTTACCTACTGATCAACACCACAGTGCTTCGAAGTAGGATCATCACTCTCTTTTTTGTTTTGTTTTATTGGGATTTTGCGTTTTTTCGGAGACGGGGTCTCAGTATGCACAAGCTGGAGTGAAACTCCTGGGCTCAAAGGATCCTCGTGTCTGAGCCCCCCAAGTAACTGGGACTGCAGGTATCACTCTCTCAACAGATGAGGAAACTGAGGCCCAGCCAGGACTCCAGCACAGGCCAGGACAGGCAGGACGCCAATGAAGCTGGGACTAGGGGTCTGGCCCCCCAGTCACCCACCTACAGGGCAGGTGTGTCTCACGCTGCCCTGGGTTCCTGCCCGCGGAGGGTCCCTGAACCCCAAACCCAGGCACTTGGGGCCTGTCTCCCGCGGCGGTTCCCTCCCGGACCACACGCCCGCGCCGCGCCCACCCTCAGGCGCCCGGCGTGGGGTGGGCAGGGTGGGGCGCCAGGTCCCTGGGCGGGGCTCAGAAGCCTCTGTTCCCGCAGCGCCGACACCTGGTGTCCGCCCGCCCGCAGGCCAACGTGTCCGGGCAGGAAGGCCGCTCGGGGCCGCCCGGACGGGACAGGACGGAACGGGACGGGACCGGACAGGACACTGGAGGCGCCGCCACAACTGAGCCCCGCCGCCTTTGGGACGCCCCGCCTGGGGTAGGGGAGGGGAGTCTCCCAAAGCCGGTCGGGCACCGCCCCCTGCCGGCTGCCACGGGCTGCTGCAGGCCCCGAGCAGGCCACGGGTGAAGGCGGCGCGGCGTCCACCCAGCCGCCAACCCTAGGGAGCCACTCACGTCCCGCCACCCCCATCAGTCACTCATCAAACACTTCCTGCCAGTGCCCAAGGTGCGGCGGGGAGTCTTGGAACTAGACACAGCCAGAGCCTTGCAGAGGCCTCGCCCTCCACCCTCTCTGACCTGCCAAGGCTCTGAGCCACCCCACGCGACAGACCACACCAGCCACGCCCTCTGCACAGCTGGCAGCCAGGCTGGAGAAGCGGCCTCCAGTTTCTGGGCTCCCCTTGCCCAGGAGGTGGGCAGAGCTGGAGCCTCCTTCTCTTTCTGACTCAGCATCTCCAGCACCCCTCCAAGCCCATGTGTCCTGCTACCCCTGACGCCCACTCCTCCTGCCCACAACTCAGCCAGAGTCCCCCACCTGCAACCCATCCAGTCCTTGCCTTACCTAGGCTAAGACCCCTCAAAATAACAGCATAGTACTTACTATGGGCAACACTGTTCTTCCTGCTTTATCACATTTCATCAACCTGCCCACAACATACCCTGCACAGCCCCTGCCACCCACACATGTACACGTATATGCACACGCACACACACACACACCCCTTGGTGCCTGTCGGTAACTCCATGTTCCTGGGAATGGGCTTCTGCAGATCTTTCTGGGCCTCCTTGCCAGCGGCAGCTGTGCTTCAGAACCTTGGGCACGGTCTGTTGCTCCCTGGGCCAGAGCCTCCCCTTCCCCGCTACTGAGTTGCCAGGGAGCTCAGGCAGTTCCTTGGGGAGTAGATGCTGGGGAAGGAACACCACCTCGAGTCCCAGCCACCACATACTGCTGTGTGGCCCAAGGCAGCATATGTCCCTCTCTGGGCCCTCAGTCCCTGAATTAGTTGGAAGAGCCCATTTCTAAGGCCAACATCAGACCCGCGCATCTGGGGTTCAGGGCGGGCCTGGGCTAACTCACTTTAAAATGTGCTCTCCTCTCTCAGGGTCATGGGGCTTTGTATCCAGTGAGTGCTCACTAACAGTTGTTCACAGACTGTAACTCTGCTCTCAGGCCTTCTCTGATCCCAGGCCCTGGGAGAAGCCACACCCTCTGCCTCCCATGCCCTGGCCCTCCTGGCTTCTAGAACCTTCTCATGAATCCTGGTCCAGGCCCAAAGAAGGCACATCAGTGACCCAGAGGGGGTGGTGATCTGAAGAGACCCTGCAGTCCCCTCTTCTCTCTAACCCCCTCCAGGGCCTAGTATCAGCCTACAGCCCAGGAGAAAAAGATAGTCTAAGTTTACATGTGGTGTTCAGATGCCCCCAGGTAAAGCATTGTGAACCAAAGCAAAGGCCCTAGCGGGTTGGACCTACAGGGTCTACTCTGCAATTTCCATTTGGAAAGTCAGGAAGAGTCAGCTGACCATGGTTCTCAGCATGTGTTTGAAGGGCTGCTGGCCTGGGAAGAGGGTGGAGACCCTGTGTGTCCTTCCCCAGAATGGAGGTTGATGGGAGGTAGGTGTCAGTTCCGTGCCAGAAAGACCTTTCAAAGAATTAGAGCTTCCCACAATGTTTGGTGCCATAATGAGGTAGTGAGTTCCCCATTGTGGAAACTGTTCAAGCTCTTAAATACTTATTGAGCACCAACTAGTGTCAGGCACTGTCGAAGGCACTGGGGACACAGGCTGGCAGGGGACACAGAGAGGATGCGGGGACCGACTAAGATGCAGAATCAAGGCTAGACGGGGGGGAGCAGCAGGCAGTGCTTCCTGGAGAGGAGAGCGTGCGTGAGGTGTGGAAAGCCAGGACAAGCCAGTGGAAGGAGAACAGAGGGCATCCCCAGTGGGGGCTCAGCAAGGAGCCTCACTTTGCCCAAAACCCACAGATAGGGACAAACAGGAGAGAACTAGGGCCCCTGTGGCTCTGACCTCCAACTTACTGTGGCCTGAGCACTGGGCAGTCTGCTCCCTCCAGAGGACAGGGCAAGAAGAGAAGGGGCTTGAAACACAGCAGGAGAGACTGGAGCCAGGCAACAGGGAGAACTTCCTGCTAGGACTTCCTGGATTCCAAACTGGCATGATACTGGGGGATTCCCTGAGCCCCAGGGCTTTCAGGAGGGGGTGCAGCCACAGGAACTTGGAATTGAAGGGCCCTTTGTGCACTTGGCCAGGGGAGCGCAAAAAGCCTCTGAGGGCCACTCCATGCAGGGGAGGCTGGGAACGGGAGAGGGCAGCTGTGCATGGCGGCCATGGTCAAGTGTCTTGCCTTGTTTTCTTCGCACAGCAGAAGTTGCCTTGTCAGTCCTCCTGCAAAACCTCTGTGCAATTGCTATGCTAGGAATGGGAAAGCCAGAAGGCTCCACGGGACAGAGGCAGAGGGAAGGAAGGCCCACAGCAGGGATCCTCCATGAGGTGGAGGCTTGGAACCTGCCCCAACCCTGTGTCCCCTGGCTGGGCCAGAAAGACATGGAATAGGGAGAGCAGGCAGCCTCTGGCCAGGACAGGGGGCAGGAGGAGGGGGCAGGATCCTGGGCTCTAGGCCAATCTGGACTCCACAGTGGGAGGCTGGTCTAGACATTATCCAAGGACGCCCCCAGCTCCAATCTTTCCAGGACCGACAGAGACAAGACAGGCTCCCTTCCTTTACTGTCCTTTCCAGGGCAGAGAGCACCAGCCATGCTGTGAAGCCTCATTTGCCAAAGTGTCCTGTAGATAAGAGTCAAACCGGATAATGCTTAAAAGACACTTTGGAAATGTGGAGTCAGGACTTTTATCTCCAAAGCCAAGTTCCAACGGGCAACAGAAGATGCAAAACACATTGTACCTAAGGCCTGGCCTGGGGGCTTTGGGGACGGTCGGCTTCTAGTTGACAGCTGGAAATGGAGGCATTTCTGGCAGAGAAACAGGTCTAAGGAGGCAGCGCCAGCTTCCTCAGGTCCTGTCTCTACAAGGCCCCATTGCTGTAACTAGCCAAGCCAAGCAGGCTGCCCTGCCTGGAAAACTGACTGACCTGCCCTGGACCCCTGCTTCCCTGGAACAGAGATGGGGAGCCCCATAGGCAAGCTCTGGGTTTGGAGCAAGGGGGCTGAGACTACGCCCTTGGAGACGGGTGCACCCTGGGCCCGTGTTTGTAAGTGGAGGGACACCCAATGGGGTTAAGAAGCCTCAGGAGAATTCAAGGCCCCTTGCACACCCGCTGATTGTATAGAAGAGAAAGTTCAGGCTTAGGAAGGAGGGGTCACCTGGCCAAGGTCACACAGCCCCCAAGCTGACACTCGTGAGGCTGCCTCTTCTGCCTCCCAGGTGGGAGGGCCAGGCTTCCCCATGCCAGGTGCCCCCACCCAAGTCTGGGGCAGGACGGCCGGAGCTCCATGGGGTGAGGGGGTGTGGGGTTGCTGGGCTCGGGCCAGGACTGAGATGCCACAGAAGCTGGTGTTCTGCCAGGGCGGGGCAGGCAGGCCTGGGGGCAGAGGCGGGCCTGGCCTCTCCCCACCTGGCAGAAGGCATTTCTTACCTAATAAGGTGCTTTATTCTCTGCCTCAAACAGCTTCTGACAAAGCAGGGTGGTGCAGGGGGTGGGGCCAGCTCCTGGGGCCACACCCCGCCCGCTCACCCCACTGCACCAGGCTAGGCCTTTCTGGGGGCAGCAGGGTCTGTAGCAGACCCTGGTCTACCTGAGAAAAGCAGGCGAGCTCCAGCTGGCCTCCGAGAACCCAAGCCTGGCCTAGGATGCAGGGCCCCTGTGTGCCCATCCTCACCCTTGTGGGAGGGGGCTGTCCACATGCAGTTCAGGGCCCAGGTTCCCCGAACCTGCACTGCTTTCCCCCAACACCCGGTATAAGCCAAGCTGCCTCTCCTGCCCCATCCCACACACACAGATATGCACACACTTCCTGCGCTGTCCCTGGGGGCAGTGAGGCCTGGATCCCCCAAGTAGGGAGGTCCCCCAGGACCTCCCACTGTTAGCCCAGAGAAAGCAGGTCAGGGCCGCTCCAGGGAGTCCAGCAGAGCCCTGTGTCTTCATCCTCAGAGGCAGTGGAGGGGCCTGGGCGCCAGGCCCCATGCCTGGGAGGGACAGTGACACAACTCCCCATGGGAAGATCTGGCCCCAGGCCCTGTGGGCCCCTGCCTGACTGAGCGAGGGGTGGTGTCGAGGGGGTCCTAGTGGTGAGCTGGACTGAAGTGGAGGAAGGGCCGGGACCAGGCCACACAGAGCACCTGAGGAGGAGCGTCCCAGTGGGACACATGCTAGTCGGGTGACTCTGGACAACTATTAGCAACCCCGGTGTCCGCATCTGTAAAGTGGGAACAATGCACCTTCCTCTCAGAACTGTTTCAAGGATCCAGTGGGTGCACAGTTTGGACAGATGGCACATGGTCACCTGCATATGCCCTTTATCAGGCAGCGGGGGAAGGCTCTGTGTGCCCCTCAGGGTCTCCAGCTGTGCCTGCAGGTCCCCCTCCAGGCCCTAACCAGGGAGTAACCACGAAGAGAAGGAAGGCCTTCTCAGCAAACAGCTGAGTTTGCTCCAGGAGCACAGGGCCCTTAGTCACCAAGGAGCTTCTTGGGAATGTCTCACAGCACCACCGAGGGAAAGGCACCAGTGACGGCACCCACACCAGGGGGGCCCTCCGCTCTCAGGGCGCCGTGTCCTGAGCTCCAGTGTGTGGATCTCTGTGAGTGTGGCGGTGTATGGCTCTGGTGTCCCGCCAGCAGCTCGGCCACACCCGGGTGACTCAGGGCTGCAGCACGCACCCTACCCGGCCAGTGGGAGAACAAAGCCGCCAGCTCAGGGCCTGGGCATCCAGCCTGAGTCACATACAGGCACACCCAGCCCAGCCAGGAGCCCCCACCCCTCCGGACCCACCCCAGCCCAGGGCTCAGGAGCTCCCCCAATCCCTGCCACAGTGAGGAAACCGAAGTAGCCCCTCACACTGACTGGACTTGCCCAGGTGCGACCGGCTGAGATGAGGAGCTGGGCCCAAGGAAGCCTGGAGGTCTCGCTGAGACCAGGAGCAGAAGCCCACAACCAGGCCCCCGACTCCAGCTCAGTGCAGTAGCAGGGGACAGGCCCTGGCACAGGGAGCATCAGGCCTGAGGCCCAGGAGCCCAGCTTCCCCATGGGGCTGGACTCAGAGGGAAACCAAGGCAGAAGGAGAGGACCTCAGTGAGAGCCATGGGCCTGGCTCAGTCTGGGTTGAGGACACACTGTGGACACAGCCCTGACTCCCTGCCCCTCCGTCACTCTCAAATGTGGAGGAATCATGACAAGGTGAGACGGCCAGGCCTTCAGGTGACCGCTCTGCTTAAGACAATGAGGAGCAGCCCAGCCTCCCCGCCTAGACCTGGGAGTGAGGTTTGTGAGGAAAGGGGCCAGGGCTTGCTCTGCTAAGTGCGCCAACACCACCAGCGGCTCAAAGAAGGTGCTAAGGTTCCCAGACAAGGACCCAGAGTGAGGCCGAGGCAGGAGGGCAGGCAGCAGGCAGGGGTGGGGACCCTGGATTCCCCGGCAGGGGGGAACCCCAAACCCCAGGCCCTTTCCAGTGTGAAATGGGGGCCCCTGCTTCAGCTGATACTCCATCCCTGGAGAGTCTGGGGCTCCACTGCAGGATGCCACCTCCTGGAGCCCTGGTCCAAACCCAAAGGGTGGTGGGGTCTGGCCACCAGCTGGGTCTCCAACCAAGGCCATAGCTGAGAGCAACCCTGCAAAAAGGGAGAAAAAGCCCATCAGGGACACCACAGGGCAGAACGAGCAGATCCTCGGACACTCTCAGCAGGCCCCACGCACCTGATCCTACCCCAGAAGCCCTCGCCCTGACCCAGCCTCACCCAACCCCGAGCTGTGCCCGGTGCTAACTGCAAATGGCCCTCACCCTCAGCCCTGAATCCATCCCTTCATCTGACATGGTACTAATCCCAACCCTAACCCCAAATTTGAACTGTGCCCCAAACTCTACTTGCTTCTCTGTGCTCAAGCCCTACTCCATCCTCACAACCCAGCCCTAAACCAATCCCATCCTAAACCCCAGCTCTGACCCTCACCCCTCTCAGATCATCTGTGTGCCCAAAATTCCATTGTCAGCCCAACCACTGCTCCAAAACCTAACCAGCCCTCCAAGCCTTGCCTTCCCAGGCCCTTTCTAATCCTCCTCCCTATTCTATAGCCCAGGAGCACCGCACACCTCTATCGTCTCCAGTAACCCTCCGCTAAGCCCCCCAGCATCCACACTGCCCACAAACCCCACTTGTGCTCAGACTGCCCACACTGCGCCCACACTGGCCCCCTGTCCAGCCATCAGGAGCCTCTGCTGCACCCGACTGTGCACGCCCAGGCTGGGAGCTGACACAGAGGGACAGGGGCTGGGGACATGACGTGTTCCCCACTAAGAACAGCAGACGCCCTCCCAGCACCAGTGGCTTTATGGCAAGACTTGTAGGGGGTCATTCAGACTCAGGCCTCAGCCTGCCTGCCCTGCGGAGGTGGGGGATGGGTCAGAGCAGGCACTTCCGTGCCTTCCCAGCTCAGGGCCCCACTGCACACAGCCCCAAGCCCACTCCTCTCCCCCAGGCCCTGGGAATGCGCACCTTAGGGGAGGGAGTCAAACCCAGGCCCCTGGCATGGGTTCCAATACGCCCAGGGGACTCATCTTCCCCCTCACCCCACACCCCTCGATCCTGCCCCGCCCCCAGAGCACCCCAGTCCCTGCCCTACTCTAAAGGCCCAGCAGGCTGAAATGGAGACCCCCCACTCTCCTAGCCAGACTGGGGCCGGCAGTGGGTGGGGGCGGTGGTGCAGGACCCCTGGCTGGCCTCCCTCGCCTGCCCTCAGGCCCAGGCTGCATTCCCAGAAAGCCCAGGCCTGCCACTCAGGGACACACAAGCTGAGCTCAGCACCCTCCTCTGCTTCCCAGGAAGCTGCTGGGACTCTTCCCTCAGCCTCAGCCTGAAGTCCTCCTGCTGCAGTCACTGTCACAATGCTTCAGGGACCCTCGCAGGCAGGCCCAGGTGCCCCAGACTCACCAGGCCCGCCCAGCCCTCTCTCACCCCCTCAGCCTTCAAGCCAAGGTGGGCTTGGTAGGTCCTTTCCTTGGCCTGCCACTGTCCTGTCAGAAGCCCAGCCCATGGAGCAGGGGCCCCACGCCCCCACCGTAGTGGGCAGGGAAGACCCAGAGAGGTCGCAGTGTGGCACTTATCACTCAATGGAGCTGGAACATAACTCTCACCCTGCAGCAGGCCTCGGCCAGGCCGGGGCTCACCCCCAGAATCCCAGACAGGGGCAAGGGGTGTCTGAGGACAGTGGGAGCTGGGGAGAGGCAGAGGATCCAGGGATGGGTAAAGGCCAGGCCTCTGGGCCAGGGCTTCCCCAGATCTGCGCCAGGAAGTTCTTCTAGTCATCTAACCTCGATTCCCTACGATGCAGTCCAAGAGGAAAAGGAGATTCTCCTCCCAGTGAACCTCTCCCCTCCAGCTGCCATCCAGGCCCAGGCCCCGGCCCCTCTTGCCTGCTGACCACTCGGGCCCCTAGCCCCACCCCAGCTGGTCTCCCTGCCTGGGCCCCGCCCTCCACTACGGGCTCTTCACTAACGGTCAAGGCCCCAACACTCAGCCATCCCACCCAGCAGCCTGACCCCCACAGATCCTCACCACACCAGACCGCTATTGCTGTCAGGAGGTCCCACATCTTCCACCTCCCTGGTTTTGCTAGGCCGCCCATGGCCTGGAGTGCACTCCCTGGTGAAATCTTGTCTTTCCTACAAGGGGAGCGTCCCCTCTCTGAGCCCGGACCACTGTGCTCTGTGGTCTGATGGCCCTTTCCCCGCCCCTACCCCACAGCTTTGTGGTGGGCCTCTGCCACCCTCCAGCCCTCCAGCTTCCTGAGGGCACAGCCTCTCTGGGCGCAGCTCTTGCTGCCTGGCACAGCTGTGACACCTCCATCCCTCCTGCTACTGTGTGGAGGCCAGGCCCTAGGTGCTTCCCACTGTCCCTTCAACAGTCCTGCAACATTGGTGTCCTTCTCCCCATTGTACTTACAAGGACACTGAGGCTACAACCGTTTTAGGGATGAACCAAGGTGAAGAGTGGGGATTACACCTCAAAGCTCGCCCTCCAAAGGAGCCTGCTGAAGATCTGCCTCCAGTGGGTGATGAGGTGGGGAGCCCTGGGGAAGGAGCTGGAGGGCAAACGAGGCCAGGCCCAGCCTTTCACCTATGTCCAAGGAATCCTACCGTGAGGTCCCCAGGCTCCACAGAACCCACACCATGAACTCTGCCCACACCACACACACACACACACACACACACACACACACACACACACACACAGCTAAGCTGCATGTACACACCCACCCAGCTCCTGTACCCCCACACCCCGAGGCCTGTACCCACACACAGACGTGCTCCTCCCCAACCCCTCTCCTGGCCTTCTCCACCCACACCCAGACCTGCCGGGCAGGCCAAGCAGGCCCAGCTGCCGGGAGAGGCTCCAGAGGCTCCCCACCCCCACTTGGAGCCAGGATGCTGGGGTTCTGTGGGGCAGGAGCGCCCCCAGCTGACAGGTGTGGGACACATAGGGGACAAGGACCCAACCCAGGACCCAGACCAGAAAAAAAGAGTCCTCCGTGCCCCAGACCCCCTGGCCACCCACTGCTTCTAGAACTTACTGAGCACCCAGGCCCAAATTAGAGGGCATGACCCAGGGGAAGAGAAGAGAGGAGGTCAGGCCTGGCACCACGCTAGCAAAAACACAGTGGCCAGAGGCAGGCAGCGTGGCCAAAGTGTAGATGTTGCCTCGGGCTCAGTGATGGAGGGGCCAGGGGCTGGAGATGAAGAAAGGATCTCATGCGACTCTCAGGTTTCTGGGACTGGCTGGCTGGGGAGACCAAGGGGCTGGGAAGGCGGCTGAAGAGCTCATCTCAGACATGTTGGGTCTGAGGGACCTGAGCAGCTTCCTGGTGGAGGCCAGCAGGAGGGGGACACTCACGTCTGAAGCTCTGGCTAGTCAAGGGACATGGCAGGGAAGCGGGGAGATTCCTTATGGCCCACTGTCCCCCTGTCTGGCCTCTGCCCCATGCTCGTGCAAGTCTTCTCTTCTCAAAATGGGCTTAGTGCAGATAAGCCTCTGCTAAGGTCCCTTCCTGCCCTTGTGCTTGTCATTACCCGCCCACCCTCTCTCCACCGGGCCTCAGTGCCCTGCAGAGCCCTCCTGAGGACACACACTGAGGACACAGGTTCTATCAACTCCCATTAATTGAGCACTTACTATGTGCTAGGCACTTTGCTAAGGAGGTCACCAGCCTGAGTGAACATGGGGTCACTTTGACATCAATGCCCAAGTCAGAGAGGCTCCTGGCCCTCAGCTGCGTGCTGCAGGGCCTCAGGTAGTCCCTCAGAAAGTCCTCCAGTTAATTTCGGGGCCCCAGGAATACTGCCCTATAAGCAGGAGCAAGCCTGCACTGGCTGTGCTCTGCTTCCCTGCGAAGACACCGCTGCCTCCGTGGCATGAGAACTCTGCTCTGGAGAGCACCCATCCTCCACCCATGGCCAGCTCAGTCCTCAGCCCTCAAAGCCTCAGTTGTCTGTGACCGGATGCTGAGGAGGAGGGATGGGGAGCAACTCTTCCCTCTCTAAACACCATGCCCCAGGCCCTGAGGCCACACTGTTTAGGCCAGAATCTTAGAGGCCTTCAAAAACAAGTCTCCCTCATTCCCTGGTCCCAATCTCCTTAACCTCTAAGGGTCCCCTCTTGGCAGCCCTTCAAGCAAGCAGGGCTGACACTGAGCCTACCCTATCCACTGTCTCCCAGCCCCCTTACTCCCCAAACACCTGCTACACAGACCTCCAGCCTCTTCCACCAGTCCAGACACCAAATGCACCAAATACACCAGATATTATCATTACTGTACCCAACACTTTACTGTATGCTCTAGACTATGCCATTCCCTATATTATCCCTATAATAAGGACAACTGAGGAGGAGACTGAAGGTCAGAGAGGTTAAGTCATCTACTGAGGTCACACAGGTAGATTGGAACCAAGGCACATGCAACCCCAACCCTTCAGGGTAACGCCTGAATCCCCAGCACTGCTCCATGGAGAAGCCGCAGAGCCCGGGGGTCTGCACTCTCTTACCCCTATGCTTGCACTCATGCCCACAGGCTGTCTAGGCCCCAACCGGCTTCCCCCAGCCCTGCGCCCACCTTTCCAGACCCGGCTGCCTCGTGCGTCCTCATTGAAGCCTTTCCCCACACCCTCTGGCTGAGTGAGGTGCTCCTTCTCTGTGCTGACCTCTAATGTGACTCTTTCCTTTCTCACTTTAAGAAAAGTGAGAAAGCATCTTCATTCTAGATGCTGCAGATCCTAAAATACTACTGTGGACAAAGCCCAGATCCCTCCTCTAGTAGGGCTTACCTCCTGGGTGAGGAAGAAGGACCATAAAATAAAAGAACACTGTGAGGGCCGCTATGTGGGCATGCAGCCCAGGCAGCCACCCAGGGTCCCGCTCTGCTGCCTGGGAGTTCTTAATAATTTTTAAATGAAAGTCCCCACATTTTCATTTTGCATTGAGACTACAAGTTATGCAGCCAGTCTTAAAGACAGTATGTTAGGCGGCAGCGGCTATGGAGAGAAATAACACAGGAGAGGGGAATGGAGGGGCAGGAGGAGGGATCATACATTTAAGTAGTGTGGTCAGGGAAGGCTTCACTAGAAGGTAATGTCTCTGAAGACCTGAAGGAGGCGGGAGAGCCAGCCATGTGGTTGAGGGTGGGAGGGGTGATGGATGGAGAGAGCATTGTGGGAGATGGGGGCTGAGAGCCTGAGAGGCTCACATTAAGACCTGGCTTTCCTTTGCTGAGACCAGAAGACGCACATCATAGCATAGTGGGGCACATAGCAAAGTGACATGACCTGATTAAGGATTCAGCAGGACCCCTGCTGCAGGGGCAAGGGCAGAGGCCAGTAGATCACCTTAACACTTTCTTGAAATCACTTTTCTGTCTCCCAGTAGGCCTGTTGGACTCGGGTGGGGAGGAGGAGTGGAGGCATTGGAGGGGATGGCCAAGCATCTGGTCTGGGCAACCACGAGGGCAGAGGAGACACTCAAACGAATCCAGAGACCATCAGAAGAAGACAGAGTGAGCAGGGTGAATGATGGGGAGACGAGGGGCCCACAGATGGCAGCTTTCACCCAGAAGCTGACCACAGGCCCTGCCAAAGTCAAGGGCCCACCCGCAGACACCTACACCCCACCCAATATTGAAGCCCGACCATTCCTACATATTGACAGGGAGGATAAAGGCCTAGAGCTGCCTCTTACCTTCTCCTGCTCTCTGGAATCAGGGCACTTTCTCCTCCTGATTCCCTCAGATCTTCCCACCCCTTCCCATCTCTCTCACAACCTCAGGAAGCATGACAGCTCCTGCAATAGTGAATTAGCATTTCACTCACAGAGGGGACCTCCAGATAGGACAGCACTGCTCAGTCCAGCCTGAAACCAGGGTCTCCTCTGCAGCATCCTGTGTGGCAAGTGCACTCTGCTTGTGCACTGCCAGTGCCCAGTAAGTTACTTCCTCACCAGGAAGCCCCTTCCATTCTTGAACAGCTCAGATTGCAAATCTGCCCACCCATCAGCTCTCTCCAGGCAGGAGATCCTGCCTGGTCTCCATGGAAGACACATGGAATGCAGCGACCCCCTCCTCCATGTGATAGGGGCAGGGTGGAGAGAGAACTAGCTTCTGAAGCACTTCCTCTGTTCTGGGCCCATGGGACACAGGTATCAGCAGCCAGCTATGGTCTCTGCCCTCGGGGAGAGAGGGTACTCTCTCAGATAGATCACTACAATGCAAATGAAAAAAGAAAAGAGGCCAGTTGCAGTGGCTCACGCCTGTAATCCCAACACTTTGGGAGGCCTAGGAGGGTGGATCACTTGAGGTCAGGAGTTTGAGACCAGCCTGGCCAACATGGTGAAACCCCGTCTCTACTAAAAATACAAAAATTAGCCGGGCATGGTGGTACACGTCTGTAATCCCAGCTAGTCAGGAGGCTGAGGTGGGAGAATCACTTCAACCCAAAAGGCAGAGGTTGCAGTGGGCTGAGATCACACCACTGCACTCCAGCCTGGGCTACAGAGAGAGACTCCATCTCAAGAAAAAAAAAAGAATAAAGAAAAGAATATTGAACTTTATTGAGCAATGACCATGTAATATGCACTGTTCTAAGCACTTTATATAAAGCAAATAATTTCATTATTCCCAAAGCCCTAGATAGGTCGGGTTCTGTTATTCTGTTTACTTCACATATGCAACCAACCCAGTCATGCAGATCCTGTCAGTGGATCAGAATGTGAACTCTGGAGCCATGCTCAGAGGAGCAGCCAGCTGAAATTAGCACCTAGCTCTGCCGGTTTGAAGTTTGGGCCAGAGTTCCACCTTTCAATTTAAAGCATTTATCTCTTCCATTGTCTCCAAAATACAAAATGCCTCTTTTTCCCAGAACACCTGGACCAGGTGGGAAGGGGCACAGTACAGCAGTGCCATCTAGGGACAGAAGCGTACACTGCAGAGGTTTCAGTGCAGTGGCACCGGGCCCTGGGGCAGAGACCCAGAATCCCCAGCGCCATTCACCTCCCCACTATGGGGTGCCATTCAAAACTGCACACTTGATCTGCTTCCTAAAGTTACTCGTCAGAAGACAGCCCGCTGCAGAGCGGTGCCACTAAAACTCTGTTGTTTGTTCAAGGGTCCCATCTCCTTTTTAGTATGAATGTAGGTGACTTTAAGAGTTCTGAAACCCGGCCAGGCGCAGTGGCTCAGGCCTGTAGTCCCAACACTCTGGGAGGCTGAGGCAGGCGGATCACTTGAGGTCAGGAGTTCAAGACCAGCCTGGACAACATAGTGAGACCCCCCGTCTCTACTACAAATACAAATACACCGGGCATGGTGGTGCATGCTGGTAATCCCAACTACTCGGGAGTCTGAGGCAGGAGAATCGCTTGAATCCAGGAGACGGAGGTTACAGTAAGCCAAGATCGCCCCACTGCACTCCGGGCCCCACTGCACTCCAACCTGGGCTCCGCTCCACAAAAAAAACAAAAAAGAGTTCTGAAACCCAGTAGTTTAGCAGAAGGACTCATATAGTCCCTGAGCAGCTAAGTTGTACCTGTTTCTGGTGTCAGGCAAACTTGAAAGAGTGACCTTATCAGGACTCCGGAAAAGGAGAGGGTATCCACACACTATGCTGGCAACACTCTTCCTTAAGCTGGGTGGTGGATACATAGATATTCATTATATTAAACTTTGCATATATTTATAGATATGAAATATATTGTTTAAAGTGTATTAATTCTTTAAGACAAACTTTCCATTTCGGACCAACTCTGTATCATGCATTTGAACAGAGCACCCACAAGGAACCACAAACAGCCCTGGAGGAGAAGCCCACAGGGAAAGCTCAGTTTGTGGCTCTGCACCACCCACCGGCAAATCAAATCAGCCCAGAGAGCAGATCAGGAAGTTACATGCAACTCCAGCCTTAGAACTCTGCCCGTGGAGCTGCTGGAGTTCAGTGTACAGAGCTGCATGGGGTAGTTTATTCATTTGAAAAATAATTAGTAAACACCTACTACATGCTAAGCCCTGTGTGAGCTGCTGGGAATCTAGGAGTGAGGTGGACGTGTCTCCTTCCAACAGAGCATGACCTCTGTGTTGGAAATGAGTCCTGCCCATAGACAGCAACAGACAAGATAGAAAGTGGGAGGCATCATAGGGGAGACATGGGGGATCACCTCCTCCTCGGGAAGATCTTGGGAAATGATCGCTTCCACCTTAGGAAATCCAGAAAGGCTGCTCAGAGGGAAAGGCATAAAGCCAGGCCTTTAAAGATGGCTAGAGTTTGATTTGCTGGAAGGAAGAGACTCGCTCTAGAAGGAGGGAACAGTGTCAGGAAAATCCCAGAGGGAGAGGATCCAGGGAGAGGTTTGGGGAACAGCCAGAAGGGGAAGGATTTTAGAAAAGGAATCCTGTATTCTCAGGCTGGAGAAGTAGCTGAGTTCCCCATGACAGCAGCCCTTGAAGGAGTTTAGCCTTGACCCAGCGAGAGCAGGGAGCCATGGGTGGTGTTTGAGCAGGAGAGTGCTCCAGTCAGTGTTGCAGCTGTGTACTGTGTGGTCAGAGCAGGGAGCAACTGGAGGCAGGGAACCCCTGAAGCTGCCCAGTGAGCAGACCCGTGGGTCTGTGTGGGGAGGTGAGCAGCGGGGGAAAGGAGTCCCACCATGGGTCTGTCCTGCCAGTGAGTCTCTCCAGGCCAAGGGGTTTTACTTGGCAGGCCCTCCCCCAGCCAGAGCAGATGGGAGTTAACCAGCCCAAAGCCAAGGGTGCCCATCCCTTTCCTGCCTGGCTCCATTCACCACCAACCCGCAGTCCTCTCTCAACATCTTTCTCAGTCCCGCAGCCCACACTACTTCCAGCCCACTGAGCACCCTCGGAGAGAGGCAGACAGTTCAGCATGCGTTGAGTACCTTTGTGTGCACAGCATCCACTGGGCCCTGAGGGGAGAAGCAGGGAGAGAAGCTTAGCCCTCGCCCTTAGGAGTTTAGATCTGAAAGGACCAGAGGTAGCTAGATGGGAAAGCTGCACTCTACAAGGTGGAACCTTTAGGAGCCCACATGCCCTCTCCTCCCACTCAAAAAAATTCTCCCCACCCATGAGAGATGCCTTGCTTAGATCCAAAACTTTGGTCCTTATAATGGATTGAATGGTGGCTCCAAAAAGGGCTGGGTGTGGCGGCGCACACCTGTAGTCCCAGCACTTTGGGAGGCTGAGGCGGGCAGATCACCTGAGGTCAGGAGGTTGAGACCAGCCTGGCCAACATGATGAAACGCTGTCTCTACTAAAAATACAAGTATTAGCCAGGCGTGGTGTCAGACACCAGTAATCCCAGTTATTCGGGAGGCTGAGGCAGGAGAATCGTTTGAGCCTGGGAGGCAGAAGTTGCAGTGAGCCAAGATCACACCACTGCACTCCAGCCTGAGAGACAGAGCGAGACCCCATCTCAAAAAAATAATAATAAAATAAAATATATATATATATGCACCCAATCCTAGAACCTGTGAATTTGATCTTAATTGATAGAAATGTCTTTGCAGTAGTAATCAAGTTAAGGATCTCTAGGCGAGATCATCCTAAGTTGTCTGGGTAGGACCTAATTCCAGTGACAAGTGTCATTAAGAGACAGGAGAAGACATGGACACATAGAGAAGGAAAAGGTGATAGAAAGATGGAGGCAGAGTTTAGAATGATGCAGCCACAAGCTAAGGAACGCCTGCAGCCATGAGAAGCTGGAGGAGGCCAGAAAGTTCTCCCCGAGAGCCCTCAGAAGGAGCACAGCCATACACACATCTTAATTTGGGACTTCTGGACTCCAAAGCTGTGAGAGACTCCATTTCTGTTGTTTTAAGCCACCAAGTTGGTGGGAATTTGTTACAGCAGCCACAGTAGACTAACACTGTCCTTAAAATGAAAACATCTCTGGGAGAAGAATTCCATGGTTGCAGGTCTTTAAAAATTTCAGAGCTGGAAGGGGTCACAGAGGACGTCAGATCCAGCTGCCCCAGTCTGACACTTGACAGACTTAGGCCCAAAAAAGGGGAGAACCTTTTCCCACAAGGTCAGAAGTAGAAATCAACTCAGAGACCAGGGTTCTGCCAGCCTCCCCTGTGCCCAGGTTCTGTTAGAGAGGAAGAATATTTGCCATTAGGCAATAAAAGGCAACAAGGAGCCAGAGAATGGGGACCTTGGGGTCCCTAAAGACACACTTCCCAGTTTTCGCCTATGCAGTAGAGATGAGACTTTTCTCTTCCACCTTCACTCGAGCCCTGGGGTCTCAGGAGTGGCACTGTGAACACCATCCAGCTTGACTCAGCAAAGTACAATGGATCATAGGAGATAAGTAGAAATAAATAAGAAATAGAAAGAACAGGCCGGGCGCAGTGGCTCATGCCTGTAATCCCAGCACTTTGGGAGGCCGAGGTGGGTGGATCACGAGGTCAGGAGATTGAGACCATCCTGGCTAACACGGTGAAATCCCATCTCTACTTTAAAAAATACAAAAAAATGGCTGGGCACGGTGGCTCATGCCTGTAATCCCAGCTCTTTGGGAGGCCGAGGTGAGTGGATCACGAGGTCAAGAGATCAAGACCATCCCGTCCAACATGGTGAAACCCCATCTCTACTAAAAATACAAAAAATTAGCCAGCCGTGGTGGCAGACGCCTGTAGTCCCAGCAACTCGGGAGGCTGAGGCAGGAGTATGGTGTGAACCCGGGAGGCGGAGCTTGCAGTGAGCTGAGATCATGCCACTGCACTCCAGCCTGGGCAGCAGAGCGAGACTCTGTCTCAAAAAAAAAAAAGAAAAAGAAAAAAGAAATAGAAACTACAGAAGGAGGGTTGGGCATGGTGGCCTGTAATCCCAGCACTTTGGGGGGCCGAGGCAGGGTGGATCACCTGAGGTCAGCCGTTCGAGACCAGCCTGGCCAACATAGTGAAACTCCATCTCTACTAAAAATACAAAAATTAGCCGGGTGTGGTGCCATGCACCTGTAATCCCAGCTACTCGGGAGGCTGAAGCAGAGAACTGCTTGAACCCGGGAGGTGGAGGTTGCAGTGAACTGAGATCGCGCCACTGCGCTCCAGCCTGAGCAATAAAGCGAGACTCTGTCTCAAAAAAAGAAAGTACAGAAGGAGAGGTAGATGCTAAAAACTAGAAGGCATCAAAGACAATGGCAATAAATTGATGGTGATAAGTAATTGATAGGTATTTTCATGCACATACAGATAACACAGATGAGAGGTATATGGGGTGAAAGGTCTCCCCTGAGCTCCAGACTCTTATCCCCACCTGCCTACTCACATCTCCACTGGAATGCCTCATGGACATTTCAAAGTTAACATGTCAAATAAGACTCGTTTCTCCCCTTCATTTACTTTGGGAGGGATGCCCTGCCATGTACCTTGATCACTGGACCCTGAAAGTTTTACCAATTTCATAGTCCTCTGAATCTTTGTACCGTTTTTTTGTTTGTTTGTTTGTGTTGAGACCGAATCTCATGCTGTCACCCAGGCTGGAGTGCAATGGCGCAATCTCATCTCACTGCAACCTCCACCTACCTGGTTCAAGTGAACCAGCCTCCTGAGTAGCTGGGATTACAGGTGTCCGCCACCACGCCTGGCTAAATTTTGTATTTTTAGTAGAGACGGGGTTTCGACCTGTTGGCCAGGCTGGTCTTGAACTCCAGACCTCAAGTGATCTGCCCGCCTCAGCCTCCCAAAATGTTTGGGGATTACAGGCGTGAGCCACTGCACCCGGCCAATCTTTGTAGAGTTTATCTCCCACCATCAGAAGCACACGGTGTCTTGCCTCCAGAGTACTAGCCACTTCTTGCTCATCAGACCCTATTAGCACAATATCATCCATGTGACAGATCAATAAAACATCTGCAGATGTCCAGAGAATCTGGATCTCTTCAAACTCATATGACAGACCGGGTGTGGTGGCTCACACCTGTAATCCCAACACTTTGGGATGCTGAGGCAGATGGATTGCTTGAACCCAGGAGTTCAAGACCAGCCAGGGAAATATGGCAAGACCCCGTCTCTATAAAAATTTTTTAAAATTAGCGGGTGTGATGGTGCATGCCTGTAGTCACAGCTACTGGGGAGGCTAAGGCAAGAAGATCACTTGAGCCCAGGAGGTGGAGACTACAGTGAGCCATGTTCATGCCACTGCACTCCAGCCTGAGCACAGAAGACCCTGTCAAAAAAAAAAAAAAACACCAGGCCGGGCGCGGTGGCTCACGCTTGTAATTCCAGCACTTTGGGAGGCCGAGGCGGGCGGATCACGAGGTCAGGAGATCGAGACCATCCTGGCTAACACGGTGAAACCCCGTCTCTACTAAAAATACAAAAAAATTAGCCGGGCGTGATGGCGGGCGCCTGTAGTCCCAGCTACTCGGGAGGCTGAGGCAGGAGAATGGCGTGAACCCGGGAGGCTGAGCTTGCAGTGAGCCGAGATTGCGCCACTGCGCTCCCGCCTGGGCCACAGAGCGAGACTCCGTCTCAAAAAAAAAAAAAAACACCAAAACTATCATATGACAGCGTGCAGGAGATTTAACATTACCCTGGAGCAAAGCTGCAAATTATATTACTGCCCAGTTCATATGAATGTGAACTGTGTTATGATCCTCTTCTCTGATTGGAATAGAAAAGAATGCATCTGCCAAGTCCATGTTTGTATATTAAGTGTCTGAGGCTGTGTTGATCTGCTCTAGCAAAGACACCACATCCAGCATGGCAGTTGCAATTCGGACTTCTACTTGGTCAAGTATGTGGTAGTCTACTTCCACTCTCCAGATTCTGCCTGGTTTCTGCTAAGACCACGTGGGGGAATTAAATGGAGATATGATGGGGACCACCACTCCTGCATTTTTTCAAGATTAAGGATGGCACTAATGGCCATTCCCCCAGGATGAAATATTGTTTTGATTTCACTCTTGGCTGAGGGTGGTGGGGAGGGGCAGTTTCAGAGGTTTCCACTTGGCCTTTCCCACGCTGATAGCCCTAGCCTACAGGCCAAGGACCTAAGGTGGGGGTTGCACACCCTCTTAATCCCAATTATACATTTCAGGATCAAGGAAATGGCCACTGGGAGTATGTGATTAACTTTAAGCCATTGTAAGCCAGACCTTGGCTAGGACACCTTATTACCCAGCCCCTACTTGCTCCCCGATATGTCATCTATTGCTGTGTAACAAATAACTCCAAAACTTAGCAGCCTAGAACCAAAAACATTTATCCTCTCATAATTTATGTGGGTCAGAAATTTAGGCATGGTTTAGCAGCTGGTTCTAGCTCTGGGTCTTTTATGAGGTTGCAGTTAAGCTGCTGGTGAGGCTTGACAGAGGATCCATTTCCAAGACGGCTCATGTACGTGGCTGCCAGCAAGAGGCCTCAGGTCCTGCACCTGCCCACATGAACCTCTCCTTGGGCTATTCACTTCACCTCATGATATGGCAGCTGGCTGCCTCCAAAAAGACTGATACAAGAGAGGACAGAGAAGAAGTCAGGATGCCTTTTATGAACCAGTCCAGGAGTTGGCAAACTCCAGCCTGCTGGCCAAATCTGACCCAACTTGGGCCAAATCTGGTCACACCCATTCCTTTACATATTGTTTACAGCTGCTTTCACAACTACAATGGCACAGTTGAGTAATCAATTGCAACAGAATCCATATCGCCTACAAAGCCAAGAGTACTTACTCTCTGGCCCTTTTCAGCAAAAGTGTGCCAACCCCTCATCTAGCGTTGGAGGTGACAGACCTTCCCTTCTGCCATAATCTATTCTTGAGAAGTGAGTCACTAGGTCCAACCCACCCTCAGGGAAGGGTAATTAAGCTCATCTCTTGAAGGGAGACGCTTCAAAACCACCACACATCACTCTAACGGTGATGCTTCTTGTTCCTGAGTGTCGAGCTCAACTCAGGCTCCACGTCCAAAAGCCTCAAATGTTTGGCTACTCCCATTTCCCCCATCTACAGTTTCTCCAAGCAAATGGCCATAGGTCCCTTTGGGAAAGGACTGGGGATATCAATCCTGTTAAGGCTGTTGTGGTGTTGCAAGTTCCATCCTCATAGAGACCAAACCTCCTCTTCATTCTCTTCCTGTGCTTCCAGGTCAAGAAACCAAACACAGGGTCATAAGTGCCCAGTCTTATGGTCATCCATCCTTGGTTTCTCCTGATGGCATGAGTTGGGTAGTTTCTGGATTGGCTCCTCATCTAACTTGCCCCTAGGAACACTGTATTCTATTAACCATCTCCTAGCTCTGTAGGTTAGATTTCCTTGGCTGCAACCCTGTGCTCGTTACAATCATCACAAGAGATGATGGACAGGGTCTATGGACAGGGCTCTATCCTCTGCCACCTCACCGCCCCCCCTCCCTGTGCAATCACTGAGCCTGGTCTCTAAAAGCCCCTCCTACCACCAGCCTGGCATGAGAAGGAGGGCCTCCCCACATGTTTAGGGGGTCTGTGCCCCTCTCTCCAGCCCATTTCTTTTGCCTTGGTGTGTAAATGGTGTGTGCTCTGGTCCTGCCCTAAGAACGTATCAGGATAATCTCCTGGCCATACATACTGTATCCCCTCCAGCATGCCCCACTCCCAGAGCCTTTTAGTCCCCTCCTCTACTCTGCCACAGCAAGGCTGGCCTTGCAACTTCACTTAGTGCAATCCGTCTCTTCTGGGCTTCTAGGTTCCATCCTAGTAGTAAGTTGACCCCATCTCCCAGAGTCCTTGCCAAGGGGTGAAACCGTGTCTCTCAGGAGCGTGCTCCCAAATCAGTAAGCTCCTCCCCAGCCAGCCTCACTGCACCAGCCTCTCTGGCTTTTTTTTTTTTCTGTCAGTGGTGCTCACCACCCTCACCTGTCACCACCATGCAGTCTCAGCACATGCTGTTCCCTCTGCCTAGAATGCTCTTCCATCCCCTGCTGACTCTCCAGTTAACTCCTCCCACCTCAGATCCACTAAAGCCACACATCACTTCCGCACAGACACATTTCCAGTTCCCTGTGCTGCTGGCTAAGTCTCTGCCTCTCCCTTGTAGCCTTTGTTGCAGTTTTTCATCATTCGAGGGATTGGCCGACTAATGTCTGTAGGACCCTACCAGACTGTAGGCCCTGTGTGGGCAGGAACTGTTCATCATTGTACCCTCAGTGCCTCGCAAAGTGTCTGGCAGATAATTTGTGCTCATAAAAGTTTTGTTAAGAGAAGAAATGTGGCCAGGTGCAGTGGCTCATGCCTGTTCACCAGCACTTTGGGAGGCCGAGGTGGGCGGATCACGAGGTCAGGAGATCGAGACCATCCTGGCTAACATGATGAAACCCCACCTCTACTAAAAATACAAAAAATTAGCCGGGCATGGTGGCAGGTGCCTGTAGTCCCAGCTACTCGGGAGGCTGAGGCAGGAGAATGGTGTGAACCTGGGAGGTGGAGCTTGCAGTGAGCCAAGATCATGCCACTGCACTCCAGCCTGGGCGACAGAGCAAGACTCCGTCTCAAAAAAAAAAAGAAGAAGAAGAAATGAAAGAGTCAATGAAACAACCAACAGCTGAATGGCTGTTCTGGCCAAGAAGCACAGAAGTCACAGCTGGAGGCAGACAGCAAAGGCGAAGCTGGCAGGGAGGAGGCCTCAGGCTGCCTGGGCTCCTGAGCTGTCTGGGAGAAAGTGGCCTTCCAGGGCTTGTTTGCAGAGAGGCTGGAGGAGAGAGGCATTTGTGCAGGGCCACCTGAGACTCACAGCAGGAGCCAGGGAGGTGATTGGCATTGTGTCGGAACTGGGCAGGTGTGTGAGCAGCACGCCGAGGGCTGTGGGCTAAACCCAGCACTTAGATTCAGCTCCTTCCTTTCCAGGACCCCTAGTGGGATGCCAGATGGCAGAGACCCTCCTCCCCCGAAAGAAGTGAACAACTCCTCTCAGCCTCTCTCTTTTGTGTGTGTGCGTGTGTGTGTGTATGATTTGTTTACTTTTAACTTTTTTATTAAGTATAATACACGTACAGAAAATATATATGTACATATACATGCATTCACAAAAACTAAATGTGCTCAATAAATCATAACAAAGCAAATACCTGTTTAATCCCCACACAGGTGAAGAAAGAGAACTGTTACTACCCCACTAACCTCTCTCATGCCTACCCATCTATCTCCACACTAGAAATTTCTCTTTTTTTTTTTTTTTTTTTTTTTTTTTTTTGAGACAGGTTCTTGCTCTGTCATCCAGGCTGGAGTGCAGTGGCAGGATCTCAGCTCACAGCAACCTCCATCCCCTGGGTTCAAGAGATTCTTGTGCCTCGGCCTCCTGAGTAGCTGGGATTACAGGAGTGCGCCACCATGCCTGGCTAATTTTTGTATTTTTAGTAGAGATGGGGTTTCACCATGTTGGTCAGGCTGGTCTCAAACTCCTGGCCTCAAGTGATCCACCCACCTCAGCCTCCCAAAGTGCTGGGATTACAGGCTTGAGCCACTGTGCCTGGCCTACTACACTAGAAATTTCTAATGTTATAGTTTAGTTCTGCCTGATTTTGTACTTAATCTAACTAGAATCATACAATATTTTTTCTGTCATGTCTGGTTTCTGTTATTCATCTTGTTAAATGTCTCCAAATCCTTATCAACACCGTATCAATGCTTATGGAGCTAGAGGTCTTCATAATACTTGCTCATCCTCCCCATCCATAACAAGCATAATGCAAGCTATATTTATTGAGCACTTACTAAGTACCAGGCTCTATTCTCACTCTTTGCATGCATTGCAGGTAATTCATAAATTCTCATTGCTGTGTAGAATTCCATTGTCTACATACACCATAATTTATGTATACATTTTTTTTTTTTTTTGAGGTGGAGTTTTGCTCTTGTTGCCCAGGCTGGAGTGCAATGGCACAATCTCGGCTCACCGCAACATCTGCCTCCCAGGTTCAAGCAATTCTCCTGCCTGAGACTCCCGAGTAGCTAGGATTACAGGCATGTGCCACTGTGCCCGGCTAATTTTGTATTTTCAGTAGAGACGGTGTTTCTCCATGTTGGTCAGGCTGGTCTCGAACTCCTGACCTGAGGTGATCCACCCACTTCAGCCTCCCAAAGCGCTGGGATTACAGGCCTGAGCCACCACGCCCAGCCACAGTTTTTTGTTTTTGTTTTTGTTTTTTTTTGAGACGGAGTCTCACTCTGTCGCCCAGGCTGGAGTGCAGTGGTGTGATCTTGGCTCACTGCAAGCTCCACCTCCTGGGCTTACGCCATTCTCCTGCCTCAGCCTCCGGAGTAGCTGGAACTACAGGCAACCGCCACCATGCCCAGCTAATTTTTTGTATTTTTAGTAGAGACGGGGTTTCACCATGTTAACCAGGATGGTCTCGATCTCCTGACTTCGTGATCCGCCCACTTCAGCCTCCCAAAGTGCTGGGATTATGGGCATGAGCCACTGCGCCTGGCCTTATGTATACATTTTACTGTTGATGGGCACTTGGGTTGTTTCCATTTTAGATATTACAAATAAAGTTACTATGAACATCCTTGACCATATCTCTTGGTGCTCATATGCATGCATTGCTGTTGGGCATAAGCCTAGGATATAGGATATGAGAATCTTCATCTTTGATATTTAATGTCAAAATAGTTTCCAAAGTATCTCTACCAATTTGTGCAACCCCCAGCAATGTGTGAGAAATTCTGTTTCTCCAAATCCTTATCAATTCAGTCTTTTTTGTTTTAGCCATGCTGATGGAAATGTAGAGCTAGCTATCTCATTGTGGGAGGTTTGTTTGTTTGTTTGTTTGTTTGTTGTTTTTGTTTTTGTTTTGAGACAGAGTGTCGCTCTGTCACCCAAGCTGGAATGCAGTGGCGCAATCTCAGCTCACTGCAACCTCTGCCTCCCAGGTTCAAGTGATTCTCCTGCCTCAGCCTCCTGAGTAGCTGGGATTACAGGCGCCCACTACCACCCCTGGCTAATTTTTGTATTTGTAGTAGATACTGGGTCTCACCATGTTGGCCAACCCTGCCCTCAAGTGATTCACCCACCTCAGCCTCCCAAAGTGCTGGGATTACAGGCATGAGCCACCACACCCGGCCTCATTGTGATTTTATTTTGTATTTTGTTGGTAACTGGTGAGGGTGAACAACTTCTCATCCTTATTGGTTATTTGGGTATTATCCTTTGTAATGTGCCTGTTCAAATCTCTCAGACTTTCCTAGTGGGCTGTCCATCTTTGTCTTACTGATGTATAACAGTTCATTTTTATAGCTTTGTTGAGAAATAATTGATACACAAAAAAAAAAAACCTGCACATGTTTAACGTCTGCAATTTGACGAGTTTGGACATATGCATACACTGTGATACCGTCACCACAATCAAAATAAACATTCATCACTTCAGATGTTTCCTGGTGTTCCTTCCTCTCAGCTTCTCTTGATCATCTCCCCACTCTCTCTCTCCCACCTTCCCCCGTGATCTCAGAGGTCCCAGCGTCTCTGATCTTTAGAGCTCCTGCTTGCATCTCACATCCAAATAATAATAGTCCAACAGTCACAGGTGGTTAAGAGGAGATCTGGCCTTTGCCAGGCCCTCCCTAAAATCCTCTGGGACCATTTCTGAAGAAACTGTCCCGTTGCCAGTGTGTCCTCATGTGGAAGGGCCAGGCTACTTTCTTATGGGCCTGGGCCCACCCTCAATCAAGGTTGCCCCAGGCTCTCAAAACCAAAGAGTCAGCATATACTCAATTCAGACCTGCCTCAAAAGGGATCGAGAAGGTCCCCAGGGATGCCCCTCTGCTCACAGTGAGGAAGACCTTAGACATGCCCGTGCCAAGCAGCTGAGCCCCCACCCTGAATTCCTCCATTCCCGTGAATCCCAATCTCCACCTTCAGTGAGACAAAACACAGCTTATTACCCCCACGCTCTGCCTTCTAGGTTTTGTTGGGTTCCCAAATCCTTATCAACACTGTATCAACACTTATGGAGCTAGAAGTCTCCATAATACTCACCCCTCCCCCAATCCTTCCTCCATCCATAACAAGCATAATGCAAGCTCACAATTATTGAGCACTTACTAAGTGCCAACCTCTATTCTCACCCTTTGCGTGCATTAATTTAAACATCCAACTCTTCCAACACCCATATAGCAGTTACTATTACTATGCTGATGCACAGAGAGGTTAAGTGACTCCCCCAGGGTCACACAGCTTCTGATTGGTGGCACTGCAATCAGTGCCCAGATTCCTGGTCTCTCTGCACCCGAAACTGCTGCAGGGGCCTCTACCACAAGCTCAGGGCTTGCTGCCTCGCTTCCCTCACAACATTGCTCTGCTTCCTTCTTGCGGAGAAAGTCTTGTGAACCCTCCCTTTCTGCCCCGGCTGCTGGGAGACTACAGACAATGCCGATACTCATGCACAGCAATGGTACCACCCCTCGTGGCCACCAGGTCTGCTTCTTCCCTCATTTTCTGTTTTATCCGTAATGATAGACTGAGAATGTAGGAGGCAACATCCTTCAAAGATGTAAAATGCTAGGCCACAGAAAACAGAGACTGTAAAAGGCAGACCCGAGCGGCAACAGATGCCATGATTACGTCTCGAGGCAGCCAAGGGGAAGAAGAAATCTGATCCATTACTATCTGCAGGAAGCAGACTGTTTGCTCTGCAGGGACAAAGTTTTCCCCTTACAATACATTCTCATAAAATTGGCTCACTTGGGCCTTCCTGTAAGGAACGCTGAGGGATGCGATGGATTGGTTATGGCCTGAAAAATCACTTTCGCAGCAAAAGGAAAGCATACTTCATGTGACTGTTGACCAACACAGAGGACACCACGCCAACAACCTCAGGGATGCAGAGTCCTCCAGAAGAGAGGCCAGCGTGGTCCAAGGACACACTCTCCCAGGGCAGAGGGTCTGGTCAGGGCCAGAACTCGGAGTACCCGGCAGCTGGCTGGACAGTTCAGCCCTTCAAAGCCCTGCTCCGAACACCCTCCACCCACTTTTGTTTGCCGAGGAACTGGCTGTCCCTTAAGTCCAGAGACTGGTTGTCCCTTGAGTCCAGGAACTGGTTGTCCCTTGAGAACAGGGACACAATCTTTCTATCTCTGTAATTCAGCCCCTGCCCCACCCTCAACAGCTGAGGTGACTGGAAAGGGTGGGTGGGTGGATGATCCAGGCAGGTCCCTCAATCAAAAGAAGTGGCAGACACTTCTTTTGTCCCCTAGCTTCTGTAGAAGTCATGGAGCCCTAATTGTAGTTGGGCACATGGCTGCCTGTGGTGCTTCCTGGCACCCCTGGAGACTGGGAGAGTCACACAGCTGAGTCCTGAGCAACAAGAGGGGAGTAGAAGTGATAAGCTGGGGACACCCTCTCCCTGCCTCGTCCCCTCTCTCTGGCTAGAACACAGAGGAGGTGGTGGCTGGCCATCTCAGATCAAACTTGTCCATCAGCCTTCAGAGCAACCAGACGGAAAGAGCCTGAGGCACTGGCCCTGTGCAGCTGCTGTTCCAGCCCTGAAAGCCTCCTGCCAAGACTATTATGTGAGAGAAGTCCAAGCTTCCATGTTGTTTAAACCACTGTTGTTTTGAGCCTCTAATGCAACAGACAAGTCTATAGATGAGCTCATGTCCCAGGAGCTACCAATGAAATGCCACTGCCTTCCCCCAGGGCCACCTGGCTGGCACCTGAGCACTGTGTCCACCTGCATGTCTTCCTGGCACAGTCTCCACTACCAACACTCCCAGAGGGAGAACAGCCCCCCACAAGGGACTTAACACCATCCCTGTTTTACAGATAGGGAAACTGAAGCTCGGAGGAATGGCCAAATCTGCCTGAGGGCTCAATAGCAATGGCTGGTGGAGCCAGTCCCAAATCCAGGCCTGCCAGCTGCATGGTGTTTGCTCCCCTGGGAGAGCTGGCTCCTGTTGTTCACCTGCTCAGCCAAGCAGAGACTGCCTGCGCAGTTAGCGGTGGAGGCCCTATTTGTGGGGAAATGCCTGGATAAGCCTGTCTGGAGGCCAGGCCAGCACCTAAGGTCTGCAGGGCAGGCTGTGACCAGGAATCAGAGGGAAGCTCCTTTGCATTATAAAGGGAGAAACAGTGGGGACGGGGTGTTGGGGGCTGGAAAGGAGGGGGAAGGGGGGAAGGGAAGACCGGTGAGAACAATGGCGGGAGGCTGCCTTCCGCACCTCTCAGTGAGGTCTTCCTAAACATCACAAAACACTGCAGTCGTGGGATTTCTGCAGAGCCGGGTGAAGACACTTAGCCTTGTGATGGGGTCCACTTGTGACCCGGCTGCCACGTGAAGGTGGCACATACAGTGGAGGGGAAGTGAGCCACACATTCGGCAGATCTCAGAAGGTGCATCTGGGAATGTGACTCTAACAGGGGCCGGGCCCCACCACAACCCACTGATGTTGGAGTCAGCAACCAGCCCACAGCAGGGCTCTTGCAGGGACAGTGACCCCACATTGCACTGAGGTGCTGCTGTGTTCTGAACCACCTCCAACATCATGGACTACAACAGCCATCACTGTATTATGTTGCAGAGTCTGGGGAGGTCAGGGGTTTGGAATTGGGTGTAGGGTGTGACGGGGTGAAGCCTGGAGCCTCAGCTGGGAGCACTGGAATGACTGGGGGTGACTGGGACGGCTGGGTTGGACTCACTGCTCCAGCTTCTTCACTCCCATATCTGGACGGGACCACGGCTCAGCTAGGACTGTCAACTGAAGCACCTCCAGGGAGCCTCCCCATGGCTTCTCATAGCTTGGCAGTGAGGTTCTCAGAGGGAGTGTCAGAGAGGGACACCTGAAGAACAGCATTTCGAGAGACCCAGGCCAAAGCTGCCTGGCCTTTAACGACCTGCACTTAGAAGTCATGTGGCCTTTGGGCGCTGTGGCTCATGCCTGTAATCCAAGCACTTTGGGAGTCTGAGGTAGGCAGACCACTTGAAGCCAGGAGTTCAAGACCAGCCTGGCCAACATGGCAAAACCCCATCTCTACTAAAAATACAAAAATTAGCCAGGTGTGGTGGCAGGCGCCTGCAGCCCCAGCTACTTGGGTGGCTGAGGCAGGAGAATCGCTTGAACCTGGGAGGCAGAGGTTGCACTGAACCGAGATCGCGCCACTGCATGCCAGCCTGGGTGACAGAGTGAGACTCTGTCTCAAAAAAATGGAAGAAAGGGCCGAGCACGGTAGCTCATGCCTGTAATCCCAACACTTTGGGAGGCCGAGGCAGGCAGATCACAATGTCAGGAGATCCAGACCATCCTGGCTAACACGATAGAACCCCGTTTCTACTAAAAATACAAAAAATTAGCCAGGCATGGCGGCGGGCACCTGTAGTCCCAGCTACTCAGGAGGCTGAGGCAGGAGGATGGCGTGAACCCAGGAGGTAGAGCTTGCAGTGAGCCGAGATCGCACCACTGCACTCCAGCCTGGGCGACAGAGCAAGACTCTGTCTCAAAAAAAAAAAAAAAAAAACGGAAGAAGTCTCTTGGCCTTGCATCCCCTGTGCTCTATTGGTGGCAGCAGTCACAAGCCTGCCCAGTTTCAAGGGGTGGGGACATAGACCCCACTTCCGTGGGAGGAGTGTCAAAGAATGCGGGAGCTTGTTTTAAACTTCCATGCTCCATAACACCATAAGCGACTCCCTCTTGAGGTCTCTCCTTAGCCAGCTCAGGTCTATGATTTCAGCGTGTCCTAACATCAAAAAATAACTCCCCTTCCCACAGCTGATGCTTGGAATTCCCAGCAAGAGATCAAAGGCTTTGATCTGGAGGGGACTTTTATTCTAAAGCAGCTCCTCCCAGCCCCTCTCCCACCACCACCCTTGAGTCGGCACTGGGCCCTGACGCCCCTTCTGCCTCCATGTCAGTGGGCTCGCCAGGCCTCTGCAAGGAGCAGCTTTGGCTGAGGGAGGATGGAACACCTGGGCCATTGTGTGTTTACCAAAAGTCCATCCTGACAGGATCCTGGGAAGAGTGAGGAGAGAAGGAGAGTCTAAGGTCCTGAAGGTCAACTCAGCCAATGTCACCATTTAGCCAGAGGCTGCTCCTCCCAGGAGCTTCTGCTTTATGCCCCAACTACACTTTCCCCTCCTGCCTCACACTGGCTTCTATCACACAGGACTCCATCCAGCCCTGCACCTCTGGGGTTCCTCCTACTTCCTACCGCCAGTCCACTGTGGCCCTCCCTTTTACGGCCAATGGTCCCAAAGATCTATTTAGAAGTAGATTCAACATCCTGTTTTATCCATCCAAGCCAGCTTTTGCTGTGTACCTACTGCCTCAGCAGTGCAGAAACAAACCATTCTAGGTAAAAAAAAAAAAAAAAAAAAAAAAAAGTGGGAGCGAGTGGGGCACAGGAAATCAGGTGCTTGTAAAATCACAGGAGTGGGTGGTGGGTGGCAGCTGGATAGGCAGGAGGCTTCCAGTGGGACTGTTGAGCTCGAGGACACACCCACCCACCACCATGCTGCCATCTGCGGATCAATAATCACTGCACTGCCTTTGCCGCCACCATAACTGCCAGAACACCCAGGACACTCGTGACCAGACACTAGAACACAGAGTTCAAAGGCCACAACCACTTTCTACAACCCTGCTGGTCAGCAGAAGCAGCGGCAGGAAGATGGCCTTCACCACACCAAATCCAGCCGAGCACTGTCTATTAGAGGCGCCCAGTGTGCTCTAGCTGCAGGGAGTTTGGGAAGTGCATTTGGCTTTCTCATCTCAGCAGTCCATAAAGACATGTAGAAGGAGGAAGGATGGGTACTGAGGGCTGGGACACTGTGCCCAGCACACATGAAGGAACCGTCATCTGTGCTCCTGGAGCTCCTGGGAAGCTGGAACCTTCCTTTTCTTCCCAGGGGGGGGTTGGCAGAATTCTCTGTTCTCTGGGCACCATCAGAAGACCTGGTCTCTGTCACCACTGTATATGTCCTCTGGTTTATTTCTCCCACTGCTGTTTTGCCACCTCTAGAGCCGTAGATTGCCCCATAAACCTCCTGGCTACTCAGCAGGCTGACACCTTCTCTGCTGGAAAGTGGAAGAAGATGAGTGCCACGGGCTCCCTTTGCCACTGCATCCATTAAATCTCCCGAGGACACACTTACCAGGCATGCACATTTCTTTACTGACATGTTTGAGCAATTTCAAGAGGGAATTATTCCTCTTCTGAGAAAAAACTGTTAAAGTCCCAACTGACTTGGAATTTCCCTTGAGTTTCAAGCAAAAATGTACCTAAAGATCCCGGGCCTTCCCAAGGAAGTGACTCCCTACCCACAGTATCCCCACTCCAGCTGCTCTCGGGGTCTCCCCACCCCCCAGCAACTCCCTCCTTCTCTCCCTGCCCGTCAGGAAACCACCCTGCTCCCAGCCTCCTTCACCTTCACCTTCCTTCATCATCAGCGTCAGATCTGAGTCCTGCGGTTCTAAATAGCACCCCAGGCCTCAGCAAGTGGAGGGTAGGGGAAGAAGAGGCAACTCCTTGTTGCCGGTCCTCAGCAGCACCGTGGGAGGGGGCTTGGAGGGAGAGAGGGGTGGGGTCTTGGAGGGAGAGAGGGGTGGGGGGTCCTGGGGCCACAATGAACCGAATTCTGGCATTTGGTTCCTTCTCAGGACCTCCCACTAGAGGGCGCGACGGTCCCGCCGGTTCCTTGCCAGGTGGCTCCAGCTGCGGCGGACATCAGAGCATCTCCCAGGGACTAGAAGTTCAGACTAATGAGATTGAGAAAAGAGCATTTCCACATTTGCAAGGCGCCTGTGCTGCTCCGGAGGTCCCCATTACTCTGTCCAGAATCCTTTATTGCTTCCTGGTCCCCGAGGGCCTGCTGGAACCAGAATGCGAGAAGGGCTCTGCGCGGTTGGCCTTCCTGGACTCACAGCTTCCCTGTGAAGAACCTAGCGGGCTCTGCAACGCCCTGGTCACCCTTTCAGAGTGTTTGAGAGCTTATATGGGATATGTTTAAGCTGAGACAGGTCCCCAGCCACCCACAGCACGGGTAAGGGAGCATGGGCAGGGGACCCTCGGGGCAAGTGTTCCAGGCCATGCCCAGCCTCAGAGGGCCCTGAGGCTGGCGAGGGCAGCGTGCTCAGAGGAGATGGAGGCCAGTGCGGCTGGAGCTGGGGGGACGGCGAGTGGGGGCCACCACCTCCCCAAACTTCTCCATTAAGTAGCTGTGGGCAGAGACTGTTCCTCCCCGAGGCTGGAGGAGGGAAAGAATGGGGGTGCCTCTCGGATTTTTACCCACTCCTACCTGGGGGCAGGGTTGCTGCTGCCTCCCGGCTAACCACCTGTGGGAAAGTAGACAGATCCTCCCCAGCAACCAGCCACTCCTCCTTTTCCTCCTAGCCAACTGTCACAGGTGTGTGAACCGCAGCAACTCCATCTTGAATAGGGGCTGGGTAAAATGAGGCTGAGACCTAACTGGGCTGCATTCCCAGATGGTTAAGGCATTCTGAGTCACGGGATGAGATAGGAGATCAGCACAAGATACAAGTTGTTCAAGACCTTGATTATAAAACAGGTTGCAGTAAAGGAACCAGCCAAAACCCACAAAACCAAGATGGTGACAAGAGTGACCTCTGGTTGTCCTCACTGCTGTACACCCACGAGCGCCATGACAGTTTACAAATGCCATGGCAATGACAGGAAGTTACTCTGTATGGTCTAAAAAGGGGAGGCATGAATAATCCACCCTTTGTTTGGCACATAATCAAGAAATAACCATAAAAATGGGCAACCAGCAGCCCCCAGGGCTGCTCTGCCTATGGAATAGCCATTCTTTTATTTTTTTACTTTCCCAATAAACTTGCTCTCACTTTACTGTACGGATTCGCCTTGAATTCTTTTTTGTGCAAGATCCAGGAACCCTCTCTTGGGTTCTGGATTGGGACCCCTTTCTGGTAACACAACCACTCCTCCTTTCCTTGGTAACATCCCTAATTTTACTTCTGGTGTACACACCTCCCCAAGCGATCCACGTCTTTGTTGGGAACTGACTCCTCCATGGGCTCTAGGTTGCGCATACAAGGTTCTCGCTCTGTCGCCCAGGCTGGAGTGCAGTGGCGCCATCTCGGCCTACTGCAAGCTCCGCCTCCCGGGTTCACGCCATTCTTCCGCCTCAGCCTCCCGAGTAGCTGGGACTACAGGCGCCCGCCGCCGCACCCGGCTAATTTTTTTTTTTTTTTTTTTTTTTTTTTTTTTTTTTTTTTTTTTGTATTTTTAGTAGAGACGGGGTTTCACCGTGGTCTTGATCTCCTGACCTCGTGATCCGCCCTCCTCGGCCTTCCAAAGTGCTGGGATTACAGGCGTGAGCCTCTGCGCCCGGCCTGATGTAGGCTTCTTAGTTGCTTCCTCGCCCTCCTGGGAGAGCTTCCCAAAGTCTCTCCCTCCCGCCAGGGACCTGCACCAGGTAGCCCAGGCCCTGGGAGCGGCTATACTCTTAGGGCCACACGGGGGCGCCAGCCTCAGGCGGCTGCACCACGCCCGCCTGGAACAGGAGACCCCAACACCCCAGAGCGCAGTCAAACCGCCCTGCACTGGCCAGTTACTCTGGCTGATAAGCCCCCTTCACTCCTTAGCCCCAAGTGAGTGAGGTGCTTCCTCGCAAATGAAAATCTGCGGCCAACCCTGAGTCACTTCTTAAGATGCGGGCTCCCATCAGCTCCCCAACCCCAGCCCCACCCCTGAGTGCCGCCTCCCGAGCTAGGCCTGGAGAGTGCAGACAGGAAGGAAGCGCAGCTGGACCTCACCCAGAGAGGGGGACAGATTATCAGCAGGGTGGGAAGTGCTACAGGGAGCCCTCAAGGGCATCCCGCGTGTGCGGGTGATGCAGGCAGGTGCATGGGGGAGGGTGGGGTGCTACCAAACCCCAAGTGAGCCCTGTTGGAACTGAGCCTGGGGTGAGCCGGTAAACAAAGTGTCGGGAGGCGCTTCAAGCTTCAGGGCCAAGGGCCCCAGAGCATGAAGGTAGAGACAGCCAGGTGGAAGTGGCTGGAGAGGGTGCACATGAGGACAAACAGGAGGAGGGGCAGCAGGAGGGTGAGGTGGTGACAAGGGCGGGGAGGTAACCTGGACCAAGGAGACTGGACTCTAGCAGGAGGGAAATGACCCCCAGGGCGGGCTTAGGCAAAGTAAACATGATCACAGGGCAACATGCTCCCACAGGACTTTCTGCAGTAAGGAAGTGTGGCTATTGAGCCCTTGAAATAATGAGGCTAGTAAGACGCAGGAACTAATTTTTAAACATTATTTCCTTTCAATTAATTTTTTTTTTTTTTGAGACGGAGTCTTGCTTTGTCACCCAGGCTAGAGTGCAGTGGTGCAATCTTGGCTCACCGCAACCTCCACCTCCCGGGTTCAAGCAGTTCTCCTGCCTCAGCCTCCCAAGTAGCTGGGACTACAGGCACGCGACACCACTCCCGGCTAAATTGTGTATCTTTAGTAGAGACGGGGGTTTCACTTTGTTGGCCAGGCTAGTTTCGAACTCCTGACCTCAGGTGATCCACCACCTCAGCCTCCCAAAGTGCTGGGATTACAGGCATGAGCCACTGAGCCTGGCCCCTTTTAATTAATTCAAATGTAAATAGCTGCACCAGTTAGGAGGCTGTGAAGATGGTCCAGGTGAGGGAGGGTAGGGGCCTGAAATGGGGAGGCAAAGAAATGGGGAGGGCATGGACTCTAGGATTGTCAGGGCACTGGCTATTTAATATTTAACTTAACCACTCAGCCAGTACTGAAACAGTTGTTATGGAGGCCTGCGTTCGTGAGACCTGGCATGCCACAAGTGAGTAGAGCCAAGAAATCATGGAGACCCACTGAAAGAGGGGAAGGAATGCTCAGGGCCTTGGAGGTCTCCTGGGGGTCTGGCCGGGGCAATGGGGTGCTTATGTATCATCACTAGGAACAGAAACCCACGATGAATCAGCTTGGAGATGACAAGTGTGGTTTTGAACACATGGAAACTGAGAGGTCTTAGGACATCCCAGTGAAAGCATCTGGTAGGCTGTTCTGTGTATGGCTCTGATGCTCAGGAGGGAACTGAAACTGAAGACAGCCCTGTCAGTCATCAGAGGTCAAAAATCGGCAGCCCATAGGCCAGCTTCAGGTCACAGATGGAGGTTTAGACTGGCTCACACCATTGATCTCCCGAAGTGCTGGGATTACAAGCACTGCGCCTGGCCTCATCCTACCCACCTCTTCTTTTTTTAAAATTTAAGTTTTTCCATTTGCTGTACTTCATGCCAAGTATACACTCCCCTCCTGCCTGTTCCCAAGCCAGGGACCAAGGACTACAGGCCGGTACAGGATTTGCGCTTGGTTAATCAAGCTACAGTGACTTTACATCCAACAGTACCTAACCCGTACACGTTGTTGGGATTGCTGCCAGCTGAGGACAGCTGGTTCACCTGCTTGGACCTGAAAGACGCTTTCTTTCGTATCAGATTAGCTCCCGAGAGCCAGAAGCTGTTTGCCTTTCAGTGGGAAGATCCGGAGTCAGGTATCACTACTCAGTACACTTGGACCCGGCTTCCCCAAGGGTTCCAGAGCTCCCCCACCATCTTCAGGGAGGCGTTGGCTACAGACCTCCAGAAGCTTCCCACCAGAGACCTAGGCTGCGTGTTGCTCCAGTACGTTGATGACCTTTTGCTGAGACACCCCACGGCAGTCAGGTGCGCCAAGGGAACGGATGCCCTACTCCAGCGCCTGGAGGACTGTGGGTATAAGGTGTCCAAGAAAAAAGCTGAGATCTGTCGACAGCAGGTACGTTACTTGGGATTTACTATCCGACACGGGGAATGCAGCCTGGGATCAGAAAGAAAGCAGGTCATTTGCAATCTACTGGAGCCTAAGAGCAGAAGGCAAGTGAGAGAATTCTTAGGAGCTGTGGGGTTTTGTAGACTGTGGATCCCAAACTTTGCAGTATTAGCCAAGCCTTTGTATGAGGTCACAAAGTGGGGGACCGGGAACCTTTTGAATGGGGATCTCAACAACAGCAAGCCTTTCATGAGTTAAAGGAAAAAACTTATGTCAGCCCCAGCCCTGGGGCTACCCGATCTGACAAAGCCTTTTACATTGTATGTGTCAGAGAGAGAAAAGATGGCAGTTGGAGTTTTCATCCAAACTGTGGGGCCCTGGCCGAGGCCAGTGGCCTACCTCTCTAAACAACTAGATGGGGTTCCTAAAGGATGGCCCCTGTGTTTGAGGGCCTTGGCAGCAACTGCCCTGCTAGTACAAGAAGCAAATAAGCTGACTCTTGGGCAAAACCTGAACATAAAGGCTCCCCATGCTGTGTTGACTTTAATGAATACTAAAGGACATCATTGGCTAACGAATGCTAGACTCACCAAGTACCAAAGTTTGCTCTGTGAAAATCTCCGTATAACCATTGAAGTTTGGAACACCCTAAACCCCACCACCTTGCTCCCAGTATCAGAGAGCCCTGTCGGGCATGATTGTGTAGAAGTGTTTGACTCAGTTGACTCTAGTAGATCTGACCTCCGGGACCAGCCTTGGGCATCAGTAGACTGGGAACTACACGTGGACGGGAGCAGCTTCATCAACCTACAAGGAGAGAGATGTGCAGGGTATGCAGTGGTAACCCTGTACACTGTTGTTGAAGCCAGATCGTTGCCCCAGGGCACTTCAGCCCAGAAAGCTGAACCCATTGCTTTAATTTGGGCCTTAGAACTCCATGAAGGTAAGACTGTAAACATTGACACTGATTCTCGGTATGCCTTTTTAACCCTTCAAGTGCATGGAGCATTATAGAAAGAAAACGGCCTATGGAACTCTGGGGGAAAAGACATAAAATATCAACAAGAAATCTTGCAATTATTAGAAGCAGTATGGAAACCCCACAAGGTGGCAGGTATGCATTGCAGAGGACATCAGCGAGCTTCCACCTTGCTGGGTTTGGGGAATTCCCGCGCTGACTCAGAGGCTCGAAAAGCAGCATCTGCCCCCTTCCGGCAATCAGTCACAGCCACTCTGCTCCCTCAAGCACCTGATCTTGTACCTACTTATTCTAAAGAAGAAAAGGACTTTCTCCAGGTAGAGGGAAGGACAAGTGATGGAGGAAGGATGGATTCGGTTACCAGATGGGAGAGTAGCTGTGCCACAGCTGCTAGGAGCTGCAGTTGTACTGGCTGTGCATGAAACCACCCATCTAGGTCAGAGTCACTGGAAAAGTTGTTAGGCTGGTATTTCTACATCTCGCATTTGTCAGCCCTTGCCAAAACGGTGACACAGCGGTGTGTTACCTGCTGACAGCACAATGCGAGGCAAGGTCCAGCCGTTCCGCCCGGCATAAAAGCTTATGGAGCAGCCCCCTTTGAAGATCTCCAGGTAGACTTCACAGAGATGCCAAAGTGTGGAGGTCAGAAGTATTTACTAGTTCTTGGGTGTACCTGCTCTGGGTGGGTGGAGGCTTATCCAACACGAACTAAGAAAGCTCGTGAAGTAACCCGTGTGTTTCTTCGAGATCTGATTCCTAGATTTGGACTGCCCTTACGGATCAGCTCAGATAACGGGCCTGCGTTTGTGGCTGACTTGGTACAGAAGACGGCGAAGGTATCGGGCATCACATGGAAACGGCATGCCGCGTACCAGCCTCAGAGTTCCGGAAAGGTGGAGCGGATGAATCGGACTATCAAAAATAGTATTATTATCTTTCCCACTGGATATTAAAAACAATACCACAAGGGGCATCAAACCACCTGCCAAATTTGAGGGAATGTTATTCTGTCCTCCCCCCGCCCCCGGATATTAGAGACAATAACATAGGGGTAATGTAAACCCACTGCTTTATTGGGAGAAGTATCATCCTCTCCCTTCTTGGATATTAGGAACAATATCACAGTGTGCGTGTACGCCTGTCACAAAATTCAATGGAATGTCATCCTGTGCCTCCCTGGATATGACGAACAATGTCACGGGGGATGTACAACTTCTGAGATATTGGGAGTGATACCATCCTCTCCCCTCTGGAAGTTAGGGACAATATCACAGGGGTAGTGTACACCCTCTGTGATGTTGGGACTAATATCATCCTCCCGTCCCCTGGATATTAAAAACCATATCACAAGGGGTGTACACACACTTCGATATTGGTATTAATACCATCCTCTCCCTCTTTGGATATTCGGTGCAATATTTCAGGTGGGGTATACACCACCAGCAATACTGGAAGTAATATGATTTTCTCCCCCCTGGATATTAGAAACAATATCACAGGGGGTGTGAACAACCCCTGCAATATTTGGAGTAATATCATCGTCTCCCCTCATGAATATTAAGAACAATATCGTAGGGGGGGCATACACCCCCTTTGATGTTTGATATCATCCTCTTCCCCGCTGGATATTAGGAACAATATCAGGAAGGGATGTACAGATCCTGCGACATTTGCTGTCATCTAATTGTCTCTCCCCTAGATATTAGGAAAAATGTAACCGGGGATGTGAACACCCCTGCGATATTGGGAGAGGTCTCATCCTCTCCCCGCTTGGATATTAGGAACAATATCACAGCAGGGGTGTACTGCCTCTGCGTTATTGGGAGTAAAATTATCCTCTCTTCCCCTGGATATTAGGAAGGGTATCAGAGGGGGAGGGTGTACATTCCCTGTGGTATTCAATGTAATCTTATCCTCTCCCTCCCAGGGTATTAAGAACAATATTAGAGGAGGGGTGTACACCCTCTGCGATATTGAGAGTCATATCATCCTCTTTCGCTCTGGATATTACGAACAATATCACAGGGTTGTGTACACCCCCTGTGATACTGGGAGTAATATCATCCTCTCTCCCTCTGGATATTAGGAAGAGTATCACAGGCTGTGTACACCCCCTGCAATATTGGGAGTAGTATCATCCTCTCTCCCTCTGGATATTAGGAAGAGTTTCACAAGGATGTGTGCACCCCCTGCGATATTGGGAGTAATATCATCTTGTCGCCCTCTGGATATTAGGAAGAGTTTCACAGGGGTGTGTACACTCCCTGCAACATGGGGAGTAATATCATCCTGTGCCCCCTGGATGTTAAAAACCAAATCACGGGGGTTGTACACCTGCTGCGATATTGGTAAACGTTACTTCTAGTATCCCACAGAGGGTACACCCTGTGATATTTTTCATAATATCATAGGGAGATATTGCTTCTAATAACACAGTGGGTGTACACCATGTGTGTACACTCTGTGATGTGATAGCTTATATCCTAGGGAGATATTCCTTCTAGTATCACAGTGAGTGTACACCCTGTGATATCATTCGTAATATCCTAGAAAGATGTTGCTGCTAATATCACAGAGGGTGTGCCCCCAGTGACATCATTATTCGTAATATCCTAGGGAGATGTTACTCCTAATGTCACAGGGGTGTACACCCTGTTATATTATTCGTAATATTCTAGGCGGGTGTTACTTTTAAAGTCACAGGGGTGTACACCCTGTGATGTTATTCATAATATCCTAGGAAGAGGTTACTCCTAATACCACATGGGTTATCCTATGAAGAGGTTACTCCTAATATCACACTCCTAATATCACACCCTGTGATAGCATTCAGAATATCCAAAAGGGATGTTACTTTTAATGTCACATGGGGTGTACACCTTTTGATATTATTCGTAAGATCCTAGGGACATATTACTTCAAATATCACATTGGGTGTACACACATGGTGTACACATTATGTGTGAACACCTCCTGTGATATTATTCATAATATCCTAGGAAAATGGGACTCCTAATATCACAGTGAGTGTACACACTGCGATATTATTTGTAATATCCTAGGGGAATATTACTCCTAAACCAAAGGCGTGTGTACCCCCTGTGATATTATTCGTAATACTCTCATACACTCACAGTATATGAGAGGGATATTAGCACTGAAGTCACAATGTGTGTACACCCTGTGATATTATTCACAATATATGAGGGAGGTATAACTTTTACTCATGATGTTCTAGAAAGATGTTACTCCTAATGTCACAGGGGGTGTACACCCTGTGATATTACACAGGCTAAACCCCTGTGACATTATTCGTAATATTTTAGCGGGATGATACTCCTGAAGTCACAGGAGATGTACGCCCTGTGATATTATTCAGAATATTCCAGGGGGATGTTACTCCTAATGTCACAGGTGTGTATACCCTGTGATATTATTCACAATATACTAGCGGGATATTACTACTAATGTCACCATGTGTGTACACCTTCTGATGTTATTCGTAATATCCTGGGAGGATGTTACTCCTAACATCACAGGGGTGTACACCCTGTGTTAATTATTAGTAATATTCTAGGGGGATTTTACTTTTAAAATCACAGGGGGTGTCAACACTGGGATCTTATTCGTAATATCCTAGGAAGATGTTACTCATAATGTCACCTGGGGTGTACACCCTGGGATATTATTTGGAATATCCTAAAGGGATGTTATCTTAATGTCATAGGGTGTGTACACCTTTGATATTATTCGTAATATCCTAAGGAGATATTACTTTAAAAATCACAGTGGGTGTGCACACGTGGTGTATACCCTGTGATATTATTCACAATATATGAAGGAGGTATAACTTTTAATGTCACAGTGGGTGTACACACTGTGATATTATCCGTCATATCCTAGAAGTATATTATTCCTATTGTCACAGGGGTTTAACATCCTGTGAAATTATTTGTAGTAATCCAGGGGGATGATTATCCTAAAGTCACAGGGTGTGTACACCCTGTGATATTATTCATATTATTCTAGGGGGATGTTACTCCTAATGTCGCAGATGTGTATGCGCTGTGATATTATTCACAATATACTAGCTGGATATTGTTACTAATGTCACAATGCGTGTACACCTTGTGATATTATTTGTACTATCCTAAGGGGATGTTACTCCTATTGTCACAGGGGGTGTGCTTTCTGTGCTATGATTCGTAGTATCCCAGGGGGATGTTACTCCTACCATACAAATTGTGTACACTTTGTTATATTATTCATAATATCCTAGAGGGATGTTGATCCCCATGTCACGAGGGTGTACATCCTGTGATGTTATTCTTCACATTCTAGGAAGATGTTAACTCCTAATATCACAGAGGGTGTACAATCTGTGAAGTCATTCATAATAGTTTCAGGGGATGTTACTCCTAATGTCACACGTAGTGTACAAACAGTGATATTATTTGTAAAGTTTTTTTGGATATGTTACTCCTAATATCACAGGGGCTGTACACCCTGTCATATTATTCTTAATATCCTAAAGAAATGTTACCACTAATGTCACAGGCAGTGTACACCGTGTGGTATTATTCCCAATATTGTAGGGTGATGTTACTCCTAATGTCACAGAAGGTGTTCACACTCTGATAACATTCGTAATACCCTAAAGCGATGCTACTACTGATGTCACAATGCAGGTACACAATCTGTTATTATTTCTTATATCCTCAGGCGATGTTACTTCTAATGTCACAGGGGTTGTACATTTTGCGATATTATTCGTAATATTTTAGAGAGATGTTACTCCTAATGTCACAGAGGGTGTACACCTTGTGAAGTTATTCATAATAGTTTTGGGGGCTGTTACTCCTAATGTCACCCGTGGTGTACAAACAGTGATATTATTCATAATATTTTATGGACATGTTACTCCTAATATTGCAGGGGCTGTACACCTTGTAATATTATTCATAATATCCTAAAGAAATGTTACCTCTAATGTCACAGGGGGTGTACACTGTATGATATGGTTCCCCATATTGTAATGGGATGTTACTCCTAATATCACAGGGGGTGTTCACACTGTGGTAATATTCGTAATATCCTAAATGGATGTTACTGCTAATGTCACAACACGTGTACATCCTCTGTATTTGTTCGTTATATCCTTGGGGGAGGTTGCTTCTACTGTCACAAGGGGTGTACTCCCTGTGATAGTATTCATAATATCCTAGGTGGATGTTACTCCTCGTGTCACAGGGGCTGTGCGTTTTGTGATATTATTCACAATATCCTAGAAAGATGTTACTCCCCAGGTACACCCTGTGATATTTTTCGTACTATCCTAGGGGATGTTACTCCAAATGTCACAGAAGGTGTACACTCTGTGATATTACTCGTAATCTGTCAGGGAAATGTACTCCTAATGTCACAGGGCATGTACACCATGTGCGCACAGCCCTTGTGATGTTATTTGTACTATTCTCGAGGGATGTTAATCCTAATATTCCATATGCTGTTAACCATGTGGGAACACCTTTGTGGTATTATTCCTAACATACTAGAAGGATGTAACTCCTAACATCACATGGGGTATACGCCATGTGTGTACACATTCTGTGATATTATTCATAACATCCTAGGGAGATGCTACTCCTAGTTTTACAAGGTGCATACGTTATGTGTGTACACCCCCTCTGATGTTATTCATAATATTCTAGGGGAATGTTGCTGCCAATGTCACAGGGAGAGTACGCCATGTGTATGCAACCCTGGTAATATTATTTCTAATATCTTGGGGGGATGTTGCTCCTAATGTCACCTGGAGTGTACACCATGTATGTACACCTTCTGTGATATTATTCATAAATCACAGAAAAATATTATGCCTAATGTAACAGGATGTGTACACCGTGTGCGTCAACCGCCTTTGATATTATTCATAATATACTAGGGGGATGTGATTTTTAATGTCACAAAGGGTGTACAAAATGTCACAGGGTGTGTATGCCTTATGATATTATTCCTGATATCCAGAAGGATGTTACTCCTAAGGTCACAGGGGGTGTACACCCTTCGATAATATTTGTAGTCTTATAGGGAGATATTCCTGTAAATCTCACAGTGGGTGTACACTACACCCACTGTGAAATTATTTGTAATATCTCAGAGATATTACAGAGTTATAGCTCTCTGTGTTATATTAGAGAGTTACATCTCTCTAAGAAAGTACAAATAATACCACAGTGGGTGTACCTTATGTGTGTACACCCACTGTGATATTATTTGTAATATCCATGGTAAACATTACATCTAATATCACAGTGTACTCCCTTTGATATTTTTCATACTATCATAGGGAGATATTGCTTCTAATATCACAGTGGGTGTACACCATGTGTGTACATTCTGTGATATGATACCTTATATCCTAGAGAGATATTTCTCCGAATATCACAGTGTGTGTACACTTTGTGATATTATTCATAATATCCTAGAAGGATGTTACTCCTAATATGACAGAGGATGTACACCCAGTGATATTCTTCGTAATATCCTAGGGAGATGTTACTCCCAATATCACACGGGGTATACACCCATTATATTTTTTGTAATATTCTAGGGGGATGTTACTTTTAAAGTCACAGGGGGTGTACACCCTGTGATGTTGTTCACAATATCCTAAGAAGATGTTACTCTTAATGTCACATGGGGTGTACAACCTGTGATATTACTCGGAATATCTTATGGGGATGCTACTCCTAATGTCACAGGCTGTGTACACCCTGTGATATTATTCGGAATATCCACAAGAGATGTTACTTTTGATGTCACAGACGGGGTCCACCCTTTGATATTTTTTGTCATATCTTAGGGAGATATTACTTCAAATATCACAGTGGGTGTACACCCATTATATTATTTGCAATACCCTAGGGAGATATAACTTTTAATATCACAGTGGGTGTACACACAATTTGTGTATCCTAATATCCTAAAAATAAATAGGACACCTAATATCACAGTTGGTGTACACACTGTGATATTATTCGTAATATTCCAGTGGGATGTTACTCCTCAGGTCACAGGGGGTTAATACCCTGAGACAGTATTCCTCATATTCCAGGGCGGTGATACTCCTAAAGTCACAGGGTGTGTACCCCCTGTGATATTATTTGTCCTATTCTAGGGGAACGTTACTCCTAATGTCACAGGGAGGTACACCCTGTGATATTATTCATAGTATACGAGAGGGATATTAGTACTAATGTCACAATGCGTGTACACCTTGTGATATTATTCATAATATCCTAATATCACAGGGGGTGTGTTCCCTGTGATATTATTCCTAATATCCTAGACGGATATTGTTCCTAACATCACAGGCTGTGTACCCCTTGTCATATCATTCATAATATCCTAAAACTACGTTATTCCTCATGTCACAGGGGGTGTTCACCCTGTGATATTATTCGTAATAGTTTTATGGGATGTTACTCCTAATGCCACACGGGGTGTACACAGAGTCACACAGTGATATGACCTGTAATATTCTATGGAAATATTACTCGTAAATCACAGGGGCTGTACTTCCTGTGATATTATTCTTCATATTCCAGCGGAATGTTACTACTGTTGTCACAGGGGGTGTACACCCTGTGATATTACTCGTCATATCCTAGCGGGATGTTACTACCAATGTCACAATGCGTGTACACCCTGTGATATTATTTGTAGTATCCTAAAGAGATGTTACTACTAAGGTCACAATGCATGTACACCCTCTGATATTATTCGTTATATCCTCGGGGGATGTTACTCCTAATGTCACATGGGGTGTACTCCCTGTGATATTATTCGTAATATCCTAGGGGGATGTTACTTTTAATGTCACCGGGGGTGTATATCATGTGTATTCAACATCTGTGATACTATTCCTATATCCTAGGGGCATGTTCCTCCTAATGTCACATGGGGTGTTCACCATGTGTGTACACCTGCTGTTATATTATTCATAATATCCTAGGGGAATGTTACTCCTGATGGCACAGGCGGTGTACACCATGTGTGTACACCGCCTGTGTCATTATTCATAATATCCTAGGGAGATGTTTCTTTTAATGTCACAAAGAGTGTACAAAATGTCACAGAAGGTGTACAGCTTGTGACATTATCTGTAATACCCTAGAAGGATGTTACTCCTAATATGTCACAGGGGTGTACACCCTTTGATATTATTTGTAATCTCATAGAGAGATATTACTTCAAATATCACAGTGGATGTACACACATAGTGTATACCCTGTGATATTATTCATAATATCCTAGGGAGATACAACTCCTGGTATCACAGTGCGTGTACCCCGTGTGTGTACACCCTTGATATTAGTCGTAATATCCAGGGTAAATATTACTCCTAATATCACACAGTGTGCACACCCTGTGATATTTTTCATAATATTTAAGGGAGATACTGCTTCTAATATCACAGTGGGTGTACCGCATGTGTGTATACTCTGTGACAGTATATTTTATATCCTAGGGAGGTATTACTCCTAATATCACAGTGGGTGTTCACCCTGTGATATCATTCTTATTTGACCTTGCTGCCTTTTTTAACCCACACTACAAAAGGAATGGAACAGATAAGAAGATATTGAGATTAGACAGTGCTGCCGTGCGGCCGCCGCAAGACACTTTTAATATCCCTGTTTCCCAGGCTGTAGATAAAGGGGTTGAGCATGGAGGTGACCACCGTGTACATCACTGCAGCCACTGCACCCTTTCTGGGGGAAGATGACACATCTGAACTGAGGTACCCTCCAACACCTCTTCCATAAAATCAGCAAACAACTGACAGGTGAGACCCACAGGTGGAGAAGGCTTTATACTTCCCACCTGATGATGAAACCCTCAGAATGGAGGAAACAATTTTATAGTAAGAGAAAAGGGTCCCCGAGATGGGAAGAAAACCAAATATGGCAGTAGGGAAATACATGATTATGTTATTGATGAAGGTGTCACAACGGCAAGATGGGGGAGTTGAGAAAGGTCACAGAAGAAATTAGGAATGTCCACCTCCTTGAAGCAGGTCATTAGTAAGGCAATCAAGTTGTACAGCTGGGAGTCTAAAAGACTGAGAAAAAAAAAAGACAGCAAAACTAGGAAGCCACAGAAACACAGGTTCATGATGGCTGAATGATATAGAGGGTGACAGATGGCTACAAACCGGTCATAGGCCATCACACTCAGGAGCATGTCTCTCTTCCGTGCCTCCAAAAATGGCAAAGAGAGACTTCTGAGTCAGGCAGCCTGCATAGGAGATGACTCTGCTGCGAGACTGGATGTCCACAGTCATCTGGGGGACCGTGGTGGAGGTGAAACCGATGTCAGGCAAGGACAGGTTGGAGAGGAAGAAGTACATGGAGGTGTGGAGGTGGGAGTCAGGGCTCATGGCCGGATGATGAGCAGGTTCCCCAGCACCATGACCAGGCACATGGACAGGAACAGTCCAGCAAGGACCAGCTGCCGTTCTGGATCCTCTGAGGTTCTAGGAGGAGGAATATAGAGACATCTGTTAGATTCTGTGGGTCTGTATAGTTTGGACAACTTTTGCCTAGAAAAGAGCGTTGAGAAATCAGAAACAAGTAAACCAACACCCAGCATTGTGTCTGCATTTTGGATACAAGCAATTCACAAGTAATGTTTTCAGATTCCAGAGCAATCCACACTCAGGAATATTTTGCAGTTCTGACAAAATGAATTGTCTTATAATGCTTTCATCATTGATTCTGTGTTATTCAGTTCTTGCTGTACATACCTGCCTTAGAGACACTAGATTCAAGAATGTTCCAAGAACCAGATCATCATAAATAACAAATTCATAATTGCTAGAAAATACAGCCTATCTTTTCCGAAGAAAAATATGTAATAAAACCATTCTCTTCACTTTAAGAAAAAGGTTATCCTAACTAAAGAAAATTAAGAACTCAAATATTTTTTATTCTAATAGATTGATACAAATTTCCTTGATTTAGAACATTTATAAACACTGTATAACAGCTGAGACCATGCCATCTGGAAATGAACTTAAAGTTGATAGTTCATAAGCAGAAAATAGTTCCACATGCGAGTTAGGTCCTAGTGATTTCATCATTATGTTTTCTGACTTTTCTCCTTCAAGAGAGTAATTGCTTACTCAAATCGGTGGGTCTTGTTTTAAAATTCATGTAAGCTATAACTCCTGTCCTTAGCTTAGGGGGACTTAGAGTTTTCATCAGAAAGTTTGGCCAAACGCGGTGGCTCACGCCTGTAATCCCAGCACTTTGGGAGGCCGAGGAGGGCAGATCACGAGGTCATGAGATCAAGACCATCCTGGCCAACATGGTGAAACCCCGCCTCTACTAAAAATACAAAAACTTCACCCGGTATGGCGGAGGGCACCTGTAGTCCCAGCTACTCAGGAGGCTGAGGCAGGAGAATGGCTTGAACCTGGGAGGCAGAGGCTACAGTGAGCTGAGATCACACCACTGCACTCCAGCCTGGGCAACAAGAGCAAAACTCCGTCTCAAAAAACAAAAAACAAAAAGAATCACGTAAGTCGAAGTCACACTGATGACAGCCAATTTTTGTGAACCAAGGAAGTGTCAATTCAATAATTCACATAGATGTTTACTTTTGCTGTCTCCTATGTGCCAAGCAAGATGTAGGCTCTGGGGAGTCAGAAACAAAAGAGACTCACTTGTTCCTCTCACAATACTCAGTACTTACTGAGATAAGGACAAAATAAAATGTCCTGTCTGGAATGCAGGGAAACCAGAACTTCAGGTCAGGGGATATTTCCATTGAATTGTATGGAGTTTAAGCTTAAAATATTAACAAATGTATCTAAAATTCACTTTACCTTTACTTTATGCATCCATCATAGAGATCATGCAGCGGGAGCCCACGATCGGTTTAATCATCACTCACTTCCATTGGATCAACTACAAATCAACTCAGATGAGAGTGCTGAGTCTCAGAGGATGGACATCTCACCCCTTGCCATACAGATAAGTAGAAAGGATGGTATTCAAAATTAATGGCCAGACTCTAAGTCCCAGATACTATACTTCATGGTCTTCCAACTCTCAAAAAGTTGTGGGAGTTTTTTTTTGTTTTTGTTTTTGTTTTTTTGAGACGGAGTCTCATTCTGTTGCCCAGGCTGGAAGTGCAGTGGAGTGATCTCAGCTCATTGCAACCTCCGCATCCCAGGTTCAAGCTATTCTCCTGCCTCAGCCTGCTGAGCAGCTGAGATTACAGGCGCCCGCCACTATGCCCGACTAATTTTTTTCTATTTTTAGTAGAGACGGGGTTTCACCATGTTGGCCAGGCTGGTCTCGAACACCTGAACTTGTGATTCGCCTGCCTCAGCCTCCCAAAGTGCTGGGATTACAGGCGTGAGCCACCGCGCCCAGCTTCAAAAAGTTTAAAGCAGAGCTCAGAGGTCTTAACCACAGGTACATCTGAGGAGCATTTTTGAAACAGTTTCCAGCTTCCTCAACAGGAAGAGAAGCCAAATTCCGAATTTATGACTCCTTTGAGGAAGTCGAGAGCTGTAAGGAAAGCCAGGAACAGGGGCAAGGGAGAGATGCATCCCGAATGATCCTGTGCCAATTCTTTCTGGAATCTTTGATGTGATCTCAGCTGCCCTTTCTATACTTGACACAGTGATTGTGGCACCCACTGGTCTAGCTGTGGTCTACAAGGAACCCCCAAAAGGAAGGGCACAGTGAGCAGGGGCATCGGCCTGAGTGACAAGGATTTGAGAGGGCAGGTTGGATGCAGGGAGAGGACTGGCCAAATGCCATGTGTCTGGACTTAGGCTGCCTGGTTCAAACTGGACTTCACCCTTTTTGACTTCATGATCTGGTACAAGTTATATGAAAATGCATTGCTCCTTTTCTAGTCTGTAAAATAATAATGAAATGTGCACTAATAACTGGGAGACTACGCAGAGGAAATGAAACAAGCTGCATAGACCACAGAGCTCAGAGCCTGGCCTTTAGGAAGCCCTCAGTAAGGGTTCATGATGCCATGGTGTCTGTCATCATCCTCTTTATCCTCATCATCACCTTCATAATCTTTTTATTGTTCTTAGAGAATAGTTTAGAGGGACTCATTCCCTGCTATCATGGGTGAGATGTCTATGAAAAGGACAACCAGTGGGGGAGGAAAGCAAAATTTTGAATAAGATTTCTGAGACCGCCCCCCCCCGACCATAACCAAGAACAGAAACTCCACAGTCTGCTGAGCCGACAGTTTGCACGTTGGTCTCCTCCCATCTGCCCACCGCACTCTCCTGTTTTTTTCCTGAGGATGAGGATACAAAACAAGGCTCCCAACCGTCCCTCAGCACTCACTGAACTGCCCTTCCCCTCTGCTGGGCCATGACCACGGAGAACAAGTCCACTGTCCTCCCTGCGTGGTGCACGATGGAGGCTCAGACTCCATCCTCAAGGCTGGCAAGAAGACAGGGTGAGACATGAGCCTCCTGATACAGGTGATGGGTGTGGAGCCCACAGGACTGGAACCTCACACTGCAGGGCTGGAGGCACAGACTATTTACTATTCTATGGCCTGGGGGGCTCAAGGCACAGAGCTCCTCATTAGCCAAAGTCGCCCAAGTTCCCCAACCTTTAAGGATTTCCTCATAATAATGCAAGAAGAAGAAGAGAAAAGTGAGTGTCCATAGAAGCTTTGGGGCTCTTCCTCTAATCAGGAGAAAGCTGGTGTGTATTATTCACTTCTTTCTTTTCTTTTTAAAGATCCAACTGCTTTAATTTTAATCTTTCATTATGGGAAAATATACCACATATAAATATTAAAAATTATAAATATATATTATTTCATATAGAATGGCCAGTATAAACATTTACAATTTCCACTATTTTTCAGTTTACAGTTTAATGACATTAAGTACATTCACATTGTTTAGCAACCATCACCGCCATCATCTCCAGAACAGTTTTATCTTTCAAAATGGAAATTGCATCCATTAACCAAACTCTCCATTCCTCTCTCTCGCCCACCCCTGGGGGCCACCATTCTAGTTTGCAACTCTATGAGTTTAACTACTCTAGACCCTTGATATAAGTGGAATCATACCGTGTTTATTTATTTATTTATTTATTTACTGGAGACAGTCTTTCTCTGTCGCCCAGGCTGGAGTGCAGTGTCGTGATCTCAGCTCACTGCAACCTCCACAAGTTCAAGCGATTCTTGTGTCTCAGTCTCCCGAGTAGCTGGGATTACAGGCGTGTGCCACCACACCCAGCTAATTTTTGTATTTTTAATAGAGACAAGCTTTCACCATATTGGCCAGGCTGGTCTCGAACTCCTGACCTTAAGTGATCTGCCTACCTCAGCCTTCCAAAGTGCTGGGGTTACAGGTGCAAGCCACTGAGTCTGGTCGTGTTTATCCTTTTTGGATTTATTCATTTCACTGACGATAATCTCTTCAAGGTTCATCCATGTTGCAGCCTGTGTCAGAAGTGCCTGTCTGTTTTGTTTTTTGGTTTTTTTTTTTTTTTGGTTTTATTTTATTTTGTTTCATTTTGTGTTTACATGGAGTCTCACTCTATCACACAGGCTGGAGTGCAGTGGCACAATCTGGGCTCACTGCAACCTCCACCTCCCGGGTTCAAGCGATTCTTGTGCCTCAGCCTCCCGAGTAGCTGGGACTATAGGCACACGCCACCACGCTCGTCTAATTTTTTGCGTTTTCAGTAGAGACGGGGTTTCACCAAGATGGCCAGGCTGGTCTTGAACTCCTGACCTCAGGTGATCCTCCCACCTCGGTCTTCCAAGATGCTGGGATTACAGGCATGAGCCACCGCACCGGCCAGAAGTGCCTGCCTTTTTAAGGCTGAATAGTCTTCCATTGTATGAATGCACTGCAGCGTGTTTTTTCATTCATCTGTCCACGAACCCTTGGGTTGCTTCCCCATTTTGGCTGTTGTGAATAATGCTGCTATGAATATGGGTGTACAAATATCTCTTCCACTCCTGGCTTCTAATTCTTTTTGGTAGGAACCCACAAGTGCAACTGCGGGAACATCTGATGATTCTGTTTCTAATTTTTCCAGTACACGCCATACTATTTTCCCTGTTCCTTCATGGTTTTACATTCCCTCCAATCATATTCGAGCATTCCTACTTCCCTCTCGTTTCACCAATGCTTGTTTATCATATCCATCCTAATGTGTGGTATCACATTATTGGTTTGATTTGTGCTTCCCTATGATTAGTGATTTGAACATCACTTTAGATGTTTATTGGCCATTGCTATATCTTCTTTAGGGACATGTCTACTCAAATCTTCTGACCATTGTTAATGGGATGCTTTGGGTTTCTTGTTGTTTAGTTCTGGCTGTTCTTTATATATGATGGATATCAGCCTCTTTTCAGATATATGATTTGCAAATATTTTTCCTAATCCACGGGTTATCTTTTCACTCAGTTCACAGTGTTTTTTGATGTACAAAAGTGTCTGTCATTTAGATGTAATCCAAGGAATCTAATTTTCTTTTGTTGCCTATGCTTTTGGTGTCACATCCCAGAAAGCATTGCCCAATCTGATGTCATGAAAGTGTGGCCAATGTTTTCTTTTAGGCATATTATACTTTTAGCACTTGGGGTGAGGTCTTTGATCCAGTTTGTGTTAATTTTTGCACCTGGTGTGACATAGGGTCCACCTTCATTCTTCTGCATGTGGAGATCAAGTTTCTCCAACACCATTTCTTGAAAAGGCTGCTTTTCCACCAATGAACTTTCTTAGCACTCATGTTAAAAATCACTTGAACATATAGGTGAGAAGTTATTTCTGGGCTCAAAAACAAACAAACAGCAAGAGACAACAGATAAAGATACAGCATGGGCCGAGCGCAGTTGCTCACGCCTGTAATCCCAGCACTTTGGGAGGCCGAGGTGGGCGGATCACCTGAGGTCAGGAGTTCAAGACCAGCCTGACCGACAGGGAAAAACCCCCGTCTCTACTAAAAATACAACATTAGCTGGGTGTGCTGGCGCATGCCTGTAATCCCAGCTACTCGGGAGGTGGAGGCAGGAGAATCACTTGAACCCAGGAGGCAGAGGTTGCGGTGAGCCAAGACTGCACCACTACACTCCAGCCTGGGCAACAAGAGCGAAACTCCATCTCAAAACAAAAAAAAAACAAAAAAACAGCATGATTTCAAGAGCAGAAAGAGAAGAGCTTAAAAACCAGCATAATGAGAAAGTTAGGAAGCTTCTTACCAAAGCGTCTGGAAATATGCAAGAAATTCTTGTGAGTTAAATTTTCATACTGTACTATCAAACACTAGAACTCACTTATTCCATCTTTCTGTATTTTGGGACCCAATTATCCACTTCTCTTCATTCCCCATCCCACCCCTTTTCTTCCTAGCGTCTGCTAACCCCCTTTATACTCTCCACCTTCCTGAGATTCCTTTTGTGTGTAGGTGTGTGATGGAGTCTCTTTCTGTTGCCCAGGTTGGAGTATACAGGCACAATCCGGGCTCACTGCAACCTCCGCCTCCCGAGTTCAAGTGCTTCTTGGGCCTCAGCCTTCCGAGTAGCTGAGACTACAGGCACACGTCACCACACCCGGCTAATTTTTTGTGTTTTTAGTAGAGACGGGGGTTTCACTATGTTGGCCAGGAGGGTCTCGAACTCCTGGCCTCAAGTGATCCGTGTGACTCGGCCTCCCAAAGTGCTAGGATTACAGGCCTGAGCCACCACACCTGGCCAAGATTTTCTTTTTTGTTCCTACGTATAAGTGAGGACATGTAATATTTGTCATGCTGTGCCTGGCTTATTTCACTTAATATACAGACCTGTAATCTCATCCATTTTTTTCTGCAGTGGAGAGGATTTTACTCCTTTTTAGGCTGAATAATACTTCATTATGTGTGTATACCATAGTTTCTTAATTGAAACAAATTTCTAAAAAGCAAATATTTTTAAAATGTCTCAGAATGCGAAACTTTAGGGATACTGTGCCCATTTTATTCTTTTCTACTTCCCATTTTATGTATATGCAAGTGTATGTAATAAAGCAGCAATCAATGTATCAATCTATAACTTCAACAAATGTAAAATGAAAATGCTAAGTGGTGGCTGGGCGCGGTCACTCACGCCTGTAATCCCAGCACTTTGGGGGGCCGAAGTGGGTGGATCACCTGAGGTCGGGAGTTCAAGACCAGCCTGACCAATATGGAGAAACACTGTCTCTACTAAAAATACAAAAAAAAAAAAAAAAAAAAAATAGCTGGGCGCGGTAGCGCATGCCTGTAATCCCAGCTACTCAGAAGGCTGAGACAGGAGAATCGCTTGAATACGGGAGGCAGAGGTTGCAGTGAGCCGAGATTGTGCCATTGCACTCCAGCCTGGGCAACAAGAGTGAAACTCTGCCTCAAAAAAAAAAAAAAGAAAGAAAATATTACTCCCATTCTCGCAGGGGTTGTTCACCCCGATGATATTGTTTTCTAATATCCAGGGAAGGAGAGTATGATATTACTCCCAATATTGCAGGGGGTGTACACCTTTTTGTGATATTGTGTCTAATATCCAAGGAAACAGAGGATGATATTACTCCCAATATCGCAGAGGGTGGACACCCCCCTGGGATATTGTTCCTAATATCCCAGCGGGGAGAGGATGATATTACTCCCCATATCGAAGGAAATGTACACTACCCCTGTGATATTGTTCCTGATATCCAGAGAGGAAAAGAATGATATTACTCCCAACAGCGTAGGAAATGTATACCCGCGCTTGATATTTTTCCCAATATCCGGGGGGGGAGAGGATCATATTACTTCCAATATCACAGGGTGTGTACACCCCCTCTGTTATCTTGTTGCTAACATCCAGGTTTGGGGAGGATGTCATTACTCCCAATATCTCAGGGGTAGTACACAACCCCCCGTGACCTTGTTAGTAATTTCCTGGGTGGAGAGGATGATATTACTCCCAATATCACCAGGGTGTACACCCCACTGTGATATTTTTCTAAATATTCAGGGCGGGAGAGGATAATATTACTCCCAATATCGCAGAAGGTGCACATCCCTCCTGTGATATTGTTCATAGTATCCAGGGAAAAAGAGGATGATACTTTCAAAATAGCCGGGGTTTTCCACGACCCCCACGCCATGATGTTGTTCCTAATATCCAGGTGGGCAAAGAATCATATTACTCCAAATATCGCAGGTAGTATACAACCCCCTTGTAATGTTGTTCCTAATATCCAGGGAAGGAGGGAACGATATCACTACCAATATCGCACCAGCTGTACAACCCACTGTGATTTCATTTCTAAAAACCGTGGAGGAGAGGATATTACTTTCAATATCGCACGGATGTACACCCCCCACCCCGTGATACTGTTCCTAATATCCAGAGGGCGAGAGGATGATATTGCTCCTAATATCACAGGGGGTTTTACACCAATATCCCAGGAGGTGGACACCCCCCTGTGATGTTGTTCCTAATATCCAGGGGGAGAGAGGATGATATTACTCCCAATATCGCAGGGGATGTAAACCACCCGTGATATTACTTCTAATATCCAGGCAGAGAGAGGAAGATATTACTCCCAATATCGCAGCAGGTGTACAATCCCCGTGATTTGGTTTTTAACATCCAGGGGGCACAGGATGATATTACTACTCATGTTGCAGGGAGTGTACACACCCCTGTGAAACTCTTCCTAATATCCAGAGGGCGACAGGATGATATTACTCCCAATATCGCAGGGGGTACACACATCCCTGTGAAACTCTTCCTCATATCCAGAGGGAGAGAGGATACTACTCCCAATATTGCAGGGGGTGTACACAGCCTGTGATACTCTTCCTAATATCCAGAGAGAGAGAAGATGATATTACTCCCGATATCGCAGGGGGTGTACACAACCCTGTGATATTGTTCCTAATATCCAGAGCGAAAGAGGATGATATGACTCTCAATATCGCAAAGGGTGTACACCCCTCCTGTAATATTGTTCTGAATACCCTGGGAGGGAGAGGCTAAGATTACGTTGAATATCACAGGGAATGTACACCCTCCCCCTCTGATACCCTTCCTAATATCCAAGGGAAGAGAGGATAATTTTACTCCCAATATCGCAGAGGCAGTACACCCCCCCCCCCGTGATATTGTTCCTAATATACAAGGGGGGAGAGGATGATACTTCTCCCAATATCGCAGGGGTGTTCACATCCCCGGTTACATTTTTCCTAATATCTAGGGGAGAGACAATTAGATGACAGCAAATGTCACAGGGTCTGTACATCCCTTCCTGATATTGTTCCAATATCCAGGGGGGAAGAGGATGATATCAAATATCAAACGGGGTGTACGTCCCCCCCCCCCCACGATATTGTTCTTAATATTCATGAGGGGAGACGATGATATTACTCCAAATATCGCAGGGGTTGTTCACACCCCCTGTGATATTGTTTCTAATATCCAGGGGGGAGAAAATCATATTACTTCCAATATTGCAGGTGGTGTATACCCCACCTGAAATAGTGCACTGAATATCCAAAGAGGGAGAGGATGGTATTAATACCAATATCGAAGTGTGTGTACACGCCCCTTGTGACATGGTTTTTAATATCCAGGGGACGGGAGGATGATATTAGTCCCAACATCACAGAGGGTGTACACTACCCCTGTGATATTGTCCCTAACTTCCAGAGGGGAGAGGATGATATCACTCCCAATATCTCAGAAGTTGTACATCCCCCGTGACATTGTTCGTCATATCCAGGGAGGCACAGGATGACATTCCATTGAATTTCGCGACAGGCGTACACGCACACTGTGATATTGCTCCTAATATCCAAGAAGGGAGAGGATGATACTTCTCCCAATAAAGCAGTGGGTGTACGTTACCCCTGTGTTATTGTCTCTAATATCCGGGGGCGGGGGCGGGGGAGAGGATAACATTCCTTCGAATTTGGCAGGTGGTTTGATGCCCCTTGTGGTATTGGTTTTAATATCCAGCGGGGAAGAAAATACTACTACTCTCTATATCACAAGAAATGTACATCCCCCCTGTGATATTGCTACTAATATCCAGGGGTAGAGAGAATGATGTTACTCCCAATATCGTCAAAGTGTCCATCCCCGCTTTGGTATTGTTCTTAATATATGGACGGCAAGTATCATATGACTCCCATATGGAAGGGGGAATACACGCCCCTGTGATATTGTTCCCAGTATGCAGTGGAGGAGAGAATGATATTACTCCCAATATCGCAGGAGGTGTACACCCCTCTGTGATCTTGTTCATAAGGTTCAATAGAAAAGATGATCTTACTGGAAATATTGTAAATACACTGTGTGTCCACAGTGGCTGCTAACATGCAGGGAGGGACCGGGGTTGATATCACTCTGCGCATCAGCGGGGAGTGTCCACACCCCAGCGATGTGGCTCGTGCTATCCATGGGGAAGGGGGGTAGGTATTACTCCCTGCATCACTGGGGGTGTCCACCCCCCTGCAATGTGGCTCGTAATATCCGGGGGGGGGTGATATTTCTCCCCGCATCGTGGGGGTCGCCCGCCCCCCTGCGATGTGTATCGTAATATCCAGGGAAAGAGAGGGGGGTGATAGTACTCCCCGCATCGTGGCGGAGCCTATCACAGGTCGGGATACTATACACCCCCTGGGATATTGGGAGCAATATCATACTCTTCCCCCCTGAATATTAGGAACAATATCATGGAGGGGGTGTTCACCCCCTGCCATAGTGTGAGTCATGTCATTTTCTCTACCCCGGACATCAGGAACAATATCACAGGAGTGGTGTACGACCCCTGCGAAATTGGGAGATATATCTTCCTCTCCACCTTTGGATATTAGGGACAATATCACAGGGTAGGTCTACACCTTCTGGATTATTGGGATTAATACCGTCCTCTCCCCGCCTGGATATTAGCAATAAGATCACAGAAGGGATGTACACCCAGTGCGATATTTGCAGTAATGTCATCGTCTACCCCTGGCTATTAGGAACAACATCACAGGGGGGTGTACATTTTCTGCGATATTGTGAGGAATGTCGCAATATTACGTATCGCAATTAATAATATCAATTATTAATTGATATAAATTATCAATATTAATAACTGATAATATAATTTTTAAAATCACTACCGATAATAATGACAATATGCAATAGTTATACTGACGATAACAATAAATTAATATTAATTATTAATAACGCCTGATATTAATAACCGGTACTGATCTTATTCATCAGAAAACAGTAATATTAGCTCCTAATAATTACTATTAATGTTAATAATCCAAAAACTTTTTATTATCAATTATTTCTTAATATTAATATTGGTACTTAATATTAATGTTAATAATAAATGAGTAATAATTAATACTAATATTACTCCTAATACCACAGTGGGTGTACACCCACCTGTGATATTGTTCCTGATGTCCAGGGAGGGAGAGAGCATGGTATTACTTTCAATATCGCAGTAGGTGTACACCCACCCGGTGATATTGACCCGAATATAATATCCAGGGGGTGGAGTATGACGTTACTCCCAATATAGCAGTGGGTGTACATCCACCCGGTGATATTGCTTCTAATATTCACGGAAGAAGAGAATGCTATTACTCCCAGTATCGCAGGAAGTGTACACCCCTTCTGTGGTATTGTTCCTAATATCCGGAGGGGGAGAGGGTGATATTACTCCCAATATTGCAGGCTGTGTGCAGCCACCCTGTGATATTATTCCTAATAGCCAGGAAGGGAGAGGACGATAAGACTCCCCATACAACAGGAGATGTACACCCACCACGGGATATTATTCCCAATATCCATGGAGAGGAGAGGCTGATATTACTCCCAATATCGCCGGGGGTGTACATCCATTCTGTGACATTGTTCTTAATATTCAAAGGCGGAGAGGTTGATATTACTCCCAATATCACAGAAAGTGTACAAACCCGTGTGATATTGTTCCTACTATCCAGAAGAAGAGAAGATGATACTACCCCCCATATCGCAGGAGGTGTACACCCACTCTGTTTCCTAATATGCAGGACGGGAGAGGATAATATTCTTCTTAACAGTGCAGGGTGTGTACAGCCCCCCTGTGATATTGTCCTTAATATTCCAAGGCAGAGAGGATGATGTTACTCCCAATACCGCAGAAAATGTACACCACCCCAGTGATATTGTTCCCATGATCCAGGAGAGAAGAGGATGATATTACTTTCAATATCGCATGGGGTGGACACGCCCCCAGTGATATTGTTCCTAATTTCAACGTGGGAGAGGATGATACAACACCCAATGCCGCTGGGGGTAGAAACACTCCTGTGATATTGTTCTTAATATCCAGGGGGAACAGGATGCTATTACTGCAAATACTGCAGAGGATATACACCCATCTGTGATATAGTTGGTAATTTCCAGAGGCGGAGAAGACATTACTGACAATAACGTAAACACGCTATGGGACCACCGTGGATCATAATATCCAGCGGGGGAGAGGGGGGTGATATTACTCCCCGAATCGCGGGGGGCGCCCGCCCCCCTGCGATGTGGATCGTAATATCCAGTGGGGGAGAGGGGGGAGATGTTACTCCCCGCATCGCGGGGGGCGCCCGACCCCCTGCGATGTGGATTGTAATATCCAGCGGTGGGGAGACCAAGGAGCGTGGATCACTTGAGCCCAGGAGTTCAAGAACAGCCTGGGCAACATAGCGACACCCCATTTCTACAAAAAAAAAATTTTAATTAAGTGGGTGTGATGGCACATGCCTGTAGTCCCAGATACTCCAGAGGCTGAGGCAGGAGGATCGCTTGAGCCCAGAAGGCAGAGGTTGCAGTGAGCGGAGATCACACCACTGCACTCCAGCCTAGGCGACAGAGTAAGATTCCATCTCAAAAAAAAAAAAAAAACAGGGGGCAGGGGTGTAGGGGTGGGCAGTCTATGTTCCCTCTCCTTGAATCTGGACTGGCCTTGTGACCTGCTTTGACCATTGGTCATATTATAGCAGAAGTTCATCAGCTAACTTCTTGGGACCTAGCACCATGTGAAGACGCTCAAGCTAGACTTTAAAATGAGAGACCCAGAGGAGAGACAGAAGCTCCACTAAATCCAAAGAACACCTAGACTGATCAACAACAGAGGAAGCAAGGACAGCAAAGGGCGCTGCAGAGGCCAAGAGGTGAGAGCACAGCAGGAGGGAGGAGCAATGAATGGTCAGCCACAAGTGCATTTGGAGGCCAAGCCATAGCTTGACCAACATCCCAGGGGGTACAGAGGCGCAGGTTACCTGGATGTGCATGGAAGAGTTTCCCTCTTTGAGTGAGCCTTAATCCAACAAGAACAAAGCTTTGTGTTGGCCGGGCACAGTGGCTCAGGCCTGTAATCCTAGCACTTTGGGAGGCCAAGGCAGGTAGATCACCTGAGGTCAGGAGTTCGAGACCAGCCTGGCAAACATGATGAAACCCTGTCTCTACTAAAAATACAGACCAAAAAAATTAGCTGGCCATGGTGGCACACGCCTGTAGTCCCAGCTACTCGGGAGGCTGAAGCAGAATTGCTTGAACCCAGGAGGCAGAGGTTGCAGTGAACTGAGACTGTGCTGCCACTGCACTCCAGCCTGGGTGACAGAGAAAGATGCCGTCTCAAAAAAAAAAAAAAAATCAAAAACTTCATAGGAATTGTTCAAGTTAGATTTTTCTTTTTTTCTTTTTCTTTTTTTTTTTTCCGGAGATGGAGTCTTGCTCTGTCACCCAGGCTGGAGTGCAGTGGTGCAATCTCAGCTCACTGCAACCTACGCCTTCCAAGTTCAAGCAATTCTCGTGCCTCAGCCTCCCGAGTAGCTGGGATTAGAGGCACCCACTACCACACCCGGCTAATTCTTCTATTTTTTGTAGAGACAGGGTTTCACCATGTTGGCCAGGCTGTTCTCAAAATTCTGACCTCAGGTGATCCACCTGCCTCGGCCTCCCAAAGTGCTGGGATTACAGGCGTGAGCCACCGCGCCCCACCCGGCCAGATTTTTCCAAAAGGGTTGCTTTTGTTGAATGATAATCCAATTGAATAAAGAATCTGTCCATTTCTATTATGTTAGTCCAGCAATAGAGCCGACCTGACAGTCTTCAGCCATAACCACAGAAGCCAGCATTACAACCCAGAAGCTAAAGTTCCAAATGTATAACATGATAAAAACATATCAAGATAAGCTTGATTAATTTAGTAAAACATTACCAGTCTCTCGGCCAATACAGCCAACTTCCCAGCAGAGACAGCAAGTCAGGCCTTTAGGCTCCCTGGGTTTGGCCCCGAATCCCCATACCTCAGCCAACGGCGCAGCCTACTGACCCCAGTCTCTGGGTCAGTTCATTTTAGACAACAGGGTTGCCGGGCTGCCACAGAGATCAGCAAACAAAATAGTCCACCTGCAAGGAACAGGCCTTCCTTGTGACAACCGTGCTACAGGAAAACCAGCCAAGTTGCCGGAACCACAGAGTACAACAAAGTTTGGGTAAAATAGTTGTGGCAAAAATGAAATTCTGGGGCTACATTTCCATCCTGTATGAAACTATTGAACATCCTTGGTCAACACTCTCTGTAGAGATTTGTTTTATGTAAGTTGTAGTTCCAAAATGTGTGGGGTTTTTTGTTTGTTGTTGTTGTTGTTGAGACAGGGTCTCGCTCTGTCGCTAGGCTGGAGTGCAGTGGTGAGATCTCAGCTCACTACACCCACTGCCTCCCGGGTTCAAGCGATTCTCCTGCCTCAACCTCTCGAGTAGCTGGGACTACAGCTGTGCACCACCGCACCACACCAATCTAATTTTTTCTTTATTTTTTTTGTATTGTAGTAGAGACGGGGTTTCACCGTGTTAGCCAGGATGGTCTCGATATCCTGACCTCGTGATCTGCCCGCCTCGACCTACCAAAGTGCTGGGATTACAGGCATGAGCCGCCATGCCCAGCCCAAAATGTGTTTTTTCTAAATCACTCTTTAAAAGAGTTTTTTAAAAAACTACTTTACTAAAAAAAAGTAAATTTAAATTTAGTAACATGGCATTACAATCCTTGGGAATAAAATTAATTTTATGCTGTTGTCCTGACAAAGCAAAGGAAATGCATCTGAAGTGGCATGGTTTGGTTTGGTTTTGTTTTTTTCTAAAATTGTTCTACTCTTCCAAAGGGAAGGTTTTAGAATGTTTCCCAAAGCATGAATGTTGGAATGGTGGTCCCATGAGATGCTCCTCTAAAAAAAGAAGGAGGTGAAAGAATTATTTGGCCAAATCTGCTTTGAAATCCTCTCCCTTTTAGATTCATCCTAATATTGGCATAGGAATGCCTCTTTAAAGAACTACAATAAAGAAGCCTGTTTATCTTTGCTTAACACAGAATCCTCAAGTTATTAACCACCCTTTTTTCAAGTAACACCCATAAAAGTCCCTTGGCGCTAGAGGACCTTGGAACCCACTGAAAGAAACACCGCCTTGGTCTCTGGGGGAGGAGAAGTGGGACATAACTCCCTGCTTTCTGACAAATGGTTTTGAAATATTCATCATTTCTCTCAAATGACAAAGGATGAAATATTGTTTCTACTTTTAATTCATTTCCCCTACAATTCTTGTAACGTTTGGTTTGTAACAAAGACATTTTAAACAAAAAGATACATTCAAAATTGGGAACCAGCAGGCAGCAAAGGGTTCCATTCACCAGCCACCTGTGCCTTTGAAGTGGTTGAGTCTGTTCCCAATGTTTTCATAGCCTTTGGAACGCCCTCCCAGGTACAAGAGCATGCCGTTCAAATTTTCAACCAATTACGTGGCCGTGTCACTCTCCACTCCGCCTGCACGCTGGGAGAAAACGCAAATCCATGAAGGTGGTATTTAAAGAATTGACAGCCTTGAAAACATTTTGGAATTATTTGATTTCCTCACAAAACTTCATTATTGCTAAATCCAAAAGATGAGCCTGACAATATCTGTAAGTCTACCAACTGCCCTCCTTAAACTTTGTTGTTAACACTTCCCTAAATCTTCTGTTCACGCCAGCAGCATATCATATGACCAACTCCAATGTGCCTCCGTTAGATTCTGGGACATTTCTGGGAGTTCATACATTTTTGTTTGAGAAAGTTAAGGAGCTATCATACATCTACAGTTCCGCCCTCCTCCCCACTCTATGATCAAAGGAAAAATTTAAGGGGCAGTTCCACTTGTTCAATAACGTTCAATAACATATTTCTCCATGGTCCTCCATGTGCAGTGCAAAACAGCAGAAATCCCCATCCTAACAGAGCTGGCATTTGAGCAGATGGCTCGGGCAGGGAAGTTCCCAGCGAATATAGTGGCTCTTATCATGCAAACCGGTCCAAGAAGCAGACACATCCACCTTGAGCCAGATTTATTTGCAAGGAATGGGTTCAAAGTCATGAAAAGAGGAGAGTTCACATAGACTCAATTTCAACAAAAAGTAGCTCTCATAGGGGTGAATGGGTTTAGGTTGCTCAAGAAGAGAGAGATTCCAAAGATGGAGCTTGAGTTGAAGCCCCCAGGAGCTCCCCCTGCAGAAAGAGCAGAGGCTCAGGCTGAGGACAGCTCCCTGAATGGCCACCTGAAACCTGAAACCCGTGATGGGAACGCAGAGGGGACCATGGAGCAAAAACGCCAGGGAACTCTATATGGTGGAAAGGAGATAGCCAGATGTGGTGGCACACCCCTGTAGTCCCAGCTACTGGGGAGGCTGAGATAGGAGGATCACTTGAGCCCAGGAGTTTGAGACTAGAATGAGCCATGATTGTGCCACTGCACTCCAGCCTGGTGAAAGAGTGATACCCTGTTTTCATAAGAAAAAAATAACAAAAACAAAAACAAGAAAGGAGAGAGTTGGCTAAGCTTTATCACCTTTGTGGGTTTGGAACCCTTACTTGATCCTTCACTAAAGTACTTCTTGGGCATCCAGTGAGGTTCAGTGTGTATTGAGAGGATGGTGAGGATGGCAGCCAGGCGTGGGATCTGTATTCAAGAAGAAGCTGCCCCACTCGCTGGCCATCTATGGATTTCCAGCCAACAAGCATTTCCAACCACCTATGGATTTCCAACAACTGAGAACTCATGAGACTGGCTGCCCAGTCTTTCCTCTCTGCCAGAGCATGAAGAGGCCTCCATCATTTCAGGTTGATGCTCTGGTTCGAGCAGAGCACACTCTTCAGTGGCTTCCTGAGAAAATGTGCAAGACAAGTCCATTTTCTGGCTCTCCATAGAAGACCCACTTCACCTGCAGCCTCTCTGTGTTCTCATCGGTACTCCCTGCTCACTCACCGCAGCCGCAGCTCCCTGGGCCTCCCCATGGTTCCCCGACCACAGCAGGTGCGCTCCTTCCTCTGGGTCTCAGCACTTGTTCCGTGGCCTGGAGTGCTTCCCCCCCGCCCCCTCCCCACTCTCTCTATTGCCCATTCTCATTCAGGTCTTTGCTCTAATAACACTTTCTTGGCCGGGCACAGTGGCTCACACCTGTAATCCCAACACTTTGGGAGGCTGAGGCAGATGGGTCACTTGAGTTCAGGAGTTCGAGACCAGCCTGACTCAGCCTGCCCAACATGGTGAAACTCCGTCTCTACCAAAAATATAAAAAATTAGCCAGGTGTGGTGGTTGCGTGCCTGTAATCCCAGCTACTCAGGAGGCTGAGGCAGGAGAATCGCTTGAACCCGGGAGGTGGAGGTTGTAGTGAGCCAAGATCACACCATCACACTTCAGCCTTGGCAACAGAGCAATTCTCTGTCTCAAAAATAAACAAACAAACAAACAAACAAACAACACCTTCTTGGCAACACTTCCTGATGATTCCATTTAAAATTCCAGCCTTTCCCCTGCTCTCTCCATGCACCCTCCCTGCTTTGCTTTGCTCCATAGGTTGAACTGTGTCCCCCCCAAAAAAGACGTGCTAAAGTTCTAACCCTGAGTACTTCAGGATGTGACCTTATTTGGAAGTAGGATCATTGCAGATGTAATTAGTTAAATTAAGACGAGGTCATACTGAACTGGGGTGGGCCCCCAAATCCAAAAGGACTGGTGTCTTCATAAGAAATTTGGAGACAGAGACGCGGGAAGAACACCATGTGATGGGACAGAGCTGGGCTGTGCAGCTGCAAGCCAAGGGACACCAGATATTGCCGGCCACCACCACCGGTCACCACCGGAAGCGAGGCGGAGGCAAGGACGGATTCTCCTGCAGGTTTTTGTTTTGTTTTGTTTTGTTTTGTTTTGTTTTGTTTTTTTGAAGGCGGGGGTCTTGCTCTGTTGCCCGGGTTGGAGTGCATGGCACAATCATGGCTCACTGCAGCCTCAACCTTCCAGGCTCAAGTAAGTCTCTTGTCTCAGCCTCCAGAGTAGCTGGCATGCACCACCATGCCCGGCTAATTTTTTAATGTTTTTGTAGAGATGGGGAAGGGGGTCTCACTGTGTTGCCCAGGCTGGTCTTCAATTCCTGCACTCAAGTGATCCTCCTACCTCAACCTTCCAAAGTGCTGGGATTATGGGTGTGAGCCGCCCCACCCGACCCCCCTACAGGTTTCAGAGGGAGCATGGCCCTGCCAGCACCTGGGTTTCCTACTTCTGGCCTCCAGAACTATCAGAGAATAAATGTCTGCTGTTTCAAGCCACCCAGCTTGTGGTATTTGTTATGGCAGCCCCAGGAGCTAATACACCATCTGACAGGCTCTATTTTTAAATTGTGTACTTTATCATCTGTCTCACATCACAAGAAAGCAGGCAGCACAGGGGCAGGGAATTCCACCGGTTTTGTTCCCTTGGTGCCTGGAGCAGTGCCTGGCACACAGTACAAGCTTTACAAGCAGCGGCGGCTGGATGAGTGAGGGGTGAATGGTTGGAGCCTAGCACTCCTCCACGGCCACTGAAGACTCGGTGCCTGGCAGAGGGGTGGGCACAGCATCCTCAAAGGCCCAGAAGACTGGAGATGGTGGAGCACGTGAGGGACAGTAGTGAGAGACACAGGAGCAGGGAATCAAGAGGGCAGCAGTTTGGGGGGCCACAGGAAGATGCCATCCTATGAGCAGTGGACACCACATTGAGGGAGTGTGAAACAGGGACCAGACAGTGTGGCCAGACAGAACGCGCCTCTGCTGAAGACGACTCTGACAACAGTGTGGAGGATGGGTGGGCTGAGAAGCCCCAAGGGACACAGGGACCAGGTGCAAGGCGAGGTGGCGGCCGGGGACATGAAACAAAGCTTTCCGTCAGGCAGAAGGGACCATATTTGGTGACGCACTGGCTGTGGAGGGGAATCGGGGACAGCTGCTGGGGTGGAGAAACCATCCTCTAAGATGCAGAACCTGCCAGGGAGACGGCTCCCGAGGGAAGAACCTGGCTGTGGGTGTGCTCTGGCACCTTCCACAGTCCTTCCCCATCCGCACTAGCCTCTTGGTGTCCCTTCAGACATGCCAGGCTCATTCCCACCCCAGGAGCTTCCCGCCCCTCTGGCAGGAATACTGTGCCCCAGATCTTCCCTGGCTGAAGTCACCTCACAGGCCAGGTCTCAGCTCAAGTGTCACCTCCTTGGAGAGGCTTTCCCTGGCCACCTTCACGAAAGTCTCCCACAGGTTTCCATCCCGTCACTCTGCTGTCTTTCCATTGCAGCACAATCACTCTCTGCAGGCACCTCATGCATTTGCTTACAGGTACACTGAAGGGCCCTTCCCACCAGCAAGTGCGCAGGCTCTGTGGGACAGCGACCCCTCTGTCTCATGTACAACACATTCTCCAGTGCCTGGGACAGTAGCTGCTCAATAAATCTCTGTAGAATGGGTGGGCAGATTAACATGGCATTCAGGGGCCAAGTTAGGCTGGAGCTGCTGATTTCAGAGCCACGGGCCGAGAGGTGGCGATTTTCATCCAGGGAAGGGCAGGGAGCCCAGGGGAAGATCTAGGAGAGAGCCCAGAGGAACTTGGTGTTGGGACAGGAAAGAGGAAACCCTGGTACAAGACTCTCAAGGAGAGACTGGAGATGCCCCAAGGGCAGGCCTAGGAGCTGAGGGAGTCTGGATTCAACCCAGCAGGCGCTCCAGAGCCCCAGCGCCCAGACACTAAGGTGCCCTTCATCTCATTTGAGTGTTGCCAAGTGGGCATGATCACTATCTCATTTTCCTAAGGATGGAGAGGATTTAACTCACACAGCAAGTGGCAGACTCGGGGGGAAGCCCCAGCAGTGTTCTTCTGGAATCCAAAGTCTCATCCTTTCCTGTTGATGGCACCGAGCTTCTTCGGGAACTGCCACAGGAGCAGGAGGAGATCTGTGAGAAGGGGTCAGCCACAGCAGATGTGGCCAGGAGAGCAGCCGCTGGAGCAACCACCCAGGGGATCTGACGACCTGGCTGTCAGCTTAGCCGGGTGGAGGCCAGGCTGGAGGCCAGGCTGAAGAGGATGGAGACATAAACAGGAGGCAAGGAAGTGGGGACGGCAAGCGTGGGTAACTTTGGAGAAGTTTGGCTGTAAAGGCAAGTGAGACATAGGATAGTAACCGGAGGCGGCAGTGGGTGCAAAGAGCGCTATTTTAAGGTGGCAGAAACCGGAGTATGCTTGGACGTGACAGCCAGCAGAGGAGCAACTGAAGAATCGAGTTAAGGAGGAAGCGGGGTGGCTCAGCACCGGGGTGGAGGGGCTGCAGAGGCGGAGGCCCGGCCCTCCTCTGGCCACTTATTTTCCATGGGAAGTAGGAGGAGGAGAGGGCACCTGAGCAGAGTTGGGAGGTGGGAGGGACAGGTTTGAAAGAGCAGGGAAGGCTTGCAGTAATGCAGCAGGAGAGAGAGCTGGCTGCAGCGAGGGCCAGGCAGTGGGACCCCGTGACCATTCTCAGTGCCATCAGTCTGCTCAAGGGTGTGATGTTCTTTGGGGGCACCCAGCAGCCTGGGTAAAAGTTCAAAGGACAGAGAGTTGAAGTCATCCAGGCATGAGGTTTCACTGGGATGGTTCTGTGGATGGAGTGAAGTTAGGACATGGGCAAGACAGTGACTGAGGTAATGAGCCAAGCAATCTACACTGGAAGTGGGGCAGCCGGAATAGGCTGAGGGTCCGGGAGGAAGCAGAGGTAAAAGAGGTCAAGGGACCAGAGTGACAATGTCAGAGTGAGCAGGTTGAAAGAGTAGAAGGCATGGCCATAAAGCACAGCCTCTCAAGGAGGGATTCCAGAGAGGCTGCAGCTCTGAGCCAGGGCAGGTGGACACCCAGAGGAGCCGTGGGCGTGGGCGTGCGGCTGCAGCCTCGGCCTCTTGGCAGGACTCACAGAAGCCTCGTGGAAGTCAGCTGCGGCTGGGAAGGGCAGCCTGGCAGCTGTGGAGCAGGATGAGGATCCTTTTTGCGTGTTTGTTTTATTTTTTTATTGTCTTATTATGCCTAGGTGAGACATGTGCCTGGGATAGCATTCATACAGCATGAAAGAGTATATTCTAATAAGTCTGTTCTTCACCCTGCAGTGGGCTCGCAGAACCAGAGGCAACCACATCACCATCTTCCTCTGTGTGGAGCTTTTCTTGGAGCCTGAGGGGTAGTGGTGGTTGCAGCTCAGATGGGCAGAAGGCTTCCCCACTTCTTCCTTCCAAGGTCCCAGGCTGCAGGTCCCCTCTCAGCACCCCAGAACTGCTCAGGGTATGGAGGCCCCTGGCCAACCCCTCAGTTTCTGAAATCCTCTCTTCCTCAACTGCCAAGAGAGCCCACTCCTCGGGCTCCCTCCCCCATCCCTGAGCACTCCTTGTCTGCTCCTGCCTTTAAGTGGTGGTCCAACAGGGCTGCGTCCTGCATCCCCTGCCTTCTCGCCTCATTCTGATGCATTCCTGCAGCTTTACTTTCCACCTCCAGCAGCATCAGGGCTCAGAACTCTCTCTCCTGAACTCCAGTCCTATATACTCATTGTCCACCTGACAGCTTGCCTCCAACTCAAGGAGCCACAGCTGAGCTCATCAGCCGCCTGTCTGCCCATGGCCCCATCAGCAGCGGACATGAGTTATCTCATGGCCACCCAGCATCTGTTCACCCCAAGACTGAACAGGCCCAGATTTGGTGCACAGACAGCCCTCTGCTTTGGACCCTGTGGTCTGTGGTGTTCCTTCCACCTCTACCCCAACCCAAGTACAGCATGTTACCAAAATCTAGAACATTCCATACTCTCAGCGTAGTACTGTTTCAGGGTTAGCACAGAGTCAAACAGGCCCAATAGCAGCAAACCCCAGGGTTTGGCCCAAGTGACATGTGAGAAGACCTCCCTCTTTCCTGATAGCTTTGAACCTGAGAGGCTTAAAGCCAATGTCCTGCCTCACATGGAGGCCGGGAACGCACACCATCAACACTCACAGTGCATTTTCTTGGCATGAGGTATGTGCCAAGCACCCTAAATGTGTGGATCTCACTTCATCCTAACAAAACATGGCACGAGCTAGGCCCTATTTTTCCCCACCCTAAAGAGGAGGGAATTGAGCCACAGAGAGGTTCAGGGCCTTGTCAGGCCATGCAGCTAATAACTACGGTGCCAGAATTCAAATCCAGACCATGTGATTCCAGAGTCCTTGCTCTCAACCACCAGGCTCTACTGCCAGAAGCCGACACAGGCAAGCAGAGCTACGAGAGGAGGGGAAACTGAGGCCTGCTCCCACCATGGAGCCCTGAATCATGCTGGGCCTGTGGCCAGAACCACCCTTAGACTTTTCAGTTACATGGGACAATACGCTCCCTTCTGCCTGAGCCAAATATAGTTTGGGTTTTCTATAAATTCAGACCAAAAAAGTTCTAACTGATAACACATCCTCTCAGTGGGTGGCACCACCGCACACACAGTATTCAGGCTGGAAACCAGAACATCGTCCTCCCCTCCTCCCTCTCCCTCATCCCTCACATCCAACCAGTGACCAAAGCTGGTGTCTCAGCCCTGGCCCTCTTCTTACCCCTGGTCCAGGCGACTATCATTTTTGTTGGGTTTTGACAACAGCCTCCTTGCCTCCTCTCTACTTCCAGCCTGCTATCCCCACCACAGACTTACCCCCAAGTTCTTTAAGATCCAGATCTTAACATGTCACTTCCCGTATGAAACCTTCCAGACACCTCACTGCTCCTGGGGTAAGCTCCAACTCCTGCCCAGTCTGGCCCTACCCACCACCCTGGTCACACCTCCCTCATCCGCCCTGCCCCAGCCCCCCTGCTTCCGAAGCTCGCTGCTTCACACCTCCAAATCTCTGCCTGAAATGCTCTTGCCCTCTTCTTGCCAGGTAAATGCCCAGTGGTGATGCCACTTCCTCTGTGAGTTGTGCTTTGCTAATCCCAGCAGAGCTCTCATTCTCTGCTCTCGGCTCTTTCACTCTGGGCTCTTTTCATTGTCTACTTTAACTTCAGTTTTGTGAGCACCACTGTTTACTAGAATGTGAGCTCTTCAGGGGCAGGGGTTCTGTCTTGTTTTTTTGTGGTTTTTGTTTGTTTTTTTTTGTTTGTTTTTTTTTTTGTGGTTGATGTTGTTGTTGTTTTGAGATGGAGTCTTGCTTTGTCACCCAGGCTGGAGTGTAGTGGCACGATCGCGGCTCACTGCAACCTCTGCCTCCTGGATTCAAGCAATTCTCCCCATTATAGGCATGCACCGCCACATCCAGCTAATTTTTGTATTTTTAGTAGAGACGGGGTTTCACCATGTTGGCCAGGCTGGTCTCAAACTCCTGACCTCGTGATCCACCTGCCTCGGCCTCCCAAAGTGCTGGCATTACAGGCATGAGCCACTGCACCCAGCCCTGTCTTGTTTATCTCCTCATCCCCACGTCCCAGAGTATGCCTGGCACAGAGCGGTCACTCAGTAAATACTCATGGAAAAGAGAATAAAATGAGTGTTCCCAGGAATAGAGGGCTGGTTCTATACCTCTTCTCTCCTCTCCTCTTCTCTTCTCTCCTCTCTTCTTCTCTTCTCTCCTCTCCTCTTCTCTTCTTCTCCTCTCTAGGAATGGTCAGGTTCAGGGAAAATAATGATGCCACAGGATGATTACTATGCAGAAAGACTTTTTTCAATAAATAAGCATGTTACCTATTTGATCAATGACAAACCTATGATATTGTCACCTACATTTTATAAACTAAGAGACTGAGGTTTAGGAAAGTTTTGCAATCTAGAATTCCATGCACATGCTCACGATACCCACTCCCATCTCAAAGCCGAGGCTCAGGCTGGACTCTGATGAGACAGACCCCAACAGTGACTGGTTGAATGAAGCGGTGCTCTTGCCCACACTGGCCACAGGGGGGCAGCCGAGTGCTGGCGTGAGGGTGGCTTTCTGCCCCCACTTCACACCCACCCTCGGAAGATGTGGATCTGAAGGTGCAAGGGGAAAAGCCACCACTGAGGAGAGGCCAGGGGACAGGGGCTGGGGTTGCTATATCTGCTAGAAATAGGTAAAACTGGAGGGGAGTCGGGGAACAAACCACTAATTCCTAGAGTCAAAGGCTGGAGACAGATCATAGACCTGAAGCTTGCATCACCAGCATATTTAATAACAGGCCACAGAAAGCGATGCAGCATTCCTGGATTGAGGGGGTGCTGCAGGCCTGCAAATGAGAGGCACTGACTTGCAGCAGGGGCCGGTCACTGTCAGACCGTTGCTGCCTCACACCAGACAGTACAGGCGCTGCACTCATGTCCTCAGAGGCCAGAAGGCAGGGGGCACAGCCAGCACCTGCTGCACCAGGCATCCAGGATGTGTGGCCACTTCAGTGCCCAGGACATGCAGCAGGCCTCAAGCGGGCTGGGAGTGCAGGTCTCCCAGGTCCAGGCCCACACCGAGCACTTCCAGAGGTCCAGTGGAGCAGTTCAGAGGCAGCAGCTGGGTGCAAGGATCCCAGGTTGAGGTCTCACCACAAGCCAGGTATCTCCCAGTCTGTCATCTGCAGCAAGAATGGGCTGAAGGTGGCAGGGGATCCCCAGAGTGGCAGCAGGAGAGCAGGCTCTCTTGCTGGCAGACGATGTGGGGCTCAGGAATCTGTAGAGAGAGCCACCCCCGTCTTTGCTGCAGAGGGAGCTGCACTATGTGGAGACTGAGGAATGGACTCCATAAACCTCTCACAGGCTTTCCCAGCTTAGGGAAAATCTCAGGGGCTGGAGGAAGGTTAGGGCAAGATCTGAACCCATCAGCCGCCCCAGCCCTTCCCCTATGGACGGTGCAGGCTAAGTGAGCTGGCTAGGAGTTCGGGTGCCTGGCTTCTCTCCCTGGCACTCAGACCTGCACCCATCCCCCACATCTCACTCCCAGCTGGAGCCTGATGGGGTAACAGCAGCACCCACTTCCCAATTTTCCACATTCTTTCCTGCCCACTCAGCCTGACAGCCTTGACCAGGGTCAGAATTCCACAGCAAACATCTCAGTCCCTTCCCACAGGAACACTGAGGTCCCTGGCACACCCCACGCCCTGCCCTCCAAGCACTGGACTCAGGAACAGCAACGGGAGGAAGTTGGATGAAGAAAGCCTTTGCCCCCACCTCTACACCCCCGCCCCAGCCCTGTCCTGGGTGTGAGCAGACACGATGATGCTGGGGGCACAGCCCTTCCCGGCACCAAATCACTCTACACCCTCACACCACAGGAACTTGAGCCCAAAGGCCAAACGGAAGGTCATCAGCCTTCGGCCCTGATCCCTCGGCTCTGACCGCTTGGATTTTTTTCCACGGATGTTTATTCCAGCTGACCCTCTAAGCCCATCCCCCCTCAGGTTCAGGCCAGGAAAGCTGAGCCCAGCTGGCTGAGGAGCTGCTGCCGGCATCTGGAAGACTGCTCCCCACAGCAAGAAGGTAGGCAGGGCCCCGGGGAAGCAGGATGGGAAGGGGGCAGTGGCACAGGGGTTTGGGGGTCCATCCCTGATTCGCAAATGTATGAAGAGAGGCCGCGTTTTGCACCAGCATCTCAAAGAGTGATGAGAAAGCAGGGAAGGGAAGAGGACAGAGTGAGAGGGGCCCCCAAGTGCCAGAAGGGGGCCTGAACTTGGAATCAGGGCCCAGGGTCTGCTTCCAGCTCTGTCATTCATGTGAGCATGTCACTTACTGTTCTCCCGCGTGTAAAAGAAAGGGGTTCCCAGTGATCTGGAGACCCTCTCTCCCAGCTGGGAAAGGAGAGGAGAGTATGGGGCCAGAGGGTGACAGGCAAGGCAGCTGGGTGAAACCGGGTACAATCAAGAGAGGAAGTTCCCACCCTCTCCCCCAGCAAAGGGAGGGGGGAATGTCCCCTGGGCCCAGCCCCCTGCCTGTGCCAGGTGCAGTAACAGACACACTACACACACGCCTCAGGGCCCTGGACAACCCTCCCTCCTAGGGGGTGGAGTGGGGGGAGCTGAGGGGGCCCTGAGGTGAGAAGTCCCTGGCTCAGCAAGGCCAGTGTGGTGCCGCTGCCCAGGATTAGTGCCAAATCCTGGGCTGCTGGGCAGGGATCACACGTTGTCGTTAGCTTCGCAGCTGCTTAGCTGCACCTGCCCACACCCTCCCGCTGCCCCTCACAGGCACTCAGCCTGACTCCTTTCTCGGATGGAAACTGGGACCCTGCCCTACCCCAGATAAGCAGGGGAGGGGCTCCAGAATCGGGGGAGGGGGGGCAAGAGAGGCCAAAGTCACCCCTGACAAACACTCCCACCCACAGAAACCCCCAGGGCTCCTAGGTACAAAGCTGAACAGAGGGAAGGAACAGAGAAGGCCTCTCCAGCCCCTGTGGCTCTGTCCCAGGTGGCTTTCGCCTGTAGTTACCTTGTCCTCAGGCCATCCAGGCCCTTCCCTCCAGATGGCTCCTGTCCTTGGAGAGACAGAGGGAGACACCCAGACAGAGCCCCCACAGCTGGAAATCCTCAGCCCCACTTCCCGGAGCAGCGCTCCCGAGGCCCCCCAGCTGCGGGGAACCCTGCCATCCACACCCCCCAACACACACCACACAAAGCTCCTTGCTCTGGGCTACATCTACTCCCCCACCCTTCACCACCCCCTCCCCACGACCTGAGCAGGGTCCAGGGAAGGGCCTTCCACACACCTCCCCATTCCCCAGGGCCACCCAGGCCCCTGGATCTGCCCTCAAACATGACCACACTCCCCTCCCTGTCTCAAGAGGGAGGCCAGGCAAGGAATCTCCCTCAAGCACCCTCCCAGGGAAAAGCCTTCAGGAAGCTGAGGCCAAAGGCTGGAGCCGCCTGCCTGTCTCCTCAGCCCCGTGGAGTGGGCAGTGCTGGGGCCCGCAGAGTTGGGCCTAGGACCTATAGGGGCTGGGGCAGATGCAGACCATGGAGGTGAGGGTGGGGGCTAGGGAAGAAGCCCCCAAAGCACACTGTGGCCTCCAGACTCTCTCCTCTGTCATCCTCCTGCCTCCACAACCACCCCACAGTTACACAGCAGCCTCTGTTCGTAGAAAAAGAACATAAGGCTGGAACACTTAAGATGGGAGGAGGGGGCCAGAGCTGCAGGAGACACAATCCGGGGCGGGGCGGCCTCCTCCTGATCCCGCACACCTGGGTGGGCTGCAGCCCCACCGGCCGTGGACTTACAGAGCTGGGAACCTGAGTCGCTGAAGAGCGACTCATTCTCCAAAGACAGGTGCCTTGCCGCGCCCCAAGAAGCCTCCTCAGTAAGGAAGCTACTGTAGCCCCCCGAACCCCCGCGCCCACACTCCTGCTACCCTCCCTCTCACCTGTGTGGGGCGCGCCGCTTCGGGTAAGGGGTCGGGACCGCAGCAGCCGTCGGGCATGCTCCGGACCGCTCGGAGTCAGGGGCTGCCTGGAGGCCGCGACCACCGAGCGCAGCCGGGCGCCTAGGAGTCGTCGTCGCCGTCCTCTCCGCTGGCACTGCCCGGCTCGGGCTCGCGGGACGCGCGCTGCTCGCGGGTCAGCAGCGCTGTCAGGCCCTGGGCGCGGAGGAGGAGGCCGCCGCCCAGGAACAGGACCCCGCAAAGCACCAGCAGGGACAGCACGCCGAGCACCACCGCCTGCACCGCGCGCGGCCCCTCGGGGGGCTCCGGCGGCGACGCCGACTGGTTACAGCAGGAGCTCAGCCAGGCGGCCTGAGCCGCGGCGCCCGCCTGAGAGCCGTTCATGCTCCAGCGCCGGCTGCCCAGATGTGGCGGGATCGCCAGATGTGCAGGAGCCCAGACTGGCGGGCGGGCCGGCGGCTGCGTCGGGGAGGGAACCAAGGGGCGGACCCCAGGCGCCCTACGCCCCTACCCCTTGCGCAGAGCGCTCGGGCACTTCCTAGACAAAGAGCTCCAGCCGTTGTGGCTACGGCCCTTTCTCCATAGGCCCGGACTCCGGGCCTGCTGTATTTCTTCTCATCCCCAAGGCCCACAGGCACCCCCATGCAAGTCCAGTCAGCCAAAACCAGGAGCCCTGTCCCCAAGAGTCCCTCCCCTTCGCAAAGTGGGCCAAGAGGTACACCTGGGCAGAGCCCTGAGAAGATCCTCAGACCCCATCCCAGCTGCAGGCTGGGGTGCTGCCCCTCTGAGCAGGACACAAGACAAAGGTGATTGTCCCCATTCTTGGGCTTTTTATCCCTAGACCAAAGTTCTATGCTGCTAGGTGGCCCAGGTGGCTGCTGAGCCAGGAGGCACACGGGCAGCCATAAGGGTGAGTGAGTCCCACCCTTCCTCGTCCATCATCCCCTTCAGAAGCCTCCTAGGGCTGGACAAGCAGGCCAATGCCTCCTCCACACTCCACAGCAGGGAGACATTCAGGTACAGCAGAGCAGAGCAGAGCATGGGGAATTTAAGGCCCACCCCCACTCCTTTTCTCAGGCCCCATAGGCCAAGGAGAGTCACATTTACAGACCAATGGGAGAGCACAGATTTGATCCACCAGGACTGCAGTCCTGACCCTGGATAAATTAGTCCCCCACTTCAGAAAATCGCAATGCCATAAGGGAAGGGAATGTTACTGTCCCATCTACTAGGGTAGCCCATTGCCAGCTAGGTGTCCCACAGCCAAGCCAGGGTGGGAGAGTGGAGCAGAGTCCAGCTGCAGAAAAGCAGAAAGACTGGAAAAGTGGACAGAGAAGCAAGACCCTCCTGCCAGGTCTACCAAAAAATTCTGTAGCAAGCCTTGAGTCCTCTTCTAAAAAATAAAGTCACTGCCAGTCAACCACCTGTACCAGTCCCCTCAGAAGGGATTAGATTAGCTGATGGCTGTCTGGTAGGAAAACAGGAAGAGTCCCCAGACTGCAGCAGGCCAAGTGGGGGGTCACATGCTATCAAGGACTTGCTAGAAATTGGCCTTCTTCAACTATAAACCCCCCTCCTGAGTCCTCCAACTCTCTGATGCCCCAGAGATCAAGAGTAGAAACATCACGTGGCCAAGGGTGACTCGGAATGGGAAAAGCGCATTCCAAGTGCAAACACTTCCTGGTCATCCTGACTACCTACCCTGCTCCAGGACCATGGACAAGACCCCCCACTCCCACCCCATTTCTCCCTCAGCATCCCTCCCTACACACAATTCATTTAGTCTGGTTAGAACTGGCCCAGAAGCAGCCAAAAAGCATTGTAAAACATGGACTGTATTGATGAGAGCATAGCACACAATGGGGGCTTGAGTATGGGGGTACAGAAATGAATGTGAGTTACCGAGGCAATGGCAAGGGCCAGCCCAAGCTGGAAGAAGTGTCACCAGATGCCGGATAGTCTCAAGCTGGCCAATGTGTCTCCAGACATGACCCACATCAAATGACCTTTCTGGTGCACATGGGGATCTATGTGCTCTATGAAGACAGAGAAGATACTCTCTGGGGCCATGGTGAAGCAAGACCAGACAACATAAAGGCCAGGGATGTCACAGCTTCCTTAGAAAAGGTGGAGATAACACAGGAACAGAAAACCAAATACATGTTCTCACTTATAAGTGGGAGCTACATGATGAGAACACAAGGACACACAGCGGGGAACAATGCACACTGGAGCTTTTTGGAGGATGGGAAGAGGGAGAGGATCAGAAAAATAACTAATGGGTACTAGGCTTAATACCTGAGTGATAAAATAATCTGCAAAAGTTTACAAAAAAAAAAAAAAAGCAAAGTGAGTTTGGAGGTGTTGAAATAGGGAGTCGATTGCTGGGGGGGAAAAGGGAGGAACAGCTCAGTCACATCCAAAAGCAACAGACCCTCACCCTACAATGCACCTTCCTTCACGAGACTGGCTATAGCCACATCTGGGTAACACCTGTTTTGTGTGAATATCCAGCCAAGTACAAAATCTGTCCATTTTCATACACCTTTAATCCCACCCACCCACCCCCCTCATCTTGGAGCAATGCCCTCAACACACACCTGTGTCCTCACAGGAATGCCAGAAAGTGTTAACACGTCGGGCAGACACAAGACAAGGGAGAGATGGCTCAGCCCAAACTCATGTTCTCAACTTTATTCCCCATCCCAGTGGTGGCTCTTCTGTACAGTGGAGAAAGAAGGGGGACCCCACCAGGGCTATGGAGAGACAGTAGAGGCAGGACTGAACCGTCAGCAAAGATTAAAAGGATGACCTGAGGCTGGCAACCACAAAACCAAGAAGCCAGCGGGGGCTGCCCCTTCCAAGTCTCACCAATGACCCAGAGCAGGTTCCAGAGCCCAAAGGCCCAAAAGTGCAATTCCCAAAAGCCAAGGTCTGGGAGCCATCAAGGAGCTCCCAGAGATCCAGCGACGCTCAGAGGGCAAGGGTGTCTTTGATGAGCCTGCGCATGGTGGTGGTGACTGAGGTGCCCAGGGCATCAGTGATCTGGAAGGAGATCTTGTACAGGTAGGGCTGCACGTCCCGCAAGCCTGTGTCAAACACGTTATCCACCTCCGACTGTGTGGGCATCTTGGGCAAGTACTCATGCCGATTCATCACCTCCACGATGTTGATGATCTTCTCGCAGAGTTTCTCACCCACCTTCTCCCGGCAGATCTGCCGCTCCTGCTCCGTGGCCAGGGCTACCACATGCACCTTGACCGTCCACACTTCCCATGGGATGCACTCGTCTGAGAATGGCCAGCGAGACTTCTTCTTCTGGTAGAACTCCAAGGACATCTGCCCCAGCCCATCGCCACCAGAGTTGCGCAGTGCATCCTGGGAAGAAGGGAACGAATGAGCAAGCCAAGGCCTCTGAGTTCCCACCTGTGAGGGCCTGCTTCCCACACCCCAGGGAATTATGCTCTCTTAGCTCTAGTCATCATCCAAGCATGGCAAGGAAACAAGACTGGGAGAGGGTAAACGATTTGGGCTTAGTGACACAGCAAACTGCCAGCCTGAAATTGTGTAGTTCAAGCAAACCAACAAAATCTGTCTCCAAGCCCAACTCCTCCAGCTTGGTGAAGAACTGATATTACAGGAATAACTACTGGTCTGCAGGCACGTATTCTGTGCTAGGAACTTAACACACACAATCCCACTGGCTCCTCCCAACAACCCCATCAGCTTTCACCAAGGCACGATGAGGCTTAGAGAAGTAAGGTAACTTGCGAGAGTCACATGCCTATGGATGGCTGGACCAGGGTTTGAATCTGGATTGTCTGATTTCTAAATCCTTGCTTTTCACCTTTGCATTGCATCAAGGGCCTCCTCCTTCCACACCACCCCTTTAGCCCATATCCTTCAAAATGTTCTAATCACCTCGTCAACATTTCCCTCTTCCCCTGTAAACTCTATTTGTCTTCTCCACTGCCAATTAAACATAATTCTTTTGATATTTTTTAAAGAAACTGGGTCTTACTCTGTCACCCAGGCTGGAGGGCAGTGGAGCAATCATGGCTCACTGCAGCCTCGGACTCCTGGGCTCAAGCGATCCTCCCACATTAGCCTCCTGAGTAGCTGATACTACAGGCACACTTGGCTAAGTTTTAATTTTTTTTATTTTGTTAAGAGACGGGGTATTGTTACGTTATCCAGGCTGGTCTCGAATTCCTGGGCTCAAGCAATACTCCTGCTTCAGCCTCCCAAAGTGCTGGGATTACGGTCACAAGCCACTGCACCCAGTTCACAGTCTCTTTTATGAGCTAAGGAAGAGGGAACTGTAGAGCCCAGTGGTCCTTGCTCAAAAAGAGGGAAACCAAGCAACAGAATGGGGAAGGGAAGTTGAAGGACAGACCAGACCTGGCACTTCTCCCTCTTCTCCCCTGAGAAGCAAACAGGACCATCCAGTCCAATGATTCTGCCCTTGCCACCCCATGGGTGTGAGTGGCCCCATACTCCTCTTCCTAGGGCAGCCAGGACCCTGAAGTTCCTTTCCATCTGAGTTAATACCAACCCAGAGGGTAAGGATGCCTGAAATCCTGAACCACACTCATCAGGGAAGAGGCTTTCCTTCACTGACAAACCAAGGTCAAGTAACCTTGAATGGCTAATGCATCTGTAATGTTTACTGTGTGCCAGGCTCTGTTCCAAACACTGGGCATATTTGACTTATTCAGTCCTTGCAGTGCACACACCCTTTGAGGTAAGCAAGATTATTATTGCAATTTTGAGTGGAGCCGCTAGCCCAAGGTCACACACTTGCTGGGTGGCAGACCCCAGCTCCAAAGCCCATGCTCTTCACCACTCTGCTCCACCTGCCTCTCATGGACACCTGGAGGACACAGGGCTGAGTGCTGCTGCTGCTCTTAAGGGTGACTAGGAAACCACTTATGAACTTGCCCTTTCTGGGTTTGGCGGGACAATGAGAGACAGCTTTCACCTGACACTGGGCAACCCCCTGCAATGAGCACACAGTACCCAGCACAGTGAAGGGCTCTGCAAATATTTATGGAATGAAAGTCAGACACACAGCTCCCCCGTGTTCTAACCCCAGAGCAGATGCCTTCAGGCTCATGCCAGTAATTCAAGACCAGCCTTTAGTTCAAGACCAGCCTGGGCAACACAGTGACACCCCATCTCTACAAAAAAAATTATTTTTTTTTGGAGACAGGGTTTTGCTCTGTCACCCATGCTGGAGTACAGTAGCGTGATCATGGCTCACTGCAGTCTCGAATTCCTAGGCTCAAGCAATCCTCCCACCTCAGCTGCTCAAGCGTCTGGAACTAGAGGCATGTGCCACCACACCCCACTAATTTTTGTATTTTCTGTAGAGACGGAGTTTCGCCATGTTTCCAGGGCTGGTCTTGAACTCCTGGGCTCAAGCAATCCGGCCATCTCAGCCTCCCAAAGTGCTGAGACAACAGGCATGAGCCACCAGGCCTGGCAAAATAAATCTTCAAAAATTAGCCGGGCATGGTGGTGGTGGTGTACACCTGTGGTCCCAGCTGCTTGGAAGGCTGCAGTGGAAGGACTGCTCGAGCCCAGGAGTTCAAGACTGGGGTGACATAGTGAGACTGTGTCTCAAAAAAAAAAAAGGAAGAAAGAAAAATTATCTTTGCTACTTTAAAATGTAAAAGTACGCACTCAATGAAATGGTCAAACACTGTGACTCTGAACAAAGACCAGAGGAGAAGGCACACTACCACTCCCACCTCCTGAGGTGACCAACAGCAGCAGCCGGCCGTGTCCCTTCTACATCTTTCTCCTACCCAGGCACACAATGCCACACCACCAAAAGGGACACTCCCATCTTGGATGGCAGCCACCTGAACCAAGCAAGCCGTCCTCTGGGGGAGTTTCATGTGGGAAAGGAAAAGTGGAAGCAGAAGCAGAGAGAGCTGTAACCAGAGAGGTCAAGACCACAGAAGCAAGGATGGCCCCAGGGGACCTGGCCGCCAACACTGCTCAGCTTCCTGCTCTCCCTTTTCCCCCAGGCACATTTATGAGTCTCTCCCTCCCCCACCACACACACACGCGCCCGCGCGCCCTCCCCTGAAGAGGAGCTCTCAACACATCTGTTTCTCAGAACCTGAAAGAACCCGATTCACGCACTCAGGAAGAGAAGGCTGGTTCAACACCAAGCTGGAGTGGAGGAGCACTCGAGGCCCCCCTGCCATCTGCTATGCCACACCCTTACCTTGAACTCCCCGACACCCTTACCTTGAACTCCCCAACAACCTTGCGCAGGGCACGATCCAGTTCCTCAGAAGAGACACGCACATAAGTGAAGTCGATGAAGTCACAGTCAACATCCTGGGTGCCCACGGTGCCAATGGAGTAGGTGCCCTCCTTCTTGTAGTGGAACTTGCCTGTGCTGCGGTGCAGAAGCACCGTGTGCAGCACAGCCAGCATGGCCTCCTCCACCTGCCGCCCCTCCACCGACACCTCCAGCACCTCCGAGCGACAGTTCATCCTGCACCCAGTAACCCACACCAAGGTGTGGAACTAGGATAAAGACAGGGGATCTTCACCCTACCCAAGGGCCACCCTGCAAAAGGAGCCCAGGTCAGAATGCTGACAAGAATAGTCCACGTGTTATCTGTTCACTTCCTTCTAGGCTCAGCTCAGCCTCTGCCTCCACTGGCCCTTCTCTGCATTTTGGCAGCACACACTATCAACGAATCATCAAGTCTCAGGATCAGAAAGTGCAAGAGCTTCAAAGTTATCAGTCCAAATGACAGGCTGGGATTCCATTTTACAGCCTTCAATGTAGTTTACAGCAGATGCTCACTGTGCAACATTTGTCAGGTACTAGACATCAAAGGCAAGCACGGCCCCTGCCCTCAGGCTGACAGGATGAAGAAAAAGCACGCAACTAAACATTATCACCACGGAGAGAGTACAGGGTGGGAGTAAGAAGTACAGAAAGATTGGAGTCTGATTTCCTGGGACCTTGAATGAACAGGTTAAGGCATTTGGACTCTGTCCTAAAAGCAGCGAAGAGTCAATGCATCACTAAGCCAAGATCAAATCTGTGCATCAAAAAAGTACCTCTAGGCCGGGTGTGGTGGCTCACATTAATCCCAGCAACTTGGGAGGCCGAGGCAAATCACTTGAGCTCAAAAGTTCAAGACCAGCCTGGGAAACATGATAAAACCCCATCTCTACCAAAAATATAAAAAATTAGCTGGGCCTGGTGGCAGGCGCCTGTAGTCCCAGTTACTTGAGGGGCTGAGGCAGGAGGATAACTTAAATGTGGGAGGCTGAGGCTGCAGTGAGCTGAGATCATGCCACTGTGCTCCAGCCTGAGTGACAAAGCGAGACCCTGTCTCAAAAAAAACAAAAATACAAAGTAATAAAATAAATTTAAAAAAAAAAAGACAAGTACCTTTGGCTAAAGGGCAAAGAATGGCTCTAAACCGTATTGGGGTCACAAACTGCTCTGAGAAGTGAATGAAGCCATGAAGACTGGGCTTTAAAAACATGACTCTCACACACACACATATACCAAATCTCACCTATTTCTAGAGACACCCACATCCACAGACTCCAGGGTAAAAACTTGTGGATTTAAGGCACAAAGGCTGGGCACGGAAGTCAGTTAAAGACCACTACAGTAGATGTAGTTACAGAAGCAGCATAATCAGGTGTGGGCGGTTTTTCATGTCCTACAGTCCTGGGTTTGAATCCCACCTCATCTACATCTTGCTCTATGACCTTAAGCGAATCACTCAACCTCTCTGAACTTCTTATCTGTAAATGGGGATAGTAGTGAGAATTAAGGTAACACATGTAAAATACAGTAGAATAGTGGTTGAAAACGATGACTTGAAAGCCAGACAACCTGGAATGGAACCCCAGCTCTGCCACTTGCTCCATGCTCATGATCTTGGGCAAGCTGCTTAACACCTATCTGCCACATATACAAAAGAGATAATAATGGCTACCTTGAAAGGGTTGAGGGCTGAATGAGCTAGCATGTATAAAACACTTAAATAAGTACCTGACAAATGGTAAATATCCACTAAGTATTAGCTGCTATAATTCATTATTACATTGTTACTGCCAAGAGATGATGCAAGGCTATAACACAGCAGTGGTAGAGAGAGTAGGAAGGAGAGAACAAGAGACTTGAGAACTAGAACATAATAACTAAATACATGCCCAGAGGGAGAGGGAGCTTCAAGTTCCTTATAACTCAGAGTATTCAGCTTGCAAACCTCCCCTGACTGGGAATTCACTAGCTCTCACAACAACCAGTCAATGTTCAGGAAGTTCTATTCAGTTATTCTGATTTATTTATTTATTTTATTTATGAAATGGGGTCTCACTCCATCACCCAGGCTGCAATACAGTGACACAATCTCTACTCACTGCAACTTCTGCCTCCCAGGCTCCCATCCCAGCCTCCCAAGCAGCTGGGAACACAGGCGAACACCACCACACCTGGCTAATTTTTTGTATTTTTGGTAAAGAAAGGGTTTTGCCATGTTACCCAGGCTGGTCTCGAACTCCTGAGCTCAAGAGATCCACCCGCCTCGGCCTCCCAAAGTGCTGGGATTACCGCACCCAGTCCAGTTATTCTTTCTGCTGAAGAATCTGTCTCTTAGTGCTTCAAACCACTTTTAGTTTTAGTTTTGGTACCCAAAGCCACACAAAATAAGTCTCACCTCTTTTCCACAAGTGAGTTTTTATTTAGGGGCAGCTATTCCACCACCCCCTCACCCCTTCTACAGGCTGAAGGTCCCCAGTCCTCAAAAACATGTCTGTTCCACATCACATCTTATCTGCATGGAATCCTAGCAGCTCTCCTCTAAGTATATTTCACTCATCTGGTTGACAGATGGTGAATATAAAAAGTATATTTCAGTTTGTGTCTGCCCCTTTTAAACTGTTGCTCAGCACAGGATACAGGGCAACGGTCTGTGGACCGCACAGAGATCAGGCCAGCTCTGCCTCTCAGCTGGCGATCAGCTCGCGTCTACCTGTACTATCAAGCACCATCACGTTTTGTTTTTGTCTCTACCACTAGGCAAACAATTCCTATATTCTGCTTATAGGGCAGAGACTATATTCCATTCATCACTATAATGGTAATTCCTAGTACCTTCTACAAAACAACTGCTCAATTGAGCCCAACCCAGGAATTCCAGGTTCTTCCAGGGGTTGCTGGATTAGTTTCTCCTACATGCTTGGATCAAGAAGGAGAAGGGCTCTCTTGCTCGTTTTGCCCTCCAGTTTTACTCCATCCAGCAGTTTTCTTCCCATCTAGAGACTCCCGGCTCTGGTCCGGCTCCCTTTCTTCCACGACTTCTCCCTCTTGTGTCCCCCGCAATCGTTCACACAAGCCACACATCTCACTTGTGCCCCAAGCCTGGGCTCCTCCCTCATTCTACGTGCTATTTTAGGATCCACTCCTCCAAGAAGTCAGTCCTGACCAACCCCATTCTCCTTCCCACAGCTGCCACATTTGGTCTGTGAAAACCTTGTTGTCCCCTGCCCCACACAGTGAGCAGTGAGCAAGCAGGGCCCACCAGAGTAGGGTCTGGAAAGTCTCGTCCCTCTTGTCCCCCCGAGTGGCAGAGGCTAACAGCCGCCTTCTCAAGCCTGGCTGGAGCACAGGGTGCGCCCATTCCCACCTTGAGTGTAGAGTTTGGAGCACGGATTCCTCAAGCTCGGCTCATGCCCTTCCTCCTCCTCCTCACGCCCTGGTGCGACCTCCGCAGGTACGCTTCAACCTCCGCACGGCGCTGAGCCACAAGAGACCAGCTAAAAGCAAAACCAGAAAACTTACTTGGCTCCATATCAAGAGACTCGGGACGGACGCAGGAAGGAATTCCCGCCCGGGTCCCGTATCCCCCGCCGCCACTACGCGCGAACCTCCACAGTCCACGTAACCAGGGAGGAACGGACTCCTCGGGTGTCTCGGGGGCGGCGCCCCGCGCCCAGGCTGGCTGGACTCGGAAGCTGGAGGAGCGCCCGCGTTCCACTGCCCCGGGGGATGCCCACGCCGGCACAGGAGAGGGGGCACACGGTTAAAACAGCTCCCACCTCCCCCAACCACAGTCCACGACCAGCCTCTCAGATGCCACCACTCTCCCGGCAGGCTCCAGACCACCTGGGTCGGAGGCTGAGCCGGGACCGGAAGCCGCACCGCCCCCCGCGCGCCGGGAAGCTCACCAGATCCCACGGCCCCGGAGGGGGCACCTGCCCAGCTCGCCGGGCCCCCGCACGCATGTAGCCGCCCACAACATCCGCGTAGTCACAGAAGCACACGCAGATAGTCATGCGTTGCTCTCTGATCTGGGGGCTGCTCCTTTCGTGGTTATGTCTCGGATTTTAAGAGTTGATGGTGATGAAGATCCCCCTCATGTGGACGAGTCCATTCAGCCCACCACCGAGAACGCTGTGGTGTTTCGGCCCGTACAACTCACTTCCGCCATAGAGACTGGAGGGAAGGAGGAGCCCTACGGGCTCTCGGCCGCCTCCCTAGGCCGAGCGGAGTCATCGGCGGCGAGCCTGGCCGGGAGACGCTGACGCGGTGCCCAACTCAGTCCGGACTGAGAGGTCTGGAAGGAACACTGATCACCGCAAGATGAGGGGCGTACCCCGTAGAGAGAGGTCCTGGAGATGAGCCCACACCGCTGTACTGCAGGACGCCCAGTGGATGGCAAAACTTGAGTTTGTTGAATGTGCGTAACAGACGGGATCCCTGGCCCTCCACCCACACAGATGCTGGAGAAAGGGGCTTCATCTCTCAGTGTTGCCTTTATGCAGCAGCACTACTTGATACCCCATGGTGACCAATCTGGTGACAGTCCTTCGGAGGCTAGTAATTCGGCCATTGCTTCTCTGCGTGACCCTCAACATCACTCATCCTTTCTGATGCTCTCTATAAACAGGTGGCTGTTGTGAGGATCACAGGAGATAACTCATATGAAAGATTTCTGTGACCTGTAAAGTCTAATATGAATACAAGTGTATTTTTAGTGCTGTGTAACTTCCTGGAGCGCATTTGGTTCTCCATGTAGATTGTAAGCCCAGAGCAGACAGGGCTTCGAGAGCTCGGTTAATGCACCCACCTCCAATAGGAGGCAGTATTTTTTTTTTTTTTTTTTTTTTTTTTTTTTTTGAGACGGCGTCTCGCTCTGTCGCCCAGGCTGGAGTGCAGTGGCGCTATCTCGGCTCACTGCAAGCTCCGCCTCCTGGGTTCACGTCATTCTCCTGCCTCAGCCTCCCGAGTAGCTGGGACTACAGGCGCCCACCACCACGCCCGGCTAATTTTTTTTGTATTTTTTTTAGTAGAGACGGGTTTTCACCGTGTTAGCCAGGATGGTCTCGATATCCTGACCTCGTGATCTGCCCGCCTCGGCCTCCCAAAGTGCTGGGATTACAGGCGTGAGCCACCGCGACCGGCCAGGAGGCATTCTTAAGGTGTTAGCTGGGGATTACCATGCTCATTTTCTGGCCCATTGGGGTGCCTCACGCCTGTGATCCCAACATTTTGGAAGGCTTAGGACAGAGCATCACCTGGGGCCGGGGGTTCAAGACCAGCCTGGTCGACATAGTGAGACTCCCATCTTTAAAATAAAAATTAAAAATTTAGCTGGGCGTGTTGGTGTACCCCTGTAGTCCCAGCTACTTCAGAGGCTGAGGTGGAGGATCACCTGAGCCCAGGAGGTTGAAGCTGCAGTGAGCTATAATCACGCCACTGCATTGCAGGCTGAATGACAAAACAAGATCCTGTCTCAAAAAGAAAAAAAAAAAAAAGTCGGGTGTGATGGCTCATGCCTGTAATCCCGGTACTTTGGGAGGTCGAGGCTGATGGATCACTCGAGGTCAGGAGTTTGAGACCAGCCTGGCCAATATGGTGAAACCTCATCTCTACCAAAAATACAAAAAAAAAAAAAAAGCCAGGTGTGGTGTCAGGCACCTGTAATCCCAGCTACTTGGGAGGCTGAGGCAGAAGAATTGCTTGAACCTGGGAGGTGGAGGTTGCAATGAGCTGAGACTGCACCACGGCACTCCAGCCTGGGCAACGGAGAGAAACCCTGTCTCAAAAAAAAAAAAAAAGCTGATTTTTCTAACACATGCTTTTATTTCCCAAAACGATAATAGATAACATTTATTAGGTGGAATGGAAAGGTCATGATTTTAAATACCATATATGTGTACATATAAATTTAAACCTGATACTAATCAATCCTGCAATATAGATAAGAAATTGGGCCGGGCATGGTGGCTCACGCCTGTAATCCCAGCACTTTGGGAGGCCGAGGCAGGTGGATCATTTGAGGTCATGAGTTCGAGACCAGCCTAACCAACATGGTGAAACCCTGTCTCTACTAAAAATACAAAAAAAAAAAAAATAGCCAAGCTTGGTGGCACACACCTGTAATGCCAGCTACTCCGGAGGCTGAGTCAGGAGAATCGCTTGAACCGGGGAGGCAGAGGTTGCAGTGAGCAGAGATCACACCACTGCACTCCAGCCTGGTGAAAGAGCGAGACTCCGTCTCAAAAAAAAAAAAAGAAAAAGAAAGTGACTGGGGAGAGGTTAAGTAAGTGGCCCAAGGTCATTCAGTAAATAACAGAGCCTTGAGTTCAAATCGAAAGCTCTTTGCCACTATGGGAGCTCTCTTTCTGGCTGGCTTCTTCAGCCAACTCTCTCCTATGTACCACCACTCTCCAATACACCCCCACCCACCAGTGGTGTCCTGATAAATGCTTCACACCTGCTCTCTGGTAAGGGAAATGCCTTGATTTGTAGCATTTGCCCATTTCCTATCATAGGTGATTTCAAACTACAAGACATCAATGAATGCAGAGTCCAGAACGGATGGATGATTGCATCTTGATCGTCAAGGTTAAAATCAGCCCTTGAGGGCCAGTGCCAGCTGGCTCCAGCACACCACTGTCACCACCTCACCCTTAGGCTTCCCCCTCCCATTCAGTTCTTCGAAACCTGGCTGCACAAGCTCCTCCTCAGGCTGGCCTTTCCACCATCATCTGCTCCCTATCCTCTTCCCTTCCTCCCCACAGTTCTGCCCTTTTTCAGCCCTTGCCTCTTATCCCAGGTGTGGGTGCCTCTCCTGGGAGAAAGAGAAAGCTGCCTGCCCTACACACCAGCGACCTCTTCGGGAGGCTGCACAAAACCAGACGGCAATCAGGAGGAAATATTGAGAGGGAAGGGTCTGTAAGAAGCTGAGAGAGGGACCAAGGGAGGTTGGAACCAGTCCTGGAGTGGAGGAGGTGCCAGAGCCCATCCCCAGAGACTGCCAGTGAGTAAGGGAAGTGACTGATCTCTCTGGCCATCCACACACTCCAACTCAGCCCTTTGCGACCACTAGCCTGACATCATCATCATCATCATCATCATCACTACTACCAATCATTGAACCTTGCTAGGTACAATGCCAGCACTCATAGGCCCTATTGTGCTGATTTTTCCAACTACCTTTCAAGGTAGATACAGTCCACCTCCCCGACACTCCACTCTCTGATTTACTTGATATTATAACTGAAGCCCAGTCATACATAGTGATGCATAGTGGTTTCCTGTGATGCTTAATTTTACGTGTCAGCTTGACTGGGACACAGGGTACCTAGACAGTTGGTTAAGTATGATTCTGGGCTTGTCTGTGGGGTGTTCTGATGAGCCTAACATTGGAATTGGCAGACAGTGAAGCCGATTTCCCTTCCCGGTGTGGAGGGGCTTCATCCAATCAGTTGAAAGCCTAGTAGAACCAACAGGTTGACCCTTCAGTGAGTAAGGGGAACTCCTGCCTGACTGTCTTAGAACTGGGACATTAGTATTTTCCTGCTTTCAGGTTCCAACTGCCTTCAGATAACTGCTTCTCCTAGGTCTCAAGACTGCAATGACACCATCAGCTTTCCTGACTTCAGATCTTAGGACTTGTCAGCCAGCTCCTTATAATAAATCCCTCTCGGCCGGGTGTGGTGGCTCACACCTGTAATCCCAACACTTTGGGGGGCCAAGGCAGGCAGATCACCTGAGGTCGGGAGTTCGAGACCAGCCTGACCAATATGGAGAAACCCCATCTCTACTAAAAATACAAAACTAGCCAGGTGTGGTGGCGCATGCCTGTAATCCCAGCTACTCAGGAGGCTGAGGCAGGAGAATTACTTGAACCCGGGAGGCGGCGATTGTGGTGAGCTGAGATCTCGCCATTGCACTCCAGCCTAGGCAACAAGAGCGAAACTCCATCTCAATCAATCAATCAATCAATCCCTCTCTTTCTGCCGCCACATATGTATGGGGGAGAAACTCTCTCTCTACATTATGTGTGTCTATGTCCTACTGCTTCTGTTTCTCTGGAGAACCCTGACTAGTACACGTCCAAGGCCATGCAGCTGCTCTTTCCTCCTTCCACCAGTGTTTTCACCCACTTATGTCCCTACTCCGGCACTCACCTTTCCATGGAGCCTTGCCTACTGGACTGGGGAACATAAGGAAGGCTGAGTCCTCTCACCTCTTTATCTCACATGCTGACCCACACTTGCCTCTTCCTACCTCCCTGAATTCTTACAGGGAAATTCTCACTGCAACCCTGGGTCTCAGCCCCTCTGGTAGTCCCATCAGGGAGGGGAGGGAGTGGTTAAAAAACTGGGATTGTGTGGGATGAATTATCTCATTCTATGCCCCTACCTCTGATGATCAAGACGTAATCGTCTATTCATTCATTCATGCCACACGTGGAACTGTCCACATGCCAGGCCCTTGTAATACCTTGTGATGCCAAGGGGGACAAGTCACAGTTCTAGCCCTCTGGGAGCTCAGAGTCTTCAGAGGAGGTGGACCAGGAGATACCTGTGGGTAAGAAAACCCAACAAGTGGTATGAAAGAAATGGCAGCAGGTTTTGTGGGGACCCAAGAGGGCCAGGATGGAGAGATGCTGGTTACCTGGAATAAAAAGTGACACATTCAGGCTGGATGCGGTGACTCACACTTGTAATCCCAGCAATTTGGGAGGTCGAGGCGTTGGATCACCTGAGGTCAGGAGTTCGAGACCAGCCTGGCCAACATGGTGAAACCCCATCTCTACTAAAAATACAAAAAGTAGCTGGGCCTGCTGGCACGTGCCTGTAATCCCAGCGACTCAGGAGGCTGAGGCAGGAGAATGGCTTGAAACTGGGAGGTGGAGGTTGCAGTGAGCCAAGATCATACCACTGCAGTCCAGCCTGGGCAACAGAGAAAGACTCTGTCTCAAAAAACAAAAAACAAACAAATAAAAAACAGAAAGCAACACATTCAGAGTGAAGAGGAGTCCCAAGCCCTGCTCTCAGCAAGTTGGGAAGTGACCAGGCACCAGGAGAAAACGAGGACAGCTTGAGAGAGCACCAAGCAGCAACCTAGGGAGATGGCAGGGAAGGGGGTTGATTCCAGGAGGAAGTGGGAATTATTCTAGGAAAGCTCCCTGGAGAAGAGGGAAGAAAAAAAACAGGGGGCGGGGGCAGAGAGTAGAAACTGAGGGTTCTGGGGGTGAGAGAGGCAAGGATAAGAGAGAGCAGATTTTCAGCCCGAGCCCAGAGCCACAGCTGCCAAGCAGACAGGCGACTGGCTCAGACTCTCCGAGCCATGCCTGCAGCAGAGGCCTGTGGGGAGACCTTGAAGGCCAACCCAAGACCTTGGGAGTAGGCAGCTGGCTTCGCCTGGTGAATGTGGCCTCAAATGGCCCCAACTCATCCTGGTGTGTGCCCAGGGGAGAGCTGAGCCCCAAAGCTGCCCCTGCAAGCCACCCCAGCTGCTCCAGCGCTGACCCCAGTGGCGTCACAGGGAGTGACTCAAGCCCCAGCAACAACAATGAGTGGGACTGACGTCAGGCCAGGGCTCCTGATGGTGGCCAGGCTGGCTGGAAAGCCAGCACCCTGCCTGCTGACCCTCCAGCCTGGGCAGGCTGAGGGGGTGAGGAGGACCAGCTGTCCCTCTCTGACATCTGCCCCCTGGACCGTGGGCAGGGGCTCTTCCACCTCCCACCCTTTCTGGGATGTCACTTCCAGCCCCCACCCTCCCTGACGGGGAAAATGTCTGGGCGGATGAAAGAGTGGCAGAGAGCGTGAGAAAGGGGCACCTCCCAGCCCCAACCTGCCAACCTCACCAGGCAGCCCGGAGACTAGGACCAAGCCGGGAGCAGCTTGTGTGCTGTCTGTTCTCCTGAGGACCCAGGGATCTGTCCATGTTGGGGAAGTGTTTTGTGGCTTTTTTCTCTTTTTTTCTTTTTTTCTTTTTTTTCCAGAAAGGTCTGTGTTTGGCCAAGTTGGGGTAGAAGCCGGGCTTTATTTCTGTGCCTCCGTCCCTCGGGGGTGCGGGACTGTCTCTCCTTGCTGCAAGATCTATTCCTTTGGCAGGCCGTTCTGAGCATCTGTCGTTCTTTAAGGAAGAGGATTCTGGGCGACTGTGCTTGCAAACGGTTAGGGGGCTGTTTATCTGCCCCAGATAAGGCAGTCTCTATATCTGCCACTGGGGAGCTGTTTTTCTGTCCCTGCTTTCTTGCGGGGCAGGGGCCATCTCTATCTGTCCTTGTGGTATCCCAGCTACCTGGGGCCCTGGGGTGGAGTCCAGGTTTCCTGCTTGGCTATGCCAAGGCTGGGCTCCCTGATTGGAGGCCTCTTTCCTCTGATGTTCTCCAGGCTAGGAGTGCAGCAACAGTCAGCACCCTGCCCGCCTGGCTTGCAGCTGGGCACTGCTCCCTGCTAACGCAGCATGTACCAGGACAGGCCCCCCCGCACTCCCCTCCCTGTCCCAGCTGCCACCCCCAGCCCCTGCGGCCACGCCAGGCCTGATTTATGGTCCTGAGTTGGGGCTGGACAGTGCCAGCGCCTGGGTCAGACCTTGAGGAGACCTCAAGTGGCACCCTTGGTCTGGCAGGGTCAGGGCCCAGGAGGAGACGACGGGGAGCCAGGGTGCTGGGGAGGATGAACACAGCAGGGGCCCAGGAGTGGCCGGCAGGAGGTGGAAGCCAAGGCCAGGGCCTCCAGGGGCCCATAGGCTTCCCGCCGGCTCCAAGTCCAGCTGGGGACCTGGAAATGTGCCTCCTGCCTTCAGAAGGTCTCTGGCTTGTGTGGGAAAGGAGATATTGGAGAGTGAAAAGGGCTTTTCCTCTGCTTTGCACTGACTCCTTCCTGTACCCACCATCAGAGGCTGGAGGTTTCAAAGTCCCACTGGCCAGCCTAGGCCAAACCAGACAGTCTCCCATCCTGGGGCCCAGGAAGAGGCCTGAGAGCCTGAAGCTGGAGCAGGGATGGAGGCAGAGGTTTGGGGCAGAGACTGCAGCCCAGAGCTGAGCACTGGCTGCCCCGGGGAAGACAGAGCAGCTGCTCCCTGAGCTATGAGGCTGCAAGGCCAGGCCCCTGAAGGGCTGGGTGCCAGATAGACACCCAGGGCTCACCCCTTCAACCTCATCCTCTGAGGAGGCCCAATGGCCCTGGGGCTCTGCTGCACTCAGGGACTTGTGAGAGAGGGGCTGGGGCTCGTCCAGATGTCCAAGCTAAAACTCTCTTAGGATCCCAGGCCCAGCTCACACAAGGCCACCCAGCACTGCCTCACCAGGGCACAACTCTGACGTGCCTGGCACAACTGCCTCATGGCTGCAAAAGGATGTCACTGCTGACTGTCCAGGGACCACACAGTGGCCACCTGCCTCTGACAAGTCTCTCTCAGGCTGCCCTCTGCAGCAGCGGAGCTGCTGCCACACAGCTGAGCATGCTGGGTGCTCAGAGCAGGCCATGTGGACAGGACACCCCATTATAGCACGGTCTCCCATGACCTTCAGGTGCTTCTCACATCCTGGAGGCTGACCCTTGCCACACCCCTCCATAACCAAGACCAGGTGGCTGGAGCCCAGGTGTGGGGCAGCTTCCTCCACACTGGCCTCAGGGAAGGGCTACAGGCAGAGACCCCCGGAGTACAGAGCTCTCCCTCAGTCCCTAGACCTCAAAGCCACCCCTCCCCAGTCACAGTGGCACCTCAGGGCTGGGGAGGGGGCCAGGGGCCTCTGGGCACTGGGCCCAGCGTGGGTGGGGTGGGGGAGACAGAGAGGCAGGCTTCCTGGGTCTCCGCGTGAGGACAAACAGCAGACTTTGAGGCCTTGGAAAATCCCGCCTGGGATTCCAGGCCCTGCCGGCGTCACTGCCTTTTGACTATTGTCCCCGTCGGAAATGGGCCCAGCCCCCGGCCAGCCTGGACAGAGCAGCCATTGTGAGGCCCCATCAGGCTCAATGCCCCCTTGTTTGCCCTCCCATCCCATAGCAAGAGTTGGAGGCCAGTTCTTCCAGTTGCTGAGTGGAAAGAAAGGGCCTGCCTCCGGGCTCCAGCCCTTGGGCGGGGCAGGGTGGGGCAGGGTGGGGCTGGAGGAACTAGCCCCCCACCCCGTACCCTAATTGCCAGGGTCCTGAAAAGGAACCACCATCAATGGAGCTTCTTATTTTTGAGGCCCTGGGCAGGGAGACCTAGTGGTTAAGTAGCCAGATGCACCCAGCTCAGCTACTCACAAGCCAGGTGACCTTGGGAAAGTCATATCCTTTCTCTGAAATGAATTCTCCTCTTTTGTAAAAACAAAAGCTAATATTTATTGGGTGTTTGCTGTGTGCCAGGCACTGTGAAAAACACTTTGTATGTATTCACTCCTATAATCTTTATAGTAACTTCATAAAATAGATTCGTTTTCTTATTTCTAGGTGAAGACACTGAGGCACAGAAAGATTAACAAACTTGCCCCAAATCACACAGCTAGTAAGAGCTGGAGCCCAGATGTAAACCCAGGCCTCGGGCTCCAGGGTCCTTGCTTTCACCACTCTCCCATGGTGCCCCTGTGAGGTGGGAATAGCCAGGCTGTCTTCATGGGATGGCAGCTAGGGCTGGAAATCACAAGCGTCTGATGAAAAGAATCTGCCAGCGTGAACCCTAATACCCGCCAGCCTCATCCATAGATATAGAGATGCTCCCTCGGCCCCACTCCACTCCCAGCCCTGGCCCCTCCCTGAGCATCTGAGCAGCCCTCTTGCCTTCCCCAGTGCCTGTCCTGTCCTCACGTCTGTCTGTGCTAAAGGCAGGGAGCTGGAGGTGAGTGACACAAAGGAAAAGGACTCGGTCCAGCCAGCTGGCGGGAGATTTCCCAGCAAGCTCTGCTCCTAACCAGCCTCACCTCCCCACTGAACAGATGGGAAACTGAGGCTCGGTGAGGAGGAGGGACTTCTCAGAGAGCAGCATGGAGTTGGAGGCAAACAGAAGCCCACCTACTGATGGCCCCATGTCGTCAGGCGCGGGTGCAGCTGACAAAGCCTCGCTCAGGGGTCTGGGGCTGGGTGGGCGATGCCAGGGATACATGTTTGGAAGTCCACAGCACTGCTGGGAGCATGTCCCAGGGTCGGGACCGTGGTCTCCCTACCCCAGCCTCACTCGGACCTTCAGCAGGCCTGAGGCTGGACTGTGCTCCCAGAACCTGAGTGAGGGTATGTGGATGGGGGCTCCCTGCAAGCTGTGGCTGGAGCACCAGGGAAGGCCCCTGCTTCCCCCCATCCACAGCTGAGAGCCCTATTCTGTCGGGCCCCATCCAGTAGGAGCTGCCCCTCAGCCAGCCACTTCCCAGGAGCCATGGAGGTGGAGACTTGGGGGGTCCTGGGCCAAGGGCTGTGAGGAACACGTGTGAGGGCACTGCCTTCAGGCCTCCTGCTGGGTCCTAGAGAAGCAAACAGTGAGGCTGGGTGAGCACCGAGCACAGGAAGGTGCCAGACCCTGCATGATGACCAACTCCCATGGGCCTCAGGTTAGGTCCATCCACATGTTTCTCAGAAGGGTGGCCCCAGGCCACCTGCATCACAAGCACCTGGGTACTTGCTAGAACTGAAGGTTTGGGGCCCCCTCACCTCCCCAGATCTGAGTCTCTGGGGGTAGATCCCAGGAATCTGCATTTTAAGCCAGCTGACTAAACAACTGACGAGCCTAGGGGGTTGGAGGGCCTACGTGGGGACACGGGCACAGGTAGGGACTTCAGTACAATCTTCTTGCCGAGAAGGTGAGGGCCGCCAGATCCCTGGATCTTCTTGCTGGGGTGGCAGGAGAGTGGGGAGGAATGTTGAGAATGGGGATGTTAAAACCCTGAATGTAACAGCTACTACCAATTTGGGCTTACTTAAACCCAGCCCATGCTAAGCATTACACACACACTCCTCTGACCGTAAAAGCTCTGTGAGGCTGGGTCTATTCTTGTTTTATGGATGTGGAAATCAAGAATCAGAGAATATATGTCCAGTTTAGGAAACATGACAACCCTGAGATCTGCGGCTAAGTCTATTGCTAGGGCCCTGCAGTGACCCCTGGGCTAGTCAGCCACTGCAGACCCCAGCAATGAGCCAGGCACAGCTAGCCAGGCACAGCTAATGCAGGCTTCCCACGTGTTAGAAATTAGTCTAAGTGCTTTGCATAACAACCTCGTGAAGCAGGTGTCATTATTATCCGCCTTTTACAAATGAGTACACTGAGGCCTGACAGCTCAGGCTGGTAACATCCAAGTTTCATCTTGAGCAGCCCATCTCTTATGTAATGATGGGGTGTGTCTGGTGGGGGAGTGGGGAGGGGGCATCAGAGACAGACTGAATCTCAGTTCCAACTACATGTCTATTTTTTATTCAATATATTAAATATATTAATCAGAAAAGTCACATACTATAAATCCAGGAAAATACACAAATATAAATGTCAGAATCTGTCATTTGTCTTCTTCCTAGAGTGACAGTTTATGTACATGTGGAAGGAGGGTAGGAAGAGAGAGCCAGCAGGAGGCTGGAAAGGCTGCCCAGGAAGGCGGGGCCCATCCCTTCCTCCCAGCCCCGCTCCCACCTCAAGCTCTTTCTTCCTGTATTTACAGCAGCACTGGGCTTATTTACAGCACGGCGCTATGTGTTAAAAACGGTTTATCTTACAAAAAACATAAAGGCCGGGGCCAGGCTGGGGGGGATAAGACAAATCGTGGGGTCACCCCCATGAAGGCATCCCCCTCCCCAAGGGCTTGAGCTCCCTGCAAACCTCCTGGAGCAGGTGAGAAGGTGGAGTCATTCTGCAGCTCAAGCCCAGGCTTGGGGGTGCTCTGGGGGTCCGTGGACTAAAGGCACATGGGGTGGCATATGAGAGTGCGCATGTGCACACGTGTTCCCAGGCAGGGGTCAGAAGGGCAGCGTGTCCATGAAGATCTTGTCAATGATGGGTGGAGGGGGCACCAAGTCCTCCAGCTTGAGGTAGAAGATGCGCTGCAGGCCCTGGGTGCACAGGGTCCGCAGCTCGGGCAGTTTGCCCAACAGACGTGACAGGCAGCTGGCTGGCTGGGGCTCGCCCGCCACAGCTGCCACGTGCTCCTTCAGGCAGCTGGCGATGCGGTTCTGCAGCTCCTCCACCCGCCGCGGCTCCTGCAGCCCATGCCGGTCTGCGGGAAGGGTACAGGATTAGCTGTACATCTGAGAACCAGGCCCCCAAAGCCCCAGCCTCCCCCAGGCCCCTAAAACTGCTGCCCCTGACCACCCCTCATGCTCTGCTGGCACTTCACAAAAGCGCATTCACATGTTGGCCATTAGTAAGCATCGTCACAAGTCTGAGAAGCAGTAACCCTCATTATCCTCATACTCCAAGTGAGAACCCGAGGCCCAGGAGGCTAATGACTTGCCCAGGGTCACAAACGGGAAATAAAATCCTAACCTACGTTTTCTGGCTAGATCATTGGGTTTTTAAAATCTAGACTGTTCTGAGAAACCCAGCCTCAGAACTCAGCACTCCCTCAGCCCAGAGTACCTCTGATTGTGTTCTATATCGTTGGGTCCCCTGTGCAATTTAAGTGAAAAAATGAACGAGGGTGGATTCTTTCCTTTAAAAAACAGAGAAATCTGAAAACCTCTGCATTCAACACCAGATTCCATCCTGCAGAACTACATTTACATAAAGTCCAAAACAGGCACAACCAATCTGATCTGCACTGTCAGAAGTCACAGTGAAGGGCTAGGCGTGGTGGCTCACACCTGTAATCCCAGCACTTTAGGAGGCTGAGACAGGAGGATCATTTGAGCCCAGGAGTTCGAGACCAGCTCGGGCAACATAGTGAGATTCCCATCTTATTTTTAAAATATTTAAATAAAAAGTAGTGGTTACCCTTGGGGAGGGCAAATGACTGGAAGGGGGCACAATAATGGGTTCTGGGGGGCAGTTATGTGCTCTTTCTTGACCAAGGCGCTGGTTGGGTAAGTGCGGTTTATGAAAATTTACCATTTGTGTACTTTTCTATATGCAGCATAATTGACAGGAAGGTTTTAAAAACAAGCCAATACCCTAGGCCACATACATGACACCTGCAGTCTGGATCCTGACAGTCTGGGACCAAAGGCTGTCTTGCGCTTTAGAGCTGGATGCAGCTGAGCCCATCTGCAATTCCTATGGTCCCTACTTTACTGCTGGCATGAGCCCGGGGCAGTGCAGGGGCCCAGAAAGTGCTAGATCCCGGCCCACCAAACTCCCTGGGACAGTGCCCTCCTGAGAACCAGTCAACCCCCTGACGCCCATTCCCTTGGACCTGGTGTGGTGCTGGTCACTCACCGGTGATGAGGACAAGGGCAGAGAGGCAGGCGAAGGCAGGGACATCGACAAGCAAGCTGTGCAGGGACCTTGAGAAGGCCAGGATACTGTCAATCCAGTCCCCGAAGCCACGGGCACACTGCAGCCGGTGTAGCACCAGGCCTGAGCAGAAGATGAGCTTGCCCTCGCCTGGCTTAGACCTGGCAGGCAGATGGGCACGAAGAGCGATCAGGGTGGTTCACAGGCAGGTGTATCAGGGAAAGGGGCTGGGCAGACAGTCAGTGGCTCTCACCTGTACGCCAGGCGGAGGATGAAGAGCTCCAGGAAGGCCGACTCCAGCAACAGGTCCTGGTCAGCCGGTGACAGCTCAGCAAAGCCAGGGATCTTCTCCGCCCACTTGCGGATGACCTCCAGAGAACCGGAGAGCAGGTCGTAGAACTGCTGTACATCCCCAGCATCTTCCTTCCCAAAGTGGGGCAGCACCAGCTCCTGGAACTAGGAAGACGGTCCAGTGGGGTCAGCACCCCAGGCAGGCTCCTACACCCACTGCCACGTATGGCTGTGTCAGACACTTGGATGCCAGATCCCGGGAGTGGGAGTGGATCTGAGATCCTGCCCAGGCTCTCACTTGCCAAGTCTCACATATTAACCCAGGGCTGCAGCTGCCAAAAGGACATATTTTTCTAATTGGCCACCTGCCTGAGGGGGTGCATTTTCCCATCTGGTCAGCCGAGAGGGGGATCCTCTCTTTGATCTGTCGAACTGGAGGGAGTCGCTTTTCTTTCTTTCTTTTTTAAACCTCCTTTCTCATTCAGTCCTTCCAGAGGGGGTAGCTCTCCTAACACGCACAAAGGCACTGCATGTGCTCATAGACCTCCCCAAGGCAGACACGGGGTGGGACCTCACCTTGGAGTAGTCCAGTTTGGCAGTGCTGGGCCCTGAGTCCAGGTGTGCACGGACCAGGGAAGTGAGGAGATTGGCAGGGGAGGCATCTGGGGGCTGCTTGGGTTTTGAAGGTAGCCGGCCCCGCCGCCCCTTCAGGCTGTCTGTTCGGACAACTGCAAAGGAATGGGTAGGGGTGAGGAAGGAAGGGATCTGAGGAAGGGCCTCTCAGCCCAAGCCGTGCACACCACTGCTGAGACGCGCCCCACCGAGTCCCTAGGACCCAGAGTCCCTGAGATCCAAGGTACCCTATAGGAACCTCCCCCTGCCACCACCCTCACAATCCAGGCAGGTGTAGGCTGCCTCCCTCCAAGGCCTGGGGTTCAGAGGTGGGGTGGAAATAAGACGTGCCCTCCTCTGGGTCCTCCAGGGCAGAAGCCTGGGGGCCCTGCTGGTCCCACTCCACTCAAGCCTACCCTTGCCCCGCTGGGCCGCACCCCAGCCACACACCTTCCTTCACCATGCCCACCGCCAGGCACTTCTGGAAGCGGCAGAACTGGCAGCGGTTTCGCCGCCTCTTGTCCACAGGGCAGTCCTTGTTAGCCAGGCAGATGTACTTGGCGTTTTTCTGCACTGTGCGCTGGGTGGGGGGGCAACACGGAACAAGCTGTCAGAGTGTGGGGTGGGGAGGGGGGAACTTAGGGGAGGGGACCGTCCAGATCCTGCTGCCATTGCAGACAAAAGCGCTCTCTGTTCACAGCTATTTTTCTAACATTTGGGTGGCAAGGGAGGGAGAGACGGGGTTGGGCGGGGGGAGAGAAAAGTCTTGAAGACATTGGGGGAGGTTTCTCGCTCTGAGGAAGTCCCCAGGACACACTACTGGGGGCCAGGGTCTCCCTGGCAGTCTAGACACCTGTATTTTTTCATGGGCCCTTGTCCACCTGCCTTCTCCCTAGGGCAGACAGGAGAGGGCCAAGGGGCTGGGGGGTGGGGACGGGAAGCTAAGCAGGCACCATCGCTGGGACAAACACACAGCCTGTTCCCAAGTCCACCCCCAGCCCTCAAGAACCAAACCCTCCGCAGGGATCCTTTCATCTCACGCCAGGAACATGAGAGCCTGGGGGCACCCCTTCCCACTAGAACCTTGAGTTGGGAGAGGACAGGCAGAGGAGCAGAGGAAAACCAGAGGCTCGCCAGGCACCCCTGCAGCTCCTATCTGCCCCTATCTCACCCCTCCCTCCAGCTCTGTGCAATCCCATGGGCCCGAGTGTCCCGGCAAATGAAAGCTTCCAGCCCTGGCATCTACGGGTCTCCAGGAAGGCGGCCCACCTGGCAGGGCTGATCCCACCCTGCAGGACAGGACTTAGCTAGGAGGAGAACCCAGGGGGAGACCACAGGTCCCAATGGGATGAGGCCAGCCTCTCTCCATTTCCAACAAAAGGCCCCACCTGGGGCTGCGCGGTACCTTGAAGAAGCCCTTGCAGCCCTCACATGTGCGGACACCATAATGCTGGCATGAAGCGTTGTCCCCACACACAGCACAGCGGCCTTCACTTCCACCTGGGGCCCCGCTCCGGGCCTTGGTTGAGGTCACGGGTGTATCCAGTATCCCCGAGCCCTCAAGGTGTGGAGAAGTGGGTGCCAAACCTGGGAAGGCCGTAGGCATGGAATAGCTCTCTCCCTCCCCCAGCTGGTGGGTGGCCTGTGAGGGGAACAACTTCAGGGGGCTCTGGGCCAGGCTGGGGCTGGGGCCGGTGGGAGGACTGAAGGAAAAGAAGGCTGGAGGCTGTGGGGGCCCAGAGGCTTTGGGCAGCTGCTCTGTCCATGCCCGCAGGCCTTCGTAAGTCTGGCTGGGCGAGAAGTGGCCGAAGGAGCCATCCCAGGGAGAGAGCTGGGGCGGCTGGAAGCTGGGCGTGGAGGGCGACGGGGCCGAGCAGGGGCTGCCATAGTAGTCAGAGCCACTGGAGGACAGGGCCTCATCCACTGGGCCGCTCAGGGGGCCGGGGTAGCAGCCGTACACCTGGAAGTCCTCGAACTTGAAGGAGGCAGAGGCAGGGGAGGTGGCTGAGGACGAGGATGTGGAGGAGGCCGAGGAGGAGGCTGAGGAGCATGGCTGGACTGTTCCTGGCAGCTGGTAGAGGAAGGTGTCAAACTCTCCTGTGTAGCCGTCCATGAAGGTGCTGAAGCTGGGCAGGGCAGTGGGGGCAGCGGGGGCTGCCTCGGGGCTGGCCAGGTCCATGGTGGGCTTGATGAACTCAGGGGTCAGGGGGTCGCTTGCCAGGTGGTCACGGGGTCCCGGACTCGGTGCTGGTGTCCCATATTGGGCTTGGATACAGGGCATCTCTGGAGAGAGAGGAGACCCCAGGGAGGGAAAGGAGAGTCAGTGGGACAAGCCTATAGCCTTGTCTCAAAGTATTTGGGCCCCAGAGCAGCAAGGTGGCAGGAATCCCAGCCTAAAGATGAGACAGAGGCACCGGGACCAGAGCACCCAGGAATCCTGACCCCTGGCCTGAGTACCATCTCGACCTAGGTGCCACAAAGCCCCTGGGCAGCGGCCCAGCATGAGTGGGCTCCATCAGAAGGCCAGCCACACCCTAGTCAGCCTGGGAACCCTAGGGGAGGCATACAGCCAGCATTTCTCTGCTAGAACAGGGGGAAGCTGTGTTCCTCCAGCCCCCTGCCCCTCCCCCATGGGGAAGGCATGGTGGGGGCCGGGAGAAGGGTGAGTGGGAGAGGCAGCCCAGCAAAGCCTCAGCCCAGCTCCCAGGAGCAGCTCCCTGGTTGTTTCGCCAACCAGGCACTTCCTGGGAATACTCCCAGGCCTCTGCAAAGCCCCTTTTCTCCTCCCCTCGCAGTGCCTAGGAAGAAGGACATCGTGAAAATGGAAGAGGAGCTGGAAGTGAAAGCCCACCTGCCTAAGAAGGCAGCCTAATGCAGAGGCCCTAGCCTGTCCCCCATTTCCACCCCAACCCTGCACACTGAGCAAAGGCAGCAGATCCCAAACCCACCCCAATCCTGCCATCTGGGGCTGGGAAGCCACTCTGCACTGCTCGAGATGCTCCCAGAAGCAAAGAGGAAGGGAACCTAGGCCTCCTCATCGGTAACCTGGCTCCAGACCTTTAAAGGCCATTTGCTGGGGACAGGGCAAGGGGGGAGGAAGGAGACCACAGCCCCCTGGACTCTCAGGAGAATGGACAACAGTACCTAAAAAGAATGTTCTGCTGCCCCCAGTTATCTTAATAAGAGAACTCTGAGAGTCCAGCAGAAGACTTAAGGAGAAGCCTGCTGGTGGGTGGGTGGAAGACATTCTGCCCCTGCCTGGGTCCCTCCACTAAAGCAGGGTCTGTGCCCTGAAGAATCCAGAGGCTCAGGCAAAGGGGGTTACACAGCCCCAGTCCCGAGGAGCCTGAAGAGAGCCTGAACAGAGATAGCATCATTCAGGCAGATCCTTACATTCACAGAATGGTCAAAAAATAATGCAGAGGAGGCTCCAGGACAGTCTCCCTCCCAACCTACACACCTGGGGTCTGCGTAACTCTGGCCTCACCAGTCAATGAGGGAAGCTGGAGAAGAAATCAAGCAGGAACAGAGTACCATAATCAAGGGGTGCAGTGATGGGGGCAAAGGCTGTCACCACCTCCTGGCCAAGAGCCCAGGAAGTCCTCTCTGGTCCTAGCCTTCCTTCTAACTCCACAGGCCCTGAACAGGGCACCTCCACCCCTAGCCTGACAACCAAGACAACAGAGACCCTTGTAGCTCAGGCCCCACACACCCAGTGGCACCAGTCCACAGGCATGCAGCACCCTGCGAGAGGTGAGGGTGGCCACATCTGCCTGCACTAGGACAGCCTGGCCAGGGATGGGCTGGGGGTGAAGGAGGAAAGACAGCAGTTGGGCAGAACTGGGCGCTTGTTCCTGCCTTATTCAAATCCTGTTTCTCCACCTGGACGTCCCACATCCGGATCAACCCCCATCAGTCCCTCCCCCTTCATGCAGGTTCTTAACAACACAAGATATGGACCTACATCTAGCCTCACAGGAGGGGGGAGCAGTCCCACAGGAGGAGGAAGAGGCGGGGTTGAAGGAGGCAGTGGGGAGAATCCGGCTTCAGGCAGGTCTTGGCAACAATGTGGCTTGCACCTGTTCTGCTGAACAAGCCTCAGGCTGCACCCTACCTGTAAGATCCAACAGAGACTACTGGGGGAGGGGGCATAGGGATGATCAGCATCTGGAGCTGGAATGGTTGGGAGGTATCCTCTAGGCAGCACCGCCCCAAGACTCCAACACTGGCAACTTCTATCCAGGATCCCCAAGGACAAGGGTTTCCACCTCTGTCTCTCTTTCTCTCTCTCTCTCTCTCTCTCTCACACACACACACACACACACACACACACACACACACGTGATCCAAGCCCCAGCGAAATCAATTCTCCCTGTGCTTACAGAGACCCTGCCCCGACCCCAAGAAGCCTCCTTTATTCAATACACAGCAAGCAGCCCTCCACAGGTCAGCCACCAAGCCAGTCACTTCCTTCAATGATCCGGAGGCTTCCTAACGCACCTCAGACAGAAAGTTCAGGGTGGGGAACCCCTGCCAACTCAGCCACAGCCTCTAAAGTGTTAAGAAAACAACCGGGACACTGGGAGGGAGCTGACAGGCTGGGAGGAAGGAGGGCCTTTTGGAAATCCAATCCCAGTTAGAATCGTACGGATCCCAGCAGCGCCAAAGCTCTGTGTACCTGTTCCCCCACGGTGCTGTGACCCCCATCCACACCCACCCAAGTTCAGAGCACCGTGCGCCCAGTTGGGCACCCTAGGAGACTGAACTAAGGCCAGCCGCCTGCTGGACAAGTCCCTACTCCCGGCGCCAACCCCAACCCCCTACAGCTTCCACTTTGCAGGTAGTCAACCTCCCCTACCTCCTACCCCGCACCCAGTAGTTTCCAGTCTGACCTGGGTTCTCATCCCGTTGTGCTACAGCTGCACACTACACCTACCCTCTTGCATGCCGGCCCTACAACATCCTCTCTGCCCGCGCGTACACCCATCTCCTTCATGCACCGCTCCTAAAAACAGATGCACGTTCCCCGAAGGGAACCTACCCGGCCGGCTCCCGCTGCCCCTGCCCGGACTGGCGCCCCGAGTCTCAGCCTGGTCCCTGGTCCCGCGTGCGCTCCCGAAGTTCTTCTGTGCACTCCCCCAAGTTTCGTAGCCTCCGCCACTGGGACTCCCCGGCCGAGCCCGACCCTCCTCTTAAGCGCTCCGTGACGCACGGGGAGGGGCGGGGGCGCCACTGACGCAGGCCGCCCGTCGAGCTTTGGCCATACAAGGGCGCGGGGGGCGGTGCGGTTCCGGCGGGAGGCGGCCAGGGGGAGGTGCGGCCCGGGGAGCCCGAGGGGGCGGGGCGAGGAGGGGGGGCCTGGAATGTCTGCGCGCGTGACGCACGCGGGGTTCCATTGACGCAGGGAGCGCGGATTGTTTGATCTATAAATAGGCTCCTCGCGCCCGCCGCGCCCGCTAAAAATAGCAGCTCCCAGGCCCACTAGGCTCCCCGCACCGGACTCGGGTCCCAGCTGGGGGCCCCCAGGTCCAGAATAACCAGCGGGAGGGCCAGAGCCCGAGAAGGGGCGCTGTAGAGACGCGGCCGCGGGGCTTCCCCGGATGAGGATCTCCTCACTCTCCAGTTGCTCCCGGGAGCCAACCGCGCCCGGTCCCTCCGGCTCCCTCCGAGCCTAGCCCCGCCTTTACACCTTCCCAAGCCCTTCCTGGAGCCCTAGGGTGTCGCTGCTGCCGCTGCTGGGCGGTCAGGACAGGCCGCGGGCTGAGGCGGGCAATTCGGACACACCCTGGGGAGCCTGCGCCCTCACCTCAGCCCTAGGCGCAGCTAGTGCACAGGACGCGGCTTCCCCAGCAGGGTCTCAGGCTGAGAGGCTGCCCCTGAGACGTCAGTTAGAGCCCTCGCTTAGTCCCTCCAGGCAGTCTCCCTACACAGGACCTTCCCGAGGGCAGGCGTTGGCCAGGCCCAAGCTCGGCCAACAGCTCTGGCTCCGCTCCACAAGCTGAACTTGGTTTCGCACCGTCCCCTCCCCAGCCCCTTACAGGGGGAGTGCACCCTAGTTGGGAAATTACCGAATTTCAGAACCGGGTGGAGCCTGAGAAATCTTTTCAAACTTGTGCCAACTCTTCCTCATTTTATAAACAAACAGGCTCAGAGAAATAATGGCACTTGCTGAAGGTCACACAGCCAGGTGGTGGCACACTGGGTTGGAACCCAGGGCCACAGACTGCATCTCTAGGGATCTCTCCACGCCTCTTATCAATACCCCTCCCCCTGTCCACATCAGGGAGCACCGGCCCTCCCAGCCTACCTCCAGCACCTGTGGGGAGGCAGCTCTGACCAGTTATCACCTGCCCGGTGGAGTGAGGAACAGCCCGCCAGGGCCCTGCTGGGCACAGACCAGGCTTCAGCCACCTGGAGCCTTCCCTGGTTTGGCCGTCACCCTTCCACCCTGATCTCTCCTGAGCCTGGGGAGCCCTCACGGAAAAGTAAGAGAAGAGGGAAGGGCAAAAAAACAAAAACAAGGAAAAGAGAGCCCTGCCACCCCACTGCGACCCCCATCCATTCCCCTTCTCCCATGTAAGTCAATATCCATGAGTTTCTGCTTCCATTGAGCCTGCACCCACCCACCCAGTTCTCAACTCATCTGGTCACCCCATAGGACTTTCTCTGCCCCGGAGGCTCTGCCGGCCCGATTTCCACCCTCAACCCCCATCACAGTTTTCCCACACCCTTGTCTCCAGCCCCCGCTTCTGCCCACTCAAAGGTCCCACAAGCACCTCAAATTTCATCTGTTCCAGACAGAACTTGTCATTTCTGCACCCCCTGCCTGCCACCTAATCTCTGCTCCTGGCTCCTGATGCCCCATTTGCAACTTTTCACTGTTTCCTGAAATTCTTTTTTGGAACATCTCTTGGGTCCTTTCCTCTCCCCGTTTTTGTTTTGTTTTGTTGTCTTTGAGACAAGGTCTTGTTCTGTTGCCCAGCCTAGAATGCAGTGGCATGATTATGGCTTACTGCAGCCTGGACCTCCCAGGCTCAAGCCTCTTGCCTTGGCTTCCCAAAGTGCTGGGATTATAGGCATGAGCCACTGCACTCAGCCTCTCCCGCTTTCCTACTGCCAGCCACAGCCCATGCCTCACTGGTCCCACAGACCAACTGCCTGCGCCCAGTGACCACTCCTCCTTTCCCACACCCATGAAGACCATCCATTAGCCTGCCTGTCTCCTCTTTCTAAAGCCTCACTGTCCACCACAGATGGAGCAGTCTTCATACACAGTTGACCCTTGAACAACACGTTTGAACTGTGTAGGTCCACTCATATGGGGATTTGGGGATTTTTTTTCAATCCAACATGGATCCAAAAACCCACATATACAGAGGGCCGACTTTTAGTATCTACAGGTTCCACAGGGCCAACAGTGGGACTTGAGTATTCGCAGTACAAGTTGGGGTCCTGGAGCCAACCCCCTTCATAAACCAAGGGGTGACTGTAATGCTGATGGCATTCAGTCATCTGGTCAGAACCTGCCAGAACCCTCCATCCCAGCATACAGTCTCAACGTGAATGCATCTGCAGAGAGCTCTGGGTTGCTCCAAACCATCTTCCTTCAAGGCCACTGGTTGAATGTGAAGTGTGGGCAGGATGATGCCAATTGGACCCATCCAGGATCCCTACCTCATTTCAGGCAAAGTTTTGCTTTTCTTTCTCTTAGGCTTTTCCGTAAGATTTTGCTTAGATTTTGTGGAATCCTTTTGTGGAAAATGACTCCACAGCTTAAAAAAAAAAAAGGTTTAAAACCACATATAGAATTCAAGTCCTCCCATTTTGCAGATTAGGAGTCAAGGGTTCCAAGAGGAGCTACACTTTGCTCAGGAGCACACAGCAAGTCTTGCTGGGTGGAACTGATCCCAGCTGTGTCACAGGCTGACTTCCTCACCTAGCACCCACTTTGCCCCAGGATGTCTCCCTCCACCCCAGCAGGGCCTTCCCTAGAAAATAAAACTAACTTTTTTTTTTAAGACGGAGTCTCGCTCTGTCACCCAGGCTGGAGTGCAGTGGCACTATCTCGGCTCACTGCAAGCTCCGCCTCCCGGGTTCACGCCATTCTCCTGCCTCAGCCTCCCGAGTCACTGGGACTACAGGTGCCTGCCACCACGCCAGCTAATTTTTTTGTATTTTTAGCAGAGACGGGGTTTCACTGTGTTAGCCAGGATGGTCTTGATCTCCTGACCTTGTGATCTGCCCGCCTTGGCCTCCCAAAGTGCTGGGATTACAGGCATGAGCCACTGTACCCGGCCAAAATAAAACCAATTTTAATAGGTAGCAAAAGATGATCAGCCAAGCCATTGTTCTTCCTGCCAACCAGCAAGAACAAGTGCGTTATCTGTGGCTTGACCAGTCTGTGCTCAATCTCAGCCTTGCTAGCTCTTTTTTTGTTTTTTGTTTTTGTTTTGTTTTGTTTTTGAGATGGTGCTGTCGCCCAGGCTAGAGTGAAGTGGTGCGATCTCGGCTCACTGCAAGCTCCGCCTCCCAGGTTCATGCCATTCTCCTGCCTCAGCCTCCTGAGTAGCTGGGACGACAGGTGCCTGCCACCACACCCAGCTAATTTTTTGTATTTTTAGTAGAGACGGGGTTTCACCGTGTTAACCAGGATAGTCTCGATCTCCTGACCTCGTGATCCACCCGCCTTGGCCTCCCAAAGTGCTGGGATTACAGGCGTGAGCCACCGCCCTCGGCCCAGCCTTGCTAGCTCTTTGAGAGTTGAACCAGCCTCAAGCTCAGGCACCCTCCTCTCCTCCTCACAACTTGGCATTTGTAAAAAGTGGCACAGACCATCCTGTGGGGTAGGCCCACCCATAAGCCCAAGGAAAACTGAGTGTGGTGAGGAGCTGTCCAGGTCCCTGGTCTGAATCTCAGCATCTAGCCTCCAGATCTGGGCCTGCAGCCCAGGCCCCACCTCCCCAAGCTGCTGCAGGTTATGGAGGCTGCAGTCCTGCTGCCCCAAAGCCTGGAGGAGGATAAGGAACTACAGCTGCCACCTGGTCATGCTTGCAGGGGTGGGAGATGGTGGGGGTGCTCAACACACCACATTCTGAAAATAAGTAAATAAGGAGAAAAAGGCAAAGTCCCTCTGTGGAAACACAGCTGGGGCCACCAATGCAGGTTCCCGTGTGGAGCACCTAGCCTAAGATAAAGGCGAGAGAGGTGAAAGGGGCTTGGGGATCCCAGGCCTTGTGGGCCCTCAAGGGAGAATGGCCTGGGCCTCTGAGAGAGTGGGGTCCAGCTAGTGGAACTTTGGAGAAAGGCACAATTGACGTGGACTTTGGGAGGCCTAAAACAAATGCTGGTCCCAGACTGGCCACAGACTCCCAGCACACACCCCTCCAAGTCTAACCTTCAAGAACAAGGTCAGAGTGAACAGCTAATTGTCGGGGAGATGGGGTAGGAGGGAACAGGTAATAATGAGAGAGGTATCCAAAACTAGAGACAGGGACCTGGAGGTAAGGCAAGGCCATGACAACATGGAAGGGCGGGGAGAGATGTCACGATGGAGACGAGACAGCCCCACCTAGTCAGGCCCCCACACCACGGCCCAGCCTATCCATCTGCCCTCATCACCGCAGTTCCCCACCGACCCCATATAAGGACCTTGAGCTAAACCTTCCCACCACCCACTTTGCACATACTGTTTCACCCACTGTGCATACTGTTTCCCTTCCTCCTAGTAGCCTCCTGAGTAGCTGGGACTACAAGCGCCCGCCACCACGCCCGGCTAATTTTTTGTATTTTTAGTAGAGATGGGGTTTCACTGTGTTAGCCAGGATGGTCTCGATCTCCTGACCTCGTGATCCGCCTGCCTCGGACTCCCAAAGTGCTGGGATTACAGGCGTGAGTCACCGTGCCCGGCCCAAATTTTATTTTAAAATAGCCACGCCTGAATGAGAGGAACGTATTTCTTCATATGGATCCAGATGCAGATGTAATTTATTGAGAACAAATTCTTTCAAGTGTGTTCTTCTGAAAGCACAGTGGCTGTTTCTCATTATGTATTTGTTCTATCAACAGATAGAGCACAAGTATGATTAGCAGGGAATGCAATATCTCATAGTAGAAAGGGGTCCTCCTGCTGACAACACAGTTTATTTTCTGAGCAGTTCACCAGGCCCTTACCCCTCCTAGTCAAATCTTATGGGGCCCAGGGATTTATCATGTACTCAGACCCATCCCTCACCGACCAGTATGTGAACAACATGAGGACAAGGGCACTGTCTCCTAGTCCGTGGTGGGAAGATCCTTTGTGCATCCTCAGTAGTAAGTAGCCCAGGGCAGGCCCCAAGTGAGCAGCCAATGTCCACCACCATTCCCCAGCCCAGAGGGTAGGGGTGGAGATGGGTAAACAGGGGATGAAGGAAGTGGAATTACACAGCCCTTTTCCCACGCTGCCCCTCCACCTTGGGCTGGGCCCCACCCCTACTGAGTAGAGGTCAGGAACTTGCCCTACTTTCACTGAGACTGTCCCCACCCATGGGCCTCCACACCCTTCCCCTGGGGTGGGCAGAAGGAGTGAGCTTTGCCTTCTCCAGCTCAGAAGTGGCCCTGGGAGCTTCCCCTCCTCGGCCCCAGGGCCTATTGCCAGCCCTGACCCGGCCACTTCCTCTTCCTGCTTTGGCAGTAGGCAGGGGGATTTGCACTGTGGGCAGGGAAGCACTGCCTACTGCCCTGGGGGCTTCCCGTGGGCAGCTCTGGGAACCAGGGGTGAAAGGTCAGGCCCAGGCTCTGCTCTCCTGGCCCTTGCCCAAGCCCTACCATGAGCACATGTATCACTACCTCCCCAAAACCAGCCTCCCAGGGACCCAGGCAGGTCAGCTAGTGGCCGCACTCCTCCCCTCAGCTCTCAGCAGGGGCGAAATATGGAAGAGCTATCAGAGGCATCTTTGTCCAGGAGCTAGCAAGCCTGATGTGTGACCTGAGGCCAGTCCCTTGTCCTCTCCAAGACTGCTTCCTCATCTGCCTAATGCAGACATCACCAGGCCCAGTGCTGGTAGAATTCAGTTCACAATGGAAAGGAGAGGCTCCACATCCAAATGTAGCACTGCCTGGGGCCTGGGCTCCCCCACTGTCATGGGAAACCTGTAATGGCAAGTGAGGGTGGAAGTCGGGAGGCAGGCAGTACCTCCAGGGCACAGGGAAGTGCTACAGGGGGATGGGTTCCAGGACCCCGACATATACCAAAATCCATGCATACTCAAGTCCCACACTCGGCCCTGTGGAACTCATGTCTGCAACGGGACAACCACAGCAGCCTGCAGCAGAATCCTGGGGCTGGCAGGGAGGGTGGCAGGGGCAGGAGATAGCAGGGTCCTCAGCTGGACGGGGGAGCCGGCAGCCCTCCTGCTCCAGGAACTACAGACAAACAGTAACCCCATCTCTACTTCTCCCACTCCTGGGCTGAGTGAGAGGAAAAGAGAGTGTGCCCAGAGATGTGGCTCTACCCAGCACTGGGAGAATTCTAGACTGTGTATGCAGCGAGTGGTCAATTAATACTCTGGAGAGAGCTAGTTAATTAAGGAGGTCAGGCTATGGCCACAGAGGCTATCTTCAGTCCAGTGATTTCTCTACCCCTCCCTCCCTCCCTCTCAGGCCAGAAGAAATTAACATACAGCATAAAAGAATAAGATCAGACTTCAGGAAGAACCACCAGACGGGGCTGGAAAACACAGACAAGATCACGGAGTTCCTTTGGGAAAGGTTGCCCCACGCCTTGAACCTCCCTCAGTTTCCCTCTCAGTCTCTTCAGCTCCTGGCCAGCTCTCTTCTCCTCTCGCCTTGGAGGGTCTCCCACCACCTTGCAGAACATCAGCACCCACCAAATTCCCTTGCCTCTGCCCAAGGTCTCCACCCAGCCTACGTGGGCAAAATTTCAAATTCCAAAATAAAAACTCTCTGATAACGAGTCCCAGCCGGAAAGACTGATGCACTTTCCTATTGTTAAAGTATTTTTAGTCACAGGCTCTGGATTCGTTTAGAGACTCACGTTCAGAAAGGGGAAAATTTTTTTTTGAGAACTGGGAAGGAGAGCACAGGAGCCTCCCACGTAAGGAGCTGCTGCCTGTTCCATGCCGGGCCAGAGTCCCTGGCCCAGGTCCCGGAGCGTGTTTGTGGCAAGCTGGTTGGCGGACTTGCCAGACCTCTCTCCAGCTCTGCTTCTCAGGCACCCAAAGCAGCTGGGAGGCCGGGCAAGGGCCCGGCAAGCGGGGCAGGCCAGGGACTGAGGGCTCAGCAGAACGCCAAGCCCCTGGCCCAGCCACTCAGTCCCAACTAGTGGGGGCTCAGGGGCCCCACTCAGAAGCCAATCCTGAGATACCCCAATGGACACCAAACTCGCCGCAGTGACCAGTGCCTCATCCAGGCGGGGTGGAGAGGAGAGGAGGACGGACACCCTGTGGGGAAGCTCTGAGAAAGGAGCTAGACTGCATTAGCTGTCTCTGTACACCTCTCCTAGTTCTCAGTCACAGCGTTCACAAGTCCAACTACCGTCATCCAGCTGTGGTCAAGCTGCACACTCATGCCTCCAGTTGTCGGCCACCCTTGCTTCCTCCCCGCAGCCCAAGGCCAAAGGGTTTGGCATGACAGTCACAATGGGAAAAAATCCAAACAGCCCAGCTCCCATTCCTCAATGTCCCTGTCCCAAGACTCACCAGCTTCCTCCTCACGATCTGCTTTGACCCTGGAAAAAGGTCCCAGACAACCGCACGAAGGGAGAATCCCAAGATTGGTTGGGGGCTCTTCCTGGTGGTCTCAGGGAGCCCTGTGGGGAGAGACGTGCTGCCCAGCCAGCCTATCCTCACAGCCGAGGCTGGGCAGCAGCTGAGCGAGCTCTGGATGTGGTGCTGCCTCCAAGCCGGCGTGTCCTCCTCTGTTTATATAGCAGAAACCAGAGCCGGCCTCTGGGGATGGGGGGAGCCACTTTGGGCCCTCTTGACTGGACCTGACTTTGGCCCAGGTCAGCAAGAGCCCAAAATAGTCAGCTGACGGGAGCCCCAGCATGAGCGTGACCCTGGGCCCGTGCCCAGGCCTGGCAGACAGGTGCCCACGTCACAAGACCAGCAGCTCTAGCACTCATGGGGCCCCGGTTGGCAGCCCCTCAGGGTGGCCTTGGCAGTATATCTGGCATGGGAGTTCCACCCAATCACCACCATCACCCAGACAACGAGGTAAACACAAGGAATTCTGCCCACCAGGGCTGCTGTGTACCCAGAGGGAGGGCTGAGTGCTCAGGAAGCTGGGTCTGGACTGGGGGCGGATGTAGGGGCCGAGTTGAGGGAGGGACACCTGGCCACTGCTGTCATCCTCACTCACGTGCTTCCCAAGTCCAGATCTCCAGCTGACCAGAGAACACCTGCCTCTCCCCCTTACAGTAATTCCTCTCCCTGTCTTCAGCCCGAGGTTGGTGGTACAGCACCTGCTGCCATCAGGAGGCCAGGCACACACCCAGCCCTGCCCCCAGAACAGGAGGCCCTGCTTCCCAGGGCTTCCCCCTTCCCTCCAGGCTGGGACCAGACACCCCATCCTCCCCACCCCAGCCACCTCTCTGGGGCTCTCTGCACCCTGAACGCTGACCCCCCATGAGGCAACAGTGTTTGGGAAGCTGAGGGAGATACTGAGCCAGTGCGTGCTTCATCCGGGATTTCTCAAGGCCTGGGAGGGCTGCTGCCCAAAGATGGCCCTCTTCCAGGGAAGGAGGAAGGGAATCTCATGACCCCTGTCTGGGGTGCAAGGCAGAGCTCCAGCTCCTTTAGGCACAGAACCAGGACTACAGTGCCCTTGGCCCCATCTCATGTCCCCAGGAAAGGCCTGCTGAAAATCCCATTCCCGTCCTCCACCTCTCAGCCCCAGATCAGTGTGGGCCTTCTCCGGAAGCACCCTCAGTCAAGGAAGGTATGTCTTCCACAGTCAGACCAGGTGCCTGTGCTTGCCAGCCACCCAGGAGGCATGGTTCTGGGCTTGGCTCTACACATCCTCACTGCAGGACCCCTGGAAAAGTCATTTCTCCCCTCTGTACCTAAGTCTCCTCTTCTGTAAGTGAAGGAGATGTGCTAGAACACCAGTAGTGGAAGGGCTGTCCCTGCCTTCCCATTCACAGAGGCCACCCCCGACACCACAGACTCCATAGGCCCTCTGGCCTGCCACAGTGAGGAGGGGCAGGCACCATGCTTTCCACGAGGAAGGGGAGGTCCCAGCCTTCCCTTCATGCACTCACCTGGAGAAGTGTCTACACCTGGGAGACAGGCCAGTTCCCCGCTGCCACGTCTGCCCCATGATGCTCCCAGCCCAGCCCCCAGACACCCTATTCTACCCTATCTGCTTCCTGGAATCAGGCACATGCTGCCTTGGGAGCAGCTGTCATCCCCTACTCCCACCAGCCCGTGTCACCTAGGCCCAGAGAGCCCTCCAGCCTATCCTGCCAAGAAAATAAGGCTTCCCCAGTCCCCACACTCACACTACCCCAACCTCTAAAGAAATCAGATCCCGCACACTGAACAGCACCTCGGCTGCCACCTCCCCAGGGCTTCCCCTCCATCCCCCTAACCACATCCGCTTTGGGCAGCTCCACCCCCACCTCTGCCCCCCAACCCCACCTGCTGGAGGGGTGTACAAAGGACAATAGCAGAGCACTTACCACTCTGGATGGACCAACAGGCCTTGGCCAACCACATTATCCCGTCTGCCTTCAGGGCCCAGCAGAAGGAGCCAGGCTGCCTGGGAGGGGCAGGGCCTGGCCTCTGTCCATGGTGGAGGCCTACAGAGGGAGAGTCGATGTGAGTGAAGAGAAACCAGCCAGCAGGCACATTCCCTGGAGACAGCATGCCCAGGACACGCAGGAATGGGAGCAGTGGCAGGACCTAGGCCACAAGAGGGGGACAAGCCAGCGCCCAAGGACCTCCCCGGGTTAGGCATTGGAGCCTGGGGGCCGAGGCCCCAGGCAATCTGCTTCCAGGGGTGTAGGGTGTGGCCAGGAGCTGCTGATAGCATCTGGGGCATTTCAGAGCCATATAGACACATCAGCATCTAGCAACTCCACCTCATACCCTTCCTGGCTCTCGGCCTTTGACATGCACAAAAGGGCATGCTGCGGGCACAGAAAGGGAGCTATTGTGAGGACAGAGCGGAATACCCCACTCTCCTTAAGGGGCTCCAGTTTGGCCCCTAAAGCCTCGGAGGCCCCCAAGAGACAGGGGCTCCACTCAACTTAGAGTAGAGTGGATGTGGGATCCCAGACCGTCTGGGTTCGAATCCTAGCTCCACTGCTTATCACCTTGGGCAAATTACATAATCTCTTTGTACCTCATGCTCCTCATCTGTAAAAATGATGACATCTGTAAAATTAACAATCACAGGCTTATCAGCAGGCTTAAAAAAAAGTTAATGTGTAAAAGACTTAAGGACAGTGCTGGATACACATATCTACTACATATCAATATTAGGAGAAGTTCAATGAGGACACACACATAAAAGCTAGCCCCAACCCCTGGTTCCTAGTCCAAGGTACCCTGGGCACCTGGCCTCTCCTTCCAGGGTGGAAGCCAACTGTGTGCCTCACCCCACACCCCAGCCTCTTCAGCTCTCCCCCAACCCCATTCAGCCACGGCACCTTGACCCACATCTCCCCTTCTCTTCTTCCATCCCCTCCAGTGCTCTCTCCTCTCGACTACGCACCAGAGTGAGGGCAGGACCAGGCCTTCACTGGCTATTGGACTGCCCTTCAGACTGAGATGAGGTCTGGGAAAAGAGAAGGAGATGATGGGAGCTAGGAGGGGCAAAGAGGAGGAGGACCCCAGAGGGTGGGCAATGGGCTTCCTCACCCACCTGACCTTTGCCCAAGGTCTACAGGCCAAGGGAAGATCCTCTGGCCCACAGTACCCAGGCTCTCCCCTTACAACATTGTCAGCACCCCTCCCTCCCGATCCTGTGGGTATGATGGGAAGCAGGAAAAGGCCACAGGAGACAAGGAGGGAAGGGAGGGCAGACTGGAACATCTGGAGCACCTTTAACCCCAAACAGAAAGCAAGACAAGGTTTCCAACCTGCCCCGGCCCATGGACTACACCTGCTTTCCAGGATGACAGTGTCATCCTCCCATCCCCCCGAAACTGGTCTGTAGTTTCCCCCAGCTTTGTCTTTTCTCCCTACCACCCCACTGCTGAGGAGGAAGGGTAGGGAGGGCCAAATACCACCTACCATAGTCAGGCCCAACCTGAGTGCCCAGGTCTTCCCCATCTGGTTCTCAGAACGGGGGCCAGAGTTTGGCACCAGGTGGTGCCCACAAATGATTCATAGCATCTTCAAACAGGTATCTGTTTCCCCACTTGTTCCAGATCAAAATGCCCCCCTCAATAGTCACATCACAAGCATTTACTGAGGACCCCCGGGAGCCAGGCAGTGTGCCCCGAACAACAGGAGAGGCAAGAATGAGCACACCAAGATCCCAGAGCCCCAGGAGCTGATAAGGGATGAACCAAGGTCAAGTACAGTCTGCACTGTGCAGAGAGCAAACCAAAGGCTGAGTGGGCTTGGAGGAGGAGAAAGTGGCCCCCAAAATGGGGTGGACCATCAGGCCAGACTTCAGTCCCCAGCTCCTGCTCCCCACCAACCTCATTTCCCAGCCACTCACTATGGTCCCATCACGTGGGCCTTCTCTCCCCACTCAGGGCCTCTGCATCTGCCATTCCCTCTGCCCAGAACTGGCTCTTTCTCATCAACCAGGTTTCCATTCCCATGTCACTTCCCTGAACAGCTTGCATCCCCACCCCACCACACTAGCCTGATTTTATTCATCATAGGTCTAATGTTCACATCTGTTCACTGGTTTATCACCTGTCTACCCAACCAGAATCTAAGGACGCTGTCCATCTCAATCACTGCAGAGTCTGCAGTCTCTAAACCCTGCTCAGCACTGGCAGGTGCTCAGTAAGTGTGCGTGGAAGGGTGGTGGATGCACATGCCTGCATTGGAGCTGTGCTGGGAGGAAGGTCAGCTAGGTGGGGAGAGCATTCCAGCTCAGGAGCTGTCCCTTCCATTTGGCGGCAGATCCAAGAGCCAGAGCAGAGGTTCTTCCTTATGTTGAATCACATCCCTGACTCTAAAAGTCCCCAGCCCTGGATCCCAGCTCTGTCCCCTGCACTGGCCCACAGGAAGCCTCATTCTAGTCCTTCCTAGCAAGTATTTTAGTCTTTTCTTAATAAACTGCCCCTTGCAACAGGACACCGCTGACAGGCCCTCTGCGTGACAGGTCCTGGTGGCCTCCTGAGTACAAGCTCTGCATTGGCCAATATCCCTACCCAGAAGTGGGCATATTACTATTATTAGCAATAACAACAGCAGCTAATATTTGTTAAACAACATGTGCCAGATACATTAAGCACTTTACATGCATTTTCTCATTTCAGCCTCACAATGTTATGAGGAAGGGATTATTATTATGCACATTTTACCAATGAGGAAACTAAGGCCCAGAAAGAAATGTTAAGCAACTTGCCCAAGGTCACACAGCTAGGAATTGGCAAAACTGGGATTAGAACCCAGGGAGCCTAACCAAGGAGTCCAGAATCAGGCATTCTCGCTCCCCCTGCCACCCACTTGGACCTGTGTAGCGGATGGAGGCTTCACACTGCACAGAGCAGTCCCACAGCCTCCATCCAGAGAGCAGGGCAGAAGCTAAGGGCCTGGGTCCCTGGGCCTTTGAGCCAGGCACAGGGCCTGAACTCCTCAGCTGACTTTCTTAAGTCCAGCAGAGGCCTCAGCACAGGAATCGTCAGTCACATTCACACCGTTAATCTCGGCCCATCCTTCTGCCCAGTTACCTTCAATTAGAATCTTGATTTTATACTGTGCACTTGTCATTCCTCACAGCTCTGGATGACTACACGGAGTCAGCTGACTTCCTTTTTAAGTCTCCATCCAAGTCACTGATCTTAAATGTTCACTTGGAGTAGATCTAGGAGCAAGCCTTGTAGCCCCACCACTAGGGCCCCAAGCCAGGCCGACGACAGCCCCCAAATCCATCAGCACCCAGTGGGCATAACTGTTGTGAACCTACCAACCTCTGCCCAGCCTGTGTTTTCCCAATGTGCCCCTAATACTAGCCCCACAACCAAATTAACAATTCACTGTAAATAAACCACCTCTGCAGCATTTCTCCCATCCCCAGGTCATCTATCAAAAACGAAGGCATAAAAAGGGAATGAGCCTGCCAGGCGCGGTGGCTCACGCCTGTAATCCCAGCACTTTAGGAGGCCGAGGCAGGCGGATCACAAGGTCAGGAGTTCCAGACCAGCCTGGCCAATATGGTGAAACCCTGTCTCTACTAAAAATACAAAAATTAGCCGGGCGTGGTGGTGGGTGCCTGTAGTCCCAGCTACTCTGGAGGCTGAGGCAGGAGATTCGCTTGAACCCGGGAGACGGAGATTGCAGTGAGCCGAGATCACGCTACTGCACTCCAGCCTGGGCAACAGAGCGAGACTCCATCTCAAAAAAAAAAGAAAGGGGGGGCGTTGGGGGGGAATGAGCCAAGTCAAGGAACTGTGCCCTGCCCTCCACACAGCCAGACCACCATGGAGGAGGTCTGGAAATACAGACCACCCCCGCCCCCACCCCACCCAGTATAAGGAAGATGTTGCGGCAAAAAAACAAAACAACAACAAAAAAACACGCCTGGGAGACACAAGCCCCGAGTCCTAATCCCCAGCTCCGCCTGACTCCACGAGACCCCCAGCCTTGGTTTCTTGACTCAGTCCCTCGAAGGGGTTGCATCACGCAGCATCGGTCCCTCCCGGCTGGGTCTCCTGGCAGACGAGCTCCCGCGCTCCTGGAACCGGTTCCCGCAGCCGGCGGAGAAATGGAAGGAATTTCTCTGGCCTGGCCACCTCCAGCGCCCCTCGTGGGCCAAACCCCACCCTTGGCGGACTGGGGAGAGAAAGCCTTGGCCGTCGCCCTTGGGGGCTGACTCGGAGCCAGCGGTTCCGCTGGGAATCCAGTCCCCCCCCCGACTCCCCAGTTTCCAAGCGGGACTCCGGCGTGGCCCCGAGCCCGCCCAAAGGCATCCACCGAAGACCCGAGATTGCCCGGCCTCTCCGGGGCCCACCTCCCGCCACCCCGGCAGCCCCTCACCTGGCCCCGCGGGCTCCGCTCGCCTCTCCACCCCCGCTTTCCGGGGTCGCGCACCAGCCGGCCCTGAGCTGCTCTGCACCGCAGGGGCGCCCATGCCTGGAGGCCGGGGGTCCCGGGCGCCGCGAGGGGACCCCCGCCAGTTCCGCCGCCGCCGCCACCTCCTCCTCGCGCTCCTGCAGCCGCGCCGCAGCCGCTCAGCGCCCCCCGCCCCCGGGAAGCCCCCCGCCCGCAGTTCCGGCCGCGCGGCGCCCCCCGCCCCCGCGCCCGCGGCCGCCCGCGCGCTGTCCCAGCCCCGGCGCGCCTCCCCCGGCGGGCGGGGCGGGGACCGTGACGCGTGCCCATTGACGTCTCCGGAATCCCGGCGGCGGCGGCCGACGCAGCCTCATCAATGGGGCTAAAAATAGCGGCGCCCGGAATAGCCGCGAGCGCCCCGCCCCGCGGCTCCCCCCACGCCGCACACCCGGTTACATAACCCGCGGCCAGAGCCGGGGAGCTGGTTCTCAGGTGAGGGTGCCGAGGTCTCGCTCACACCTTCCGAGGCTGGGCACCTGGGGCTAGGTTATAAAGAAACTTAGCCGGGGCTTCCCCAGGAAGAGGTGGAAAGAGCGAGGCCCAGAGAGACTCGGTGGCGGTCCAAAGTCACAGCGATTCGGCTGCTGGCGAGGACAGGGCCTGGCCTTTGAGTCTGCGGGCGCCCTGCCTGCATCGCTTGGCATTCATGCCACCCCAAGGGCAAGGAACCCAGGTAGCAGGGCACCCAGCTTCCACACGAGAAGGCAGCTTACAGAGAAATAGGACTTTCTCCTGAAGAGGGCACTTCCCGAGGCGGGGGTGCAGGCCCCGGCAAAGCCCAGGTGATGGATTCACTGATCTGGCTGCTCCCATACCACTGTGTGACTTAGGACAGTCACTTGACCTCCTGAGCCTCAGCTTCCTCGTCTCTAAAACATGATATGATCAGATTATCCACCATATCTGGCTGTCAGGATGATAACAGCTGTGGAGGTGCCTTGTACACAGTAGATACTGAGTTAGTTCTCCCTGCTCTCCCCAATCCAAAGGAGTGCTTCATGCACTCAGAGGCCCACCACCGTGACCAGGAAGCCCTGGGAAGCCCACCCTCCTCTGACCAGAGTCTTCAGGCCCAGGCTTCCATGGTAAGAATTTTCCTGGGGGTGCAGGCACTTGGAAGGTTTCTCTCTCCCATGTGACTGGAGCCCTCTTTGGAAATGGAAGAACCATCCTGTCCTGAGCAAATCCTTCTCCCCCAGCAGCTGCCCACTCAGGAGAGGCTGGTCAGGAAGGCCCGGCCAAAGTTGGAGCAATGGGATTGGGGCTGGCTGGGTGGGGTTGGGGGTTACCATCTCTGCTCCTATACCCCCGTACAGGCAAGGTCATTGGGGAACACCCATTAGGGAGGATCCAGTCATGTGCTCTGCTGTGCCAGCCACTAGCCCCTGATCCTTTTTGGAGCCACCTTAAATTATGAGCATGCTATACAATCTCCAGCACCCAGCCCAGGCCCCACGCAGCAAAGAATCTCTTCTGTGCTCAAAATTCTCCAAAAGAGGCCCCACACCTCCACTCAGCCCTCATTCCAGGGGCTGCATTCCTCTCTCCACCCCACTGCCCACCCCCAGAAATCCTTTGCTGGACAAATCCTAAACTCTTGGCGCAACTCAGAATTCCCTTTCTCTCATTCTTCATAATGATTCCAAGAACCTCTGCAGAGTTTGTCTCTCAAAATCACATCCCAAGAACCTGTACATTTCTCTCCCAGGTTCAAGTATTAGGTCAATTTGCAGATAAAGAAACTGAGGCTTCAAAAATGACAAGGCGTTGGGGTGGGGGAAAGGGACTGACTTTTCCTCACTCACCCTGTGCCCTCCTGTTTCCTACCCCAGCAGCTTCTTTCACATGGGCTTCTTAGAGGAGCAGCTACCCCACCCCCTCTTTTCCTTTCTTTTTCCAGAAGTCTAACTTTTGAAATACATTTTAAAATATTTGCCTGTGTGGGAGAAATACATTTATTTAGACAGGAAGGGAAAAAAAGGGCTCAGTTACCAGTTTTTCCATGAAGGCTTCCAGCCCACAGAGGTCTCTCCTTTCCATAAATACTTTTAGCATAACTTGTCTTTATTATATATTCTCCTATTTATAATCAAATAAAACATATTCTAAAATGTGGAATGCCAGAACACGCACGCTTTGGGTGGCATGTGGAGGCGGCGTGAGATGGTGGAAGAAGCAGTCTCTAGAGGTCTGGGATGGACACTGGTTGTCGGAGGACTGAACAGATGTGGAGGTACCTTGTACACAGCAGGCACTCAGAGTTAGTTCTCCTCCCTGCTCTGCCCTAGGAGTCTCATTTCCCTAACCCACAAGAGGCTCTACCTCTTACCAGCTGCATGACTCCAGGGAAGTTACTTGCCCTCTCTGGGCTTCAGTTTCCTCACCTCAAACACAAAGATGATAAGAAACCTATCTCACAGGGTTGCCATGAGAGTGCCTCTTTGAGAGCAGACATAAAGCATGAAGCGGAGTCTGGCACATCATGGCAGATCTGCCATTTCCATACAGGAGGACTTGGAGGACTTGGGACCTTGTCTTGAAGCTGTACATCCAAGGTGCTTACCCTAGCTTTGCCCAGCCAGTATGTTTATTGGGAATACTGGGGGCCGTGGGGGCTGCACAGATAGGAGCAATGTCGCTTCTTAGTCATTACAAATGTCCAGTAAACGTCTGCCCTGTTGTTGTCTCCCTGATCCAGGTCACTCAGCTAGTGAGTTGCCCAGCCAGAACCATAGCCCTGGTCTTCTGTCTCCATAGCCCTGGTCTTCTGACTCCCAGGCCAGTGCTCTTTCTACCCAGCCTCTTGTTCCTTCATATCTAATTCCTCTCCTTTCTACAGGCACTGCTTCACAGCCCCTATTGCAGATAGGAAAGGTGAGGAGAGAAAAGGTGAACAACGTGCATGGCCCAGGGAGTCGGAGCAGAGGGGAGACAGGCCACCATGGCCAGTGACGCCCCACATTGTGGGAGGTTCCTAGAGGACAAGCTCCTACACAGAAAGCTGGCTCCTAGTCTGATGGGGAGGCAGGACACAAGAATAGGTATGGAAACATTGCCAGGACATCCAAGAAGTGGCCTCCAAGAAGCCTTGAGCTGGCATTGGGGTAGAATCTAGAGGACTAGTCTCAAGAGGCCTCCCTGGAGGAAGAGAATGTAGGGCCCAGTGTGAAAGAAGAGACAGGACCAGGCAGGGTATAGAGAAAAGGCACTCCATGGAGGAGAGAGGCTGCCCCCAAACCTTAGGTATGCGGCAGGGCAGGGCTGAGATCCTGAGGGTGGGAAGTAGTGGGCCAAGGTAAGCCACAGGACCCAGGACCATAAGCCAGACTCTCAGTGGCCCTCCCCAGGTGCCCTTCCATCTCACAGCATCTGAAACTCCACCCCACCTAGGAGACACCCTTCCACTCCACCTCCATCCTGGCCCTCGGGGGCGGGGGTAAAAGGATGTCAAGGGGGTTCCCTAGGGCATTTGGGCAGAGAAGGGGCTCCCCTGCTCAGGCCCTGGCCCTGAATAAGGAGAGGGGCTGTGGAAGGGATTCCCTTCATGGTTTCCTTCCTCTTCTTGAGGATCAAGAACTACCTGGCCGGGGTCCCCCGACCTCTCCCCAGGCTTAAGAGCAATTTAAGGGCCGAAAAAATAGAGACACAAAGACGGGTCTTCCTGGGGCTGTCTCAGGGCTCAGGGGCTGTCCAGAGACACCGCCCAGATGGGGTTACACTCTCCAGATTGCATAAGGATGAGGAGACCCCACTTGGTGTTTTCGAAGCACTTCCACGTTTGCTCTACTTAGTTGCCATGGAAGGCGTCAGGGCCCCAAGAGAAAGTGGCCAAGGTCTCCAGACCGGAAATGGCAGAGCTGGAATTAATGCGAGATTTCCCCTAAATCCAGGCCAGGGCTCTTAAAAATCCTCTGCAATTTTATTTGTTAAATTACAAAATCAAACATGCTCGTGGTAAACAAATGTGAGCGTTTCAGGCCTGCGTGATTTACGAAGTGAGAGGCCCGTAATCGCACTCCCAGAGGAGCGAGGATTTGGTCATCCTCCGACGACGGCTTCCAGATTTTTCTCCGCGTCGCCAGAGATGGGATCTGGCCCGGCGGGTCCTCCCTGAGGGGCCCGCGACCGGAACGCCGGGCCGGAAGGAACAGGGCCGAGCCCCAGCTGCGCTCCCGGGGGCGGCCGGGCTGGGCGGGGTGGGGCCGGGGAAGCCGCTACGTCACTAGCCAGTCCGGAGGGAGCCGCAGCAGGTCCAGCCAGGATTCCATTACCTCACCCGGCGGCGCAGAGCTGCGGCTCGGTCAACACCCCTGCACACCATTGGCTACGGTGCCGCCCCTCCGACCAATAGCACGGGCGCATGCAAATGAACCATTGAGCCGAAGCTTCCTTCGGGTCTGCTGCAGGCGAATAGACGTCATTGGGAGGATGGGGGAAATGAGTTAAGAGGGGTCCCGAAATCTGTAGAGTGCTGGTTTGGGGGCTCGCCATCCCAAATCTGTTCCAGCCTGTCCTGAGGAAAATGGAGTGTAATTAAGGGTGAGCACCCTTAATTCTTGAGCTGTCTTTCCAGATACACCTCGCTGCTTGGAGATTCAGTGAACCTAAGAAAAGGTGCAAAAACTATTTAGGTCAACTTGGAGAGCAGGGGAAGGAAGAAATAAGAAATAAAGAGGTACCGAAAGCTGGAACATACTTCGGAGAAACACCTAGGCCAGCCCTCTCACTGGAAACACAGCACAGCACAGAACAAAACAGACACAGCTCCTGTCCCCGGGCTGACAGCCAAGTAGGAGAGATGAATGTTCAACAATCTTGCACATAAGCAGTAAGTGCCATGGTGTTAGCCAGCGTTCTCCAGAGAAACAGAACCAATAGGATGGATATACAGAGATATAGAAAAAGATTTATTATGAGGCATTAGCTCCCATGATTATGGACGCTGAGAAGTACCCAGGATCTGCCCTCCGCAAGCTGGAGTAGTTCCAGTCCGCGTCTGAAGGTGCAAGAATCAGAGCATGGATGTCTGAAGCAGGGAAAATATGGTGTCCCACCTCAAAGAAGAGCAAATTTGCCCTTCCTCTGCCTTTTTATTCTATTCAGGTCCTTAACAGATTAAATTATGCCTGCCCATAGCGGTGAGGGCGGTCTTCTTTACTCAGTCTACTGATTCAAATACTAATCTCTTCCAGAAACAGCCTCACAAATACACCTAGAAATAACATTTTACCAGCTATTTGAGCATCCCTTAGCCCAGTCAAGTTGACACTTAAAATTAACCATCACGGTGGCTCAAGCCTGTAATCCCAGCACTTTGGGAGGCCGAGGCGGGCGGATCACTTGAGGCCGGGAGTTCCAGACCTGCCTGACCAACATGGTGAAACCCCGTCTCTACTAAAAATACAAAATTAGCTGGGCGTGGTGGCGGGCACCTGTAATCCCAGCTACTCCGGAGGCTGAGGTAGGAGAATTGCTTGAACCCAGGAGACGGAAATTGCAGTGAGCCGAAGGTTGCAGTGAGCTGAGATTGCGTCACTGCGCTCCAGCCTGGGCAACAGAGCGAGACTCCGTCTCAAAAAAAAAAAAAAAAAAATTAACCATCACAACCATAAAGAGAAAATGAAATGGAGGATGTCAGTGAGATATTTAACAGGCAGCTGTAATTTTCGCAAGGGATGGATAAGAGAAAGCTTCTCCAAGGAAGTAGCTTTTTTATTTGTTTGTTTGTTTGTTTTGAGACGGAGTCTCACTCTGTCACCCAGGCTGGAGTGCAGTAGCATGATCTCGGCTCACTGCAACCTCTGCCTCCCAGGTTCAAGCCATTCTCCTACCTCAGCCTCATGAGTAGCTGGGATTACAGGCGCATGCCACCAAACCTGGCTAATTTTTGTATTTTTAGTAGAGATGGGGTTTCACCATGTGGGCCAGGCTGGTCTCACACTCCTGACCTCATGTGATCTGCCCGCCTCGGCCTCCCAAAGTGTTGAGATTACAGGCGTGAGCCACTGTGCCTGGCGGGAAGTAGCTTTTAAACTGAGGGAAGGCTGGGCACCACTGGAGGCTCATGCCTGTAATCTCAGCACTTTGGGAGGCCGAGATGGGAGGATCATTTGAGCTCAGGAGTTTGAGACCAGCCTGGGCAACGTAAGGGAGACTTTGTTTCTACTAAAAGTAATAATAATAATTAAAAAATAGCCTGCTTGGTGTTACGGGACTATGGTCCCAGCTACTTCAGGGCGGAGGTGAGAGAATCACTTGAGCCCAGGAGTCTGAGGCTGTAGCGAGCTGTGACAGCACCACTGCACTCCAGCCTGGGCGACAGAGTGAGACCCTATCTCAAAATAAATAAACTGAGGGGAGTTTGTCGGTGGAGAGTTAGGGGAAAGGGATAAGTTGCAGGGAGAGGAAACAGTAATGAAAGAGTGCCAGCTTGTTAGAGCAGCAGAGTAAGGCAAGTGGCTGGAGGCCAGTGACTAAGGGGGACAGAGCTGGGGATGCGCGAGAGGAGCACTCAGCCCAATCCACAGGCCCTTGTGCCAGACTCTGTGCCGATGACTTTTTTCCTTTGTCTCTTCTTTCAGCAGCCATCTAAGGTGGGCACTATTTTAGTATTGAGGAAACTGAGGCTCTAAAAGGTTAAGTAGGCCAGGTGTGGTGGCTCGCGCCTGTAATCCCAGCACTTTGGGAGGCCAAGGCAGGCGGATCACATGAGGTCAGGAGTTCGAGACCAGACTGGCCAACATAATGAAACCCCGTCTCTACTAAAAATACAAAAATTAGCCCAGCATGGTGGCCTATGCCTGTAATCCCAGCTACTCAGGAGGCTGAGGCAGGAGAACCACTTGAACCTGAGAGGTGGAGGTTGCAGTTAGCGAAGATTGCACCACTACACTCCAACCTGGGCAGCAGAGCAAGACTCCGTCTCAAAAAATAATACAAAATAAAAAATAAATAAAAGGTTAAGTAAACATGTCCAGTGTCACACAGCTGAGAAGTAGCAGAGCATGGATTTGCATCCAGACCAGTGTGGCCTCAAAGTCCTTACACTGAGCTGCTATGTTATTGCTTCCCAGAGAAGTTGAGCTACCCAGAGGTGAAGGGATTTGCCCTTCATTTCATGGCTTGCTGCAGAGCTGGGACCCCCGCCTCAGAGAGTTCTGTAGATACTGTGAAGGGAGACAGGGCCTAAGGAAGGGGAGAGGGACAGGGAGGGCGGAGAAAATGCCCCTGCAGCAGCATTCCCTGAAGACCTTGCCTGTGCCCACACCCTGCCCATGTCTTTGTGCCTTTGTGTGCAAGAGTCCTTCTTGCCCAAGCTGGAACTTAGGGTTTGCTGGGGTAGAAAGATGCAGAAGTTTATAAGTGTCCACTTCTAGGGGTGTGCTGCTGGCCAGCAGCCACCGCCCTGAGGGCTGTAGGAGGGCTGGCCACTGGGGCAGCCCAGATTAGCTGGATTTTGTGTGCTGTGCCTGTTGCTAAGTAACGCTGCTCCTGCTCTCACCAGGGGAGCCAGCTCTGGTTACCGGTGACAACCCTCAAGGGAGAGTGCCTGGAGAGACATGAGGCAGGCGGGAGGGAACTGAAGGAAGCCAAGCCCTTCCCCACACAGGTTTATATGGCAGAGGGGTAGGTATTCCTTAGCTCTCTGGTGTTCTGTCTTGTGTGTGTGTGGTTTTTGTTTTTTGAGACAGGGTCTCATTCTGTTGCCCAGGCTTGAATGCAGTGATGCAACCATAGCTCATTGCAGCCTCAGCCTCCCTGGCTCAAGTGATCCTCCCACTTTTGCCTCCCAAGTAGCTGGGACTACAGGTGTATGCCACCATGCCTGGCTAATTTTTGTATGTTTTGTAGAGACGGGGTTTCACTCTGTTGCCCAGGCTGGTCTCAAACTCCTGAGCTCAAGCAATCCACCCACCTCAGCCTCCCAAAATGTTGGATTACAGGTGTGGGCCACCACACCGGCCGTCTCTGGAGTACATTAGGGGCCTGTTTCCCCTGTGCCTTGGCCATGGGCTCAGAACTGCAGGACCCACAGGCACACAAGGAGGGTGCAAAGTCATGGGCAGGGTCTGGGCACAGGCAGGGTCTTCAGGGAATGCTGCTGCAGGCGTTTGGAGGGGAATTCTGCCCCCACATCTGAGCACCAAGGAGAGAGGTGGAGTGTGTGTGCATGTATGCGTCCCTCCTGTCATTGGACAGGCAATCTGTGGTCAGGCAGATGGGGCAACTCACTCACTTTCCACTGCTCTTTTAGAAAATGTCCCACACTTCTCCAGCTGGGGGCTTCCCACCTGTCAGAAGGTCCTGGAATCAGAGTAAACAGGTCCTAGCTCCCTGGGAGTGCCTATTATGCCTATTCCACTAAAGGATTTGGGGAATACTAGAGAGATAATTTCACTTAAAGCATTAATATTTTTAGGGAGAAGTTGAATTTTGGTCTTTTTGTTTTTGTTTTTGTTTTTGTTTTTTAAAATGGAGTCTCGCTTTGTCACCCAGGCTGGAGTGCAGTGGCACCATCTTGGCTCACTGCAACCTCCGCTTCCCGGGTTCAAGTAATTCTCTGCTTCAGCCTCCCAAGTAGCTGGGATTACAAGCGCCCACCACCACGCCCAGCTAATTTTTGTATTTTTAGTAGAGACGGGGTTTCACCATCTTGGCCAGGCTGGTCTTGAACTCCTGACCTCGTAATCCACCCACCTCGGCCTCCCAAAGTGCTGGGATTACAGGCATGAGCTACCGCGCCTGGCCTGGTCTTTTTGTCTTTTAAGCAGGTATCTTTTTTGTTTTTTTGTTTTGTTTGAGACGGAGTCTTGCTCTGTCACGAGGCTGGAGTGCAGTGGCTCAATCTCAGCTCACTGCAACCTCCGCCTCCTGGGTTCAAGCAAGTCTCCTGCCTCAGCCTCCCAAGTTGCTGGGACTACAGGCATGAGCCACCACGCCCAGCTAATTTTTGTATTTTTAGTAAAGACGGGGTTTCACTATGTTGGCCAGGATGGTCTCGATCACTTGACCTCATGATCTGCCTGCATCAGCCTCCCAAAGTGCTGGGATTACAGGCGTGAGCCACTGCTCCCGGCCCCTTAAGCAGGTATCTTAAAGGCACAGAATTGGCATGGCCATAATCATTCATACTTCTCTCTTCTTTTTTTTTTTTTTTTTTTTTTTTTTTGGAGACAGGGTCTCACTTTGTCACCCAGACTGGAGTGTAGTGGCACAATCTTGGCTCACTGCAGCCTCAACCTCCTGGGCTCAAGCGATCCTCCCATCTCAAACTCCCGAGTAGCTGGGACTAAAGGCACATGCCACCACGCCCGGCTAATTTTTGTATTTTTTGTAGAGACAGGATTTCATCATGTTGCCCAGGCTGGTCTCAAACTCCTGGACTCAAGCAATCCTCCCACCTCAGCCTCTAAAAGTGCTAGAATTACAGGTGTGAGCCACCGCACCTGACCAACATAATAATAATTCTTAACATATGATCACCATATGCTGGGAGAACGCCCTCCTACACTCCTGAGCCTAGCCACGTTACTCTCAGAAGTAAGGGTGTATGTGCCTAGTCCCTGGAGGGGTGTGTGGCTCTGCCCTCTGCAGTGGGCATCAGAGTGTGTGGGTGCCCCCCTGTGCCCAGGGCCACCAGTTCAGTAACAGAGTGGGCCGTGAAACAGGAGGCATGGGGATGTGGGTGGAGTGCAGCCCTGGAATGACACCTGCAGCCCCCACGTGCACCCCGAGTTTCTCAGGCTCCTCTTCCTCTTTCCTTGCGGGCCCTTAGCACAGGACTCAGAGCAGCAGAGCTCTCAGCCCTCCCAGTGCTGACTGTCTGCAGAGATCCAAGTGCTTGCTCTGGGCAAGGCCCTGGCTCCCAGCATCCAGAGGCTGCCAGTGGGCACAGCGTGGCTGGGAGCTGCCTTAGCTGCTCAGGCTTGGGAGAGGGACCATCCTGCGGGCACTCGAACCATAAATGTCCAGACACAGAATCACATCAGAGCCATCCTCAGCAGACCAGGCAGGGCTGCCTCCCAGGGAGAGCTGGGTAACCCGAGCTGCTGGCAGGCCCTCAGGTCACTTCAGGAGCACAGGGCGGTCAGCTGATGCTCCTGGGGACCATTCATCACGTCTCCCAGCCCAGCCGGTACAGCCTCAGCTATTTCCAGGCCTGGGTATGCAGCAGCTTATGTAACGGGCTGGAAGTCAGGGCTGGGCTAAGGGGCACTTGTGGTAGGGATGGGGCTGCTCCCACCTCCCACTGTAAGGCCCACCCCTCAGTCCCTAGTCTCCCTATGGAGATTTGTGGGGGGCCCACAGCTCTGGCTGGAATCCCTGTGGACAGCCACTGTGCCTATCAACACACCTCTCACTTCCTGGCCAGAAGATGCCTGGCCATCTGCGGTCCATGGAGTTGAGGCCACCAAGCAGCCTCTTCCTCAACCCCATCAGCCCTGCCCAGCCTCTGTGCTCTCACCTTCCCCTCCCCGCTCAGAGGAAGAGTGGGTATGTCTGCTGCTGCCCTCCGAGAGAACCTGTGCACATTCCTGAAGCCCCTCCTAGCTCCTGCAGGCCTAGTTTGGTGGGTGGTTAAGCTGGGCTCAAATACACATATTCCCAGTGTGGCTTTAGGCGGGCTTTGTACATCTGCTAAGCCTCAGTTGCTTGTTTGGGAAATGGAATGATAATAACAATATCTCCCTTTTGGTGTGGCTGTGACTGTGGGGCTTTAAGAGCACATTCCAGGAGGCAGATTGCCCAGCCCTGTCTATCTATGTGGCCTTGGGCCAGTCACTTAAGCTGTCCGGGCCTCAGTTTCCTTGTGTAGAACGGGACAGCGATATGACCTACCTCCCTGAGTTGTTGTGAGGATCCAGTGAGTTTTTATGCATAAAGCACTTAAAGAGTTCCTGGCATGAGGTCAGCACCATGTAAGTGTTGGCTATAATTAGACAATGTTTGGAGATCACTTTCCTCTGCCTTGGCTCCTAATAAGCTCTTGGTGAAAGGTAGTTGTTATTTTTAACTTCTTCGTTCTCCTTCACTGTCTTAATTCCCACCTTCATTTAGCCTTGCAATTTCCTTTAAATACCTTATCTTCTCCCCTCGTTTGTTGTCAATCTGCTGCACTACCAATAAAGGCGTGCATAAATTATATTTGTCCCATGTTTACATTCATAAAACATTTCCCATGCACTCCTGTCCCAACCTCACAGCAAACGCGTGAGCGAGCAGTGCAGCTCATGTCATTGCCCTCATTTTGAGAGCCCGGGACAGGGTGTGATCTGTCCAGAAGCATCAGCTGCTCAGGGGTGTGTCCAAGCCACCAGTGAGGGTATTCCGACCTTGGGCACCAGAGCACACCGGATGATGCACCCAGGGCGTGCCAGCTCGCTGCTGCCAGGGCAGATTAGCGCAGGGGGCCCTCCTGCTTCCGGTCCCAGCTGTGGGAGCGCCCACATTATGGGAGGAGAGGCCTGTGGGCTTTTTAAATACCTCCCATCCCAGCAGGATCCCCTGCGGCCCCCAAGTGCTGTACGGTGGTGCCCTCTGCTGGTAACAGGAGGTACTGCTACCTCTTATAAGGGAGGAAGGTGGATCCCTTCACATTTACGCAAAAAGCTAGCCAAGGCCGGCTATGTGCCAGGCCCTCTTCTAGGAACCACAGAGGAAAAGAACCTCGGAAAGCCCTGGCCTTTCATGGAGGTGTCTTCTATGGGAGGGATAAAGACAAAAACATTTATAAGAGAACGGCACATAACGAGAAGTGCAATGAAGAAAAACAGAGCCGGGTGAGCTGCTAGCGAATGATAGAGGGCGCTAGCGATACGGAACGGCCAGAGACGGCTTCTGCGAGGAGGCGACAATGTAGCAGGGAACTGAGCGAAGCTAGGAAAAGAAAGGCCCCTACCCGGGGAAAGGCCATGGAAACACAGGACCGGTGGGAAGGCGCTGAGATGGGGAAAGTCTGGGTACGCCGGAAGAACAGTGAGGCCCATGTGGTTGAGGGCAGTGCCGAAAGAGGCCTGGGGCGGTGGCTCACCCCTGTAATCCCAGCAGTTTGGGAGGCCGAGGCAGGTGGATCACCTGAGGTCAGGAGTTCGAGACCAGCCTGGCCAACATGGCGAAACCCCATCTCTACTAAAAATATGACAAATTAGCCGGGCGTGGTGGCGGCCGCCTGGAATCCCAGCTACTCGGGAGACTGAGGCAGGAGAATCACTTGAACCCGGGGGACGGAGGGTGCAGTGAGCCGGGGTTGTGCCATTGCACTCCAGCCTGGGCGACAGAGAGACTCTGTCAAAAAAAAAAAAAAAAAAGCAGCAGTGAGCAAGGTCCGAGAGGCGGAGGCCTCCAGCTCCTTCCTTACCACGTGGTGCATGAAGAAGGCAGAGCTCGTGCAGTCTCAGGAAGCAAAAGGAGAGCCCTAACCAGCATGCACTGGGCTGTGTGCGGGGCCTCACCGCTGCCTGTGAAGTGGGTATTCCTGGCATTACCACCATTTTGCAAAGGAGGAAACTGAGGCTGAGGAAGGTAGAGGTTGTGTGGTTTGCTCAAGGGTGGAAATATAAAGTCACAGAGCAAGAACCTAAATCCAGGTTTGTCTGACTCTAGTTTTTTGGTTGTTTCTTTTCTTTTTGGTTTTTTGTTTTCTTTTTCTTTCTTTCTTTTCTTCTTCTTCTTTCTTTCTTGTGACAGGATCTCACTCTGTCACCCAGGCTGGAGTGCAGTGGCCAGTGGCACAATCACGGCTCACTGCAGCCTGGAACTCCAGGATTCAAGCGAGCCTCCCATCTCAGCCTCTCCAGTAGCTGGGACTACAGACACTCAGATCATTTTTAAAAATTTTTTGTAGAGACGAGGTCTTGCTATGTTGCTCAGGTTGGTCTTGAACTTCTGCTCAAGAGATCCTCCGGCCTTGGCCTCCCAAAGTGTTGGTGAGCCACCCCTCTGGCCGAATCTGGGCTTTAAAACATAAGTTAAGCACTTGGAGAGAGAGAAAAAAAGGCAGCACAGAACAGCACGTAGAGAAGGGCCACAATTGTATTAAAATACGTATATGTATATTTTATATTCAGAAAAAAGGCTGAAAGCAATCCACTGCATGTGATAATCTCTGGAGGTGACTTATGTTTTCCTTCCACTGTGGGGCTGGGGCAGGGAGAAGGATGGTCGTCACCCCCGCAGAAGGCAAAAGACTGCCCTTAGCGTTGATAACAACCATACCTCACACTCACAGGCTCCTTCGCGGTTACAAAGGGTCCTTCTTCACTGCTGAGCGTTTGCTCCTCACCACAGCCATTTCACAGGAAAGGAAGCCAAGCCTCAGAGAGGCCGCGACTCTCCCTCAGATAGCCCGTGGCACGGCTGGGGCCAGGACCGACCTCTGCACGTTCCGAGTCCTGCAGGCGCATTTCCAGGAGAGAGGAGAGCTGGCAGAGAGGTCCAGGGGGGTCCAGGAGCCGGGCCGGGGGCGAGGTGACGAGTGTGGCCGTTCCCGAGTCTGCCGGCAGAGGGCGCCGCCGCCCCGCAAGTCGGCCAGGCCACGCCCCCTACCAGGACCCGCCCCTTTGCAGCGGGGAGCCACAGCACCCTGTGAGGAGCGGCTCGGCAGGCTGGGGTTCGAGGCCATGGGGATGAGAGGACGGTGGACGGGCTGGGCCGGGGCAGGAGGAGGAGCAGCAGGGGAGGGGCTGGGCCGGGGCAGAAGGAGGAGCCGCAGGGGAGGTCACCGGCGGGCCAGGGTCTGCGTGGGTGAGGGGTTGAGAGTGCAGAGGCGCCCGTGTCTGCGGCTGGGAGCGCGAGATGGAGGCGGGGTGGGGGCGGGCTAGTGCGAGGGGAAGGTCCCGGTGTGGCGGGCGGCGGTGCGCTACGGCGCCAGGACTTCCTGAGGCGGCGGGACTAGCTGCCTCGGGAGGCGGTTACTCACTCCGGCGCTGCCACCTGCTTCCTTCCCAGATCCCAGCAAAGCATAACCCCGAGGCCCCCTCTGCGCTCCCACCCCACTCGCGGCGGCGGCACGCCCAGGAGGGAGCTCGCCTCTGCAGCTCAACCCACAGCCTCGCGGCCCCGGGGTGGGCGAGGGTGGAGAGGGAGGGCGGTGCCCGGCGGACTCCACCCGAGCCGCACCGCCAGCCCCCAACCGCCGCAGTCTAGCCCAGGCCTTGAAGGCCAGCCTGCAGCCTCTTGAGCAGCGCGTGGGGCTCCAACCCCCAGCACCTCCACCTGTCCCATCTCTCCAAGCTGAGCCCCAACTCTGGTCTAGACGGGAACCCGTGAAAAGCAGACTCCGGCAGGGATCCCCTGCCGGCTGTGCGCCCCAGCCCCGCCTCCTCTCCATTCCGCTCGCCCCTGAGCACTGGCGATACCCAGCCAGACGACAGGGGCTGGACAGTGTGTTGAGCCCCACCCCCATCTCCTCCCTCGCCGCCACCCATACCTACCTCCAACCAAGGCGAGGACATAGATGTGTCAGCTAGGATCCCTGCCCTCTAACAGCTCCCAGTCTGTAGGGAGACGGCCACCATCCATACCAAAGCTTACACCAGGAAGCAGAAAGTGGTTCCGGGCCAGTGGGAGGCACAGGTCCTTAGCTCCCCAAGAAGACACAGCCTCAGGGGGCCGAGTTCGGCCAGTATTTAGAGTCCCAAGGATCTGTGTGGGAGGGAGCTCAGAGATCTCCAGAATTATCTTCAGTCAACATCCTTTCAATAAAGACTCACTAAGCACCTAGGGTGCTTTAAAAATACCAACGCCCCAGCCCACCCTAGAACTCCTGGATCAGAATCTCAAGGGGGCCAGGAGTGGTGGCTCACACCTGTAATCCCAGCACTTTGGAAGGCCGAGTTAGGAGAATTGCTTGAGCCCAGGAGTTTGAGACCAGCCTGGCCAACATGGCGAAACCTCTCTCTACAAAAAATACAAAAATTAGCCTGGGGTGGTGGCCTACGCCTGCAGTCCCAGCTACTCCAAACGTTGAGGATCGCTTAAACCCAGGAGATTGAGGCTGCGGTGAGCTGTGATTATACCACTGCATCCAGGTTGGACGACAGAGCAAGACCCTGTTTCCTGTTTCTTTTTTTTTCTTTCTTTCTTTCTTTTTCTTTTTCTTTTTCTTTTTTTGAGACAGAGTCTCGCTCTGTTGCCCAGGCTGGAGTGCAGTGTCCCAATCTCTGCTCGCTGCAACCTCCACCTCCCAGCTTCAAGCGATTCTCCTGTCTCAGCATCCCCAGTAGCTGGGTTTACAGGCATGTGCCACCACGCCCAGCTAATTTTTATATTTTTAGTAGAGACTGGGTTTCACTGTGTTGTCCAGTCTGGTCTTGAACTCCTGACCTCAAGTGATCTACCAACCTCCCAAAGTGCTGGGATTACAGGCGTGAGCCACCGCACCCAGCTGACCCTGTTTCAAAAACCAAAAAAAAAAAAAAAAACAGAAAAGAATTGCAAGGGGGAGGGGAAGGGTAAAAAGAATGGCAAGAGTAGGAGTATGGCCCTATCTGCTGTTAAATGTCCCCCACCCTACTGACTGCTGTAGCTGCCAGCCACTGGTCTTGCCTTATTTGCCCAGAGACCACACTCCTCAGAGAGAGTGGCTCCAGCCAAGCCCTCAATTAGAGTGAGATTTGGGGGGCTCCAGAAGAAGATGCTATGTATGCTGGGACCTGGGTGGGCTGTCACTCTGTGGGTTGCTGAGTGGACCAGATCAACTGTGAGTCACTAAAGGCTAAGTGACTCTGTAGGGGAGCAGCTGGGAAAGAGACCCAGAGGCAGTATTTGCATTTTTACTTTTTGCATAAATTTATATGTTCTCCCCACAAAGGCCAACTCCAAGATGGATCACTGAAGCTTAGGAGGTGTCCCTGAAAGCAAAAATTCATATGTCTTAGGCAACCTGGTGGCCTCCTGCTCCTGGGAGGTCCCCATATTGATTGCATGCAAGACACATCTCTAAAAATAAAAATAAATTATAAATAAATAATAAAAACACTCTTGCATCTTGCTGTTGAAAAGTATGTTTCCTCTCCACTATCAACCCCAGTCCATGAGCTTTCATACCACACAGGGTTCTGTGCAGAGAAGGTCTGTTGGTTGGAGTCATTTAGTCATTTAGTTAGATGTTCTGAACTCAACTGTTCATTCATTCATTCAGACGTACCTGCCTTCGATCAGTGCTGGCATGAGATGGGGTTCACTCCCTTGGGAGCCCACAATCTGGGTGGTGGAGTGAGGAGAGGCCCTGGGACCAGAAGCAGTGGGAGGGTGTCTGAGCACTTCAGATAAATGATTGTGGGGTTCAGGGGAGGCTCCACTTTGTACAAGCGTGCAGCAGGCTGAGGAAGGGCTGAAGAGGTGGGCTCTAAGGAGGGAGGGAGGCTGCTCCCAATGGTTGGCTGATGGGAGAGCCCTGCTCTGTGCCCCTCTCCACCTGGTATGGTCCCGGCTCCCCACCAGGGGTCAGCACACTGCTGCACTCTGGCTGTTTTACTCTCTTGAGGAACTCTCTTGGGTTTCCGTGGCCCCTCCAGAGCCCTCAGCTTCCTTTCTGTCTCACTTCTCTGAGCCCATCACTCCCCACTTACGGTCATTTCATCCACCTGTCGGTGCAGGACCAGGCAGCCTCCCAGCCAGCCAGCCTGACGTCTCTCCTGAGCTGGGGAATCCCACAGCCTCCCTCACTTCCCAGCCTCATGAGCTTGGGCTGGGCAGCAGAAGGGGCCTCCTGCTGTCCTTCCTCTTCTCCTGCTGCCATTCAGCGCAAGGTCTCTGGTTTGGTTTCCAGGGGAAATGGGAGGGTCCAGAGGTTCACTCCTTCTAATAAGTTTTCCCACATGTGTTAGCAGAGCTCTTCTCCAAGCCCACCTCCCCTGTTTTGTGGACCCCACCAAGTCTCCAGAGCCCCCCTATGCTCCCCTTAGATGGGAATGCTCTCCCTCCCTCCAGCACAGCACCTGCATGCATGGAACCGGGAACTCTCTGGGCTGGCCCCTCCTCCTACTGCTCCCTGGCAAACCTTGGACCTGCTCTTTCGGGTCCTACCTCTCATATACCTCATATACCCACCATGCCAATACCACTTTTTCCACAGGCGAGGCCCCTAGCCTGAGAAGTTCAGCTCATTACTCACCATCTCTTCCACCCTGTCCTCACACCCCTTCCTCCAGGAAGACTTCCTTCTCACCACCCTAAGCTATAGAGACAAACAGGCATGAGAGCATCCTGGCCTTGCCAGGCGCCAGCTATGCTGCCTTAACCTAATTCTCAGTCTCTTTATCTGTCAAATAGAGAGCTTTCAGATGTACTGTGAGGTCTCAGTAAGGTAATGGATGTGGAAGTGTTAGCCCAGCACATAGGGACACAGAAGTCACCTATCCTTTTCTTTTTTTTATTTTTTGAGACGGAGTCTCGCTCTGTTGCCCAGGCTGGAGTGCAGTGGTGCTATCTCGGCTCACTGCAATCTCCACCTCCCAGGTTCACGCAATTCTCCTGCCTCAGCCTCCCAAATAGCTGGGATTACAGGCATCCATCACCACGCCTGGCTAATTTTTGTATTTTTAGAAGAAACGGGGTTTCGCCATGTTGGCCAGGTTGTTCTTGAACTCTTGACCTCAGGTGATCCACCTGCCTCGGCCTTCCAAAGTGCTGGGATTACAGGCATGAACCACCACGCCTGGCCACCTATTCTTTTCTTGTGGTGCAGCTGCCACCCCCACTGCCCACCCCCGAGCCTGATGATGGGAACCTGCCCTTGCTAGGCGCACTGGCTGCTTCTGCAGGGCTCTGTGGGGACCTCAGACCAGAACCCTATCAGCAGGGCCATGTCCCTCCCCTGACCATGCATGAAGCCTGGAGTGGAGGCCTCTGTCCTTCCCTGGAATTGTTGGGAGCCCCTTCTGCCCTAGCATGGGGGAGGGGCTCCCACAGAGTTCCCTGAGGCTTTGAGAGGAGCAGAAGGCTGGTGGGAGGCAAAGGAGGGGTGGCAGGGCAGGGGAAATACCGACCACACAATATTCTGAGTCCCTGCTCCTTTTCCCATCCACCCCCACCCCCTCTGCCAAACACGATCCCTGGGTTAATTTTTAGCATCGCAGCTCGCACATTAGTCACTCCCTGTCACCCACCTACACGGCAGGAGGCTGCTGTGCTGGTGCCGTCATCCCATCAGCTGAGAGGTGGGATCTAGCCCCGCCCTGGGCACCCCTCACCCTCCCCTATGAACTCACGGCTGGCCAGGAGTCCCCATCAGCCTGGGTGAGGGGGCACCGACATCACTCCTGGGAATAGCTACATGGCAGGGGGTGGGGACAGACTGGTGGCCAAGGGACTTGGACTCTCTACTCGGAGGAGAAATCTAGGGAGGCCCCTGCAGCCTTCCACCCCCTGTAAGGTGCCAGGCTATGCCCAGGCAGTTGGTTTCCTGGCAGCCTTGTATCTGGGAACAAAGGTGTGAGGGGGCCCCTCCCCTAGACCTGAGCCCCTGGGAGCCAATATTTGTCATCGTCACAGAGCAGCTGTTAAAACAGGGAGCTTGGGGAATCTCCATTTTCTTAATCAAATGTCCTCCCTTCCTGGGACTAGGGAGGACAGGGTGGCCAGGTGCAGGTGCCCTGGCTGGGGCCGCCACCCAGCCCCAAAGGGATTTTCAGAGAAGGGCCTACAGATGCCAGCTACAGATGGAGCAGAAGAGGGGCTGTCTCACCCAGCCCCTGGGGCTCAGAGGTGGGGAGGTGATGGTTACCCCTAGGCAGGGTTGGCCCCAAGGAGGCATTCACTCATCAGCATGAGTTAATAGAGCCCCTCCTGTGTGCCAGGCTCTGTTAGACCCTGGAGGTGCAACTTCAAACAAGGCTGGGTTCCTGCCCTCACAAAGGCAAGACAGAAACAAAAGAAGTCAGTGTGATTCCCAATTGGGAGAAAGTGCTATGAAGTAAAAAAGAATAGACAGGCACGGTGGCTCATGCCTGTAATCCTAGCACTTTGGGAGGCCAAGGCGGGTGGATCACCTGAGGTCAGGAGTTCGAGACCAGACTGGCCAACATGGCAAAACCCTGTTTCTACTAAAAATACAAAACTTAGCTGGGCGTGGTGGGCGCCTGTAATCCCAGCTACTCAGGAGGCTGAGGCAGGGGAATTGCTTGAACCCAGGAGGCAGAGGTTGCACTCCAGCCTGGGTGACAAGAGTGAAACTCTGTCTCAAAAATCAAACAAACAAACTAACAAACCCAGAAGACTCAAGATAAAGAATAATAGGGTCGGCAGGGCGCGGTGGCTCACACCTGTAATCCCAGCACTTTGGGAGGCTGAGGCGGGCAGATCATGAGGTCAGGAGATCGAGACCATCCTGGCTAACACAGTGAAACCCCGTCTCTACTAAAAATACAAAAAAATTAGCTGGGCCTAGTGGCGGGCGCCTGTAGTCCCAGCTACTCGGGAGACTGAGGCAGGAGAATGGCATGAACCTGGGAGGCGGAGCTTGTAGTGAGCCGAGATTGTGCCACTGCACTCCAGCCTGGGCAACAGAGCAAGACTCTGTCTCAAAAAAATAAATAAATAATAAATAATGGGGTCAGCGAACTTGTTCCTATTTGATAAGGCAAACCTCTCTGAGGAGGTGATGTTTCAGCTGAGGTGTGAGGATAGAGAAATCATTCTTGCAAAGAAGAGTGTTCCGGGCAGAGAAGACAGCATGGGTGAAGGCCAGAGGCAGGAGAGAGCTTGACATATTTGAGGAATAGGAGCAGAAGGGATAGTGTGCTTAGATGTAACAAGTGACATAGAAGGAGAAACAATTTGAGATCAGAGGGAGAGGCAGGGACCAGATTCTAGAGGGATTCATGGAGGGCATCAGGATATAGTTGCAGAGGTTGGGTACTGCACAAAAGGCTCCCAGTTACCAAACTGTTGGGCCTATGTGGCTGCTGTCAGCCTGGAGAAAGGGAAGCTGTGTTGTTATTTGTCTCCCCGGAGGGACGTGTTATGGATAGGCCATGGTAAAGAGTTTGGACCTTATTCTTTTATTCCAGGGAAAGGCATAATGGGTTTAAGCAGAGGAGGGTTGTGATCCAGTTTCCTTTTTGAAAAGATCACGCTGACTGCTGTGTGCAGAAGGGATGCTCAAGGAGCAAAAGCAGAAACAGAAATGGGACCCACTCAAAAAGCAAGAACCATGGTGCAGGACAGGTAGGGAGGGTCTGCTCAGACCTCTCTCAAAGCCACCCTTTGCATGCTGGTTACTCCCCGGGAGGAGCACTGGAGCAGGGGCCTCAAGTCCCAGGCCCAGCTCTGACACTAGCTTGCTGTATGACCCGACAGGTCACTTCAAAGAGGTCGTGACTACCACTTGGAGATGCTTGAGCACACACCATGTTGGCACACACTGTATTGAGGGTCTACCATGTGCTAGCATCAGGCAAGAAAAAAGCAGTGAAGACAGACAAGGCTCCTGAGCCCTGTGCAAGAAGCGTGCATCCTCCCGGGTGGGGCGGGCAGGCAAAGATAAACCCATAAAAGTCAAGACAGTCTCGGATGGCGATGCACAGTCTGATGGGAATAAAACAGGGCTGTCACAGGGGAGGGCATGACTGTATTTACCACTGGGTGGGAAGGTCTTCGGGAGGCAGGGCTGAGGACTGAAGGAGCCACCTGTGGGAGGGGTAAGAGCACAGACCCTGATAGAAGGGGTCTGAAGTGTGCCAGGTACAGCCAGCAGCGCAGCCAGAGCGGGGAGTAAGAAGCAGAGGCCGGCAGGGGTCAGACTCTCATCCTGGGAGGCCGGGCGCGGTGGCTCACGCATGTAATCTCAGCATTTTGGGAGGCCAAGGCAGGCAGATCACCTGAGGTCAGGAGTTCGAGACCAGCCTGGCCAACATGGTGAAACCCCGTCTCTACTAAAAATACAACAATTAGCTGGGTGTGGTGGCGCCTGCCTGTAACCTCAGCTACTCGGGAGGCTGAGGCGGGAGAATCACTTGAATCCAGGAGACAGAGGTTACAATGAACTGAGATCGGGCCACTGCACTCCAGCCTGGGCAACAGAGGGAGACTCCATCTCAAAAAAGAAAAATCTCATCCTGGGGTGGGAAACCGCTGAAGACTGCTAGAACAACAGAGTGAGCCGTGATTGGGCCCCTCACAGGCCAGGTGGTAATGCCTCAGGTCCCTACAGATCTGGCTTGTGCCCCTCAAGGGAGACCTCAGAAGCTGGGAAGAAAGGCATGCCAAGCACACGTATTTCTACAGGGATGGCTAAGGACTTGAGGCAAGCCTTGGTCACCACCTGCTTGGGTATCTGGGGAGGGAGGCTCAAGTTGTGAAGAAGCGTGGGGCCTCCAGCTCAGGCCCATACATGTAAGTTTAAATCTCCCAGCCTATTTCCCTGGCTTCAGGCTGCAAGAAAACAAGATGTGTGTGCGTTGGGCGGGGGTTGGGATGGTGGAGTCAGAGCTTGCCCCAGCCCAATCCTCCCCCTCAGGCAGTCACCACACTGACACAGATGCAAAAAACCATCCATTTATACAGTTTGTGGTTCAGAAGCAACAATATGCACAACGGTGGAACAGTCTGTGCTGTCCCCACCCCACCTGAACTCGCCAGTTCCTGTCTCCCAAGGGGCACAGAACACAGGCCCCCTGCCTGGCAGGACCCGACTTAGTTACAGGCCCCTGGGAGGGGCGAAGCCCTTAGGGGTCGAGGCCAGGAGGGAGGAGGACCAGCACCTGATGCCCCTGGGGGCCCGCTGGGTCATGGAACTGTGTGTGTGGAGGGTGGGGGGTCAGCCCACCACGGGCCATTTCTCCCCAAGGCTAAGGGCGGGGGAGCAAGTAAAGCTGAGGAGAGGGCTTCATGGGACAGGGTTCCCATCCCCTGCTGGGAGGGTGTTCCTGGATACCCCACAAGGCACTACAGATGCAGACTGTAGGCGAGCACCCCCATCTTTGGCCCCCGATTGCCTGGCTCTCCCCCTGCCCCAGCTCCCACTGTGGTTTGGCGGGGGAGAAGAGAAGGGGCTGGGCCCCCCACTCCCTCAGCAGACACCAGCCAGGAACCGACCCGGCGGGCCGAGGCTAGGAAGGACCCTCTCCCGCTGCTCTGGGCTCCTGGGGTCCTCTTGGCTCGGCCTCCCCCTCTTTTAGCGCTGGCTGTTGCGAATAAATAAATAAATACCTCCCTGCCCGCCCCCGCCCCTACAGCTGGCTCTCCTCCTCCTCCAGGGAGCGGTTGAGTCCGGGGATGAACTTGAGCAGCCGCCGGCGGAAGCTGCGGTACTTGGTTTTGCGCAGGCCGGGGCCGCATAGGGCCTGCTCGCGAGCCTCAGTCCAGAGCGCGCCCGGCGCGCCCCCGCCTCCGCCCCCGCCAGGGCCCGCGCACCGCACACTGGCGCTGCGGCTCAGCGCGGCCCGCGGCCCAGGGCCCGGCCCCACGGCAGGGGTCTCGGCGGGGCCCGGGCCGAAGGCGCGGGCCGGGGGCGGCGGGGGCGGCAGCGCCGGCGGCTCGGAGTCCCCGAAGAAGCACGTGTGGTAGACGGCGTCGTCGGCGTCGCCCCTGGCCCGTCGGGCGCCTCCGCGGGGACGCCCGGGCACGGCGAGCAGAGGCCCGAAGGGCAGCGAGCCCGGGAGCAGGCCCGCGCCGTAGAGGCAGGAGCGCACCGACTCCAGCGTGTCGTAGATGCTGGGGTCCTTCACCACCAGGCCTGCGCAGAGACGGGAGAGGTAGGGGGCGGGTCAGGCCTGGACCGTGGTGGCCTCTGCAAAGGGTCGGAGGGCATGGGCGGGGCGTCCCCGCTCCGTCCTGCTGACCATCTCTGTGGCCCTGGCCAGGCACAAACCTGAGACCCTACTTCCCTCACCCGCAAATCAGGAATTATCACTCAGATCCTTATGGGGGCCGCTTAGCACAAACGGGCCTCGGAAATAATTGACACAAACTCTTTGAGCCCTGGTGTTCCCCTCTGTAAAGTGAAGATGACACTATCTGTTACTTACCTGCAGAGGGCTAGTGTGAGAATAACCAGAAATGTGGCTGCGGCAGTACCCAAAGTAGTAGTAGCTCAACAAACCTTGCTTTACTGTGGAGGTTTACTAGTAAACCGTTCTTTACTAGAACCCGCCAGTTCTGAGGGGGAAGCGCAGATGGGGTGTCTGTAGCAGAACAAGTGGCCCCTCACACCCCGGGATCTACTCACCATGCACCAGCCGCTGCTCCTGCACCATTAGGGACCTGTACTCTCCCCACTTCTCATACAGGGTTTGCTGCAAGAGACAGTCCCCACCCCACTGTCACAAGCTAGCAGGAAACTAGCAGGACGTGGGTACAGACGAGGGATCAGGGAGTAGACAAAAGAAATCTTCAGTTACAGGAGATTCAGCTGTAAGTGACCCCCCACAGGGCAGAGGCTTGGGAAGAGGAGGGTGGAGGCTGGACGTTATCTAGGTTCCCCTACCTTCAGGTACTGCAGACGAGCCTCCAGTTCTGCCTTCCGAATTGATGTCCCATATAGAGTTTCCAGTCTGAGGTTGGAGAATCAAAGCCTGAGTGAGCCACAGGCTGAGGAAATACCAAGAGGCTGAGCTCAGGAATTCAGGCACCTCGGCTCCCAGACATACCTGAGAACATTGCCTGACGCCTTAATGATGTCCACAATCTCTCGATGCCGGATGCCTTCCACATTCAGGCCATTGACGCTGGCGATGGTGTCCCCTGCCAGGCAGACAAGGGGGTTAGATTTGCTCCATGGGGCATGCTAGAATACCAGCCTCCTACCTTAGCCAGAAAGGGGAGAAGGGTGGGTAGTAACTCCAGGGAATACTCCTGAACTCCCTCCTCCAACTCCTCATGGTTCTCTGTAGATCTCCTCTGACATCTCTCATACTCGATCCAAACACACAGAACCACAGCCATTCTTGTGGGCCTGTAGTGACTACCAGGTTGTCCACGCCCAGCACCCCAGCCAAAGGGTGGGGACCTCACACACCCAACACCCTCACTCTGCCCTCAAGAAGTTCTGTCCGGCCGGGCGCGGTGGCTCACGCCTGTAATCCCAGCACTTTGGGAGGCCGAGGCGGGCGGATCACGAGGTCAGGAGATCGAGACCATCCTGGCTAACACGGTGAAACCCCGTCTCTACTAAAAATACAAAAAATTAGCCGGGCGTGGTAGCAGGCGCCTGTAGTCCCAGCTACTCGGGAGGCTGAGGCAGGAGAATGGCGTGAACCCGGGAGGCGGAGCTTGCAGTGAGCCGAGATCGCGCCACTGCACTCCAGCCTGGGCGACAGAGCGAGACTCCGTCTCAAAAAAAAAAAAAAAAAAAAGAAGTTCTGTCCCAAAGCTAAGCCCACCCAGGACCCTGGGCTACCCTCAGATTTGGTTATTTCTGTCCAGTCCACGCTGGCCATAAGACCCAGTCAATTCAGGGAAGAGCAGGTGAGCAGCACCCAGCTGGGAACCGACCCTGGCCCCAGGCATGGCATGGCCTCATGGATCCACAGATAATCAGTCCAGCCTCTGGTGGTGGGAGAGAAGCACAGGGAATGACTGGCCCCCAGAGGGATAGTTCTGCTACCCTGCACCACTGGAGAGCTTCCTGACCTCAAGCACAGTGTGCCCCATGTCAGGGCCCCATTCCTATCTGTAAAAAGGGGTATGGATCCCTGCTGTGGATGCTTCAGGGATGATGGGGAGGGAGAGTGGATTTGAAACTACTTTGAGAAGTTGTAGTATACCACTTGGCTACTGCTACCATTTAAATATTGTTTGTCCCCAAAACTCATGTTGAGGCTTCATCCCCAACGTAACAGTGCTGAGAGATGGTAGGACCTTTAAGAGGCATTTGGGGCCGAGCGCCGTGGCTCACACCTGTAATCCCAGCACTTTGGGAGGCCGAGGCGGGTGGATCACCTGAGGTCAGGAGTTCGAGACCAGCCTGGCCAACAAGGCAAAACCCCATCTCTACTAAAAATACAAAAATGAGCTGGGCTTGGTGGCCAGTGCCTGTAATCCCAGCTACTCGGGAGGCTGAGGCAGGAGAATTGCTTGAATCTGGGAGGCAGAGGCTGCAGTGAGCTGAGATCATGCCATTGCACTCCAGCCTGGGCAACAAGAGCGAAACTCCATCTCAAAAAAAGTGGCATTTGGGCCATGAAGGATCTGCCCAGTGAAGGGATCCATGCTGTTTTTGGGGAGTGAGTTCTTGCTCTGGTAGGACTGGTTTAGTTACCTGGCGAGTGGGTTGCTATAAAGCAAGATCACCCATGTTTTGTCTCTTTTGCGTGTGCCTACTCACCACTCTTGCAGGCGTTCCTGCCATGAGATGCCATCCATCATGTCAGAACGCAGCATGAGGCCCTCACCTGATGCGGCCACCCAGTCTTGAACTTCCCAGCCTCCAGAACCATGAGCTAAATAAACCTCTTTTCTTTATAATTACCCAGTATCAGGTATTCTGTTATGGTAACAGAAAATGGACTAAGATAGCTAGCACGGGCTGCTGGTAAGTGGGAAGGAGGTAGGGGCTTAGGGGCAAAGATGGTGGAGGGGGGATTGATTCATACAGTTTCAGGCTGCCCTTCCTGGAACCTGGGGACTCTAGATCTGCTCAATCCAGGGATCTCCTGCTGAAGCATAATTTCCTTGTTAGAGGAAGTAACATATTGCTTTGGGAGGCAGAGGCAAGAGGAGGATCGCTTGAGCCCAGGAGTTCAAGGTTATAGTGAGTTATGATTACGCCACTGCACTCTAGCCTGGGTGACAGACTGAGGCCCTGTCTCTTAAAAAAAAAAAAAGTTTCTAATTTTTTAAAAGGGAGTAACATCGGTTCCTCAGCACTGGGCCCATTTTGGGGCAGGATTGGCCTGATCCCCAATATCAAACAGACTTAATGGAATGTTGCTTCTTCCCTGGCTCCTGCCCATGCTGACTGCCAGGGTTGCTGGGAGGAATCAGAGCAGCAGCAGCATCATCCACCATTAATTAGGCCCTGGCAGTGTGCCCAGGGAATCCCCTTGCCGCACTGTGATGTTTGGATGCATTATTACCCTCATTTTGTAGATGGGGCTGTGCAAGATCACACAGTACATGGCAAATTTGCCTAGATCCAAAGCCCAGATTCTATCCATTCTTCTTTCTGGCCTTCTCAAAGAAGGAAAAGGAAGAGGAATTGATTTCAGGAGAGATTGCTCACCCCCTTTGCTTGGGAGTAAGGTCATATCCCCTTCCCAGACCTGGGTGTCCTGGGCTCAGGCCCCACCTGGTGTGAGCCCAGCCAGCTGGGCAGGGCTAGACTCATGAACTCGGCAGACAAAGGTCACCATTTCCACACGCTGCTCCTCCCGGTGGTGAAGGCCATAAGTCTGTAATGGACAAGGGGACCCTCAGCCCAGGGTTGGGACAAGTCCGTTCATCCCTCAGGCTGGTCATCCAACCCCCCTGACCCCTGTGTGCAGCTTCTCCCACCTGGATCTCAAAGCCGAAGGTCTGGTTATCCTCCTTCTCCAACGTCAGCACTTTCCTGCAAGAGACACAGGGGTCAAGACAATTAGGATTAAAAGGTGTAGAAGTCCCATAGCTTGGGCCTCCCTGGATATTGGCAACTGGTCTAGAACATTCCAGCAGGACTCTGTCTCCAGTGACAGCTCAGTCTCATCACAGATTATTGGAATGTCTTTCCCATACCCAATTGAAATCAGCCTCATGGAGCCACAGAGAACCAATCCAGCCTCTAGTGGTGGGAGGGAAGCACAGAGAAGGGCCGGTCCCCTGAAGGATGAGCCGGCTGAGTTTTTTAGCCCCATCCCAGCTTTCCAGTGAGCCCTACAGTACCACTTACTGACTAGCTAAGGCCCGAAATTCAGCCACAGCCTGGAGCCTCCTCTGTTCCACAGCTTTGGAGAGAGGACTGGCCCCACCCCCAGAGGCCAGTCACGAGGCTCAGCAAGACCACAGCTGCTCCTCCCAGCTATGCTGGGGCCAGCCCACCAGATGTGGGGGCTGGGGGAGGGGAGCCTCGAGGCCGCCCCTTCCCGCACTGAAGGCCTGCCCGCTGGACACAATGGTCTGGAGCTGCTCCAGATCCTCGCCTGCTGGGGGAGCCCAGAGTTTCCTCTGCCCACTCCCACCCCCTTCCTTCCCGCCCAGCCAGAGGCACAGTTAAAGCAGCCTCCAAAGGCCCCTTCAAGTAGCTCAGCCTCGGAAAGGCCCTGGAGACCAGGCTTCTCCGCTTCCAGCCTGACCCAGAGATTCCCCCAAATGCTGAGCAGCACCTCCCCACTCCAGCTCGAGCCCCTCTCACTCTGAACAGCAGGCCTTTCCCCTCTCTGTACTATTGGGGCAGGGAGCAGGGTGGCTGGGAGTTCCGCGTCTACCCCAATGTTCTAGGGTTTTTTGGAAGGGTCAGCAAACTTTTTCTGCAAAGGGCCAAATGGTAAATACTTTAGGCTTTCTTTGCAGGCCCCTTATGATCTCTGTCATATATTGTTATTTGTTTTTATTTTTACAACTCTTTAAAAATTATTAGCTCAAGGGCCAAACAGGCCAATCTGGCTAGCAGGTCAGTTTGCTGATCCATTTTAGAGAAAGTCAAGCCCAAATCAGGGATGGGACATGAGTAGAGAAGGGAAACTGTGGGGTCCCAGGGCCTGGAGTCAGCACCTACTTCTGCCCACGCTCAGATCCCTCCTAAGAGGGCTGCCACAGGCTGGGACCAGAAGAGGACTGACATTCTGGAGGCAGGGGCAGCCAGCCCCAAGCAGCTGGACACAGCCTGGCTAAGGTCTGGGCCCGTGGGGTTTGCCAAGGCTAGGAGGGCTCAGGGGAGCCCAGGAGGCCTGGGTTAGGACGTTCCCCATAGACTTTGCCTACACCCCCTCCCAACTCCCACATCCGTTCATCCAGATCTCCCCAGGGAGGGGTAACTGGCAGGGACTGGGGGTGTGTTGAAGAGCACCTAATGACTCAAAAGTCCCTACCTCCTTTCTCTGCCACCCCCTTCACACAGCCCTCACCCCCACCTGCCCTCACTCCCAGCGGGGGAGCCATGTTTAAAGGCTAGGAGAATGACTACCCTCGCTAGGCTGAGATGCTGTCCTGGCACCCCCCAACCCAGCACCTCACCCCTTTGGACCATGGCAGGGGCTGGGTGTTGGTGACTCACCGCTGCTGTTCAGGACTCTGGCTGAGATTCTTCCAGCGGAATCCTGAGCCCTGGGCAGTAAGATGGTCAGAAGGAGCAGGTAAGGCGGGACTGTCCTTGAGCAGACACTGAGAGGTTACCCTGGACACAGCGACCCACTTCCTGTCTGCCCCTTCCCAGCTCCACATCCACACCTGTTTTGGTGCTGGTGGAACTATTTGCCAAGTGCCACTACTGGCACCACTCCTCAACTTTCTCTACAGGCCTTACCTTCATACCTGGGACTGCAGGGACACAACCATCCTCCTGGGTTCCAGATCCATGAACCTCTAAGCCCTTGCTGGTTTCCACACTGGCAGCAGGTGGGGAGATCATTATTCTAAAATGGTCTCCACCCCTAGGGCCCATGTCTGTAGAGGCTCAGGCCATCCAGACTCCCAAAGCTGAGGCAGGGGCTCTTCCCCAGTGGGATTCAGAGGATAGGTGTCCCCTGGGCTCACCTATCAAGGTGCTCCGAGGACCTTCTGCCAGTTGGGTCTCTCCATCTAATTTCTCAGCTACAGACAGTGGCTTGGGAGGGCTGGGGTCAGGGACCCTGTCCCGAAGGGCTGGCAATCCCAGCCAGAATGTGGGGTCAGAGGTGCCAGGTCTCCTAAGGTACAGGCCGTTTCAAGGACCAGTTGTGGATCCCAGCTGCAGGTGACCAGCTGTGCCCAGCTATACCTGGGTCTCTCTCTCCATTGCCATATATTTTGTGCTTTCTGGGACAAAACATCTTAGATGTCAAACTTGTCAGCAAGTCTCACTAAAGGACCGAGACTGGGAGTTCTTTAGGGGTGGTGGTGGGGGGTGTGGAGGAAGGATGAGAGATGAAGGTTCCTGTCTCTTCAGGGTCCTTGATAAACTAAAGTAGTCTCTCACCCTCCCTAACTTTTTGGTCCTGGGAGGAGGTCCAGTCCCAGAGCAGCCCTTTTCTTTGGAGCCTGCACAGCCCAGGGCCTTTCTGTTCTGTGCCTTTGCTAACCCTCCCCCAAAGCTGCCCAAGGCAAGGAAGAGAAGGTTCAGAACCAGATTGGCCTCAGGGGTGGGGACAGTTCCCAAACGGCCAGGGAGGAAGGACTGGGCAGCACAGAGAGACCCCTTTGTCTTTCAACATGATTTTCATAAAATGCAAATTCTCAACAAGCTGTTCATTGTGTGGGGGCTAGCTGGGGGCCGGGGCGAAGGAGGGCGGCTGGGTGAGGAAAGGCCACCAGGCCCCTCTTCTTAACCTGGTGTTGTGTAGGTTCTGAGCCTCAGGTCTCCTGGGGCCAGAGGAAGAGGCTGGCAGAGGGGACTCAGAGGTGGGCGCGGCCCGCATCCTTCCTGCCCCGCGGGCGCCCTGCGACCCCTCCCACTGCGTCCGGTTCCGACAGAAGTCCAGGGAGCAGTGGCCCTCGCGCCCCGTACGTCAGACGTGGGGCCAGGCGGCAGGCCCCCAGCCCAGGAATCGGGGAGTCCCCTCGGAAGGGTGTGCTATCCGGAGTCAGCGGCTCCCCACGCACTTCCTCAGAGTGAGAACGCACGCGGCGCAGCCACCGGCCCGCTTCTCCCACCGGGGGCTCTCGGACCTTCAACTTGCCTGGGGCTGTCTCTGTCCCTCGGGCGAGGGGCTCCTGGGGACCCAGGACACCTGGCCACGGGGAGGCGGGGCATGGGGGGCAGAAAGCCAGATGGAGCGGGTAGGAGAAGGGGGGTGCTGGGAGGAGTCAAGGAGGGAGAGAGGGGGCGTGCATGGGGCGCGGAGTTAAGAGCCACCGAGCCTGGGCGCGGTGTGCAGGCGAGGGCCACGGCCTTCGCAGCAGCGGGGAACGCGGGGAGTCGAGGCACCCAGCGGGCCGGGGAAGAAGGTGGGGGACTCCGCGGACGCCGAGGAGAGGGCACTGCGGAGTCAGCAGGCCCTGTAGGGAGTCGGAGAGGGGCTGAGCAGATCCTGAAGGCGGGCGGGGGACGCACCTTTCGGCGGGGCAGGGTGCCCCCGGACACGGCGAGCGCGCGGTACAGCTCGGCAGGGTGATAGTCCTCCAGCGCCGCGTACAGCTCGTCCGCTGGGGGCCCAGGGGTGGCGGCTGCGGCAGGGGGTCCCGGGGTCGGGACCGGAGCGGCGGGCGCGACTTCCGAGTCGGGAGTCCGGGCGGCGGGGTCCGGGGTGGCCGCCGCCTCCTCCTTCTGCTGCAGCTTCCTGAGTCGGCGGAGGGTCATGGCTCCGGCGCCGGACGCCCCTCAGAGACGGCGCTGGCTCCCCTCGGCGGGGCTGGCGGCGGCTGGGGGATGCCAGCCGGGCGGGCCGCGGGTCGCCTCCCTTTATAGGCTCCGAGAGCGGGGCGGGGTTGGGGGCGGGCGGGGAGCTGCCTCGGGTGGCCTCGCCCCCAGCACGGAGGACCCTCCCCGCGAGGCGCCGCCGCCCTGGAGCCCCGCCCACGGCGCTCGACGGCCGGGGAAACTGCGGGAGCTGGGCGCTCAGTGGGGGAAAACGAGCCGCGGACGCGAAGGGGCGGGATGAGGCCCCCGGGGCGGGGCTCGGGGCTCGGGGCTGCGTGATACCTGGAGGGGTCTGTGAAGGGACATTGCGCAAGGTTTGAAATTTAGGGACGAATAGCTCTGGCGATTCATGGAGTGGGGCACGGTAAGAGGTCACTGTAAGAAGCCTGGGGAGTCGGGGAGGTAGGGAGAGTCACGGAGATCCAAGGGGCTGCAGGAGACTCCAGGGCAGGGAGAGCGGCAGCGGGGCTGCGCAGGAGTAGGGGTGGAGGCCCGATGGAGGAGGGAGGAGACTCCCTGAACTCACTGCGCAGAAGCCCCCAGGGAGGGAGAGGGCCCAGGATTTTCCCTTGACGCAGCTGCCCCAGAAGAGCTGAAAGAGGCTGCCCCCTGTTCGCACGTCTAGGAAGAAGGGAAGAGGTGGAAACCCTGAAAGCAGTAGGCTTAGTTCTGGCCTGTCCCCTCCAAGGGGCTTGAGTGATCCCTGCTGGCAACACCTTTCCTCAGCTCCTGATGCCGGGGTCAGATCCCCCTTCCCAGGAGACAGACGCTTACTGTGGACTTGACTCAGGAGGTTGGGATGAGCCCAGGCTGAGTGGGAGTTCAGGGCTGGGGGGATGGCCATGCTCAGCCGTTCTCTGACCCCATCTTAGGGACCATCCCCCAGGCTGTTACCATGGCTGCCAGGCGGTAGGAGAGGCGGGAATGGCCCAGCCGAAGTCTCTGTCGTCAGTGGTGCCCGAATAAGAAGTGAGAGGAGGAAGTGGAAGGCAGCGTCTGGTGTCTAAAGAGCGGCTAGCCACCACAGGGCGTCAGCAGCACAGGCTGGGGACTCCATGTCCCAACACCCATCGGCCAAGAAGCAGAGGCGGCAATGCGGTGCCCTTGTCTGTCCCCTCCCTCCTCCCCCAGTCTTCCCAAATCTGTTATGCCTTCACAGTTAACATTTATTGAGCACTTAGCATGTGCTATGCACACTGTTTGTTCTGTGTGTCCTTTTACATACATGCATTAACTCACTTGGTCTTCATAACAACCCTACGAAATAAGCACCATTATCCTCCCTTACAGATGAGGAAACTGAGGCCCAGAGAAGATAAGTAATTTGCCCTAAGTCACTCAGCGGCAGAGCTGAGATTCAAAGCCAGGCAGCCTGGTTCCAGAGCCTGCAATCTAACCACTCTGTGATGTTGTCCAACATTTAAGCCCTGCTGTGTGCCAGGTACTGGCTGGGCACTGGGGTTACAGAGGCTCTTGGCCTGGTAGGGAGTGGTACCTTGCACATGTGCTGTGTTAGACACGTGGCATAAGGAGCACAGAGGGGCAATGGCCACGTCCACCTGCGAGGCCAGGAAAGACTTTCTGCCTCCTGCCTGTCTCAGTTCTTGCGCCTGGCTCAGTCTTCTTCTCTAGTCTCCTTGACTCTGTGTTCTCCTCCCCACCCCCAGTCCTCTAGGCCCCCATCCCCTACAAGAGGTGTGGGTGGAAGAGGGTGCTTTTCCGCCCCTCAGTGATTGCACAAGTCCAGATGGCAGGATGCTTGTTGGGTGGGGGGCCGGGGTGGATTGAGGACTGCCAGGAGCTAAGAGGTAGCTCTCTTAGTGCCTTCTTCTCCCTCCTCCCACCTCCCGCCTTGGCACCACCAAGTGGCCATCAGCTGAGGGGCCGAGGGGGTGTCAGTGGGGAAACATGGGACTCTATTGTGAAGCATTAGCACAGATGGACCCCAGGACCGTCTGTTGCCTGCTCCTGACAGACAGCATCTGTGGGGGGTGGGAGGGGGAGACGCAAAGCGGAGAGGCAATGATGTATATTCCATTCATTCCATTGCTTATCCCCAAAGGGACCCAGCAAAAGGGCATCTTGCACAACCTCCTCTGTGAAGGAGCCACCCCAGCTATCACAGAGGGTTACCTAATGGACATGTCTCCTTGCCTGAAACCTGGAGAAGTGGATGCCACAGGTGTGGCACAGCCCCTGTGTCTAACAGCCTGTGGAGCCAGTCATCCTTCAGCTGACGTGGAGGCAGACTTCCCCAGTTTATGTAGGGCAGTCCACCTCCAGGCCTCCAAGTGAGTGAACACCACCAGAGGACTGAAATTCGCACCTTGTTTCCTCCTCTTGCTAGGCAGAAAGCCCTAGAGAACCCCAGAGTAAGGGTGGGCCCAGGAAATGCAATTTTTATCAAGTTCTTTGTGTGATTCCTTAAATCCTGGGATTTCAGAGCCAGAAATGGCCTTATGGTCTGGAAAGGATACCGTATGGTCCAAGCCCTCATTTAACAGAAGCAACTGAAGCCAGAGAGAGAAAGACAGAATCATAACAGGGACTAGAACCCACTAGAACCCAAGTCTCTTGACTCCAGAGACTGTTTAATTCAGCTGCTGGTAGCTCCCTGAGAGCTCAGAGATCCCTGCCTGCTTCCTCCTCCCAATTTCCCCAGTTTCTCCAAGGAGGGGCCCCTGGAGCCCAGGATGCCATACTGTGGAGTGGTTATGCCCTCTGGTGGCCATGAGTCTCGGGGGAAAATCTTCAAGCCAGGCGGAAAGGCTGGAAGACTCCACCTGGAATCCCAGCCCTGTTTCAGGATCCCCCACGGCTCCTCTTCCTCCCAAGAGGGCACAACTGGGATGCCAAGCTCCACTTTGGTCACTGAATTCTGGAATCTCACAGCTGTCAGTTAGGAAGTTTTTTGCATCAAAGCTGCTTCTGCTGCAGGTGAAATTCAGCAGGGAGAAGGCAGGCAGCTGGCGGGCTTTGTTGGTGCACTAACCTTCGCATGCCAGGCAGTATATATGAGGCCTCTAAAGCTTTGCCTTCAACTCTCCACAGCTTTCTCCTAAGCTTGAGTCTCTTGGCTAGCATCTGTTCTCATCCTATCCTCTGCAGCCCTTTAAAGCTTGGGCGGTGGGGGAAGCATTCTGCACACCACCTGCAGCTTCATACCAGGATACGTCCCCCTCCTCCTCCCTCCAGGAAGCCTCCCCACAAAACCTCCACCGCTCTGGCTCCTCAGACATCTGTACTCAATCTGTACCTTCTTCCCAAGCCAGCCTCTCTCAGAATGAGCTCTCAGGTTTCCCTCCCTCTGCTCTGCCTGCCCTGGCTCCTGACACTCGTGGCTGGCCTGGGGTGGGGGATTAGACAGTGGGGGCCCAGCTAAAGGACAAGGCCTAGGTAACACCCCTTCTCTTCAGGGCAACCCCTCGCCTGGCTATGTAACAGTCAGCAGCCCCCCATGGAGGAAATTGGGAGAGCTGAGTCTTCCACTGAGCAGCTTAAGCTCTAGGGTACCATGATGAAGTCAGAGCACTAGGGGCTAGTGCTGGCCCCTCTGGAGTCTGACCTAAGTCTCAGAGCTCTAACATGGGCCTTGTCCATCAGTGGGGCCCGGAACTGGCAGAGATGAATAGTTTACTGGGAGTTCCTCACTGGGTACTGTCACTGCTCCTAAGCTGGGGAGGTGGGGGGGAAGAGGGCCTGGGGCCCTGGCTCTCTGGTCTGTCAGGAATGAGGGGCTGGGCCCCCAGTTGCATGACATCACCTCTTGTGGGCGGTGGACAGCTGGTGGGCAGCTGACTGGGCGGGGAGTGGCTGTTTTTCTTCGTGGCTCCTACTGCGCGACCATTTCCATGGGACAGTGTCTGTGCATGTTCGGGGACCTAGAGAGAGAATCTAGCAGTATGGTTGATCTGGCACAGTCCAAAGATCTGATCCCAGGGGGTCTTGGAGTAGGATCAAGGTAGATGTTGCAGTTTATTTGCATTGAATGTTGGTGGTCTCTGGGTCTAGTCCTGTTCAAAGGCCAGGGACCATCTGGCCTCTTGGATGAAAATGGCAGGGCATCTCTGGCATGAACGGGTTAGAGTGGCAGAAGAAAGGAAGGTTAAGTCTCCAGGTTTCCTACAGCATCTGCACACAACTCCTAAGACACAGGGTATGTGTTATCTTACCCGGCCTCATTTCAGAACAGGTGCATATAGTGAAGAGAGAAAATGGCAGTTCTTAGGGCCCTAGACTGCCCACATCTCTTTCCGCTTGGCAAACACACTTGCTCTTTCATCCCTGGTTCCCTCCTAGGGGACAGTGTCGTGCACCAACCCCCTAACCCCCAAACACATATGCGGAACTGCCAGGCTAAGATTCTCTCTTTTACTCCAAACTGAAGTCAGCTTTCCTCTTTCCCTCACCATTCACATCTGATTATGCCCCAAACCTGAGTATTCTACCCACTGTTTCTCCTGCTGTTCTTCCCAGCTTCTTCCCTTTTTTTTTTTTTTTTTGAGACGGAGTTTCGCTCTTGTTGCCCAGGCTGGAGTGTAATGGCGCAATCTTGGCTCACTGCAACCTCCGCCTCCTGGGTTCAAGCGATTCTCCTGCCTCGGCCTCCCACGTAGCCAGGATTACAGGCACGTGCCACCACGCCCGGCTAATTTTGTATTTTTAGTTGAGACGAGGGTTCACCATGTTGGTCAGGCTGGTCTCGAACTCTTGACCTTGGGTGATCCGCCCGCCTCTGCCTCTGACAGTGCTGGGATTATAGGCATGAGCCACCACACCCGGCCCTTCCCAGCATGTCTTTCTTTTTTTTTTTTTTTTTTTTTTGAGACGGAGTCTCACTCTGTCGCCCAGGCTGGAGTGCAGTGGCGTGATCTTGGTTCACTGCAAGCTCCGCCTCCCAGGTTCAAGCGATTCTCCTGCCTCAGCCTCCCAAGTAGCTGGGATTATAGGCGTGTGCCATCACGTCTGGCAAAATTTTTTGTATTTTTAGTAGAGGTGAGGTTTCACTGTGTTAGCCAGGATGGTCTCGATCTCCTGACCTCGTGATCCACCCGTCTCGGCCTCCCAAAGTGCTGGGATTACAGGCATGAGCCACCGCGCCCCGCCCCTTCCCAGCTTTTCTTACTCTGCCACCAGTACAATTCCTTTCTAAAGTCAGCACTGTGATTTTCCCAAAACACAAGCAGGATCACATCACTCCCTTGCTTAAAACGCTCTACCATGGTCTGAATGATGGTGTCCCTCCAAAATTCCTATGTTGGAACCTAATACCCAATGTGATAGTATTGAGACATGGGATCTTTAGGGAGTGATTAGGTCACGAGGGCTCTGCCCTCATGGATGGAATTAATGCCCTTATAAAAGAGGCTTGAGGGAGCCTGTTTCCCCCTTGCACCATGTGAAGACACAGAAAGCGCCATCTAGGAGAACAGGCCCTCACCAGACACTGAACCTGTTGATCCCTCGATCTGGGACTTCCCAGCCTCGAGAACTGTGAGCATTACATTTATATTGTTTATAAATTACTCAATCCATATCACCCAATCCAAGGAACTTTTTAACTTTTTTTTTTTTTTTTTTTTTTTTTTTTGAGATTGTGTCTCACTCTGTCACCCAGGCTGGAGTGCACTGGCATGATCTTGGCTCACTGCAACCTCCACCTCCTGGGTTCAAGCAATTCTCCTGCCTCAGCCTCCTGAGTAACTGGGATTACAGGTGTGCACCACCATGCCTGGCTAATTTTTGTACTTTTAGCAGCAATGGGGTTTCGCCATGTTGGCCAGACTAGTCTCAAACTCCTGACCTCAAGTGATCCGCCCACCTCGGCCTCCCAAAGTGCTGGGATTACAGGCATGAGCCACCGTGTCCAGCCATCAATCTAAGGTACTTAGCAGCAGCAGCCAGAGCAGACCAAGACACCCTCCAACGGCCTATTCCCTACATCCACAATGACAAATGTGTTTTAACTTACAGGACAGTAAGCACGCTGTTGAGAAAAATGTGGAGACCAACTCAAGAGGACAAATTACTGATAGATTAGTACAGTCTGAGGTAGCTGTCACAGGGTAAGTGATGGCACCGGTGTTACCTATTGGCCATTTCTGGCCCCAGGATGAATTCCTGACCTTTCAGAACTCAGCACGGGAACAGCTCTAGCAGGCTCCCTCATCACACCCCCGCCATACTGAATATCTGTGGTTCTTGAATGGCAATTCTTTTTGACTAAAACCCCCTCCTCTCCTCAGTCAGCAGGCCGAAATTGATGTCCCTCTCTTGCCCCCAACCTCCTGTCTCTCTTATGTTCCCACAGTATTCTATCCCTATGGGAGTACTGATCTCCTTCCATCCTATCTTTTTACTCACCCATTCCACCAGGTAGGGAGCCGCTGTAGGGCAGGGATATGTCACTTCTTCCCCGGACACCTCATCTGTGGTCCCATGGTACTTTGCATACTGCTCTGTAATGGGATTTGCCCAAATCTGCCCTATTGTTGCCTGTACAAATCCTATCTGTCTAGATTATAAACTCCTTGAAGGGCAGGGACCATGGATTGTTTAGCTTTCTTTTCTTTTTCTTTTTTTTTTAAGACAGATTCTTCCTGTGTTGCCCAGGCTGGAGTGCAGTGATGAAATCTTGGCTCACTGCAACCTGCAACCTGCAACCTCTACCTCCCGGGTTCAAGTGATTCTCATGCCTCAGCCTCCTGAGTAACTGGGATTACAGGTGTGCGCCACCACACCTAATTTTTGTATTTTTAGTAGAGATGGGATTTCGCCATAGCTTTCTATTCTACCTACCACTCCATTCATTAAGGTTGCTCGAAAAATACTTATTTAAAGAGCCCAGGCTATCCAATTGTTCCTTAAACTGCCCTAAACCCCCATTAACCCCCCATTTTGGCTTCCAAGGAGAATTCTCAGAAGGACCCAGGGATATCTTCCATATTCCTTAAACCCCATCCTCTGACCAAGGAATCCCCAATAACTTTCAGGCCATAGTTGTCCAGTTGTTTCGTCATATGCTATTCCAGATGTTGCTGTGAAGGTATTTTAGACGTGGTTAACATTTAAATCAGTAGACTTTGAGTAAAGCATATTACCCCTCCATAATGTGGGTGGATTTCATCCAACCAATTGAAGGCCTTAAGAGAAAAGCCTGAGGTGTCCTGAGAAAGGATTCTGCCCCCAGGACTGCGACATCAATTCTTCCCTGGGTCTCTGAGCCTGCTACCCTGCCTTGCAGCCCACACAACCATGAGTCATCTCTCTTTCTAGTCTGTCTGTCCATCCATCCTATCGATTCTGTTTCTGTGGAGAACCCTGACTAGTAACACCGTTCCTGGCCTGACCCAGGGCTTCTCCTACTTCCCTCACCTGTGCTGTGCATTCCTCTTATGTTCCTGAGTCTCTTGAACTCCACCACTCGTCATTCTGGTTTGGTTGTGTTTAGCAAGCATGTTCTAAGGCCTGTAAAGGTCAGAAGACATATGGGCTGGGGGACAGAAATTTAAGCTATGTGAAACAATAACCCAAGCGATACAACATTCAAATGAAGTCAAGCCTCCTGTGTCAGAGGCCTTACTAAGATGAAACATTGTTGGCAACCTTCAAAGGCACAGGAAGAGGCACTAGAATGGTTGCCATTCTGATTTTCAAAATGGTAGAGTTGAGCCTGCAATCATAGCCTAGTGAATTTTAGGTCCATGCCTGGCAAGATGACTGACTATTCACAGGATGGCCTGTAAGGGGCCTTCATGTGAACCAGGCCGAGATTCACTACCAACCACTCTGTCTTTCTTTCCAATGAACAGGTAGATAGATCAAAGAGAGCCACAATGATACTTTAGCAAAGTACTTGGGCTTCTTCTGCTATCTCTGTCCATCTAAAAATTATGGGCCAGGTGAAGTGGTTCATGACTGTAACCCCAGCACCTTGGGAGGCCGAGGAGGAGGTATTCCCTGAAGCCAATAGTTCAAAACCAGCCTGGGCATCAAAGGGAGATCCTGTCTCTATTTAAAATAATAAATAGTCTGGGAGCAGTGGCTCACACCTGTAATCCCAACACTTTGGGAGGCCGAGGTGGGCAGATCACCTGAGGTCAGGAGTTCGAGACCTGCCTGGCCAACATGGTGAAACCCCGTCTCTACTAAAAATACAAAAATTAGCTGGGTGTGGTGGCGGGCGCCTGTAATCTCGGCTACTTGGGAGGCTGAGGCAGGAGAATCGCTTGAACCCTGGAGGTTGCAGTGAGCCAAGATCGCGCCACTGCACTCCAGCCAGGGCAACAGAGACTCTGTCTCAATAAATAAATAAACAAAAAATAAAAAATAAAAAATTATGGCCAGGACACAAGGACAATTTAATTAGCAGCTGATTAGATTATTGGGATAGATGCCAAACTTAAAGCGAACTTTTAGGAGTAAGTTACTTCATTTTCTCAGCCCAGCAGAGTCTCAGACAGGGAAACTCAGAACAATGGAAAACTCTGGGTAATAATCAGGATTTAAAAGTAGCGACAGGCTGGCGCAGTGGGCATGGTCTACAGTGAAGTTTAATAGAGTAAAACTATAAGGTCCTGTACTTGAGTTCAAAACACCAACTTCCCTTATACAAGCAGGAGAGGGTAGCTGGATTTTACTCAATCAAGAGATGAGATGCAGTCCTGGGATGTGATCTGTGGCATCAAGCACACAGTCTGTGGGGTTCTTGTTCTAGTCTGTGATGTCTGCTGATACCTGGGTGGAACGTTATGTACACATCCTTTGTGGCCCCAGACTCTAGCTGGGTTCAGAAGAGAGCGGCCAGCCTGGGTGAGGAACATGGAACCAGAGCAGGATAGTGCAGTGGGGGAAGGGCTGTGCTCTGCAGTCAACATCCCGGACCCAAGGTCTTTTCCACCAGTGAGCTACGTGATCTTGGGCAACTTATTTGACTTCTCCAATCCTCTGTTTCCTAATCCATAAAGAGAAGATAATGATGCCCATCTCATATGGTTGCTCTGAGGATTAAAACAGTTAATATACGTAAAGCAAATTTTGGCACATTGCTTAGCACGAAGTGAGTTTTCAATAAGTATTCACTAATATTAACTGAAGAAACTCGGAGCTTTGCCAGAAGATTCATGACGGCTGCCTGTAAATATTTTAAGGGATCTTATAAGGGAAGACAGAATAACTGCTTAGAAAACCCTGTGGAAGTCTCATGGAAGTTGCCCAGCTCTACAGAAGGAAGGGTTTTCCACTGAGCCACGGAGCCTACAGATGGAGCTGTGGTCCAGCATTAGCAGGAGGCCACACAAGCACCTGACAGGGACATCGCAGGGAAGTCGAGTGCCTGACAGTGAACTAGGGGATCTTGTGGGTCTCATCTAAACTGGAGACTATGATTCTAGGACTTGTTATTTTAGATTCCCTCAGCCCAGAGAGGGAGGACATTCACACCCACCACACGCTGAGAATACCAGAGGAGTAACCACTGAAGACTTCCTCCTCAAAGTCACCTAAGCATCCCAGAATTCACAATTTCACTTCAGCTTAGGAGGAGCGCTCATGCCTCTAAGACATGAGAGAGTGTGACTAACTAGGAACATGACCCTCTTTTGTAAACAGGAAAAAACGTGAGAAGACAAATTCAGACAAAGCCCAAGAAAAGGATGCTTTGTGTCTTCTGTCCCTTGCATGCCAGACCCGCCCTCTAGGAACACAAAGCAACAGTCTCAGGAAGACCCAGGATGTTGGGAACAGCATTCCTCTTGCTGGGGTCTGCTACAGCTGGTGTGAGCACGAGACCCTGACCTTAGAACATCCACCCCATTCCCAACTCCCCTGACAAAAGCTGGGTGGCCGTACTACGTATGTGGGACAGATGGCACCAGAGCAGCTCTGTGAATAAAACTTTTAATAATGTACAGCAGAAATTGGACAGGCTCATTCTTATATTAAAACAAAAGATTTCCTATATTACAATTTATTTACATTTGCATACTGAAGAGGTAAAGTGTCTAAGTGGCTATTTTACAGTCCTTTCTAATAAAATGTACAAAAACAAACAGAAGTACCGAGAATGCCGTTCGGGGGCCTTTATGGCGACGTAAGAACGGGCTTGGACTTGGTCTGTGAATCCAGAATCCAGAGGTGCAGGTAGCACTATGGATCAGGGTTAGCCTCGGGGGGCCAAAAACACGGCTTCAGTTTCTCCCCAACTCTCACTTAGTGTTAAGAGTGGCAGAGGTGGGTGTGGGAGCTTCCCAAAGACCTGCTCCATCTTCCCCAGAGGTGGAAGAGTTGGACTGTGTGTGGGGTAAGGGCAGAAGGGCCAACTGGGGAGTGGGCTAGTGGCTTGGGAGTGGACGTGTGTTGGCAGATCCCAGAGGCTACTTGTGACTCTGGGAAGAGGAGTCTAAGTTCCATCATTACCTATAAACCGCCAAGGTTCTGCTGCAGGGCGGATAGGTGGGAGGTCAGCAGGGGTAAAGACGGTCCCCCCAATGACACAATGGTATTTAAACGAAATTAGTGGCCAGTAAATTGGCCCAAAGGTTAGGGGAAGATCTCCTTTAATGCAAGGAAAGAAGCAATAATCAGTCAAATAAATAGAAGGGCCAGGAGCACTGGGGAGCCTGAGGGCAGGGACAGGGCTCTCCCTCCTCCACAAGCTTTGGCAGAGAACTGCTGGGTTGGAGGCAGAGATGCTCTAAGGCTACATACACAATACACCTCCCCTGGGGACAGGAAGGGGGCTCAGAATGAATGCAGTGATTTGAGGTCTCACCTGGGGTTCTAAACCCCAGGTCTCATCACCCGCCCCTGGTCTCTTTGTGGAGGGGGTTGTGGGGGTTCCTCTTTCTTCAGTGATCTTATATAAGAACAATAATTCTAGGCTCAAAAGGGTCGTAGAACCAATTATGAAACCTTCTGGTCTCAAAACAGGCATCTACTTACTTGAATCAGCTCTTTTTACAGTGCTCCAGGAGTAGGACCCAAGCATGTCTTGTCCACAGATGTATTCCCAGCACCTGGCACCCAGCAGGCACTTCACCCACATTTGTTGAATAAATGCCTGGAGAGGGTACAACCAGCTGGACAGTGCAAGAAAGGGCCCTAGAGCAAAAACCACTCAAGGAATTGGGGGTGGGGACAAAATACGAGAGAGACTGAGCCTCAGGGCAAAGAGGAACTCTCACTGCTGAGTGGGAACAGGCTCAGGTGCAAGGACAAACATTTCCAGTGTGATTGAGCTATGTGCGTTCAATTGGATAATTTTTTTTTTTAGGGATTTCTTTAAAAACAAATAGATTGAGAGGTAATCACAGAGATGGTTTTCCTTTTACAAAAACTTAATATTTAACAACATTAAAAAAAGTTAAAATCCAAACCCTCCCAATAAAATTAAAAAAAGAAATCAAACCACTCCAGTTAAAAGTTATGGCTTCAAAGTTATTATATACCTAAGATATGCTGACCAAATCACCACCCACAGCCGTGCTTCTAGGCTTCGTTAAATACTATACTCAGGTTAAATAACATGTTCGGCTCAGGCTGTTCCCTTCAGTAGGGCTCCTGAAGTGGATGCAAACCTCTCACCTTCCCTCCACCCTGATCAGACAGTCCAGTAAAAGAAGACCCATGCAGATGCCTCCCTCCCACCCCAGACTCCCTCCCCACTCCTTGCCCGCCCTTCCCTTCCCCACCCCAAACCCACCACCACCAAAAATATACACTGCTGTTTCCAGGATCTGGGAGATGAAAGACAGATGTAACATTCCAATCTGAGTCCCGAGATCTGGCTTCACATTCCTCGGCCCTTCCTCGATGCTGCTGAGGATGATGCCCTTGGGCTGGCTCATTTCCCATGGCTGACACTAACACCCAAGACTTCCACCAGGATTCCTTCCCTGCCCATCCCACCCACCACCCTCACATTTTGGCCCAAAAGCCTCTTTTGTCATGGACAACTGGGCCAGCTTTGGTTCCACAGTCTGAGATGGAGGAGGAGAGCTGTGCTGATGCTGGGGTGGGCAGAGTAGCCTGCCAGACACAGAGTACCACTGTGGCATGAGGGGCTCTGGGGGAGGGAGAGACCTCCAGGGAAGGGCACCAGGGAAACTAGATGCTGCTCACTACTGAAAAGAGGCACCAGCAAGCACGGACAGCATGACGACCACACCCCCGACCTGCACATGCACAGAAAGCTCAAGCAGGTAAGTGCGCACCTACAGACACACACACACACTCACACGCACGTGTAAGGGCATGGCACGAACCAGGCACAACGGGGGACGCACCTCGGCACATGCACACACGGCTGGACAGACAAAGCGGCAGATTCCGTCTCCACTGGCAGTCTCCCGGCAGCGTCCATCCCAGGGAGGAGGGGAAAGCGCGGCTCAGAGCTGCCTGTGAGAGGGGCTGCACTTCTGGTTCTTCCGGGCCACCTTGGTGTGCTGTGGGCTGGTCCCCGAAGGAAACCCTCAGGGCAGCTTAGCACTGGCAACACCTCGGTTCCTCCGGCCCCTCCCAAGCGCCCCTGTCATGGCTCCTGGCCACGTGCCAGATGCACCGGGTTTCGCGGGACTTCCCACTACAACCAGTTCGAGGTGTGGCACTGAGTTCTCCACACAATTCGCTCTCAGAGTCTCCATGCCATTAGGAGGTAAATAGAAAAGGTGTCTGTCTCAAACCCAACATGGGAGTGAGCGAGTCTCTCCCGGGCTCTGTCCCTCTTGCGGGCCAGGGCTCCTGGCCACAGAGGGCTGGGCAGAAACGAGAGGTAGGCCTCCATCGTACGCTCAACGCGGCAGCTGTGCGTAGTTCTCGCTGCCAGGAGCTCCGTGTGGAGAGAGGGAGCAGTTAGATCTTCACGTCTTCCTGCACGCTGAGCTGGGAGAGGGTCTTCTTGATGCGCAGGGCCGTCAGGCGGGCTGCGCCGTTGGCATACCAACACTCTCGCATCATCTTCCCCATCACCCGCAGTGCCTGTGCAGAGACCCAGGAGCCATCAGCTCGGTCATGCCCTGGAGAAGCCTTTCTGGTCCCTAGGCTCTCACTCATTTCCCTGCCACCTCCCGCTCAGTGCAGTCTGGCAGATCCACATCCACCCGGCGGCCGACCTTAGGGAAATGCTCTGCAAGGCTCCCTTTGTTCCCTGGCTCTTCCTTTTTTTTTTTTTTTTTTTTTTTTTTTTTTTTTTTTTTTAGAAGGAGTCTCACTCTGTCACCCAGGCTGGAGTGCAGTGGCGCAATCTTGGCTCACCGCAACCTCCGCCTCCCGGGTTCAAGTGATTCTCCTGTCTCAGCCTCCCCAGTAGCTGGGACTACAGGCACACACCACTACGCCCAGCTGATTTTTGTATTTTTAGTAGAGATGGGGTTTTACCATATTGGTTGGCCAGGATGGTCTCGCTCTCTCGACCTTGTGATCTGCCCACCTCGGCCTCCCAAAGTGCTGGGATTACAGGCATGAGCCACCGCGCCAGGCGGCTCTTCCTTTTTAAGGGACAGCTTACACAAGTGAAAGGCAAACGCTGCAGCTAACGGCCAGCTCTTTTGGTCTCACCTGCCCTCTGAAGCAAACCCTGCCCTGAGGGTTCCAAGGAGTGCGGTGAGAAGTGCTGCTCTATGATGCAACACGAAAGCATCAGCTAATATGCAATTCTGTTCTGAAATGCAGAAATGCCCTCTAGTGGTTAGACTCGTTAAAGGCAGAGCCAACCTCTCTACTTGACTAGGTAAGTTCTGGGGCTCTAATGGACGGCAAGGTGACTAGAGTCAACAATACTGTACACCTGAAATGTGCTAACAGTAGGTCTCAACTGCTCTCACTACACACACAAGCAACAAGGTGAGGTGACAGATGTGTTCACTAACTTGTGTGGTAATCATGTCACAATACATACATGTATCAATTCAGCACTTTGTACACCTTTGTTACAATTTCATTTGTCAATCACACCTCGATAGAGTTGGGAAAAAAATAAGTAAAAGGAAATGCAGAACCGCAAGTGAAAAGGAGGCCCATGAGCACTTAGCTAGGCGAAGCCTGTTCCCCTGAACACTCTTAAGACCCTAGAATTCCATGTTTATTAGTACGTATGTCACAAACATGTCCTCATGTCAACTCTTTCCACCAAATGTTGTTTCCCCCACACCCCTGATTTCATCTGCCGTCTCTCCCAAATTCACATTCTCCATCCCAATCCCAGCCCTGTCATACACATCACCTCCTCCCTTCTGAGTTTCTGGAAAGACCACTTTCCTCACAGGCATGTCCTCCTCCTCTGTCTGGTCTCAGGGCTTCTCTTATGGACACCTCCTCCTCACTCTTCCATGGAGCTCAGCTCAGCTCGGGCTCCAGAGCTGCTTTCCTAGTTTGGTGTCTAACAGCTCTGGGTTCAGTTGTCACTTGTTGACCACCTCCCTCATCTGTGTCTTGGAGACAAAGCCTTGTCCTTTTTCTTTTATGAGACAGGGTCTTGCTCTGTTGCCCAGGCTGAAACGCAGTGGCCCAATCATGGCTCACTGCAGCCTTGACCTCCTAGGCTCAAGCAATCCTCCCACCTCAGCCTCCCAAGTACCTGGGACTACAGGTGGTGTGCCACCAAGCCTAATTTTTTATTTCTTGTAGAGATGGGGTCTCCCCACATTGCCCAGGTTTGTCTCGAACTTCTGAGCTCAAGCTATCTTCCTGCCTCAGCCTCTCAAAGCGCTACGATTACAGGCCTATGCCACCACACCAGGCCCAAAGCCTTTTCTTCTTCTAGGCTGTGAACTCCAAATGGCACCCTACAGGGTCCAGGACAAGAGACTGTAGCCCTAAAGGGCTTGGGATATGTAAAATAGCACGTAATAGTAAATAATAACTGACACTCTCAGGGGGCTCCTCTGGGGCCTGACCCCATTGTCAAGAAACCCTTTTCTAAGGTGGAGAAATCAGGCTGATGGGAAAGCCGCAGGAGGCCAGCTTCTTACCTCATAACTCTGCCACCAGTTGGGGATGTTGGGACGCAGCTTCTGATCACATACAACCTTTCGCATTTCCTCAATGGAAGGGTCAGAGGGCACTAAGTCGTAATATGGCAGCTGATATTCTTCATGGACTCCTGGGAGAAAAGAAAGTATCTACCTGAGTTATCAACAGCAGGAAAAGATTACTCAGAAGCCGGTGACAAAACCTACACTGTGCTCTGTAAATACCACTACCCCCTAAGGTTCCTTAGAAAGTTAGTTAATTCTAAGTATGGAACAAGAAATACACAAAAGGGGCCGGGCATGGTGGCTCATGCCTGTAATCCCAGCACTTTGGGAGGCCAAGGCAAGCGGATCACCTGAGATCAGTAGTTTGAAACCAGCCCCGCCAACACGGTAAAACCCCATCTCTACTAAAAATACAAAAATTAACCAGGCATGGTGGCAAACACCTGTAGTCCCAGCTACTAGGGAGGCTGAGGCAGGAGAATAGCTTGAACCCTGGAGGCAGAGGTTGCAGTGAGCAGAGATCATGCCACTGCACTCCAGCCTGGACAAGAGTGCAAGACTCTGTCTCAAACAAAACAACTAAACAAAAAGAAATACAAAAGAGTAGCCAGGAACATTTTTTTTCATAGCCAAAGCAAGGAATCTATCAAAGACTACTGGGGGTCACATCAAAAGGCACCAACTTGATAAGCTCCCAACTGAGCAAAGATGGGAACTTTTAAGTAACAATAAGACAAATAACTTCAATGGAAACAAATATTTTTAAAGTCTAAAAAAGGAAATTTCAGTCACCTACCTCTGTGGGAGGCTACAGAACCACCTCATTATTTTGAAAAATGGTAAATAAGTGGAAAGAATCAAGTATTTTTTCTGCCTCTCCTATTCCAACTATATATCATGGGAACCAAATACATATGTAGGGGAAGTAATCATTCGCTTAGTTTTGGACAATATCACCACGGCACGTTAACGACACAAAAATAGAGAACCAATGCTACGCAACTTGTCACAGAAGGACAGAGGAACCCCTGTGAAGGATACGTGTCCCCGAACCCCCAGAAATGATTCTAGCTGCCAGATCTAACTACCAATTCATAGGAAATACCAGGAAGAGTAGAATATGTGAACTCTACCTAAGCAATCTGCAAAATCTAGCCTGGGAAATTCTACAGGACAAATGACCTGGATTCTCCGAAAAAACAGAGTGGGAAGAAAAAATGAGGGGGAACATGTAGACAAGAAATGTAGGAGGTGTATTCATCAACTGCAGGGGATAAAACTTATTGGAACCCCGATTTGAACAAACTGCTTTAAAAATTTAGGAGACTGGGGAAATCTCAACACTGACTAGATGTTAAGTGACATTAATGTTTGCCAGGCACAATGGCTCACACCTCTAATTCTAGCACTTTGGGAGGCCGAGGTGGAAGGATTGCTTGAACACAGGAGTTCAAGACCAGCCTGGGCAACATGGCAAAACCCTTGTCTCCACAAAAAATACAAAAATTAGTAGGGCATGGTGGTGCACCTGTAGTCCCAAGCTACTCAGGAGGCTGGAGTGAAAGGTTCCCCTGAGCCTGGAGAGGTGGAGGCTACAGTGAGCTGTGATCACGCCACTGCACTCCAGCCTGGGTGACAGTGAGACTCTGTCTCAAAAAAAAAAAAAAAAAAAAAAGCACTAAATTTGTGTGTGTGTGTGTGAGTTTCACTCTTGCCACCCAGGCTGGAGTGCAATGGCGCAATCTCAGCTTAATGCAACTTCCACCTGCCGGGTACAAGCGATTCTTCTGCCTCAGCCTCCGAGTAGCTGGGATTACAGGTGCCTGCCACCATGCCCGGCTAATTTTTGTATTTTTAGTAGATTCGGGGTTTCACCATGTTGGCCAAGCTGGTCTTGAACTCCTGACCTCGGGTGATCTGCCCGCCTCAGCCTCCCAAAGTGCTGGGATTACAGGTGCGAGCCACCGCACCTGACCCCTAATGTTCATTTTTTTTTCCTTTTTTGAGACGGAGTCTCCACTGTTGCCCAGGCTGGAGTGCAGTGGCACGATCTCGGCTTGCTGCAACTTCCACTTCCTTGGTTCACGTGATTCTCCTTCCTCAGCCTCCCAAGTAGCTGGGACTACAGGCGTACGCTACCATACCTGGCAATTTTTTTGTATTTTTAGTACAGACGGGGTTTCACTATGTTGGCCAGACTGGTTGCAAACTCCTGACCTTGTGATCAGCCCACCTCGGCCTCCAAAAGTGCTGAGATTACAGGCATGAGCCACCGCGCCCGGCCTAATGTTCATTTTTTAAAGTGTGGTAATAGCACTGCATTTTTTTAAGTCCTCATCTTTAAGAACTACAAACTTAGAAAGATTTTCCATAATAAAAAGATAGTTTTAAAAAGCCAATTTAGGCCAGGCACAGTGGCTCACGCTTATAATCCTAGCACTTTGGGAGGCTAAGGCAGGTGGACCACCTGAGGTCAGGAGTTCGAGACCAGCCTGGCCAACACAATGAAGCCCCATCACTACTAAAAACAGAAAAATCAGCCCGCAGTGGTGGTGGGCACCTGTAATCCCAGCTACTCGGGAGGCTGAGGCAGGAGACTGGCTTGAACCCAGGAGGCGGAGGTTGCAGTGAGCTAAGATTGTGCCATGGCAATACAGCCTGGGTGACAAAGAGAAACCCTCTCTCAAAAAAATAAAAATAAAAAGCCAATTAATTTTTCTCAAGCCCTTTTCCAGAAAAAGAAAAACAAAACAAAACAAAAAAACCCTGCTGTCTTGAGCTAATGAGACAATTTTTTTTCTTTTAAGTAGAGATGGAGTCTCTCCTACCTCAACCTCCTGAGTAGCTGAGATTACAGGCGCCCGCCACTACACCCGGCTAATTTTTGTATTTTTAATAGAGATAGGGCTTCACATTGGCCAGGCTGGTCTCGAACTCCCAGGTGATCCGCCCACCTTGGCCTCCCAAAGTGCTGGGATTACAGGCGTGAGCCACCATGCCTGGCCTTTATGTCTGGCTAATTTTTTTATTTTTGTAAAGATAGAGTTTCACCATGTAGCCCAAGCTGGTCTCAAACTCCTGGCCTCAGGTAATCAGCCCACCCTGGCCTCTCAAAGTGCTGGGATTACAGGTGTGACACAGTGCCCAGCCTGGGAAATATTTTTAAATAGAGAATTGGACTTGGTAATTATCTAAGGGGTAGTTACAGGCTTAAGCCCTGGCCTCAGCCTGTCCGAGTCTGAACCCTTGTTTACTAAAATAGTTATGTGACCTTAGACAAATTTCCTAACTTCTCTGTGACTCATTTTCTTCATTTGTAAAATGGCGATGATAATAGCACCTACTTATTATTTACTTGTAGTAGTAAAGATTAAATGAGCTTATACATAGCAAGTGGTGAATAAATGTTAGCATTATTATATATTTAGCCTCAATTTCTGGATGTCATAAGAAGAAATAAACTTATTCACAGTTTAAGACCTGTGTGACCAGATTTTTCTTAGTTTGTTTGTTTTTTCTTTGAGATGGAGTCTCGCTCTGTCGCAAGGCTGCAATGCAGTGGCTCGATCTTGGCTCACTGCAAACTCCGCCTCCAGGGTTCAAGCGTTCTCCTGCCTCAGCCTCCCAAGTAGCTGGGACTACAGGCGTGCACCACCATGCCCTGCTAATTTTTGTATTTTTAGTAGAGACAGGGTTTCACCATGTTGGCCAGGATGGTCTCGATCTCTTGACCTCGTGATCCGCCTGCCTTGGCCTCCCAAAGTGCTGGGGATTACAAGCGTGAGCCACTGCGCCTGGCCTCTTAGTCTGTTTTACTGCATATACTGATCAAAATTTAAGAGGTACAATTCCATGAATACTACCTGGGCACTATTTCCATAATTTGGATTTTACCAAACATGTCATAAATGGAAGCTGGAAAAGGGTATTAATATACAAAACAGTTCTGCTGGAAGACTTGTCATATTTTTTGTAGATTAGATTTTTTTAATTTTTAATTTTTGTGGGAACACAGTAGATGTATATACTTATGGGGTACATGAGATGTTTTGATACAGGCATGCAATGCATAATAATCACATCAGGGAAAATGGGATATCCATCCCTTCAAGCATTTACACTGTGTTACAAACAATCTAATTATATTCTTTCAGTTATTTTAAAATGTACAATTATATTATTGACTATAGTCACCCTGTGGTGCTATCAAATACTAGGTCTTTAAAAAATATGGAACGCTTCAGGAATTTGCATGTCATCCTTGTGCAGGGGCCATGCTAACCTTCTCTGTATTGTTCCAATTTTAGTATATGTGCTGGCGAAGTGAGCACCACCAGTTCTTTTTTTCAATCACTTTCACTGCCCTGGAATCTCTTATATCACAGATAAATGGCTGAGAGTAGGGCTCTAGAGGTCCTGGAACTTGATCATGTGGCAGAATATATGGAAATTATCATAAAATACTGATATACTAAGTTGACAATAAAAAGTGTTTCTGCTAAATCTGATACTATTTCTTACTGGATTCTGTCATGAATAAGCAGCTGCAAATGCCAACGATTTTTAACTATGGGAGAAAAAACTCACTTTTAAGAAAAATCTATGCACTTTTATAAATTTAGAAATTAGCACTATTATTTTAACAATGAAACAGCAGGGTTTCCCATGAATGTGGCTTGGGAGCCACCGCGTTAGAATATACTGCTTCTGATGTGAAGGAGACCACTGCATGAATCCCGTGCTATGCGCACCGGGGCACTCCCCGCCACGGACTAATAAAACAATGTTTGTTTGTTTATAAAGCCAAACGAGCCTTCAGAATGGTTACCATAACACACAACGCTATTCAACAAACTGATCCCTGAAGAATAAACGCACCCTAAGCACAGCTACCTCCACACCTTTGATGGCAACCTTAAACGATGATTCAGGCTCTGGCAACAGGCATCCAACAGGTTGTAAAAAGAAAGGGGGCAGTAAAACAGCTTTGGGTGATCCAGCATCCTGGAATGGGAGGTAGGAGCAAAGGCAAAAAAGAAAGGTACCTCCAGAATTGCATCTTCGAGCAATCTCCCAATATACAAGCCCGAGGGCATAAATATCAGCACATTTAAAGGAGTCAAAGTGTTTCATATTAATGGTTTCATCAAGTACTTCAGGGGCCATGTATCTGCAATAGCAAAACAAACATGGTCACGCACAGAAAATGATGACTGCTCTCTTTAAATCAAAGTATTGATTCAGGAGCCCTCTGAATGTGGAAGAGTATCACCCTGATAAAGTCCCTTGGGGCAGAAGAAGTGTACACATCTCTTCATTGCAAACTCCCATGTTTTAAATTTGATTCTAAATACTTCAGCACAGATTTGGCAATACCAGGCTACTCTGATGTGTATCTCTATTTTTAACCATCAAGATTTGTTTATTTGGCCAGGTGCGGTGGCTCACGCCTGTAATCCCAGCACTTTGGGAGGCCAAGGTGGGCGGATCACCTGAGGGCAGGAGTTGGAGACCAGCCTGGCCAACATCGCGAAACCCCATCTCTATTACAAATACAAAAAATTAGCCAGGCATGGTGGCAGGCGCCTGTAATCCCAGCTACTCGGGAGGCTGAGGCAGGAGAATCACTTGAACCCGGGAGGCGGAGGCTGCAGTGAGCCATGACTGTGCCATTGCACTCCAGCTTGGGCAACAAGAGCGAAACTCCATATCAAAAAAACAAAGAGAGAGTAAAGATTTGTTTATTTGAAGCATGTTTTGACTTCTTGGCAGAAGTACTTGTAATGTGGGTCACAGGGGCAGTAACAGTACCTAATATTTGGTTGACACCAGGGTCCTTCACTTTATTGAATGTAGTCACAGTGATGGGTTGAGCTTAAGTTTCATTCCGAACTGCTTTTGTTATCTTACCTGACTATAGATATGTCAAAATTAATTCTAGAGGTGGTCAGCGGCACCCTTAATGACTCTGAGTAGTAATTATGAGTAATTACTATGATTCCAGCCACCCCAGCCCCCACAATAAATCAGGGGATAATCTTAATTAAATTCATTTAGATTCAGCAGATTTCCACCTCTTCCACTCTATTAAAAGGCAGTCCCATTTCCAACTCATGAAGTCAATTTGCAATCACAGCTCCTTACTTCTTACCTCACTTCTGCATGAAGTGGGAAGCAGGCCCATAATCTTGAAGGGTGCCCCAAATCTCTATCCTGGGTTACCTTTGCTATAGTTTGGCAAATCTGGTCTCCAGTCCCTAAGCACATGCTCCCTGCCTCCTTCACAGCTCTCTGCACAGGAGATGACAGTGTTTTCCCTCTTTCCCGAGCCACACCTGTTGCCTGCTATCCTTCTAAATCCTGCTCTAGATTGTCCTTCTCTACCCTCCGACCTTAATACCACCAACACCAATGTGCATACAGTTTATGGAGCTGTGCTCTCAGCACTTGTATCTGTTAGATGCAGTGATGCAACTTTCCATTGTGGGGAGTGCATGTTCAATTCAACTTTCAGTGGGCTGAGAGCAAGGTCCTCGCCTCCTTTTTCAACACCTCCTTCTCCTGCGCATATGGGAAACGGCACAGATGGGATACTCAGTAGAAGCTGCTTAGCAAGGGCAGAGTCCCAGGCCCTCCTACCGTTTGGTCCCCACCCTCTGATTCGGGGCAATGTCAATGGTGTCAGTGACTGCATCATGACGGACAGCCAGGCCCAGGTCTGCTATGGCACACATGCCATTTTTCTTCACCAGAATGTTCTTTGACTTTAAGTCTCGATGAGCAATTCCAGGCTTCCCTGGCAGAGAAAAAAACAGGGATCTTTACAAAGAGATGATATAAATGTTAAAAGCATAGACTATGCAGCCAGACTGTATAGGTTTGAGTCCTGGCTTTGCCTCCTGCTAATCCAGTGACCCTGGAAAAGTGACTTTAGCCCTCTGTACCTCAGTCTTCTCATCCATAAAATCAGAATGACTACTTATTTCATGGGACTGTTGTGAGGATTAAATGCATTCATGTAGCTAAGTTACGACCATAGAAGGACATGTGTATTTAGCTAATATTTGTATTAATATTTACTACTACTACTCGCCTTCCCTGAGCAAATATGCTCAGGTACAGAAGTGCTGAGGGACTGAAGGGAAGTTGCTGCAATGCCTAGTTCTCAGAAGGAAACAGGCCCGATGATGAGAACTGGCACCGCACAGGCTATAGGAATAGGATCCAACTTTCACGGGTGATTTTCCATTGTGGCCCTGGTCAACCAGGCATCAGGGATCACACCTGCCATTGTGACAAGATCCAGGATCTCCCAAAGAGCCGACATGATAATCAACAAGTAGCAGAGCTTCAGGTCTTCTTCCTCCAGGAAAACCTTCCCAGATTAGTAAGGCCCAGAATCTAATCCACCAAGTGGCCTTTAAGCCAGCTGTCCCCATCAATGAACATGGAAATCACTAAACTGATGTTCCCAGTACACTGGTTTATCTTTTTAGTTCCATTTTTTCTCATGTCTATTGTGGGATTCTAAGATGATTACTCCTTCGTAACAAATGACTATGTCAAGCCACTGATTGACAAGTAGCTGAATATTGATATTATAGGGTTCCTGAGGGAGTTCTATCAAGACAGAGGTGAAGGGAACACCCTGTAGATACCTCACTTAAGTGAAGCTCAAACCTCCTTTCCTTTAAATTAAACTAGAGTTCCTGAGGTCCAGCCCCAACTTCCTCAGTAAAAAGGAATTCTAGGAACTAAATCAGGACACTGCGGACCTTTCATGCCTACACCACTTCGCCGCTCCTGCGCTAGTCCACTCACCTTGGGTGCCCACGATCTCCATGTGCAGGTGTGCCAGCCCACTAGCAGCAGACAAGGCCAGCTTAATCATCCCCTCAATTGTCACTGTGTACCGGTTCAGATAATCAAACAGGGACCCGTGCTCATGATAGTCAGAAACAAGCCACAGCTGTGTCCAGGTGCCATTATCTGCAGAGAACCACAGATGAGTCCCAGAAAAAGTGTAACTATCAGCAAAACAGTGAAGGTTGGTAAGGATGAGTGTATACAACACAAAATCAGGTTAGACTCCTGAATTCACATTTCCCACCTCCATGCCCCCTGAAGCCCCATCTAGCATCCTTTCATTTATAGTGGTCTACCAGTTTGGGACCTCAGTAAGGACAGGGGAACACCATTTCTTTCTTAGGACTGCTCCTGATTTCCTTTAGGTGAACTGTAGGATTCTGAACATTATGTCAAATTTGAAATGTGAGGTACTCAGGAAAGAGGAGGCATATGCCTGGGGAAGGTAACAGCTATCACCAGCTTTGTGTGCAGCACTGCTTTGATCCTGACCAAGACTTGCTCATCTGCACGGGAGAACCACAATGAGCTGGATCTACCACCACCAAACAGGAAAGCCTTGGAGGGCCTCCTGTGTCCCAGCGACCCTCTGAACACAGCCCAAACACAGCACCTGTCTCATCTGTAATGTTTCTTTTCAGTCTGTTGTTCTTACCAGGCTATGATATCTCTGTGAGTAGGAAAGATCTCCTTTATGGATTATTGGATTCCAGGCCAAAAAATGCTTTTCAGTGCATGAATAGACCACTTCCAAGTATTCCCAGAAAGGCATCTCATCCTTCAGAGGAGCAATGGAAGGTAGAGTGCATACACTTTATTTTCTCTTTTACACTAGGGACAGCAGGAAGGAGGAGAGCAGGAGGAGGGAGAAAAAGAAACACCAAAGCCAGGAATCGAATTAAGCCATGCCGTTGTCAATTGGAAGACTGGAAATTGAGTTGAAATCTCCAAAATTCCAGGCTGGCGCTGATTCCAGGGCACCATACTATATATACCCCATGTTAAAAAGGCAAGAACGAGGGAGTCTGATTGTTTCCCTTCCCTGGCCTTAAGGTGGGTTTTGAAAGCCAGATCCCTACTCACACAAGCTGCCAGAATCAATAAAGGGATGGATCCTGGAAACACACACATCTTGGCTTCTCTTATCACAAACAAGGGGCCCACCCAACACACTGCTTCTCGCACTCTAACCAGCCCCAAAGTCCTGAGGACCCTGCTAACAAGTTCAAAGAGAAGACATGATTTGATCCTTTTAAAACATATAAGATTTAAATTTTATCAAAAGGTGATAGTTTTAAAAAGGAATAGCTTACTCAGTGGGAATAAAAATCTTGCTCTTCCCCTTCCTCCCTTGTATTGGAGTCTAAGGCTCCTCAGCTTGGGGGCAGCAGAGACCATTACAACTTCCCATGGCAATGTGAGGAATGAGCAGTCTGCTGTTGTTTCAGGAATGAAAAACAAATAGCATCTTCTGTAGGCTTTGTAGACACTAACTTCTAAATTGCACCATGCCACAGGAGCAAGTCATGTCACAACTGCTAGAGAGACCCTTCCACAATGTGAACCAGCCACTCACAGCATCCTCTCTGTGCTCCGGGTGCCACTACCTGTCCACGTGTCTGTCCCCTTCTTCCTGGGAGCTCTGTGAGGGGAGGGACTGTGTCTTGCTCTTATGTGTGATGGTCCAAGCAGCCAGCAGAGGTCTGGCCCACAGCAGTCAATAAATGTTATAGAATTAATGAATGAAATTTTAATTACTACCCACTATCTTCAGAATGGAATACAATCCTCTCAAAAAGGCCCCTCATAATCTGGCCTCTGCCTCCCTCTCCACCCACAGCCATCCAAGTTACTTGCTGGGCCCCAAACCTCACCTTTGCACATGTCTGCAGTGCTCTTCCCTGCAAGGAAGATTTTTCTTCCTGACCAGTTCTTGCCACCTTTGTCTCAACTGGGCTCAGGTGCGAGTCAGCCCCAATTTGTGCTCAACAGAACAACTCGTGTTTACCTCCTCTAATCACCCTTACTCGTCATCCTTTGCTAGTCAATGAGGTCCTCAAACATAGGGAGGTGCCTGGCACATAAGAGATTCAAAAACTAAAGCAATAAAAGGGAGAGGAAGAAGGAAAGAATCCTCAGGGACAGGACTGACCAAGAGCAGAGTCCGAAGGCGACACTTCGTGGACTACAGGCTTTTCTGTCGTTATCCTCCTTGCCAGGGTTGAGGCCGCAATTCCTCATCCTAGGGATTTTTTTTTTCTTTTTTTTTTTTTGAGACGGAGTCTCGCTCTGTCGCCCAGGCTGGAGTGCAGTGGCGCGACCTCAGCTCACTGCAACCTCCAGCTCACTGCAACCTCCGCCTCCTGGGTTCAAGCAATTCTCCTGCCTCAGCCTCCTGAATAGCTGGGATTACAGGTAGGTGTCACCGTGGCCAGCTCATTTTTGTATTTTTAGTAGAGATGGGGTTTTGCCATGTTGGCCAGGCTGGTCACAAACTCCTGACCTCAAGTGATCTGCCTGCCTCGGCCTCCCAAAGTGCTGGCATTACATGCGTGAGCCACCGCGCCCAGCCCATCCTAGTGATTTTCAAAATAAGCTTACGGGACCCCCTGCAGGAACTACAATGGAGGTGGGTTTGGGGGAGTGGAGAAAGAGAAATTGAGCAGGTAGGGTGAGGGGGTGTATCTTGTTTATCTGAGTAAGAACTGCTTGTTTATTTGCTTGATAACCTGGATTTTTGTATAACCTTTTCATGGAATAAAAGGCTCCACACTTTAAGGAAAGCATGGAAACCTTGACCTTACTCAAGTTTTCTTTCTACGGGTTACAATGATGAAGGCAAACAGAGCTGTGCACCCCATAGCTATGCACTTTCTCTAGCATCCTCTATCTGGGAATGCTGTATCCAAGCCCAGCCCTTACCTTTATTGTCAGCAGCAATAAATCCAAGGATGTTTTCATGGCGCAGCATGACCGTCTGGTATATCTCTGCTTCCCTGAACCAAGACCGTTCTTCACGAGAAGAGAATATTTTCACAGCCACATCACCACCCCTCCAGCGGCCCCGCCATACTTCCCCAAACCGACCCTTGCCAATAATCTCTTGTAAAACGATGGTTCGGGCCACTGTGCGCTGGACAAAGAGGGGTAACCCTGTGAACCAAAGAATAGGAAGAAACCTGACATTGCAAATTTGACAAATTTTCCAACTCCCACACTAATTGGCACAACGGAAACACCCTTAACATGGTGTCTTCATCCTACGCTGTCCATTAACCATGGAGAGCTGCTGCTGCCCATACACATTTCTAGGTAATCTACCAGAGGGCTGAGCCAGGCGGAGAGATGGGGAAAGAGTGAACACAAACAGGAAACGTGTATGATTAGCTACTCCTTATCTAGGCAATTTCTCCTCTCAGTAAGCACGGATGATAGATTTGAATGTAAATGTTTGACCAGATTTACCAACTCTTCAGCCAGCCACCTGTGGGCCGATCCACCCACATCTGCTTTATTTTGGTGGAGGAAGGAAAGAGGGCAGAGAACATGAAAGTGTGGGCTCATGTGCTGGGGGCCACCTTCTGGCTGTTCTGCTTATTAGCCACTAGAGGGCAGTGCTGTGCGGCCCATGGGTTCCCATCTCCAAAGAGAGCAATGCTCTGCTCACAAGCGAACTCCAGATGTAGAATGGAGGACCATCTATGTTTAGTCTAAGATTAACTTTACTGTCTTTATAAAACTCAACATTGCTTCATTTGACTCATTCAATGTATCTCTATATATCCAATCACCCTTACCATCACAAGTGACTCTTAACTGTCTTACTCCCACCCCCAATCAAATAATTAATACATTATTAATCCCTAGGTCTGGTAGATGGGAACTACCATTTACTGCATGCTTACTATGTATTAGGCTCCATGCTAAGGGCTTTACATAAATTATCTCACTTCCCCAAACCACCTGGAAGGTAAGGCGCTGTTATCATCCCCATTTTATAAACAAGAAAACTAAGGCTCAAAGAGGAGGTTATGTAATATTCAAATTCATACAAGCAGTAAGTGGCAAAGCAGGGCTTAAAATCTAGGACTGTCTGACTCTATAATCTATGCTTTTAATGACAACAGTATAGAACCACCAAAATGTTTCTCAAATTAGCCCCCGCCTCTCCATCTCCGTCCGCCTGTCCTACTTTTGGACCTTCTCTAAAAGACTTCCAACAGGTCTTTTGCCTCCCATCTCAGCCTGCTCTTGCCCTGTGCACCCACACACACCCCGCCTCACCCCACCCTTCCCAACAGAAGGCTGGTAGTGAATGAATTCATCCTCCACACCACTGCCAGAATTCCTTCCAAAGGAAAAAATGAACATTCATTTCCCACATGGAAACTTTCAGTAGAAGCCCCTTACCTAGAAGATAAAGGTCAGCCCTCAAGATCCTGTACACCTGGGGCAGCCTGACGTCCCCCTGCTTCCCCAGCACAAGCACATCATGCTGGTCTCCTCATCATAAAAGTTCTTTAAACATACAGTGGACCTTCATGCCTTTGTCTTTTTACTCAAGGTATTTTCATTGGCCTGGAATGTTCTTTGCCCTCTCGCCTCTCTTAAAAATTCCAACTCATTCTTCAAGACTCCTTTTTTTTTTTTTTTTTGAGATGGTGTCTCGCTCTGTCACCCAGGCTGGAATGCAATGGTATGATTTCGGCTCACTGCAACCTCCACCTCCTAGGTTCATGTGATTCTCCTGCCTCAGCCTTCTGAGTAGCTGGGATTACAGGTGCCCGCCACCACACCCAGATAATTTTTGTATTTTTAGTAGAGATGGGGGTTTCATCATGTTGGTCAGGCTGGTCTCGAACTCCTGACCTGAGGTGATCTACCCGCCTCGGCCTCCCAAAGTGCTGGGATTACAGGTGTGAGCCACCGTGCCTGGCCTTTTTTTTTTTTTTTTTTTTGAGACGGAGCTTTGCTCTTGCTGCCCAGGCTGGAGTGCAATGGCATGATCTGGGCTCACTGCAACCTCTGCCTCCCGGGTTCAAGCAATTCTCCTGCCTCAGCTTCCCAAGTAGCTGGAATTATAGGCGTGTGCCACTACACCCGGCTAATTTTTTGTATTTAGTAGAGACGAGGTTTCACCATGTTAGTCAGGCTGGTCTCAAACTTTTGACCTCATGTGATCTGCCCGGCCTCAAGACTCCTTTAAATGTGCCCTCCTCTGTGAGACTCTTCCCAACAATTCCTGTCTCTCTGATCCAATCCTGGGTCAGCCTTTTTTTTTTTTTTTTTTTTGAGACGGAGTCTCGCTCTGTTGCCCAGGCTGGAGTGCAGTGGCGTGATCTCGGCTCACTGCAAGCTCCGCCTCCCAGGTTCACACCATTCTCCTGCCTCAGCCTCTTGAGTACCTGGGACTACAGGCGCCGCCACCACGCCCGGCTAATTTTTTGTATTTTTAGTAGAGACAGGGTTTCACCATGTTAGCCAGGATGGTCTGGATCTCCTCTGACCTCATGATCCACCCACCTCAGCCTCCCAAAGTGCTGGGATTACAGGCGTGAGCCACCGCGCCTGGCCGGGTCAGGCTCTTTCTAATCTGTTTAAAACCATATCACCCAGAAGGTATTCAGTATATACTTATTTAAATGAATTGAAAGTCATATGAGCAGCATGGACTTACTACTTTAAAAACCACATTATTAGAAACCTAACACCTTGGAAGCTCTGCATATTCTGAATGAAGAATATACTAAACCACTCAGAGGGAAATAGTTATTAACCATTTTACCACAGACGACTAAACAACTACCATGGCCCTTCCCTTGTTTCAGCTGGTCTGGGTCTTAAAAAGACTTTGGAAAACCCAATCTACCCTCCTCTAGCAGCAAATCAATTCCCACAGTCAGCCAGGAGGTTCTAACCACTGCCCTACCTCTTTCAACAAGGAACAAGCCCTAGATTTTTGCTGTTTCTAAAAATATGCAGCTTTTAAATATATCCATCATTTTGGTGCTCTCTACTGCAGAGCTTAATAAAAGCAAAGCCACTGAAATTCAGGAGATGTCACAGCTCAAAGTACTCCCGTGTCAAGCAGAATGTCTGGGCATGACTGATGGCATAATTTCCCCACAGAACAACAGTCTTGTCCCACGTCAAGGAAACATACATAAAAACACGCAAAGTTCTCACAAATAAGATCCTCTGCGTTTTAGCTAGAATGGCAACAGTGATCTTTGTGGATGTTTTTTTTCTTTTTTAAGAATGGACTTGAAGCCAAGAATTTGAGACCAGCCTGGGCAACAAAGTGAAACCTTCCACAAAAAAAAAAAAAAAAAAAAAAATTGCCAGGCTTGGTGGCACATGCCTGACATCTCAGCTACTCAGGAGACTAAGGTGGAGGATCTCTTGAGCCCAGGAGGTTAAGGCTGCAGTCAGCTGTGATTGCACAATGGCACTGCAGCCTGGGCAACAACAGAGCGAGACCATATCTTAAAACAAAAAAAAAAAAAAAAAAAAAGGAATGCAATACCATTGTCACAAAAATAATGGTTTATCTTCATTAAAAAAATTCTTTACGAGGCAGGCGGATCACTTGAGGTCAAGAACACAAGACCAGCCTGACTGATGTGGCGAAACCTTGTCTCTACTAAAAATACAAAAATTAGTCGCTGTGGTGGCGCATTCCTGTAATCCCAGCTACTCAGGAGGCTGAGGCAGGAGAATCACTTGAACCAGGCAGGTGGAGGTTTCAGAGAGCGGAAATTGCGCCACTGCACTCCTGCCTGGGAAACAGAGCAAGACTCTGTTTCTAAATAAATAAATACATAAATAAGTAAGTAAAAAAATTCTTTTGCATTCATGTTCACATTTAATAGCTAGCTGAGCTATACCCTGAGACCTAAACAACCCCGAGCTCCTTTATCTTAAATTCTCGTCTTATGCCAAGGTCCAGTGTTTGGTTCATTTCCCTCATCTGAGAAAGACTTGGTCAACAAAAGGCAGTACAGGAAATAGTGCTGATGCTATGCTGGAGGCCCACACTGCCTTTATTTTCACCCCCACCAAAAACCCTTGGGCAACTGGTACAAGTCAATGATTCACCAAATCCCAACTCTAAGCTTTACTGGATGTCCTTAAACTCCCCTTGTGGTTGCTCAGAGATCAATGATTAGCTGTCACCACCTCACAGGAATCTGGCACACTCCTGTTTCTCAAAAGGGGCCCTGAAATTGAGCACTCCACTGCTCAGGTGGGACCAGCTGAATTTTAATAGATGTACGTACAGTTGCAAAGCTTAGAGAGGCAGGACTTCTGTAGTGGATAATTGTGTACTAGACCTTGGGAATCCCACGGAATGAGAGATTTTCTGTGAACCCATTATCTTATCTTATTACACGTCAGACTCCAAAAGAAGGGGAACTAGGAAACCAAATGACTCAATGCTGGTAGAAACAAATGCAGGGCCTCCAGCCTTCTCTACAAGCACTCTATCCTGCTGGGAAACTGATGAAAGCCAACCACAGACATGATGCCCTGAAGAACTTGGTACCTGAGCCAGACCCTGAGGTGGAGAGATCGTAGACAAGATCCTGGAGCGTCTTGTCTTTGGAGAGACACATCTCACATGAGGGATCTTCCATGTCCAGTCTCTGGCGGTTGTGATAGACACGCTGATGATAGTTAATGACAAGGAAAACAATGATGATGATGAGGAACAGGAGGAACACCGGGCCGGCGATGATGCCTACCAGCTCCACCGGGCCCCACATGGACGGGTGCTCAGGCTCCTTGAGGTGACCTGAGTCAAGTGAGAGAGGAGAGGGAAAGAATGAGAAGTAAAAACAAGGGAAAGAGTAAAAACACCCCCCTCAAAGTGAAGAGTGAAAAAGACCCCTTTCCCTGTCGATGTGTTCAGGCTCCCTTGATCTCTCTAATCTTCTGGGCTAGTCTTGCTGCCTAGATGCTCTCAAATGCCCAACTTCTTTAGTTAAGGCACCTCTTTCCACAGTCAAACCCACAACCCACTTTGTCACCTCACGCATTTCGTGGTACTATCCCCGCCTCAGGCCCCTACACAGATGCCTGTTTCTGCCCTTTAACTTCCCACAGCTCCTCTAAGCTCTGCTTTAGTTTCTCTCCTTTTCCTGTGGGCTCCACAGTAATGCCTCCTGAATGGTAGGCTTGCAAAAGGATGGTATGTGGTGTTTCTCGGCTTTGGTCACTGGCCTTTTCCTATTCTGGTCCCTCCTCACATCTAACCATCATCCTCCCTTGAGGAGTCACCTTTGCTCGGCTCTGGGGCCATCTCTTTCTGGATCAGTCCCACATCCTCCCGTGGGAATCCCTGCCTGGTTCTTCCACTCCTCACCGCTGCCTATGGCTGCTAAGCCACTACTCTAAACACTGCGGGCACCTCTGGGACTAACTTGAAAATCTGCTTCCTCACCCTCTAATCTACAAAAGCAACTGCTGAGAAACCCCAGCCTTTGTCACCTTCGGGAACATCCAAAAGGCATCTTTATCGTCAAACCAAGTGAGTGGGCAAGAGTAGAAAAAAATGAAATGACGGGGTACCCTATCTCCAAGCTGAGCCACTAGCCCAACAAGGGCATGCACTCACCACTGGGCACCCTCAAGTCGATCCTGTTGCAGTAGTCAGTGTAGCAGCAGTGGGTGTTGCGCAGGTCCTCCGAGCTCAGGCAGTAGAAGGGCTTCCCGGCAGGGACCAGCTCCACTTTGGGGATGCAGGTGCGCACATGGTGCTCCATCCCATCCAGATTGAAAATGGAAACCATGCAGGCCCCATCTGTCTCACACGTGTAGTTGGCCTGGAGGCAGCTGGTGCACGCACACAGCAGAGCTGCAGGAAATTGGGGAGCAGACATTGACATCAATGGTGAGATCTTTTGCAGGTCCTTTTCCAAACTTAGAATATAATCCCTTAGCATACTTGATGTTCCAAAACAGTTTTTATAGAGATGGGGCCAAAAAGATATCCTTAACTGAGCACAACTTCACCTGTTTATTTAGCTCACAAACAAGGCTTTTGAAGCTCCACTATTATCCTCTAAGTGCTCTACTTTATGCCTGTGAGAGACAGAGGAACTACCTTTTCTTCAAATTGAGATGCCTGACAAGAGGAAAGCATCTTCCTTTTGGAGAATGTGGGGCTGCCCCCCACTTCATGCAGAGCCACCTAGGGTTCCTGGAGCTATCACCAGCCCTATCTCCCCCAGCAGGAACCAAGCACACCCACGGCTTCCTGCAGCATGCATGCTCTCACACATTCTTTTGCTGCAATGCTTTTTTCCTGCCTACTTCTTACATATCCTTCAAAATTCAACTCAAATGTCACTTCTTTTGAAAAGCTTTCCCTGACCACTCCATTATTGTCCTCCTGCCTTTAGAAGTCCAAGTCAGGTGCCCCTCTCATTCACGAGGGGCAAAAATGATATCCTCCAAAGAGAACTTGAGAGCCTCCCTCATGAAGTTATTGTGAGAATTAAGTGAGATAATGCATTAAAAGTGCACAATACATTTAACCCATCCTGAAAGGCCCCTGGATAGCATGCACATGCATTCACGCATGAGTGTGCGCGCGCACACACACACACACGAATTTTTTTCAAACAGGCAGTGTACACAATCACCTCTGGGATTAATGAGTTTTGCTGGGTAACTATCATACATAAGTGTGTCCCATTTGACAGGAAATTACTGCAAATGAATTTGGCGCCTCTGAAAGCCTCTTCAGCAGCCCTGGAATCTGAAATCCTTTATTTATTCAACTAACAAGAATAGCACAGACAGCAGCAGTTGGTTCTCCCCAACACTGTCTCCCATGAGACTAACCTAGCTCTGACCTCTTGGCATGGGCAGGAGTGTTGCTTTGCCCACTAGAACACTGAGGCTGGGGCTCGGAAGTGCTGAAGGAAGCACTCACACATTGGCGGGTGGAGGTGGTGGGGGCCCAACTGAGTCCCAGATCACACACTAAGTAAATACTATCTGGATAACAAGTGGGAATGCATTCACACTATGGACCCTGGAGATGAGACACTTATGGGCAGTCCCATGAAAAGCCACCCTGTCATAACTCACCAATTTAGGCTGTACACAGTCTATCTTCGTCTCTTCCTCCAATATTCTGAAAGGCATCTCTTGGCTTTTCAAATCCAAAGACAGATTCTAAATATCTCAGTGCCCAACCCCTCCTTCCTTAGGCTTTCTATAAATGAGCCGATTCCTTGCTAGTCCCACCCGAGGAAACCAAGGAGGCAGCCCTGGCAGGTGGATAGACAGTGTAGACAGTGCAGATCTTCACTTATGGCCTGTTGTATTTTTTCACGTTTCATCAGATCCCTTTCTTCTGGGAGAAATTCCAAAACATGCAGCCTCTTGCTTCAGAGTTTGGGTAGTGTTATTTCTTAAAGGCAGAACATTTAAAGTAGGTGCCTATTAGACTAGGATCCAAATCATAAAAGGGATTTTTAAAAGTAAATTTCTCCTGAATTTTTATTCTAACCCATTTAGACACAAAAAAGACTAAGGAATCGCTTCATTTTCCCTTCCAAATACCTTTGTTTGCTCCCTCTCTTATTCTTTCTGCTTTTACATTTACTTCTGAAACTCACAGAATACTTGATCCAAAGCTCTTTTACTCACACTGGAATCTTAAGAAAGCTAACTCCCATTCCCCTTTGTGGCAGTGGGGACATTCAGGCACTTTAAAAGGGGTTCTCTATGGAAAGCATACCTCTCAATATTTGTGTTGTGATGTCCAGCAAAGAGAACAACATTGGTTCTATTTTGGGAAGCAAGAAGGGAAAAGTAACAACTTCAAGAGAGGACTATTCTGAGCACAGTGAGACACAAGCCCAAACCCACAGTTGCCTTTCAGAAAAGCGCTCACTCCAGAGCCCACCAATTAGAGGGACTGAATAGTCAGGAGCCTCTGCTTCCAGATACTTATGCTTATTTCGTTAGTTCACAACCTCTTTCACAGTGATTCATTCTGGAGAACGAACACACCCACACGTGGCTCATTATTTTTGGGAAGTACTTAAACAATCTTGGTGTAAGACAGGAAAGAACAAAAGTGGTGAAATCTATGCTAGACAGGACGAAGAACGGAACTGGGGGCTGGGCCGTGTGGGTTTGTGATAAGGCGCTGGGTGAGTCCCTGAGCCTATCTGGGCCTCAACTACCCAACCAGAAAACACCGTTTATCTTACAGAGATGGTATGAAGATTAGCCAAGCAACTGCTAAGAGCTGCGGGTCCTCTGAGAAAGGCCACTCTACACATATCTATGTCTAATTACATATTTTACAGAGTGAGAAGTCTGAAAAAGATATATTTTAAAGATAACTACCACCGCTGCCCATACCCCTGAAAAGGTCAGAATTACCATCACTAGTAGCCACAGTGGGGATCATAGCAGGACAGGTCAGAAAGGCTCAAATGCCAGCTTTAATATTAACCACATGACCTTGAGCAAGGTATTAACCTTCTCGCACCCGTTTCCTAATCTGTAAAGTGGGGCTGTTAATGTGCAGCGTTAGGCAATTTTGTTGCTGTGTGAACCTCACAGCGTGTACTTACACAAACTTAGATGGCATAGTCTAAGTGGTGTAGCCTCTTGCTCCTAGGCTAGAAACCTGTACAGTATGTAACTGTACTGAATACTGTAGGCAACTGTAACACAAGAATCATCTGTATCTAACATAGAAAAGGTGAAGTAAAAATACAGCATTATAATCTTATGGGACTACCATCATGTAACAGTGTGGTCCCTCACTGACCAAAATGCTGTTATACGGCACGTGACTGTATTTCACAGGGCTATGTAAGAATTACATGAAGAAATATATATCTATTTTTTAGAGACAGGGTTTTGTTATGTTGCCCAAGCTGGACTCGAATTCCTGGGCTCAAGGGATCCTCCAGCCTCAGCTTCCTGAGTAGCTGGAACTACAAGCATGTGCCACCACGCCCAGCTAATATATTTTTTAAAGTACTTAACAACTAGTAGATATTCAATAAATATTAATCCCCCCCTCAATGTAAAACCTAAAAACAAAACAAAAAGCCACCACCCAAGTAAAAATGTGTCTCCTTAACCACTAATTAGGAAGTGGCAAGTTTCAGTAAGAAACTGCTGTTCAAGTTTCAGCTCTATCAGGAACTAGTTGCATGGCTTTGGGCAAGTCATTTAACCTCTTTGAACCTCATTTTTCTCATGATTAACCAGAAAGAAGGGATTGAACTATATGACCTCTAAAATCCTTTCCAGCTATGTTTGAATCTAGTTTTGTTTTTAAGTTCACACTGTTTGATCACTGACCCAACACTGGACAATTCTGCTCTGTTTTATATGCCTTTTCCTAAACATCTTTTAAAGACAGACATTTTGGCTAGCCTTCTGTTAACATTCATTTTCCACTGAAACAAAAGTGATAAATTATAAAAACATCTAAATTTACTGTAAATCTTAGTTCATTAAATCACGCACACTAAATTCAATTCTCTCTGAAAAAATAAATCTGGACTAATGATAACAGCCCCTTAGAATCTGTTTCATAGTGACTCATCAGGTTAAAAATTTTACACACCGTGTATATAAACATACCTAAAACTCTCCTTATTCCAAGGCGGAAGAATTACGTAGTAGAAATAACACAACTCGGAAAACCAAATCACAGGAGTAACAAAATCACTCTACACATAAACAAGTTAGGAAGTGGTCAGAACAAAAGCCCTACTTGCATAGACTTTTGTCATTAACAAGTTAGTCAAATTTAAACTAAAGACAAAACCACCTTGGCAGGGTTTGAACACGGTTCCAAAGTATGATTGGAAGGTGGTTTGTGGTAGGATGTAAATGCAAATTTGATTCATGAGACAGGCTGTGTTTTGAGTAAGGCTGACAAGTTCCAACCTGGGCAGACTGTCTAGCTCCGTGTTATAGAGGCGCCTAACACAGCTGGAACTCAGAAAAGACAGGCCACTCAGTGACACCATGGCCCAGCTAAGAATTCTCAAAAACCGCCACACACAGTCAGATTCATGGCCATTTAGCCTAACATCCCGCCTCAGACCCTCACCAGGAGGGGTGTGGGAGTGTGCAGCATGATGGCGCCCCCTGTGAAAGGGAAGAGGCACAGCACACAACGTCTAAGTTTGTCCTAACAGATGAAGGTCCAGGAGCGCACCTAAAACTTTTTTGAAGCTATAGTAATTATGAATTTTAACTTAATTACTACTTGGGAATAATAAATTTCATAAATTTAGTACTGATTGTGGAGCACTGTCCTGTTTAGGTACGCTAGAGATTTTCAAATTTCACCGGGCAACCTTCTAGTTCTGCCCTTACTCTTCGTGATTTTATGACTTGATCATAAACTGCTTCTCAGCACTCTTTCCAGATGAGAAATTCACCAAACAGCCCCAAGTGATAAGAATAGCCTAATACAACCATGATTATTTTAATTATTCTTCCCTGGCCCTTATCCCAACCCTCTCCAGTACGGATAGAACAAAGACCATAACTCTACACAACTGTGATTGCAGGATCAGAGACATCAGTTTTATATTCAGGTAGGATGTTTTCAGTTTGTTTCCCATAAGAAAACACCGTGCAGAGCTACGCTGTGTTATTGTATCAAGAGTTTTCACTTTCATCCTCTCCTGTGATCCCCACAGGAACTCACGAGCTGAGGCAGGTATAGCTGTCTCACTTTATGGATAGTAAAGCCTCGGAGAAGTTAAGGGGCTCACAAGCGGTAAACCAGTAAAACGATGGAGCACATCTCCAACTCAGGTCTCCAGGGTCTAAGTTCGATCTTTTCCCCACAACACCACACAGCATTCTACCACGCTCTTTCTGACAACACTTGGCACACAGAGCCAGCAGGGCCACGGCCACACTAGGAACACCTTCATGTGATCAGATTCAGCACCCTGCAAATATCATTCACATCACTCTCAACACATTCTTACCCTCCCCGTATCAAATGCGCTATTGGTTTTCTGACCAAAGAGCCACACCATGTCTTCCTGCAGTTCATCTCCAGGGATTTAGTGTGTTACAGCCTGGGATAACAATGCCACTGGAAACCTCAAGGTTTCACCATGAATTCCTTACTTCATATTGGTGACTCTACCAATATTATGGAAGTGGTGCTTTATCCCTACTTTATTTTTTAAGACTTTTTAAAAAATTTTCTTAGAGACAGGGTCTTGCTATGTTGCCCAGGCTGGAGTGCAGTGGCTATTTACAGGTGCAGTCATAGCTCACTGCAGCCTCAAATTCATGGCCACACACGATCCCTTCTGCCTCAGCCTCCTCAGTAGTTAGGACTACAAGTATACCCCACCACGCTGGCTAAGATAGTTCTTTATACACAGTGTAAATTCCTTTAATCCCTTTGTGACTTTAAAATAACTACCTGTACAGACTTTATTAGGGTCTTTCAAAGTCCAGATCAAGTCTTTCTCTTTATTCACATGCATACTTACCTCTATAAAAAATTCCAATTAGCCTGCCTGGGCTTTAGAGAAACCATACTGCCACCTTCTCTCGAGTGGGTAGTATAATGTTTTCTTAGATTCAGTAGCCCACTTTTATTATAGGTCTCATCAGCATAGCAACCAGGGTCTTTCTGGAAATCTCTTTACACATATAGGAGTAACAGGTCAATTTAACAGTCTTCTGGCTGTGGTGCCATTTAAAGAAATAGACTGTGTTCCATTCACCTTTGCATCTCCAGGGCTGAATTCTAGTAGGTCCACACTAAACATCTGCTCAAAAATGGCCATTTACGACGACAACATTAAAGTCCTTTGAGATGGGAAGAAAAATAACATTGTCCCAGTTACTATGGCCATATAACAAATTACTCCAAAAACTTGTGGCATAGAACAACCATTTAATCTATGCATGGATTCTATGAGCCAGGAACTTGGGCAGGGCAGCAGGGACAGCTTATCTCTACTCCACAACATCTGGGGCTTCAGGTGGAAGACTCCAAGGCTGGGGCTGGAATCATCTGAAGGCTTACTCACGCTTACATTTGGCGCATGATGCTGGCTGTTGGCTGGGGACCTTCGTTCTTCTTGATGCGGTCCTCTCCAACTACAGGATAAGCATTCTTTATCCAAAATGTTCGGACCAGAAAGCATTGCAGATTTCTGATTTTGGGGGATTTTAGAATATTTTCATATATATCTGACTGGGCAACCCTAATCTGAAAATCTGAAATCAAGATGCTCCAATGAGCATTTCCTTTGAGCACGTTGGTGCTAAAAAAATTTTGGATTTTGCAGCATTTTGGATTAGGGATGTTCAACCTGTAGTCCCTTTGTGTGGGTTAGCTTAGGTTAGCTTAGGCTCCTCATAGCATGACAGCTGCCCTTCTCCAGAGCAAGAACCCAAAAGGAAACGAACCTGGCAGAAACTGTATCCTTCTAGCAGCCTAGCCTTAGATACCAGAAAGCATCACATCCACCATATACCATAGATCAAAGCTGTCAAGCCTCCACCCAAATTCAAGGAAGGGACATGGGTAGACCCTGCCTATTGGAAAGAGTGTCAAAGTCACATTGTAAGAAAAACATGTGGGATGGGAAATATAGTTGCAGTCATTTAGGAAATACAATTTGCCACAAAGACCCACTTCTTTAGGTCTAAAACGTCCCATATATTTATCACTACTTAAATTTAGAATAAAATAACATTTATTACAAGCCAACTATTAATATAAGATTGGTTTTAAACCTTTACCTCAAGAGGTATCTAACATCTACAACTTGTTCACTTCGAAATAATTTGGACTTGTATGTTTCCATAGCACGCTTCTCAATACGAGTGAAGAAATAATTCTTTTTTTTTGAGATGCAGTTTTGCTCTTGTTGCCCAGGCTGGAATGCCATGGTGCAATCTCAGCTCACTGCAACCTTTGCCTCCTAGGTTCAAGCAATTCTGCCTCAGCCTCCCAAGTTGCTGGGATTACAGGCACCTGCTACCACGTCTGGCTAGTTTTTTGTATTTTCAGTAGAGACCGGGTTTCGCCATGTTGGCCAGGCTGGTCTCGAACTCCTGACCTCAGGTGATCCACCCGCCTCAGCCTCCCAAAGTGCTGGGCTTACAGGCATGAGCCACCGCGCCCAGCCAGAAATAATTCTTTTAGTTTCTCTGCTACCTCCTCTATCACTGAGAGCACCTTTAGGGAGATATAATTACATAGTGATTAACAGCCTGGGCTCTGAGGTCAGACAGCCTAAGCTTAAATCCTGGTTCCATCACTTGTTAGCTTAGCAACACTAGGCAAGTTTCTTGGGCTCACAGGACTCGGGCTGCCCAATTAGAAAATGCAGAAAACTAAGAGAATCAACTTCATAGGGTGGCTCTGAAGAATAAGATAATCAGTATATAAAGCTCTTAGCCAAGTGCCTATACAGCTAAGTGTACAATTAAATGCCAGACATTCCCACTAGTACCAGCCACCGATTCTCTAGCAGGTTTCCCCCAACCTTTAATATTTTTGTTTGTTTGTTTTTGTTTTTAAGACGGAGTCTTGCTCTTGTCACCCAGGCTGGAGTACAATGGCACGATTTCGGCTCACTGCAACCATTGCCTCCTGGGTTCAAGCGATTCTCCTGCCTCAGCCTCCTGAGCAGCTGGGATTACAGGCGCCCGCCACCACACCCAACTAATTTTTGTATTTTTAGTAGAGACGGGGTTTCACCACGTTGGCCAGGCTGGTCTCGAACTCCTGACCTCAGGTGACCCACCAGCCTCGGCCTCCCAAAGTGCTGGGATTACAGGTGTGAGCCACCGCACCACCTTTAATGTTTTTATTTGTTTGTTTGTTTGGTTTTTTTTTGAGACGGAGTCTCGCGCTGTCGCCCAGGCTGGAGTGCAGTGGCACAATCTCTGCTCACTGCAAACTCTGCCTCCTGGGTTCATGCCATTCTCCTGCCTCAGCCTTCCGAGTAGCTGGGACTACAGGCGCCTGCCACCACGTCCGGCTAATTTTTTGTATTTGTAGTAGAGACGGGGTTTCACCATGTTAGCCAGGATGGTCTCGATCTCCTGACCTTGTGATCCACCCGTCTCGGCCTCCCAAAGTGCTGGGATTACAGGCATGAGCCACTGCGCCCGGCCTACCTTTAATGTTTTTAAGTGCCTTTAATTTTTTGTCATTGATATTGCAATCTTCCGCAAGTTATATTTTAAATTGCAGTTTCCCACAATATCATTATCATACCTAAAATAACTGACAATAATAGCCTTAATATAATCAAATATCCAGTCAGTGTTCAAAAATCCTTTATTACCTTGAAAAAATTAACAACTGGCTCAAACCCAGATCCAAGAAGGGCACGGTGGCTCACACCTGTAATCCCAGCACTTTGGGAGGCTGAGGTGGGAGGATCTCTTGAGCTCAGGAGTTTGAGATCAGCCTGGGCAACACAGTGAGACCCTGTCTCTACAAAAAGTAAACATATCAGCTAGGTGTGGTGGCACATGCCTGTCGTCCCAGCTCTTCAGGAGGCTGAGGTGGAAGGATTGCTTGAGCCCAGGAGACTGAAGCTGAAGTGAGCTGTGACTCCATCACTGCACTCCAGCCTGGGTGACAGAGCTAGACTCTGCCTCAAAAATAAAATAAAATGAAAATCCAGATCTAAATGAGGTTCTTCCATTGCACTCAGCTAAGAGATCTCCTAAAACCTTTTTCAATCTATAGGTTCCCGCTTGCACTGTTATTTTTCCTTGCAAGTTATCTGTTGAAGAATCTAGGCCATTTGTCCTGCAGCTTCCCACATTCTGGATTTTTTGGGTTGACTCTCCAAGGTGTCATTTAACATGTTCCTCTCTCCTCTGTATTTTCTATAAGCTATTAGCTAGAGTTAGAGGTTTGATGTGATTCAGGCTCAAATTTCTGGCTAGAATACTAACAAGTGATGAATACCATCCCTACCATCCCTCACAAGGCACAGAACTTCCAGTTGTCTCTTTTTGTGATGTTAATTCTTTTTTCTTTCTTTCTTTTTTTTTTAGTAGTATTTTCCTCTTCTACTTTTCCAGGTCCTGTGTAGGTATTCCCTCTATCTCCACACTCCCCTCCTCAACCCAACACCATTAGCTACACAGATTCTGGCACACACACATCTTTAGTCTAGAAAAGACTAAGTATTCCCTCTTCCAGACTACTTGAAATTTAGTCTGTAATCGATTTCATCCAACATGCAAGATCAAATTCAGTGTATTTCCTTAAGTAGTTCTAAGACTGCGTATCCTAAGGATGGGTTCTTAACCAAAACTGCTACATTCCTCTCTTGTTCGTGTTTGGATAATCAGTCTCTAATCACTGACGTCCGGCCTAATTCTGTGGCTTCTCCAAGCTCATTATCCCAGTCAGATGGTCTGCATCATACCTATCCTAGCCCAACTATACCATCCATATAAGGAAAGGACCTCGCTGAACGATCTCACATGGTACTGTCTTTATCTAGTAAAGCTTCTACCTCCCATTGTGCTTTGATGCAGCCGCATCCTCCCCACAGGTCTGTACTCTAATATCTCCAACCTACTGGTTGTCCTCCCACCCAGCTGCTGACATTGAATCAAATACATCAAAGTTCTTACTTGCTACTAAGCATTTCAATTCTAATATTTCATTTTGAGGAATTCTACTTGGTGGGGGGGTCCAAAACTATAAATGTTAGTTGTGCTATTATGAGTATCATATATCAGGGTTTTTTTAAATATACTTTATCTTTACTAGCTTTTTTTCCCCTGCTTACCAAATTAATCCATGTTTCCTCGTTTAAAAAGAACTTCAATCACCACAGAAATATATAATGTAGAGGTTGAGAGCCCCTCTAATTCCTGCCCCAGAGATAATTACTACTACATGTTTGATGTATATTCCTCCAGGGTTTCTTAGGCATACTATTTTTCAAAAGGAATTCTTTTTGCAAATTGATACTGAAAAACTGAGAACCGAACTTGTCCACCAACATAAATTACACATAGAGTAAACATATGATCATATATGTAAATTATATACATCAGATGAGAGTCAATACAATCCCTATCAGAATCTCAGTGGCCTTTTTTTTGTTTTTTTCCAGAAATGAAAAAGCCGATCCCAAAATTCATATGGAATTGCAAGTGACCCTGAATAGTCCAAACAATCTTGGGAGAAAAAAAAAATAAAGTTGGAGGACTCATACTTCTTGATTTAAGCTTACAACAAAGCTACAGTTATCAAACAGAATGGTGCTAAGTATAGACATACAAACCAACAGAACCGAATTGAGAATCCAGAAATAAACCCATACATCTATGATTAACTGATTTTCAACAAGAGTGCTTAGAACATACAGGGGGGAGGAAAAGTCTCTTCAAAATATGGTGATGAACAAATGGATAACCACATGCGAAAGAATGAAGTCAGACCCTTACCTAACACCATGTGCAAAAATTAACTCAAAATAGATCAAAGACCTAAATATATCAACTAAAACTTAAACTTCTAAAACTCTCAGAAGAGGGGTAAAACTTCATGAACTTGGATTTGGCAATGGTCTGTCAGATATGACACCAAAGCACAAGCAACAAAAGTAAAATGGATAAACTGGACTTCATCAAAATTAAAAACCTTTGTGTATCAAAGGGCAATATCAAAAGAATGAAAAGACAATGAACAGGAGAAAATATACGCAAATCATACATCTGAAAATGGTCTAGAATCCAGAATATATAAAAAACTTTTCAAACTCAACAACAACCCAATTAAAAACTGAACAGGAGCCACGCAAGGTGGTGCATGCCTGCGGTCCCAACTATTCAGGAGTCTGAGGCAAGAAGATCTCTTAAGCCCAGGAGTTCAAGGCTGCGATGAGCTAAGAATACACCACTGCACTCCAGCCTGGGTGACAGAGCAAGAACCCTTCTCTAAAAAACATAATTTTTAAAAAACCAACAAAACTGGAAAAAGACCTGAACAGACATTTCTCCGAAGATATACAAATGGCCTGCAAACACATGAAAAGATGTTCAACATCATCTCTAATGTATTGCAAATTCAAATGCAAATCAAAACCATAATGAGATACTACTTTATATCCACTAGGAAGGCCATAACAATATGAAAAAGAAATTTAATAAGTGTTGGTGAAGATTTAGAGAAACTGGAACCCTTGGTGCATTGCTGGGACATAAAAGGGTACAACTGCTGTGGAAAAAAGCTTGATGGTTCCTTAATAAGTTAAATCTAGAATTACCCTATAACCCAGCAGTTCTACTCCAAGGCATATACACAAAATAACTGAAACAAATGTTTAAACACAGACTTGTACATGAATATTCTCAACAGTACTATTCACAATAGCCAAAAGGTGGAAACCACCCAAATGTCCATCAAATGATGAATGAACAAAATGTGGTATATTTATGATGGAATATTATTCAGCCCTGAAAAGAAACTATTGATACGTGCTATAATATAGATGAAACTCAAAAACATTATATTACATGAAAGAAGCCACACATTAAGATTCTATGTATATGAAATGTCGGCCAGGCGTGGTGGCTCATGCCTATAATCCCAGCACTTTGGGAGGCCGAGGTGGGTGGATCACTTACAGTCGAAACCAGCCTGGCCAACACGGTGAAACCCCGTCTCTACTAAAAATACAAAACATTAACTGGGCGCGGTGGCGCATGCCTGTAATCCCAGCTACTCAGAAGGTTGAGACAGGAGAATCGCTTGAACCTGGGAGGCAGAGGTTGCAATGAGCCGAGATCATGCTATGGCACTCCAGCCTGGGTGACGGAGCAAGACTTTGTCTCAAAAAAAAAATAAATACATAAAAAATAAATAAATAAAATTAAAATTAAAAAATAGTGGTGATGGTTTGCACATTATGAAGGTACTTAAACACTACTAAATTGTACAATTAAAATAGTACATTTTATGTTATACGTATTTTGCTACAATTTAAAATTACTACCATAAATCCCTATTTGCCAAACAACATATACAATATGATCTCAATAACAAAAACAAAAAAAAACTACAGTGTTTTTCAAACTATCTTCTTCCTGAATCTCTAGACTCTCCACCGTGTCCGGGAATCTCTGAACTCACAAAGAGGAAACCAGTGTCCTTTTCAACAGTTTCTCACTGGTATCTAGTACAGCACCTGGCAAATAGCACTGTGCTCAATAAACCTCACTCAACAGATCTCAGCCTAATAATTTCAGGGGCAGAGGGGCCTCTGCCAGAGTTGCTCAGCTTTTACTCACTTTATATACATTTCTACATTTTCATTTTTAAGAGTTCCACTGTCTTAAAAAGAAAGACAATTGTTAATAGCTACTGATCTAGACAACTGCCAAAATGTTTATGAAAATCTGAATCAGGTTAAAAAATGTCTGGCACTAAACTGTTCACAAAATAGAGGCAATGTGTGGCTTTCTTGGGGGGCAGGAAGGCAATAACTAGGAACTGATACTGTACTAGCAAAGTTCTAACTAGCCTAAATAGAAAAATCTTGCAGCAGTAAAGCAATCACATGCTATTTGGTTAAAAGAAAAAAAGACCCAAGTTACATTTTCACCTTTTACAATCATCAAAATTAGATTTTAAAAATACATTAAAACAAAAAGCTTTCAAGTACCCACAAGCCATAATAAAGTCAAATTTTACAGGTGCCAATGGTGGTATACAGAAAAACAACAACAACAACAACAAATGTACTGGTAAAAAGTACTTATGAAAAAAAATATAACTGACTTAATAAAGGAAGCTATTTGTATGGTGGGGGGTGGGGAGAAACACAGATTTAACAATAAGACACTTGATAAGCTTGGTATTTAATTCCAATCTGGGAAAAGGTCTTGGAATGGGGTTTGCATAAGAGAAAGGTGTTTGGAAAGCCAGCTCCACACTATATCCATTCTACAAACTGCCTTTCTGACATTCTACTTGGAGACAAACCCAGCCCTAGAGAGCTGTTTAAACAAGTTCAACCTTAAGTCTCAGTTAGAGAATGAAAGCTTTGTTCTCACTCAGAAGAGACGTTTGATGTTTATGCTAAGGAGACCTGTCATTGCAACTTAATTTATGGCTGACTGTAAATACCTGAACATCTAGCAAGGGCCCACCTGCTGCCCAAGAGAATGTCAAGGTAAGACTGAAATGAGTGGGCCTCATTATGAGGGAGTGTGTCCAATGTTCCTGGGACCTATGTGTGCAGACTCAGCTGTCATATTTAGACAATCAGGAAATTGCATTTCTCCTTTGATATCAGTTTATGATGAACATGTAAAACCACTGTTTTCTTTGTTGAGTCTGAATAAACATACTTCTGGCTCAATAGAGCAGGGAAGGATATTTATCCCTGGTATTTTCTTCCTGACCTATTTATTATAGTATGGACGAATGGAGAGGAGACCGTGTATGTCACAGTTTTGAGTGAGAAGAGGGATAGGAATGATTGTTTCAGGCAACTGGGACAATGGAAAAGGAAAAAAGAAATCAGCCAAACTGAGAATAAAACTAATGAGGTTGAGAGATCAAGTTCATTTGGCTGGAATAAAATGGGTAGGTGGTAGGATAAACAGAGATGAAAGAGGTGAGGTAGAAAGAGAGATTATGATGTTCCAAGTAACTCACAAATGTTTGCGGCATTTTTTGAGTAGGTTTAAAATACTATATATACAAGATTATAATAACATTAGAGCAAAACAGAATTGGAATTATTTACCTAGGATTTTACTGAGAGGATGGAAAAGAAATGAATTAATTCAATTAAACAAACTTATTAAGTACTTGAAACATGCAAGGCTCTGTGCAGGCCGAAGCCATATAACAAATAAGCCAGCTCCCCGCACCAATTCTTTGGGCATGGAGAGTGGGAGAAGACAACTATAAACAGTGCAACTCCAACTACCAATACAGGCTGAGGGGAAAAGCAGAGAGGATGGAATCACTGACCGGGAGAACACAAGAGGACGAAGGTCCACACTGGAGGACGCTGGGTTTGGCTAGGAAGAGAAGTGGGGAGAAGCATTCCAGAGAAAAGGAAAAGGGAAAGCAAAGGGCTGTGAAAAAATATTAGCTACACTGGGTTCAGAGTAAATTGACAGTTCGAACAATGCCAAGGTTCCAGCCAAAGGCAAGAAGAGTCAGGGAGACTAAGACCAGATGAAACTGATTGCAATGCTAAGCTAAGGGGTCTAGAGTTGATCCTAGAAGCCACACAACCTCTAGGTCAGACAAACAGGGTGCATTTCCAAAGTTAGATCTAGCCGTAGGATGGAAAACAAATGGGAGATTGAAGGCAGAGAGCCTGGTTAGAAGGTCACTTTTACAGTACTCACAGTTTATAGCACAGTACAATATTTAGAGCACATGTTTTGGACTTGGATAGACTTTGGACCCACTGCTTAACTTCTCTATGCCCTAGTTTTCTCATCTGTAAAATGGGAATAAGAGCCCCTAGCCCCTCAAAGAATAACTACATAGAGTAAATGATACAACACAGGTGCTTAGCATAATACTTTAGTATATAGTAAACATTCAGCAAATCAGATGCTTTTATTACAATTGTCACCTGAACTCCTCATAGTTTGTGGTAGTTCCAACAAGCAGAAAAAAAGTCCATTTGTGTGTAAACTTTTTTTTTTGAGACAGGATCTCACTCTGTCACCCAGGGTGGAGTGCAGTGGTGCAATCATGGTTTGCTGTAGCCTCAATCTCCTGGTCTCAAGCTATCCTCCCACCTCAGCCTCCCAAGTAGCTGGGACCACAGGCACACGCCACCAAGCCCTTGTAATTTTTAAAAATGTTTTGTAGAGACGAGGTCTCACTATATTGCCCAGGCTAGTCTCAAACTCCTGGACTGAAGCGATCCCCTGTACCTCATTCTCCAAAGTGTTGGGATTACAGGCATGAGCCACTGTGGCCGGTCTCTGTGTGTAAACTTCCAAAGGGCAAGGACAGACTCTTTCCTCAGGATCCCTCTCAGCATTCAGCTTGGTGCTAGGCACATCCTGGATATCAGAAATGAACACTGACTGATTACAATTCAATCTTATCTTCTACAGGTATAAAAGGTAATATGCAAACATATACCAAAGCAATATACAAGGATGTGGGGCAAGGTGAGTCCTCTACCACAAAAAAAAAAAAAACCCAGAAAATACTTCAATTCCCAGATTCCTCAACTCAAACATCCCAAGCACCTAAAAAACTTATTTCCAAAGCATCCACAATCCCCTCTCCCCTCCACTCACAAATATCTAGAAAAAAGTTATAGTCAGATGAAAGCCACATGTGGTCAAAGGATTTATTTTTATATGTGAGTGATGGGATGGCTGGGCACCAGGTCTCAAGTACCCTCATGCCTATCTTGGGGTATTTCTCATTATTCCCCTCTCTTGCTTTACCTATTTTCACCATCACCATTTGACTCACCCCCACCCAATGCATACATTTTTTAAACCACCACCTAGTTACTATTTCACAGTTCCTACAGGTCAGAAGTCCAGGCACAGCACCGACAGTGCCAGTTAGGGCTGCCTTCTCATCTAGGATTGGGTCCTCCTCCAAGCTTACTGGTTGTTGACAAGATCCACTGCCTTGCAGATGAAGGACTGAGGTCCCCATGTTCCTCCTAGCTGTCAGCTGGGAACCACTCTCAGCTCCTAGAGTTTGCCTGCAGTTCCTTGCCATGTGGCTGTTGGGATCGGCAGTTCACAACATGGACGTCTGCTTGCTTCCAAGCCAGCTGGAACATCTGATTTCCTCTTGTGCAATCAGCTGAGAAATCTCTCTGCTTTGAAAGGGCTAGTTCAATCAAGACAGACCCACCATGATAACCTCCTTTAGATGGCTAAAGGTCAACTGATTGAGACCTTAATTCTATCTACAAAGACTAGCATTTGACTGAATACCTGAAGCAGGTGTGTGTACACCAAACATGGGGAATCTTGGGGAAGTGAGGAGCAGAAGGTGGACTGTAGTAGGCACAACTGCTTTACATTTTATACTTTTGTTTATTGTCCACCTCACCTGGCAGAAGGTAAGCTTTCTGAGAGAAGGCAATTTTGTCTCCTTTCGTTTACTACTGTATCCCTAACACCTGCAACAATGCCTAGTATATGACAGGTGCTCAATAAATATGTGTCAAGGGACCCTTTGGATCAGGGGTCCCCAACCCCTGGGGCCACAGACCGGTACTGGTCCACGGCCTGTTAGGAACCAGGCCACACAGCAGGAGGTAAGTGGCAGGCGGGTACCTGAGCTCTGCCTCCTGTCACATCAGCGGCGGCATTAGATTCTCATAGGAGTGGGAAACCTACGGTGAACCGCGCATGCGAGGCATCTAGCTTGCATGCACCTTATGAGAATCTAACATGCTTGATGTGCCTGATGATCTTTCTTTTCTTTTTTTTTTTTTTTGAGGAGTCTCACTCTGTTCCCCAGGCTGGAGTGCAGTGGCGTGATCTCGGCTGACTGCAACCTCCGCCTCCCGGATTCAAGCTATTCTCCTGCCTCAGCCTCCTGAGTAGCTGAGATTACAGGCATGCGCTGCCACTACCATGCCCGGCTAATTTTTTATTTTCAGTAGAGATGGGGTTTCACCATGTTGGCCAGGCTGGTCTTGAACTCCCAACCTCAGGTGATCCACCCACCTCGGCCTGATGTGCTTGATGATCTGAGGTGGAACAGTTTCATCCCAAAATCATATCTCCCCTACTTCCCCTGTGGGAAAATTATCTTCCACGAAACCAGTCCCTGATGTCAAAAAGATTGGGGACCACTGCCCTAGATCACCATGGTAGGTACTCAACATGCATATGTTTAGTTTGCAGTCTGGAAATGGGACTTCTAACTACATGTATTAAAATTCTGGTTTAGTGAAATTCTACAATTTTATTTCTACCACTTTTGTATACAGTTCTAACAAAATATGGTTAATGCAAATTTATTTGTAACCCCAATATCAACATTCATGGTACCTTCCTGCTCACTGACAGCCATGCACAGAATAGTGAAACATCTGAAACACCCACCACATGCATTCCCAACTGAGGTCAAACAAGGCAACACCCTGCCTTCTTGTTTCAGCTGGCATACTGTAAACAAGTTATCCTTTCTGCAGTATATTTAGTGTCATGCTTTTCATTGATGATTTTGCTGTATAAAATGGTCCCCCACAAGTAGTGCTGAAGTGCTGTCTAGAGTTCCTAAGTGCAAGAAGATAGTGATATGCCTCACAGAGAAAATACATGTTAGAGAAGCTTAGTTCAGGCATGAGTTAATAGTGCTGCTGTCAGTAAAGTTCAATGTTAATGAACCAACAATATATATTAAATAAGGTGTCTTTAAACAGAAACAAAGCCAGGCATGGTAGCTCAGGCCTGTAATCCCAGCCCTTTGGGAGGCCAAGGCAGGAGGATAATTTGAGCCCAGGAATTTGAGACCAGCCTGGGCAACAAGTGAGACCCCATCTCTACAAAAAATTTAAACATTAGCCGGGTATGGTGGCATGTGCGTGTGATCCTAGCCACTTGGGAGGCTGACAAAGGAGGATTCCTTGAGCCCAGGAGTTTCAGGCTGCAGTGAGCTATGATGTTTTTGGCTTTTTTTTTTTTTTTTTTTGACGGAGTCTCACTCCGTTGCCTAGGCTGGAGTGCAGTGGCGCAGTCTCCGCTCACTGCAACCTCTGCCTCCCAGGTTCAAGTGATTCTCCTGCCTCAGCCTCCTGAGTAGCTGGGATTACAGGCACACCACCACACCTGGCTAATTTTTGTATTTTTAATAGAGACGGGGTTTCAGCATGTTTGTCAGGCTGGTCTCGAACTCCTGACCTCATGATCCACCTGCCTCGGCCTCCCAAAGTGCTGGCATTACAGGCGTGAGCCACTGTGCCTGGCCTATGATACACTCTCGTACTATACAGCCTGGGTGACAGAGCAGGACACTGTCTCAAAAAAATAAAAATTAAAAATAAAAATAAACAGAAACACATGAAACAGGCCAGGTTCAGTGGCTCATACCCGTAATCTCAGCAGGTGAAGCCCAGGTGAGTGGATTGCTTGAGCCCAGGAGTTCAAGACCAGCCTGGGCAACATGTCGAAACCCTGTCTCTACCAAAAAGTAAATAAATACAAAAATTAGCCAGGTGTGGTGGTGTACACCTGAGGTCTCAGCTACTCAGGAGGCTGAGGTGGGAGGATTGCTTGAGCCTGGGAGGCAGAAACTGCAGTGAGTGAGATCATGTCACTGGACTCTAACCTGGGCAACAGAGCAAGACCCTGTCTCAAAAAAAGAAAAAAAAAGAAACACATAAAATAAGGTTATGTATTGACAGGTTGAAAAAGTGACCAGAGGCTCGCAGGAACCTAGCCCTGTATTTCCCCTAGGAGCAATGGTTGAAGATTTGGTAATTCAGTTCTACAATTCAACTTTATGGAACTACCACAAATAACAAGACTGTATTAGCCCCATTTTACAGATAAAACAATGAAGCTGATAGAGAGGTGAAGTGGCAGCTCCAGGCACACTATGGCACAGCATCCTGTTTTATTTTCTTCACAGCACTCATGGACTGATAATTGTGTTTACTTATTTATTTTCAGTCTAAGCCATTGCAATTATAAGTTCCATAATAGAGATTTAGGGACTTTTGTTCATCTTGTTCTCTGTTATTTCCCCATGCCAAAAACTGTTCCAGGCACATACCCAATCCAATGAATAAAGAAATCTCCTATATGTTAACTGTGTAAATATTAGGTGTGATGTTATGGTTTAAAGGGAAAGGCAGTTACTTTCATTATGCTAAATTCAAAATATTTAGGGAGACAAATGCAGGCTTAAGACTGGGTGGACACTAAAGAAAACCAAAAAGCCCAGAGTTGCCTAAAGTGGCACTGTCTCTGAACCCTAGAGAGCAGATAAAGATTGCCTGGGATGGAAACTTCACAGCTAAACCAAAGTATGGCAACTCTACAGAGTAAAGGAAAGAAAGATACTCTCTGAAATCATATTTTTGCTTAGCACACCATTTCTCCATAACAGAGGAGAGAGAGCAGACATGGACAGAAATGGTGCCTCTGAAGCCAAAGCTCAAGTTAAACCTGCATGAGAGTGAAAAACTGAGAACAGAAACTCAGAGCAGGTATCTGAACCTGGCCATGAGGCAGTGCCTGCAGAGTGAGAGAAATGTAAGTTGGACTTAAAAGGTTCCCGCATTCCCAGTCCAAGTGGAACTGATGGGCTGTGGCTGCCTGCAGTTATGTCCAGCATCAGAAGCACTGGTGAGAAAGGACTCTAGGATTCCCTTTTTATGAATACAGAGAGGAAAATGAGATTAAGACCCTCTTACACCAACTCCTACAACAACAGCTAACACAAGAACTGAAGACAAACAGGCGAGATCCCAGAATTAATGTTCACTGCTACTCTGAGCAAAAATTGAACAGTAAACAATAGAGATTTCAAAATTATAAAGAGCCACTTCAGTATTCTAATTTAACCTTCAAAAATTAAGATGACCTAAAGCACCACGAACTGATAATTCCATTCCACCTCAACACCCTGTGCTCCTCAGCTATTATGAGAACAGACTGCAACCCAATTCAACTCATGTTCCAAAATGCAACAAGCAGCTTCAACAGGACATGCTGGAAGAAGCAGCACGTCTCATCGTTTACTGATTCATATTTTGGTAGCAAGGTTACAATTAGCTCACCGGTGGAGAATAAACCTATTTATAACACAGCAGTCCACCTGAAAGACATAATCATCTAAAAAGGTTCTTAGAGGAAAATAAGTGCAGGTTCTTCCTGTACTGATTGCAGATTCCCAAGGTCCTTTTGGATAAAGTCCTCAGTCTAACCTTCCTGTGTTCACAGTCACCATTCTGGCCACTTCTCAGCCTCCATGTTCTTATGTAACATTTACATAGTGCCATAAACATACCCAGAGTTGCGTAAGAATTAAAACGTTGCCAAACCAATAAAGCCTAAAGCAGGTCACTCCCTCCAGACTGTCTTTGATTAGCACAGGTATGCTGCCTAGTCGACGATGTAAGAGCCTGCCAGAGACAGAAATTAACTTGAGGAAATCTGAAAGGGGTCTACAAAAAAGCACAAAAAGAAAACCACACTGTGACATGCTGTACGTCTATCAATCACAGAGTATGTTTTTCTGCTCCTTAAGATAAAAAAGTAACCCAGCATTGCTTATTCACTGAAGTCAGAAACTGTGTCTAAAAATACCTCCCCGCCAACTGGCTATCAGTAAGTCAGTCTCACAAATGTCCCAATAAGAGTGACACAAAATATTTCCTTATTTTTACAGAGGGAAAACTGAGGCAGTCACAGAAAGGTTAAGTTACTTGTTCAAGGACAACTTGTAAGGCAGCTAAGTTCTAGGGCTGAAAACCAGCCTCCTCCCTCCATCTGGCTTTAACCTTTAACCAGAGTAGCCATTTTAATATGTTTTATCACATCTGTTCCAGGAGCTGTTTAAACAAAACTAATCAGAGGTCTCTACAAGACTGCACTTCCACTGTACTTAAAATCCATGTCCACTCAACAAAATTACAAGGCTTGGCTTGAAATTAGATTTTTAGTCCGCTCACAAAATTTCAAAATGTTCCTATGAGAATGTCAAATATCTCTCTTGTTGCTTTTGTCTTGAGAAATGAATGTCATGTTCTCCTGCTACTAACTCAATTTTACATTTTTAAATGTGAAAATTCCAAAGCCAGGCCTTAAAACATGTACACCTATCAAACGGATGCTATTTCTAACTGAAACTCATTCTCCTTATCACTGGCCTTTTACTAAGTCCTAGTTAATTCATTAATTAATAGAAACACCTATCCCTTACTGCCCCTCACATCAAGTCCAAGTATCAGGCATCAGAGCTGTCTGGCTCTGTCACTCCTCCAGCCCACGTAGGGGAGCACTATATAGGAAATGCAGGGGAGGGGAAAAAAATCAACTTCTTGTTATCCCACAGCCTCTATTTTCCCAGAACTGACGTTTTACTTTAAGCCCTTTGCAGCAGTGGTCTCCATAGCATACACTATTGGCAACTAGACGTGTCCTGGAAAAAACTGTAGTGTCTGGCCAAGAAGTTTAAAGGCCCTGGAGAATGTTTGCTGGACACACAACCTAATTTCCAATTTACCAAAAAAAGAAACGAACTCCCTATTTTACTCACCCACCTTAACCCCCACAAACATCCATTTTAGGAAGGTTACAAAAAAATGAACTCTGCCCCATTCAGAACCACTTGGATTATCAAACATTCTTAACTAGGCTCACAACCAGAAAAACCCCACAAACACTACATCAAATCAGCAGGGAAATGACTGTTAAAAATCCTGGATATATTAGGGGCAGGATAAAAATTCCTATATGAGGATTTAAAGATTTATACATACACACATAAAATGACAAACCTAGAGGTTCAATCTCCCTTTTTTTTTTTTTTTACTACCCAGTAGAGAACATTATGTTACACATTCCAAAAACATGGCCCTTAATAAGGCCCGACGAACATCCTTATTCATGCAAATCATTATCTCACCACAAATGTCAAGCTCTGTTCATACACCTTCACCATGTTTCTCAAACCCCACAGCACAGATACCTAAGCCACAGAGCAGTGAGGCCGAAGAACACACACGAGGTGCTTAGGAGAAGCATTAGCCCGTGAACAAAGACCCCGCTGCACAGGCTCCACCACTGGGAACAAATATCAAAGCCGGAGATAATGAACTTGTTTTTGAGATTCCAAAGTGGCATGGTGTCTTTTCTTGACTGTCTGGTTTATTAAAGACGACTGAACCCACCTGAGAATCATTATTTTTAGTGTAAGAGAAGAGAGCCACAGAACACACTTTATCTCCCATTGCTGGAAGGTTAGGGGCTGCTGAGAAGTCAAAGCATCAGGCTTTGTACGTCAGGAGCGAATACAATCCTGATCATCTCTCCCAGATCCATCTGTGGGTCAATAATCGCTTCAATATAACTGCCAAATATAACCTTCATCTGCTACCCCAAGGCCAAAACACATTCGCCAAGACTCTCTTAAATGAAATATTTTAGGGTTTCATCTGCTCTTCTCAGCCCCCAAAGCCTCAAAAACAACACAGCCAGCGAAGTGTCCCGCAAAAAGGTACCCGCTTCTACAGAGAGGAGAGTGGGGGGGTGGTATAAGGCGAGCCGCAGACTGTGGGGATTGGGAGGTAAGGGGTGTGTGAGGGTGGGCGGGCTGGGAAGAGGCATCGTGTAGGAAGGTAAATAAGTACTGACCAAGGGCCGGGAATACAGTCCAGTGGTGGGATCTTTAAATAATCTTGGGGGTTTGGAGACAGGTTCCAGGATTTCACCTGAAAGGCATCCACAAAGTGATTAACTGAATGGGCCCCCCGGGGTAGGGTGGGGGAGGCGAGGAGGAAAGCAAATACACCTAGATTCACATCAACCCTTGGGGAACTCGGTTCCATAGGGTTAGGGATTCCAAAGCCAGGCTCCAAAAAGGTTTAGGGGCCTGTTCGTCCCACTTCCTCCAAATAGCCTCCACGGGGCATGAGTGCCGGAGGGCGGAGGGGGGATTGCCCCACTGAACTCAAGGGATTGAGTGAAGGGGAAATGTGACTCCCTTTCCCAGAACATTAGGGAGGCAGTGGAGGGAGGGGAAGAAACACGCCAAGTGCAGGACCTGAAGGAAAGGTTAGAGACCCCTTCCCCTACAGTCTGAGGTGCGCGGACTCTCAACATCAGGTTCCCTCGGAGAGGCTAAGACCCCACCGCCCGAACCCCACAGTCTTGGCGGGAGAAAGACGCCCCCCAGGAGCACCTGGAGGGAGGGAAGAAAGCCCCCCGCCCCTGGACACGGTGAAGGGCAGAAACCACGGACCTCCAAATCTTGGAGCTGGAGGCTCAGACTCCCCTCTCTGGAACACGAGGGCGCTGGGAGCGCGACCCCTGAGAACTGCCCGAATCCAGTTCCGCCTGGAACAGGGCTCGGGTCCCCAGGGGCCCGGCGTGAGCTCCGTCGCCGCCGGGCGGCTGCGCCTCGGAGATCGGGGAAGCTGACTGGGGGTCACCCCGACTCCTCTGCGCCCCCCACCCGGCCATATTGTGCTCGTGGGGAGGGGGCGCGCTGTAGTCCAGCGGCCGCGGCTCGAGGCCTCGCCCTTGCCGGGCCCTCTCCATCCCGGCCCCCGCCCCCCGTCCCAGGACTCACCCTGGACCCCCCGGGGCCCGGACCCGCCGCTGCCGGCGAGCAGGAGGACAACAAGGGGGAAGAAGGAGGAGGCTCCGGCCGACTCCGCCATAGTAACCACCGCCGCCGCCGCCGCCGCCGCAGCCCAGCAGCGCCCAGCGCGCGCGCGCGCGCCCCCGGCGCCTCCCCTCCTCCCGCGGCCCGGCTCCCGCCTCCCTCTCCTCCGCCCGGCGCCTGCACGTGCGCTCCCGGCGGAGCCGGCGCCGCGGCCGCCGCGCGCGCCCCCGAAGGGCGGGGCCGGGGCGCGCGCGGGCGCCCGCCTTAAAGGGGAGTGTCCCTGTTAAAGGGGTGGGCGGGGCTCACGCCTCGGCCAACTTCGCGGATCGGTGCCGAGCCCGGCGCGGAGGAGGCCGGAGCCGAACGTGCAGTCTCCTCCCTCTCCTGCACCCCACGCAGTGCAGAATTATCTTATCAGAGTCGATCCCCCGCCCCCGTCGAATATTCTACGAATCCCGTGCGTGTTCCAGTTCCTCCATCCCTGCGCCTAGCCTCAAGCCCCCAGCGCGTCCCCTGGGATCATCGCCGCGGTCTCCTAACTGGTTTCCCTGCCTCGCCTCGCCCCCTGCCATCCTCTGGACGCGGCAGCCTGTGTGATGGAATCGCGGCACGCGCCTTTTCAGAACATAGCAAAGCTCTTTATTGATGACAGTATGGGTGAGGGTGCCGTGTGAGGCACTCTGATTGGGCTGGTAGGTAGAACCCTTTTGGTAAACAATTGGCATTATGCATCAAATGCCTTAAAATCTTCATATCCATTTACCCAGTATTGTCCCCTGTCCTCAAGAAATAATAAGAGGACAGATGTTTATGAAAAATGTTAACTGTATATTTATCATTGTAAAAAAGGTAGAAACTAAGTAGACAATAATAGAAAATGTTAAATTATGGCCCATCCATATGATGGAACATTATTTAGTAATTTAAAATCCTGTTTACAAAAACTATTGACATGAGAAAATGCTTACAAGATAATGTTAAATTAAAAAAGCAAAATGCAACACTGTTTACAGTATTATTCAAATTGTACTGATAATATGTGTTTATAGGAAAAAAAGACTGGAAGGATATTTACCCAATAGTAACAGTAGTTATTGCCATAATTTTTTTACTTTTAACATTTCAATAATTTCTAAATATTTTTCAAATAAATGTTACTTTCAAATCTAGAAGAAATGCTTAAGAAAGTAAACAAATCACTCCGTATCTTTCTGAAAAGAGGTCAGTTTCTTTAGCTTGAGAAAGAACTTGATATAAAGGAAAGGGCAGAATTTTTGCAGCCAGAGAATTCTGGATCTGAATTCTGCTTCCTACTAACTAGCTGTGAAAACTTGGGCAAGGTTTGAACCTCTCTAAGCACAGCTTCACCATCTGAGATCTAGGGGTGGAAAGGATGGCCAAGAGATAGGGAGAACAGTTGCTTAAATGGAATTCTCACCTTCTAAGTTTCACCAACCTGAAGAACTCCCATCGTCATATCCGGAAAAAATAAAGCTGAAGACACACTCGCCAGACACAGTGTACACACAATCACATAAAGTCATGGGGAGGCATTGTCTACAAGTTGGTCAGTGTAGCTGGATGAGTAAATAACTTATTCTCCTCTCCCTCATCTCCCCCAAATAGGCACACCCCACCCAGTCCGTCTAAGTGGTTTCCAATCCATGCTCTATCCACCAAGCTGTGGTGCACACAGTGCTAGGTTACTGTGTTAGTTTCCTACTACCAAACTGGGTAGCTTAAAATACAAATGTATTCTCTCACTGTTCTGGAGGCTAGAAATCTGAAACCATGGTGTTGGCAGGGCCATGTGCTCTCTGAAGGCTCTAGGGAAGAATCCTTCCTTGCCTCTTCTAGCTTCTGGTGGTTCCCAGGATCCTTGGTGTTGTTTGGTTTGCGGAAGCATAACCCCATGTCTTCACATGGTTATCTTCCCTCTGCATCTACATCTCTGTCCACATTCCTCTCTTCTTATAAGGATACCAGTCATTGGATTAGGGCCCACCCTAATCCAGTATGAGTGCAAATGATCTTAATTGGTTACATCTGCTGCTAAGATCCTCGTTCCAAGTAAGATTACATTCGCAGGTTCCTGGTAGACACGAATTTTGGGTGGACACTATTCAACCCAGTACAGTCACCAACCCCTGCAGTTAAGAAGGGAAAGCCAACCCCTCAGGAGCACATATCTGAAGCCAGGGGGGAGGGAGGTATCTTTCCTTATTTCTTGCTAAGTGCTGCCACTGTGGCTTCGAGGCCAGGGGTCCCAGAGGGGACCTGTGGTTGCTTCACTCCTAGACAGTAAAGTCAGCCACACAGCTAAATATACAGATCAGGGAACCAGAATGCTGGCTCCACAGACCAAATGCCACCTCCGTCAGCTCCATCAGCTCACTTGACAGCATTGAACTTTGGGCAAGATACTTTACCTCCCTAAACCTCAATTTACTCATCTTGTAAAATGGAGCTAATAATAGTTCTATGTCATACAGATATTGTTAGTATTGATAAAATATGGTAAAGCATTTAGCATAATCTCTGACACATAGGAAGTGATCTAAAAAGAATAGCTATTATCATCATTATGAGTTGACCTTCACTACAATCCTAGGAAGTGGTTGAGGCATGTCAGAGTGTGCCCCGATGAAGTGACTGAGACTTAGAGAAGGTAAGCGATTTGCCAAGGCTCACATACAATCCATCATTAAAGCCACAGCCTACTGGTCCTGTGCTTTCTTCAACACCATAGCATCTCCTGCTTTTCTAGGTACTGGTCTTCAGGACCCAGCTGAAGGTGGAAAATGAGGTGGAGCAGGGGAGGGGTTAATCATATGCCTCACACCCCATTTGTGAGAGTTTGGGGCATCTCCAAACTAGAGCTTTCCTAGGTGATGTGTCTACCTTCCTTTTAGGTCCCGCGCTACATAGAGACTGCCTAATCCCTACCTGTGCCCTTCGCTCCTTCCCACAGCCTGGCCCAAGGATGCTTCCTGCTAGTTCTCCTCACCATCCCTGAAGGCCCCGGTAAGTGTCCATTTTCGTAAGCCTTCTTTTTTTTCTTTTTCTTTTTCTTTTTTTTTCTTTTTTGAGACGGTGTCTCGCTCTGTCTCCCAGGCTGGAGTACAGTGGCATGATCTCGGCTCACTGCAACCTCCGCCTCCTGGGTTCAAGCGATTCTTCTGCCTCAGCCTCCCAAGTAGCTGGGACTACAGGCATGCGCCACCATGCCTGGCTAATTTTTGTATTTTTAGTAGAGACAGGGTTTCACCACATTGGTCAGGCTGGTCTCGAACTCCTGATCTCGTAATCTGCCTGCCTCGGCCTCCCAAAGTGTTGGGATTACAGGCGTGAGCCACCGTGCCTGGCCTTGTAAACCGTCTTAATCTTAGGGCTGGACCCACATCACAGTCTATGAACTTCTTTTCCCCTCTGCCCTGTCTCTTTGTCAGGAGAGTCCCCAGAGCTAGCAGGAGCCACTTCTCCAGGAAAAAGTCTTACTCCTTAGTCCCACTGACTAGAGTGACAACTCAGTGTGACAATTGCCACATTGGTCGCAACGCACAGAGACACCACTACCTAGGGGATCATTTGCCTTGGTGAGCAGCAGGGTCATTCATCCCAAGAAGGCAATAGTTCATCTTCACTCATCCATTCCACAAGCACTAAGCACCTACAGTACACCAGGCACAACATATAGACATGGATAAGTCATAGTCCTCGCCTTCATGGAACTTAAAATCTAATACAGAAAAGCATGAGAAAAAGAGCAACAACGGGTTATCTCTGCGAGGACACAAGCCTGTAAAGAGCCAATGAGGGCCACTCAGGGGACATGAATGATTCAGCTGTGAGGGGACAGGCTGAGGAGTTGAGAAAGTTTTCACGAAGAGACAGGCTACGCTGATTCTTGGAAGATCAGAGAGTCCCCCCAGATAGGCCTGTGTCAGGAGGGCAGGAGATGGCAGGAGACTGTTCTGCCTGGCATTTAGGAGAACCGTGAGCAGCCTAGCGGTACACCCAGAAGATGCAGGCTGAAGATGATGGACAGTGGAAACGTAATGTTGGTGAGCTAGGCAGACGTGGAAGTCTACTTGGAAATGGAGCACACTGGAGTGGGAGTCTAATAAGAGACCCTCTTCAGTACACTTGGAAGGGTTCTAAGTGTAAATTGATCATGTTTGTATTTTAGGAAAGGCTAAACTGATCATATTTGTAAACTGATCATATTGTGTTAGGAAGATCACTTTGCTGAACCAAGTGAATTTGAACTTTGTACAGAGGCTGGTTGGAGGAAGACAAGACTGGTTGTAAGGAAACCAAAGAGAAGGCAAAGCCCAGGCAAGATAGGAGGTGGACCTGACCCCAGGCAGCAGCAATGTGAAGGTGGAAAAGAGAAACAGATTCAAGAGTTCAAAGACGTAGAAATGACAAGATTGATTGGATACGGGAAATGAGGAAAGGGGATGGCCCCATATGACTCTAGGATAATCTTAGGTGACTAGCTGCCTGGTAGTTTCATTCAGCAGACTAGAATGGGCAGGTTTGGGAAAAAGAAAATTAGTTCCTTGGCTGGGCGCAGTGGCTCACGCCTGTAATCCCAGCACTTTGCGAGGCCAACGCAGGTGGATCACCTGAGGTCAGGAGTTCAAGACCAGCTGGCCAACATGGCAAAACCCCTAAAAATACAAAAATTAGCTGGGCATGGTGGTGGGCACCTATAATCCCAGCTACTTGGTAGGCTGAGGCAGGAGAATCACTTGAACCCAGGAGGCAGAGGTTGCAGTGAGCCAAGATTGTGCCACTGCACTCCAGCCTAGGCGACAGAGACTCCGTCTCCAAAAAATAAAAAAATTTTAAAAATGTAAAAACTGAGTTCCTTGTCAGGCATACTGAGTTTGAAGGTACCTGGAGCCACAGAGATGTAGATTTGGAAGTTAGCAGCATATCATTGTTGTTCAAACAGCTCAAGGGAGCAAGAGAATTCTGGAAATACAGCAATACCAGCAAAAAAGAAGACAGAAGGAACAGTGATAGAAGTAGGAAGAGAACCTGGGAAAAATAGAATAATAGAAACCACGGCAAGAGAGGCTTTCAAGAGGCCCATAGTTTGTAATGTTGACAAGAGGTCAAGTAAGATGAGGAACAAGAGTCTCTTAGGGCTTTGGTAACTTCTGATTGGTGACGTTTACCTGAGCAGGCTCAGTGGAGGATGGGGTGAAGGCCTAACTTCAGGAGGCTACAAGTGGGGGTGAAGGCTTAGAAACACTGAGTATCATCTATTATTTAAAATAACTTGGCTATGATGGGAGGGGGAAATTTGGATTTCCTTTGGAATGGTAAACCAGGTTCCTTGAGCAAATCTTCGGCTGAAAACAACGTAAAATGCTCAGTAAACTAGCAAGAAAGTGAATACTCAAGTAAAAGACTAAGAATCAAAGAGGAAAGCTAATCACCAAAGCTGGCTTTTCTGTTCAGAGCCTTTGCATACGGGTGAGCTCGGACTTTGGTTTTCACAGGCAAGCAGGATATAGGGGACAGGAGACAGAGCTCAAGCTCATCCAAAGTGGGAAGTCTAATAACAGATCCTGTGCACAAGGCTGTGACCCACAAAGGGTAATACACATCGTCTAAGGAGGGACCAGAAATAATTCACTCCTCAGGCTGGGCGCGGTGGCTCACACCTGTAATCTCAGCACTTTGGGAGGCCAAGGCAGGTGGATCACCTGAGGTCAGGAGTTCGACACCAGCCTGGCCAACATGACGAAACCCTGTCTCTACTAAAAAAAAAAAAACACAAAAATTGGCCAGGTGTGGTGGCGTGCACCTGTAATCTCAGCTGCTGGGGAGGCTGAGGCAGGAGAATCACTTGAACCTGGGAGGTGGAAGTTGCAGTGAGCCGAAATCACGCCATTGCACTCCAGCCTGGGCAACAAGAGCAAAACTCTGCCTCGAAAAAAAAAGAAAAGAAAAATTAAAAAGAAATAATTCACTCCTCCAGGAGACTACAAGGAAAACTGCCTGACTTAAACCTTGGCTCTTGAGATCGCACCATTGCACTCCAGCCTGGGTGACAGAGTAAGATTCTGTCTCAAAAGAAAAAAAAAACAAAAAACAAAAAACAAAAAAACCTTGGCTCTGAGTGAGAATGGGAGAAAATATCCCCTGAGAATTCATAACGGCAAGCTGGCCTCCATGATGTGATTTTATTCAAAATTCACCCTATCTAGGCAGTCTGAAAAACTACACGCTATTTAGATTCAAGTGGTCTGAGGCCCATAGTACTTCCTGGTAGTACGTGGAAGAAGGAAGAGCAAATCATCTGTAGAGGAACCCAAATTGAACTCAGGCTACAGGGAATTCTCACAGACCAAATTTTAAGAAATATAATCTGCATAGACAAAAATCCAAAATAAGCCCAAGAGAAAAATAACAGTCAACTTAAAATTGTATACTCACAGAAATGGCTTTAAAGATCAAGGGCTAAATAAAAAATATATGTTACGTATGAATTCGTGCATACTTTACTAACAGTTAAGTATTCACTAATAGGAGAGGAACAGAGTGTATAACTTAGAGGTTAAGAGGATGAAGAAATAGAATTATACAAAATAATCCAAAAGGAATTGAGAAAGGAAATAAAAAGGACAATATAGGTTGAGCATTCCTAATCCAAAAATCCACAATCCAAAATGCTCCAAAATCTGAAACCTTCTGAGCACTGACATAATGCTCAAAGGAAATGCTCATTGCAGCATTTCAGATTTTTTATTTTTGGATTAGGAATGCTCAACACGTGAGTACCATGCAAATATTTCAAAATCCTAAAAACTCTGAAATCCAAAACACTCTGGTCCCAAGACAAGTGATACTGAATCTCTGGTAAAGTGGGATAAATAGAAAGAAGAAAATAAGATGGTGAAAATAAATCCAAATATATCTGTGATTACAATAAATGTAAATGGACTAAATAATCCAATTTAAAAATAAAGATTTCCAGACTGGACAAGAGAAAAAGAAAAGGGGATTGCAGAAGGATACACAAGGTGAAGGGAGTGTTTACTCCCTTTTGTTGCTTTAATAAGAGGAGAAAGACTGCAGCTTAGACTGCAATAAAAGAGCCAAGAAGAGTTCATAGATACAGGAAGAAGTAGTAAGTAATGGAACCAGAACCCAGGGTAGATGAGAAGCACAGGATAAAGATCCAGAGGTACAGTGATTAGCCTTGGCATGGAGGAAATTACCTTGCTAGAGCTGGAGAAACGAGGTAAACCAAGAGAAAGTTTATAGGCATGAAGGGTCATCCTGATGTTCTCAGTCAGGCCCTCTGTTTCGGTACAGTATGCTCAGGGGGCATGGTGGCATATGATGGTAGATGTGCTTGAGGAAGGTGGTAAGGATTTGTAAAAAGCCACTGTGGAGAATGGGAGTGGTGTCCAGGGACATAGAAAAGCAGAAAGGGATTGTCAGAGTGGCACTGGGGCCCAGGCAGGATTACAGAACATAAATTTGAGGTCATAACAAGCCTCTTTTATAATACCATTTCCTCAGGAAATGCTCAGCAGTCCAGGCTGGGAGCAGAAGAGGGGCCGTTTGGAGGTTGAAGGTGTAGGGGTGGGGCCCTGGTGAAGGGACAAATGAGCCAGGATGGTGAGGGAAGCAGAGGGAGGGGAGGTTAGGCAATGAAGAGAACTTGGATGGGATATGCCTGGTGACTAAGGATGGGGGCTAATTAGAGGGATTGCTCTGGGCCCAAGAAGCCCAAAGGCCAGAGTCAGCGTTAGGGTCTTGCTGTGGTCAGCAGCCTGTAGTCTGTGTTTAGCAGTCCGTGGGGTGGTGCGGAGCTGTGGTGTACTTGGAGAAAACCCTCCCAGGCTTTTCTTGCTCACTTTCTACTCCAGAGGCAATTACATGATTTTTAGAAGCAAGCCTTCTTTGGTTCTTTTAATCTACACATTGACCTCATCCTCCCCCTACCCCATCCATTCCCCAGTGCCTCCTTGGAAATAGGCCCTGTGCCCTCAGCCTTGATGATTAATATATCAGTTTCTATCTATCTGGGAAGGCCAGTGGCCAAATGGGATTGCTCTCCTGGTCATTTTCCTTTTGTTGTGGACCTCACAGCTTTTGCCTATCTGGCTGGTCCCCTCCTGCGATGCTACAGTCCAGAACCTTACACAACACATCTCTGGGACTACTGGTGGTGTAACCTCCCTGCCTCCTGGTCACCCTCCTTCCAGTCCGCAAGGCACCCTGCAACATAACTGTATTCTAAGAAAGCCTCCTTCATTTTGTCTGTCATCTGCCTTCTTCAGAATCCACAGGCTCCCTATGGCCAAGCCAAAAGCTTGGCTTTCTAAACTAAGAGGGGATTTAAGAAATGATTCAGTTGGACTCCCTTGTTTCACAGGTGAGGAATCCCAGGCTCAGAGAAGATGTGTGACTTGCCCAGGACAGAGCCAAAACTGGTAGTGAGGCCTCTACGTGATGAGAACTTACTATCCATCCTAACTCTCCTGCACATCACAATACATGCAGAGACTGCATGTACATGCTTAACCTCTCTGACCTTTGGGTTCCTCATCTGTAACATGGGAATGATAATCTTTAATTTCGGAAAAATGTTGTGAGGATAGAATGAAACTGTCGTTTATCAATTGCTAAAGGCTGTAGAGAACATTGACTCCTAAGAACTTGGCACAGATTATTTACTCGATCTTCACAGCAACCGCATGAGAGTAGTATTATTCACTCCATAGTAGAGACAAGGAACTGAGGCATAGAGGGATTAAGTAATTTGCCCAAGGTCACCTGGCTCACCCCCGTCCTGACAGCTCCTCTTTTGTCCTGGCTTCCCCCATCCACCCCCTTCTCACACACACACACACCACACAACCAAGTGCCTCATGTAGTTTTCCTCCTGTCTGGATCTCCAGAGTCTGCCGCTGTCACCTGCTACACCCACTTCTCCTAGGGGAGTTTGCATGGTCTGCCCTCTGGCCACAGATGATCGCACCAGGGCTGGGCATTGAACCAAGGGAAAGCAAGAAATAAACTGGCTGAGCCATGCAAGTCCTTTCTCATGAGCATTTGAACTAAGAAGTTACAAAAACCGAGTTACTTAGGTGGTAGCGAGCAATGGAGACTAGCTGGAAGCTACCCTGGGCCAGGGTGAGCCAGGAGAGGAGAGTGGAGCAGAGGCCCAGGGAAAGGAGAGACCAGAGACCCCTGGTGTTCACCCCAGGTGTGCTGGGAATGTGTCCATGCACACACACCCTCTGGCCTCGCCCACTCTAACAGAATCCCCAACATATAATCAGCCCAGCGTCTTCTCAGATCCCATGGGATCTGACTGTATTTTCCACTGCTGGGTTCTCTGAGATTCCCATCTATCTTCCTAGGAAATCCTCTTTTCAGTTCCACTGGTTTGAGTGTGTTTGTCCTTATAGCCTGTGAGCCCTGGCTAGAACACCAGCTCAAGTAATTCGACCAGCTCAGGGCCTGACTCCTCTGGGAAGCCTTCTCCCTACCTCTCTGTATTCGTCTCGTCTTCCCCAGACAGATCCCAAACCCTATCACAGCGGCGGTCACTTCCCTTTCCTTCTCAGCATCCAGCACGTACTTGTGGATTGGCCACATCTTCTAACTTTGGGGTGCCATTTCCAATTTTGCTCTTTGAAATTATACTATCATTATGGTTACTACTTAGTGTTCTAGCAAATCCATGTATCCGTCCATCATCTATTTATTCTTGGAACATGTATTTAGTGTCTGTGTCAGGCACTGGGCTAGGCCCTGGGAATGATGAGGATAAAGTTCTTAGTTCTTGCCCCATAGGAGTTCACAGTCCAGGAGGGAAATCCAGCTTCCTCTTGCCAAACTGGTCACACCAACACAGCCTTTGCTTTCATGATCCCAGCTACACATAAACACACACTCCAGACATGACTATTAGCCCTGTCACGTTGTCACACACACCCAAAAACAGGCTCTATCTTGTTTTCTCCTCCCCATTCCCCTTCTTCACACCGAGTGCCACCCCTGTTTCCTGCCTGGCCTCTCACTGTGCTCAGCTCTAGAAGATGCCGTGAAGTCCTTGCTCCACCCTCTACTCTCCCTCCTTTTTTGATCCTCATTCTATGGTACGGGAATTGACACTATAGTCTAAATGTGTATGTTTGTGTGTGTGCATGCATGTGTGTGTGTGTGTGTGTGTGCGCGCGCGCGCGTGGGCCTTTATGCTATTTTAAGACCCCAGCACTTTGCAAAAACCTGATGGAGAATCCTGCCAAAGCCCAAGGGTGGGGGAGGGGAGGCTGGGCAATCTGAGCCTGGGGCAGACCGGGCGTCTGGGGAGCCAGGTTAGCAGCCGCCAGCTGCAGAGCCTGGGCTCAAACTGCCGCCATCGACTGCTGGTTTCCTGGCCCGCGCCAGCCCAGCCTGACCCGTTCTGTCCACCTCCTCTTTGCCATGCCCAAGTCCTCATTCCTCTCCATGGGTTGCTTGGGAGTTTGCACACCAGGCATCATGTAAAATTGTTGTGTTTCTGGAAACACATACACATGCAGAGAAGCCTTGAAATTCTTCTTGGAACAGGTCCAGGGATTTATTTATGAAATTCCCAGGGGGTGAGAGAGACAGAAGTCTGGACTTTGCAGACTGAGTGCTGTGCCGTCATCTTATCAACATAACCACCAGCTCTAGTGTGCACTTACTAAATGCCCACTGCGTGCCCGGGCCAGGCTGGAGGGGGCTTGTGGGGAGCACAGGTGCTCAGTACTGCAGGCAGCAGGGATGCCTTCTCTCCCCAGAGGAAAAAAACCAGACATGGTATTGACATGTTTTGGGCATGGTCCCCAACTCTGACCTCCCTGCTCTCTCTCCCAGCAGCCCTATCTCCTCACTTTCTTGCTCTCCTTCTCTCTCAGTCTGCAGGCTCTCTCTCTCTTACCCACCTTCACTTTGGAGTCCATGCTGTCCTGTGGATGGGTGTGTGGGTCTTCCAAAGAAGGGCTTCGAGGGTAACATCTACAGCAGGGAGAAACTGTAGTGTGCTCAATGCGCTACTCCAATTCTTTGCAGTATGGCATGGAGAAGAAATGGGGTTTATGTGCAGGCATGGCAGGGTCTGCAGAGGCTAGAGAAAGCTGGGGTGTCCAAGCCTCTTAAGATAGTTTCCACTGGGCGCGGTGGCTCACACCTATAATCCCAGCACTTTGGGAAGCTGAGGCGGGCAGATCACCTGAGGTTGGGAGTTTGAGACCAGCCTGACCAACATGGAGAAACCCTGTCTCTACTATAAATACAAAATTAGCCAGGCATAGTGGCGCATGCCTGTAATCCCAGCTACTCGGGAGATTGAGGCAAGAGAATCGCTTGAACCTGGGAGGCAGAAGTTGCAGTGAGCCGAGATCACACCATTGCACTCCAGCCTGGGCAACAAGAGTGAAACTCGGTCTCAAAAAAAAAAAAAAAAAAAAGATAGTTTCCTTGTCCTGCCCAAGGACTTTAGGTGGACGCTTCACTGGGAACTAGATGGTCCCCAATCTGATCAGACTGATGATGTTGGGGATAGAACCTTTGCTCTGCTTCCAGGAACCAAATGTGTAGAGCTTTCTGCAGCAAGACAGGTCAACAGGTCTCTGCCCCTTATCTAGCCCACCATCTCCAAGAGAACCCGGCAGGACTTGAGGCTTCTGTTGCCTCCCTTTAATTCAGTAGGGGTGGGTCTGAATGTGTCTTTAGTTTCCCATGTACACCCTGCCTTTGAGGGGAAGCCATATGATCAATATCTGTGGAATGACCGATTTTATGCAAATGTAATTTTAGAGGTAAGCTCCCAGTGGAAAATATGGACTAGTCTATCAGAGATGAGATAGAAAGACATAGAAGGCCACTGCACTTACCACAGGAAGTGGGGGACTTTTAAAAATCAAAGGTGGCTGGGCGCAGTGGCTCACACCTGTAATCCCAACATTTTGGGAGGCCGAGGCGGGCAGATCACTTGAGGTCAGGAGTTCGAGACCAGCCTGGCCAACATGGTGAAACCCCGTCGGTACTAAAAATAGAAAAATTAGCCGGGCATGGTGTTGGGCACTTGTAATCCCAGCTACTTGGGAGGCTGAGGCAGGAGAATCACTTGAACCTCAGGAGGCAGAGGTTGCAATGAGCCAAGATCGCGCCACTGCACTCCAGCCTGGGTGACAGAACAAGACTCCATCTCAAAAAAAAAAAAAAATCAAAGGCCACCACCATCTAGAAAATAATCAAGTCAGGGGAAAGGTAATGAAATATACTAAGTCACTGGAGCCTGAGCAACATAGTGAGACCCTGACTCCACCAAAAAAACGTTTAAAAATTAACCGGGCATGGTGCTGTGTTCCTGTAGTCCCAGCTACTCGGGAGGCTGAGGAAGGAGGATCACTTGAGCCAAGGAATTTGAGGCTGCAGTGAGCTGTGATCACGCCACTGCGTTCCAGCCTGGGTGACAGAGCGGGATTCTCTCAGAAAAAAAAAAAAAAAAAAGACAGAAAAGAAAAGAAAAAAACAAACACTGGAACAACAATAGGAAGAGTCCTTTAGGGATGACAGAACTTTCCCTACTCTACTCTAAGCAGCCTAGGCTCCCGGCTCTGAAGTTTAGGCTCCCACTTGGTTTAGAAATAAAAAACCCAAAACATCCCAGGGGTCTCACAGACCTCAGGAATTCTCTCCCTTCCTTGGGAAGCCCCAGCCTGGTTACACAGAATGAGTTGGGGTGGGGAGATATGCCTTCCATGCCTTCCAGCAGCCTCTCCCAGGTAAGGCAATCAGGTGTGGGCAGGCTCACCAGCCTGAGAAGCCTGTTGTGAGTAGGCGGGCCCATTCCTGGCTGAGAGGAGGGCAGCGTCTGCCTGCCAGGGCCTGTGTTCACGCCCATGCATGCGTGCATGTGTGTGTGCATGTGTGAGTGTCTGTGTTGGGAGAGGGTTGGCACGGCACTGAGGACACAGAAATGTATCCCACTCATATCTCTAAAGCTAGCCTACGCTACATGACCCTTCTCCCAGGCTTATGGGAGGATAGGAAGGCTCAGATCTATTTCCTGGCATCTTAGTAGCAACCATGGGCTTTGGGTTCAGACACATCTGAGTTCAAATTCCAGCTCTATTACTTGCTAGCTGCGTGATTTGGGACACATTGCTTAACCTCTCTGACCTTTGGGATCCTCATCTGTAACATGGGAATAATAATCTTTAATCTTGGAAAAATGTTGTGAGGATAGAATGAAACTGTCTTTTATCAATTGATAAAGGCTGTAGAGATGAGAATTATGACTTCCAAGGGGTCCATAATGCAGGCACTGACGTCAGACTGCCAGGTTTGAACCTCACCATACCTCTGTCACCTCACCTGTAAAACATGGATAACAATGGTACCTACCTCATTGTCATGAGGATCAAATAAGTCAATACATACACAGCACATTTAATAGTATCTGGCTATTGTAAGTGCTCAAAATGTGTCAGCTTCTAGCACAGAGCTGGTGCTCACTCCTCTCTCTGGTCCATGTCCCAGGACCCAGCCCCACTGCAGAGCCCCTGTCCCAGCCTGCCCGGCCTGTGGCTTCTGGCCAGTTTTTTCTTACAGTAAAATCTGTTTTTTCCTCAAGCTGGTCCTTCCCAGGCATGCTGTTGTCATGGGAACCTACAGAGGCCGCCTGGGTTTGGGGGAGAAAGGGGTTGTGGATTAAAGCCAAAGAATCCTGCCACTGCTATTGCAGCCAGTGCAATAGTGGGATAGCCACCATTCTAGCCCTCCAGAATAGAGCCAGATGGTGGGGGGCCAGAAGGGGAGTTTATCTGGAGGTCCACTCCTGCCCTGGCCTCATCTGCTGTTGAGTGGGCCCCTAATCACTTAGCACCGGCTGAGTGGGTAAGACCCTATGATTCAATACTCTCTGCCACCATTCCTCTAGCACCTTTTCAAAAATGGAGCTGGTACTAAGCACTATTGTTTCCTTGTCCTTGTAGGGCTAAACAGAATCATGGCTTAGAGTAGGGCTTTAGAATTGATTTACTGCTCCTCTTTACCTTCAAGACAAATGCGCATCTCCAGAGCAGAGACAATTAGCTTCATTTAACAGATGGGGAAACTGAGGCCTCAGGCACCCAAGTAACCACCTGAGTCATTTAGCCAGTGAAATGTGGAACCGAGACCTGGAACCTAAGTGTTTGGATCTTTGCCATTACCCCCAAATGCCTGGGATCTCTGTCTCAAAAAAAAAAGACCTATCCACAGAGATGTACATTGCAGCATGATTAATGATAGAAAAATCAGAAAGCACATCTATATAGGGGATGGTTTAATAAATTAGATAATACACTATTAAATATTATACAATCATTAAAAGGATTGCAAAGTCTGTGTAGAAATATTAAAATGTTAAGTAAAAAATACTAGACACAAAATAGAATATGCACCATGATTATAAGTATGCAAAGTATGTATGCAATGAAAATATCTGCTTCAATTTGATGGGGTGAGATTATGTGTAATTTTTTTCTCTTTTCGAAGTTACCAAAATATAATACTTTGCCTTTTCAAGCAAAACAAAACAAAAAAAACTCTTGGGATGATATAGGGTTAAGAACTCGGCCCTATTTCTGAAACGATTATAAAGAAATGGGTGCAGAGAGTTCCAACATCCCTCCCTCAGTCCTTGCCTCATTCATCTATTGAGTATATATTAAGAATAATTTTTTATTGAATATCTACTATATGTGTGCATATCTCGTTTCTAGTTTTCACAATAATTGTTTCACAAAATAGGTAAATTACTTAGGACTTTGTTGGTTTCATGTAATGAAAATCCATGCTAGCTATTTAAGGAGTTTTTTTTTTTTTTTTTTTGATACAGGGTCTCACTCTGTTGCCCATGCTGGATGCAGAGCGCAGTGGTGCAATCTTGGCTCGCTGCAACCTCTGCCTCCTGGGCTCCCACCTCGGTTCCAGAGTATCTGGGACAATAGGCATGCACCACCACACCCTCCTGACTAATTATTTTTATTTTTATTTTATTATTGTTATTATTTTTTGAGATGGAGTCTCACTCTGTCACCCAGGCTGGAGTGCAGTGGTGCCATCTGGGCTCACTGCAACCTCTGCCTCCCGGGTTCAAGAGACTCTCCTGCCTCAGCCTCCTGAGTAGCTGGGATTGCAGGTGCCCGTCACCACACCTGGCTAATTTTTGTATTTTTAGTAGAGATGAGGTTTCACCATGTTGGTCAGGCTGGTCTTGAACTCCTGACCTCATGATCCACCTGCCTCAGCCTCCCAAAGTGCTGGGATTACAGATATGAGCCACCACACCCAGCTACTTGTTTGTAATTTTTGTAGAGATGGGGTTTCCCATGTTGCCCAGGCTGGTCTTGAACTGCTGGGCTCAAGCGATTGGCCAGCCTCTGAACTACCAAAATGCTGGGATTACAGGAGTGAGCCACCACGCCTGGCCTTAAGGAGATTTTTTTTTTTTTTTTTTTTTTTTGGTTTAAGGGTGCGGGTTTCTCACAAGCTCAGTGCAGCTGGCCTCAGTCAGTCACTGAAACCAGGACATTAAATGTGCAAGACCCTTTCTCTGTTTCCACTGTCTCTTCCTCTCTGGGCCTGTGCTTCCTTTGTGCATTGGCTTCCATCTACTCTTATGCAGACCAGCTTTTTCTGCTTCCCAGCCACACAGGAACATATGGCTACTGATATATAGCCATTGGGTCTACAGTCAGTATAGCTGTATGGGAAAAGAGTCCAGTGTGACTCTCTCTGGGTTCCAATTCCTAACTGGTGATGTAGCAGCTGATGGTCCCGACCTCTGGCCCAGTAATCTGTGGGGAGTGGGCTGCATCGTGTTGGACTAACATGGTGGCCAGGAACCACCATCGTCTCTGTGTGCATAGGGAAGAAGGGTCAGTTCTCAGAAAAAGCGGGTGAGAGTGGGTGGGTGGAGATGGGTCAAGTGATTGAAAAGAGAAATCAACATATGGAGACATGGTGAATATTATGATGCCTCTCTCTGCAGATGAGGACTCTGAGGCTCAGAGAGGTTGGTTGACATCCTTAAGTTTTTACAGCTTGAAAAGAACAGAGCTGGAATTCAAACCTATGCCTGCCTCTCTCCAAAGTCCACTCCATCACACCACCCACACATGTGCTGGTAAATGCAAGTTGGCCAGGCTAAGAGTGTCCAAGAGGGGATAGTATGTGTAGAGGCCTGGTGGCAAAAAGGAACTGTGGGTCTAAGGAGCTGAAAGGGACATGAAGAGAGAGGAGGACTATGGAGGGAGATGTGGCCAGAGCTGTAGGCCAGGTCAGATCAAGCAATAAGGGCCTATTAATAAGGAGTTTGCACTTTAACCTGAAGGCAGTGACACTCAGCAGATAGCATTATGGAATAACAATTTGCATTTTACTTTATTTTATTTTATTTATTTTGGAGACAAAGTCTCACTCTGTTGTCCAGGCTGGAGTGCAGTGGCATGATCTTGGCTCACTGCAACCTCTGCCTCCCTGGTTCAAGCAATTCTCGTGCCTCAGCCTCCTGAGTAGCTGGGACTGCAGGCGTGTGCCACCACGTCCATCTAATTTTTTGTATTTTAGTAGAGACAGGGTTTCACCATGTTGCTCAGGCTGGTCTCAAATTCCTGAGCTCAGGCAATCCACCTGCCTCAGGCTCCCAAAATGCTGGGATTACAGGCATGAGCCACCACGCCTGGCCAACAATGTGTATTTTAGAGGAACTTCTCCAGCTACAGTGTGAAAGACGGACTGGAGGGGTCAGGATGCAGGAAACCAGGAGGAGGTCCCACCACCCTAGGTGAGAATGATGGTAGCTAGGACCAGCGTAGGGACGAAGAAAGGTGGACAGAGTTAAGATATAACAGAAGATAGGATGGACAAGACTTTGTGTTCATTGATTGATTGGGGCTAGGGCCTTTGGTGATAAGAGAGAAGGAAGTCCTAACAAATCTCATGTGTTTATTGGCTAGTTATACCAGTCTTGGAATATTGAGGACAGAGCAGGTTTGGGGAGTTCTGTTTCAGACATGATGAGTTTGAGAGTCCTGGGAGCCATCCAAGGAGCCATCCAGAAGGAGCTGGGCCTTGAGGTCTGGAGCTCAGGAGGGAGGCATGAGCTGGAGACACGGATCTCAAAGTAACCAATGAGCACTAAAGGCAAGGCATGATGTGCTCACCCAGGAGATGTCTGGAGAGGGAGCAGAGGAACTGGGCGCTAGGAACATCAGCATTTAAAGGAGAAGCAAAGAGAAACCTACAAAGAAATCTGAGGAACCCTGCAGAGAGGTAGGAGGGAGATGAGCTGAGTAGGGTAGGAAAGCCAAGAGGCAGAGTGGTCACTGGAATAAGGAATGACTGGGAGGGTCCGCTGGATTTAGCAACAAGACCAGTGGTGACCTCCAAATGATCAGTTTCCATGGCAAAATCAGGGGGCGTGGGCTGAGGAGTGAGTGGGAGGTGAGAAGCTGGCTTTTCCAATAAATGTGAGCAAGAAGGGGAGGAGGAGGGAGTCCAGAGTGGCTGGAGGGGTGTGGGCTTGAGGGTTTCTCTTGGCAGCCAGTTGATGCCTTGTGGGAAGGACCTGATGGAGAAGAGTAAGTTGAGAATTCATTCAGAAGAGTGAAAGGTTATTAAGAGTGAAGAACCTGAGGCCGGGCGTGGTGGCTCACACCTGTAATCCCAGCACTTTGGGAGGCCAAGGCAGGCGGATCACCTGAGGTCGGGAGTTTGAGACCAGCCTGACCAACATGGAGAAACCCCAGCTCTACTAAAAATACAAAATTAGCTGGGTGTGGTGGCACATGCCTGTAATCCCAGCTACTTGGGAGGCTGAGGCAGGAGAATCGCTTGAACCCAGGAGGTGGAGGTTGCAGTGAGCTGAGATCGCGCCATTGCACTCCAGCCTGGGCAACAAGAGCAAAACTCCATCTCAAAAAAAAAAAAAAAAAAAGAAAAGAAAAGAAAAGAAAAGAAAAAGAGTGAAGAACCTGAATGGGGGGCTGGAAAGGTAGAAGGAGGAAGCAATAGAGACGCAGGTGAGTTCATAGGTTTGTTGTCTGCCATTGAGGGCATCTTAGGGCTTCTCTTTTCTTTTCTTTTTTCTTTTCTTTTCTGATGGAGTCTTGCTCTGTCACGCAGGCTGGAGTGCAATGGTGCAATCTTGGCTCACTGCAGCCTCCACCTCCCGGGTTCAAGTGATTCTCATGCCTCAGCCTCCCGAGTAGCTAGGATTACAGGCACCCACCACCACGCCTGGCTAATTTTTGTATTTTTAGTAGAGACAGGGTTTCACAGTGTTGTCCAGGCTGGTCTCGAACTCCTGGCCTCAGATGACCCACCTGCCTCGGCCTCCCAAAGTGCTGGGATTACAGGTGTGAGCTACCGCGCCCAGCCTAGGGCTTCCATTTTATTTATGAAGAATCAAAGTCAGCGTGGGGAGATTCAGTTGTTGGAGAAGTATAAAATGTTTGAAAGAGACTTATTGGAGGATCTGAGAGCCACAAAGAGGGTTGTGACTCTTAGATCCTCCAATAAGTCTCTTATTAGAGGAGTGATTGTGATAAATCTGTTTTTGTGGTCTTACCTCAACACTATGGGGATTAGATTCTCAAATTCACACCTGAAACACAATAAAAGTGCAAATCTGGAAGAATGGTGGAAAGACCAGTTTGAATAATGAATATTGATCAAAAAAAATAAAAGAAGAAGAAAGAGAAGTAATTTTATTCGTTTCAGGTACATACAGTAACACAAAATATTACCTAGTGGTTGGGAAAGAATCATTTGTAATTAGCATAGAAATTGTTTGCAATGTAAATGAGTGTTTCTGAAGTACTTGACTATGCTTAAAAACAGTACTTTAGTATTTTAAGAATTCCCCTTGTGGGGTGAAACCACTTTATATCTATTTTAAGACCTTGTTAAGTCTGCTTAAATGTAGTTAATTTTTTTTTTCTGGAAAAGATACTGGCTACATCAGAAAACAGTTTCTGGCAAAGGTAAGATTGTGCAACTGCACACTGCACAAGCGCTTTCCAAAGGCCATTTCCACCAGAGAGCAGATCTGATTGCCGGAGATTGTTACTAAGGGAACAGCGGGGCATGAATATAAATTTCATTTCTCTAAAGACCTAACTAAAGTATTGATCCAAAGGGAGCAGCCAGTGAATACAGGATGAAGAGGCTTTTTCTAATTGAAATAAATAAATATAAACATAGAAGTATACATATATATAATCACAGGTTTTCACCTTTTCACCTTGCCTTGCAAATCTCTCCTATTTAGCTGCAGCCCAGATGAGGAGGCCAGAGAGATAAGAGAGCCAGGAGCTGGGGAGCAAAGCAAGAGGTGTTGACACCAAGCTGGTCTGCAACTCTGCAGAACTGAACCTGCAAACACTATCGGCAAGGATAGCATACTATCATTAGCATTATTTTTATTATTGAACAACAATTCTGGCCAGGCCTCTTGCCCAACATGATCCCAGTCCTCACAACCACCTTACATATTATCCCCATTCTGAATAGGAGGAAACTGAGTCCCTGGAGGTTCTGTTATGTTTCATGCCCAGGATCTGAGGCTCTGCAGTTGTTAATTTTTTTCTTTTCCCTCTATGGTCTTCAGGTTAATCACGGGGTAACATGTTATCATCCTTATTCTGTGCAAGGTAACGAGGCCTCTCTTAGATCTTATTTTCCAGCTCCTTCTCCAATCCCCCTTTCCATCTCCATCTATCTTGCTCTCCTCACCCCCAGGCACTCTAGTGAGCTTGCTCCATGTCCTAAAACGTATGCATATCCTTGCTAAGCATATAATGTTGTTTTGAATATGTATGCATCCTAAACTTATATAAAAGGCATTGTGTTATAACCCTCATTCTCTTTATTTGCCAATCCCATATTTTTAAGGTCTATCTATGTTGCTGCATATATGTGTGGTTAATTGCTTCCAATGGATGACATCGTATTCCGAACATTTTCTTATCTGTTGCCCTAGGGATGGACACCAAGGTTGGTTCCAGTTCCCTGCTACCACAAGCAACAGTGTGTTGAACTTCATCATGTCTCCACTTGTGGACTTGTATGAGAATTTCTAGGAGATACATGGTTGACCCTTGAACAAGGTGAGGTTTGGGGTGCTGATCTCCCATGCAATCAAAAATCTGTGTATGACTTTTGACTCCCCCACAATTTAATAATAGTCTATTGTTGACTGGAAGCCTTACTGATAATGAACAGTCAATTAACACATACATATGTTATATGCATTATGTACTATATTCTTAAAATAAAGTAAGCTAGAGAAAAGAAAATGTTAAGAAAATCATAAGGAAGAGAATATATATGTGTGTGTGTGTGTGTGTGTGTGTGTGTGTATATATACGTATATATATATATATACGTGTATATATATATATATATACGTATATATATATATATATATACGTATATATATATATATATATATATATATATATTTGAGATGGAATCTCGCTCTGTCACCCAGGCTGGAGTTCAGTGGTGCGATCTCGGCTCACTGCAAGCTCCGCCTCCCTGGTTCAAAAAATTCCCCTGCCTCAGCTTCCCGAGTAGCCAGGATTACAGGTGCACACCACCACGCCTGGTTAATTTTTTTTGTATTTTTAGTAGAGACGGGTTTTCACCATGTTGGCCAGACTGGTCTCGAACTCCTGACCTCAGGCAATCCACCAGCCTCGACCTCCCAAAGTGCTGGGATTACAGTCGTGAGCCACCGTGCCTGGCCAGAAGAGGAAATATATTTACTATCCATTAAGTGGAAGTGGATTATCATAAAGTCTTCATCCTTGTCTTCATGTTGAGTAAGCTGAGAAGGAGGAGGAAGAGAAGGGGTTAGTCTTGCTGTCTCAGTAGTGGCAAAGGAGGATGGAAATCTGCATGTAAGTGAATGCATGTAGCACAAACTTGTGTTGTTCAAGGGTCAACTGTATACCCAGGAATGGTATCATGAGGCCAAATGGCATAGGAATACCCATTTTTACTAAGTAATGCTAAAAAGTCTATGCCAGTTTATACTTCTACAAGAACTGCACAAGAGTTCTTATTCCCCCACACCCTTGACAACTCTTAGCATTATCCACTTTTCTCATTTTGCCATTTTGATGGATGTTAGTTGGTATGTCACTTACATGTACATTTCTCTGATTACTAGTGAGTTTGAGCATTCCATTCTATACTCGTTAGCCATTTGGGCTTCCTCTTTTGTAAATTAACTCTGCATGTCTCTCGCCTGTTTTTCTCTTGGGTCTTACTGATTTGCAAGAGTTTTTTATATATTGTAGATATTAACGCCTCAACAGTTTTAAGGACTGTAAATATCTCCTTCCAGTCTACCATCTATCTATGAGTTTTATTAATTTTTCAATGTTAAATATATATAGTGTATAATTGAAGAGTGAACTGATATAGTCATGTTCATATTTTTTTTTACAGTTTGCACTTCAAGGGTCTTCTTTTTTTTTGAGACAGAGTCCTGCTGTGTTGCCCAGCTGGAGTGCAGTGGCGTGATCTCGGCTCACTGCGACCTCTGCCTCCCGGTTCATGCGATTCTCCTGCCTCAGCCTCCCGAGTAGCTGGGACTACAGGCACCCGCCACCACGCTTGGCTAATTGTTTGTATTTTTAGTAGAGATGAGGTTTCACCATGTTAGCCAGGATGGTCTCCATCTCCTGACCTCGTGATCCACCCGCCTCGGCCTCCAAAAGTGCTAGGATTACAGGCGTGAGCCACCGGCGCCCGGCCAAGGGTCTTCTTTAAGTCTTTCCCCAACCTTGGGTCACAAGGATGTTCTCTTACACTTTCTTTTACTAGCCTTATAGTGTGGCCTTTTACACTTTGGTCCTTAATCCATGTGGAGTCCATCTTTGTAGACGATGTAAGGGAGAGTCCCAACTGCATTTTCTATCTGAACAGTGTTCCAGTATTTCCAACACTATCTAAAAAATCTGGCCTTTCTTCCCCATATTTTAACAGCTTTATTAAGATATAATTTACATACCATACAATTCATCCATTTAAAGCACATAATTCAATGACTTTCAGTATATTCACAGAACTGTAAAACCATGATCACAGTCCATTTTAGAACATTTTCATCACCCCCTCACAAAACCCTGTATTTTTTAGCCATCATCTTCACTTTTTTTCTTTTTTTTTTTGAGACAGGGTCTCACTCCATAGCCCAGGCTGGAGTACAGTGGTGTGATCTCAGCTCACCGCAACCTCTGCCTCCCAGGTTCAAGCAATTCTTGTGCCTCAGCCTCCTGAGTAGCTAGGATTACAGGTGTGCGCCACCACGCCTGGCTAATTTTTGTATTTGCAGTAGAGACAGGGTTTCACCATGTTGACCAGGCTGATCTCAAACTCCTGACCTCAGGTGATCTGCCTGCCTTAGCCTCCCAAAGTGCTGGGATTACAGGCGTGAGCCACAACGCCCAGCCTTCACTAATTTCTGATGCAACCTTTATCACATAACAGTTTTCAGATGCATATGGATTTGTTTCTGAGTTCTTTGTTTTTTGTTTTTTTGTTTTTAAGATAGGATCTCACTGTCACCCAGGCTGGAGTGAAGTGGTGTGATCATGGCTCACTGGAGCCCTAGACTCCCACCCGACCAGCGGGCTCAAGCAATCCTCCCGTCTCAGCCTCCTGAGAAGCTGGGACCACAGGCATGTGCCACCATGCCTGGGTAATTTTTTATTTTTTATAGAGACAGGGTCTTGCGATGTTACCCAGGCTGGTCTTGAACTCCTGGGCTCAAGCAATCCTCCTGCCTCAGCCTCCCAAAGTACTGGGATTACAGACATGAGCCACTGCGCCTGGGTGTTCCTGGGTTCTGTTTCGTTTTGTTTTGTTTTGTTTTTCAGACAGAGTTTTGCTCTTCCACCCAGGCTGGAATGATGTAGCATGATCTCTGCTCACTGCAACCTCCACCCTCCAGGTTCAAGCGATTCTCCTGCCTCAGCCTCCCGAGTAGCTGGGATTATAGGCACCCGCCCCCACGTCTGGCTAATTTTTGTATTTTTAATAGAGACGAGGTTTCACCATGTTGGCCAGGCTGGTCTCGAACTCCTGACCTCAGGTGATCCACCTGCCTTGGCCTCCCAAAGTGCTGGGATTACAGGCGTGAGAGACCGTGCCTGGCCTGTTCCTGGGTTCTTTAACATGTTCTACTTGTCTATTTGTCTACTTGTCTGGTACTATTCTATTTTTCTGTGACTTGTCTTATTGTCTTCTGGGGCAAGTCTCCCCCTTTGCACTTCTTCACAACTGACTTGGCCAAATTCACATTTCCTTTGACCCAGGAATTCCACTTTTTAGAATGTATCTTACAGAAATACTGGAATAAAGGAAAATAATGTATACACAAATTTATTCACTGCAGCCTTGCTTATAATGGCCCCAAACTGGAAAAAAACAAAACTTCCAAAAATAGGGGACTGGTACATTCAAAGAGTGGAATACTACACTGTTTTAATTTTCTGTAGGGACTAATTCTTTCTTTGCTGCCCAGGTTGGACTCAAACACCTCGGCCTCCCAAAGGGCTGGGATTATAGGCATGAGCCACCACACCCGGCCTTTATTTCTTTATTTTAATTTTTTTTTTTCATTCCCACACTACTCCAATGTAGATGCATTGGCTTTTGAATCATGTGAATGCATAACATAGTCAGAAAATAACCCAAAATAAAGAAAATTGACTTAGTTATTCATGAACTTATACTCTTCCATATAAATTTAGAATAAATTTGTCGAATTACTAAAACAACAGGTAGGCTAGGCGTGGTAGCTTGCACCTGTAATCCTAGCTACTCGGGAGGCCCAGGTGGGAGGATGACTTGAGGCTGGGAGTTTGAGGCCAGTCTGAGCAACATCTGAGTAAGACTTCTATCTCTAAAAAAAATTAAAAGTAAAAAAAATTAGCCAGGATGGTGACATGCACCTGTAGTCTCAGCTACCCAGGAGGCTGTCTCAGGAGGATTGTTTGAGCCTAGGAGCCTGTGACCGGCCTAGGTGATATAGCAAGATCCTGCCTCAAAATAAATAAATAAGTAAGTAAGTAAAATCCAACAAAACAGCTGGAATTTTGTTTTTGTTTTGTTTTGTTTTATTTTTTGAGACAGAATCTCACTCTGTCTCCCAGGCTGGAGTACAGTGGTGTGATCTCAGCTCACTGCAACCTCCGCCTCCCAGGTTCAAGCAATTTTCCCACCCCAACCTCCAGAGTAGCTGGGATGACAAGTGCCCACCACCGCGCCTGGCTAATTTTTTGTATCTTTAGTAGACATGAGGTTTCACCATGTTGGCCAGGCTGGTCTCAAACTCCTGGCCTCAAGTGATCTGCCCGCCTCAGCCTCCCAAAGTTCTAGGATTACAGGAGTGAGCCACTGGACCAGGGTAGAACAGCTGGAATTTTGACTTGGATAAAACCCTTTGCTCTTTACTCCTCTGCTCCTTCCACCAAGTGTCAAAAATGCAATGAGAGATGTGAGGGCCTGAAACCAGGATAAGGCCCTAGCTGGGTGGCAACCAGGACTGGAAAACAGTTAAATCAAGAAAATCTCCAAGTTGTATATGCTGGCTGTTGTTTTTCTGTTAAATGCTGGCCACTTAGAACCATCTATTCCACTTTTCTGTGTTTGTCTTACTGTTTTATTAAGGAGTTGCATCTCTGGAGAAGAGGAAGAAAGAATCATTGAATATAAAATCTTTAAAACATCTGTCCATGAGCAATGACTACTTAAAACACCAGTGGCAGGCCTCATCACCCACCTGGTGGCAGGTTATCTCAACTGCAGGCCCAGCGCTTTAGGACAACTACCTTTGTCAAGTTGAACTTACAAATCCAACACAAGAAGGGTGGTAGGGCCTGCCTCGAAAACTTGTTTGCTTTGTTTATTTTTCTAAACATCAGTTCAGCCTCTTGGCCTGAAGGATCATAGATTCCAAATTAGTAGACTCAAAATTAATGAGATTTTCCAGTAACAAGCTTGAGACTAAAATTAAGGAAAATGCACTAATTATAGACTATCTAGCCACCTAACCACCACTTGGATCCAAGCCTCTGGGAGGAGAGGAGGAGGGAAGAGGACGGTCCTCGATTAGACCTGCACTGGACTGTCCTTCCTCTAGGTGCTGCTGCCCATTTCCCTGGCCTGGGGCCTCCCAGCACCCAGTGCTTACTGCCTCAGGGCTCCCATCCTGACCCAGGCCAAGCTGGGTCCCTCTTCTGAGACCTGTGTAAGCCTTCAGGCCAAATTCCTGGAGACTATCAAATAGGGCCCATGGTGGAGGTAGGGGAATCCTTTCTCCTCAGTTCTGGGAAGTGGTATGAGGTGGGGGTGTGGAGTGGGCGGTTCTGGGAGAAGGAAGAGGGGTAGAAAAGGCAGACAAAATGCCCATTATACCCAAGCCTGTCGATTTCCTTTTTTCATGTCTTTATCAGTGTTTGTGACGGAGCTTCTTATCAACAGGAAACGCCTGCCTGAGGGGATGAGGCAGGTCCTGGGGGCTGGACATGGGACAGGGAATTCTGGGTAGTGCGTGGCGGCTGGGCAGCCAGACCAAGTGGTCTCCCCTTTCCCAGGACCCAGTAAGGTTCTCAGGCTCTTTGCCTTGGCATCTGGTGGATCCTTTGATGTACACAGGAAGACAGCACACCAGACATGCCCCAAAGCCAGAGTGTCTACAGGAGGGAGCCCTGGGTGGGGCTCCAGCCCTGACCCTCTGTGATCAAGGAAGGTTGCCAAACAGCTCAAGCTATAATATAGGAATTGTCTTTGCCCCTAGTCTCCACCAATCACCAATCCCCCTCCTTTCCAGATGAGGAGGCCGAGCAACTGGCCAAGGTCCCAGATAACTTAGTGACAGTCACCTCAACTGGCCCTTGTAAGTCTGTTTCTGCATCTGAGCCCTCAGAGGCTGGTGTGTGTGTCGAGCATCCAGGCCTGGGACAATGAGGTACTTGGTACAGACCTCTAGATGAAGAAGAGGAGGGGACTCCAGCACTGACTGACCTCCTACTGTGTGCCAGGTGCTCCAAAAATATTGATCATGAGACTATGATCCTTATCTCTCAGATAAGGCTCCCAGGAGAGGAACAGACTGCAGGTCAGATTTCCCAAGAGGTGAAGATCTAATCTTAGCGCTGAAAATAAATGCCCATGAGGGATGTCTGGGCCAAGCAAGGCTTTATGGGTGGCTGAAAGAAACAGGTTTATCTATCTAGACATCTTTCTTCAAACTGTCAGAAGACTGAATAGAGAAACAGGAACTGGCTGTTCTCCTGGTAGGAGAGGTGGGAAGGGTTTGTGCAGAACAGCAGATGGGTTACCTGACTTCCCATTCCTTACCCTCTTCCTATCAGTTGACCCTGAGCAACCAGATTCTGTTTCTGGTGATGCTGGTAATAAGGAAATTCCCTTGATTTCCCTGCCCATGTGTCTCCCTGGACAACCCCATTCTCCCCCTGCCTCACCATTCGCTCCTGCAGCTGGGGATGTAGGTCAGTAAGAGTGGGTGGGTGAGAAAGAACAGAGAAGAGACTCATCCAGACATGACACCCTGTAGGGCAGCAGTGACAACACTTTAACCTGAAAACTGCCTGAAAATAGACTGTGTGTCTATGACATTATGCAAATCATATGCAAAGTCAAGAAGCCCTCTGTCTCTATTTCGAGCAAACTGAATGTGGCCCTGGTGGAAGCAGCTCATTCCAAGAGTCGCCCACCCAGAGTGATGATTACACAGCTAGCATCAGTCCCAGCCCTGGGAGACTGGACGCAGGACATGCACCCCCCACTCCTCCCCCAGGACAGGGACTTCTAGGCGTGAGGACTTTGCCATCTCTTGGGCTGTTGATCTTAATGTTGGTGAGGATATGGAGGAAACAGCACCTTCCTTGGAGGCTGGTGCAAGGCAGGACTGAGGGAGGATGGTGCCTTGGAGGGTGGAGAGAAAAACTGTTGGTGAGGCCTTGGCAGGGGAAGGGGTGGCCCTCCACATCAAGGCTCATATTCCAGGAGCTACCCTCAGCCCCACTGTGGCATGCTATAGCACCTATCACCCCTCAGGGAGGGCCTTTACCACACAGATGGTCCTCTCCCTCTTTGTCTAGATAGGGAAATTGGGGCCTGGGGTCCCTGAGGAAGTCAGGGCAAAGCTGCAGAGAAGTAAAGTGAGCAGTAGGTTTTTTTCCTCCAAAGGCAGGCAGGTTCCCTGAGGTCTACTTGTAGGCAGGGGCTCGGACGGGGTGACTTCCCAAGGGCTCTTCGCAAGAACTGGAGAGCAGTGAGCCAATCTTGCCGCAGATCCTGCTCAGCGTTCACGTACCCCTTTCTCTGCAATTTCCCCACTGCCCTTCTCCCCACTCTCCCACCATAGCCTGGACATCATGGGGAGGACGTAAGGACAGAGTCTGGCAGGCACAGGGGAAGGGGAAAGGCTGCCTTTGCTGGATGCTAGCAACGCTCCTATTTCGTCAAAGCTGGTCTGAGGCCGGGTGCCCGAATCCTCTGGGAAGGCGCTGTGTTGTTGGGGGATCCATGAACCCAGGGTAGGAGGTTCCAGGCATGAGGCCGCCTTGGGGGTGCAAGGGACCACAAGGTCATCTGTGGTGTAAGGTGTACCCTTCCTATGTTTCCCTAAGAGGGCGTCTAACACGAAGGCACAGATTTTCTAGGCTGGGCAGTCCCATGGGCCAGGACCCTCTCAGCTTCTTTTAGTATCTGCCTCCCCCACAGCATGTCCCCGCCCCGAATTTCCGGGTGTGAGAATGGGATGTGTGTGTGAAGTGCCTTCTGATCCCAGGACAAGGTAGGTCCCCAGGGAAGGGGATCTTCCCATGCTGGGAATGGGGACTGACTCCTGGCAAGATGGGGACCCCATTTGAGAAGGGAAGTGAGAACAAGGAATTGAGGAGGGAGGGTCCAAGCTGCCGGTTCGGAAGCAGAACGCTCTTCGCTAGGTGTGGTATTAGGGGGACAGTCCCTGCAGAACAGCAAGTCAGTGAGCACACAGACGTTGGCCCCCGGGTGCGGGGAAGGCTGCCCCACCCTGCCGGGAAAGGCCCCGCGGTCCCTGTGTGGGGATGGGAGGCGGCCGCTGGGCAGCCCTCGGCCAGCAGAGGGCGACGTGGCAGGTGCGGCGACTAGGCTGCTCCCAATCTGGGGTAGGAACTGAGATTTGGGCCCCCGCGGGGGTCTGAGCAGGGGCGTGAGGAAACTGTGACCTGTCTAAGGGCAAAGCTGGGCGTGTATCCTGGGACCCTCTTCTCCCCGGATCCCTCTGGTTTTATCTGGACCTCTGCGACGGGCCACTGCAGAGGCATCGGCCTGGGAAGACTCCGGAGCTCAGGATTTAACCATGGTTTATTGCAGACCTATTGTGTGCCAGGCATGAGCCCAGTGCTCCCACAAACAGCGTCTCCAGGTACGAGAAGTGTAATTTCGACCCTGGAACACCTTCCTGCACTCAGACAGAAGCATGTGCAGACTGCTCTCAGCAACGCCACCTCCTTCACTCCCTGGCCATTGGGCCCCCTTCTCTCTACCTGTCCCCTGTCACTCCACTTCCTGCCCCAGGCCTTCTCTTAGGGATTTTCCAGGCTTTGGGGAGCTGCTGCTTTCAGTTTCTGGCTGTGGGGTCTCAGCAGGAGTTTGTTCCAAAACCCAGTAGAAATAAAATCCTTCAAGAGGGAGATGATTCGTGGGCTGGGTGGATTCCAGTGACCAGAGGACGTGCAAACTCTGCCCTAATGATCTGGGAACCTAGCCCATCCATTGAGCTTTCTGTTTTCACCCAGTTTCACTTCCTGGTTCTCTTCCGAGCCTTGCACAATGCTGGGAGACAGGCCTAGAAAAGTGCCACCATGAGGATGGTGGAAGACACACATAAGATGCCGGCCTGGGGAGGCTACTCTGGGTCATTACAGCAGGAGCGGGGAGAGCTTTCTTCACTGCCCTGCCCCTAGGCTGAGGACGACTAAGGCCAGGTCTTCCCAACCTTGGGGCTGTCCTTGTCCATAGCCTGAGTCTCCACCCCCGCTCCTTATATTCCTCAAGCTCCCCTCCAATCCACTTCCCTGCAGCCCACTTCCCTGCACCCAGGGACCAGGACAACCTGCTCCATACGTGAGCATACATACATCCTTGAAATTTCCAAATGCCAAACTTTCTGTGTGTCTCTCTAGAGCCATTGAATTCTCCTGAGACACACTCTCTGGGCCTGGCCAGGGGTGTGGGCCTGAGCCAGGGGCCAGTAGGGGAGCTGGAGCCTTCTTGGATGGAGCCAAATTTCTTTTGAGCCTTGGAAGCCTTGGAGGAAGCCGCCCTGCAGTCCTGGGGCAGAGAAGACTATGCCACAGAGAGGGCGAGGGGCTGGCTTGTGGTCAAAAGGCCCAGAGCTGTCTGAGCCCAAGGGTGGCCACTGGCATGGTTTTAGGCAAGAACTGGAGCTTGCAGACTTAGACTAGGAGGTGCTCCAGACACTCCTTGAGTCAGGTAAAGTTATTTTCAAACCCCCATCTTGAGGCAAATTGCCAGGGGCTGGAGCATAAGGAATAGATGAGACTGAAGAAGTTAGCTGTGATATAGGCTGAAGTGTCAGAGAACTAGAGCTAAAGAAGCCTCAAAGGACATCAGGACCAAATCTTCCAATATGTAGATAAGAAACAAAGGTCCTGGCCAGGCGCGATGGCTCACACCTGTAACCCCAGCACTTTGGGAGGCTGAGGTAGGTGGAACACCTGAGGTCAGGAGTTCGAGACCAGCATGGCCAGCATGGTGAAACCCTGTTTCTACTAAATATACAAAATTAGCCAGGCATGGTGGCATGTGCCTGTAATCCCAGCTACTCGGGAGTCTGAGGCAAGAGAATGATTTGAACCTGGGAGGTAGACGTTGCGGTGAGCTGGGATCATGCCATTGCACTCTAGCCTGGACAACAAGAGCGAAACTCCGTGTCAAAAAAAAAAAGAAGGAAAAAAGAAAAGAAAAGGTCCTGAGACAGGCCTGCTTTTGTCACATGGAGCAAACATCCGGGGTCAGACCTGGGTCTCTTGACACCCACTGACCTTCCCCCTGCCATGCTTGGCCTCGATATCCTCTCAGTTAATCTGAAAGTCCTGGGCCTTGCCCATCTGACCTGCCCTTTTTCCACTGGCCTGTGATCCTGCCACACCTCAGTAGGACCTCTTAGGATTTAATGCCCTAGTAAGTCAGGCCCCAGCTCTCTCAGGCAGCTGACATTCAGCAAGCTGCACTCTTGTTGAGGAGACAGAAAGCCCAAGGCATCATGGAGCTGAGATACAAATCCACAGAGAGAAACTGATGGGCCCTGGCTCTCTGGAGCTTATGCTAGAGGCTGAGGCCTGGCAGGGAAGTGTGTGCCAGGGGCTGGACAGGGCCCTGTGCCACCCTGGCAGCTCTGGTGGGGCAGTGGGGTTGATCAAGGGCAGGGGGCAAAGTGCAGGCCCGGGCTCTGAGTCTGGGACTGGGATTCCCTGGCTTGGCACTCTGACTCTGGAGCCTCTTTTGCATCCTGTCCCGGGAGTGGTAGGGGGTGCACCATGCTGGCCATAGGGGTGGGGAGAGAGCCAGGCGTCAGGGAGCCTGCCGCTTTGAGCAGGCCAGACAGCAGGGGATCAGGTTTCAGCCCAGCTGTATTTTTGGCTGGGTGGGCTGGGGGCCGAGCAGGCAGGCGCAGCTGCCCATCCCCAGCACACACCACACTCACACTACCTCTACCCAGATAGGGCACCATCCACTGCCCCCCACCCCCCCAGCCCCCTGCAGGCAGAAAGGAATCAGGTGCTCCTGGGCTATTGAATCACTTTAGGCTTCTCTGGACTGTTGCTAATTTTTTGTAGTGTCTTCTTGATCCGCAGCGCGGTGAGTCGGGCAGAGGGGTTTGGGTACCAGCACTCCCGCATCATCTGAGCTAGGCCTGAGAGGACCTGGGGGTTGGGAGAGAGGTGCAGAGGAGAGGAGGCAGAGAGAGAGATGCAGAGAAGAGGAGGGGGTCGGGAGAGAGATGCAGAGGGAGGTGGGTCAGAGAAGATGGGAAGAAGATGAGGAGGATGGCCGGTAATGGGGAGACATAAGCAGGAGAGAAAGGATGAGAGGAGGGAGATGAGAGCATTGGAAAGGAGAGCGAGAGGAAAGACAAGTGGTGAGAGAGAGAACAGAGGATGACAAAAAAATAAAAAATGGAAGAGGAAGAGAGTAGAGTGAGAAAGGGATGGAGAAAGACAGGGCGGACAGAAAGAGAGAACTCAGATCTTCAGGAGCACTCAAGCCCCCTTGGGCAAGCAGTGTCTGTGAAACACCTTACCCCCATCCCCACCTTTGCCAAGATCCATAGGAAGGGGCCGATTCTTCAAGCCTGGGGGCTCCCACATCCCCATCCACAGCCTAAGACCCCAGTGCAGAGGGCAGTGTCTTCCAGCCCCTCCATCAGCCATGGCTGGGCCCAGGGGACTGTGGAAGTGGGAACTGCCCTAAAAATGCAAGTGTCCAGGGAGCAACCCATCCCAAAAAGCTCATCAACCCATCCCAGGAAGCTCATCAACCCATCCCAGGGCCTGAAATGAGCTGGCCCCACTTCTGGCTCCTGAAAGTGAGTGTATGTGTGTGTGTACAGGAATGCATACATGTGGCTTTTTGCGGATATGTTGTACAGAAATGTATGTCTATGTACACATAGATGTATACATGTATAGAATATATTCATTCTTTCAGTAAATATTTATTAGCACCTATTGTGAGCCAGATACTATGATAGGTAATAGGGACATAAGGGTGAGCAAAAGACACGTTCTTTGTCCTCACGGGGCCAACAGTCTGGCATATATGCGCATGTGTATATTTCTGTGAGTGTATGTTCAGAAGGATATTCACGCTTGTATGTGTTGATATACGTGTGTGTGTCTTTGTACAAGTGAAGTGTTTTGAGAAAAAACAAGGACAAACAACAACAAAACAGCAACAAACAAAGACAAATAGCAACAAAAATACCACAGTGGTCAGGTGTGGAGGCTCACACCTATAATCCCAACACTTTGGGAGGCTGAGGCAGGAGGATCACTTGAGCCCAAGAGTTTGAGATAAGCCTGAGCAACATAAAAGACCTTGTCTCTACAAAAAATTTTAAAAATTAGCCAGGTGTGGTGGTGTGCACTACACCTAGCTACTGGGGAGGCTGAGGCAGTAGGATCAGTTGAGCCGAGGAGTTTGAGGTTACAGTGAGCTATGACTGTGCCACTGCACCCCAGCCTGGGTGACAAGAGCAAACAAAACCCTGACTCTCAAACACACACACACACACACACACACACACACACACACACACAGAGCCACAGATAGCCTCTGACTTTTCACAGGGAAGGTGAAGGTTCTTAAAATCCCAGAATGACCAGATGGCCCTGGGGGCAGGGAGCATGGGCCAGGGTTGAAAGAGGGAGTACCTAGAGAGGTGCCCTAACCAGGACACTCAGTATCTATGAGATGAAGCAGAGGCCTCAGACACAAGTTCCTGGGCCCAGAAATCCCAGCCATGAGCCACCACCCCACGCCATCCTAGTCCCAGCAGAGGCCTCACCGGGTCTGCAGCCAGCCGGTTAGGGATGGTGGGGGTCTGCTGATCCACACACACCACCTTCTTCATGTCCTCAAAGCTGGGGTCATTGGGCACCACATCATAGAAGGGTGGTCTATAGTCCTCCACGATGCCTGGAAATGGAGAATGGACAGGACAATCACTTGGGACTCTAAGGAGGCCCAATACCACCCAGAGGAGAGCCTTTTCTACCCTCTATCCAAGGGCCAGAAACCAGTGGCCTGGACACGCTACCCCTGAGAGGGACAGTATAATGCAATAAATGTGTTTCTAACTAATGTTAATGACTGCCATTTGTTTTGCACATGGCATGTGCCAGATATTCTGCTGTAAACACTTTACATGCTTTATCCTGTTTGTCCTCACAACAGCCCTGTGGGGTGGGTACTAGTATTACCTCCATTTTACAGATGAAGAAACTGATGCTCAGAGAAGGGGGGCCCAAGGTTCCACAGCTAGTAATGGCAGAGGCAAGACTCAAACCCATCTCGGATTCCTAGGCCAGCCTTGTTCCAGTCTTCCCTCAGCTGCCTTCCACCCAGTGCCCGGGACTGCTCCCAGGCCCCAACTATCACACATGCCTGATAATAATAACACCAAATGTTTACTGAGCACTGTATGCCAGGTGCTGTCCTAAGAGCTCTGCATGAAATCCTCACAGCAGCCCTATGAGGTAGGTAATACTATGAGCTCCACTTTATAAGCCAAGAAATGAAGGCCAGAGAGTTTAAGAAACTTGTCTAAGATCAACAGATAGTAAGTGACAGGGCTAGGATTTAAGCCCACAGTCTAACACCAAAGCATGTGCTCTTGACCTCTGAGCTGCACTTATCTTTTTACCCAGGTCCACATAACATCACCCAGTGTCAGGGATGGCACAGGCCTCTGCTGACTCCTGCAGCCAGCACTGACCCCCTCCTCTTGGTATCCCAAGTTCACAGTTTTTAGTAGGAGCTTTCTGAAAACAATGCCGGTGGAGCCGCAGACAGCCCCGTGCCCCATCCTGTTTCCCAGCCTGAGGCTGGGGGCCATGGCCACACAGGCCGCAACCTCGATAGAGCCTTCGCCAGCTGTTCTCCCCATGGCCAGCTTCCAGGCCGGCCCCTGTGCCGCTCACGCCCTAATCAGTGCTGCACAGAGGCCTGAATGTGTCTAATGGGCCTTTAATCAGTGCCGGGGCTGACACCAGATTACAGTGTTTATAATGCGCCGCGAGTCCGTGTGGGGCTGATGGAGCTTCCCCCTCCACCCCAGGCAGCCTCCTCCCAGCCTTTCCTTTCTGCCCTGCAGCCTGGTCCAAGGAGCCTTGGCTTCTTCCAGGTTCCTCTTTCCCCCGATCCCGGTCTCCTTAGAGCCCACTCTGGCAATTCATGCCCGGAGTCTTGAGGAATCTAAGCACCTCGTGAGTCTCCCCAAGGGACCGGTGACACCACAGCCTCTGTTTTCAGTTGATGACCACCGAGGACAAATGAAGTCTGGCATGGGGCTGGCTCCTGGTAGATGCTCAGGAAATGAGGACATCCTTGTCCCCAAGAAGCAGGGCTCCAGCCATATCCTGAGGATTGTCCCCAACCTGTCACGACTCCTGGAAGTCCCTCACCATGGACAGCCTCCTCAAAGGTTGACAATGCTCCCACCAGTCTAGACGACCCACCTATCCTCCGTCCACTCCAGGGCTGAGAGAACATCGACCTCAGGGCTGCCTGCCCAGGGCAGGTCTCTCTACCTGTCGCAGTCCCTCTAAATCAGAGTCCCCTGTGGCAACCCACAGTAACAACCAGGCAGCAATAAGCAGGCAGTGCAGGCACTCACATGCATTGCGTGCATGAGGAAATCAAGGGCCAGAGAGGTTTAAGTGCACACAGTGATGATGAGCACTGGCCCCGGGGCAGACTGCCCGGTTTCGGACCCTGATGCTGCCTCAAGCCCACTGTCATTCTGTGCCCCCGTCTCCTCAACTGTAAAATGGGGACAATATGATGTCAGGCACTCATTCTATCTACAACAATAACAGCCACTAATATTTAGCTCTAGATACTGTTCTAAATACTTAGATTATCTCAACAACTGGAAGCTATTTTTATTCTCATTTTATTTATTTATTTTAATAAATTTTCTTTTTTTGAGACAGGGTCTCACTCTGTCGCCCAGACTGGAGTGCAGTGGCATGATCTTGGCTCACCGCAACCTCTGCCTCCTAGATTCAAGTGATTCTCCTGCCTCAGCCTCCCGAGTAGCTGGGATTACAGGTGTGTGCCACCACAGCCAGCTAATTTTTGTATTTTTAGTACAGACAGGGTTTCGCCATGTTGGCCAGGCTGGTCTTGAATTCCTGACCTCAGGTGATCTGCCTGCCTCGGCCTCCCAAAGTGCTGGGATTACAGGCATGAGCCATCGCACCCATTTTACAAATGAGGAAGCTGAGGCACAGAGAGGTCAAATAACCTACGCACGGTCATGGCAAGATCAGGAATAGAACCCAGGAAGTCTGATTCCAAGCCTATGCTCTTAGCCACTAAGCAATACCACTGCCTTGTCCATACCAAAGAATTAAATAATACATGTAAAGTGCATAGCATGGCATCTGGCACATATTTAAGCTCAATCAATATTAGCTGCTATTAATATTTCTGTTATTATCATGTACCCAAGATTTCACAGCCAGACTCACAGACCCTGTTATCTGTTTTTAAGGTTTATACCTTAAAAGGTCACTCAGCTGAACCAGCTGGTGGGCAGCATGGAAGGGGTGCCAGGAGGTCTGACTGCAAACCTCCCAGGCCATGGGCACTGGCCATGGCTGGAAGCCCCTGGCTCCACAGGCTGATTCCCCTTTCCCTACCCTGTGTAGGGTGGGCCCTCACCATTCACGATGGTCCGGCGGGCAATCTCCCACAGCACCAGGCCAAAGGCCCAGATGTCAGTCCACTTGTAGGACTCAAAGCAGTCCGTGCGGATCTGCTCGTCCAGCACCTCGGGTGCCATGTACCGCTTGGTGCCCACTCTCGGGTTGTTGCCGATGTCCAGGTAATCGCTGCCCTGTGAGTGCATCACAGCCAGGCCTGTGGGGGTGAGGCCTGTCACTCCTGCCCCTCTCCCAAACCTGGGATCCAGGGGGCAGGCAAGGTGGGGACTGAGAGAAACAGTGGGACAGAGAGGGGAAGGCAGATGGAGACGTGCACGGAGATGGGCTGGAAGGCAGTGGCCACAGAGAGAACCATGGCCCCAGGTACTCTTTGCTTGTGTAGTGCTCTCTAGGTTCCCAAGAACCCAGCGAGATGTGAGTGGGCAAGGCAGGCATTATGAGCCCACTTCACAGAGCAGACCTGGAGGCTGGCGAAACCAGGATGAGAACCCAGGTTCCTGGCTCCTGCCTCCTTTCTCCCAACTCCTGGAGCCAGGATGGTATGGTGGAAGGAATCTGGGTTTGAAAAGGGTGTTCAGACAACTCGTGGGGTCTTGCGGAGGAGAACTGAAACAACATGCACCTCTAAATTTTCAAGTGCTAATCATGGTCACCGCCCACAGGCAAAGGAGAGGAGAGCGCACAAGCTCCGCCCACCTGTGAAGGGCGCGCCCCTGCCCCGCCCGGCTCACCCAGGTCGGCGATGCAACACTGCAGGTTGCTCTTGACCAGCACATTGCGGCTCTTGAAGTCGCGGTGGGCAATGGCTGGTTTGCCCTGTGTACCGAAGATCTCCACGTGCAGGTGCGCCAGGCCGCATGCCGCGGACACAGCTAGCCTCAGAGCCAGATGGGGCTCCAGCGTCTGTCTCTGCAGAAAGTCGTAGAGGGAGCCGTGCTCGTGGTAGTGCGTGATGAGCCACAGCTGCGTGCTCGAGTTGCGGGAGGTCATGTCTGAGGCGATGAAGCCTGTGTGCAGAAAGGTTGGGTGACTCAGCCAAGGGGCTGGGGCTAAGGGAGGCTGGAGTCGTCAGGGTCAGGGTGGGGTTGGGGGAGAGGGAATGGACTGGGTCACTGCTAAGCTAGGTCTGGGGGTGGGGGTTGATGTGGCTTAGGTCAGAGACAGAGCTGGAGTCAGAGGTTGGGTCTGGGCCTGGCTTAGTGGCTTGCACCTGTAATCCCAACACTTTGGGAGGCCAAGGCAAGAGCACTGCTTGAGCCTAGGAATTTGAGACCAGTCTGGGAAACATAGGGAGACCTCGTCTCTACAAAAAATAAAAAAGTTAGCTGGGCATGGTGGCACATGCCTGTGGTCCCAGCTACTCAAGAGGCTGAAGTGGGAGGATCACTTGAGCTCAAGAGATTGAGGCTCCAGTGAGATTGCACCACTGCATCCCAGCCTGGGTGACAGAGCGAGGCCCTGTCTCAAAAATTAAATTAAATTAAATTAAATTAAATTAAATTAAATTAAATTAAAAAAAGAGGTTGATGCTGCAGGTGGGCTGAGAGTCCTTCAGGGTTCTGTTAATGTCTGGAGGTCTGCAAACTTGAGCCCTGAGTGCAGGGGGGCAAAGCCCCAGGCCTGGCACAGCTGGCCTCTCCCCTTGCCTAGGATGTTGTCGTGTCTGAGCAACACTGTGTTATAGATCTCAGTCTCCCGGAACCAGGACTGTTCATCCCTCGAGGAGAAGATCTTGACGGCCACACTCTCACCGTGCCACAAGCCCCGCCACACTTCGCCATAGCGGCCTTTTCCTGATGGCCAGAGGGGAAGGTGAGGGTTACACACTGGGCACACAGAGCCCTGGAAGAGCCCCCCATCTTGATGCTGCGCTGCCTCCCTCGCCCACCCCACCCACAGAACCCCAGACCCTTAGGTTTAACTTAATCCAGACCCAAACCCAGTGGCAGGCCACCCCCAGCTGCCTCTCGTTCCACCCCGGTCCTGCAGAAAGAAGAACCTAGCCCTGGCCCGTCTCCAGCCCACTCCCTGCCCAGCAGAATTCCAATTCTGACCCAGGCCTGGCACCGCCTGTGATTCCAGTAGCCAAAAACTCCCTCACCCCTCCAGGCTCATGAGAGCCCTTGGTCCTCATCCACCGGGCTCACCCACTGCTCACCCACACACTCCACCAAGGCAACCTGCCGTGCCACTGTCCTCTGCACCAGGAAGGGGAGCCCTGAGCCACTCCCTGTGGTGCAGTCACTGTCCAGGAGGTCCTGGGGGTACGGAGAGGCCACTGAGAGGCTGCCACAACCAGCCACAGCCCCCTTCTCTATCCTCGACCTGGGACCTGCTGGGTCACTGCAAGCTCCTCACTCGCCCAGCTCCCCACCGGCTCTAATCTCTGGGTGACCCCTCTGATTCTGCAGTTCCTATCTGCCCCTCCTACACCCTGTGTCCCAGGTCCCCAGGCCCATACCCCCAACATGCTGTCGCCCTGCTCAGATGCTTTCAGGATGAGACTGGACTCTCCCAGCTCGCTGTGCAGGCCACGCTGCTTCTCCTGCCTCCGTCGGACATGCCACAGGCCCAGGACACCCAGGGCCACCAGGGCCAGCAAGGCCAGCACGGGGCCCAGGATCAGGGCCAGCTGGCCATCTGTTCCCGGCTGCTCCGAAGGAGGTTGGGTGGCTGAGGGAGGGGGACACTGAGGCTCAGCTTCCACTAGGTCAGCTCCCCCCACCTCGGGCCAGACCACTCTGCCAGTTAGATCCCAGAGTCCTGCCCACCCGCTCCCCCGCCCCCAGCCCCTTTATTGGCCAGAGCATGAGAGGAAAGGAGGGAAGGGAGGGCAGGGGCCAAGAAGATGGGGAGGGAGTGCTAGGGCAGCTGGACGTACCCTCCAGCACCAGGGACACGTTGTGGTTGCAGAGGTGGCTGTCGCAGCAGTAGTGGTTGACGAACTCGGTGGGGCGCCCCCTGCAGAGCTCCCTGTGCAAGTTCCCGCAGCCCCGATGTTCCTGGGGGTGCCTCCCCTCCTCCCGCACCAGCACTACTGTGCACCAGGCCCCCCGGCAGGTAGGCCCCTTGCAATGTGGGCTCTCACACGTGCAGGTCACCAGCGGGCCCCGAGACGGCTTCACAGGGTCTCCTGGAAGACACACCGGAAGCTCAGCCACTGTGGTCCCAGCTCCCCCAGGCTGAGCCCGACACCCATTTCTGTCCTACTGTCCCTCTCGTCTGACCCCTCAGACAAACACCTTGAAGCTTTGGTCTCTTACTTTCATCCTCAGTCATCCTTCCCTCAGAACCCTCCCCTCAGAGCAGCTGACACTCTGAAAAGCAGGCTTTTGTCCCCTCCTGGCTCCTAGGTCCTCCCCTCCCAGTTCTAGGCTGGGCTGGGCCCCCAGCCCCAGCCCTGAGTGCTCTCCCAGGCTTGGCCTGCCAACACCTGCTCTCCCTCCACCCCACATATAGGCTTCCACCCTAGTCTGACAGAGCTCCAGCCTGCAGGTCTGGATCAAGAGGAGAGCAAAGGAGGGCTGGGGTAGCTGGGGACTGAGTCTAATGGAGCCTCACTGTCCTCCACTCTCCAGTCAAGCTCCTACATTCTCCCCAGCTTCTCAAGTTCAGCCCCAGGCAGAGCTGATCTGGGCCCAGATAGCCCTTTCTGTATCCAGGTTCCTGTTTCCTAACTGCTCCCCCAGTACTCACCCTGGGTCACCAAGGCCATCAGCAGCATCAGAAGGCCTTTCCTGGGGGAGCCCAAGGTCATGGTCCCTGCAGAGAGGAGCAAGAGAGGTGGAGTAAGAGCCATGAAGTGTGACAGCCGCTGGCCGTGGCTCCCTCCTGCCCAGAGGAAATCACAGAGTTTTTTTTGGAGGGGAGGCAGGGAGGCCGCCTCCCTACTCCCTGCCGCCTGGCTTTGGGGCGGGGCCTGCAGGGGAAGTCCTGGTTCACTTCCCCATGGAAACCATCCTGTTAGAGGTGAAGGGTGGAGAGCAATGTTTAAGTGACTGAGAGCTTGGGGAAACCCTAGCTCTGCACTCCTGCTGCTGAGCTCAGACTGCAGGCAGGTTGGGAGAGCCGCAGGGAGCACCCAATTGGGGTAGAAGGAGCATCTCTCCAGCAGCTCCCCTTCTGTTCTGTGTCTCTTTCCCACTCCCTCACAGCTTCCACCCCTGCCTACCCTTTCTCAATGCCCCCCCAGCCCTGGCTGCCTCAAACATAAACAGGCTCCTGTCTTCGCTTCCTGCCATTCAGGGTCCTGCCAAGCCAGGAACAGGAATCAAGATTGTTTAGATTGGGGTCTGGATAGAACAGGCAGGAGTCACGCACAGCAGGGAACTGAGGGCATATTTTCAGGGTGGGCTGCAGCAGCCACAAGGTCTGGAGGGGCTTTTTAAATATGCCCTTAGTTCCTTGCTACCCTTAGTTCCTTGTGCCTGGGACACCCACATGACAGAATTCTAGGTGGACATCCTGTGAATCACAAAATCCAGCTCCTTGTTTTACAGAAGAGAGGAGTAAGGCTCATACAGGGAAGAAGACTTGTCCCGGGTCAGACAGGACTCACTGGCACCAGCAGGCGTACATCCCAGGTTTCCAGACTCCTAATCAAGTGCTCTCTTCGCTCTGTCCCTATCCAGTGGTGGCAGCCCATGTCTGAGCCCTCAGGGCTATAACAACCATGCAAAGCTCGGACGGGGCAGGGTCATGCCAGGTGTAGAGAAACCTCTCTGCAAGCTCACCAGAGTATAAGCTGCCCTCTCGGAGCTGTTCCCTGGCCCCCTTCTTTCCCCTTGCCATCTAGGAAAGGGTGGGTGGAGGGCCAGTGATGTGGCAGGGGAAGTGAAACACACTTAGACACTGAATGTTTGACCTTCCATGGCTGACTAGGGTTGAACTTTTCCAGAAGTTTGTTGGAGAGTGTTAGGGGGAGTAATTCTGGTCTATGATAGTCCCCAATCCAGGTCCCACACCAACTAGTGCTTCTGAAGCCACCCAGTCTTCATTTCTCACAGGTTTAGAACCAGAAGATATTGGCTAAAGCTGCAGCAAGAAGGACCCTGGTCAGACAGCAACAGGACTTTCTGAATGGTGGAGCATGTGCAGGTGTGTGTCTGGGGACTGGATCCTCAGGCAGGGCACAAGGCAGGGAGACTGTCCTTTGGCATGACATGGTGAGCCTGACAGGGCTGGGCACATGGCCACAGAGGCTTCAGAAAGCCCATAGTCTAAGAATGGTGCCAAATGAAGACCCAAGATGCTGAGGCTCTGAGGGCAGTATGGCTAGGGGTGGGGTAGGGGGGCTTCATAGGCCTCTCTGGCTGGTGGCAGGCCTGGCCTTCCTGCCTGGGCTTCCTCTGCCCCAGAGGCCCAGGCTGGGGGAGGAAACAGAGCCCTGGGCTGCTGCAGCTGTGTCCCCAGCCTCTGCCTGACCTCCTGCCTCTTGCCCCTCCCGCAGCCAGTGAGGACTCTGGCTAGCACTGTGCGGCAGGACTGACGGTGGGATGGGATGGAGAGAGCACCCTAGAGGAGCTGAATCTGCCCACTGGGGTACTAGCAGGAAGCCATCCTTGGCAGCCTTTGCTAGCCCAGAAAGCTGCAAAGGAGAGGGTTTGAGGTGGAAAGGAAAAAGTGGCTAACAATAAGGCTAAAATCCGGCATTCCTCTAGGATCCTCTGTCCGTACCTCTACTTCTCTGGCCGTGCCCCAGTCCACCCTCCTTCTACTTTATCACGCATCAGAATCACCTGAAGTGCTCACTGAGAAAAGCATATTCACTGGTTTCACCCTCACTCCAGACTCTGATTCAGTCCTGGAATCAGCAAGAAACATGCATTTTTTAAAAGTTCCCCAGGGAGTTCTGATCAGTTTGTGTGGGCACAACGCTAAGTCTGGTTCCTCTGCTTTCATTTTGCTGTACAGGGCCCTGCTGGGTGAGTGGGAGTGGGATGCAGAGGGAGGGGACACTCACTCCCACCCAGGATACTCCCCATCTACTACAGAAGGGACAGCCAAGGGTAAACACCAAAGCTGGGACGTGGTGACACTGTGGAGCGAGGCTGTCTGCATCTGCAGAACCCATCTATGGTCTAATCCTGGGAATGTGATGGAGTAAAATTGGGACTGTCCAATTTTTAACTGGACCCAGTGTGAGATCAAGTACAGGAGGATGCTGAGTCCCGACCAGTCCAAACTCAGAGCTGACTCTGTACGATTTACCCTGAAATCTGACTGTAGCACAGACAGACTCCTGGGGCCTGGCAGGATCCTTTCACTTCTAAGCAAAACTTTGTGAAAGATCTCCTGCTGACAGAAGCATCACTATTGTTGGCCAGAAATTACAGACGTTAAACTAATTTCAAACGTTAGCTAAACACTATGAAATACTTAATAATAACAGTTAACCTTCTCTGAGTACTAATTATGTGCTAAGTACTGAACTTGAATGGTTTATCTGATTTAATCATCACAACAGTCCAACGGGGGAAAGTGAGGCTCAGAGATGTTCAGTTTCTTGTCCATAGTCACTGAGCGTGTCTTAATAAACTTAAATTGCTGATAATAAATCATTCCTTGGTCATTGTTATTCCTCCAGTTGTTTGGGGTTAGATGAGTCCCTCAAAGGAAGAAAAAGACATGGGTCTCGGTGGACGTGTACAAATTGCCCACTACTGTTGTTATTAACGGGTGCCCTACTCAGATTTGTTTAAATGAAGACAGCGTTTTTGTTTGTTTTTAATTTTTTTTGAGACAGGGTCTTGCTCAGTCGCCCAGGCTGGAGTGCAGTGGTGCAATCATAGCTCACTGTAGCCTTGAACTCCTGGGCTCAAGTGATCCTCCCACCTCAGCCTCCCAAGTCCCAAGGGACTACAGGGGTGCAGCACCATGCCCAGTTTTATTTTTAGTAGAGATAGGGTCTCACTATGTTGACCCAGGCAACAAAGGTGGTGTTGCTGCCCAGAAATCATCTGTTTGCCATAGGCTTAGTCAAAGTCTGAGCCTCAGGTGGGGAGAGCCAGAGTAGTGGTATGCCCGAAAGGTGCTTATCAATGTTTTTCTCCCTAGCACACCTGAAGGATTGATAAAACCTACTCCCATCAACGGCAGTGGCTCAGCACAGCAGTGATCTTCACAGGGCTGGAGAAGCGCCATATCAAGCACAACCTTCTGGACTCACTCTGCACTTCAGTAGGCCTTACCCCAACAGCAGAGGAGCAGACCCAGCTGTTCATATTGGGTTGCCCTTACGATTCATCCATGTGATTTATTAGCCCTTCACAGCGGGGTGATGCAGTGGAACATCCAGGTGATGCCTGGATTTTCAGGTCTCAGGCAGACCATGGAGGCAGCACAGTGTAGCACAGAGGTTAGGGTGTGGGCTCTGGAGCATGGAGACCTGGGTTCAAATCCTGCCTTTGCCACTTAGAGGTATGAAATTTGAGACGTTACTTAAACTTTCTGAGGCTTAGGCTTCCCATCATATGTAAAGTGGGAATAATAATAGTGTTATCTCATAGGTAAAATGTAGTACAATTATTTAGCAGAGTATAAGTAGTACACAGTAAGCACTGAAATGTTATCAAGACCCCAACCATGCCATTCACCCCACCATCCAAGGAGTTTTGGACAAGTCCCATATTCATGTCTGTTTCCTTTTCTGTAGGAAGGGGATAGTAACCCCTCTTCCACTAGGTTGCGGCCAGGATTACATGAGAAAAAATATATATATCTAAGTGTCTACATAGTTAGTACTCAATCAATGGTAGCTATTTCTAACAAACCAATGAAATGGGGGGACAGGTGAGAGGACAGGTATTAGGACAGACCCTGACTCAGCCAGAAGCTGGCCATACATAGAGAGAGTGAGAGCAACTGTCCATTATGCCCCTGTCCTTGGAGAAGGAAAGAGGAGCTGGGGCAGCCAGCCCAGCCATGGGTTTCACAGCACTGGCCTCCATGGAAAAATCTGGGGTCCCAGCCTGGGGGGAGACTGGGATCCCCTTTGGCCTGGATCCTGAAGGAAGGTCGTGGCAAGGAGGTGACTGACCATGCGCGCCTAGGGTGAGACTCCTAGGTTGGAGTGATAGTGTCAGATTCCTCAAGCAACAGCTGGAAGGACTGATCTGGGAAAGGTGAGCTCTGCTGGGAGGCTCAACAGCTGTGGAAGTAGGCATTCACTCCAGGTCCACCCAGCGGCCTGGAGGACGTGTGATCCCTTCTATGTGAGTAGAGCAAGACAGGAATCCCACTGCCCATTTTATGAAGAGGGTAGGAGAACAGAGAAGTGAAGTCACTGACCCCAGGTCACCCGACTAGAACCAAGTTTCTGATTTCCAGTCCAGTCTCGTCCATTCCCCTCCAAGTCTCAGGTAGGGTCATGGGAGCTGTGCGTGGTCAGCCAGGAGCAGCTTGCCTTTCTAATGAGCTGGGACTGAGCCTCCCGCGACCACTCTGCGGTGACTCTGGGGTCCGCCCGAAGGAAGGGCCCACTGAAGCGGGGGTCAGGCCGCCCGCCACCCGGTCCCGTCCGCGGACCTCGACTCACCTCTGGGCCCGCTCTGCGGGTGGCGGGGCGCTAGCCTTCGGCGGACCGGGGCCACCTCCCCTCCACCGCGCGGCCGCAGTTGCACCGCCAGCGCTGGACGGCGGGCTGGGGTCCGGGCGCGGCCCCGGACCGGGCTGGAGCCGGGGAGGGGCTCGCTCGGCGCAGCTGGCGCGGCAGCCTCCCGGGACTGGGATGGGGGCTGGAGCAAAAATGTTTCTTATTCCAGCGTCTTCCTGCCTGGCCCAGCTCCACCACTCCCTCCTAATAAACCGTTTCCTTATTGCCCAGCTCGCCGACTGGCCGCCGCTCGCCCCTCGCTGGGGCTGCAGGACCGGGACCCACCCCCGCGCCGCTCCCAGCCCCTCAGGGCGGCCTCCCCTCCCAGCCGCCCGCAGCTCCCGGGTCGCTGGCCCGCACCCGGGCCGGGCCTCCCACATCCGCCTCCCCGAGGGGGCGGGCCTTGGACTCAGGCCGTGGGGGTCCTGTGGGGGTCCCATAGGGGTCCCGTGGGGTCCGGACCCACAGCCGTGGGAGACAGAGCCGAGACTGTAGGCAACGTCTGGCGGCCGGAGTAGTGGGTGGGGGTAGAGGGGGATCGGCTGGCAGCAGCGGAGGGGCCGCCTGGAATCGGGGCGCCGGGAAGGGGCCACCGAGGAAGGGACAGGCGGGGGTGGGACGGGGAGGGACACTACCTATCCTTACCCCACCCTCAGCCCGGGGGTCCTCGGTCTAGGAGGCTTGCAGCAATGAGGGCAGAGTTTGGGGCTAGCAAAATCCAGATGCGTTTTGACTCCGCCCTCGGGAACTCCCGACTTGGCCCAAATCCTTCAGTCCCCTCCCTCGGGCCCCTTCGTCCCCCATTTGTCCCCTCCTGTCTTCAGCAGCCTCTCCCGATCCGCACTCAGCACAGGGGTATACAGGCCCAGAGGACGGCCTTGGGTTAGCCCTGAGGATGGTTTGAGCCCTTCCTGGCCGTTGTGCAGCTGGGTGACAAAGACACCCCCGCCCCGCCAGGGACAGTCAGGATGGAGGGACACGCTGGGAGCAGCCTTGGACCTTCCCCTTCCAGGCAGGGCCCCCACCCCAGCAAATGGAGCTTTAGATAGAGGTGGGGAATGGAGCCTCCCTGGAACTCTGCTGACACAAGGCAGCTGGGGAGGGAAGCAGAATGGCTTCATACCGGCAGGGGAGGGGGACACAGACTCTTCCTGATGCTCCTGCACAGGCTGGGAGCACTGACCTCACTGCCCTGCTTTGCTCCAACCATCTAAGTACCTGCAGGACTCTGGTCTTAGTCCTAGCCTCCTGGTTATCCACAGAGACTCTGAAGTCAAACTACCTACTAGGAATGCAGGCTGGTTGTGTTACCGTAGGCTAGTGACACCTCTCCATGCTTCAGTCCCCCATCTGCTAAATAGGCATAGTAAACCGTGCCAGCCTCATAGGGTGGTTGTGAGAATAGACGGAAATGATGCTTATCTCAGCTCATAGCAAAGATGCTGGCTGGCTGAGCCTGACTCAGAGGAGGCCCTCAATGAAGGCGTTCGTTAATTAAATGAATAAATGAAAAGGCTGGGGAGGGGGTGGCCTCAGAGACACTTGGAAAGACGTGGGTATTAGAAGCAGGAGTAGACCTCTAAGGTGTCTTACTCTAATATGGGGATTCTACAAGATGAGCCAGGGACCCCTCCTCCTGCCCCGCCCCACCTTTTGACAGGAATAGAGGCTGGGGGAGATAATGGCTAAAAGCTCAGACAGGCATCAATTATTGACTGACCTCACTTCCTCTGCTGAAACCCTCCCCATCCCCCACCCCACAGCTGCTTCACAAGTTGTGAGCGTTGTGAATTCCCAGAACCCTGACACACCCAAATTTCAGTGTCAGGACAGAACTGTGTCCTGCAGCCAATAGGAAGTACTATGGGATTACGATATCTGCTCTTTCAGATTATAGCGGCCACTTGGGCCCTCTACGAGCTGGAGAACTGGGAGCCTGGCCGCGGGTCTGTCTTTCACACTCTCTCTCCCTGCTCCGCTATGGCTTCTGGTCAACCTTTTCCTCCCCCAACCCCTGGATCTCTGTCCTGAGAAGCGAGAGTCGGGGCTTCCCAAAGGAAGCCTTTAGTCTGAGAGGCACACTGAGCACAGAAACTTCGAGATGGACAAAAGCTGAGAGTCACTTCTAACAGTCAGTGGGGGATGGAAGACTATCTGGACCAGCGTTCGTGAAACAGATAAAAATAGAGTACATTTTGGGAGCTGGAAGAGAGGACCCAGGGGGGGCTGGAGTCTGTTCATCAGTGCTGGAATCTTCCCCATCTCCCCAGAGCACTGAGCCCTCTGGCCCCTGACTGGTGCTCTTTGGGGCTCTTGTGAACCCCATGCCTTCCAAAGCACACAGAGAACCTGGGGGAGGTGTCAGAGTTGGAGATCCAGAGTTGGAGAAAGCCCTGGAGAGTCATCCCAATGAGAAAAGGGAAAAGGAATTACAGACTGTGTCCAAGTCTACAAGAATTAATTACTCAGAGGGACCAGCTGTTCCCCATATTCAGTGAGGACAGAACAAGAGGAAACAGGCCCAAAGGACAAAGATTTAGATTTAGATACTCAGAAGGATTTCCCAACACTGCAGGAAGCAGAGGCCTGGAGATTCTGTGTGGGGTGAAACCTCAAGCAGATTCTCATCTGTGGAAGGTGGGTGACATGGAGTCTGTCAGGAAGGCAGGGCAATGGACACCTTCACCTTTCAGGACCAGCTATGAGTATTAAGTTCAAGCATCATTCTTTTTTTTTTGAGATGGAGTCTCACAGTGTCGCCCAGGCTGGAGTGCAGTTGCGTGATCTCAGGTCTGCCTCCCAGGTTCAAGTGATTCTCCTGTCTCAGTCTCCCAAGTAGCTGGGATTACAGATGCGTGCCTCCACGCCTGGCTAATGTTTGTATTTTTAGTAGAGACGGGGTTTCACCATGTTGTACAGGCTGGTCTCGAACTCCTGACCTCAGCTGATCCACCCACTCAGCCTCCCAAAGTGCTGAGATTACAGGCATAAGCCACCCCACCCAGACTCAAACATCACTCTTGATACTAGTGCGGGGCTGGCTTCATGGGAGTGTGACCTGTGCAGATGCACAGGGCCCCATGCTTGGTTTAATGCGCTGTCATTGCCATCTTAAAATTCTTAATGATATATTTTTTTTCCATTTATTTAGGTCTCTTTTATTTATCAGTGTTCTTGTAGTTTTCAGCATTTAACTCCTTTATGTGTTTTGTTACACTTATACTTTTTAAAAGCAATTATAAACAGGATATGCTATTTTTAATTTTTGTGTCCATTTGTTCATTAAATTATATAGAAATATAATCGATTTTTACATATTGATCTTGTATACTGTGACCTTGCTGAACTCACTTATTCAAGGGGGTGAGGTATTTGGGTTTTCTACCCCTCATGGATTCTTTGGGATTTTCTACATCGACAGTCATCTGCATCTGCAAATAGAGACAGTATTATTTCTTACCTTCCAATATGCATATCTTTTATTTCCTTTTCTTACCTGACTGCACTAGCTAAAACTTCTAGCATTATGTTGAATAAGAGTGGTCAAAACAGAACAGCCATCCTTGCCTTGTTTCTCTTAGGAGAACACACTCAATCTATTAATCATAATGTTAGCCGTAAGTTTCTTGTAGTAGCCACTCTATATCAGATTGAGAAAGTTCCCCCATTCCTCTTTTGTGTGTGTGTGTGTATTCTTATCATGGATGGCTATTGAATTTTGTCAAATGCCTTTTCTGCATCCACTGATACGAATTGTGTAATTTCTCTTTGTTAGTCTGTTAATACGGTAGATTATGTTGACTGATTTTCTCTTCTTTCTTTTTCTTTTTTTTTTTTTTTGAAACAGAGTTTTGCTCTTGTTGCCCAGGCTGGAGTACAATGGCGTGATCTCGGCTCACTGCAATATCTGCCTCCTGGGTTCAAGCGATTCTCCTGCCTCAGCCTCCCTAGTAGCTAGGATTACAGGTGCCTGTCACCACACCTGGCTAATTTTGTATTTTTAGTAGAGAAGGGGTTTCTCCATGTTGGTCAGTCTGGTCTTGAACTCCCGACCTCAGGTGATCCACCCGCCTCGGCCTCCCAAAGTGCTGGGATTAGAGGCGTGAGCCACCGTGCCCAGCCTATGTTGACTGATTTTCTAATAGTGAACCAGGCCTTACATCCCTGGAATAAACCCACTTGGTTATAATGTGTACTTCTTCATTATATATAGCTCAATTTTATTTGCTAATATAGTAATTTGCTGCATAATGAAGTTTCAGTCAAAAATATTCCACACATACAATGATGGTCGCATAAGATTATAAATGGAGCCAAAAAATTCCTGTTGCCTACTGACGTCGTAGTAACGCATCGCATTACTCATGTGTTTGTGCTGATGCTGGTATAAACAAACCCACTGCGCTGCTAGCCATAGAAACGTATACAGCATGTACAGCTATGTTCAATAAACAATACTTGATGATAAATGACAATGCTACTGGTTTATGTATTTAATATCCTATACTTTTTATTATTATATTTTAGAGTGTGCATCTTCTATTTTTTAAAAAAGTTAACTTTAAAGCAGCCTCAAGCAAGTCCTTCAGGAAGTATTCCAGAAGGCATTGTTATTACAGGAGACAGCAGTTCCACACATTACTGCCCCTGAAGACCTACCAGTGGGACAGGATGTGGAGGTGGAAGACAGTGATAATGATGATCCTGACCCTGTGTAAGCCTAGGCTAATGTGTGTGTTTAATAAAAAAAAAAAATTAAGTACAAAAATGAAATTAAAAGTTTTAAACATAGAAAAAAACTTATAGAAGCCGGGCGCGGTGGCTCATGCCTGTAATCCCAGCACTTTGGGAGGCTGAGGTGGGCAGATCACCTAAGGTCAGGAGCCTGAGACCAGCCAGGCCAACAGGGTGAAACCCCATCTCTACCAAAAACACAAAAAATAGCCGGGCGTGGTGGCGGGCACCGGCAAGCCCAGCTACTAGGGAGGCTGAGGCAGGAGAATCACCCCAATCCAAGAGGCAGAGGCCGCGGTGAGCCGAGATCACGCCATTGCACTCCAGCCTGGGCGACAAGAGCAAAACTGCATCTCAAAACAAAACAACCAGTTTTTGTCCAGTTCAAGGATTATTTTCTCTGTCCTTCCACCCTGTTATTGCGCTCATCCAATGAGTTTTTATTTCAGTTACTGCAATTTCCAGTTCTAAAATGTCCATTTGGTTCTTTGTATCTCCTAAATTTTTATTATTATTTTGCTGGGACATTCTATTTCTTTGTTGAGATTTTTGATTTTTTTCATTTGTTTCATGATTGTTCTTAATTACTTACTGAAGCCTTTTTTTTTTTTTTTTTTTTTTTGAGATGGAGTCTCACTCTTCCTGCCCAGGCTGGAGTGCAATGGCCTGACCTTGGCCCACTGCAACCTCCGCCTCCTGGGTTCAAGCAATTCTTCTGCCTCAGCCTCCCAAGCAGCCAGGATTACAGGCACCCAGCTACGCCCGGCTAATTTTTTGCATTTTTTACTAGAGATGGGGTTTCATCATGTCGGCCAGGCTGGCCTCAAACTCCTGACCTCAGGCGATCCACTCGCCTCAACCTCCCAAAGTGCTGGGATCACAAGCATGAGCCACCATGCCCGGCTACTGAAGCCTTTTTTTAACGGCCACTTTAAAATTTTTGTCATACGATTCTAACATCTCTATCATCTCCGCGTTGGCATCAACTGTGTTTTTCATTCAGTTTGAGATCTTTCTGGTTCTTGGTATGACAAGTGATTTTTTTTTTTTTGAAACTGGATATTTGAGGTATCATGTAATGAAACTCTGAGTCTTCTGTAAATGTTCTGTTGTAGCTGGCGTTTTATGATACCATTCTGGCAGGGGAGGAGAGGGTACACATCTCGTTACTAACAGTGGGGGAGGAAGTCTAGGTTCTCCATTCAACCTCCACTGATGCTCATTACTGGCATGTGGGGGTGGGAGTTCCGCTGGAGGGAGTAGGAGTGCCTCATTACTGCTCCTCCACGGCCTCTACTGACACCTTCCCGGGGAGTGGCTTCCTTATTGCTAGACTGTGGTCAAAGTCTAGGCTCCCCTTTCACCTTTGCGGGTGTAAGTGCGGGACTGCACAGTTTTTTCTGTGGTGTGGAGCTGGAGCAGAGCAGTGATTGTTTAAAAGTTTTCTGCCTCACTGGGCTGCTCTTTCCTGGTCTTCTGGCTGGACAGGGCAGCTTTTGTTGGCACTTTCTATGTTTGTGCCCACTGGCATTTTCAGGTCGTCGGCTTCTTTGGCTCCAATTCTCTGCCATAGGCCCTGGCTTTCTTCGGGTTGAGTTTGGGTTTGAGAGGCGCCCCTGGCTTGAGCTTGGCTTTGGGGAACTGGGATAGGTAAGTCATAACTGAGTGTTCGTCCACATCCGGGTGAATGGTTTCTTCAGGAGTGGTGACCTGTGGGACACCCAGCCATCATCTGCCTGCTGCATGGCTTCTCCTGCGTTATCCACAGGTTTCTGTGGGTGCCAGGATTCCCAGTCTGGGCACAGACCTGGAGCACAGCTGTCTACCAGGGCTCTCAGGGCTTTGCTGTCTTGCCAGTTCTGGCTAAAGTTGGTGATGGGCAAGTAGGGGACCTTGTTCTGAATCCACCCCAGCAGCCTCTGCTTCCGCATCTGCTTCTTGGCATCATCATCCCCTTCATCCTCACACACGGGCGTGGAGATGGAGTAGCGGAGGATCAGCGTCCACACCAGACCCAAGATGAGCTTCAGGTTCCCATCCACAGTGGCTTTGCTATCGATGGACACGAGCTTGATGCTGTCACGGTCCAGGAACTCGAGCGCCACGGACACGTTCTTGAGCTGCATCTGGCGAAAGGTGGGCCGCTGATGGTACTTGAGGTACATGTGCTTCTGGCTGAGCACCTCGAGCAGCGCAATGGGCGGCAGCCCGTCGCTCAGGTCAGCGCCAATGCCGTTTGTTCACGCACTTGAGGTGCTCGTGGCACCAGCTTGTGAACGTCTTCTGCTGGATCTTCTTCCACGGCGCGTCCTCCGCCAGATCCTTCTTGGTCACTGGCATCCTGGTGGCGGGGAGAGCGCAATGCGCAACGAACTGCCAGGAAATGGTGTTTGGAGGCCCAAGGGCCGAGGAGCGAGAACCGAAGCGGAGCAGGAGCGGGGTTCGAACTTGCTGCTACCGGAGCCAAGGCCCAGCGTGCTGCTCTGCGGCTGCCCGCCCCTGGCCGCGGGAGGCGCCTGGCCCTGCGCCTGCGTGCTGAGCCGCCTCTTAATATTCTTAATGATGTTTGAACAAAGGGCTCAGCATTTTCATTCAGCAATGGGCCTCACAAATTATACAGCTGGTTCTGCACCAGGGAGGGTAAGGAGAAACAGCAAGGGAGGAAAACTAGCAGGGCATGAGATGGGCTTTGCTCCATTGAAATTGCAGGGTGGGAGAATTATATGAGACAACCTAGGGATTTTTTGTTTCTTTGTTTGTTTTGTTTGTTTTTTGTTTTTTGAGACAGAGTCTTGCTCTGTTGCCCAGGCTGGAGGCTGGAGTGCAGTGGCACTATCACAGCTCAATGCAACCTCCGCCTCCCAAGTTCAAGCAATTTTCCTGCCTCAGCCTCCTAAGTAGCTGGGATTACAGGCATGAGCCACCACGGCCCGGCTAATTTTTTGTGTGTTTTTAGTAGAGACGGGGTTTCACCATGTTGGCCATGGTCAGGAGTTGGTCTCGAACTCCTGACCTCAAGTGATCCTCCCACCTCGGCCTCCCAAAGTGCTGGGATTACAGGCGTGAGCCACTGCTCCTAGCCAACCTAGGGATTTTTTAAACACAAGAAACATGAAAACAGTAGAACAGGGTACCCAAGGAGGAAGAACTGTGGGTCTCCATTAGGGGAGAAGTGGGACAGATGTCTGCAAATTCCATTTATCCATCTCTTCAACACATAGGAGAGTGACCAGTTTTGTGGGCAAATGGAGTCTGGGTTTTGCCTGGAGGAAAAGGGAGAAGAAATGACTTCTCTAGGTCTTCTTTAGCTCAGGGCAGAAAGCATGATGGTGTCCTGAAAGAGCATAAACTGTGGGACGTGGGGCCTGGGTTCCAGGCCCGAATCATTTATCTGGGCCTCAGTTTCCTCCTCTGTACACTGAGAGGTTTCGACCAGACAATCCTGAAGGTCCTTGCCTGCCTTATATGCTCTCTTTTGGCTCTAAGATTCGGGAATACTACCCGGTCCCAGAACTGGTCACTAGAACTCAGGTAAAAAAGACAGTTTGGCTGGTGCCTAGGTTTGGGGAGGATGCGGGGTAGCCAGAGTTCTGCCCCGAGACTCAGGAAGAGGCTGGTAGATTCCCAGACTTTGAGCCGCCAAGTCATCTTCCTCTTCCTCTCCAGCTCTTCCAGATCTCCTCCAGATGGTCTCGTCCACTCCCCGCCCACCCCCCGCCCTCAGGATGACTCTTCTCAGGATGGAACCTCTTGAGGAAGGGATGCCACGTCAGGGCAGCAGAGTCTTAAGGTTGGACGGTGTCCACATGATGGCATGGAGGTGGGTGGGCCTGAAGCCTGGTCTCTGTGGAGAAGCTGTTTTAGCGCTGCCTGCCTGGCAGTGCAGTGAGCTGTGCATTGCCCCTCCCTGCAGGCTTCCCATAGGCTGTAACTGTCACCCTCCAAATTGGCCTCAGCACTGAGGAAGAGGAGAGTTAGTGGAAAGAGCTCAGACTTGGAGTTGGAAAACCTGTGTGTGAGCCTCAGTTTTCATTCCTGTAGGAAAGGGTTGATAATTCCTTCTCTACCACATTCTCAAACTAAGCAAACTATGTGCAAAAGCCCTTAACCAGCCGGCTGTAAAACCCACAGGGACACTGGTTTGTGTGGAAGGAGGGGCAGAGGTGTGGGATAGGAGGAAGGGCACTGAACCAGGAGTCAGGAGACCTGAGGCTTGGCCATACACAGTGGAGGAGCCTCTATTTCCTTGTCTGCTCAAAGACGAATAATACATATTGCCTTTTCTACTACTGGCTGCATGAGAGGTTATGATACAGATGAATATAGCCCCTGAAGAGGCTGCAAAGGAGGAGGCAGCTGTTTTGAAAAAAAATTAAAAGAATCCCAAATAAGTTCAGGGTAAAATAAATACAACTTTGCAGAAGAGTTTATAATGAGAAGCAACCGTACCCATCCCCAGACCGCATTGCTAGGGCCAACCCTTGTCTCAAAGTTCCAAATACTAGTTTTTCTGACATTTACTTCAACAAACCCTCAGTAATATGTGTACACTGCTATCTCTAGATTTAAAAGGTTCAGGATTTAGGCCATTTAGGTTGTCTCTCTCTAATTTTTTTTTTTTTTTTTTGAGACAGGGTCTCACTCTGTACTCTGTCACCCAGGATGGAGTGCAGTGGCGAGGTCATGGCTCACTGCAGCCTCAAACTCCCTGGCTCAAGTGATCCTCCCGCCTCAGCCTCCCAAGTAGCTGGGACTACAGGCATGCACCACCATGCCCAGCTAATTTTTTAATTATCTGTGGAGATGAGGTCTTGCTATGTTGCCCAGCTGGTCTTGAACTCCTGGGCTTAAGTGATCCTCCCACCTTGGCCTCCTCTCCCTCTAATTATTGATCATTATATTATTATTGTATAAATTTAAGTAATATAGCCCAACCTCTAGTTCCTATTTATGGTATTAGAAAGTATCTCTTGACTGTACTGATTGAGGATAGCGGCACCCTGCTCTTCCCTGAGCTGCAATGAGGGAAGACATGTCAATCATCTAAGATGAACCATCTTGTTATGGGGGGTGTTCAGCTGGAACTCCTGAAGGTGGAGATGCTCTGACGGCTGTGCTGAGCATTCCAGATGGCATAGGAGGTCCTGGAGACATCAAGACTTCCCCATTCCAATGAACAGCAAGGTCTGAGTTTGCTTGGATGAGGAAGGGCAGAGTTGACTGGCAAGGGGGTGGGAGCCTGGCAGGCTCTTGGGTGGTGTTGAGAGAACCCTTACTGCATGGGGAGAGAGTTTGAGGCATTAAGGTGACCATCCCCAGTGTGGACCAGAAAAGATCCCCAGTATCTGAGAGTAGGTAATGGCCCCGGCTGAGAGAGAATGTTTGGAAGTGGGGCTGCACGTCTGGGAGAGGTCAGAGCCAGCGGGATTTCCTTCAGCTCCAGCCACTCTGGTGGGTGGGACCGGATTGCTCATGCTGGACACAGGAATCTGCCTTTGTTTCCAGCTGGAGGGGAAATGCCATAAATTCTGCCCCGTTCCCACCCCTCCAGCATCCGTGCCCAGGCTCTGCCCTTCTCAGGACCAGAAGGCCTGGGACTGAGGGCCCTCAGGTGAATGCTTATTTCCAGGACCCCCAAATCCACAGGCTTCTGCCCCTTGTCCCCCAAAAGCAGGGCACTGGCATGGATGTAGGAAATAGGGGTCGGGGTATCCAAGGCGGGTCTGGAGTAAACAGGAACAAATAAGGAGTGAGGTTTAGACCTGCTCACTGCTCTCCTCTCCCTTGGAGGGATCATGGCCTTTCACAGTTAAGGAGGACACCAAGCTCTGAAGGGAGGACTTAAAGGCAGGGCCTGGGCCCCCCTAGCACCCCAATTCCTGCTCAGATAGATGGACCATGAAACTCCAACCAGTCACACAGGCAATTTTTGGAGCTGGATGGCTGGGGCAATGGATGCGGTGTTGTGGGGCAGAGGGGGCAGAGCAGGGCATGGGTCAGGAATCTAGGGAAAAGGGGGCCCTGTTTTTATTTTTTCCTGGTCAGTGAGTGTTTGTGCACCTGTGTGAACAAGTGTGTATATGTGTGCCTGCATGTGAAGCCTCGTTACGTGCAACTGGGTGTTTGTGGGCCAATGGGCCTGTGTAGATGTCTGTGCCTCTAAGCCCGTTGCTGATGGCTTGTCTGCATGTGTCTCTCTAACCATCTGGAGTAGAAGTTGGCAGGAGCTGGGGTGTTGAGGAGGGCCTAAACCTTGTCCTCAAGCCCTCTCCTTCAGATCTGGGTATTTTCCTTAGGGATGAAAAGGTCTCCCTGTGGGAAAGGAGAGAGGAGAGCAGATGTAAACTTCTGTGTGAGCTGTGGCCAATTAGGTCTCTCTCGGTGTGACCAGCTGAGATCTGATAGGTGGAAGGTCCAGACGGGCCAGGGTAAGGGTGTGGCTGGCCTGGTGGTTGATGTGGTAGAAGACGCATGTGTGGTCCCAACCACTTGGAAAGTGTGACTGCTGGAGAGGGGGCATCCTGTCCAGGTTCCCCAGTATGGAGAAAAGAGGACACAGACCAGTGAGTCCCCATCTGTCCTCTGTCCTCCCTACATATATGTACTCCCTTGCCTTTTCCTGGCAAGGGGTTTCCTGGGGCATGCCCTGGAATGCCCACTGCCAGTCCATGGATAAGAGCGGCCCCTGAGAGAAGGAGGGAGATGATAAAGGACCCCCTGAGCATCCAGGACCTTAGAGGAGCCTGAACAAGGTTCTTCCCTATGCACATGTTTTGAGCCTGGGATGGGTTCCATGCTGAGCCAGAGGCTAGGGACACAGACATGGTCCCTGCCCACACGGGAGTGAGTAGGCTTCCCCAGGAGTCCACACAAGCCTGGCTGACATCCCAGTGTGTGTCGGGACAGCCAACTCTGCAGTCCCAGGTATAGGAGCCCTCTGCCTTCCAGGTGGAGGGTGTACATGTGTACACTCCGGGAGCAGCTCCTCCAGCCGCCAGCACTGTGGTGATGAGGTGGGCTGGGAGTGGGCCTAGGGTGGGGGATGCAGAGATGTGTGTTTTCATTTCCTGGGCCACCAGAATAGTTTCCTAGAATCACAGGGGAGGCCATGGGGCCTCAAGGGCACATCCGCCAGCCTCCTCCATGTAGCTGCACCCTGGGCTGTTCCCTTACTCACTGCTGCTCAGGTACAATCCCAGGCTGCTGTTGACCCACCATGCCCTGACCATGTGCCAGGCGGTGCCCAATGCCTCTCAGACCCCTCACTGCTTGGGCTACAGACAGCCCTGGGTGGCAGCAATTGTGGTCTCATCATTTGATGTTACACATGAGGTGACTCAGGTTGGGAGAGGCAGAGCCAGGACTGAAACCCAGGTCTGTCTGACTCCAAAGGCTTTGCCGTGCCTGCATTCTGCACAGCCAGGGGCCTCACTATGGATTTCTTGGCCTCTGCTGACAGGGACTGAGTTCGGAAGCCTCAGGAGCTGTGATGAGGGAGGGGGAGGCAGGGATATTAGAGGAGAGGTTGACTTTGGGAGGCACAGGCCACAGCAACTCCAGGCCTCAAGGCTTCTCTCTCTCTGATCAGCCTGAAAGGGTTCTGGGAGGGGGAGGGAAGGCTATTGTCAGGACCTATTAGAGGATTAGAGAGAAATGGCTTGGCATGGGAGGGGGAGTTGCTAGAGTGAAGTCCGGGGACTCTAGCTGTCCTGGAGATGGCCAGGGATTGGAAGGGTGGGTCTTCTCCAAGGCAGAGAGGCTCCCTCTGCTGGAAAACATGCTCCAACCTGGAACCCAGGCATTAATGTGGGTTCCACCAGATCCACCACGGCCAGGACAGAGGGGCCTAGGGAACCACAGAGGGCTAGTTCCCTGGCCTTGAAGGTACAGTAGTCGTCCCTGAGCAGGTTGGAGGTGGAGGGAGAGGCTCAAAGAATCAGAGGCTCAAAGTTTAATCCTCCCTGGCTGCAAGCAGATGCCATGTGCTACAGTGGAATGAGCGCAGGCTTTGGAATCTCACAGACTTGAGCTCCAAGCACTGCTTTGCCACTTACCAATTGGTGACATTGGGCAAGTTGCCTAAACTTTATAGCCTCAATTTCCTCAACTGCAAAATAGGAAGGCTGTGCAGATTAAATAAGAAAACAGAGGCCGGGCACGGTGGCTCATGCCTGTAATCCCAGCACTTTGGGAGGCTGAGGCGGGTGGATCACCTAAGGTCAGGAGTTCAAGACCAGCCTGGCCAACATGGTGAAACCCCATCTCTACTACAAATACAAAAATTAGCCAGGTGTGATGGCGCATGCCTGTAATCCCAGCTACCTGGGAGGCGGAGGTTGCAGTGAGCTGAGATCAAGCCACTGCACTCTAGCCTGGGTGACAGAGATGAGACTCCATCTCAAAAAAAAAAAGAAAAGAAAGAAAGAAAGAAAAGAAAATGGGCCAGGCGTGGTGGCTCACAACTATAATCCCAGCACTTTGGGAGGCTGAGGTAGGAGGATCGCTTGAGCCCAGGAGTTTGAGACCAGCCTTGGCAACATAGTGAGACTTTATCTCCACAAAAAAATTAAAAAGTTTTCCAGGTGTGGTGGCACACACTTATAGTCCCAGCTACTTGGGAGGCTGAGGCGGGAGGATCCTTTGAGTTCAGGAGTTCAAGCCTGCAGTGAGCTATGATCACAACCTTGCACTCCAGCATGAGCAGCAGAACAAGACCATATCTCAAAATATATAGATATAGATACAGATAGATAGAGCCAGGTATGATGCCAAGTGCTGCGTCATCTCATTCAATTCTTATAACAGCCCTATGGTGAACATGTTACTCTTACCTCTATTCTGCAAGTGACACCTGTGAGGCTCAGAAAGTGTAAGTAACTTGTCCAAGGTCACAGGCCAACTCCCAGGGAGGCATTTTGCCACGATGCTGATCCACGACTATCGATGTAGCTTCTTTCTCTGTCTATGATGTCCAATGCCAAGGCTGGCTTCCTATGCCATGATTTCAGCAGTGGGTGGGGAGGAAAGAAATCTAGCTCCATCCTGGAGGCCCTGAAGCTGTTTAATCCAACTCACTTCCCCGGGGCTCTTCCTTAATACGTCACCTCTTGATAGTACTTTACAGTTTATGGAACTCTTTCACCCATACTAGCTAGTGGATCCTTCCAATAGCCCCCATTTTCTCCATTTAACAGATGTGAAAGCCGAGGCAAGAGAAATTTAAGTGCCTTATTCAGGATCAAGTTACCCTTGAGTCCCTTCCAGTCCACCATAGTGGCCTTCAGAGCTCTTCTGGGAGAAATCATATATTATCTGACCCTATTAGTCATTTTCTTCTCAGTGTGTGTGTGTGTTTGGGGGGGTGTATTTTCCCTATTCAAAGAGTGGATTTATTTTTTAATGTTTCAAAATTTGGTAGACATAATTAGAAAGTCAAAACGCCCTGTGCGGAATTCCAAATAATTTATCTAGATACTCTACCCTCAAGGAGATGGTGTATAACTCCCCACTCTGTTAGTGTGGACCTTGTATAAGACTTCCTTCCAAAGATGACAGTGCAGAGAGGGGGAAGAAAGAGAAACTTTACAGTGGAGAAAACTGACAAACTACCTGAGCCAGGTGATTGAGGTCTATATCAAGTGATAAGTCATGTTCATACTATATGCCTCCCTTGACATGATGTGAGAAAAACTTTACCTCTGTGGAATTTTCCCTTCTGAAAACCCAAAGACCCAGTCTTACATTAATTATAAGAAAAACATCAGACAGGCCAGGCATGGTGGCTCACACCTGTAATCCCAGCACTTTGAGAGGCCAAGGCAGGCGGATCACTTGAGCTCAGGAGATCAAGACTAGCCTGGGCAACATGGTAAAACTGCGTCTCTATCAAAAATACACACACACACACCACCAACAACAACAAAAAAAATCAGACAAACCTCAATTGAGAGACATGCACAAAATACATGACCAATATGACTCAAAACTGTCAAGATCATGAGGAACAAGGGAAATCGGAGAAACTGTCACAGTCAAGAGGATTCTGGGGGATGTGATGATGAAATGTAACAGGGGATCCTGGATAGAATCCTGGGATAGAAAAGGGACATTAGGGCTGGGTGCAGTGGCTCACCCCTGTAATCCTAGCATTTTGGGAGGTCAAGGCAGGCAGATCACTTGAGGTCAGGAGTTTGAGGCCAGCCTGATCAACACAGTGAAACCCTGTCTCTACTGAAAACACACAAATTAGCTGGGCATGGTGGCGCACGCCTGTAATCCCAGCTACACGGGAGGCTGAGGCAGGAGAATCACTTGAATCCAGAAGGTGGAGGTTGCAGTGAGCCGAGATCAAACCACTGCACTCCAGCCTGGGCAACAGAGGGAGACTCTGTCTCAAAAAAAAAAAAAAAAAAGAAAAAGAAAAAGAAAAAAAAATTAAGGAAATCTGAATAAATCTGTTCAGTCCTTTTCTGGAGAACACTACTGTGTTCTTCCCAGGGATGCTCCAGTACCGCATTGGGGGTTAGCGTTAAAGCCTGGAGGCCACACTGGATGGCTAGATCTCAATCTTGAGCCCTGCCAGTGTCTAGCTGTGGGACCTAGGCAATTCCTTAGCTTCTCTGTGCCTCATATCCTCAAAGATAAAATCCTCAGGATTACTGGAAGGGTTAAATGTGTTACTATAAATAGTAAGCACCTTCTAAGTAGTTGCTATCATTATTATAAACATACAAGCAAATATATTTACACAACAAAAGTTTGAGAAAAATATCCAAAACTTGTAAATAAGGCCAAAAAATAAAGTTAGTGCCCTTTCAAATATATTTTAGATCATTGGCTAATAACCCCACCTATGGGTCATCTAGGGGAAGTTAACTTTGTTTGACATGCTATTAATATTTACTATTGATAAGGACCCAGGCTCTCTAAAAAGACAGATTAACCTGTTAAAGATTGATAAGTGGCAAATTATTTTGGTCTAGTAGAAAAAAATAAAAATGGTTATGGCTTTATTGCCAGGTGTCAATTAACTTTTTTGTGTCTAACTTTGCAATCTTATTCTAGCATTCATTTTTTCACTGATTGTCAATAATGGCTTTTCTTTTCTTTTTTTTTTTTTTGATCTATCCTGCTGGTTCACTCATTAAGTAGTTAAATAAATCTTAGTACTCGCTATATATTTGTCTTAGTCATGTTTATCTTCGTGAAAATTTTACTTCGACAAATAATAATATGCCATATACACTGTTCCACTCCTTAGTTATTTTTACTTTATACATCTTGATGGTAGTTTCATATCAGAATATAAACAGCTTCCTTAGTCTTATTTTAGAATACACTGTAGAGTATGCTCTGTATGGATGGACAGCAATTACATCCGTAATCAATCTAGCCTGTCCCTTACTGATGGACACTTCGGGTGTTTCCACTCTTTCACTCTTGCAAACAATGCTAGAATGAATGACCTTGTATATATATAGGTTGAGAGCAGATTTACTTAGGCAGAGGTGGATGGGGAGGCCGGAGGCACTCCAGAGGGGAAAGAAGCCCTGGGAGGGGCCTGATTACCTGTTCCCAGCCTGTCCTATCCCATCTTCCCCTACTTCTGTGCCATTCTGGCCTCCTCCTCCTGTTTCCTCTTCTCTATCCTGAGCTCCTGGTATCGCCAGAGAGGAAGGGCCAGACTTTGGTGTCCTGAAGGACTGGGCTTCGGCTGGCACTGGTGGGAGGATGAGGATGCCTTGGAGAGGAGGATCTTGGGGACTTGGGGCCTGGGGCTGGTGCTATCCCTGGGTTGTAGCCACTGAAGGCACTTGCTCAATATGCCCTGAGGGCTCTGGTAGGGGACGAAGACCCACGGGGACCTCTGGGGACTCCCTGGCGGGGACTGGGGAACCAGGGGAGGGGGCGGGGCAGTACCTAACAGCTCTGGCACGGACTTGCTTCGGGTGCCCAGCGAAGGTGGATGGTCAGGGCACAGAGTGTGGCAGGCAGTGGTGACGAAGGGACTGGCCAGGCTGGTTGTGGCAGTCACAAGGTGGTCCAGAACACCCCCCTCCTGAGGAGACGGGGCAAAGGGGAGGCTCAAGGTAGCCTGCAGCCGTTCTAGGAGTGAAGGGGCAACCTGGGCCTGGGCCTGGGCCTGGGCCACGAGCCCGGACAAGGCCGGCCACTCGGGCTTGTAGTGCTGGCTAAGCTGCTCCACTTGGGGCCGCCTCAGCAGCTGCCGAATCCTCCACACGGTGTCGAAGCTGTCGGTCAGCACTGCCCATTCCAGGGCCGTCTTGCCCCGAACAGGGTCCACTGCTGTCAGGTCAGCACCTGGGAAGGAGCACAGGGGGTGACATGGGGCGGGATAGGGGTTGGTGATTTGTGGAAGGGCAGATTCTTTAGGAGCAAGACTGATGTGGGTTACATTCGAAGCCATAGAGTCCCATCCTGTTGAAGGTGGAATCAGGGAGGCCAGTGTTGCAACCTCCTGTTTAAGAGAGATTAAGACACTTAGGTCCAGAGAGGGGAAAAGACTTCAGAGAGACCTATTGTGGGGCTCCACCTAGGGCAGAATAGGGATCTCCTCAATCCAAGGAGCTGAGCAGAGCAGCGGTGCAGGCTGCCCAGGACAGGCAGAGGCCTGAGCTGCACCCTCTGGGGCAGGTGGGTGGGGATGATCGGCTGGTTCCCTCTCCTGGTTCTTCTCTTCTCACCATCTCCCTCTCCCATCTTGGGGTTGTGGGAGGAGCAGTCACTCTAAGACAAAAGAAAGGGTGTAGAGCGCCCTCCTTTTTCATTCACTCCTTTTTCACTCCAAACCCAGTGGGGTGTGTGGGGAAGGGAAAAATGGAGGCAGGGGTCCCCCAGAGTGACCAGCAGAGGGCAGCCCCACTGCGGGGAAGAAGGGCCCCCAAACAACTCCATGGACAATGTGGACTTCACCGCACCTCCCCCTGAACGACCCCACAGAGCCACAGGCCTCAACGACACTTCCCTGGATCCCCTGGAAGCCTGGCTTGTCAGAGTTGGAGGTAGTCCCAGGGAAAGCTAACACCCTCACAATACTGGTGAGGCCCAAAGAGGGAAGCCACTCAGCTAGGAACAGGGGCTGGTTCCAGATGCCAGCCTTTTTTCGTGTTAGATTTTCCAGCTGGGCTAGGTTCCCCTCCCACACTTTCCTTCCTGGGACCTCCACACACAATGTCTGAGCTATCAATAGCAGGACTTGGTTGATTGTACGAAGCCCAAATCATGTGCCCCCCCCTCCAGGAAGGTGAACTAGATTGATCCCCCATCTCCACCTCTCTCCTTTCTGCAAATAATCACAGCTGACTTAGTGTCTGGTGGGAAGGCTTGGAGGAGGGACTGGAGGCCACACACCCCGGTCCAGGCCCCGCACACCTGCCATGAGGAGGGTGGCCACGCACTCACAGCGGTTCCGCATGGCAGCCTTCATTAACGCCGTGAGCCCCCGCTGGTCCCGGCGTTCCAGGTCCAGGCCCACATAGTAGTTGAGCAGGAGACTCACTAGAGGCACGTGGCCTGCAGGGCAGCAAGGGTAAGCTTGGTCCCCAGGAAAGGGGGTGATGAAGCTCCCAAACCGCCCTCCACCCAGCATGACAGAGTCTGGTGTAGAACACCGTGCAACAAGGGTGGGGCTGAGGCCCTGTCTGCATCAAAAGGGGGCTGTCGGAAGTGGGGTGCAGCAGCCTCACACCTGCTTGGGCAGCCAACATGAGGGCCGTGTCCCCTCCTTTGTCCTGCTGGTTCACATCAAGGAAAGGACAGTGGCTGAGCAGGGCCACAACACTCTGGAAGCCGTGGTAGCATGCGACCATGAGGCCTGTCTGAGGGAGGGGCAGCTCAGATCCCCTGCTTTCCCCCTGGGCCACTCCAGGGCCCCTTGCACCCTCTAAACCCATATCTGTCCCAGAGCCTGCCCCAAACCCCGTGAAGACCCGCCCTTAACCATTCCCTTCCTCCTTAGGACTGCAGGAGGTATTGCCCCTGAACCCCTCTCAGGGAGCCAGGCCAGGACGGTGTGGTGGGGATGCAAAGATGCCCCCAGCTGTTCTGGGAAGCCAGGACATCTCACCCTCCCATTGCTGTCCACCTGGGTGGCCTCCTCTGGGGAGACCCCACCATCCAGTATGGCTTGGAGCTGGGTGGGATCATTGTGGACACAGGCCCAATACAGGGCCCCCAGCCTGCAGCCTGGGGTGGGGGTCTCCTTGCCCGGGCAGGGCAGTGCCTCAGACATGTCCAGCCGTCTCCTGTGCAATGCCAGCTCTTCCTCTTCCAGGCAGGGAACCAGAAGGTGAGTCCCTTTTCTCATGCAGCTGGCATCTAAAACACAGAATGGAGAGGAGTAGTGAGTGTCTCCCTGGATCCTAGGGAGGGGACCCAGCAGCTGCGAAGTGCACAGCCCTTGCCCCAGGGAAAACATTTATCCCAGCAGGGGTCTCGCCCCATCCACCCTGAGAAAGGACAAGCGCTGGGTCAGGAGCCCTAAGCAAGCAGGGTTCACTCTAGGTCAGCACCCCAGTGAGACTCACGGAGAGAGGGTCGTCGTTTTTTCTTACTTGGGGTTCGTAGGGTATCTATGAGGCAGTCAACGCGGGGCACAGCCCAGGCTCCGCGGAGCACAATCACTGGGTCTCCGAATGCCTCCAGGTGGACTATCCCTCCCCAGGAAGCAACGCAGGTAACAGATGGCTGGACTTTCATAAAGAGCTGCTGCAAACACCTCGGGGCTGAGCCGGATCAAGCAGCTGGGACTGGGGCCCCATGCGGGGCGGGTGGTCACGTCTCAGGAGCGGACTCAGACCAGCCCCAAGATCCTCCGGGTGGGCGGGGCCTGAGCCGGGCAGCTCCTCCCCGCCGGGGCGGGCTCACAAAGACGACTCCTCCTGACGGACGCGCCCACTCTCAGCCTTGGGGACGCCGGCGGAGATGCTGCCTCGTGGGGTCTTGGCCCAACTTTTTAGGCCCAGCCTAAAGCCCCTCCTAATTGGGTGGAGCGCGACTTGCTGAAGGGGTGGTTGCGGGAGAGGGGGTGAGTGAATGCAGGTATCTCATTAAATAGGGTTGGTACTCTCAGAATGACCCTGGGGTGGGGTCTCCAGGGGGGTCACCTGAACTTATTTTTTGAGGTTCTGGGGAAATAAAAACATAATTGTCAAATTATGAGTATAGAGCTGGGCCCGGTGGCTCACGTCTGTTATCCCAGCGACTCAGGAGGCTGAGGTGGGAGGATCGCTTGAGCCCGGGAGGTCGAGGCTGCAATGAACCGATGTCGCGCCACTGAACTCTAGCCTGGGCAACAGAGGGAGACCTCCTTTTAAAAAAAAATTGTGGCCAGGCGGGGTGGCTCACGCCTGTAATCCCAGCACTTTGAGATTCCAAGACGGGTGGATTATCTGAGGTCAGGAGTTCAAGAACAGCCTGGCTAACATGGCAAAACCCTGTCTCTACTAAAAATACAAAAATTAGCTGGGCTTGGTGGTGGGCGCCTGTAATCCCAGCTACTCAGGAGGCTGAGGCAGGAGAATCACTTGAACCCGGGAGGCAGAGGTTGCAGTAAGCCGGGATCGCACCATTGCTCTCCAGCCTAGGCAACAAGAGCGAAACTCCTTCTCAAAAAACAAAACAAACAAACAAACGAAATTGTGAGTACCGACATTATGTGTCTAGTGCAGGTGGGCAGTCGGGGCACAAAGTGCGGCAGGCAGTAGTGAGGGAGGGATTGGCCAGAAATTATGATGTATGAAATTTAATAGATTAGTTTCAGTGTGATAAATTAAATATGAAATATTTAAATTAAATGATCTGTTAATATAATGATAAATTGTTATCAAAATATTCTTTAATATTTATATTACATATTAAGCTTGATGGATTGGTCTTGGTCCACAGATGTAGAAAATGGAGCCAATGATATTCCCCCATTGGTATCACTCCCATCATCAGACTGTACAAGACCTCTCTCTTGTTTTGTTTTACTTTCTTTAGTTTCTCTCTTTCACCCTTAATCCCCACATCCCATTCTCCTCCACCCTTTACCAACTGGCACTTGTATATCCTTGAAAATGTACATTTCATTGAAAAAGATAGTACTGATTTGTGTGTTTTTATTTTATTTTTTTCTTTTTAGAAACAGGGTCTTACTCTGTCACCTGGGCTGGAGTGGAGTGGCATGATCATAGCTTACTGCAGCCTCAAACTCCTGGGCTTAAGTGATTCTCCCACCTCAGCCTCCCGAGAAGCTACGAGCTTCTCGGAGGCACACAGGTGTGTGCCACCGCGCCTGTCTAACTTTTTTATGTAGAGATGGGGATCTCACTTTGTTGCCCAGGCTGGTCTCAAACTCCTGGCATCAAGTGATCCTCCTGTCTTGGCATCCCACAGTGCTGGGATTGCAGGCATGAGCCTCCATGCTCTGCTTGTATGTGTTTTTAACTAACATGTTATGAATTGTGCTATAGAACTTATTCTGTTAGTTTTTTCTTTTTCACTTAAGCTCCATCCTTATTGCTTTAGGTGCAGTGTATCAGTTGGATGTGCATTTGGTTTTTAGTAACCAAAAAGCTGAATGGTATGTTGTCCATAATAGACGGGCTCCTCAACATTAATCTAAAACTGCTTTCAGTGTTTCTTCTGCGCTGCAGAAGTTGGAAAGCTAAAACAACCCTTCCCAGATTCCCTTGAGCTATGACTCTGTGGTTTGCGTCCTGCTCTTGTGCAAGATATAAATTTGGAACAGAGCTACGTAGCATGGGACATCCGTTTTGCTGTCACAGGTCATGGCAGCAGCAGCAAGGCTCTGGTGAGCAGCTTCCTGATTCATCAGCTTCCTGTAGTAGTGACTGTTGTTTTCTCAATCACAGGCAGAGGTCATGTGACTCTCAAAGCTGGGGGTTGTTCCTGGACCTAAGCCTGCTTCTCCATCCCTTTCTGTTTAAACTGATCAGATTTCTTTCTTTCTTTCTTTCTTTCTTTCTTTTTTTTTTTTTTTTGAGACAGAGTTTCACTCTTGTTGCCCAGGCTGGAGTGCAATGGCGCGATCTCGGCTCACCACAACCTCCGCTTCACGGGTTCAAGTGATTCTCCTGCCTCAGCCTCCCCAGTAGCTGGGATTACAAGTATGTGCCACCACCCCGGCTAATTTTGTATTTTTAGTAGAGACGGGGTTTCTCCATGTTGGTCAGGCAGGTCTTGAACTCCTGACCTCAGTTGATCAGCCCACCTCGGCCCCCTAAAGTGCCGGGATTATAGGCGTGAGCCACTGCACCAGGTCCAGATTTATTTCTGTTGTCTGCAATTGAACTCTGACACATGTAGCTTAAACAAAGAGGTGCTTGTTTTTAATACATGATAAAAAGTTCAGGAATAGGAAACTGTTGATGTTGGTTAAGAAACTTGTCAGGGCCTTCTCTGGGATTCTCTTGACTTTTCCTCCTTGGCACAAGATGGCTGCTAAACCTCTAGCCATCACAGCAAAATGGGATAGATGCACCCTATGGAATTCTATACAGCAGTTAGAAAAAAATCTATCAGATGATAAACCAGACATCTCTGATTATCTAACACAATCCCTGTTCATAACTCCCCTTCTCTCTAGTTACCTTTCAGTTAGGTGTTATCATGTAATGCAGTTTTGGCCAATGAAATGCAAACAGAAGTCTGATGGATAGGGATTCTAGGAAAAAAGTTCATGCTGTTGTTGTAAATAAATTTTCAATGCTGCAAGGAAATAGCACTCGAACATAAATTTAATTTTCTCAGCATGGCAATTTTTACTTCTATAGAAGGGTGCGAGTCGTGAATGGAACAATGGCAAGAGCACACCTGGACAGGAGAGGAGAAGGAGTTCTTATTCCTGACACACGGCCCTACTGCTGTGGCGTTCCCCTATTGGCTAGGGTTGGACCGCACAGCCTAAGCTAATTCCGATTGGCTATTTTAAAGAGAGCAGGGATATGAGTTAGAGTGGCGGGGTGGGTAGTTTGGCGGGAAGGACAGTTAGGAACAGGGAACTAAAGGTGACTTAGATCAGAGCAGGTGACCAGGGTGACTCAGGTCAAAGCAGGTGACTGGGATGACTCAGGTCAAAGCAGATAAACGGGATGAGTCAGGATGGAGCAGCTGACCAGAGAACAGATGTGAACTACTGATTAGGACTAGAGGGAAAGTTGTTTACTAAAACCAGGAGCAAGGGAACGGAAGAGAACCAGGAAGCTAAACTTTAAAATGGATAATCAAAGAATAAGAGAGCTGAACATACTGACATACTGATTCTTTGAAGAGAAACTTGGGGTTCACTATAATTAACACTGTCTTGATGAAAGATGTAGAGTGCACCACTTTTTTTCTTTCTTTCTTCCCTCTTTCTTCCCTCTTTCTTCCTGCTTATAGAATTCCATAGTGTGCATCCACCTCATTTAGCCTATCCCTTCTTCCTGCAATAGATGCTTAGGTTGCCTCCAACTTCCTGTCACTATAAATAATGCCAAAGTGAACACCCTCATACGTATCTAGTTGTGGACCCATCGGGGTCTCTGAGATCACTAGATCACAGGGCACATACACACTTACTGAGTGGATACTCAGGTTGCACTCTGTTTCACCATGTGTGCCTACCAGCAGTGCATAAGAGTCTCCCTACGTCTTAGACAACACATGTCATTATTCAGCCTTCTAATGTTTGTCAATCTGATAGAACTATAAAGCGATATTGCTATTTTACATTGAATTTTTCTGATTATCAACAAGGTGAGCATCTCTCCACATGCCCTGCTGGCCAATCTTGTTTTCCCTCCTGTGAATTGACTGTTCATGGCCTTTGCTCAGTATTCTATTGAATTTTCCTATCCTTTTCTTATTGATTTTTCAGGAATTCTTTTAATATTCTAGATAATAAAGCCATTGTCAGATGGGTTATAGATGAGGCAACTGTACTATATAAACCCTTCTGTTAGCTTTATCTATGGTGACCTTCATTGAAATAGCTCCTGAATTTTGATATGGTTAAATTCACCAGAATTTCTCCTTATACTTTGTGTTCAGGGTCTTGTTTACTAAGAATTTTCTACTCCAAGATCACAAAGATCTTCATTTCTTTTATTAATCTTGCAGTTTTATTTTTAATATTTAGTCTTTAATTCATCTGGAATTCACTTTTATAATATTGAAGAAATAATCTGTTATAGACTAAATTGTGTCTCCCTCAACCAACCCCAATTCATATATTGAAGCCCTGACACCAAAAATGACTGTGTTTGGAGACAGGGCCTTTAAGGAGGTAATTAAGGTTAAATGAAGTTATTAGGGCAGGATAGGGCCCTAATCCAATAGAACTGTTGTCCTTATAAGAAGAGGAAGAGACACCAGAACTCTCTCTCTCTGTGCCTGCACAAGAAAAGGACACGTGAGGACACAGTCAGAAGGTACCATCTACAAGCCAAGGAGAGAGGCCTCTCTGGAGACCAATCCTGCTGACACCTTGATTTTGGATTTCTAGCTTCCAGAACTGTGAGAAAATACATTTCTGTTGTGTAACCCATCCAGCCTGTGTATTTTGTTAAAGCAACCTGAACAGACTAATAAAGGATCCAACCTTATTTTTTTCTCCATTTAGCAAGATAACTCCATCTATTAAACAATTCTCTCTCCCTTGATTTGTGGTGTCGTTTTTATCACATGTAAACGTTGAGTTCTCTTTTATGTTTTATGCTATGTTTCAGTTATCTTATAGCATCTTATGAGGGCATTCCTGTGCCAATGCTACACTGATTTTATTACTCTAGCCTTGTAGTCTCTCTGACTACCTGATAGAGTAAGTTCTCCATATCTGATTTTCTTTTTTGAAGTTGATTTTTATTCTCTCATGTAAAATTGCATATAAGATTGTTGGGTTCTTTTAAAATTTTTGCTACAGTTTTGATAGGCATTTATTTGAATTTATAGAGTAATTTGGGGAAAATTGACTGCCTCATAATGTTAGATCTTCTCTCCTCCCTGAACATGGGATACGCTATGATCTGAGTGTTTGTTTCCCCCAGAATTCATATGTTGAAATCCTAAGCCCCCAAGGTGATGGTATTAGAAGGTGAGACTTTTTAGGGGGTAGTTAGTGCCTTTATAAAAAAAGACCCCAGAGAGCTGCCTCACCGCTTCCACCATATGAGGACTGATATGGTTAGACTGTGTCCCCCAACTAAATCTCATCTTGAATTATAGTTCCCGTAATTCCCACCTGTCATGGGAGGGATCCAGTGGGAGGTAATTGAATCATAGGGGCGATTACTCCCATGCTATTTTGTGATAGTGAGTTCTCACAAGATCTGATGGGGTTTTTGTTGTTGTTGTTGTTTGAGACGGAGTTTTGCTCCTGTCGCCCAGGCTGGAGTGCAATGGCGCGATCTCAGCTCACTGCAAACTCCGCCTCCTGGGTTCAAGCGATTCTCCTGCCTTCCAAGTAGCTGGGATTACAAGCGTGCGCCACCACGCCTGGCTAATTTTTTTTGTATTATTAGTATAGACAGGATTTCACCACATTGGCCAGGCTGGTCCTGAACTCCTGACCTCAGGTGATCTGCCTGCCTTGGCCTCCCAAAGTGCCAGGATTACAGGCATGAGCTACCACGCCCAGCGATCTGATGGTTTTATAAGGGGCTTTTCCCCTTTTGAATGGCACTTCTCCTTCCTGCTGCCCTGTGAAAAAGGTTATGATTGCTTCCCCTTCTGCCATGATTGTAAGTTTCCTGAGGCCTCCCCAACCCTGCGGAACTGTGAGTCAATCCCACCAAAGTGCTGGGAATACAGGCGTGAGCCACTGCGCCTGGCCTCAATCTTGATAACACTTTACAGTTTAACATGATTTCCCTGACATAGCCCCGGCCTCTCCTCATCCAAGGCAGCTATAATCCTAGTCTCTTGTCCATTATTCTTTTGCTCTCCTTTATATATTGTTTTACTACCTCTTCATGTATTCTTCAGAGTATTTATATTATGTATATATACATATACAATTTTAGCTATTTTATTTAGAAGCATATAATGCTTTATGTAGTCATTTGCTGTCCACTTTTATCACTTAATATCATATTGCTAAGATTCATTCACATTGTTGTGTTACTATGGTCTACTCATTTTGATTGCTGTATAATACTCTATTGCGTTGATGTACCACAGTTATTATGCACTGTCTTTTTTTTTTTTTTTTTTTTGAGACGGAGTTCTGCTCTTGTTGTCCAGGCTGGAGTGCAATGGCGCGATCTCGGCTCACCACAACCTCTGCCTCCCAGGTTCAAGCAATTCTCCTGCCTCAGCCTCCCGAGTAGCTGGGAATACAGGCATGCGCCACCATGCCCAGCTAATTTTGTATTTTAATAGAGACGGTGTTTCACCATGTTGGTCAGGCTGGTCTCGAACTCCCGATCTCAGGTGATCCACCCATCTTGGCCTCCCAAAGTGCTGGGATTACAGGCATGAGCCACCACACCCAGCCTATGCACTGTCTTATTAACGGATATTTGGGATGTGTCCAAGTTTCTGCTATTATAAATTCTGCCACTATGAACACACAGGCATGGTTGTTTATGGAAAAATATTCCTTGATGGCCAGGTGTGGTGGTTCACACCTGTAATTCCAGCACTTTGGGAGGCTGAGGCAGGCGGATCACCTGAGGTCAGAAGTTCAAGATAAGCCTGGCCAAGATGATGAAACCCCGTCTCTACTAAAAATACCAAATTAGCTGGGCGTGGTGGCACATGCCTGTAATCCCAGCTACTCAGGAGGCTGAGGCAGGAGTATCGCTTGAACTCCAGAGGCGGAGGTTGCAGTGAGCCGAGATGGAGCCACTGCACTCCAGCCTGGGTGACAGGAGCAAAACTCCGTCTCGAAAAAAAAAAGTATTCCTTGAGTCCAGGCACAGTGGCTCACACCTGTCATCTCAGAACTTTGGGAGGCTAAAGCTGGCAGATTGCTTGAGCCCAGTAGTTTGAGACCAGACTGGGCAACATGGCCAAGCCCTGTCTCTACTAAAAATGAAAAAATTAGCTGGGCTCAGTGGCACATACCTGTAGTGCCAGCTACTTGGGAGGCTGAGGTGGGAGGATCACCCAAGCCTGGGAGGTTGAGGCTATAGTAAGCCAAGATTGCATGACTGCACTACAGCCTGGGCGCTGGATTGAGACTTTGTCTTAAAAAAAAAAAAAAAAAGAAAGAAAGAAAGAAAAAAAGTATTCTTGAGTGTATACCTACAAGTGGAATTGCTCTTATTTTCTAATTTTTTGAGATATGTGTGTAGCTAATTAATTTTCATCCTTTCTTCAAGTCTTTGAATATAAGCCTTATAGACCTTAAATTTCCCATTGAATACTACTTTAGTTGTTCCATTTTTATTTCCTCTTTGATCAATGAATTATTTAGAAATGTCTTTAATAACTTTCAAACATATGGAAATTATTTTTGTTACTTATTTCTAGCACTGTGGTCAAATCTTTAAAATCAATCGAGACTTGCTTTATAATCTAGTATATGATCAGATTTTGCCAAATACGTCATGTGTGCTTTAAAAGACTGTGTATTTTTCAGTTGTTCGGTGCCATGATGTGTGGAAAGTATTTCACTGGGTTCTGGCTTTCATTATCTTGTTGAGAGTTCAGTGTGTCTCCTTTAAAGATTGTCTTTTCTTTTTTTTTAAATTTAATTATTTTTTTTTGAGACAGAGTTTCACTCTTGTTTCCCAGGCTGGAGTATAATGGCACAATCTCGGCTCACTGCAACCTCCACCTCCCGGATTCAAGCGATTCTCCTGCCTCAGCCTCCCGAGTAGCTGGGATTACAGGCGCCCACCACCACGCCTGGCTAATTTTTTGGATTTTTAGTAGAGACGGAGTTTCACCATGTTGGCCAGGCTGGTCTCGAACTCCTGGCCTCAGGTGATCTGCCCGCCTCGGCCTCCCAAAGTGCTGGGATTACAGGCGTGAGCCACTGCGCCCGGCCTTCTTTTCTTAAGTCTTCAAGGTCTTCTTCTTGTCTTTGGTGTTCTTAAGTTTTACTTCAATGCTTAGGTATGGATTTCTTATGATTTACCTTTTTTTTTTTTTTTTTTTTTTGAGACAGGGTCTCACTCTATCAGGTGGTATCTCACTCTATCAGGTGATCCTTTCACCTCAGCCTCCCAAGTAGCTGAGACTACAGGCACCTGCCACTATGCCCAGCTAATTTTTTTTTTCTGTTTTATAAAAAGGAGGTCTCACTATGTTGCCCAGGCTGGTCTTGAGCTCCTGGGCTCCAGTGATCCTCTTGCCTTGGCCTCCCAAACTGCTGGGATTACAGGTATGAGCCACCACGCCCAGCCTAGAGATTTTTTTTCCCCCTGTGAGCTATTTATTATTTTCCCTAGAAAATGATGTTAGAAATTTCTTGAGGCTGAGGACTAAGGTATCTTCCTTCAGAGAATATGAAGTTTTTTTGTTTTGTTTTGTTTTGTTTTGTTTTTTCCTGCCAGGCATGTAGAGGTACTAACCAGTCCTGAACCACTTTAAACTAAATACCTAACTTGGATAGTTTTGGGTCATCCAGGGCTGCAAATAAGCGCAAAGATCAGCTGGTGGTTACAACTCAGAGATACAGCCTTGCTATCAGCTCAGCACTGAGGCAGCTTTCATTAAAGTCCTCTGGATGTGACAGCGGGATAGATTTATTTCAGGTTCAATCTTACATGAACGATGAATCCTTTGGAGTCATAGCTTTTTAGAGAATCTCCTATTAGATTCCTCACCTTGGTTCTATCAAAAATAGAGACTGTGAAATTTGAAGTTCAAGTTTGCCTAATTCGACAAATATCCTCACACTAAAGAAGGATTCCTTTGTCTGTTTCTCTGAGTTCCTGCCTTCCCTTAGACTTTAACCTAATACTTTCTTGCTATCTGGCCAGCACATCTACACTTTTAAAATAATTTGCGTATTTCAACCAGCATTTTTACATGACTTATGCTGAAAAATCAGTCCAGAATCCAGCCAGTCATATTATTGGAAATAGAATTTCCTCTATTCCTAATTAATTGCAAAAAAGCCCAATAGGAGACAGATGTGGTGGCTCACGGCTGTAATCCCAACACTCTCGGAGGCTGAGGCAGGCAGATCACTTGAGGCCAGGAGTTAGAGACCAACCTGGGCAACATGGCAAAACCCTGTCTCTATTAAAAATACCAAAAAAAAAAAAAAAAATTAGCCAGGCATGGTAGCCTGTGCCTGTAGTCCCAGCTACTCAGTAGGCTGAAATGTTGGCTTGAGCCTGGAAGATGGAGGTTGCAGTGAGCTGAGATTACACCACTGCACTCCAGCCTGGGCAACAGAGCAAGACCCCATCTCAAAATTAAATAAATAAATAAATAAATAAATAAATAAATAAATAAATAAAATAAAAAGCCCAATAGGAAATGGGCAAATAGCATGGTCAATTAATTCATAAAAGAAATACAAATGGCCAGGCCAGGCGCGGTGGCTCACACCTGTAATCCCAGCACTTTGGGAGGTGGAGGTGGGCAGATCACCTGAGGCTGGGAGTTTGAGACCAGCCTGACCAACATGGAGAAACCCTATCCCCAATAAAAATACAAAATTAGTCAGGTGTGCTGGTGCATGCCTGTAATCCCAGCTACTCGGGAGGCTGAGGCAGGAGAATCACTTGAACCCGGGAGGCGGAGGTGAGGTTGCAGTGAGCTGAGATCGTGCCATTGCACTCCAGCCTGGGCAACAAGAGCGAAACTCTGTCTCGAAAAAAAAAAAAAAAAAAAGAAAAGAAATACAAATGTCCAATAAACATATGAAAAGATGCTTAACCTCACAAATAGGCAGGAAAAGGCAAATTAAAATAACAATGAAATATTGCTTTTGGCCCATCAGTTTGGTAAAAATTAAACATTAATAATATGAAGTGCTTACACTGTGGGGAGAATGTAAATTAGTGAAGTATTTTTGGAAAGCATTTTGACAGTATCTATCAAAATAACAAATGTACATACACATTGACCCAGAAATTCTGCTTTTAGAAATCTTTTTCAAAACAGTGCTTGCATATGTGAGCAAAGATAGACTGAGTAGGCCTGGCATAGTGGTTCATGCCTGTAATGCTAGCACTTTGGGAGGCTAAGGCAGGAGGATTGCTTGAGGCCAGGAGTTCAAGACCAGCCTGGGCAACACACGGAGACCCTGTCTCTGCAAAATAAATAAATACAAATAAATAATAAAATAAAATTTAAAAAGACATACTGAATATACCTTGAAGCATTGTTTGTAACAGTAAAAAAAATTAGAAACAATTTAAATGTTCATCAGTAGAGGAAAGGTTAGAGGCACCTGTAGATTATGCCTCCATTCAATGCCTCCATTTATCTTCAAGAAGAAGATAAATATCTACATGGTTTGCCCTGAAAATCTCTCTGAGCCACCTTGTTCATGGTTGGAAAAAAAGCCAAATGCAATGACACACACACATACAAACACACAGGCACACAGTATACTGTATACATATATATACACACACATATACACACACACTTGAGGCCAGGAGTTCAAGACCAGCCTGGGCAACATAGTGAGACCCCGTCTCTACAATATACATATGCGTGTGTGTGTGTGAGAGAGAGAGAGAGAGTCTGGCTATTTACGTGTTTTTTGTAAATGCATAGAAAGAGCTGGAATGGTTTTTTTTTTTTTTGAGACAGAGTCTTGCTCTGTCTTTCAGGCTGGAGTGCAGTGGTACAATCATGGCTCACTGCAGCCTTGACCTCCCCGGGATCAAGCAATCCTCTCACTTCAGCTTCCTGAGTAGCTGGGACTACGGGCATGCGCCAGCACGCCCAGCTAATTTTTGTATTTTTTGTAGAGACGGGGTCTTGCTGTGTTGCCCAGGCTGGTAACTCCTGGGCTCAAGTGATCCACCCGCCTTGGCCTTCTAAAGTGCTGGGATTACAGGCATGAGCCACCGTGTCCGGCCAGAATGGTCATTCTTAACATTGGCGGCACAATGTAATCACTTAAGGACTTTTTAGAAATAGTGATGCCTGGAACCCACTCTGGAGATTCTGAGACTATTGGTCTGGGGCACAACCTGGGCAACAGGATTTTAAAAATCTCTTCATGTGATTCTAATGTACAGCCCAGATGGGGAACCTCTAGACAAAATGATGCTCTTTAAAACATGGTTAACTTAAAGAGGAGGAATAAGAGAAGGGTGAAGAAAAAGGTTTTTTGTTTGTTTGTTTGTTTGTTTTGAGATGGAGTCTCGCTCTGTTGCCCAGGCTGGAGTGCAGTGGCGCGATCTCCACTCACTGCAAGCTCCGCCTCCCGGGTTCACGCAATTCTCCTGCCTCAGCCTCCCGAGTAGCTGGGACTACAGGTGCCTGCCACCACGCCCGTCTAATTTTTTGTATTTTTAGTAGAGATGGGGTTTCACCATGTTAGCCAGGATGGTCTCGATCTCCTGACCTCGTGATCCGCCCGCCTCGGCCTACCAAAGTGTTGGGATTACAGGCGTGAGCCACTGCGCCCAGCGGGTTTGTTTTTCAAACTTGTATAATGTTTGAATCTTCCACCTAGATAATTACTACTTGGTAATGATAGAAAAAAATATATAAAAGAATCAGAAATATTTCCCTGTCTGTTTCCTTCTTTTCCTCTGCACACAGAGTTCGTCATCCCTTGGTGGTAGCTCTAATTCATTCATTCAATCACTATTAATTGAAAACTACTCTGAGTCAGGCACACAGTTCAGTGCTTGTGTTTTTCACACTAGTTATCATTAATCTCATTCTTGGCCAGGTGCCGTGGCTCACACCTATAATCCCAGGACTTTGGTTATCTCTGTGTCTCCCGCATCTAGTACCTTGTCGGCCATTCAGTAAATGTGAGTTCCCCTCCAGATTCTCCTCTGGCCTGAAGATCACCCCCAGCATCATGCAGGAGTGATGGTCAGGGACAAGAAGTCTTATTTTTGTTTGTTTGTTTGTTTTGAGAGGGAGTCTCACTCTGTTGCCCAGGCTAGAATACAGTGGCCCGATCTTGGTTCACTGCAACCTCCACCTCCCGGGTTCAAGTGATTCTCCTGCCTCAGTCTCCTGAGTAGCTGGGACTACAGGCGTGCAAATATGCCCAGCTAATTTTTGTATTTTTAGTAGAGACGGGGTTTCACCATGCTGGCCAGGCTGGTCTTGAACTCCTGACCTCGTGATCCGCCTGCCTCGGGCTCCCAAAGTGCTGGTATTACAAGGGTGAGCCACCGTGCCTGGCCTAGGGACAGAGTCTTTTTAACCTGTGCAGAGAGACCATAAGAACACGTAGGTAGGTGAATGGGGATTTCACATTTTGCTTTTCAAATCCTCTTTTCCCCAAGCCCAGAGAAGCTACTTCTAGCACCAATCACCCCAGCCTCAGCAAGGGTCTTGTTACTGCGAGGCCACTGTCAGCCAGCAGGTGGCAGGTCTGGGCAGGAATTGGAAGAGCATCCCCACCCCACAGGGCTTGAGGCTATAGCTGAGGGTTCTAGGGTCAGGTGCAGTGTCTGGGTCTTGGCAGGGCAGATGCACAGGAGGGTTGTGGGGTTCCGTTTCTGGCTCAAAGGAAAGGGAGTTATTTCTGTAGTTATTTCTGTATATCAGCTTTAGCCAACCTGGATGGGTACCCCAAGTGTGAGGATTTTTTTTTTTCAGGAGTCTTGCTCCGTTGCCCAGGCTGCAGTGCAGTGGCGCGATCTCGGCTCACTGCAACCTCTGCCTCCCAGGTTCAAGCAATTTTCCTGCCTCAGCCACCTGAGTACCCGGGATTACAGATGTGAGCCACCACACCCGGCTTACTTTTGTATTTTTTTTTTCTTTTTTTTGAGACAGAGTTTCATTCTTGTAGCCCAGGCTGGAGTGCAGTGACGCCATCTTGGCTCACGGCAACCTCTGCCTCCAAGGTTCAAGCGATTCTTTTCTGTCTCAGCCTCCCGAGCAGCTGGGACTATAGGCATGTGCCACCAAACCTGGCTAATTTTTGTATTTTTAGTAGAGACGCGGTTTTACCATGTTGGCTAGGCTGGTCTTGAACTCCTGACCTCGGGTGATCCGCCCATCTCAGCCTCCCAAAGTGCTGTGATTACAGGTGTGAGCCACAGCACATGGCCAAGTGTGAGGATTCTTCTACCTTCTACCTGCATTGATGCCCTGTCTTGAAGTGCCCTGTCCAGGCCTCCCTCCTCAAGAGGACTCAATAGGGATCCCTTCCCAGCCCCTGCCAAGTTCCCCAGGCCTGGTCTTGACCCTCTCTGTGTATGCCTTTGTTGATAGAAATGATTGTGGTAGTGGGGCATGGAGTTGTTGGTTAATGTGTAAAATAATGGATAGCTCCTGGATGACACAGGTACACTTCAGCCAGGGCCTTCTGCAGTCTCAGGCTGGTGGTCTTAAGGATTAAAAGCAAAGGCCCTTTATGGATTAACCTCCTTTGGACCTCTCAGCCGCTGGGGTCTGACAGGAGTTCACAAGGATGTTCCTTTGCCTGCCGCTCCTATTTCTCAATCACTCTCTTCAGTGTCTTCTGCTGGTACTCCTCTTTCTGTCTGCCTGTCATCCCCTTTTCTTCAGCTTGATCTTTCTCATCTCGCCATCTGGCTCTTTCCATCTCTCTCTCCCTCTGATGCTCTCTCTTAAGCCCTGATAACATACACTGCTTGCTCCCTAACTTGCTCTCTGACTGCCGTGCGTAATCTCCAGCCATCTAATCCTTTGGGCTGGATTTTTGCCCAGAGTCTTGACTTGCGGAATTCAATCAGAAGAGAAGGTGGTGGGGCGGGGGGCGGGGGGGCGGTGCAGGGGCAAATCTACAGAGAAGGAACTCAGGAAACTTTTGAGTCTGGTTTGGGAACAAAATACTGTGTCATCTCATCCCTTTCTTTTCTTCTGGGATCTTTTTCCAGCAGAAGCCCCTCTCCTCCCAGCCTCCAGGCTTGGTGGCAGTTACAGCTGGAGCCGGCAGTCAGTGGGGAAATGGCCCAGCCCAGCTGAAGGACTAGGTAGATGCAGGATGGGACCCAGCAGAGCAGGGCAGAGAATGGAGGAGGTGGCCTCTGACCCCAGCTCTGGCCCTTTCTAGGGGTCCTGTGTGACCTGCCATAGGTCATGCCCCCTACTCCCGAATCATGATCTGCATCACAAAGCCCACAGCTTGTAACTCAGAGCCAGCCAGGAAGGTCTGGGATTGATTTAGGGTCCACTCTGACCAGCTCACCCTCACTGGACTATGACCCCTTGGGTGGGGGTGAGGACAAGGGTCATGGGTGAAGTTCAGGCAGGGGTGTCCTGACCACCACTACAGCATACCTGTTGCAAATCCTTCTGCACTCCTAGTGGACTGGAGGGGAGGCCTGGGCACATGAGTTCAAGGTTCTCGCTAAATAACCCATTCCCTCTGGCACAGCTCAGGGCCACGGTGAGGGAGCCACGGTCATTGCCTAGTGGGCGTTCAGGGACAGCATTCTCAGGAATCAGGCTCAAGGTGTCTTACACAGCAGAGAGAGCTTCATTGCCCACCAAAAGGGCAGTCAGTTAAGTCCTACGTAAGCCCTTCCACCCATCACCACCAACCGCAGTTACACTGAGCTGCTCAGAGCCAGTGTACATTTTTGTTTACAAAAATTTTTACATTTATGTTTAGCCTGATATATTTCATGTTGTCAGTTTCCATTCATCCACCATTCCCTTCTGGAGATATCACTGAAGAATATTCTCTACTCTGAGTATTTCACTTTTTTGACCGTCATCCACAGTAAATACATTTACTTCTGGACCCAGGACACATGAATGCACATGTAACTACAAGCAGCGTTTCCTGAAACTGTAAAGCACTGTTATGTTTTCTACTCTATTCTGTTTTGTTGTAAGGAAAAAAAAAGTTTTTAAAATGATTCCGTCAACAACTAGTGGGCCGGCACTTAGAGTTTCCAGTAGATAACCTCTTACATCTTTACACCTTCGCAAGTCTTTAAAGCCCATCTTTCAAACACAGAATCCATATAATCTTCATAAAAGCCAGTGAGGAAGATAAGGCAGGGTTTTTCATTGACCCATCTTACAGATGAGAAAACAGAGACTCTGTGAGATCTGCTGAAGATCACCCAGCTGGTGTGTGGCAGGGATGGGATTCTGAGTCAGGTCTTTTGTACACCTGTTCATGGTGCCCTAATACCCCTAATACCCCGTCGCTTCTCTCTTTCCCTGTCCTCTGACAGCCTCCTGATTGAGGTCATTGTCTGTTTCCAGTCCGAAGGCCATCTCCTTCCATGGGGAAGATGGAGAGACACGGCAGCTGAGTAATTTTGTTTCCCGTCATCTGTTAAACACCGCACCATCTGTCAATTCCACCCTCAGCCTCCCACCCACTACCCAGAGGCCAGCGTGGGGGAGGAGGCCATTTTCTTAGAGTCTGAGCCTTCAGGCCCACTCCCACAAAAAGACTCAGAGTACCCACAAAAAGCTCATTTTTCAGCTCAGAACCAACAGCTGTGGACTAGAATTACAGGGGGCAGCACAGGAACAAGATTAAGGACTTTCTGAGGTCAGAGGTATAACGCAAGGTGAGTCACCCCTCCCTGACCACCAGGTCTTGTCTTCATGCCCCCCGCAGCTCCACCCCCCATCTTGCTGAGGATCCAGAGCTGTGAGGAAGGTGAGCTGATCCCAGCAGCAGGAGCCCTGCAAGCCGCTTCAAGTGCGGCAAAGCGAGTCCATCTTACAGGGGCCTGGGCAGATTTATGGGGCCTTGGGTGTGGCTGGCTGTTGCTCAGCTTCCGCCTTTCTAATTCTCCCGTCTCCTCCATCACCCCGCCCCCTCCTCAAGAAGGCCTTTGTGCAGGACAATGAGGAATCTATAAATTCCGGGGGACAGGGATGGGGGGAGGGGAACACTGGTCACTTCAGCTCCCCCCGTCCACCCTGGGGGCCCTGCATAGATAGCAAGGAGGGGCTTCCATGGAGTGGCCCCATCTTGTCTGATTCACACTGGAGCCCAGAGACAGAAGTGGGCCAAGCCCCACCACTGGCTTTCACAGATGAAGAAACTGAGGCTCAGAGGCAGAGGGCGTCTCCAGTCCCTGCTTCATTCACTCTGCCTCTCACTCATGTATTCATTCTCCTCCTCTTACCTATGCCCTGGTCCTTCCCTCACGCAGGCATTCACTCCACAAATACCTATGGAGTTCTAGATGAGCACCAGGCCAGGTACAGAGGGGGCAATGGTTGGTGAGACCCAGCCCCTCCACCAGCCCCCCACTCTGGAGGGTCATACAGCAGTGAGCTATGGTTCCAGAAGAGCCAAAGCATAGCTCCAGCCCCAGTTTTCCCGGCTGGCAACCTGCACCCTTTCATCAGCAAGCCCTACACGGCTTTCATGAGCATTTTGGAGTTTGATCCTGGTGGGGTCCCTGGGAGACAGGTATTATGTACGCCTCCCCCACCATTTTGCTAATGTGGTCTCAAGAGGGTAAACGGTTGCCCTCTGGTGGGCAAGATCACCCCTCTGGTGGGTAGCAGAACTGAACCAGGAACCACCCTCCGCACCACTCCAAGTGCTGTGGGGACTCAGAATATGGGCGTGGGCTGAGGCTCAACTTCCTCTTCTACCACTTGCCCAGCTGGCCCTGTGCCTGACCCCCATGCTGAGCTTTCCCTGGTGTTCTTCCCATCTTCCCACAGTAGTTATTAAATGTCCCAGGCTCACCCTGATTTCTTTACCCCACTCATCTATCTGTTGGATAGTAATAATGAATTCAATGCTTATGCTGCCTGTGTGTTGTGGTGTGGATCTGTGTGTGTGGTATATCTACTTGTAAACTGAGGCTATTAGTGTCTACTTCACAGGAGGATGGAATGAGTTAAATTAAACTAAACTATGTAAAGGACTTAGAATGATGTCTGGCACAGTCAGCTGATTAGCTGTCAGCCAAGATTATTGTTATAGTAAGCCATGGGTCTGCCCATGTGTGCAAAGCATCTAGGTGGGTACCAGGTGAGTACAGGTGTTTGTAGCTGGCCCCACCCAGAGAGAAGCCCTCTCGGAGGTGACCAGATGAACTAGCATCCAGTTTGGTCCCAGGGACTCCTTTCCTGGAATGTATGGAGCATGTACTGAGTGCTTCTTGGTTTGCACCAGGCATTGTGCTAGAGAACAAGAAAGACAAGGTCCCCGCGTTCATGAAGCTGACATTCTGGTAAGTGAAACAGACCACAAACCAAGTGAATAAGAAAGATAATTACAGAATGTGGTGAGTTCAGTGGAAGAAATATATAAGGTTAAGTGACAGACTGGATCAGGCAGATGGGGCTGCTTTATTATTGTGGTCAGGGATGATGGGAAGGTGACGTTCCTGGGAAGGATCTGGGCAGAGCGATCCAGGAAAAGCACCAGCAAAGCCAAGGCCAGAGGTGGGGGAAAGCTTATCAAGTTCAATGAACAGAAAGGCAGCCAGTGTAAGCAGTGTCTGGGCAGTGGGGAGAAGGATAGGAAGAGAGGTCTGTCTGTGTAGGTAGGGGCTGGGGGAAAAGGTTTGGGCTTCCTTTGCAGGGAAGCTGTGGGTGGCTGTTAAGCGAGGAATCACATGCCCTGGTGTTTTCCTGATTTGTATTTTTAAAGGTCTCTTTGCCTGCAGTGTGAACTGATTGTTGGGGACCCTGGGAGAGCGGACAGGAGTCTTTTCGATTGTGCAGGGAAGTAACAGGAGCTTGGGCAGTTGAGTGGGGGCAGGGGCAGGGGCTGTTTTAGGAACTATGTTAGAGACAGAGGAACAAGATTCAGGGTGAGGGTGGGAGAGGAATTCAAGAAGAAAGAAAGGCCCAGGGAGCCCAGATGATCCAGTTGTTTCTACTCTGGGCCAGGAGAGTCCCCCTGTCCTCTTTAGCCCTGGCCCTGACCCACAGGGGCCAACCCTAGCCATTTGCTCTCCCACTGTGTCTACCCTCAGCAGCCCTAAATCAAGGGCAGGCCAGGCTGGCTCATCCGAGACCTTTGTGAGAAACGGTGCCCCCTGCCCTCCTTCAGAACGAGTCAGCACCTGCCAAGGCCGAGCTTGGAATCCCACTCACCCACAACCACGCCTCCCACCTTGTATAGGTCACAACCTGCACAACCGTACAGCTCCCCTCTCCCTAGCCTGGGCCACTGGCTCGACCTGAAAATCTTCGGAACTTTGAGGACCTAAAGGCCCGGAGCTGGTTGCGGCCGGCCCTGGCCTGAAACAACTCTGGGGGTGGGGGCGGCCGGAGACTCGGCCTTTCCAAAGGGAATCTCTCAGCCCTCGTCCCGGGAGAAGGAGGTGTCTCCACCGGGCCCTCACATCACTCTCCCCTAGAAGCTGGGATGCCCGCGCCCCGGCGGCCAGAGCCGCCCCTCCCGGACCCCCTCCCCGCCGGTTCCCGGCCGGGGAGGCCGCCGCCCCTCCCGCAGGAGCGAGCTGCCGAGCCGATCTTCCGGCCCCAGGCTACGGCGGGGGAGGGTCCGAGCGGTAATTGCTGCCATCTGCTCCCTCCTCCCTCCTCTTCCCCCACAGCCTGGGGGAGGCTCCGAGGCTCGCGCGCTGGCTCCGCGCCCCCGCGTCCGAACGTCCCCCTTTCACGCGCAGCCCTGGCCACCGAGGGGCGGGAGCTCCAGGTGGCCCGCGAGCCCCCCTGGGGCGAGTGCGGGGGTGAACCGAGAGCACCCACCAGCATCTCTTTGCTGGAGGGCGGGCCCTAGTCGGAGCCACACAGCATTGCGCGACAGAATCCCACCGCTGGGGTTCTGCTCCTCGTGGAGCCAGGCCTTGGGAAGCACGGGGGTGTCCCTCGGCCACTCGCTCGGCTGGCGTGCACACGGGTGGATAGTTCACGCCCGCCTCGGGATACGGACGTGTGGATCTGGATTTCGGACCTGGACAGACGCGTCCGGGGTGTGTGTAGGAGGGAGGAGCAGAGCCGAGGCCCGAGGCTGAAGCCGGTGGGGAGGAGGCAGGACTCTGCTCTTCGGGCCCGGCGGGCTGGAGTTATCGTCGGCTGGGGAACCTCGGGCAGCGCTCAGAGCCGTGTCCTCATCTGTTAAATGGGGACCCAGTACCTGCTTCTTGGGTGCATCCAGAGGATTTGATTCCACAGTCTGGGAAGCAACACCTGCGGGTGGGAGAATGGTTAGGCCAGGAAGAGGGAGTGTGGGCTGGGGATGGGAGGTTGGTATCAAGGCCATTTCCTGGGGTCTCCAGCAGCATGGGCTTCAGAGGGTGAAGATGTCTGATGACAGTGCTGGGGGGCATTGGAGGAGTTCGGGAATGTTTATGGATCACCCCCAGGCTATCAGAGTCTCAAATAATCTGTCGCATTTTTCTCATAAGAACACTTTTGCCTAGCACCCTGAGTTCTGATGTTTTGCTCCTCTTTTTTTCTTCTGGATTTCTGCTCACTAGAATACTCACAGGGTAGCAGAGAGCACCTGACTGCCCTGGTACAGGAAGCCACTCACCCCGGTCCGCTGGTGACACAGACAGCCGTGCTGCCCAGGACCCAGAAAACCTCACCTTGTGGCACAGAAGGTGCCCGCTGCCTCCCTCTCTTGTAGCCTTGCTGACTCCGACAAACCTGTGTTTGTCTCAGAGGCCAGCTCCTGCAGGACTGAACTACGCCTCCTTCCCCTAACCGTCACTGCCACCAGTCCGATGGCCTGACTCCTCAGCACAGTGAGCCTTGGGGTGCCGAGAGCAGGCCTCCTCAAAACCCTGGAGGGGCTGTCACTATAGGGAGGGGATACATTGTGAGAATTCTGGAATCACAGGGACCATTGGACAACCTGAGGGTAACTGACTTCTGCAGGGGTCAGGAGGATGCCCCAGAGTCAGTGGCTTCTGGGCTGGGGTTGGAGGGAGGAATAAAATAAAAGTTCACCAGGGCCGGAGGCTCGGCCCCAGGGAGGATTATTTGAGGCCTGAAGTTCTGGACCAGCCCAGGCAACACAGTGAGATACCATCTCTGAAAAAAAAAAATTAAAATATTAGCCAGCTGTGGTGGTACGTGTCTGTAGTCCTACCTACTCTGGAGGCTGAGGCAGAAAGATTGCTTGAGCCCAGGAGTTGGAAGCTGCAGTGAGCTATGATTGTGCCACTGCACTCCAGCCTGGGTGACAGACTGAGACTCCATCTCTAAAAAAGTTTAAAAGTTCACCAGAGAAGGAAGAGAAGTGGTGCTCCAGGAAGAAGGAGCAGTGTGTGCAAAGATGGGAGTGTGAAAGTCCAGCTGCAGCCTGGGGAAGCATGGCAAGTGTGATGTACCTGCAGGAAGAGTGTTGGAGGGGAGGAGTTGACTGGGATATGGAGGGGAACCATGTGTGAAGGGAGTCTGAAGGGACACAAATACCAGGTCAAGGAATTTTGACTTGAGTTTGTTATAACAAATTGAAGTATCTGCAGGAAGGGGTAGACAGGAACAAAAATGGCCAAACACATGAAGCTGACAAGAAGTAAAATAAGAAGGCAAGGGCCAGCCTAAGTGATAAAAAGGCCATTCACTCATCTGGGCCTCAGACCTGGGAGACAATAGGGATTGGTGAGGTTTCCAGAATTCCCTCAATGGTGCATAGGTAAGCCCCAGGGATACCTTGTAAAGGCCACAGTTGTTACTCAGCCCCAGCCACTTGTTGCCATCCAAGAATGCAAACATATTGCCAGTGTTTTCAAGAAAATTTAAAAATAGAGCGATGTGCACTATTTAAAAATAGTGACTGGAGCCTGTAATCTCAGCTACTCAGGAGGCTGAAGCGGGAGGATCACTTGGGCCCAGGAATTAAGGCTGCAGTGAGCTATGATTGCACCACTGCACTCCAGCCTGAGGGACAAAGCAAGACTCCGCCTTAAATTTTTTTTTTTTTTTTTTAAACAGGGTTGCACTCTGTCACCCAGGTTGGAGTACAATGGCACCACGCCACTCAGCTTACTGCAGCCTCTGCCTGCTGGGCTCAAGCAATCCTCCCACCTTAGTCTCCTGAGTAGCTGGGACTACAAGCACACACCACCACACCTGGCTATGTTTTTTTGTTGTTGTTTCCTTTTTTTTTTTTTTTTTTTGTAAAGACGCGGTTTCGCCGTGTTGCTCAGGCTGGTCTCTAATTCCTGGGCTCAAGTGATCTGCCCACCTCGCCTTCCAAAGTGCTCTGATTACAGGCGTGAGTCACTATGCCCAGCCAAAAAAAAATTTTTTTTAATAAATGTAGATTTTGGTGTTGCCTCCTGGCTTTTAAATCTTGACAACTATTTTTAAAAAAGTTTAATTATGTGAGTGCCCTAACTACACAGGACACAAACATAATGGGACTAGATTTGGCCCACTGGCCACCAGTCTTCAATGGCTTCAGAGTTGCTGGAAAGCTATTGGAAGTTGTGCAAGGAGGGAAACAATCCGAATAACAGGCCTGAGTTTTAGGACACTCGCTCAGGGGCAGTGTGGAGGAATGGACTGGTAGCAGAAGGTGAATGGGGGCAGTTGCAGTTGTCCAGGCCAGAGGGGCTGAGGCCTGAACAAAAGTGGCTGACCGGGAGATGGGGAAGACTCCCCAGGCACACTGTAGGGATCTTCAGGGATTGGCCCACCCTGGGAAGTTAAAGGTTTAAAGTCTCCTATCCCTTTGTCCCCTCTGAGGGATTGCAAAACATCATCATCTAGTGGGTGGAGAGGCCTATTTAGAGTTGGATACCCCTGGAAATTCCCAAGGGTGGGTGCTGGCAGGCCACCCCATGGGGCTAGTAAGACATTCCAAACTGCCTGCAGAGGGAGGGGTTGTCCTGGGGGAGGGGCTCAGGAATCTGGCCTGGCCTTCAGGAAGACCCCAGCCAGCCCTAATGGGAACCACACGTGGGGTGAGTTTGGAATCCCGGATTGCCTGTGACGTTTGGCTTTGGAATCGGACACTTGGCTGGGGTCGCTCCTGACCTGCTGAAGTCTGAGGCCTCCCAGCCCCAGCTCTCCTCCTAATCGCTGCCAGACGCATTCTGCCCTGGGGCCTGCCTGGTTTCTGGAGAGAGGGTGCTCCTTGGACCCCACTTGCTGTAAGATCATCATCTACACCCTGGGGGAGTAGGGGTCCTCAGGCAGGAATTCCAGGCTTCCTGCACGGCCAAGGGTTGATGCTCTCAGAGATTGCCGACCAAGAAGTTCCTTCCAGTGTCCATCAAAACAGTATTCCCTGAATTTACAACCCTCTTGGAGTCCTGATGGCTTCTGGCCTTGCAGAGACCGGTACCCTCAGCCTCCACCCCTCCCCTGCAGCGTCTGCGGGTGCTCTGTGGCTCTGGCAGTCGGAGCCTCCCCCCATGCCCCACAGGGTTAATTCCTTGCACCATCCTCAGGCACTAGGAGCAAGGAGCAGTCCAAAGGGCAGGGGACAAGCCCTGTGAACAGGTGGTTTGCTCCTGAGGAGTCCTTGAAAATCCAGAGGAGGGAAATGAGTCTCTCCTAGCACACTTCCCAAGACTTTCTCTTCCTCCCGACCCAAATACCTCCTTGTCTGAGGACTAGAGCTGCCGCGTGAAGAGATGTGTCAATACATCATAGAGGGCCTAGAAAAACTCTTGGTCTTTATTTGAGTGGCTCACCCAGTCCTTGAGCCATGGCTGTCATCACATCTGCTAAGCCCTCTTCATAACCCTCTGACTATTGTGTGTGTGTGTGGGTGGAGGATGCAGTTTCTGCTTAAGTCCCTGACACTCCCAAGGGCCCCCTCAGGCCCAGCCCCCTCCCCCTTGGTACCCTCTTTGAGAACTTCCAGGCAGCCTGCTCAGCATCAGGCCAGGGGCCCAGGAGCTCGGACAGGCTGCATTCCTGAGGGCAGGGAAGAGGAGGGGAGGACTGTACAAAGCCCACTACTCCCTTCCAGCACACACCCGGAGCTGCCCAGACTGATGCTCTCTCTAGCCACGCTGAGGATGGCCAGTGTAGCTCCATAAAAACCCGGCAGTAGGGCCAGGGAAGTAGGGGCTCTTCTAAAGATTAAGCCTTCTGTGCCCTGGAGCTCTTCCACTCCCGGTGGGACCTAAGGTTCCAGCATGAATAGGAGCTCATGGTGGGCACTGGGTAAAGGGTCGTGCGGCGAGGTGACCAGGCGTTGAGCAGACACAGCCCCCTTGGCATAACTTAACATTCCTTCTGCAGGGCAGCTCAGTCTCCCAAAAGTCTCTAGAGAGGGCGCAGGGACCTCCAGAGAGAAATCAGACCCAGCCGAATGGAAGCCCGGCAGCCGCTGCAGAAGCTGACAGCACGCTGGGGAGGAGCGGCACCTCCTCTGGAGCTGAGGATTCGGGTAGTCCCTCCAACCCAGTCCGTCCCCATCCCCCAGCCCGATTTCGGGAAGCTCTCCCAATGAATATTTAATAGCATAGCGCTAGGCCTGATTGAATTTTAATGCTGGCGACCCGAGCCCGGAGCCCAAGTCCAGGCAATTAGTCAGGAGCCATTAACGCTGACGGAGCTGATTTACGGGCGGGACCGGGCCCCGGGCCGGGGGCGCCCAGGATGGCGGGCGGCCGGGGATTGGGCGGACTGAGCCTCTGCGGCAGCCAATCTTTGCGGCTGCCTCGGCCTACTTTGCATCTCATTTGCATAGCGCTCCCAGGGGCAGCCCGGGGCACGGCCTGGGGAGGCCCTGTGCCGGGGGTCTGGGAGGCGGGAGGGTGATGGGGAGTGGGGCCCAGGCGTGGCCCTCCTCCCGGGGCCGGACTAGAATTTATGGCAAAACCTCTCTCGGTTTGCACGTGGAATTCCATCAGACAATCCCGCTGTTCCCTGGTAGGGTCCAGGTCTGAGGGCAAATTCCAAAGGCAACGGAGGGGAGCAGAGACCAGGGCCGACCTGGAAGCCAGGCAGCTCCGCTGCGTCTCGGGACCTAACAAAGGGCGCCGCGGTTAGCAGAGGGAGGAGCCTTTCCCGCCCTTGCTGTGTGCCAGGCGCTGTGCCTGCCTAAATCTCCACTTTCCTGCCCTGCTGCCCACCCCCTCCCGGCCCCGCCCTCCTCCCCCGGCCTCTCAGAGGGGGCATCTACGCTGATGGGAATGGAGCTGGTGGTTTTCAGGGTTTTTGTGGTTTTCAGGCTGGATTATGCCCCAGAAGGCTAGGGAGGAAGCCAAGGGCCCTCGGAGGAGACGGCCCTCCTCTCCGCCTTGCCCCTCATCCCTCTGACCTGTGTGAATGAGCTGGGACTCAGCCTGGAGGGCTCTATTGAACTATGCCCGACCTCTTAAATCATAGGTCAAGGATTTAGCTGGCCTGTCTGCTGCCACTCTGGCAGGTGGCCTCCTCCTCGCCAGCCCCACCCCTTTCCCAGCGGGTCCACGGAGCTGTGGTGGTGCTGCGGTGGAAGGCGGCATCCTTCCCTTTGCAGTCAGGCGTCCCCATGGGGTCAGACCTCCCTTGAGCTGGCACGGAGAAAGCCCACGGTTTGTACTGGGGGCATGGGCAATGGAGTAGGGTGGATAGAGCTCTGGGCTGGAAGGCCAGAACCTACACGGAGGCAGTGGGGAGGTTGGCAGAGAATGGAGAGACATTAGTCAAGGAAGGCTTCCTGTTAGAGGCAGGGCAGAGTAGAGACTGGAAGGGAGGGAGGGAAGGGGTCAAGGAAAAAGGAAAGGAGAAGAAATCTTCCACAGGGGATCATCCTGTTTGAGGCAAGAGAGAGTAAGCTGAAAGCCCAAAGAGCCTCACGCTGAGTTTGGTATTCTAGTGCAGAGGCTCAGCAGGAGGCTGCCCTCCTAGGCCTAACCCGAAGACGCAGGCTGTGAAGGGATGAAGGGATGATGACCTTATTATCACCGTTTAAGGAGTACCTGCTATGTGCCAGGCACTATGCTAAGCACTGCCAATATATTGTTTCATCTAATCTTGTTTTTTTCTTTTTGTTATGTTTCATCTAAAGTTTTGTTTTGTTTTGTTTTGTTTTGTTTTGAGACGGAGTCTCGCTCTGTCGCCCAGGCTGGAGTGCAGTGGCTGATCTCAGCTCACTGCAACCTCTGCCTCCCGGGTTCAAGTGATTCTCCTTCCTTAGCCTCCTGAGTAGCTGGGATTAAAAATGTGCACAACCACGCCCAGCTAATTTTTGTACTTTTAGTAGAGACAGGGTTTCACCATGTTTGTCAGGCTGCTCCCAAATTCCTGAACTTGTGATCCACCAGCCTCAGCCTCCCAAAGTGCTGGGATTTTAGGCATGAGCCACTGTGCCCGACCTCATGTAATCTTTATAGCAACCCAATGAGCTAAGTATTTTTAGAATTCCCATTTTACAGATGAGGATACTGAGGCTCCGAGAAAGGTGGTAGTTTGACCCAGATCACATAGCTAGTGGGTGGCAGAACGCTTGCTCTTGTCCACCACGCCGTACTGCTCACAGATACCTCAAACTTACACTTTTTCACCCCCCAAACCTGTTTCTCCTACTGTATCTCTTCTCTCCTTTTACCGGCACCTACCTGGTGATGAAAACAGATCCTGCATGTAATCTTTGCCAAAAGCCTGAGAAATGATCCCATCCACATTGTCACCCATGCCCGAGTGCTTGGCGTTATCGATCATTTACAGTCCCAAAGGTTTCTAAGTTCTGTTCCCTCCTCTCTGCCTGCCCCTGCTTGGTTCAGGCTCAGGTCATCCTTGCCAGGGCCAGGGGAGGTACACCACATTGAACCTCCGTCTGCGCCAGGCTCTGTGCTAAGAGCTTTCAGGCATTGTCTCTGCATCAGCCCTCTCCAGAAGCCTAAGACTAGGTCCTTTGATTACCAGGGTCTCCATTTCACAGATGGGCTGGGGAAGGTTGGGGAACTGTGGGAAGAAATCCCCAGCTATACTGGGCCTGATGGTGGAGCAGCAAGCAGACCCCACCGGATCAAGCGCGCTTCAGAGTCTCTTGCCTTCTCAGCTGCTCTTCAAAACCCACTTCCCCAGGCTGGTTCTGGATGCCTCTCCTCCCCCTTGACATAAAGGTGTTTTGGGCTTCCAGCTATGAGAGACCCAACTTAAAAATGGCTTATACAGCATTTATAATGTCACAAAACAAGAAGTCCCAAGGCTGTTGGTGAAGTCAGTGGCTCAACAGTGTTATCAAGGACCTAGGTTACTTCTGTACTTCTTTGTTTCTTGTTTGTTTGGTTTTCTTTTTCTTTCCTTCTTTCGTCAACTTTATTGAAATACAATTTATATGCAGTAGGATGCACAGATTTTATTTTATTGTTTATTTGTTTATTAAGACAGTGTCTCCCTCTGTCACCTAGGCTGGAGTGCAGTAGCACAATCACAGCTTACTGCAGAATTGACCTCCTCGGGCTGAGGTGATCCTGCCACCTCAGCCTCCTGAGTAGCTGGGACTACAGGCATGCACCATCATGTCTAGCTAATTTTTGTGGTTTTTGTAGAGATGGGGTGTCACCATGTTGTCCAGGTTGGTCTCGAACTCCTGGACTCAAGAGATCTGCCTGCCTCGGCATCCCAAAGTGCTGGGATTATGGGGCATGAGCCACTGTACCTGGCCAGGATGCACAGATTTTAAAACTACAGTTTGATGAATTTTGACAAGTGTTTACCTGGTCACCACCATTCCAATCAAGATGTGGAATATTGACATCATGCAGCAAGTCCCCTCCTGTCCATAGGCAGTCAGTCCCCCCATCCCCGGCCACCTCCTGCTACAGGTAATCTGATGTTTACCTCTAGATCAGTTTTGCATATTCCAGGTCTTCCTATGAATGGAATTATATTGTATGTACTCTTCTGTGTCTGGCCCTTTGGCTTCAGACAATGGTATTGAGATTCACGCATTTTATTGTATCAGTAGTTTTTTGTTTTTTTTTTTTGAGATGGAGTCTCGCTCTGTCACCCAGTCTGGAGTGCAGTGGAGCGATCTCGGCTCACTGCAAGCTCCGCCTCCTGGGTTCACGCCATTCTCCTGCCTCAGCCTCTCGAGTAGCTGGGACTACAGGCGCCTGCCACCAAGCCCGGCTAATTTTTTTGTATTTTTGGTAGAGATGGTGTTTCACCATGTTAGCCAGGATGGTCTCGATCTCCTGACCTTGTGATCTGCCTGCCTCGGCTTCCCAAAGCGCTGGGATTACAGGCGTGAGCCACCGCACCCGGCCCTGGTTTTTTTTTTTTTTTTTTTTTTTTAGATACAGGGTCTCGCTATGTTGCCCAGGCTAGTCTCAAACTCTTAGGCTCAAGCAATCCACCTGCCTCAGCCTCTCAAAGCATTAGATTACAGGCACGAGCTCATGCCTGGCTCATTGTTATTGCTGAATAGGTTTCCACTCAAAATATTCCACCACATTTCTTTCTCTTTTTTCTGCCATCCTTATCCTCTGGATTTTTGTCCTTGTATCCTGACTTCCCTCAAAGTCACAAGGTAGATGCTGCAGTTTCAGACACCACAGGCAGACAATGACATTCAGAGGCCAAGAAAAACTGTTTCTCTTTCAGCCTCTGTGAAATCTTTTTAGAAGCTTCCCACAAAACATCCCCTTATGTCTCATAGGCCAAATCATGCCATGTGTCCATTCTTAAATGGAATTTGAGACCAGCCTGGGCAACATAGGGAGACCTCGTCTCTACAGAAAACTAAAAAAATTAGCCAGGCATGGTGGCACACACCTGTAGTCCCAGCTACTCAGGAAGCTGAGGAAGGAGAATCACAGAGCCCAGGAGGTCGAGCCTGCAGTAAGCCGAGATTGTGCCACTGCACTTCAGCCTGGGCAACAGAGTAAGACCCTGTCTGAAAAAAATAATTAAATAAATTCTGTGATGTCGCTTCTGCTATTAGGTTATAAAAAGACTATGGCTGCCGGGCACGGTGGCTCACACCTGTAATCTCAGCACTTTGGGAGGCTGAGGCGAGTGGATCACCTGAGGTCAGGAATTCAAGACCAGCCCAGCCAACGTGATGAAACCCCATCTCTACTAAAAATACAAAATTAGTCAGGCATGGTGGGGCATGCCTGTAATCCCAGCACTTTGGGAGGCTGAGGCAGGCAGATCACCTGAGGTCAGGAGTTCAAGACCAGCCTGGCCAACAGGGTGAAACCCCATCTCTCCAAAAATACAAAATTTAGATGGATTAGACGGGCATGATGGCGGGTGCCTGTAATCCCAGCTACTCGGTTGGCTGAGGTGGGAGAATCGCTTGAACCTGGGAGGCGGAGGTTGCAGTGAGCTGAGATTGAGCTATTGTACTCTAGGTTGGGCGACAGAGCAAGACTCCATCTCAAAAACAAAAACAAAAACAAAAAAACTGTCTCTTCTGTCTTGAATGCTTACTTGTGCTTTCTCTTGGATCATTTGCTGTGGGGGTGGGAAGCCAGGGCCATGTCATAAAGACAGTTAGGAGGCCTATAGGGAGGCCCATGTGTTGAGGCCCTGAGGTGGTCTCTAGCCAGTAGCCAGCTAGGAACCAAGGTCTGTGCACAGCCATGTGAGTGAACTTGAAAGTGGGCTCTCCAGTCCCACATGCCTGCAGCCCCCAGAGGACAGCTTGAGTGCAGCCTCATAAGAGACCAGGAGCCAGAACCACCCAGTTAAGCCATACCCAGAGTCCTGACCCACAGAAAGTATAATATAAAATGTTGATTGCTTAAAGCTGCTAAGATTTGGGGTAATCTGGAGTGAAATGGCGTGATCTCGGCTCACCGCAAACTCCGCCTCCTGGGTTCAAGCAATTCTCCTGCCTCAGCCTCCTGAGCAGCTGGGATAACAGGCATGTGCCACCACACCCGGCTAATTTTGTATTTTTAGTAGAGACGGGGTTTCTCCATGTTGGTCAGGGTGGTCTCGAACTCCCAACCTCAGGTGATCTGCCCGCCTTGGCCTCCCAAAGTGCTGGGATTACAGGCATGAGCCACCATGCCCAGCCGATTTGGGGTAATCTTTTATGCAGCAATAGATAATTTGGTAGAGCACTTTTTTTGGTGGGGGGGGACAGTCTCGCTCTGTCGCCCAGGCTACAGTGCAGCGGCACGATCTCGGCTCGCTAGAATCTCTACCTCCTGGGTTCCAGGGATTCTCCTGCCTCAGCCTCCTGAGTAGCTGGGACTACAGGCGCCCACCACCACGCCTGGCTAATTTTTGTACTTTTAGTAGAGACGGGGTTTCACCATGTTGGCCAGGCTGGTCTCGAACTCCTGACCTCAGATGATCTGCCCACCTCGGCATCCCAAAGTGCTGGGATTATAGGCTTGAGCCACTGCGCCCGGCCCACTTTTTTTTTTTTTTTTTGAGACGGGGTCTCACTCTGTCACTCAGGCTGGAGTGCAGTGGTGCAATCTCAGCTCACTGCAACCTCCGCTTCCTGGGTTCAAGCAACTCTTGTGCCTCAGCCTCCCAAGTAACTGGGATTACAGGTGTGTGCCACCATGCCAGGCTAATTTTTTTGTATTTTTAATAGAGACGGGGTTTCACCATGTTGGCCAGGTTGGTCTTGAACTCCTGACCTCAAGTAATCTGCCCACCTTGGCCTCCCAAAGTGCTGGGATTACAGGTGTGAGCCACCACGCCCAGCCTGGTAGAGCACTTTTAAGAAATGTTCTGTATCACCAGTACTTGTAAGATGGCCCAGATGCTGATTCTGTGTGGAAAAACAGATATTGACAGCTGGGAATTGAAAAGTGATCCAAGAATCAGACTCTGAATGGGGTGAAGTTTTAGGAAAACCTTAACCAGTTTATTTCACCCATGTTTTCCTTGTTACGTAAGTACAAAGGTAGTAAGTCTAAGAGAACCTTTTCAGTAAGTGTAAAATAAAAATTCTAAGTGATAAGAAGTCATCATCACTTTAATCCGCAGTTTTAGTGTTTTTTCTTTCTTTCTTTTTTTTTTTTTTTTTTTTTTTCAGATGGAGTCTTGCTCTGTTACCCAGGCTGGAGTGCAGTGGCAGGATCTCGGCTCACTGCAACCTCTGCCTCCCGGCTTCAAGCAATTCTCCTGCCTCAGCCTCCTGAATAGCTGGGATTACAGGCACCTGCCACCACGCCCAGCTAATTGTTGTATTTTTAGTAGACACAGGGTTTCACCATGTTGGCCAGTCTGGTCTTGAACTCCTGATCTTGTGATCCACCCGCCTCAGCCTCCCAAAGTGCTGGGATTACAGGCGTGAGCCACCGCGCCCGGCCAGTGTTTTTTCTTTCTAAAGTACATGAAGTATGGTGGTTCATGCCTGTAATCCCAGCACTTTGGGAGGCCGAGGTGGAAGGATGGCTTCAGCCCAGGAGTTCAAGACCAGCCTGAGCAACACAGCAAGACCCTGTCTCTGAAAAATCAATCAATCAATCAATCAATCAATCAATCAATCAAGTACATGAAGCAGCAGTGCTTCTTAACATCATTGGTGTCTAAATTGGATGAAATACGATCATGTATTTTCCTTATAGTAGAAGCCATTATGAGGGGAGTTTTCTGGCACTTGCAGCAGAGGATCTGAATTCAGGGGAGCATAGGAATAGGGCTGAGGAGGAGGTGAGTAAGGGGAAGCAGGGAACAAGTCTATGAGGGAGAGTGGGCAGGGATTTGTGGCAAAAAGCTCAGGAATATTTCCAGAGGTAACTTTGTGAATGGGTCCCTGTTGAAGTGTGTTTGTTCTAACCCTCCAATAGGTTAATAAGAGCCTGGGGTGTATACCACCCATGATGCCTAGCAATTGCTGGTGGCATTGGAAATGCCTGCATTTCCCAAACAAAAATAAGGACATATGACCTAACATAAGAGTTTTCTGGCTGGTGCAGTGGTTCATGCCCATCATCCCAGCACTTTGGGAGGCCAAGGCGGGCAGATCACTTGAGGTCAGCAGTTCGAGAGCAGCCTGGCCAATGTGGCGAAAATTCATCTCTACTCAAACGAACAAACAAACAAAACCTACAAAAATTAGTTGAGCGTGGTGGCGCATGCCTGTAATCCCAGCTACTCAGGAGGCTGAGGCAGGAGAATCACTTGAACCCGGGAGGTGGAGGTTGTAGAGAGCCAAGATCACACCACTGCACTCCAGCCTGGGCGACAGGGTGAGACTCTGTCTCTAAATAAATAAATAAATAAGAGTTTTCCTATATTTAAAATTTTTGTGTGCCCCAGTAAGCCTTTACCATTTACAGCTTTACGGCCTTATGACTGATGCAAGGGAAGATGGAAACATGCTGGGGAAGGATGCTTCGTCAGGGATATCAGGTGCCCGTCGCAGCTCCCAGAAGTGTGGCCAGTTGTTGGGCAAATGTCCAGGGGCCAAAATCCGCACAGGGTATGAGGGGGCCTGGGGTTGGAGATCTGGTTAGTGTTTTGAGCAGAGTTACACATGGATCGGGATTTATAGACTTTGAGGAGTTTGCCTTCCCATCGGGAGGGAGTGGAGCTGTATCAACAAACACACTTTGCGAGAGGGAAGCCGGCAACCCAGGGGCTTAAGTTCCCAGGGTAAAGGGCAGCCCAGGATTTGAACTCGGGCAACCTGGCTCCAAAGCCTGTGCATGCCTTAGTCACTACATTTCGGCCTTTGAGATCTGTGGGGAGTTTTGCAACCACTGAATCCAAGCTCCTGATTTTACAGTTGAAGGAGCAGGACTCGCCCAAGGTCCATGGGGATGGGGTGGCTGAGCAGGACTCGGCTGCGGGGCGTTGTGGATTAGTGTTGGTAAAAGGAGGGGCGGGGGCTGTAGGCATGGAGGCTAGCTGGCCTCCCCACCCTGCCGCAATGCAAAGTGCCCCTGCTTTCCATCTGGGGAAAGGGCGCAACTTGATGGGGGTGGAGGGCGCAGGTTCGGGAAGCCGCCCGCCTCCTTCATTCCCGGGATTCCCAAGGCAGCCATTGTCCAGGAGGAATGTTGGACCAGCAGCACGGAGGGCGGGGCCTCTTCCCGTGCCCCAGACAAGCCTGCTTTGTGCTCTCCACCCCGGCCCCTCCTGGCCGTCACCAGCCAGACTTTCCCAGCATTTTTCAGGGGTCTCAGGGCAGGTCTCTAAGAGATGAAGTTACTTGGAGAGGAAAGGACCATGGGAGATGTACTCAACCCTGGAGGTCTGGGAGGGCTGCCTGGAGGAGAGGTGAGAGCACTGCCCAGAGGCCTGGGCTCCTGGCTCCTCAGAGATAAAAATATGCATTCCTAGCCTCTGGTTACCAGAACTTTATCCTAAGGCAATAATTAGACGCGTGCACAAAGGTGGAAGTTACAGGTTTGTTCATGAAGCTTTTATTTCTGGAAAAAAATCAACAACAAAGGAAACTTTTTTTTTTTTTTCCAGAAGAGTCTTACTCTGTTGCCCAGGCTTGAATGCAGAGGTGAGATCTTGGCTCACTGCTACCTCTGCCTCCCAGGTTCAAGCTATTCTCCTGCCTCAGCCTGCCTAGTAGCTGGGACTACAGGAGTGCGCCACCATGCCCACCTAACTTTTGTATTTTGAGTAGAGATGGGGTTTCATCATGTTGGCCAGGCTGGTCTCAAACTCCTGACCTCATGATCCGCCCGCCTTGGCCTCCCAAAGTGCTGGGATTACAGGCAAGAGCCACCGCACCTGGCCAGGAAACTTTTTAAATTAATTTAGACATGTCCACTTGATGGAATATTAAGCTGTCATTAACAATTGTGTGGTATAAACGTATTATAGACAGCAAAAGATGTTCAAAATATTTGTCCATTGTCTGGGTGCGGTGGCTCACGCCTGTAATCCCAGCACTTTGGGAGGCCAAGGCAGGTGGATCACTTGAGGTCAGGAGTTTGAGACCAGACTGGTCAACATGGTGAAACCCGTCTCTACTAAAAATGCCAAAATCAGCCAGCTGTGGTGGCACATGCCTGTAATCCCAGCTACTTAGGAGGCTGAGGCAGGAGAATTGCTTGAACCTGGGAGGTGGAGGTTGCAGTGAGCCGCGATCACACCACTGCACTCCAGCCTGGGCAACAGAGCAAGACTCCCTCTCAAAAAAAAAAATTGTCTATTAAGAAAAGTATATTATAAAACACTGTGGAGATCTCTCTATATATACATATGTGTGTGTGTGTGTGTGTGTGTGTGTGTGTGTGTGTGTGTGTGTGTGTAGAGAGAGATAAATAGAATAATATCTAGCTGACTCCAAAATGGTTTTTTGTTTGTTTTGTTTTGAAATGGGGTCTTGCTTTGTTGCCCAGGGTGGAGTGCATTGGCGCAATCACGGCTCACTGCAGCCTCAATCTCCCTGGCTCAAGCAATCCTCCCACCTTAGTCTCCCGAGTAGCTGGGACCACAGGCCCCCCACCACTGTGACCGGCTAACTGACTCCAACATATTACTGGTGGTTATCTCTGGGTGGTGGGATTAAAGGCGTTGGATTTTTAATTTTTTTGTTTTCTGCTTATCTATTTTTTCTTATTAGTGTTTTTTAAATAGTAGAAATGGGTTTCACTCTGTTGCCCAGGACTCATGCAATCCTCTTGCCTCGGCCTCCTGAGTAACTGAGGCTGTAGGCACATGATGCCTTTCGAATTTTTATAAAAAGGTGTTCTGCTTGTGTAACTAAAGTGTGTGTGTGTGTGTCTATGCGGGCAGCTTAACTGCCCACTACTCTAGGGTGGGTGTCCTTCACCCTCAGAAGTTTCTCCAACGTGGTACCTGCCCTGGGAGGGTAAGAGAGACAGCTGTTGAGGCATTAGAAAAATGAGTGTCAGATAGGCAGCCCCTGAGCCTAATCATAATAGCAACAACTCACTTAGCACTTTGCAAGGCGTTTTCACACACATTATCTTATTTGAGTCCCACTACGACCCTGTGAGGTCACATCATCGTCCTTTTCCAGGTGGGGAGACAGGCTCCCCAAGATTAAGTGGCTCCCCAGAGACAGTGCAGAAAGTGACAGAGGTGGGATTCAGTCCAGGGTCTCTGACCTTCAACCTTGGCACCCCTCTGTCTCCCTGACTCATGTCCATTACAGCATGCAGCATTTGTTCATCCACCTGTTCCTGTCCCCCACTGACCCTGGGATCTTACTTGAGTCACTGTTCCTAGAACTTAGTAGACTCAGGCATCAGTACATGCTATTGAATAAAAGAATGAATGAACATTCAAACCTGGAGCCCTGGTGGAGCAGGTCATGGTAGGTTACAAACTTGTTCTTTAGAGTCCGTGCATTCTTTTTTTTTTTTTTTTTTTTTTTTGAGACAGAATCTTGCTTTGTCAGCCAGGCTGGGGTGCAGTGGTGTGATCTTGGCTCACTACAACCTCCACTTCCGGGGTTCAAGTAATTCTTCTGCCTCAGCCTCCCAAATAGCTGGGACTACAGGTGCCCGCCACCACACCTGGCTAATTTTTGTATTTTTAGTAGAGATGGGGTTTCACCATCTTGGCCAGGCTGGTTTCAAATTCCTGACCTCAAGTGATCCATCTGCCTCAGCCTCCCAAAGTGCTAGGATTACAGGTGTGAGCCACCGTGCCTGGCCTAGACTGTGCATTTTTATACTTGCTATATTCTCTGTATTTATTTCTCTTTTGTTCTTTAACATTTTGCAAAGCTCTTTGGAAGATGGCTGACAGCAAGAGTTGCCAAAGGAATGGCTCTGCCTGGATCTGAACTTGTTCCTCCCCACTGTACACACCCATAACTGGAGACAGCCACCCCTGAGGCCAAGGGAGCAGAGGGGAGGCTCTTGGCTGGCTCCCTTCCTTACCTGAAGGGAAGGTTTCTATCTAGGACCAATGCTCGGGAAGGATGAGATTCTACACACTGAGTCTTGCGGAGCACACACCCTCCCTTCCACACCCTGGCAGACTCCAGACCCAAAGAGGTGGAGGTTCAAGGGTGGGGTGCAGATACCGAGGCTGGATGAGTTAGGGAAGGCATCCTGGAGGAGAGACCTGGAAGGCTGGTGTAGGAAGGGGAGGAGGCTGGGGCTGAAGGGAGAGAAGCAGGGAACCTACTCCAGTAGTGCTGGATGATTTAAGTACAACCAGATGTGCTGGGAATCTCCTGTCAGGCTCAGGCCCAGAGAGGGCAGAGTGGGGGTGGAGAGACCTCTGGGCCACTTGGATTTGCAGTTCCCTATTTTGCCCTGGGTCTGTAAACTTTAGGGAGCGAAGAAGCCCAGTAGGATTCCAGAGGTTCCAGATGGGCTTGCATGTTAGAGGGCGGATCGTGCAGGACTTGGAGGAGGCTTCTGCCTTTGGACAGGATGGAGTGGGCTCAACCCCTGGAACCTAGGGGAAAAAAAAGATTGGAAGTGCTCTGCTAGGATGCGGGACAGATAGGGAAGACTTTACAGAGAAGGGCATACCTGAGTTGGGTTCTGAAGGATGAATAGGAGCTCATCAGGCAGAGTAGGGAAATGAGATTCCAGGCAGAAAGATTCTGAGGTATTAAAAAGGTATGCATGTTTAGTGGGAGTTTCTGTGTGACTGTAAGGTACATGGTGGGATCAATTTGGGGTGCTGGCTGAAGAGCTATGCTGCAGGATGGTGCAGGATGTGCTTCTGCTCAAAGAACAAACAGCAGGGCCATGTGTGGGGTAACGATTTTGGAAGCGAGGTATCAGCGTCCCCAAGTGTTGGGCCCCAAGGAGTTAGCGGAGACTGATAGCCACCCAGCTCCTCCTCCCAAGTCTGAGCTGCATAGAGGGAGGAACATGTTTTCTAGTTTGCCTACAGGCTTTCGAGGGCTCCTAGGCTGGATGTGGGGTGGGGATAGGATCCAGACTAGACACAGCTTGTAGCACAGTGGGAAGGCAAAGCTGGTATACGTTCATGAAGAGTAAGAGTTTTTGGGGTGGTTTGATCAGGGTTGGGGAGGCACTGGGAACTGGGCCTTGATGGGCAAAGAGCAAGAATGAGAAGGGCTAGAGTTTCCATTTGTGGGGACAGCAGCCTGAGTCCCGGGCAAGTGTGGTTGGGGGGAAGCCCAGCTGGGTGTGGTGCCCTCTGGGCACGCACCCCAATCCCCAAGCCAGGACACATTTCCTTCCTTTCCTGCTCATAATGACTCCTGAGTGGCCAGTCCAGAGGACCACAAAGAGGCCTCCCCGCCCTTTCCTCTTCCTCTCTTCCATTTCTTTCTCCCTTCCTCCCCCCACCCCATCCTTCCCCCAACCCGGGGCCCTTTTCTTTCCTTCCTCCTCACCCTACTTGCTCCTCCCGCCCTCTCTCTCTAGCTTTTACTTCCTCCCTCTAACTCTCCCCCCTCCCTCCAAAATCCTTTGAGCTGATTCTCCCTAGACCCACGGAGTTATTTTTCTTCTTAATGTTTTTAGAAAGCCCTTGTTGCAGGTCTCTGGACCAGGAAGGTCACACACTCCCACACTTCTGCTGCACACCCACATGCATGCGCCCGCAGCAGGTGCCTGCACTCAGCCACACAACCAAGCATAGCACCTGTCTCCCCTGGGGGCAGGATGGGGGTGGGATTCTCCACCTTGGGTGTGATACTAGCAAAAGATCTGGGAAAGAATGGAGGGCCCTCTGCAGAAGCCACACATTACCACCATCATTACCACTATTATTATCCAATCCATTGCCAGGCACTTGACCTGCCTGGGGATGATCACAGCCACCTCAGCAGGGGCTCTCAGGGCACAGATCCCTTGACTGGGGACAGCCAGGAGTGAGGTCACCCCAGAGTCCTCAGAGATCAGTCTCTCGGGCCCTGCCCAAGAGGGCAGGAGGTAGAGATGTGATGAACAGAGTATTTGTCAGCCCAGGAGGCTGGATGATGTATTAACAGGACTTTAATGAGCTCTGGGAGGGGGAGCCACACTTCATCGCCCTGAGCACTGGTGCAGGGTGGGAGGTGGAGGGGTGAAATGATCAACCTCACCCCCACCTGCTAACTAAACCTCTTAATATCACCCACAGCAGTCCGCCCATTGGAAACAACTCAGTACTGCCAAGCTGCTGGTCTTGCCCCTGGAGTCCAGCGAAGGCCTTATCCAGCAGGCTGGTGTCTTCCACTATCTCACTAGCAAGGCCTTCCTTAGCTTTAAGCTTGTCCTTCCTTTACTCCCGGACTCCTAGAGGATGAAGGAGAACCGGATCCCCGCTCCAGGGGAGCGCATGATCAATTCCTTCCTTCACACTGAGCGCCTCAGTCCAACCCCACTCCTGTCATCCCCCCTTCCCTGGAGCATGGTGGAGCAGGATCCCCATTGGCAATGCCAGACTTGGCTTCCTGGCACTAATCCTGCTGGCTGAGGCACCCAGCTCATAAGGATATTAGTCTTTCCCTTAGTTCCTGTCTCTGGCTGTCAGGGAACCTGACAGGTAGGGGTGGAAAAAGTGCAGTGGATTCTAGATCCAGCTTTGCTGTGTGACCCCAAGTGTGTCACTTCTCCTCTCTGGGCCTCCAGTGCTCCAACAATAAGGAAATAGCCAAGGAGTTCCTTCCAGCTGGTATCCTGGGATTGTTCCTCCAGCAAGGGTTCCAGTCTCCTAGCATGGTGGTTGTGGCTCCCTTCATCCTGCCTGATTCTGAAGCCAGGGGCTACTCTAGCACTCTGAGCCTTGACACGTCCCTCCTCCTGTGCCAGGGCAGAGCCCTGGGGGTGGGGAGTGGCAAGGAAGAGATAATTCTGGAGGTGGAAAAGACACTGACCTTGGCAAGTTCCAGAACCTGCGTGGGTGCCGGTTGCTTCCAAATGTGGGCTGGAAAAGAAGTGGGAGCTACTGAGGCCCTCCCCTTCTGTTTCCCTGAGTGGCACCTAAAGGAGTGCCCCAGACCTGTCAGACCCCAGAGCCTGCAGGGGAATCTGCATTAGAAGAAGGGAGGGGGTAGTGTTTGGAGTTCTACAGGCTAGTGGGTGAGGGCCAATCTTGCCCTACTGACACTCAGGCTAGGCAGCCACTCAAAAGGGAAACAAGCTCTCAGGAGAGAGGACCCTTAAGCACTGCCCTTGGGTGGAAACAGGATTGCCTTGGGACATCTGGAGGCTCAACAGCAGGAAGGTTCTCTGGACCCTCCATCATCAGCACAGCCCTCCTCCTACCTTCTCCTGGGGCAAAGCCGGTTCCTGGCCTTTATCCCTGATGAAGCCTTGAGTGTGTGTGTGTCGGGCAGAATTCTGTCTACCCTTCGACTGGGAGCTCCAGGAAGACAGGGCTGTGCCTCTTGGACTCTCTTGGGTATCCCTGGTGCACAGTCCAATGTTTGGCACAAAGTTAACACTCAGTATGTATCTATTGAACGGATGTCTTTGGACACTCTCAGTGGACTAGAGGTCTGGGATTCATCCCTCATCTTTTCTTCCTGCCAGTCATCCTGCTTGGCCCAGTGTGACTGCCGCCTTCTGGGCAAGCCCTCCAGTGGAGCCCTCTGTTTAGATCTCACACCCTACACTCCGCTGCCCCCGTCCAGTGCTCGCCCTCCTCCCCCGCAGCCACCCGCTCCCGGAGTGGCATCAGCGCAGAGCCGCGGCCTTGCCTGGCGGTGCGTCCTGCCCTCTGCAGCCCGGGAGGGCAGGCGCAGCAGAGTCCCGCGCGCAGTGGGTTCTCAGCTCACCTGGGGGCGGAGGAAGTGAGCAAGAGTCCTCCAGACTGGGGCCAGGGGGCCAAGGCAGTCCTGGGAAAGGGGGTCTGGGGCGGCCCGCGGACGGGGCGGGCCCAGGCCGGCTGCCTTCCCCTTTGCCCTTCGACCCAGGAAGCCGCCCACATCCAGCGGACACGCTCGACGGGCTGGGCTGCTCAGTCCCGGCCTCGGCCCCGTCCCCATGCCGTCCCCCACCCCTACCCGCCGGCCCGACCCCCACCCCAACCCCAGCTTCCCGCTCCGACGGCCGGGAGAGGCGGGGCGGACGGGTCTGAGAGTGGCGAAGGACACTCTCCACACCGAGGGTCACTTGCTCTTTTTTCCCCTCTGTGGCTAATTTATTTTAGAGCCAGGGGCGGGAGGGGGCGGGGCCAGCCGGGAGGGTGGCAAGGAGGGGCTGGGCGAGCCCAGGGGAGGTGGGGGCGGGGCGGGGGCGAGGTGGGGGAGGGCGGGGAAGAAGCCGGGGGTGGAGGGGCCAGAGAAGGGGCGGGAGCTGGGGGAAGAGAGGGGCACTAGGAGAGGGAGGAGCAGGGAAAGGGGAGGGGAGGGAGGGCCTGCGAGGGAGGGCCCTGGGGGCGGGCGAGGGGAGGCGGGGGTGGGGGTGGGGGTCTTTCCTGCGGGGGGAGCCGGGGCCGCCCCTTGTCCGGCCACCCCCACTGCCCAGTCCCGCTCCCGCCCGCGGCGGCCGCAGCAGCCGCAGCAGCAGCGGCTCCAGGATGGTGAGCGCCACTGCCCCCCAGCCCAGGCCTGTCGCCCCCGGCCCGCGCCGCCGCCCCGGTCCCCGGGCCGGACGCGCCCCCAGGCCGCGCACACTCACCTAGGACCCGGCCGTGATGCCGAGGTACGGGGCCGCGGGCGGGCCGGGATGGGGCGGGGGGAGGTGACCGTTCGGTCAGGGTGTCCGGAGCTTTGTCCGCCGGCCCGGGGCCGGAGAGGGCCGAGAGGGCGGGGGCTGCTAGTCGCGGGGTTCAGCTCGGCGGGGGTCGGAGGGCAGGGCCGGCGAGAGACCCTAGCGGGTACGTGGGAGCCGAGGGTCACTTCTCGGGGGGAGGGGGCGGGCAGAGCAGGGGATAGCCGCCCGGCCGCCGACGGGCACCCGTCTCGCAGCCCCCTCTGGTGCGGGGGCTGCAGCGAAAGCGAGCAGCCGGCTCGGGGGCGTCTGCTGGCCTGGGGGTGGGGAGCCAAGGTTTGCGGGTTCGGGTCCCAGAAGGATCCAGCGTCCGGAGCCCGAGGGCCGGCCCGCAGGCCCCTCCCACTCCGTCAGGTCTTTGTCCAGCGGCCCCTGTGTGTGTGTGTGGGAGGGGTGGGGGCTGGGTTACTGGCCCGGAGATTCCCCAGCATGGTGACGGGGCAGTGACAGGAGGCCGAGGCTACTTAGGGTCCCCGCGCCCCTAACACCCACCCTCTTCATGTCTTCTCCTCTGGCCCGGGAGAACAGAGCCCGCGTCTCAGAGTCAGGGGGTTGTAGGAGGCTGTACTCACCTTCACCCTGGGGCTACAGGCAACAAGGGGGACCCCCGGAGCGCCCAGCTCTCCAGAGAGGGCCCCTCAAACTTCCCCACCGCAAGAGCCCTCTCCTGTTCTACACAGAGATTCGCATGCTAGCAACCCCCCCGCCGCTGCAGAGGGTCCTTCGCAGATTGCTGAGCACCCTGTAGGTGATCAGCAAATGCTGGTGCCCTTCCCCAGCCCCGCTGGTCCCCCTGCCCCCGCCAGAGGAGGAGGCCTGGGAAGGGGTCTGCGCGGGGCAGAGAGCGCGCGGCCTGGACCCTGCGCCCAGCGGCGGCCCGGAGCGCAGGGGTGGGTGGACGGGTGGGTGGGCTGTTAAAGGGACGGTCACTAAATCAGGATTAGGCCGTAGGGCTGTCAGGCTGCCGGCCCTGTCTCCATGGATACCTAATTTGGAGGAGAATAGAGGACTGAAGAATGTTTGTGTTGTCCGCACGGGCTGTGGCGGCGGAGCGGTCTCCTGCTTTCCGCCCGGCAGCGAGGAGTGGGGACCCGGTTCCAGCCCAACTCTGGGCTTACGGCGCAGGTGGGCTTCCCGGTTCCTGGGCCGTGGGGCCTCCCCTGTGGAGCCGCCCAGTCTCTGGAGTGGGCTGGGCCCGCAGATGCCACGGTGCGAAACCCTCTGACCCTGCAGAGGGAGTCCCAGACCCTCCCGGAGCCTACCCCGAAATCCCATAGCATCCTCCTAAAGCCTCCCCGAGCCTCTCAGTCCGGAACCGACGCCATTCCCCGCTGTGCCTGAGCCCCCAAGGACGGGCGCGCCGGGCTGCCCGGTGCTGTGGTGCCGCCGCCACCCAGCTGTGGGACGCGGGTACCGGGCGGCCGCGCGAGCTGCGGGCAGGGGGCGGGGCGGGACTTCCTGGGGTGGGCGAGGAAAGGGGCGGGGCTTGCTGGGGTGGCTGGGCTGGACGGGTGACAGGCCTCGTAAATCCCCTTTCCCATGTTTAACACCATTTCATTTCTTTCCACTTGATTCCATTGGCATCCAAGGCAGACGGGAGCGACCCTCGTGTCCTCGCTGTAATATCTTCTGGGCGAAGCCCTTTTGGGCCAAAGGGAATTAGGCTGTGTGGGGCAGAGGAGTTGCTCCTGGGGAGGCCTAGAGGACCCGCATTCCTCGGGGGGATTCCTGTTGCCCCCACCCCCGCCCCAGAAGAAGAAACAGAAGGGGCTGAGAGACACAGAAATGAGTTTGGCTTCGGAGGCCCTGCCCGATTCTCTGGCCGTGGTATGGCTGAGGGCTGGGCTGAGGATCCCGTAACTGTCAATTCCAGTACCAGCCTGGGCGAAGGCTGGGGAGAGCCACCCAGACTGAGTGTGGCGTCGCAGAGCCCTTTCCTGCCTTTCTTCTGCTCACCCATGGCCACAGCTTTTTATGGATCAGGACTCCCCTCCCTGCCCTGCCTGGGCCGCAGCTTTATTGCTGAGATCTAGGGCTCTCTCCACGCAATTTCACGCCTCTCTGCCTTTGCTCCCGCTGTTCCTCCAGCCAAATGCCTTCCTCATTGTCCCTGTCTTTCCACAACCTCCTTATTCTTCAGGGCCCAACTCGGATGCGCACCTCCTCCGCATCACCTCCCCAGCCCCGAGCTTCTGTCACTTGCTCCTCCCTCCGTGGCCTGCACCTGTGCTCCCTTCCGCCTTTGTGGCGGGGTCCACTCAGGGCTTTGACTGAAATGGAGCATGTACTCCCTGGCCCTGCCCCCAGTGGGCTTGCCACAGGGCTTGACACCTTGTGGGTGCTCCATAAATATTGGTTGGCTGAATAAAAGGGGTTTTGTAAGGGCCTTTAGCCAGGCAGTCTGCATAGCATGGAATCTGGCCACCTTCAGGTAAACAGCTCTGTGCTCTTGGGTGGTGGAGACCCCTGGGTGGGGCTCCTCCTCTCCCTTTCCCTTATTTGCCTCCTTCTCCTCCCCATGACCCTACCCCACCCCCCCAAGTCCGGGGAGGACTTTGCCCCTTCCCTTCCCCACAGACCAGCATTCTTTCCCTGCCATTATCATTCTGTTAAACAGAGAGGCCAGTCAGGATCCATATGGATCACATTAACAATTGCTTATTATCTGGGCCAGGACTCCCCCGACTCTCCCCCCAAGCTCCGACTGCTGCCATTGCTGGACCCTTAGGAGCCCTGCCTTCCCCTCCCCCTGCCGTCGGTCAGCCAGGGAGGGCAAGAGACAGGCTGGTCTCCCTCACCTTCCCTGTGCCTTCTAGCAGAACTTTGCCTCTCCTGGACTTGGCGGTTATCGACTCCTTTACCCGATTTAATGAAAACCAGGTTCCTGGAAGGAGCATGGCTCTGCAAAGCTCCAGGGCTGCAGCAGGGAGATGTGGACTCCAGGCCCCAGTGCCCCTGTGCTCTGCAGCCCTGAGACCCCCTTCAGGGGACAGAGACTGTGGGGGGGGGGCGGTGAGCCACAAGAGGTCAAGTATGGGGTGCTGGCATCTGCTACCTTAGCCTTGGGCTGGTCCTGCCCCCTTTTGGGAGCTGGCTGTCTGGTGAGGGAGATCAGGGCAGAGGGACCCTGCCAGGCTCTGTGGTGTTGGGCTCCCAGCCTTTCCCTGCAGTCAAAGAAGCAAGAAATCTGTTAGAGCTTCCCAGAGCAGCCACTGAATTGGCCTTGAAGGATGGGGAGTGTACTTCACGTTTAAACCCATATATAACCCAGGAATACTAGGGCATGGAAGGAGCCTCCAAGATTACCCATTCTGGGTATCCATAACTTTTTTTGATTTACAGAGCCCTTGGAGACACTGATGAAAGCCATCCCCAGAAAAATGCACTTCCGTTAATTGACACCAGACTTTGCATTCTGCTTTAGAGGATTCTTGGATCCCCTGAAGCCCATGGGGACCTTATGTCAAGAAACCCTCACCCCAGTCCATCCCTCTCTGATGTGCTGAGGACAGAGTCATGCCTGCAGCCTGGGTTTCCTGACCTCCCCACTCAGTGCTCACTCCATGGCCATATTACTTGCAGTAGGACCGCCAGAACCAAGCGACCAGGGGTATGAGATTGAGGCACTAGGCCAGCCTTTAAGTGGGAAGAGTTCACACTGGCTGGGTCAGGGTCTGGGCTGGTCATCTCATCTCTGACTATGTGGCTTGGAGAGAGGCTGTCCAGCTTTTTTTTTAGGGTCCACTTGTCTCCAGGAACAAGTGGCAATTGCTCTTCTCCGAGCAGTTTCATAAGCATCTTGATGAATCATAGTTAACGCTTCCACACACTTGTTAAACACTCTGTATCTCATCTGTGAGGTGAGAAAATAGAGTGAAGAATGGTGTCCACCTCCTAAGCAGGATATTGTGAGGATGAAAGGAGTCAGAGCTGGGAGACCTGAGTCCTAGTCTTGAATGACTCTAGGTGCAGGTGCTCAGGGCTGTGGTTACTGTTGAGGCCAGCATTTCCCCAGTTTGCTTAGCCAAGGAAAGGGGACTGCAGTGCGAACCCCCTGAGTGCCTTCTGTCTTTTCCTTTAGTACCGAGGTATGGACAGTGTCAGCCTTTGGAATATTCATCTTCAGGGTTGGAGGCAGAGTGGGGGTTCTTAGTGAGTGGGAGAGCTGGGCAGTGGCCATGGCCTGCCTCTGTAGCCCCAACCCCATTTTTGATGACCAGTTATGACCCCTACCCTAGAGACCAAGCTTTGTGCTTCAGCAACCCCTTGCTGCTAATCAGATGTAACTCCGGACAAGTGACTTCATCTGTTTGGGTTTCAATTTCATCATTTCTAAAATGGGGATAAGAACCTCATATGATGGTGATGTGGCCCTGGTTTCAAATAGTCTGCCCCTTTGATTCTGAAGCCTACCTTGGGGACCCGCTTAGTGACTCGGGGCCCAGGGACTCCAGAGAACGACCTTCTAGCATAGGAGTGAGGATGGGGAAAGGGCATGTGTGTGTGAAAGTTCTGGCCCACAGCAGTGCTTGCCCAAGTCATCTTAAAAAAAAAAAATTGTAGAGGCGGTGGTCTCACTATGTTGCCCAGGCTGATCTTGAACTCCTGGCTTCAAGTGATCCTCCCATCTTGCCCTCCCAAAGTACTGAGATTACAGGTGTGAGCCATTGCAACCAGCCTGCCAGGCCATATTTGAAGCCCCCTCCGACATGGAGTCAGGGCAGACAGGGGGTGGGCAGGTAGATGGGAGGAGAGGCAGCATGGATGCCTGCAGGAATCTGGAAGGTAGCAGCATACCTCCCTCTGTCCCCTCTCACTGCCAGGGCAGACTCAGGCCACATGGTCCCCAGCCCAGTGTTGTGATTAATCAGGGATGGATGTGAAGATGTGACAAACAAGCTGCATTGACTCTTTTTTTTTTTTTTTGAGATTGTCTCTTCTGTCACCCAGGCTGCAGTGCAGTGGCATGATCTTTGCTCACTGCAACCACCACCTCCTGGGTTCAAGCAATTCTCATGCCTCAGCCTCCTGAGTAGCTGGGACTACAGGTGCATGCCACCACGCCCAGCTAATTTTTTTTTTTTTTTTGTATTTTTAGTAGAGACGGGGTTTTGCCATGTTGGCCAAGCTGGTCTCAAACTCCTAACCTCAAGTGATCTGCCCATCTCAGCCTCCCAAAGTGTTGGGATTACAGACGTGAGCCGTGAGACTTCATTTACTATTAACAAACCTGTGTTGAGCACCTACGCACTGTGTCCAGTACTGTGCAAGGCTCTGGGTGAACCTCAGCTGCTCCCGCGGGTGTCCAGCCAGGATTGGCCTTCCTGAGCCTCCCCACACATGCAGTGGACACCTATGGACCAGGCTCTGAGCTGGGGCTTTTATGCTTTGGCTTCCTTAGCCACCTGCAGCCTCCCACATGGCCAGGGAGAGCCCAAGGGTGGCCCCAGCTTTGGTGTTGCTTTGCCACAAGTGCCTAGCATGTATCATGGCTGTGAGGCCTTGAATATTTTATCCAGGTAGCTATTCATCCAGCAACCATTATTTTCTGATGTGGTGCCACCTTCAAGGAGCTCACAAGATGTTGGGGACCAGCGAAGAGGCAAAAGGACAGGCTATGCTTTTAGGACCACTGTCCCTGCATTCTCTAAGCAGAAGGAAGCCACATAGGGCATGTGAGCTGGGGAATGGCAGCCTCTGGGCTATGGCGAGGGTACAGGACAGGTTTCAGAGGCTGTAAGGGGGAGGATCAGCATCTGACAGCAGGGGCTTGCCTCAGAGGAGTCCTGAGCAGATTGCCTTTTCCTGGGGGAGGCTGTGTCGGTGGGCATTAGAAGCAAAGTGAGACAAGGGCCACTGCTTGGGGAGGGTCCACCTGCAGCCGAGTGCCCTATTTGACCCTTGGATGCTTAAGAATCTGGAGGTGTTTGTTCTTTCCAGGCCAGTGGGGAAAGAAAACTGGTAGGATTTAGGTTATACCTGAAAAAGGATCCCTCTTCCCCAGCCCTCATATCATGCGGCTCCCTCCCCACCCAGCCTGTCTGTTGCCTTCTGCTGGAGCAAAGGGGCTCCCTGGGAACTCTCTGGACACCAGGAGAAACTGCACCTTCCTCCTTGCTCTCTGGAGGGACAGCATTTCATCAGTGGCTGGGTCCTCACTCCTCTAGGAAGGGGCTTCCTTTCCAGGCACACTGTGTCCGGCATGGGCTGGCCATTCTTTTACCATCGTCTTCCACACTGTGGCCCTCCTCAGGCCTGAGTTTTGGGGACTGAGCCCCTTGTTGAGAAAAAAGGAGCTGCGTAAAATGAGGAAGGCAGCTGGGAGGCTGAGGTAGGAGGAGGTCAGGAGTCCATTCTGGGACTTGTTGAGTTTGTAGTGATCATTAGATATCAGAGAAGAAGAGAGGAGGGGAGAGGAGGGGAGAGCCCTTCCACCTGCCCAGCAGTGCCCCTCCCGGGAAAGGCATTCTCTGGTGCCGAGTGCCTCCACTGATGGGGACTCAGCACTTCTAGAGATGGCTCACGTGTTCTCAGATGGGGCCAAGTCCTTCTGTGAAGCCAAAAATCTTTCATGGAGGATTTGCTTCTTTTGAGGAAAAGGGGAGGAGGGGCTGTGCAGAGCTGCAGGGGCCGCCACGGTCGTGCAGAGATCTGGTCTTCAGGAGCCTTTCTCCTCCCCACTCCTCTGGCACAGTCTCAGCCTTGCAGTCCTTTCTGATCACTCTCTGCAGAGTCTGGCTGAGACCCTAACCAGAGTCCTGTGTCCTAGCCTTGAGGCCAGCGCCTCTCAGACCTGGGCAGGGATTTATCTGGTCCCATGAGAACAAGTTTGAGATATGCTAAGCTCCGGGGTTGGTGGCTAAGTGTGGGAGGGGGTTCAAGAAAGGAGGGCTGGGGGAGCAGGGGAGGTTGAGGAAGAGGGTGGGAATGAACTGCTCCCTCAGTTTTCTCAGCTGTTCGATGGGAACACCACCACCTGCTGTGGCAGGCAGAGAAGTATCTGGAGCAAGACTGCTGGGGGTGGCATCTGTCCCAGCTTGGTGACTTAGACAAGTTAATCGAGCCTCAGTTTCCTCACCTGCAACATGGGAATAACGTCCTCACTCAGATTAAATGAACTGATGTGTGTGAAGCACTCAGGGCCGGACTTGGCTTGTGTTGAGAATCCCATATGGGAGCAGGCAGACAGGAGCTGCTGTGGTTGCTCAGTCTTTTCCTAGCACCCTCCCCCCAGTATCTTTTTCCCTCTGTGTTCCTGTGGCCCTGCAGGTGTAGGGGGCCACCCCCTTGAGGACAGCCCTGCCCACTCACACCCAGGTGGACCGGCCGGGCTGCATAGCTGGAGTTACTCGGCTCAGCCCCCCCAGGGCTGGGAAGAGGGCAGGAGGGGCTGAGGCAGCTGCTGGGGACTCCTGGGTGGGCTGCCTGGGCCTGTTTCCTCGCCTTTGGTAAGGCCTGGCCCTGTGGGGGCATGTCTCTCTCCCACCCCCATGCACGGGAAGGGGCCATATTTGGGGCTAGGGCACACAGGATCACCCAGACTTTAAAGCTTAAGCCTTTTGGAGGCCACATGCCACCCAAACAGACTCAAGTCAACCTTGGATCCTAAAACTGGCTACGGGGAGGGGAAGTGTGGGGCCCTCCAAGAGACTCTAGGCTCTTGGGCTGAGCCTTGTGGTCCATGACCCTGAGGAGTTCCTGCAGATAACTGTATTCCAATGTTTTTGTTTTTGTTTGAGATGGAGTTTTGCTCTGTTGCCCAGGCTGGAGTACAATGGTGTGATCTCGGCTCACCACAACCTCTGCCTCCTGGGTTCAAGCAATTCTCTTGCCTCAGCCTCCCAAGTAGCTGGGATTACAGGCATGTGCCACCACACCCAGCTAATTTTGTATTTTTAGTAGAGACAGGGTTTCGCCATGTTGGTCAGGGTGGTCTTGAACTCCCGACCTCAGGTGATCAGCCTGCCTCAGCCTCCCAAAGTGTTGGGATTACAGGCGTGAACCACCGTGCCTGGCCAATGTTATTAATTCCCTTTGTAGCCCCATGTATTTTTCTTTTATGCATTGAGGAAGTATTTTTGAGAACAGGTCATAGGTTTTCCAGACTGCGAAAGGGGCCTAAGGCTGAAAGTGGTGAAGAGCTCTGGCCTCATCCTCCATCTCTCGCCCATGCAGGGCCAAGTCCCAGGCAAAGAGGAGCCCCAGATGCAGACCCAAGAGGAGACAGGCACTGGAAGGACCTCACCAGCCCCAGATCACAGGGCCACCCCAAGTGGACAGAGGACAGTCCATGGCGGCCTCCACTGAGCACCTGCGCCCTCCCCGCAGTGCCCATCACTGAGTGCACAGGTGTGAGGCTGCGTTGTGTGCTAGAAACAGAGCCTCAGGGAGGGGAACTGACTTCAGACAGGGCAAAGCGCAGAGTCAACTGCAAATCCCTGTTCCTCAATGAAAAAGCAAGTCATCTTTTTAAAAAGTAATTGCTGACAAAAAGTCATGACTATCATTAAAAAGTCCAGGTCATCCTCGTTCCCAGTGGCCCTGCTCTTTCTACCACTGTGTGTCAGGGAATGTTTTCTGAGGGAGGGGACTTTGGGAAGGAGCAGGTCAGGGTAGAGAGAGAGCTGCAGAAAGGGCTAGAGAGCCACTTGTACCAGGGCTCACAGACAGGGGCTGGCTGAGCAGCGGAGGGAATGGGAACCCAGTTAACAAGTGATGTCACCTCTAAATTGGGCATTGGAGTGGAAGGGCAGAAGTGCCTGGAACATGCTTCGGGGCACCAAAGAGGGAGACAGGAACAGCCTCAGAGAGAATGGGCTGATGTGACTGGAGGAGCTGGAAAGGGCCCGAAGCTGGAAGGAAGGACAGACTCATCCACCTCTGGTGCCAGGCTGAAGGGTTAACATCGTCTCTGTGCTTGGTAGGAGGCTGAGTCTGTTTTAGACAGAAAGACCACCCTAGCAGCCACACAGAAGAAGGATTAGGAAGGCAGAGAACAGAGGCAGAATTCAGAGGTGGGGCCAGCTGTGGTGGGGAACATGAGAGCTGTGGGTTGTTTTAGAGAGAGTGTTAACCTGACTTCATGGCCAGCTAGATGAGTGGAGGCTGGAGAGACAGACACAGGGACTCCTAGGTTTCCAGCCTAGCTGAAGAGATGGAATCGGGAGAGAGGAGGTGGAGATGTTTTCCTTGGGCATGTTGAGTCTGAGGTCTCTGTGGACCCTCCCAGAGGGTCCTAAGATTCTCACCTAGATTCCTACCTCTCCTCTTAAGATTCCCGGGGACAGTGAAGAATGTGGCTCAAGACCAAGTTACGTCTGGGCACAGTGGGCTGTCAGGAGGGACTTGAAGCAGGAGTATGAGACTTGCCTGGCAGTTTCTAAGTGGCAGAGGGTGGGCTGGGGGGGTCATGGGAGGGCCCTGGTGCTCCTCCCTCTATTAGCAGAGGAGAGGCTGGTGACAGATGTCCCAGGACACAGGTCAGAGCAGCCAGGGGTCAGGCGAGGACATCCTGGGAAGCTGTGGTTTGGGACTGTATTTTCAGTGACGGTCAGCTGGTCAGGGCAGGACAGGGAACTCATTCCTGCAAGGCAGAGCTCTTCTGGGGCCCCGCAGGCAGCTCCAGGATTATGTTTTCTCTTTGGAGTCCTCTGTCAAATGAGTTGGGTCCTTCTGGGCCTGGAGAGCAGCCCCCCCACCTCTTTCCCAGGCCACTGCACCTAGCCAGTCTCTAGGAGCGAGTTGGAGCCTGCCCTGGGTCCTGCATGGGTGGCCCCTCTAGCTAGTCAGGAAAGTTCCACCTCTCCTTCACTGCCCTCAGGCCAGCCTGTGAGGGGGATGCTGCCTCTCCACCCCCCATTTCACAATGGAGGAAACAGATCAAGACATTGTCCCACATCTCAGAGGCTGACTCTGAGGCCAGTGCTCACTCCCTGCAATACCTGAGTCATGGGAGGGGGAAGGGCTGGCTAGAGTGGGCTCAGAGACCCCTGCAAGCCGTGGGTCAGTCTTTCAGGTTGCCCTTCAGACACCTGCCTTACCCAGGTTACTAATGGGTACAGGCTCTATTGGGGTGGGGTACCTGGAGCAGCCAGTGAAGTGGAGAAAGGGGAGAAGGGAAGGAGTATGTCTCACCGTAGAACAGGCTCACACCACAATCCTCCCAGCAGCCTGCTGAGGGGACTGAATGAGACAATGGAGATCCAGCTCCCAGCCCAGTGTGCAGTGGCCTCTGGGAAGCACACAGACAGGGCAGCCCTTACTCCTTTCTTCCCCCAGGGCCCAGGAGCTGACATCCATCTCTGACCTGCTCCAACATAGCTCACATGTAGTGAGAAGTGGGGTGTGGTGTGGTGGGCAATTCCCAGCCCCAAAGACTCGCTTTCCCCGGCCTCCATGAACACTTCTAGTGGCCCATGCAGCTCACCTCGAGCAGGTGGGAAGGAGAAGGAGAATCAGCCTTGCTAATCCTCCTGGAGGTGTGACTGGCTGACAGCCTGGAGCCTCCCAGAAGTTCCATTTGGTTTAAAAGAGAATCCTTCTTAACCAGAATGGTGTTCTCTTGGTGAAATTGCAGGCAGCCTAACCAAGGGGAGCAAACAACACCTAGGCAAGAGGGAGACACGTTGTGTTTTCTTTGGTGGCAGGGACTAGGGTAATAACAAGGCTATTTCTCTCTACCTGCTTTCTCCCAGAAGATGGGCTGGGGACAGAGCACCAGCCTGGAGCCCCTTGTGTTCCTGGATATTGCCTAGCTTTGGGGTGAGACAAGACAGTGGAAGGAAGGTGGCCTGAGCATCCCAGGGCAGCTTTTGGTGGAGGGTCCAGAGAAAACGTGGAGGGGCTGTTGGGAAGAAGGGGGTGGGGAGGAGAGGAGAGCTGGAAAAGTGATTAGCAGCTCTGATGAGGTTGCAGTCGGGCCTGGCGGCCCCAGGGCAACACAAGAGAAAAAAGGAGCTGTTATTCACAGAGGGTGGACAAAGATGGCTGCCTGACTGAGGCAGCCCCCCAGCCCATCCCAAGGCAGCCAGGTCACAGGGGGTACCGGCAGGCCCCACGCCCTTGGCATGGATACCCCTCATGGGGATTGGGAATGGGACTGAGGCTGTAGGGAAAACATTGGGAGCCTGCGTCCTATGTCCAGTTCCCAGCTCCCCCGGACCTTCTTTGAGAGCAGGAGAGGCCCAGGAGCCACCCCCAACCTCCTGGGGTAGTAGATGGGCTGTTTGATCAGTGAGTGTGTAAATTGGGATTTTATGGATCGCTTATTCACGGCTGGAGCTGGGGCCCCCAAATTCCTCTGTGCCCCAGAATGCTTAATCTAGTCTTGAGCTTCCCCCTGAGAGGCAGACGGGAGGAGAGCTCCCCACAGGCCCCCACCCCTCCTGCTGTGTCCCCTCCCAAGGCCCCAGGCTTTGTCAGTTGCAGGTTGAGCGGTTCAAATGTGCTAATACACTCCCTGGGGGCCACCGGACAGTGGGACTTACTCCTCAGTGCTGTGATTGGCCAGAGAGACCACAGGAGGGGGGTTTCTGGCAGCAGCTGGGAGTGTGTGTGTCTGCGCACCCACCCACCGGCATGTGCGCCTGTGTGAGGGGAGGAGGGGGCTGGGGGTGTCCACCCTGCTCAGACCACTGGGCAGAGACAAAGGACCTTCATCTAGCCTGGGACGAGGATTAAGCCCACCAGCCATGTCCCTACCTGGTCAAGCTGGTTAGGAAGTCCACTGCCCACCTCTACATCCTCCTATTACACTGTGACATGGTGGGGGCTTATTCAATGTGTGTTGAATGGATGGATGGATGAGTGACCACAAGAGTGACTGCATTTCTAACTGGGGTGTGTCTGCTGGGATAATCCGGCACCAACAGATTCCTCCATCTCCCCTTAGGATTCTGAAGTATCCGCCCCCCACCAACAGAGACTCACTTTAGCCCAGGCCTGACCAGACATCAAGGCTGGACATGAGAGACTGGCCAGGCCTCGGGGGACACAGCTGTGACCCCCGGACTGTGTTACCACTTGAGAGTGCTTTCACTGTGGTCACGTTTCTCCCTCTCTGCTGGCCCCCATCTGTCCTTGGGATTGGATGAGGATGAGGATGGTGGGCGGGGTGGGGGAGGGGTGTTGAGCAGCTGATGGGGGAGGGCAGCGCAGCCCAAAGGCCAGATGACAGAGTGCCCTGTCCTACCTTCCTCTCCTCCTCCTCCGCCTGTCCCTCCTCTCCTGAGGCAGGGCAGACAGGCGGGGCTGGGGCGGAGGGAGTTGACTCAGCTAGCCCATCCTCCCTCCCCTGGTTCTAGGGAAAGCTCCAGTCCAGGGTAGCTGTAAAACTGCCTGGGAATCCTAGGAAAAGAAGCCTGCAGGGCACGGTGGCTCACTCCTGTAATCCCAGCGCTTTGGGAGGCTGAGGTGGGTGGATCACCTGAGGTCAGGAGTTCGAGACCAGCATGGCCAACATGGTGAAACCCTGTCTATACTAAAAATACAACAATTAGCCAGGTATGGTGGTGCACGCCTGTAATCCCAGCTACTCAGGAGGCTGAGGCAGGAGAATCAATCACTTGAACCCAGGAGGTGGAGGTTGCAGTAAACGGAGATCACGCCACTGCACTTCAGCCTGGGTGATAAGAATGAAACTCTGTCTATAAAAAAAAAAAAAAAAAGAAGTCTAGATCCGCAGGAAGTCTACCTAAAGACCTTAAGAAGCGAGACTCCATAGAAGTTCAAGATAGAGCAGCTCCGTCCGATAGAACTTTCTATGGTGATGGAAAGGTTCTGTGTCTGTGATGTCTACTACAGTGGCCACTTCCACATACGGTTGTTGAACATATGGAATGTGGCTAGTACCACTGAGGAAGTAAAATTTTTATTTTATTAAATTTTAATGTCTGCAAATTTAAATAGTTACATGGGGCTAGTGCCTGTCATTGGACAGTACAGGATTAGAGGCTGTGTTCAGGGCTGAAGCAAAGTCCTTGAGTGCAAGTGCCAATTCTGCCCCTTTTGGGCTGGTGGCCTTGGGCAGGACTCTTCCCGCCACACTATGTTCCTTCCCCAGGTTGCTGGGCTGCCTCGAAGGGGAATGCGGTGTGGGCCATCTGAAGTTAGAGAATCATCTGTTCCTTTGGGTGACTGGGCTTCCCTCAAGAGGTCCTGGATCACAGAGGAGATAAACATGCAAGGAGAGCATGGCAGTCACAGTGGGAAAGAAGTGGCTGCAGGGAGCTCTAGACTTTGAGGCATCTAAGGAACTTCCTTGGGGGTCAGTCCAAGAAGGCTTCCTGGAAGAGGGGGTGGTGGGGGAGGGTTGGGCAGGAGTTGAGCCAGGGGATGGGTGGGAGGCTGTGCCTGAGAGCCTGACCCTGGAGATCTGCTTATTTTGAGCTTGAAATGAGGACCCTGTGCTTTGAGGCACCTTGGAGAGCCTTACTGCCTCTAGGCTGGGGTAGGCAGGTGTTGACACATGGGCTGAGTCCCACTTCCCCTCTTACAGCTTGTATGACCTTGGGAGAATCTCTTTCCACACTTGAGTCTCCATTTCCTCTTCTATAAAATGGGGAGAATAATGCCCATCTGGCAGGGACATTGTGAGGACGAAAACGATGGATAACTATGAAGTTCTTTGCAAACACTAGAAGGCTGGGTGAAAGGGAAGGTTCATTCCTCAAGGGTGCTGGGCCCCTGGCCTGGCCTCTCAGAGCAACAACAGATGGTCACAGCTTGGCTGTGGCCCTGACCGCGGACACAGGCAGGGATATCTGTGCTGTCCCCTCCCGTCAGCGTGTGCACGCGTACACAGAGCCCAGATGGGGGCCGCTTGGCCAGCTTCTCCCAGGCCGACCTCCTGCTGTTTGGCATTTGACATATGAGAAGACCAGGGCCAGAGCACACCCCTCACCACATCTCCCACCCCAGAGAGGAGCCAGACTGGCGGGGCGGCCTCCGCACCTCCAGGAAGCAGGATCCTGAGGGCCCTGATCTCTTTACCATGTGTCCAGAGACCTTTGATGGGAATTCCAGCACCCCTTTTGTCCTCTCCCACAGAAGCCCAATGGGGTGGGGGGTAACAGAAGGAGAGAGATTTAAAGAGAAAGAGGCCCTGTGGAGTCTCTGGGGGGCTGAGATAGGTGCCTTTGGGGGCTGGACACTTTCCTCTGGTGTTCACAGACACAAATGCCCCTTCTGGACTCCCCTCCCCTATCCATTCCTGAGGTGAGCCCCTGGCTTCACCCCTTGCCACCCTCACCATCACATGTACACTCAAATTTAGTCACCCTGATTGCTTTCTTTATTTGGACACAGAGGCCATTTCAAGCCTCTAGGATCATCCATCCATCCATCCATCCATCCATCCATCCAACCATCCATCCACCCATCCGTCTGTCTGTCTATTCATCCATCTGTCCATCTGTCCATCTGTCCATTCATCCATCCATCCATCCATCCATCCGTCCATTTGTCTGTCCATTCATCCATCCATCCGTCCATTTGTCTGTCCATTCATCCATCCATCCGTCCGTCTGTCCATCCATCCTGTAGTCTATTGAGAACTTAATCTGTGCCGGGCACTGTCCTAGGTGCTTGGGATATAACAGTGAACAAAACAAAGTCCCTGCTCTCATGAACTTTCTAGTGGGTACACAGACAATAAAGCAACAAATAGGACTGTCCCCTTCAACCTGTTGTTCCATAATCTGATGGATGAGTGTTACAGGGAACATCAGGTTGAAGGGGACAGTGTCTGCCGAGGCAACGGCTAAGCAGAGACTTGATGCTAGGCAGGGTGCAAGCCCAGGGAAGGTGTGTTCCAGGCAGGGCAGAGGCAGGGGCACTGAGGTGGAAAGCAGCGTGGCGGGAGGAGCTGTGAGGAGGCCAGGGTGTGGAAGGGAGGGAGGAGGGGCAGTGGCAGCAGGTGAGGCCGAGAGGTAATGGAAGCCGACCATGAGGACCCTGTATGCCAATGAGAGGACTTTGGCTTTTATTCTGAGTGAGATGGGAGCCACTGGAAGCTTTTGGTGGAAGAATGACTTATGGAACATGCTTTCAAGAGTTACACTGGCAACTGTGTTAAGAAAAGAGAGGACGATGTAGAAAGGGGGAGGTGAGATGGAAGTGAGGCCAGGCACAGTGGCCCATGCCTGGAATCCCAGCCCTTTGGAGGCCAAGGAAGGAGGCTAGCTTGAGCCCAGGAGCTCAAGACCAGCCTGGACAACACAGTGAGACCCCCATCTCTACAAAAAAATTTTAAAAATTAGCTGGGTGTGGTGGCCCACCACACCTATGGTCCCAACTACTTGGGAGGCTGAGGTAGGAGGACTGCTTGAGCCTGGGAGGTCCAGGCTGCAGTGAGCCGTGATCACGCCGCTGCACTCCAGTCTGGTCAGCAAAGTGAGACCCTGTCTCAAAAAACAAAACAAAAAAAAGAGAGAGAGGCTGCAGCTGTCGTCCAGGTGATAGCATCCCTGAGGTGGTGAGAAGTGATTGAAGAATCTAATTTGCTGTTCTGAAGAGTGAAAGAGAAGTTAAGGATGACCGCAAGGTTTCTGGCTTGAGCAACTAGAAAGGATGCAGCTGCCATTTCCTGCAGTGGGGAAGGCTGAGGGAGGGCTAGGTTGCGGATGTGGGAGCCCGGAGTTTCACTTTTGGGCATGTTAATTATGCCAATTAAATATTCCAGTGGGGATGTCAGCAAGAAGGTTGAATAAAGTGCGGAGTGCAGGGGAGAAATCTCAGCTGGAGAACTATGTTTGGGAAACATCAATACACAGGTGATGGTCAAAGCTAGGAGATGGGATGGGATCATGCACGGAATTACCATGGAGAGGGAAAAGAAGGCTGCAGGACTGAGCCCGAGGTCTGCAGGGTTTAGAAGGGAGTGGGTGATGGGAGGGCAGCAAAGAGGCTGTGGAGGGGACGGCAGCAGGGGCCAGGAGAGCGCAGGTCCCTGGTTTTGCAAGAGGAGGGCAGAGCATCAGATTCAGCTGTGTGGTTATGAGGCAAAGGTAGTGGAGTGTTGGGGGTAAATGCCTGCTTGGAAGGGGTTCAAGAGGAATGGAAGGACAGGAATAAGAAACAGTAGCATAGAAAAGGTAAAAACAAGCAAAGAGAGAGAGATAGAATGTAGCTGAAGGGGGATTCAGAAATTATTTTGGGGCCGGGCACAGTGGCACACGCCTGTAATCACAGCACTTTGGGAGGCTAAGGCAGGTGGACCACCTAAGGTCAGGAGTTCAAGACCAGCCTGGCCAACATAGAGAAACCCTGTCTCTACTAAAAATGCCAAAATTAGCTGGGCGTGGTGGTGGGCACTTGTAATCCCAGCTACTTAGGAGGCTGAGGCAGGAGAATTGCTTAAATCCAGGAGGCAGAGGTTGCAGCGAGGCAAGATCGTGACACTGCATTCCGCCTGGGCATCAGAGCAAAACTCTGTCTCAAAATAAATAAATTAAATTAAATTAAAAATTAGCTAGGTGTGGTGGCATGTGCCTGTAGTCCCAGCTGCTCAAGAGACTGGGGTGGAGGAATGCTTGAGCCTGGGAGGTGGAGGCTGCAGTGAGCTATGGGGACACTACTGCACTGTAGCCTGGGCAACAGAGCAAGACCTTGTCTCAAAAATGTATATATATTTTGGGCTTTTTTTCCTAAAACGGGAACTACAACAGCATATTTGCGAGCTGATGAGAGTGACCCAGCAGAGAGGGAAATGGATCAGGTAGGAGAAGGGGGAACCGAGGGAACAGTGTCTTTCTTGAAAGAGGGTGGGATCAGTGCACAAGAGGGAGACTTCAGACAGCTCACCCATCCTCGGTTCATCCTTTGTTCTATCCCCTCTCCCGCCAAGGAGTGAGCTTAGGGACAGGGAAGGAAAGCATTTGGCTCTCATGCCCCGCTCAGGGGTGTGCTCCCTGCCTTGTATCCTTGCCTTTCCACAGCCTGTGGAAGTGGGAGGAGATCTGCTTTCAGGTCCCCACTTGGCCTCCAGAGGATTGCGTGACCTGGGGCCAGCCACATCTGTCTGGCACTGTTTTATCTGCAAATAATACCTGCTTAACTGGGGTGCTGTGGGGAGTGGGTGCCAGCACTCCCTGCTCAGCTCTGCACTTTCCTTGTTTTCTCCTGGAGCCTCCGAGCTGGGACCTGCTGTCCCCTCCATGCCCCAGTGCTCCCCATGACTGCTGCAAAATGAATTCCTGACTCCCTAGCGAAAGTACCTCCGCTGTCTCTGAACCTCCAGCATTCTTTCTTTTCCTCTTTTTTTCTTTTTTAGCTATATGACCTTATTTTTTTAATCTATCAACTGTATTTATTCCTGTAATTCTTCATTTGCACAAAAAATCAACAGTTGTCTCTGTTTTAAGGGTAATACAGGCTGGGTTTTGTGCTCACGCCTGTAATCCCAGCACTTTGGGAGGCTGAGGGGGTGGGCTGCCTGAGCCCCGGAGTTTGAGGCCAACCTGAACAACCTGGTGAAACTCTGTCTGTACAAAAACAAACAAACAAACAAACACAAACATTAGCCAAGCTCGGTGGCATGTACCTGGCACCTGTGGTCCCAACTGCTAAGGAGGCTGAGGTGGGGGGATCGCTTGAACCTGGGAAGTTGAGGCTGTGGTGATCTCGCCACTGCACTCCAGCCTGGGCAATAGAGTGAGACTCTGTCTCAAGAAAAAAAGAGCGTAGGCCGGGTGTGGTGGCTCATGCCTGTAATCCAGCACTTTAGGAGGCCAAGGCGGGCGAATCATGAGGTCAGGAGTTTGAGACCAGCCTGGCCAACATGGTGAAACCCCATCTCTACTAAAAATACAGAAAATTAGCTGGGTGTAGTGGTGGGCGCCTGTAATCCCAGCTACTCAGGAGGCTGAGGCAAGAGAATCACTTGAACTCAGGAGGGGGAGGTTGCAGTGAGCCGAGATCGCACCACTGCACTCCAGCCCATGCGACAGTGTGAGACTCCATCTCAAAAAAAAAAAAAAAACAACTCAATATTTTGATTTTAAAATTTCTTTTTTTAAATAAAAATGGGTATATTTATGGTATACAAAATGGTGTTTCGAAATATGTACCCATTGTGGAATGGCTAAATTGAGCTAATTAACATATGCATTCCCTCACATACTTATTTGTGGTAAGAACACCTAAAATCTACTCTCAGTAATTTTCTTCTTCTTCTTTTTTTTTTTGAGATGGAGACTGGCTCTGTTGCCCAGGCTGGAGTGCAGTGGCGCGATCTCAGCTCACTGCAACCTCCGCCTTCCAGGTTCAAGCGATTCTCCTGCCTCAACCTCTCAAGTAGCTGGGATTACAGGCACCCGCCACTACACCCGGCTAATTTTTGTATTTTTAGTAGAGATGGAGTTTCACCATGTTGGCCAGGCTGGTCTCGAACTCCCGACCTCAGGTGATCCGCCTCCCTCACCCTTCCAAAGTGCCAGGATTACAGGCATGAGCCACCACACCAGGCCTACTCTCAGTAATCTTCAAGTATACAATGCACTTTTATTAACTCTAGTCACCATATTTAACAATAGATCTCTTGAACTTACTCCTCCTGAAATTTTGTCTTTTGACCCTTTCTTCCTTCCTTCCTCCTTCCCATTCTCTTTCATTCCTTTTTTTCCTTTCTTCTCCTCCCTCTCTCCCTCCCTCTCTTCCTTCCTTTTCTCCCTTCCTTCCTTCCTTCTTTTTTCCTCTCTTCCCTTCCCTCCCTCCCTCCTTTCTGAGGAAACACTTTGTTTTCTCTTCCCTGTTAGCTGATCAAGTCTGCAGGCATGGGTCCCAATGTGGTCTGGTTTGCCTCTCAAGCCGGGAGTCATAGCTGGCACACAGTGGCTGGCACACTCAAGGTATCATGGAAGGAAGAATCATGCAGCCACCCCATGGCATCCTCTAGCTCATCCCTAAACATGTGTTGAGCCCTACTCATGCTAGGCCCCTTGCCAGCTCTAGGGCAGCCCCCAGGCAGGTTTTGAAGGCTATTCTCTGGCCCAGAACTGGGGAAAGAGGTTCCTGTATGGTAGGTGCCAGGGCTGTGGCAGGTGACCAGTCTTCCAGAGTCCCCTTGTTACCCCTCCCTCTCCTCTCCTGTTGCAATAACTGGGGGGTTGGCATGAGGGAGAGGGCCTAGAGGAGGGGGCACAGTCCTGTTCAAGCTCTGCCAGGCAGCCAGAGACCCCCTGGGGCACCCGTTGTAAGCAGCAGACAAAAAGCCTGGGACAAAAGGCCTGTGGGAGCCTTGGTGAATAGATAAATGAGATTTCCATAAGGGAGGCCGACAATGGGATTCTCCCTTCCAGCCTCTTTGTTCCAGGCTGAGATAATGGAGCTCAGAGGAGGCTTGCCCAGAGGCATGGCCCCTTCTCCACACCGGCCTGGAGCCGACTCACAGCTGCCCCTCCTTGCCTACCCTGCCCCCAGCCCAGTTTGGTCCAATCCCTTCCCTCCCCTATGGGTGACGGAATCCAGAATCAGAGAATTTCTGGAAGATCCGGAAGGAATCTTGGGGGTCTCCTTCGGGGGTTGGAGGAGGGTGTTGATGCTGTGTTGTTGGGGTTTCTTCCTACCTCACCCTGTAAAAAATTTATTTGTGTTTCTAATGAGAAAGGAAGGTTAGAGGTCCACTGATCTAAACCAGCGGTCTCAATGGACAGATGAAGAAAGTGGAGTTTAGTAAGGTTAACTCATGTCTTGGCCATGATCACAGAGTGACAGCTCAGGGCATTTGCTGCCCCAGGAAGCCAGGGTGGCCTGGGGGGATACCTACTGCCTGCATCAGGCCCTGTGCATGGAGAGCCTGTGGTCCTCAGGGATGGGAGAGGCACCCACAGGACCCGAGGGCAGCAGGACCACGGGGGAGATAGGTGCCTGAGTGTTCTGGCCAGCTGTGAAGGCTGAATCATCTCTCATGAACCTTGTAAGACTTCCTAAAAATGAGGGGAGGGGTTTTAGGAATGACTTTACTCTTCCATCCCGTAATTCTTTCCGTAACTATTGATTGATTGCCTGTGAGTTTGAAGGACTTCGTCCTGTGGGTAGAGTCAAGCGGGGTTCCAGCTTCCTATGTGCACAGCAGCACTTCACCTTCAAGGTCTGCAGAGAAAGAGCTGCCGCAGGAACAATACCTTGCTCCCCAAACCAGGCAGTTTGAGAGAGAGAGTGTTTTCTCCACAGAGTCCCAGCTACCACCTGGGAAAACCACAAAACCCAAATAAGGAACTGTGTGCCCAGCCCAGGGGTGTGTCTGGTTATCTGATGGCCCTTCACAGGGAAAGACAGGCTCTACTTGGGCGTTTTACCGGGAGGGGACACAAATTCTCCTGCCTGCTCTGAAGGGTAAATACACAGCACTCGGGGGCAGAGCCACTGTTTCCACAGGCCCAGGAAGTGAGTGTTGGTGAGTGTAGGTGTGCAGCGTGGAATGACTCAGGCTATTCTCTGGCTGTAAGAACAAAGGGCTGGGCCAGAGAGCCCTTATAGGCAAGTGGTTCAGGGCCTGGGCTTTGAGTCCTGTCTCCACTCTGTAACAGCCATGTGACCCTGAAGATGTGTTAATCTCTGTACCTCAGTCTCCTCATCTGGGGAGGCGATGGGGATGACAATAACAGTATTGATCTCAGAGCTGGTATGACGGCTGCATTAGAGATGTAAAACGTAGAACAGGCGCTGGTTCTGTACACAGTGCTTGGGTTTTGGGGAAATGGCGTCAGCTACTGGCCCGTCATATTAGAACTGGAAGGAACCTCTTTTCACAGAACATTCACCAAGTTTCCCCAGCCCCAAAGAGAAGTTACTTGTTTAGTGTCACTCAGCAAGGTTGGGGCACTGCTTGGGTTCTGAATTTGTAATTTGTGCCCCACACTGGACTGTGTCCATTATATACATTATCTTTAAATCCTCACTGCCACTCAACATGACATACGTTATGCCCTTTAACAAATGGAGAAATTGGCTGGGTGCAGTGGCTCAGGCCTGTAATCCCAGCACTTTGGTAGGCTGAGGCAGACAGATCACTTGAGGCCAGGAGTTTGAGACCAGTCTGGCCAATATGGCAAAACCCTGTCTCTACTTAAAAAAAAAAAAAACAAATAGAAATGGGGAAATTGAGGTTCACTGAGGTCAGGCAACCTGCCCAGGGTCACACAGTGTGTGTTTGGGCCTGGATTCAAATTAGGTCTCTGGGATTCAAAGCCTATACTTTCCCCCATGTCCTCAGGGCCTTTCCTCACCTCCAGCATCACTGATCATTGGAGTGTGACTTGTGAACCTGGACAGGAGACATGGGGTCCCCGTCCTGGGGAGATCCTTCCTGAGGCTCCTGTGGGAGGCAAACTGGCAGCAGGCCCAGGGTCTCTGTGTCAGAGCAAGAGGGCTGTAACTGGCCTGGGGGTGGGGGCAGGGAGACAGCATTTTCCACCTATAGCGGGCTAGGGGAGGAAGGCAAGGCCTGGCAGGCCTGGGTCTGTCAGGAAGCATCTAAGTGAGATCACACTTTAAACATGTGCGTGCCAGGCACAGGCATGAACATATGCACATGTGCCTGCAGCTGCGCACATCTGTACACATCCCTGGTGGTGTGCACATACATGTTGGTGTGTATTCAGACTCACGTGAGACATCGTTCTGGGCCTGTGTGCAGGTAAGGCAATCTCACCCACTCTTCTCAAACTTCTACCCTCTTCCCGCCCTTAGGTTGGGGCTGGTCCTTTGGCAGCTGAGTTCTTTCTCTTGGAAGGGGTTAAAGGAAAATGTAGCGCTATGGAACTAAGTTTAGCAGAAGTTGCTGACCTGGTGCCCTGCTTCCTGGTTAGATTTTTTTTTTTTTTTTTTTTTTTGAGATGGGAGTTTCGCTCTTATCGCCCAGGCTGGAGTGCAATGGCGCGATCTTGGCTCACTGCAACCTCCACCTCCCAGGTTCAAGATATTCTCCTGCCTCAGCCTCCCAAGTAGCTGGGATTACAGGTGCCTGCCACCACGCCCGGCTAATTTTTTTTTTTTTTTTGTATTTTTAGTACAGAGGGGTTTCACCACGTTGGCTAGGCTGGCCTTGAACTCCTGATCTCAGGTGATCCACCCGCCTCAGCCTCACAAAGTGCTGGGATTACAGGCGTGAGCCACTGTGCCTGGCCCCTGGTTAGATTATTGAAAGGATCTCTAGTGGATGTCATGTCACTGCATGTAGACAATGATGCCTTAAAGAAGGAAGAAGGGAAAAAGGGATGAGCTGGTAGCTAGTGGGGAACCCAGGGTCAAGAGAGGTCATTTTGAAGATGAGAATTAATCAAGCTAACTGTGTGGGGGGGGCGGGCCCAGCACCTAGGAGGGATAATTGATGGGGCCGAGAACTGGGGCGGATGGACCCTGAGGCCTTCTGGGTGCAAGATGGATACAGATGTAGATAAAGGTAAAAAGAGGGCCAGAGGTAAGGGAGCTTTGCCCAATGACTTCATTTTTTGCCCTGGCTAAAATGGGAGGAAATTTACCTGGAGTGGAAGGGCCAGGTAATGAAGGGCCAAATGAAGACTGAGAGTAGAGATCAGGTGGTCTAGATAAGAGTGTCGGCCGGGCGCGGTGGCTCACGCCTGTAATCCCAGCACTTTGGGAGGCCGAGGCGGGCGGATCACGAGGTCAGGAGATCGAGACCATCCTGGCTAACACGGTGAAACCCCGTCTCTACTAAAAATACAAAAAATTAGCCGGGCGTGGTAGCGGGCGCCTGTAGTCCCAGCTACTCGGGAGGCTGAGGCAGGAGAATGGCGTGAACCCGGGAGGCGGAGCTTGCAGTGAGCCGAGATCGCGCCACTGCACTCCAGCCTGGGCGACAGAGCGAGACTCCGTCTCAAAAAAAAAAAAAAAGAGTGTCATGGACAAGTTCCCCTCTCTGGAAGGGCGAGAGGGTCTGAGCTGTGGAGTAGAGGAGACTTCGTGGGTATGAAGCTGGCAGGATGGGGTGGAGGACTGGAGGTGGCTTACTGGAGTCCACAGTTGCCAAGGTGGAGCAGTTCTCAGTGACAGCCAGGGCCAGAGGATCTTCGTTGGCGGGTGGAGGTTTCAGTAAGGATTGCTGAAGGCCAGGCCAGGGGCTGGTGAGAGGGAGCCTGGCCCAAAAGTCTGGGCAATGAGGGACATCACTGACAGCTTTAGGAGCATAGGGGCTGGCGGTGGGGAAGATGTGTGTGGACAAGTCCAGATCTGAGTCTTCTTCATTTACTGTGTCTGTGCCCTTAGTGGGTAGGATGTCACTCTTTTTCCCCAGCTTGTCCAGTTTAATATGTTCAGGGTAAATGCTATCATCAAGGTCAAATCTCTCTTTCCATATTAAGTAAGGAAACAAAGCACAGAATAGTAAATAGAAAAAAAAAAACAGATTTGTGGTCTGGATAGTAACACAATACTTGCATTTGTGTAACTTTTGTTTGTTTGTTTGTTTTGAGATGGAGTCTCACTCTTGTCGCCCAGGCTGGAGTGCAGTGGTGCCACCTCGGATCACTGTAACCTCCGCCACCCGGGTTCAAGTGGTTCTCCTGCCTCAGCATCCTGAGTAGCTGGGATGACAGGCACCCGCCACTACGCCCGGCTAATTTTTGTATTTTTAGTACAGACGGTGTTTCACCATGTTGGCCAAGCTGGTCTTGAATTTCTGACCTCAGGTGATCCACCAGCCTCGGCCTCCTAAAGTGTTGGGATTACAGGCATGAGCCACTGAGCCTGGCCAATAACTTTGATGTTACCTCCTAAGACTCTGCAGCCAGAACCATTTGTGATTTCTGATGTTCCAGGAAATTACCCTCTTTCACACCAGGTAATGCCTCTGATCTTTGGAGATCCTGCTCGGCAAGAGCTGGAGGGCTGCATATCTGCCCCCAAGGACCTCGCACTCAGCTGTTACTCTGCTCTCCCTCCTGCCCAGTGGCCAGCATCACCTCTCAAATGGGGGCAGGACAACCTCAAGAACTCAACATACCTTCCTTTTTAAGCTACACTTTTATGGCTCATGCCTTCCCTAGGGCAGTGGGGATGAGAGTAAATAGCTTTATTTTCAAATGTCTTCTCCCACTGATGTCAGGTCACAGTCACCTGAAGTAGAGAGCATCAACAGGGGTGGGGTGCTGTCAACAAGCTGCTGCTAGGAAGGCCAGCTGTGGAGAACTGAGAAGCCACCGGGTTATCTTCAGCTTCCTCTTCGACTATATACACCCACTTTCAAAGCTCTGGTGACCCAACATTTCTTGGTGTTCTCTATGGACTCAAAGTGTATGGATGGTTATGTAGGTTGTCCACAAGCCTTTCCAACAGGGCACAATTCACAATTCCAGTGCAGCAGACACCAGATTTATGAGCTTTCCAGAAGGTGGCAGTAAAGTCCCTTGAGGAAGGGAATACGGTACGTGAGCTAGCGCAGCCCTGGCTTTCTGAAGGCACTGTGCCCTGCACCTTTGAAGGTGTTGTTCTTGTGATCTGGGATGCCCTGCTCACTTTAGCCTGTCTGGTCGACTTGATCCCTCACTTTTCATGGTCCAGCAAAGGCACCACCTCCTTGGGAAGTTGCCCTGAGCCCCAGTGCCCTTGGCACATACCTGTTTTCTCACTTCACAGAGGCCATTGTCTACCTGTCTTCTCCACCCGACTGACCCATCCTATTCACCTTTCAATCTTTCCCCATGCCTAGCAAAACACTTGGAATGTGCTCCATAAAAATCCGTTGAAGAAAGAATACTGAACCTATGAGAATACGTGAACCTGTTAACTTGTCTTATCAAAAGTTTAGCTTTGAGAAATCATCATCGGCATCGACTGTTGCTGGGTGTGCCATGGGCCTCTTAGTCTTTGAGATATTTTATCAGGCTGGCCCACAGGAGCCCTGTGCCTGGGTAGAACCATTCCCCAAGCCCCAGATCCCCTTACCAGAGTGTTTGGCTCACGCTGGGAGGTGCTAAGGGGGTGTCAGGAACAGCCAAGGAACATCTCCGCTGTGTTTACAGCATGGATGGCAAGAAGGACGTTGTTTATTACATCTCACAGGTCTGCTTCCTGAGGACCACGAAAAAAAGTTCTATGATCTCTAAGACAGGAACATTTTTGCTTTGAGTAATGGTGTTTTTTTACTTTGCAGTGAGTCTGATGACCTCTCCCTATTTGGCTACTGGGAAGCTCAGAGACAAATCTGTGGTCCACATCCTATGATGTGCATTGTTGTATATTAACTTTCCGCGGTCTTCTCCAGCATATGACCTATTTATTCTACATATTTTTGTATTGTGGTGAGACCTATTGGGAATAAAGCAGGTGGCAGCACCTGCCCCAGGCATACAGCCATTACATGCAGCTGGGTCTGGAATCCAGGTGCTCTGACTTCATCAGGCAGAAGCCAAAACCAAGTGGGAAGGAAATGAATGCTCTGGGTCAGCCACTGAGGTTTCCCATGGATAAGGCAGTCCCATACACGCCAGCATCTCTGACCTCAGGCCCACACGGGGCCTTGGAATCTCAGAATCTCAGGAAGGGCTGAGGTGAACAGAGCATTTAGGAATAACAAACTTCTGGGTCACTAGGCCAGGGACTCTGGGCAGGCCTCATACAACTCTTTACATAACCCTGGTGCCTCTGTAGTGGCCAGCACACGGTAGGTGACAAACATCTCTTACTGAGCGAGCTTCACTTGAGTTTGACTATTCCGAGGGCTGGGATGTCCCGCCCATTGTCCGATCCTTCATAGAAAGTAAGGATCACGTGTCCTGCAAAGGACATGGCTGGAGTGGCCAGGACAAAAATAATAACCATTGCCTACAAGGTGAAGTTAGGGCCAACCACATCATTTCCAGACCCCTTTGGGCGCTGAGGAAAATATTTTCAGACAACTTTAATCCTGGGACATAAGAAGTGTATTTGGTGCCTGGAGGGAGGGCCCCAAGAGAGTGGGGCGGTAGGTGGTGGATGCCGGAAGCCCAGCCTGTCCAAGCCGCAGTCTAGGCGGACTGGCCTATGGCTAGCAGTGGCCCACTGGGTCCTCGGTGGCTAGACCTCACCAGACCTCCTGTCTCTTGCCCGCAGCTCTGTTGAAGATGCACTGGACACCAGAACACGCCCAGCCCCTCAACCAGTGGCCAGAGCAGCACCTGGACGTCTCCTCCACCACCCCGTCGCCGGCCCACAAGTTGGAGTTGCCCCCTGGGGGTCGCCAACGCTGCCACTACGCTTGGGCACACGACGACATCTCAGCCCTCACTGCCTCCAACCTCCTAAAGCGCTATGCAGAGAAGTACTCTGGGGTCTTGGATTCTCCCTACGAGCGTCCGGCCCTGGGCGGGTACAGCGACGCCTCCTTCCTCAACGGCGCCAAAGGGGATCCCGAGCCCTGGCCAGGGCCGGAGCCACCCTACCCCTTGGCCTCACTCCACGAAGGCCTCCCAGGAACCAAATCGGGCGGTGGCGGCGGTTCCGGGGCCCTGGGGGGCTCCCCAGTTTTAGCCGGGAACCTCCCTGAACCCCTCTACGCCGGCAATGCGTGCGGGGGCCCATCGGCGGCGCCCGAGTACGCGGCCGGCTACGGCGGGGGGTACCTGGCGCCGGGTTACTGCGCGCAGACGGGCGCCGCGCTGCCCCCGCCGCCCCCGGCCGCGCTCCTGCAGCCCCCACCGCCTCCGGGGTACGGGCCCTCAGCGCCGCTGTACAACTATCCCGCAGGGGGCTACGCAGCGCAGCCCGGCTATGGCGCGCTCCCGCCGCCCCCAGGCCCACCCCCGGCCCCCTACCTGACCCCGGGCCTGCCCGCGCCCACGCCCCTGCCCGCGCCGGCACCGCCCACCGCCTATGGCTTCCCCACGGCCGCGCCGGGTGCCGAATCCGGGCTGTCGCTGAAGCGCAAGGCCGCCGACGAGGGGCCCGAGGGCCGCTACCGCAAGTACGCGTACGAGCCCGCCAAGGCCCCCGTGGCTGACGGAGCCTCCTACCCCGCCGCGGACAACGGCGAATGTCGGGGCAACGGGTTCCGGGCCAAGCCGCCAGGAGCCGCGGAGGAGGCGTCGGGCAAGTACGGTGGCGGCGTCCCCCTCAAGGTCCTGGGCTCCCCCGTCTACGGCCCGCAACTGGAGCCCTTTGAAAAGTTCCCGGAGCGGGCCCCGGCTCCTCGTGGGGGGTTCGCCGTGCCGTCGGGGGAGACTCCCAAAGGCGTGGACCCTGGGGCCCTGGAGCTGGTGACGAGCAAGATGGTGGACTGCGGGCCCCCGGTGCAGTGGGCGGATGTGGCGGGCCAGGGCGCGCTCAAGGCGGCGCTGGAGGAGGAGCTGGTGTGGCCCCTGCTCAGGCCGCCCGCCTACCCGGGCAGCCTGCGCCCGCCGCGGACCGTCCTGCTCTTTGGGCCGCGGGGCGCGGGCAAAGCGCTGCTGGGCCGCTGCCTCGCCACGCAGCTGGGCGCCACGCTGTTGCGCCTGCGCGGCGCGACCCTGGCTGCGCCCGGCGCCGCCGAGGGCGCGCGCCTCCTCCAGGCCGCCTTCGCGGCCGCGCGCTGCCGCCCACCCTCCGTACTCCTCATCAGCGAGCTAGAGGCGCTGCTCCCCGCCCGGGACGACGGCGCGGCGGCAGGGGGCGCGCTGCAGGTGCCGCTCCTGGCCTGCCTGGACGGGGGCTGCGGCGCGGGGGCTGACGGCGTGCTGGTTGTGGGCACCACCTCGCGGCCCGCGGCTCTGGACGAGGCGACCCGCCGGCGCTTCTCTCTCCGCTTCTACGTGGCGCTGCCCGACAGCCCGGCCCGCGGGCAGATCCTGCAGCGGGCGCTGGCCCAGCAGGGCTGCGCGCTCAGTGAGCGGGAACTGGCGGCGCTGGTGCAGGGCACGCAGGGCTTCTCTGGGGGCGAGCTGGGGCAGCTGTGCCAGCAGGCGGCGGCCGGGGCGGGCCTCCCGGGGCTGCAGCGCCCCCTCTCCTACAAGGACCTGGAGGCGGCGCTGGCCAAGGTGGGCCCTAGGGCCTCTGCCAAGGAACTGGACTCGTTCGTGGAGTGGGACAAAATGTACGGCTCCGGACACTGACGGCGCGCGGGGGAGGCCGCGGGAGCCGCAGTCCCTCCGTCCCCGCCGCCTCCGCGTGGGAGGGATGTCACTGACTAAACCCGGCTGGCAGGGGCTGGAGTGGTGAATGTGGGATCGGGGACAGGAGGGGTCTGCCGGTGGATATTTTTTTTTTCGTGGGAAGGAAAATGCTTCTGCCAGGCAGATGCCATATGCGCCGTGTACTCAGGTTTTTCCTATTTATTGTGGACTGGAAGCTCGCCATCTCCGCCCGGCAGACCGGGCAGATCCGGCATGGGCTGGCACCCGGGGCCTTAAGAACTCCTGCTCTCTTGCCACAACGCTTTTGTCTCCTCGCTATCTGAATGGCACCCTCCTTCTCCCTCACTCTCTCCATCCCATTCTCTGCATTCTCTTGGTTTTCTCTCCCTTTTGCTTTGTCGCTGACACCCCTGCCCACCCCATGCTGGCCCTGTTTCTCTCCTGCCCCTCCCTCCCCAGCTCTCCATCCCTCACCCTCTGTGCTTCTGTCTCCATCCCTGGCTCTCCAGCGTCCCTGGCCTTTTGGTCCCTGAGCTTTAATGCCTTTCCCTGCCTTCTGTTCTTATTTGGACTGCAGTGGCCCTTTGCAGGAGCTCTGGAGGCCCAGGGGCTGAGGAGGAGGGTTACCCCTCTACCCATCTGAAACCTAGGGTCTAGGGGGATCAAGGAAAAAAAGTCCCCAAAGAAGGGGAATTTTTTGTTTGTTTTTGAGGGGAGATCCCAGAAATGTAGCTTGTTTCATATTTTAGTCTTCTTATTTTTGTAAAATGTGTAGAATTTGCTGTTTTTCTTTTTCTTTTGACAACTCAGGAAGAAACTGACCTCAGAAAGAATGTTAGACTTTGGCTGCTCTCCTGTGTGCCCCTCACACCTGCCCCCTCCCCCCCACTCCATCCAGGGGACCAAATTCTCCCAGACACTCAAAAAATGAGACTTACGGGGAAGGGGAGAGGAAGACCCAGAGGCCTCAGTGAAACCCCAGCTATTCCTGGTCAGAAGCAGAATGTATTCCTAAGGGCTTCCTCCCCAGGGCCGAGGCCTAGGCATGAATGTGGGGAGTGGGCTGTGGGGTTTGAGAGAAGGGAGGCCTTATTCCTCTCCTGCTGCTCCCCACCCCCTGCCCCACCCAACCCCTCCGCTGAGTGTTTTCTGTGAAGGGCTATCCAGAGTTAGGATGCCCTTGCCCAATTCCTTCCTGAGACCCAGAAGGTAGGGTGGGAGGGCCCAAATGGGAAGGTGACCTAAGCAGAAAGTCTCCAGAAAGGTCATGTCCCCTGGCCCTGCCTTGGCAGAGGTCCCCAGTGACTTATGCTAGGAGGATTCCATCTGGGTAGACAGTCTGGCCACAAAATCAGCTACTGGACCTCAGCCATCTCTGCTGGAGGCTCTGAGGAGGAGTGAGCATCCCTCACTTGTGGGGGCTCTGTGAGGAAATGTGCCTTCCCCATTCCCCCGGAGTCCTAGGTCTGGAGCTCCAGGGCTGGGAGAGGGTGAGGGAGATGGGCAGGGGTGTTTTCTCTGACCTTGGGGGCTTAGTCTCAGTCCTGCCTGAACTTTCCACTAGGCTTGGAACCCTTCCAAGAACCATATTTCTCTCCTTCCCACCAATTTTCCCTTGATGAGGCTTTAGCAGTTTGCTCCCACCACCCCCAGCCCATTTCACAACTCTGATCTTAGTCCAAAGCAGGGGACACGCCCCCCCACCACCACTTTTTCTCTCTCCCATCTCAGCCTCCTGTGCAGTTCCTTGCCTGCCCGTGCATTTCCTAGAGTCTACTGCCTCCCCCCTGGCTGGGAGGGTGTCTGGGGGGGATCTTTCAGGGGCCCTGGCACCCAGGGCCTGTGCTGGCCTAGGAGTGCTGACCAGAAGGCTGCTCTGTTCCCCCCCACCCCCGTTGCTTTCTGGCCCCCTCTTTGGAGCCAGCCACCCACAGGGCTTTGGTGCCTCAGAAGCAGTGGGCTGCCGGGTCACAGCCGCAGGCTGCAAAAGACCCTCGGAGGGAGCATGGAGTGAGGGGTTCTCTCTCAGGTGTGTATGTATTGGGGGGTGGGGGTGGGTGGAGGGTGTCAGGGAAGTTGGGGTGGGATCCCAGCCTTCCCTTCAAGAGGCAGGGAGCTCTGGGAGGTGGAGTCCCCACCGCTTTCTCTACTAGGCTCCTCCTGTTCCCCAGGCTTGGGGAGCTTTGCACAAGGAGACTGCCCCCAGCCTAGTGGCACCTACCTCATGGGCTCTGGGGCAGGTAGGGGAAGGGCCAGTCCAGCTCTGGTAATGCTGGGGGGAGGCATACCAAAGAATCCAGGGGCAGGGAGTGGGGAGGGTGACTTCCGAGCTGGCCTCTCCCCTTCCTCTACCCAGACTGGGGCTGGGATCCTCTCCTCCCGCTGTAACCATTTCTACCTCATTTTGCTGCGTGTTGTACATGGACGTATTTATCTCCTGTCTGACGATGCTCTGCAGTTGTGGTCTGTCTACCTCAGAAGAGACTGTATTTTAAAAGAAAGTATTACACAGTATTAAAGCGATGACATGTGGTTTGCAGAAGATTTCTCGGGGGCAGTGGGATGTGGGAGTCCTCTGGGAGATGTCTGGACACCTGTGTATGCTGGTGCCCTGGGCGGGGTGTTCCTAATCCCCTAGTAACAAGGAGCAAGGACTCCTGTGACTCACTGTGATACAGTGAGTACCTACAGGAATGGGCACTGAGGCTATGGGGAAGAAGCCATGGGTAAGGGGCCTTCCTGCCGTTCTGAGCTCTGACATTCAGCACTGGGGCAGGCTCATTGTATCCCCAGAGCCACAAAATAGGGGGGCAAGGAAGGGCTCACATGTTTGTTGAATGAGTGAAGAAATGAATGCATGGAGGAAGGGGGTTGCTGAAGAGAGGGAGGAGCCATCCAGAACCTGCAGCAGCCTTCATTGAATAGAGCTAGGGTTATACTTGTATTCCATTCTCAGTGGAGATAAAGTGGATAGAGGGCGGGGTGTGGAGACGGCCAAGTTCCAATGTCTCAGGTGACGTGGTGTCCTTTGTCTACCATCCCCCCATCCATCAGTCCCCTAACTCTATCTGTGACAGCTCATCGTAAACTGGGAGACTGAACAACCTAGGAACACTTGCTGAACAAGCTCTGTAGAGATGTCAGTGAGAGATTTGGACCCACAGCTCCTAGGTCCTTGAATACTCTAGGCAAGATTGCTGAGCATGCGCAAGAGCACAGGGGAGTAGTGCACCCAGGCTCCCTGCTATGGCTCACTGCACACATACAGGAGGCAGCGTGAGCATCAGGGAGACCCTGCAAAGCAAAGAGGACACAAATGTGAGTGTGCCTGGAGGTGGGGGCTCTAAGGCACTGCCCCAGAGTCCATTACCACAAGCCTCTCAGCCCTTGGAGGTCCAGACCCACCTGCCCCCACTCCTCTATTTTGCACCTTACTGTGTGCAGACATTGGGCCTGGCACTGAGGATACAGAAGGGGTCAAGCACAGCTGCTATTCCTGGAGCCCATGTCTAGGTGGGAAAAGCTCAGAAATTGATCATTTAAAAATACAACTGGATAAAGCTGCTGGGGATGGGGGACCACATCAAAGTAGTCTTTATATTCATACACCTAGTGCAATTATCTGGTACATACAAGACATTGAATAGATGTTTCTTGAATAAATCCTCTAATTTCCAGATGAGTGCCCTGGTGGAGGATGCACAGGTTATCTTAAGAATGCCAAGAAATGGCTGGGGGCGCGGTGGCTCACGTCTGTAATCCCAGCACTTTGGGAGGCCAAGGTGGACGGATCACTTGAGGTCAGGAGTTTGAGACCAGCCTGGTCAACATGGTGAAACCTAGTCTCTACTAAAAATACAAAAATTAGCTGGGCATGGTGGTGCACACCTGTAGTCCAAGCTACTTGGGAGGTTGAGGCACGAGAATCACTTGGACCTGGGAGACAGAGGTTGCAGTGAGCCGAGATCATGCCGCTGCACTCCAACTTGGGTGACAGAGGGAGATTCTGATACAAAACAAAACAAAACAAACAAACAATGCCCAGAAAAGATCCTGACTTGTGGTGGTCTTGGTGGGGTGTCAGGAAAACTTCCTACCCAGGAGGGGAGGGGGATAGCTGGGCAAAGTATGGAGGCTGGAAACTGCATCTTACGTGCTGTGCCACGAGTCTTGTTGTGTTACAAGATAGTGAGGGCAGGAATTGGAGGAGTGAGGCTGGAGGAGTCAGCGGGGACCTCACTATGGAGGGCCTTCCATGCCCTGCTAGGAGCTGGGGCTCTATGATGAAGCCTTTGTGGGAGTTTAGGGGGCCGAGGACAGGACTGATTTGCAAGTTAAGAATTCACACAATGGCCCTGCCTTGTGGCTCATGCCTGTAATCCTTGCGCTTTGGGAGGCTGAGGCAGGAGGATCCCTTGAGCCCAGGAGTTCCGAGACCAGCCTGGGCAGCAGCAGGAGACCCTGTCTCTTAAAAAAACAAAAAATTCACACATTGACTCAACAAATCTTTACTGAACACTTATTATGCTCTAGTTGCCATGGGGACAATGTATGGACCTTGCAGTCTAGTTGGCGGAGACAGTAAAAAGGCCGAGCTGCAGTGTGCTGTGGGGCAGATAGGAGGAGTCCCTAATGGGGACACCACTAAGGGGTGTGACTCGGAGTCAGGGAGGGCTTCCCAAAGGCGCCTGACAGCAGGAGGAGTGCAGGCCGCGATCAGAAGGAGAGCCAGAGCCAAGCTTCCTTGGGGGAAATGGAATAAGTGCAGGTAGGCAGGGCCCCAGTGTTGGGGGGCAAGGATGGGGGCTGGAGGACCAGCAAGAGAGGAGGAGGGTCTGGACTTGCACTGGAGTGGGAGAATGGGATGATGGATTCATTTAATAAATACTAAACTTTAGTATTTGGTAGACAAGAGGAGAATTTAGGAATTGAGGCCAGGCATGGTGGCTCATTCCTGTCATCACAGCACTTTGGGAGGTGGTGGCAGAGGCGGAGGCTGGAGCTGGAGACCAGCCTGCGCAACACAGCAAGACCCCTATCTGCACAAAAGAAAATAAAAAAAGAGAATGTAGGAATTGATTGAATATCGAAGTTAATGGAGAGCAAGGGGTCTAGGGCTTTTCGTAAAGGGGAACGGTTGGGGAGTACATGAATTAGAAGAGATGTTGGTAACTTGTTCAGTTTGAGGTATTAGTGGCTATTAGGAGGCCTAGGGCAGGAGCTACAATGTAAAAGCCCAGAATCCTAGCCTCCTGGGGGGCTGAGAACCCCCTTCCTGGGTGTTGCAAGCCCTCTTACCCCAGTTCCTGAGTTTCGTGAGACCCTCCAACAAGTGCCATGTCGGAGTCCCCGTCTCCGTCGCTGGGTGTTGGCAGCCCCCTTGTCCCCAGTCCCCTCCTCCACTAGGCTTCCCGACTGTTCGGAGCCTCCTCCCTCCCACAATCCGCGGGCGTTCGGAACCCCTCCCCCATCACCGGCGCGGAGCCCGTCCACGTCCCCGTCCCCGCACAGTCCTCGGTCCCTGGTTCCCGCCAGGGATGGCGGCGCGGACTCTGGCGAGCGCCTTGGTCCTCACGCTCTGGGTTTGGGCGCTGGCTCCGGCGGGGGCCGTGGACGCTATGGGCCCTCACGCAGCCGTCCGTCTGGCCGAGCTGCTGACCCCGGAGGAGTGCGGCCATTTCCGGTCGCTCCTGGAGGCGCCCGAGCCCGACGTGGAGGCCGAGTTGTCCCGGCTTTCTGAAGACCGGCTGGCGCGGCCTGAGCCGCTCAACACCACGTCGGGGTCTCCGAGCCGGCGGCGGCGGCGAGAGGCGGCCGAGGACCCGGCGGGCAGGGTAGCCGGGCCTGGAGAGGTGTCCGACGGCTGCCGGGAGGCGCTGGCGGCCTGGCTGGCCCCCCAGGCCGCGTCCCTGTCCTGGGACCGCCTGGCTCGGGCCCTGCGGCGCAGCGGCCGCCCGGACGTGGCCAGGGAGCTGGGCAAGAACCTCCACCAGCAGGCGACGCTGCAGCTGCGCAAGTTCGGGCAGCGCTTCCTGCCGCGGCCCGGCGCCGCCGCCCGCGTGCCCTTTGCCCCGGCCCCGCGCCCCCGGCGCGCCGCGGTCCCCGCGCCGGACTGGGACGCCCTGCAGCTGATCGTGGAGCGCCTGCCGCAGCCCCTGTACGAGCGGAGCCCCATGGGTTGGGCGGGGCCGCTGGCGCTCGGCCTCCTCACCGGCTTCGTGGGGGCGCTGGGCACCGGGGCGCTGGTCGTCCTGCTCACGCTATGGATCACTGGCGGCGACGGCGACCGGGCGTCGCCCGGCAGCCCCGGCCCGCTCGCCACAGTGCAGGGCTGGTGGGAAACAAAGCTGCTCCTTCCTAAAGAGCGGCGCGCGCCCCCGGGGGCCTGGGCTGCAGATGGGCCAGATTCTCCCTCACCTCACAGTGCCCTTGCCCTCAGCTGTAAAATGGGAGCACAGTCTTGGGGCAGTGGTGCTTTGGACGGTTTATAAACGTTAAGAAATACCGAAAGAGCAGAGAGTTTGTTAATCCGTTGGAAAGGAGCAGCAAAGCCCGTGGGACTGCCGGTGGAAGAGGGGCTCAGGTACCAGGCTCCCAGGGTGGCAGGTGCACCGCCCAATTCTTGTCAGCTTAGCTTTTTTTTTTTTTTTTAAGAAGGAGCCTCGCTCTGTTGCCCAGGCTGGAGGGCAGTGGTGCGATCTCTGCTCACTGCAACCTCTGCCTCCGGGGTTCAAGGATTCAAGCGATTCTCCTGCCTCAGCCTCCCGAGTAGCTGGGACTACAGGTGTGCGCAGCCACGCCCCGCTAATTTTTGTGTTTTTAGTAGAGACGGGGTTTCGCCTTGTTGGCCAAGTTGGTCTCCAACTCCTGGGCTCAAGTGATCCGCCTGCCTGGGCCTCCCAGAGTGCTGGGATTACAGGCGTGAGCCACTGCGCCAGGCAGATTCCTTCTTATCTTGCAATTATTCTTCCACGAAGAGTTACCACTTATTGCGCACTGTGTGCCAGGCCTCATGCTAACTAGTTACATACATTATTTGATGTACTCTTCAAAACTCAAGGAGGAAGGTATTGTCTCCATCACACATGCGGAAACTCGGCCACAGCTAGTTAGTGGCATAGTCACGTTCTCGAACCTACGGCCGTCTGACCTGAAAGTTTGAGCTCCAGAAGGAAAGGTGTGTGCGCAATAAGGGGCTTGAAAAACGTGATGGGGACCAGAACAAGATGTGCAGCTCCCCCTCGGGGCTACTCTGGGGCTCTGCTGGAGTGTGCAGAGGCAGCACCACTAGAGAGGGGTGTGCCCACGTGCAGGGCGCCGCCTCCAAGGTGCTGCCCCCCGCCAGGCAAGGCCTCCTGACATGCTGAGTGGAGTCCCAAACCTTTCCCACACACCTGGGAGTGGCTAGGGCACTGCCTGCCCAGCTAAGGGGCTGAGCCGCGGTGAGCCCTTACGCAGACTTCTGTCCCCGCCACGGGACAGAGTGGGGTCCTGCGAGGTGGTGGTGCCTGTCCACCTTGGGCTTCAGTGTGAGGGCAATGACAGAATGACAGGCCAGTCCAAGAGGAGAGTTGAAAACAAGATTGACGTAACCCTTTATTGCAAATTCTAAAGTAAAAAGATGTACAGTACAAAGTAAAATTGAAATTTCATACTATAAACTTCCAATCCACTTACACATTCTCATTTCTCAAGCATTTCTGCCATTTCCGCATAAACAGAACAGGGAACAAGTCGAGGAGGTGAGGGAAGGAGATACAGCAAGGGGAAAAAATTGTCTTGAATAATCACAAACCCCAGAAGCAAGTGAAAGGAAAGACATTTTCTCGACCTGCTGTCCTGGTGATGAGAAGCGGGGGTGGTTGGAGCAGTGCAGTTTAAAATGGCTCTCAGAATAGCAGCATTTATGGTACCATTTCAGCTTCCTTAAGTCCAATAATACTTTGCCCTTCCCTAGCGCCTTTGCCTCTGTATCTCAAAACGCTTTACAAAACATTTAGTTAAAGCCTCACAACACCCCTGTGAGGTAGGTCAGTATTATTATCCCCATTTTACAGATGGGGAAACTGAGGCACAGAGAGGTTAAGTGACTTGCCCAAGGCCACACAGCGAGCCAGCGGTCAAGCTAGGGACAGAACACAGTTCTGTCCCTTTTCTGGAACCACTGGACCACACTCCCCTTTACCTATATACATTCTTCACACACACACACACACACCACATGTGCACACCCACCCACCCCACCCCACTTAGCCTCTATGTACAGCAAACAGCAGTGGGGGGCAGGGGCAGGGGGTGCCTCAGGAGTTTTAATGGAGGAAATCTTGGTAATCTTGGAAAGGGAATCCAAGAAAGCACAGAGCTGAACAATGGAAACTCTGTTGCAAAACTTGGGCCCCTCCCAACCCAGACTTCCTCTTCTCTCCTGATGTCCCCCTGGCTGGCAAGTTGCAGCCAATTCTTTAGGGGGTGGGGAGTACCTGAAAATGAACGAAGCTTTTTGCTAAACTGTGGGCAACATCTGAGAAAAGAAAGAGGCATCATTACAGAAGATGCCCAGGACTCAAGTCACAAAGTCATGACCCATGGCGATCTCACCTCCACAGCAGGCCTGGAGGCTGGGGGCCGAGGGGAGGAGGATGGGGACTGACCTACCAGCCATCTCGCTCCAGAGTGGAGCTACTGGAGCGGACTAGAGTGGGCACTTCGAGATCCTCCTGAGAGAGTGTTCCTGAACCAGGAGACATGGCCTAGGCCTAGAGAGGGATGTCCCCAAAGGGGGACAGGGAGAGAAGGAAGAGGAAGCGTGCCCCCACCCCCACACAAATGTGAAGGAGACCAGCCCTCGTCTGTGGGCCTGTCTGGGGCGATGGAGGGCAGGGCCCAGTATGAGCTTGCAGAGTGGAGGCTGTTGGGCATCGCACATGCCCTAGCTTTGGGGCACAGGGATAGGGTTTTTTTGTTTTTGTTTTTTAACATACAGGTGAAAAAGGCAGAAGTAAGGCCAGTCCAGCTGGGTTGGCTGACGTCATCTCTGAGGGCTCTGCCAGGTGGATTAGGTGAAGAGAGGTTTTATGGGCCTCTAAGCACCGGCCAGTAGTGGGGAATGCCACATGCAATGGGTGAGTGGGGATCTGGGGGGGGTCAGGACCTTGCTTTTCTTCCAATCTCTCCTTCTTAGCCAGAACTTTGCGAGAGCCCCTTTGATTTCTCTTCCCTCTATTCCCCTCCTTTCCCCAAATGTGCTAAGGTCCCAATTCCCAGACCCCTCCCAGGACTCAAGAATTGGGATAGTCAAGCAACAAACACACCAAGACAGGCTTCCCTTGTACAGTAAAAAGGGTCATTTTTATTTTGTTTCCTTTTGGCTTAGAGGAGTGATGGACTTTTTATCACGTCTCATTAGGGCAGCATTGGCCTCCATGCATTCACTAATACACTAATCTTCACTGTTGGTCTTTTACAGGTTTACGTTGGTTGCAGCAAAAAATAAAAGAACTCTGGGCACTGTCGCTTTAGGGGCTTTGACTGGGAGTTTGTTTATCTCTCTCCAGTCAACTTCTGACGCCAAAAGTGGCTCGTTTAGAAAGGAGTGAGAGTAGGCCATGTTAACATGGAAGTTTCTTCCTCCTCTCGTCCTCTGCTTTAAATTACAGAGTCTCCTCATCCTAAGCAACAAGGAGGTTAAGGAAAGAAGAGGGGGAAAATGTTTTTCACACACAAACCAGCAACCATGTCAGCTGCTGCTCAGTGGCTTTGGCTCTGCATTTTAAATTATTAACAGCATCACACATCTTTTTGCTTTTTGTCCTTTTTTTAAAAGGTGGATTGTGGAGTATAAATACTGCACCAAGGACCTGGCTACAAAAAATAAATATTTATATTATATTTATATATCTATATATATATGTGCAGTGATACTGTGGCTGCGCTGCTCTTTGATTGGCTTCGTTAATATTTGGCAAAGCATTGCCACTTACCCACTCAGCGAAGATGCACAAAAACGTCATCACTGATTCTTTCAGTTCGATGCCTGTTAACTGCGGGTGTAAACTGCTGGTGATGGTGTCATTTACTACCAAAGAAGTGTGGAGCAGGATGGGTGAGAGAGTGAGTGAGTGAGCAGGTGGAAGGACAGTGGGTGAAGGATAAAAAGGTGGGAAACATTTTTTTTTTAAAAAGTGAAACTTCAAATACAGCGGAGGTGGCTTCTTTCCTATGAGGCTGGCTGATGGGTGCCAGATACCAAGGCCCATGTGTTACTGAGGAGACAGCCTGCTGGGCTGGGGTCAGGAGCTAGCGGAGGGAAACGGTTAGATCTCAGAAAAATCTCATCACTATGCCCTAGTAGCTTAATGACATCACTAGCATGAGCACATGGTGTACTTGGCGGGATCTTACAGCTCTGTTGCCCATCTCAAGACCTAAGAACAATTATTAAGTTTAGCCAAATCTTGCATAGACGTGGTTAGAATTTATTGCACATTGGAACAAAAATATATATTTTTTGTTGTTTTGGAAAAGACCATTAGCAATAAAAAATTTTTTGTCTGTCTGTCTGGTTTGGGGATGTACATTGGCTGACAGCATCTAAGTTCTAAGAAGAAAGAAAAGTATAAAAAATAAAAATAAACATGACAATGGCATAAGCCAGAAGCCATTTCCTATTTAATAAGTTAATAATTTGTATTTACAAAAAGGCATGCCAATAAAATAAAATTATATATTACAGTATTTATAATTCTCTTAAAAAGAATAACCACACATGTCAGCTTCTGTTTTGTGCTGTTTACAATGTAGCCTGTACATGTTACTATACATTCATCCTAGCAGTTAGCAGGGTCACTGAAAGATAGGCCTTCCCAGTCTGGTATTGGGTGTAGTACAAAAATTCTACGGATGCTGCTGCAGAAGCAGGCTTAAGAGAGCTGGACAGTTTCTAGTGGTCCAACAAGATAGAAAGCTCTGCTTGCCGACTTACTGTGGTTTGTTCTATGCAAAACTAGTCTGGTGGACTGTGAAATTACCTTCAAAGTGCTTCTACTGCAAGGCAGATCGGTGTGTCTGATTATGGGTTGGTTCTTCTTCCCCCTCTAGTGTATGGTTCAGGAAGAATTTATTTGGATTTGGTTCACATGCTAAAGTCTCTTTTCACTCTTTGTATAGAGACTTCCTGACACATTCAACTGCAGCATCTTGGCTTTGAAATCCAGTCATTAGGTGAGAAACCCCTGGACTAAAAACTGTCTTTCCTAAAGCAGGAGATGGAATGGAAGATATGACGCTCCCCCAGAAGCCACACTTCAATGACAATGGGCAGGTCGCTAAGCAGATAGCAAAACTGGCTGCAAGGGAATGCACTGAGGGAAGCTGGAACATCCTAAAGAATTAATATTAAATTGCTTTCTCATGAAAACCAGTGCAGTAAAGAAACCAAGTGGGCTTGGTTCAGAGGCGGCTCCATCTCTACCTCAGGTCTCACCAGTGACTATTATTCTAATAATAAGTGAAAGAAACCACAGCCGTAACCCCAATGCTGCTACCCTCACCCACCTCTGTGGGCAAGGGAAGCCCTGCTCAGTGGAGAAATGTGATGGAGGCAGGGGGAGCCATGCAGTGTGTGAGTATGCGATGACCCCTCTGCAGAAGAGAGAGGTCAGTTCAGAATATCTGAACCCCTCGCGGTATCGACCCATGCCTGGAGAAAGCCACAATGCAGAGGACATGATACGAAATGAAATGAGCACCCCATAACTCCCAATGAAAGGTCATTTTAAGTTCCCCAAATTACCCCTAGAGATAACTGGTGCTACTTTGAAAAGCACTTTTATCTCTACCCCAAATAAGTGTCAATTCTCCAGTATGAAGGCTAAACGATCGTCATAAATATTGCAAGATACAAATGAATTTTTTTTTTAGCCCTAGGATTTGGTTTTACAGTGACATAAATAGTACAAGCCATTTGGGATCAAAGTCTCCCCCATGTACTGGACACAGAGCAGCATTAAATAGTTCATCTTGCAAAATGTGCAACAATGGCTGTATGTTAGAGATGTCTGTTAAACATATACACGCAACGGATCCATCTGCTTGTTGGATTGGGTTTGTTTTTTGTTGTTGGTGGTGTTAGTCAATTAGTTGGTTGTTTCCCTACCCAGAAGGTGTATGAAGGACTTTTAAGAACTCAAAGAATTGTAGCCGGTATGGAACTCTTACCATTTTCTCCAAATACAGTGAACGGTGCAGGGCTGGGTCCTGTCCAAAGGCTGACCCAGTGCAAGGGACTAGATTAGTAGTGTCCTGTGGTGTATGGATCTCATGCATGACTTCTGATCACGGCATGCCATCATGCAAATCATTTCTACGCATTGAACGAGCACAATGTTTGGAATCGGCCTGAGCAAGTCCTCCTCAGCCTGAAGAAACCTGATTGTTTTCCCCCACCCATCTCCAAACCACGTGAAGCCCATGTGGAGAAGATGCGCTTTATGTCAAAGAAACTGACAATTAAATGACATGGGCTAAATGTGAGTGTGTGTGTGTGTTTTCTTTTTGCTGCTTAGCTTAACTAATGTAAGAATGCAAATATAGTTTGCATGAACAAACGAACTTTTAAAGTGATGCTTTCTGCTTCTGAGAATCAATAAAATGAAAAAATAAAATCCATTTGGCTGCAACGGAAATATGCTGGTCCCGGCAGCCTCTCTTCTGTTTCTGTATCTGGTTAGTTTTGTCCTAAGTTGCATTGACTGATGTGGAACATGCAGTAACCACCTGCCCAAGCATTAGAAAATCTGTAAGTCTAGGGAGCGGGGTCCTTTGCCCTTGGCAGGTCACTGCTCAAGATGCAGCTGTGTTACGTGGTAAGCAGACGACGTTTGGTATAGATCTTCAGGTTAGAGTCTCCACAGCTGTTCTGCATTGATAATATTCAGGAAGTTTGTAAACAATCTTTCACTTGCGAGTTTTAGATCTGTATAATACTGAATTTTTGTTCTCCTCTAACACTTGGATTCTCTGACCTCTTTTTGTCTTTTGGCTCTTTCCCTTCTTCCTTCCTCTGCCCGCTGCTGTTTCTCCTTTTCAGGTTTAGTTACACTGTCATAGGACGGGAGGGAGGCTGTAGATGGGGTGCTCTCTTTTTTCTCCCGGTGTGTGCCTCCATTCTCCAGCTTATTAGAAGTTGTCTTTTTGCAGATGAAGCCCCGCCTTGCCAAATGTCCCCGGTAGGCACGCTGCAGGACCACTGCAGATACCTCCTCCTGCTTGCGACGCAGTGTGGTTGTGATTGGCTCGTAAGACACTTTGGAAGGATTGGATGCCACGAACCGCTCTTCCATCTGCTGCCGCAGGATGTCCAACTCCCCGCTATCTCCCAGGACCCGCTTGGTGAAGGCAAAAAGGATGTCCAAGCAGTGGATGCGATCCCCGCTCACCATTGGCAGATCCATAGCGATGAGCTCAATGGTATTGGGCTTGGGCACTCGGAGAGGATGCTCCAAGGCATCTGCAAAGTCTGCCAGCTTACAGTACTCAATGAACTGGGTGGCATCGGGGTCGAACTTCTCCCAGATCTCATAGAAGGTCTCAAAGTCATCCTCACTCAGAGGGTCTGCACTTTCCTCTGTGGCTACACTGAAGTTCTCCAGGATGATGGCAATGTACATGTTCACGACAATTAGGAAAGAGATGATGATGTAGCTTACAAAGAAGAAGATGCCCACTGAGGGGTTCCCACAATCTCCCTTAAAGCCACTCCCTGGGTGTTCCTTATCTAGGCTGCAGTCAGGGGGGCGGTTTAGGATGGGCAGCAGCAGGCCATCCCAACCAGCTGAGGTTGTGATTTGAAACAGGCAGATCATGCTGTTGCCAAATGTCTCAAAGTTGAACATGTCATCGATACCAGCCTCGTGCTTCACATATGCAAAATTGGACATCCCAAAAATGGAGAAGATGAACATGACCAGGAAGAGCAGAAGGCCGATGTTGAACAGGGCAGGCAAGGACATCATTAAGGCAAAGAGCAGGGTACGAATCCCTTTGGCGCCTTTGATCAGACGCAAGATGCGCCCAATACGGGCCAATCGGATGACTCGGAATAGGGTTGGGGAAACAAAGTATTTCTCAATTATATCTGCCAGGAACATTCCTAAGAAGAGGAATAGAAGAAGTTATGTTATTGAGATGGGAGACACCCTTTCTCTTTATTTTTTTTACCTGGCATTGTGGAACCCTTAGGTTCAAAGGGCTTTGCAGAATAAGTGCCTTACTATTCAGTCTGAACTCTCAAAAAGTGACATTTTGGCTGGGCATGGGGGCTCACGCCTGTAATCCCAGGACTTTGGGAGGCCAAGGCAGGTGGATTACTTGAGGCCAGGAGTTGGAGACCAGCCTGGCCAACATGGTGAAACCCTGTCTCTACTGAAAATAAAAAATTAGCTGGGCATGGTGGTGCACATCTGTAATTCCAGTTACTTGGGAGGCAGAGGCACAAGAATCGCTTGAACCTGGTAGGTGGAGGTTGTAGTAAGCCGAGATCGTGCCACTGCACTCCAGCCTTGGTGAAAGACCAAGATTCTTGTCTCAAAAAAAAAAAGTAACATTTTAAACATATAGAAAAGTAAACAATAAAATAGACACCTATGTGCCTAACACACATAACTAACACACACATTTGTCTTTTGATGTTGTTGTTTTTTGTTTTGAGATGGGGTCTTGCTATGTTGCCCAGGCTGGTCTTGAACTCCTGGGCTCAAGTGATCCTCCTGCCTCAGACCTCCTGAGTAACTGGAATGGAACACAGATTTAATAGAGGCTAGCATTTTACCAATTTTTCTTCCTCTTTCATCATTCCCAGATGAAGCATCCACAATGCTGAAGATGGTATGTATCATTCTAGTGTGTGCCTTTATAGATTTACTATGTAAGAATCATATATATATATATAATTTCCTACTATGGTTAGGAAATTATACTGTTTCTGTCTTATTTATTTATTTTAAATATTTTGTAGAGATGGGGGTCTTGCTATGTTGCCCGGGCTGGTCTTGAATGCCTGGGTTCAAGCAATCCGATCCTCCCTCCTCAACCTCCCAAAGTGCTGGGATTACGGGTGTGAACTGCCACATCCAGGCTGTATTTGTCTTATGAGGTCCATCTATTTAGGTCTCTACCTTGTTTTTGAGATTTAACATTACAATTGTGAGACTGATCCCTCATGTTGAAATAATTTTAGATTACTCATTCTAACAATTGAGTGGTAGTCCCTTTTATGAATAGGTCCTCATTTACTTGTTTTTCTACTCAAGAATGATTAGGTTTTTTTTCCAGATTTGTGCACATATGATTTTCCAAGATGATACTGATACTCTCCACAATGGAATCAAATTTCCATATCCACAAACAATAAATGAGAGGTCCTGGCTACACCTCATAACCTCATTATCCTTTAACTTTGATGTCTTACTTATTCTCTAATGCTAGCAATTTTCAAAGTATCTTCTTCTTTGCTCTGAAAAAACATCTTTGGTTTCCCATAGCCCTACCTCCCTAGTCTACCAAACTAGCCTAGAAAACTAAAGGGACTCTCAGGAGTGACTTTCAACTCTGAGCTGATAGATTTTGTGCTGCAAGTCGTGAATCAGAAACCAGTATCAGGCTGGGCGCAATGGCTCATGCCTGTAATCCAGCACTTTGGGAGGCTGAAGTGGGCAGATCACTTGAGGCTAGGAGTTCAAGACCAGCCTGGCCAACATGGCAAAACCCAGTCTCTACTAAAAATACAAAAAAATTAGCCAAGTGTAATTCCAGCTATTCAGGAGGCTGAGGCATGAGAATCACTTGAACCCAGGAGGCAGAGGTTGCAGTGAGCTGAGATCACGCCACTGCACTCCAGCCTGGGCGACAGAGTGAGACTCCATCTCAAAAAAAAAAAAGGTACAAAAATTAGCTGGGCGCGGTGGCGCATGCCTGTAACCCGAGCTACTCAGGAGGCTGAGGCAGGAGAATTGCGTGAGCCTGGGAGGCAGAGGTTGCAGTGAGCTGAGATCACACCCCAGCCTGGGCGACAGGCAGAGACTCTGTCTTTAAAAAAAAAAAAAAAAGAAAAGAGAAAAAGAAAAGAAACCAGTATCAGCAGGTAAAGATGCCAAGGCATTAGGATATAAAGGCAGAAGGTGAAAGTGTACAAATCGGAGCGCCTTTTTCTAGTTATATTCGTCCAGGGATTCACCTCAACCAGGCCACTTGTTCTTTAAAGCTACAGAGCAATGAGGGGACCCAAATGAGGGGCCACAGAAGGAAGGGAGTTGAAAAGTCTGGGAAATGACAACCGAAGGGAAGGCACTGACATGTTCTCTTCGTTCAGTACCTTCTCTTGCCGTCCAGGCACTAACAAGACAATGGGAGCTTCAGCTGACATGAGGGATTTAATTTAAGGAAACATTTCTCACTCATAAGAATGCATAAACACTGGGGCAGTTAACTGCAGAAGGCTATAGAATCCCCTTTGAAGAATCTTAGCTTTTCAGGAAAAGACAAGATGCGGTAAGTTCAGCGAGCGGGTCAAGTAACCTCTTGGAGCCTCTTCAGGAGCTAGAATTCCATGGGATATTTGAGCCTTCAAGAAAATCTCTACCTTAGCCAGGACCCACCCATGATGATTTCTCAGCTTCTCAATTAAATCATAACCAGTGACCAAAGAAGTCAGGTTATATAATATATATTCAAGTATATGTGATACTTGCAGCCCATATATGGTGGGCAAGTAGGGCTTCAGAGAGAAGATGATGGCTGAGGTAGGTTTTGAAGGATGAATGTGTGTTTGTCCCCATAGAAAAAGGGAGAAATGGGGCAGACAGTAATGTAGGCAGTAGAAACACCATTTAAGGGGTACTGTAGGTGGTTTCAGAGCTAGTTTTACCCCAATTCCTTGTGATGGTTAATATTGTCAACCTGATTGGAATGAAGGATGCAAAGCATTGTTTCTGGGTGTTGCCAGAGGAGATTAACATTTGAGTCTGTGGACTGGCAGAGGAAGACCCATCCTCAATGTGGGTGGGCACCATCTAATCGGCTGCCAACTCGGCTAGAAAAAGCAAGCAGAAGAAGGTGGAAGAAGCTGACTTGCTGAGTCTTCCGGCCTTCATCTCCTCCCGCGCTGGATGCTTCCTGCCCTGGAACATCAGACTCCAAGTTCTTTGGCTTTTGGACCCTTGGACTTACAGCAGTGGTTTTACAGGGGCTCTCGGGCCTTTGGCCACAGACCAAAGGCTGCACTGTCAGCTTCCCTACTTTTGAGGATTTGGGACTCAGACTGAGCCACTACTGGCTTCCTTGCTCCTCAGCTTGCAGATGGCCTGCTGTGGGACTTCACCTTGTGATCATGTGAGATCACATCTATCCTATTAGTTCTGTCCCTCTAGAAAACCCTGACAGATTTTGGTACCAGGAGTGGGTCTAGAGGAACAGAATTTTAAGAATAGATTTCTTTAGTTGGTTTTGGGGTTTCTGGAGTTGGCTGCTTAATCTGATTAGACCCAAAAATGCTAAGGACTCTACTTCTGATAGTATGGAGAACACTGATAGTCCCTGGTGTGAACTGTTTAGAGAGTTATGCAAAATAGATGGCATTTGATATTCCTGATTCGTCGTTCTTGAGAGGCAAGGAGTTTAGTGACTCTGTACGTAATACATTTGACCATATGTGGAGAACCAAGGAATATAATGAAGTTGGTTGGTTCTCCTAAGTTCACTGGAGAAAGTAATGAAAGAAAAGGATGAGCTCAGGGATTCTAACTCCCAGCTCCAGAGCACATACTGAGCCTCAAGTCTTCTAAGATTTCCCTGAGTCTTATCTCCTGTAGACAAAGGGCTGAATTTGCGGAAAATCAGACACAAGTTCTTACCACGCAAGTGGCTGGCCTGCAAGGAAAGGTGCATGCGTAGCCTCCCTAGGTATCTATTGTTAAAGTGAGGGCACTGATTGGAAAAGAATGGGACCCTGCGACTTGGAATAGGGATGTGTGGGAGGACCCTGATGAAGCTGGGGACACTGAGCTTGTAAACTCTGACAGCCTTTTTTGCCAGAGAAAACAGCCTCCTCACCCCCAGTGGTGGCAATATCCCTTCCCCCACCCAGGCTGCCACCAGCCTTTCCACATTTGTCTGAGATTAACCCTGCAATGCTTGAGGCAACAGTGGTCTCCCCTGAAGCAAGACAATGCTGATTCTCTTCTGAACCCACCCCCAACACCCCTGTTTGTTTCTAGACCTGTAACTAGACTCAAGTCATGGCAGCTCTCTAGAAGTGAGGTTCAGAGTGTGACTCACGAGATGAGCTACACTCCAAAAGAACTGCTTGAGTTTCTTTTTTTTTGAGACAGAGTCTTGCTCTGTCACCCAGGCTAGAGTGCAGTGGTGCAATCTCCACTCACTGCAACCTCCACCTCCTGGGTTCAAGTGATTCTCGTGCCTCAGCCTCCGGAGTAGCTGGGGTTACAGGTGCATGCCACCATGCCCGGCTAATTTTTGTATTTTTAGTAGAGACGGGGTTTCACCATATTGGCCAGGCTGGTCTTGAACTCCTGACGTCAAGTGATCCGCCCCCCTCAGCCTCCCAAAGTGCTGGGATTACAAGCATGAGCTATGGCGCCTGGCCTGCTGGAGTTCTCTAATTTGTATAAGCAGAAATCTGGAGAACAGGTATGGGAATGGATATTAAGGTTGCAGGACAACGGTGGAAGGAACATAAAGTTGGATCAGGTTGAATTTATTGATATGGGCCCACTAAGCAGGGATTCTGTGTTTAATATCGCAGCTCGGGGAGTTAAAAAGGTTCTAATAGTTTATTTGCTTGGTTAGCTGAAACGTGGATCAAAAGATGGCCCACTGTGAGTAAGCTGGAAATGCCTGATCTCCCTTGGTTTAATGTAGAGGAAGGGATCCAAAGGCTTAGGGAGATTGGAATGCTAGAGTGGATTAGTCACCTTAGACCTACTCATCCCAACTGGTAGGGTCCAGAAGACATACCCTTAATAGCTTGCAAAACAGATTTGTGAGGGGAGCACCTGCATCCTTGAAGAGCTCTGTGATTGCTCTTCCCTGTATGCCAGATCTTACAGTGGGAACTGCAGTCACTTAACTGGATAATTTAAATGCAATGGGAATAATTGGATCCCAAGGTGGCAGGGGCTGAGTGGGGGCACTCAACTGTCAAAGGCAAGGTGGGCGTAGCTACCATAATGGATAGCAGAGGCAAAGCAGCATTCAGAATAGTCTGATTAGTGTAGAGCTCTGGCATTGGCTAATTAATCATGGTGTTCCTAGAAGTGAAATTGATAGGAAGCCTACTACATTCTTTCTTGATTTGTGTAAGCAGAAAACTTCCAGGTCAAGTGGACAAAAGGCTAATTTGAATTATAAAAATAGAGAATCATGCCCCCTCAACCAATTTCCAGACTTGAACCAGCGTACAGACCCAGAATAATATTCCCCTTGAATAAAGGGGAGGCCTGGTCCCTTTGAGGAAGGACCCCACTACACTACTGACAATTTATACTGCTAATCTTTCTCCCATGCTTCCCCAAGGAGACCTCCGGTCTTTTACCAGGGTAACTGGTCCCCTTTCGGGGACTACTGGACACTGGACACTGGCTCTGAGCTGACAATGATTCCAGGGGACCCAAAACATCACTGTGGTCCTCCAGTTAGAGTAAGGGCTTATGGAGGTCAGATAATTAATGAAGTTTCAGCTCAGGTCTGACTTACAGTGGGTCCCGGATTCATCCTGTGGTCATTTTCCCAGTGCCAGAATGTATAATTGACACAGACATACTTAGCAACTGGCAGAATCCCCATATTGGCTGACTGGTAGTGTGAGGCCTATTATGGTGGGAAAGGCCAAATGGAAGCCATTAGAGCTGCTTCTACCTAGAAAAACAGTAAATCAAAAACAATACTGCATCCCTGGAGGGACTGTGGAGATTAGTGCCACCATCAAGGACTTGAAAGATGCAGGGGTGGTGATTCCCACCACATCCCCATTCAACTTTCCTATTTGGCCTGTGCAGAAGTCAGATAGATCTTGGAGAACGACAGTGGATTATCATAAGCTGAACCAAGTGGTGACGACTCCAACTGCAGCTGCTGTACCAGATGCGGTTTCATTGCTTGAGCAAATTAACACATCTCCTGGTATCTGATATGCAGCTACGGATTTGGCAAATGCCTTTTTCTCCATTCCTGTCCATAAGGTCCACCAGAAGCAATTTGCCTTCAGCTGGCAAGGCCAGCAATATATCTTTACTGTCCTACCTCAGGGGTATATAAACTCCCTGGCTTTGTGTCATAATCTTGCTCGCAGAGATCTTGATCGCTTTTCCCTTCCACAAGATATCATGATGGTCCATTACATTGATGACATTATGCCGACTGGACCCAGTGAGCGAGAAGTAGCAAACACACTGGACTTACTGGTGAGACATTTGGGTGCCAGGGGATGGGAAATAAATCAGACTAAAATTCAGGGACCTTCTACCTCAGTGAAATTTCTAGGGGCCCAGTGCTGAGGGGCCTGTCAAGATATTCCTTCTAAGGTGAAGGATAAGTTGTTGCATTTGGCCTCTCCTACAACCAAGAAAGAGTCACAACGCCTAGTGGGCCTATTTGGATTTTGGGGGCAACACATTCCTCATTTGAGTATGTTACTCCGGCCCATTTATTGAGTCACCTGAAAGGCTGCCAGTTTTGAGTGGGGTTTAGAACAGGAGAAGGCTCTGCAATAGGTCCAGGCTGTTGTGCAAGCTGCTCTGCCACTTGGGCTATATGACCCAGCAGATCCAGTGGTGCTTGAGGTATCAGTGGCAGATAGGGATGCTGTTTAGAGCCTTTGGTAGGCCCCCATAGGTGAATCACAGAGGAGGTCCGTAGGATTTTGGAGCAAGGCCCTGCCATCTTCTGCAGATAACTACTCGCCTTTTGAGGGACGGCTCTTGGCCTGTTACTGGGCTTTGGTGGAAACTGAACGTTTGACCATGGGTCACCCAGTTACCATGTGGCCTGAACCGCCTCTCATGAACTAGGTGCTCTCTGACCCATCTAGCCATGAAGTTGGGTGCGCACAGCAGCATTCCATCGTCAAATGGAAATGGTATGCACCTGATTGGGCTCGAGCAGGTCCTAAAGGCACAAGTAAGTTACAAGAGGAAGTAGCTCAAATGCCCATGGTCCCCACTGCTGCCACCCTACCTTCTCTCCCAGAGCCTGCAGAGATGGCCTCATGGGGAGTTCGCTATGATCAACTGACAGAAGAAGAGAAGACTAGGGCCTAGTTTACAGACGGTTCTGCACGAAATGCAGGCACCACCCAAAAGTGGACAGCTGCAGCACTATAGCCCCTTTCTAGGACATCCCTGAAGGAGAGCACTGAAGGGAAATCTTCCCAGTGGGCAGAACTTCGAGCAGTGCACCTGGCTGTGCACTTTGCATGGAAGGAGAAATGGCCAGATGTGTGATTATATACTGATTCATGGGCTGTAGCAAATGGTTTGGCTGGATGGTCAGGGACTTCAAAGAAGCATGATTGGTGACAAATTTGGGGAAGAGGTATGTGGATGGACCTCTCTGAGTGGTCAAAAACTGTGAAGATATTTGTGTCCCACATGAATGCTTACCAAAGGGTGACCTCAGCAGAGGAGGCTTTTAATAATCAGGTGGATAGGATGACTCATTCTGTGGACACCACTCAGCCTCTTTCCCCAGGCACCCCTGTCATTGCCCAATGGGCCCATGAACAAAGTGACTATAGTGGCAGGGATGGAGGTTACGCATGGGCTCACCAACATGGACTCCCACTCATCAAGGCTGACCTGGTTGTGGCCACTGCTGAGTGTCCAATTTGCCAGTAGCAGAGACCAACACTGAGCCCTCAATATGACACCATTCCTCGGGGTGATCAGCCAGCTACTTGGTGGTAGGCTGCTTATATCGGACCTCTTCCATCATGGAAAGGGCAGCGGTTTGTCCTCACCAGAACAGACACTTACTCTGGATATGGGTTTGCTTATCCTGCATGCAATGCTTCTGCCAAGACTACCATCTGTGGACTCACGGAATGCATTACCCACCATCATGGTATTCCACACAGCATTGCTTCTGACCAAGGCACTCACTTTACAGCTAAGAAGTGCGGCAGTGGGTTCATGCTCATGGAATTCACTGGTGTTACCATGTTCCTCATCATCTTGAAGCAGCTGGATTGATAGCATGGTGGAATGGCCTTTTGAAGTCATGATTACAATGCCAACTAGGTAACAATACTTTGCAGGGCTGGGGCAAAGTTCTCCAGAAGGCCATGTATGCTTTGAATCAGTGTCCAATATATGGTACTGTTTCTCCCATAGCCAGGATTCATGGGTCCAGGAATCAAGGGGTGGAAATGGAAGTGGCACCACTCCCCATCACCCCTAGTGACCGGCTAGCAAAATTTTTGCCTCCTGTTCCTGCGACATTATGTTCTGCTGGCCTAAAGGTCTTAGTTCCAGAGGGAGGAATGCTGTCACTAGGAGACACAACAATGATTCCATTAAACCTGAAGTTAAGATGGCCACCTAGCCACTTTGGGCTACCTCTAAGTCAACAGTCTAAGAAGGGAGTTATAGTGTTGGCTGGGGTGACTGACCCAGACTATCAAGATGAAATCAGTCTACTGCTCCACAATGGAGGTATGGAAGAGTATGCATGGAATACAGGAGATCCCTTAGGGCGTCTCTTAGTATTAGCATGCCCTGTGATTAAGGTCAATGGGAAACTACAACAGCCCAATCCAGGTAGGACTACAAATGCCCCAAACCCTTTAGGAATGAAGATTTGGGTCACTCCACCAGGTAAATAACCACAACCAGCCGTGGTGCTTGCTGAAGGCAAAGTGAATATAGAATGAGTAGTAGAAGGTAGTCATCAATACCAGCTACGACCACGTGACCAGTTGCAGAAATGAAGACTATTGTCATGAGTATTTCCTCATTTTGTTAAGAACATGTTTGTGCATGTATACACTTGTACTAGGAAAATATCTTCATTTTAGTTCTTTTCTTTTTCCTTTATCATGTGACGTAAGATTTGTTGACTTCGTATCAGCATTTAAGTGTTGTTAACTTTATGTAATAGCATTCAGGTTAAGGATTAGTGCGCTTCTGGTTGTATGAAGGATAGCTGTATTATGTTAGGCGTAATTAGGACCTTATTATTGTATTTATTTGGAGATTAAGTATGATTTCAGGAGATGTGTATGGGTTCAAGTTGGCAAGGGGTGGACTTGTAATGGTTAATATTAAGTGTCAATTTGATTGGACTGAAGGATGCAAAGTATCGTTTCTGGGTGTTACCAGAGATTAGGCTGGTGCAAAAGTAATTGCAGTTTTTGCCATTACTTTTAATTTGAGTCAGTGGACTGGGAGAGGAAGGCCCACCCTCAATGTGGGTGGGCACCATCTAATCGGCTGCCAGCTCAGCTAGAAAAAGCAGGCAGAAGAAGATGGAAGAAGCTGACTTGCTGAGTCTTCTGGCCTTCATCTCCTCCCGCGCTGGATGCTTCCTGCCCTCGAACATAAGACTCTGAGTTCTTCAGCTTTTAGACTCTTGGACTTTCACCAGTGGTTTGCCAGGGGCTCTCTGGCCTTTGGCCAGACCAAAGGCTGCACTGTCAGCTTCCCTACTTTTGAGGATTTGAGACTCAGACTGAGCCACTACTGGCTCCCTTCAGCTTGCAGATGGCCTATCGTGGGACTTCACCTTGTGATCGTGAGTCAGTTCTCCTTAATACACTCCCTTTCATATATACATCTATCCTATTAGTTTTGTCCCTCTACAAAACTCTAATACATTTCTTACTTTAAAAAGATGATTTCTATACTTTTGTTTCTGAACAAATTAATGTTAATAAAAATCCCCATCATCAAAAACATCTTCCTCTTTTTAGAGTACCATTTGAAAATAGGGGGTATGATTTGGTCTGTGGATTTTCTGTGTCACTCAACGATAAGTGGCCAGGAAAGTTTCAAGAGCAGTGGACAAGGGTAGCATTGTCCAAAGTGTGTTTTGTGAGAAATTAGGAGAATGGACTTGAGGCCAGGGGCTGGGCTTGAATCCCCACTTGCTCACTTACCAGCCACATGTCTTGGGAACCTCTCTGTGCCTCAGTTCCTCAGGATTCTTAGAGGTTTGTTGAGAGGATTATATGAATTAACATATTTAAAGCACTTATTATGGTACCTGGCACATAATGTGTTCCATTTAAATGTGAGCTATCATTATTATTACTGAAAAAAAGGAAACTGGTCTAATAAAGGTGGGATGCTATGTTACATTTAAACAGAATTCTTTATTTTTGAGACTAGGTCTCTCTCTGTCATCTAGGAAGTGTAATGGCGTGATCTCAGCTCACTGCAGCCTTGACCTCCCGGGCTTAAACAATCCTCCCACCTCAGCCTCCCAAGTAACTGGGACTACAGGCACGTATCACCATGCCTGGCTCATTTTTTTTTTTTTTTTTCAGAGATAGAGTTTTATCATGTTGCCCAGGCTGGTCTTGAACTCCTGGGCTCAAGTTGTCTGCCCGCCTTGCCTCCCAAAGTGCTGGGATTACAGGCACGCGCCACTGCACCCGGCCCAGAATTCTTTACCGTAGGATTTCCAAGAGAATTCAGTAATGTGCACTGTGAATCCTCAAAGGAAAATTAAAGGCAGTGTTACCTAAAGTAATTCCCTCATGAGATTCTTTTCTTGAGGAGAAATGTCTAGGATTAGTGTTCCACATATCAACACACTTTTGGACATGCTGCTCTGGAGGACAGAACTAGAGGGTGGCACAGGCCAAGGGGAGACCCCTGCCTTCTGGTACCTTATAACCACTACACTAGGCCCAGCATGGCCGCTGGAGCTCTGGGGCTGGTCCCATGGGTCTCGAGCACTCTCTCTAGTGTAAATGAGTCAAACTTACCTGGAAACAAGGCTGAGTTTTATCACAAAAGATGCCTTTCAGGAAGGCAAGGAAACATTTTGGGAGGGCAATCAACAGGGTGGCATTTCCTTCTGCCTGCCTGCCAGGACATCATCCCCCCACACTTTTAGGTTGAAGCAAAATGCACACAGTCACTGTTAAAAAACTTGGACTTTGGGATCAACTCGAGTTATGCCTCCACCACCTCCTAGCGAGTGGCTGTGGACATGTATACAGTCCAGATAATAAAGAAGCTTGCTTCCTGGGATGTAATAAGAATCAAATGAGATAACACAGGTGAAGAAACTCTCAAACTGTAGTTGGCCCACAGTAAAATCTCAGTAAACAAGCCCTGCCAGTAACAGCAGCACTACCATGGCCATCACCACCAGAACTTACCTAGACTATTTCATTAATGGCCAACTTAGCAATCATTCCTTCTTTCATTTTATACTTCTATTGTGCTACATTTTTTAATGACAACTTTCTTTTACCTTCCCTGTTAGACTTTAAACTCCTTAAAAGCAAGAACCAATCTTCTTTTTTTTTCTTTTTTCCCTGAGCCACAGAATTTATAATCCAAGACTACCGAGAACACTCAGTAGAAACTCACTGACCATGGAACCTGCTAGGCAGGCCCCCGAGATGACTCAGGGGCACACATGGACTTAAGCTATGAGGGTATCTTGCCTGCACTTCAGACCTGTGTCATTCATTCCTCTCCTGGGAAATCTCATCCTCACAATCAGTCAGGTCCCCTTTCCCCTCGCCTACTTCCCCAACCCCACTCACCCACAATGGAGAGGATGACTACCACGAAGTCGAAGATGTTCCAGCCAATGGTGAAGTAGTAGTGCCTCAACGCAAACATTTTGAGCACACACTCACAGGTGAAGAAGATAACAAACACCAGGTTAATCCAGTAGAGGATGTTCTCCATCTGCTTGCTTTGAGTGTCTGTCTCCACCATCATTGTCACCATGTTAAGGCAGATGAGCATCATGATAACAATGTCAAAGGCTTGCTGAGTGACAAAATCAAAGACGATTCCTTGGATTTTGTTCTGGGGAGGAAGGGAAGGAAAAGATAAAAGATTCATGAAAACCTTTCCAAGCCAACCTATGGAAGCTGTCACCCTGCTAATCGAGGTACCCTCTCCCTCCTTTTCTGTAATACTGGTCAGCTCTGCTGCTCTATCAGGAGCATGGATGGAGACCAACATCAATATTACCTCACCAAGAGCTTTCCAAAGTTACCAGCTTCTCTCTGTTTTCTGTTTGTTTTTCTTGAGACACAGTCTCATTCTGTTGCCCAGGCTGGAGTGCAGTGGTGCGATCTTGACTCACTGCAGCCTCTGCCTCCTAGGTTCAAACAATTCTCATGCCTCAGTCTCCCGAGTAGCTGGGATTACAGGCACACACCACCACGTCCGGCTAATTTTTTGTATTTTTAGCATAGACGGGGTTTTGCTATATTGGCCAGGCTGGTCTCGAACTCCTGGCCTCAAGTGATCTGTCTTCCTTGGCCTCCCAAAATGCTAGGATTACAGGTGTGAGCCATCATGCCTGGCCTTTCTTTCTGTTTTTAGAGACGGGTCTTACTGTGTTGCCCAGGCTGGAGTGCAGTGGCTATGCATAGGCGCGATCATAGCACATAGCAATTCAAACTCCTGGCCTCAGGTGATCCTCCTGCCTGAGCCTCCCAATAAGCTGGGCCTACAGGTGTGCACCACTATACCCAGCTGACCCACTTCTCTTTTGCGTCTGTGACACCACACACTCTGGCTGTCGTCCTACTTACCCAGCTGCTCCTTTTTTGGTCTCATCTGCCAGCCATTTCTTCTCTCAATCCCTTCTTTCTCTAAATTTTTGCTCTATGAGAGCTCATCTATTCCTGCTGCTTACGTGATACCTATGTACTTATGCTTAAGCTTTTCTTCTCCAGCCCATACCTTTCCTCTGATCCTGAGTTGCTTTCTTGCCACTTCTTCTTGATGACTCATAAGCATCTCAAACTTACCATGTCCAAGCCTCTCACAGTTAAGTCCAAAGCAGAGCCAAGTCTGTTCCCTGCCCCTCACCCAGCTTGTTCCTCTCATCTCAATTATTCATCCAGGCTCTCAAGCCAGGAATCTGGGCATCATCTTTGTCTCTTTCTTCTCCCTCATCTGATCCACTGAAGGGCCTGTTGATTCTTCCTCCAAAATTATAACTTGGGTTCATCCACTTCATTCCATTTTTATTGGCTCTATGCTAACCTGAGCCACCATCATCTCTCATCTGGACTTGTATGGCCACTTAACTGGTCTCCCACTTCTTCTCTTGCCCTCATCCAATGCAGTCCTCATATAATAGCAAGTGTAATGATTTAAAACAAATGGATCATGGCCAGGTGCGGTGGCTCACGCCTGTAATCCCAGCACTTTGGGAGGCCGAGGCCTCCCAAAATTGATCACTTGAGGTCAGGAGTTCAAGACCAGCCTGGTCAACATGGTGAAACCTTGTCTCTACTAAAAATACAAAAATTAGCCGGGCATGGTGGCAGGCGCCTGTGGTCCCAGCTACTCGGGAGGCTGAGGCACGAGAATTGCTTGAACCTGGGAGGCAGAGGTTGCAGTGGGCCGAGATCACGCCACTGCACTCCAGCCTGGTTAACAGAGAGAGACTCTGTCTCAAAACATAAAACAAAAAACAAATGGATCACATCATTCCCCTACTTAAAACCTTTCAAGAGCTTCCCACTGGGCTTGCAACACAATCCCTATTTGTTAACCTGGCTTACGGGGAGACACCTGGCACAGTCTGACTCTGCTCATCAATGTCCCTCCTCTGGCTCGCCACCCCCTGGCCACACTGTTTTCTGCTTCTGGGGTCTTGTGTATTCTGCCAGGAATCTCTTTCCCCAGCTCTTTGGTTCCATCTTTTTTTTTTTTTTTTTTTTTTTTTGAGATAGGGTCTCGCTGTCTTCCCCAGGCTGGAGTGCAGTGGCATGATATAGCTTACCATATCCTCTGCAGCCCTGACTCCTGGACTCACGCCATCCTCTCACCTCAGCCTTCTCAGTAGCTGGGACTACAGGCATGCTACCAGGCTCGGCTAATTTTTTTTTTTTTTTTTGTACAGATGGGGTTTCACTGTGTTGCCCAGGCTGGTCTAGAACTCCTAGGCTCAAGCGATCTGCCTGCCTCTAGATCCCAAGTTGGGATTACAGTATGAGCTACCGTGCCCAGCCAGTTCCTTCTCATCCACTCAAGTAGACCCTCCTTAGTGAGGCTTTCTCTGACTACTATATTAAAGTAGATCCACCACTTATAGCCCTCTAGTTAATTTTTTTCCTACAATCTTCCACATTTTATTGTAGCTGTTTGCTTACTTATTTATTATCTATCTCCCCAACTATTATAAGCTCCATGACAGCAGTCTACCTTTTGTTCATCACATAATGCTTAGTGCACGGTACATAGTAAAGACTGATAAATATTTGCTAAATGAATGTTAATCACTCTTTATTAATGTTTCCTACTTTTTAAAATATTTTATTTTATTTTGTATTTTTTGAGACAGGGTCCCTCCCTATTGCCCAAGCTGGAGTACAGTGGCACGGTCATGGCTCACTGCAGTCTTGGCCTCCAAGCTCAAGCAATTCTCTTACCTCAGCCTCCTACGTAGTGAGGACCACAGGTACACATAACCACGCCCAGCTACTTTTTACAAAATTTTTTTGTAGAGATGGGGTCTCATTATGTTGCCTAGGCTGGAAGTTATATTTTAATGTGGAAGAAAATACACTCAGGTTCCCATATGGAAAGTACTAAACAGAACTTTAGAAATGTTAACCCTTTTCTATTCCCTTTAGTCCCATTTCTATCACAAAATGAAGGCTTAACATCAAGGAAATAAAAAACCCCAAATGTTCTCTTTCTTGAGATTCCTTGCTTTTTTGTTTGTTTGTTTGTTTGAAGTACTGAGATACTTGGGCTGGTGCTTATTTCCAGGATTACTTTAACTTGGTGGTTTTCAATCTGCCCTGCAAAGCCCTAGAATTTCTTTTCCTTCAAAAGTTGATGCGGTAGATGTACCACGTGCGGCGTGTGGGGGTGAGGGGAGAAAACGTTCTGGAACTATAACTCTTGATTCAAACATAGTCACTCTACTTTTATTTCTACAAATTAGATTATCAGGGAAGCTTTTGTATTAAAGGTTCTGCTGGGTTTTTTTGGTGGTGTTGTGTCTGTTTTTTAAAGTTGCTAAATGGAAGTTACAGAAGAAGGAACTTTGGGCCTGGCTTTTGGGGGTGATGTCCCATCCAACCGGATATATGGAATCAGGAGCAGGGTATCTCCTTCTCCTTCTCTGAAACAAGACAACCATCACCAATGGAACAATGGAGCAGAATCTCAGCCCCCTAATCTGTTTTATAAAAGGCTCAGCTCAAGAGAGGCAATCAGGGCACCAGACTCCCATAGTTTTACCCTCTTCTGCTCCCACAAATAACCAGAAGCATGATTTTAACTTCTAGATACATCCTGCAAAGACATCCTTATTGAGCAGAGAGAAGCTGAAAAAATTATGACCAAATCCTATCTTGAACTGGCAGGAAAGAGAGCAACTTTATTTCATTTTCTCTTGTTGACTTTTGGTTGTCTCTAAAAACATCTCTCTACTAGGGCCAAAGCCAATGTGGTTCACATGCTGATTCTTGGTGGCTGCCCAAGGAAGGCTCAGAGGATAGGTCGAGGATTGATGTAAAAGCCCCCATGCCTTAATCCCTGTTCTTCTGCTGTCCTATTCAGATCTTTTGGATGGGTGGTGAGGAGAGGATTAGGCACAAAGCAGCCAATCACTTACCTTTTTCCTTCCTTTGCAGTAACTCTACTAGTACTTTTCCTATATGGGTTCTCACCAAGGCCTCAGCCTGCACAATGCACTTACCAAGGGGCGGGGAATAGGTTTCTGTGGCTTCTTTGAGCCCAGCTTTTTCATGGCATTGTAGTACTTCTTCTGTTCTTCGGTCATGAAGATGTCCTGACCTCCGAAGTAAAGGAGGGAAGAAGAAAACAGACAATTACAACTGGCTCTCAACATGCTATGGGTTTGGACCTAAGGTTCAATACTGAGAACTGAGGGGAGACCTATCCCTTTCCTTTGTAGCTAATAGCTGTCCCAGAGTGGGGTAGACCCGCGATAATCATTCAGCTCTAAAGAGATACCTGCCTTTGTTTTTAGCTCAGGATTTCTAAGATCTTCCAGTCCCAAGGTAGAAAGGAAATGGACTATCCAATTATAGACCCTCAGAAAGGGTAAACTTGAGAGCAGTGACTCTGAAGGCAGTCATATCTCAGAGTCTCATTTTCTGGGGGCCAGCTTTCCTGATACATTCTAGAAAACACATTTTAGAATAAAAAGATCTTTGTGTCCTGGCTGATAGCCAATTTATTTTAGATGATACCCAAAATTTGGAAATTCTGGTGCAAGAAAGCAATTTGGAGGGTGTCTTGGAGTATGCTGGGATAGACTTGACTTACAAAATGAGCAACGAGCAATTTTTTCAATTTGCTTTGTAAAACTTGTTAACCATCTAGAACAAGTAAGGAAGTAAACTTTCCAAAGGTGGGTCTCTCAAATCCCAATTTGCTTGTGCTCAGAGATTGACTAGATAATCACAAGTCTAGACAGTTTCTACTTCTTGCGATAGCTATTCATCTGTTTCTTTCCTTTTCATCTCTGTTGCTCGACTGCACTCTCTGACCTACCTGCTTCTGGTGGGAGACCAAGACCAGTAATAGGCCTCAAGAATAAAAGACTGCTAGTAAGTGTGGTAAACTACATGCTGCAAAATCCAGCCCCGAACAGAAAGAGTGGGTTGGGGCTAACGTATGGGGGCCAGGGTCACAGTGAGCTAACAATATAGATTTTAGAGAAAGAAAGAGGGACATTTTCTTTCTAGAGATAGGGACAAAGGTGCCTCTTATCTGGGCTGACTTCCAACCACTGGCAATGAGGGGAGGAGACCTATCTTTTTCTTTTGTTGATTGAAGTTATCAATGATGACACCAATGAACAGGTTCAGGGTGAAGAAGGAGCCGAAGATGATGAAGATGACAAAATAGATGTACATGTAGATATTGTCCTCATACTTAGGCTGCTCATCAGGCTGTCAAAGGACAGGATAAAAGGAAGAGAATCAGCTCCTAGTTTGGAGTTTGACACGCCAAGGCCATCAGCCGTAACTGTGACCATTTGAGCTGCTAAACATCTTGGGGTGGGAGAGCCCTAGATTCTTTCTGCCTGCCTCCTTCTCTACACTGGCATGGCCTGCCTTGAGAGGACACTAGTCGTCCTCTGACTCATGTGGAGAACATGCAAATCATGAGGCCACAGGGAGGGAGGGCTGTCTGCTAGGAGCCATACTTTTGCTATGAAGCAGGATTGAAGCATAGACAGCTTCACTGGGGCCACGTAAAAAATCAACAGTCTAATCATCGGGGGCCAATGTAAGAGAGTGATGACTTACTGAGACGAGGAAAATGATCTATAATCAATAACACAAGCAATAAATGTTCCAAAGAGAAACGTCAACTCCTCCATTCCTTCATCCCTTCCTCTTTCTTGGTGGGCTCGGTATACCATGCTGCTTGCTTTCCAGCCATCTGAGAAGGTGGTATTTTCGCCATGTACATCCTTACCTTCCGGGAATCTACAGCTGCATACATGATGTCCATCCAGCCTTTGAAGGTTGCCTGGCAAACAGAGTCAGTCATTAGACGGTGCCTATAAAGGGAGTGGATGGGAGTCTAGGCAGGGGTCCCAAAGGCCAGGCTTAGGTTCAGTGAGAACACAGAACAGGGGTTTGGGTGCAGCCTCCCTTGGACACAGAATTTTCTGTTTGTTACTACAGGTCCCAGGAGGGCTTTGTTCCTGAAAATAACAACAAAGTTTGGCAAATAAACATGTTGAAAATGGTAATGGGATTAAGGCTTTACGAAAGGACTCAAAAACATGGGCCTGAGAAGCCTGCCTAAAGTTAGGGAAAACTTTTATGAGTGAATGGCAGGAATCTACTGAAAATGCTTGGAACTTAGCATTCCATTCCACTGAGGAATCATTTTTTAAAAAGGTGGTAAGCAAAAAAAAAAAAAAAAAAAAAGGTGTTAAGCGATGGGGGTTGGAAAAACTCATAGTTGGATTTAACAGAAAAACAAGATCAGACTTACCCTTTACTAATATACACATGTATAGCCTATGTAGTAGCAATACCAGCTTTATCCTTGACAGTCCCTTCCCAATTCTACTCCTTCAGTCTACTATATCTAGACTGATTTTGGAAACAAATATGGATAATCCATGTACTATTCACCGTGTTTTATGTACTCAACCAGATTCTAAGGTTTTTTCAGGGCACAGGAAGGTCTTTATTCATCTGAGGGCCCTAGTACTGTACTGTCAAGCACAGCATCTTGCATATGGCAGGGACTCTGTGACTACCATGTTTGACTGGCTTGTGGATGTGCACTGGTTTTCTGGAGATGCTCCAATGCGGATTCAATTTGTGGGTCCAATTTTTTGAACTGGGATACAACAGCAAAAAAGCTTTGGGGTAGGAAAAACTACAGTTCATTCCATGAACTTTGCCTTCTACTATGAGTTGACAGTGAGTGCTTACTATATGTAAGGTTAGGTTGAGAGCTTCATCTGTTATTGCAGTTAGTCTCCCAAGAACTGTATGATATAGGCATGGAAATATAGTAACAAAAATACTTAATAGCAATTTTCATTAATTAAGCATGGTTATATGCTGGGAATTGTGCTAAGAAATTTTTAAAAATCACAAATCCTCTTAACAACCATGCAAAGTGTCATTATCTATATTTAATAGATGAAGAAACAGAGAATCAGAGAGGCTGAATAATTTGTCCAAAGTTACATATCCAGTAAGTATCAGAGTATGTTCAAATCTATAACAGTCTAATTTCAAAGCCTACGAGCTTTCACTGCATTATGTTGTCTTGTCACACATTCTGAAACACTGGTGAGAGAGGCAGTGAAAACTAAGCACGAAAGAATGAAATTAGGCAAAAGAAAATTATCTAGATAGTTAAATCCTTCCTTACTGTGATACATTAATCTGATACCTTTCTCTGGGGTGGAGCTGAGGTGAGTGTGGCACCAAGGCACTGCCATGGTTTTTTCCTAAGTTAACTGGAGTGTGGTGAGTATGTACTATTATTTTGCTCCATCACAATTGCCATTACTTTTTTGTCTATGTGCTTATCTTGATTTTTTTTGCCCTTAACTGCACTCTCTGACCGGGAAGGGAAGATGATCTCTCTGCCACTTTATTACACTGCAGGAATCTTTATTTGTTGCTGGGCACAGCTCTGTTCCTGAGCACAATGAGAGATTTCCTTTGAGTGAGATCTTGTAGAAGTCAGAGAATACTCAGGAAAGGTATCTCTCTGAAACTGGTTTGGGGAACAATACTGTTTTCTTGGACTTATTGAGAATAATCCTGATTCTAGAAGTAGGGTTGAGAAGAAGCCAAATGGGATTTGTGCTAGCTGCCTGAATTTCACAGAACTGAAAAAACAAAAACAAAAACACTACTTACTACTTGAAGAAGGGCCAGGTATCCTGCCCCAACATTGTCAAAGTTGATCTTCACGTTCTTCCATCTGATCTCTGTATTGTTCCCCTCCATAAGCTTTTCACATTCAGTTTTATTGTTGACATCTTCAATTTCAAATCGGATTTCAGAAGTCTCATTAAAGCAGTAGTGGTACTTTCCCGCAAACAAGTTAACTCCCATGATGCTGAAAATCAGCCAGAAGATGAGACACACCAGCAGCACATTCATGATGGAGGGGATGGCGCCCACCAAGGCATTCACCACCACCTGCATTGGAAGGGGAGGTTGCTCAGTGTTGGGTGGAAATGAGAGCAAGCACATTTTTTGATTTCCAGGAGGGGAATGACATTGTGTGGCTTGTTCTGTATGGAAACATTACATTCCCTTTGGAATTAGAGTAACTGGACAGACTGACAAGTAGGACCAAAAATTTCTAAGTCTAGGACTATATTGAAGGAATTTTAAAAAGTTACACCTTTATTTTGACTAACACAAATTCCCCAGCCAAGCTGACCTAGGTCTTCTTTCCTATGCATCAGCCTGGGACTGAAAAATTATTTCTTAGTCCAGTCTCCCTCTTCCTCAATTCATAAAATATGCCCAATGGGAAAATATGAGTAACTTTCAGCTTGCTAGTTGCCTTTCAACAGACATTCCCCCTCTGAAAAACAAGGTATAATTGTTCAAAATCACAGAGAACTACCCGTTGTGGTTAATAGAGAGCCAGTTAACAGTACATAATGTCTCTTTTATGACTACGCAAGGCCAGTTATTTTATTTCAGGCAATAGCTGAGCATGCATATTTTGCAGGCTCAAGAAAAAAAAAGCTATATTCCCTCTACCAAACAGTATAAAATAAAATCTGAACAGATGTGCTTTCACTCAAGGTTCATTATACTTCTCCAGCCTTTTTATTCTGACTTTGTAGGCTTTTAAATCAGAGTCGCTCCCTGCTTGGCTAATGCTGTCGTCTCTCTGCTCATTCCAGGGCTTGACTCCACTCATCACAGTGTATTAGAAATAGGGATGACTTAAGGTTTTTAAGAGAGTTTTGGGTTAGATCATTACTGCTCTTGAAACTAAAAAAATTGGCATATTGTTAAAAAGTCACTGACTACAGTAAGCTCAGGAATAAAAAAAAAGCAAAAGAAAAAAACCCCTTAGGAATCAAAGTTTCTGGGTTGTTTTCAACTTTGATTTTGCTTTACAGTATCAGTCAGAGCAGCACACAATTTAGAGTTTAGGGTTTCCTTATCTTCTGGTTTTGCCTTAGACTGCATTGTCACTCATCAGGACATGTGGCTGATCAGAGCTACCTGTTCTATCTTGTGTAAAAAATGCAATGATATTCTTCTGCTAAGGAGTCACTCTTCCTTTTAGATTAAAATATTCATTTTGTGTTTCTCCAATTCATATATTAGGGCCTTTAGACTGAGAGGCAGTTATTTCTTAATTCTTAGACCAAGAAATCTCTTCTAGATCTGACAGCTCTGTCATTAAAGTGTTTATTACTTTGTTTATTAAGTTGAGCAAGGAAAGCCAGGATATCTGAAATCTGGAAAATCTTCACTTTTTTTGGAGAATGATATTCATATTTATTTATGTTACCAAATTTGTCATGTACCCAGATTTGAATTTACCTCCTCATTCTACAGTTGCTCACCCTTTGGCGGGAGCACCAAAAAGCAATGAAATGTGCAAAAGAACAGGCAAAAGGAGGATGATCCACAAATGGAAAAATAATTTCTCAAACAATACGGGAGTAGATTAGGTAAAGATTCAAAAGCTCAAGTCTATGTGACAGCATTTCACAGCAGACCTTAGGTGGGAGATCGTGACTTTCTGTTAGACCATTACAAATGTGGCACAGGAAGTAGGCCCCAAAGACTTGAAACCAAGGCATGCTGCTTTTTAATCTCAATTCAGAACCTACTTCCTCCAGGAACTCTTCTGACTATGCTTCTACTCAAACCCAGTCTAACCTGTCCCACATACTATGGGTTACAGTTAAATATGGGTTAATATTTACCATAGGGAAGAAACATTAACGTGATCTCTTTGAACTTTTATTCTCATAAAGTATATAGAAAATTTTACATATTGATCCATTTGATCAAATGAATCAATATACAAAAATATTCAGAGCCTTTTTCTCTGATATGATATAAAATCCTATAAAATCCAAAGTTTTATAAGATGCAAATGTACTTTAATCATAACCAGAGGAAAACTTTTTATTTACTTTTTTTGAGAAAGGGTCTCACTCTGTCGACCAGGCTGGAGTGCAGTGGTGCAATCTTGGCTCACTGAGAAGGGGAGGCCCTTCTCAGGTTCAAGCGATTCTCCTGCCTCAGCCTCCCGAGTAACTGGGACTACAGGTGCGTGCTACCGTGCCCAGCTAATTTTTGTATTTTTAGTAGAGGTGGAGTTCTGCCATGTTGGCCAGGTTGGTCTCAAACTCCTGACCTCAAAGTGATCCACCCATCCCGGCCTCCAAAAGTTCTGGGATTACAGGCATAAGACACCATGCCCAGCCCAGAGTTGATTAAACGTACTAATAATTCTTCCTTGCTTTGAACATTAGCTGATAAGCTGCAATATGTTAAGCAGAAACTATTTAACTGTGCTCCATATGTAATGATCATTGTGCTGTTATTCTCAGCAACCACTGGGCAAGAGATCATATTTCTTATTTTGAACTCTCACACTAAAGATATATTATAAATGATAATTCAAATTTCCACTGGTAGTCACTTAATGAATTTGATCCTCTCTTCTCAAGTTCTCTAGTTACTCTACATTGCCTTTAATTATCATGAAATCTATTATTGTTAAGAACTAGACATGGAAATATCACTCAAAGCTAGGTTTTAGTAATCTATAAAAAGTTACTTTTATCAATGGAAGTTTATACTTGGCAATTGATACAAATCCCATTTAATTGATGAGAAAATTCCAATGGATATTAATTCTTACAGTATTTTTGTCTTCTCTATAATGTCTCGGACATTATTGTTGCTCAATAAATACTATAAAATCTGTCAGCTGGCTTTTAATATCTGGCAGAGGGAACATGGCTTTAATGGACAACTATGTACTGACAATCAACAAAAATGCATGCATGTTTCATGGCACTAATATTATATACCCTCAAAAATTTAACAGCACAGCGAAATCTTTAAATGAAGATTACTATGGAGGAGAGAAAAGCAAAGAACTACATTAAGTATTCCTTTGCCTATAGCACAAGTGCTTCAGTTTTCCTGGTCTTTGGTTTGAGGAAGAAGAGGAGACTGAAGTCAGTGCCCCAGGACAGGCTTGGGTCATATGCTCCCTCTCAAGCGAAGCTCTGAGTCTGTAATTGGAGCAGCACAGTGACAGTTGAGCCCATCTGCATGGATGGTGTTCAGTTTATGAAGATTTCTTATTTAAAATATTCTAAAGGTAATCTCTCAAGTGTTGGCATATAGAAGAACCAAAACCAAAGAATAAAAAAAAAATGCCCCATAGAAAAACAACATTTAAATAAAACATGTGTACCTAATTCTGTTTATTACTGGGGGACTTACTATACGCTTAGCCAAATCCAATCTTTTCTTCTTGCAGTTACTCTCCCACAGAAGGGCTAGGAAACCCACAGGGCAGGAATGGATCCCTGATCCCTTTTCACCTGTCCAACCAGCCATGGTCAATACTGTCTGTTAGTTGGCTGGAGTCAATCAAATGAGGTGGCACTCTTATTCCAAAGCTTCCCTTAATGCATTTATTGTTTTAAATTCCAGCTTTGGGTTCAAACTTGTTCTTGACCATATTATCTTACCGAAAAAAATCTTGATGTAGACGCTTTTCAAATAAAACATCGTAATGCTTTTCAAATAAAATTATCTACTGTTTTGATTATTCATTCGGGACCTCCAAGCTCCTAAACTACTTTCAAGTTGACAAATGAAAGTTTTTAGGGGACTGGAAACTGAGGGTCCAGGAAAGGTACAGAAAGAAGGGGCAGCTAAAGGGAAGAGGTGTGGCTCCCAAAACGGCTCCTGCATCCAGGTTATTCAAATAACTGCCTCATGAGCAAACTGGCCTCAGCGGCCATGAGGACTGCTTCTGTCTGCCTGGACAGGAGTGACAGTAATGAGCATCTAGATGGAAATAGTTAGTAACAAGCGTCAGATGGGTCAGATGGGCATTTCTTTTGTAGGGGGATGGGGGGATTTCTTCAGGTATTACCAATCTCTTTTTGGAAGATCAGGGATCACCGTAAGGGGATGCGGAGGAGCTCAGGACAAGTACTGTCTTCAGTGGACTTTTTTGGTTGCATCTTGTCCTCAGTTTTTCAGTCACCAAAGTGGATTATCAACTTTATAACAAAACCAGTATAGTTTATTAAAACATTTTATTAGCTCCCTCTGGAAAACATGCAAAGGTGCAGGGAGCAGAGAAGAACATTTTAACCACATTTTCAATCTCACCGTGGCTGTCTAAACCACTGAATCTTGTGTAATAAACTCTCTTCCTAAATTTAGCCTGAGCATAGCAATGACCTTATTGCGCACATTCTAAAACCTCTCTTATCTGTGGGACAAAGTCTTAAAATCCCAAGTTTTTTGAAAAATTAAAATAAATTTACACTACTGTGGAACTGCCCTTCCTGCAGATGGTTTCAGGAGAGTTGCAGAAAGCTTACATTTAGTACACCAAACTGTGACTGTGCTACAGAAGAAACATGAATTTGTTGCAAAAAGCATTTGTCTGGATAAATTAACATAATAAAATTCCCAAGTCCCAATTAAGTTTTCATCTTCCTATACAACTGTGGGTGGCTTCACGGAGTAACAGCCAGGGATCACAGATGAGGAATGAACGTAGCAGCACTGTCCTGGTATCTAGTTTTTCCAATCGGTCTTGCTTCACGTAGACTATCGTAACAGTTTAATTTTTATTCTTACATTCTGACGTTTGCACATTTAAAAATATATCCTCTGGTTTGCTCTCCTGCATGTATTCAACATCTGAATTGAAGCGAGTTTTCTTGGTCTCGTTAAGTATAACAGACCTCTCTCTGATCACCACAGGACAACTATTACCACCAAAGCCAGTTGCCCCTTTGATTTTAAGAAATTGACTTTTTAGTGTGTGTGTGTGCGCGTGCGTGCGCGTGCACGCACGCACACGCACAATTGTTTAAACCAAAAGAGACAAGAAAATGGCACCAAGAAGGCACCTTGTTTCTAAGTTGGTAGGGTGACAACACCTTGTATTGTTTTGGGTGGAGTATCACCAAAGCAGGAATAGGAGGTATCAAGAAATTTCAGGAGAACTAGCTGATATTCAGTCATCTAGCATCATACCTGGTTGTCATTTTGACAGTGTTAGGGGACCATACAGCATGGGCAGAGGGGTTGGGGGTGAGGAAAAAAGCTTTGCTATCAGACAGAGGCTGCCAGTCCATTTGGGACTGGGCTGAGAACAACAAGGTGCAATAAGAGGAATCTGAATAGAAAGAAAAGCATTTCTTCTCCCAGGGCCATGCCAAATTCTGCTCCATCCCCAATTCCAGGCCTGCCGTCATATCTTCAAGCCCATTCTCAGCTGCTTTCTCAGTGACCCCAAGGCCACAGTCCCCACCTGGCTGATGCCCCTACACAGCACTCTCCCTGCCTGAAGCTTGTGCTTTTCAGTGGGTCTGTGGGTTACAATTCCCCTTCTTTGCACCTGGTGATTCTCCCTATTAAATCAACAGCCCAGAAAGCCGCCCCGAGTGCTACAGGTAAGCCAGGCCAAATGAGAATAGCCAATGTTAACATGTTCTGCGATGGCATGTTGTTGGGGGTGGGGCCAATATTAATGTGATGAGGCAGCTTAACGCAATTCCCCTTTGCACGGGGCAGGTGTGGGGGAGAGAGTGGAGGATCAAATCAGCAGCTGCATCACAGAATTCGTGTTTGAATGATCTTTCCACCATGTGATCAGTTCTAGCATGCTTAAACAGTTTCCACTGGCATGCAGAAGGATCAGCTGCTCTTAGTATCTTACCCTCATCCCTTCAAATCGTGATAAGGCTCTTAAGGGTCTCAAAGCTCTTAGGGTCCTAAGGGACTTTATGGCACCTAGTTCCGAGTAGCCCAGGGCATTAGCTATAAGGCTGACTAAAGAGACCTACACAGAAACAGAAGAGAAAAACAAAAACAAAAAAGGTAACCAAAAAAAAAAAAAAAAAAAAAAAAAAAAAAAAAAAAAAAGAAAGAAAACAGAGGTTCCAGAGTGTTAGAATAAAGCCCCTAGCACTGCAGACACAGATTGGGCCCCCCAGGTAGAGGAAGTGGGTAACACCAGCTGCCTATTTCAACTTGACTCAAATGACCTGGAAGGAAAGGTGGTTGAGAGGCAGAAGAAAAAACAACAGGGAAGAGAAAATCGAGAAGGCGGTAGAACATACACACAAGTTGGAAAAGGGGAGAGGCTGACAGGAGAGGGAGAGAGTGAGGAAGTTCCACTGGAAGGAGAGGAGCCTGAACAGACGACAAGAGCCTTACCCTCGCCCTTTACAGTCTCTGCAGGTCCCAGAAGTCCCCATTAAATTAAGCCAGACAAATTTAATGGTACCTATGGAAAAGAATACAGATAAATACACATACTCCACACAAGCTGCCCCCTCCTCAGCTCATTCACCATTGGCTTTCCAAGAGGGACAAGCTCTTTTACTCCTGGTTGACAAAAAACCATTTGTTTGAGAATCTGATGCGTCACGACATTAACAACAATGAAAACGTTCAATAAGTACCATGGCTGACTTGCAGTTCCCAAGAACTGTGGCTCCATGAGAACTCGCTTAAGTGAGTTCTATCTCTATCTTTTAAATACATCCTTCTATCTCTCACTTTTAACTAAAATAACCTTCTGACTTTTAACTACAACCAGGACCCCTCCATGGCCACAAGAACTTGGGTGAGTCTGGACAACTGAATCCACACTTTTCCTTATAATTCTCATTCTTTCCTTCCAGAACAGTCCAAAATGAATTATCCTCAGGTCTGTCATTTCCATGTCAATCTTCTATAACTTTTATCATTAGAATAACAGTTGGAAGAATTATTGGAAAACAAAATTTGATAGATGAGGAAATTGAGACCCGTACACAAGAATTTGCCCAGGGTTACACTGGCAGTTCTGCAGCCAAGATTAAAGACCTCCACTGCCTGACTCCCAGGCCAATGCTTTTTCTTCCACAGACAGGTCACGTCCCCAGTGGGCAGGTTACACAACAACATTCCAACAGGACTATCTGGACAATCCAGAGTTGAATATGTTGCCGTACCAGGGGGAAGAAGCCTGCAGACCTCCAGGCTTAGACGTATGGTCAAACACTTTCCTGCTCTGCCAGAGGCAAACTTACCTTGTTCTACCAGAGCTCTCAGAGCAGTTACCACGATGCTTTCTCAACACCATGCTAACTACATTTATGCCTTCCTGGGCCTGAGCTGAGAGTTACAGAATTTTTCAGGGGAGAGCAGACCTAAAAATACCTTTAGTTAGTCAAACTCCAGAATGTTTGGGGTCTGGGTTTCTATTTTTTTTTTTTTTTTTTGAGACAAAGTCTCACTCTGTCGCTCAGGCTGGAGTGCAATGGCACAATCTTGGCTCACTGCAACTTCCACCTCCTGGGTTCAAGCAATTCTCCCTGCCTTAGCCTCCTGGGTGAGTAGCTTGGATTACAGGCATGTGCCACCATGCCCGGCTAATTTTGTATTTTTAGTAGAGATGGGGTTTCACTGTGTTGTCCAGGCTGGTCTCAAACTCCTGACCTCAGGTGATTCGCCTGCCTTGGCCTCCCAAAGTGCTGGGATTACAGGCTTGAGCCACCATGCCTGGCTGGGTTCTGGGTTTCTTACAACACAAATTCTAGGATAGGTTAAGATATTTCCATCAACAGCTCTTAAATTCTTCCTACTGGGAAGTGGTGGTTGCATATCAGCTTAGCTTACTTAAATTGATGATATTTTAAAGAAAATTTAGAGAGGAAAAAAAAAGAAACAATCTACAAATTAGTTTCATTTGCTGCTTTTTATCTCTATCCTAGGGCTTTAATTCTTTGATCCTGTGTCTGTGAATTGCACACACACAATTTTTAAAAAAATGAAGACATTTATAATTAAGCAGCATGACTGGCAGGGGGTAGAAGCGGAAGGTGTATGACCTAGCAAGGGTCAGGATGAGCAGGTTTAAAGGTTTCGATTTAAAAACAGGTATGGCCAGGTGTTGTGGCCGAGGTGGGTGGATCACCTGAGGTCAGAAGTTCGAGACCAGCCTGGCCAACATGGTGAAACCCCGTCTCTACTAAAAATACAAAAATAAATTAGCTGGGCGTGGTGGTGCATGCCTGTAATCCCAGCTGCTTGGAAGGCTGAGGCAGGAGAATTGCTTGAACCCAGGAGGCAGAGGTTGCAGTGAGCGGAGATGGTGCCATTGCACTCCAACGTGGACAAAAAGAGAGAAACTCCATCTCAAATAAATAAATAAATAAATAAAATAAAAAGGGATATGGACCTTGATCTATGCATGTGCTCATAATCCACCAGTGTAGTTATCTTCTCTGAAGCCCTGGGCAATGTCCAAAGCAAATCCGGAAGTAAATGTTGCCCTATTAGGCTACCCTAATTTTCATGAAAAGGCAGATGGTCCAGAGTTCAATGTCTGCCTAAACTATGGTCCACAAAAGCCCTATCTAGAACATAGTAGCACCAACTAATCCCTTTCTCTCCATCTATCCATCATTATCAATAAGAATTTATATGGAGGTATCTACTTCCCTATTATTGCCAAGTGCAGCCAACTCTTAACTCCAAAAGAATTGAAAGTTGCCAGATTCTTCATGAGGCCTTAATAAGTATATCTGAAGGGAAGCTATTCTTTCTCAACCAAGTACCTGGACTCAACAGTCCCCTGGGTCAGCTTCATCTTACGAAACTTTGTCAGGTAAAGATTGCAAGAAACTAAGCTTTGAGTGGCTATAGGCACCATATAAGGTAAGAAGATCCCAGCTCTTCAGGGTGGGTGACTTATCTGATAACAAATAGGCCCACAGTGTGGAGAATGAAGGAGGAGGTCTAAAGGCCAATTCAGTGGCTGGCTCTAAACGTTGCTGGGAGATAAGCTGTTACTCAGCTGATTAATCTGGCCCAGGACAGGATCAATAAGGGTCTTATCTGGGTTATTCTTTAGTAGTTGAGGGCTCTCTTATAATCCTCTGAGTCTCTGTTAAGCCCCTCCTGGAGATAATCCTAACATTGCTTAAAGTATTCTTTAAGGAAAGAATCAAACCTAAAACAAACAAACAAACAACAAAAAAAAGGAATTGAGGAGACATCAAATTCAGGGCATCAAGCTGGGCGCCTTGGCACGTGTCTGTAGTCCCAGCTACTCAGGAGGCTGAGGTGAGAAGGCTGCTTGAGCCCAGGACTTGGAGGCTGCAGTGAGCCATGATTGTGCCACTGCACTCCAGCCTGGGCAGCAGGGTGAGACCTACCTAAAAAAATTTTAAAAATGAAAAAAAAAATAAATTCAGGGCATCTATGGTTGCAGGCTGGAAAAAAAGGGGGAAAGACATTAGGTGATTTTTCCAAAATGATGTGAATATTTTCAAACGGGGAATGTTTTCAGCAGTCTGAATTCAGGCCAAGGCAAGTAGTCTCTGCAAGTCCCCACCTCCAGAACTGACAGGCTTGCTGATCTCCACATACAGTGGGATAAATGTCCTGGGGAAAAGATGCCAAAATTCTTTTACAGGACACAATCTCCAATGCAGCCAAGGACCTGAGCAAAACAGAATGTTTTCCTTGTTTGGGAACTCATATGGATTATAAATAAAAGGAATTAACCTTGGAAGTCATCTGGATAATCCCATGACTCTGAAAAGTACTCACAGCTTTAAGAGGCAACAAGGAAGAATGAAAATCAATTAGGGAAACAAATGCGATGAGTAACAGACTCAGACATCAAGTCACCAGTGGATGGTGCTAAGTTAGGACCTAACCTTCTGGATGTTCTAAAATGCCAAAGAAATCAGACACTTTACTCAAATGGACACCAAAAAGTCCAGCAGTTCCAACTGTTCAGGTGACAGTCCAAGACTAATTGTTCATCCACAATTCAAAAGCGGCAGCGATTGGAGCCACTGTGATGGCCTGGGAATGTCCCCCCACCTAGCACAAGCCTGGAGTCAGGACATAGTTGCTATGGAAGCTAGTGTAAGCTCCCCAGGGGCTGGGAACATGCTTGCAACAAGGATAACCTCTGTTTCTCCTTATTGCTTCTGGAGCAATTCTACACAGATAATGGCATTCAACTATATTATTTACTAATAACTGGCACAGAGGTCTTCACAGGAGCCAGTTGGGCACCACAGTAATGTAATGATCAAGCAACCCCCAAAAGCTAGAGGAGCTTATGAATTAGTGTCAGTTGGCTGCATGCCTGTCCTATGCTCTTTACCCCCTTCCACCTTGCGTATAGCCATAAAAAAAGTTTGTGAAATAAATGCTGGCTTGGCACAGTGGCTCATGTCTATAAACCCAACACTTTGGGAGGCCAAGGAGTTCCAGACCAGCCTGGGCAACATGGTGAAACTCCATCTCTACCCAAGATACAAAAATTAGCCAGGCATGGTGGTGTGTGCCTGCAGCCCCAGCTACTCGGGAGGCTGAGGTGCAAGGATCGTGTGAGCCCAGGAGGCAGAGGCTGCAGTGAGCAGAGATGGCGCCACTGCACTTGAGGCTGGGTGACAGAGTAAGACCTCATCTCAAAAAATAAATAAATGCTAATGTGTAGGACTGTTAGTGCTTTAGCAGCTTATTTGTTTAGCAGGGGCATGTGGGATACCTGATCAATATCCTCAAATTCTGGGTAGCTCACCCTAGGGAAAAGAGAAGAACGTGTTCTGGTGAGGGTAGGTCATGGTGGGGAAGCTCTGTTTCAAATCACAGCCTCCCCAGGCAGCTGGGAGTACCAGTTTGAGTTCAGGTGTCCCACCTGACGCCAGGTAGTCCTGAGGAGCTATTGTGAAATGAAGACTCTATGGCACTTGCCCTTTCTCCAGAAAGAGAACTGGCCCAGTCTCACTTTGGCTCTCTGGGTCTTATCTCAATCCCATTCTTTAAGTCTTAGAGCTCCAGCTTTCTGTCTGTGGGGGGTACAGGTCCTTCCACCACAGGATGGTATCAACAGTTGCTGGAGGGATGCTAACATCTCTCGCTGCGAGGGTCTCACGTTGGTACCCTCTAGGGCTGGGGTCCTCACCTCATTTAGGCATTTCCCAAAGGCTGGCTTTTTGAAATGGGGATGCAACTGAGGGCACAGTGACAGTTCTGGGAAGGGGGTCATTAACCATGGAAATTGCAGACAATGTATTGGAAAAGAAATCCATTTATAGAGCAGAAATCATGGCTCAGTATTGGGCACTTGCCATCAGAGAGATTTCTATGCTGCTCTATCCTGGATCCCAGAGGTACTCTACAGGTAGTTCACCATGCAGCCAATGAAACCTGCATTCTACATGACCAGTCTAGTCTCCACCGTTCTACTTTCTTGGCACTTAACAGCCCTCAGAAGGAAGTAAATTTTCCACAGGCCCTGGTCCTACAAATCCCATTCATCCTTTCTTTAAAATGCTGACTTGGCTGAAAGAAAGAAGCTTTAGTTATTACATAGAATAAGAGACCAGTCATCATCCTTAGTAAAGCTGACAAGGGACAAGTGATGGTGGGGTGAGAAAGAGAGGATGTCACTTCCAACCTGGAAAAAACACAGGAGGTCATGGCCAGCAAACCTCGGAGATAGTCTTGGAACCTGGAGGAAAAAAGGATTTCTCAAGTTTCATGATCACTGTAGAATGGCAACGTGTGGGAAGAAGGGGGTATTTTATTTCAGTATGAACTCCCCTCACCTAATAAACTGACTTGTTTGGATGAGTCCGGTATCAAGACTTGAGTTGGATGGAAGTGTTCATGGGAATGGTCAGCAGGAGAGACCACAGATCCCACTACCACCTTCGTCCCAACAGCCCCCATCTCATTCTCTCACCCCTTCTCCCAGCCACAAAAAGAAGACATCCTGCTGGCCTGGGGCAAGAACTTTCCTGTCCCCAGCCTAATAACAAGGGCCTTTGAGACCAGTGATTCCACTTCTCCTAATCTCTGAATCTAAGTTAAGCCAAACCCACCAGACTAAAGAGTTGGTTGGTTAGTCCCCCTGGAGCAAATGCAGGGACTTCAGAGTTCCCCTTCCTAATATGAAGATCTCAGTGCTATGAAAGGAACTTTACCCACACCTACATCTACATCTTGATCTATAACCTGGGCCCAGGGCAGCTACTGCCATTAGAAAAAGAGAGACCCCTGTTTCTGTGTTCCTGCTGGAAGGGGTGGGAAACAGAAAGCAAGACACCTACAGCCACAATGAGGAAGTCCAGCCAACACCAGGCATTGGTGAAGAACTTGACGAAGCCATAGGCTGTCCACTTGAGCAACATCTCCAGGATGAAGATATAGGTGAAGACTTTGTCAGCATATTCCAGGATGGTGCGGATGGTCTTTCTCTGCTCAATGTAGATGTCCTCGAAGGCCTAAAAGAGAGGCAGCAGCTGCCTATGACAGTGCCTAAAGGCAAGCAGGCCACAGGGAGCACTGCTATCCTCAGGGAGCCGTCCCACATGGGCTGGCCTGTCATCAGCTCCCTGTCTCCTTCGCTTTACTCCCCGACTACACAGGCTTTTTATGTTTTAATAGGTTTATTGAGATACAATCCACACATCATAAAATTCAGCCATTTAAAATGGCTTTTAGTATATTCAGAGTTGTGCATCCATCACCACAATCAATTTTAGAACATTTTCATTACCTCCAAAAGAACCCCCACACCCTTTAGCTATCACCCCCTAAACCCCCAACCCCCTAGCCCTAGGCAGCCACTCACCTACTTTCTCTCTCTAGATTTTCCTTCTTACGGCTGAGTAATAGTCCAATATATGGATATACCACATTCTGTTTATCCTTCATCAGTTGATGGACATGTGTATTGTTTCTATTGTGAACAATGCTGCTGTGAACATCTGTGTATGGGTTTTTAGGTAGACATGCTTTCATTCTCTAGGGCATATGCCCAGGAATGGAATTGCTGAGTCATATGGTAACTGTTTAATTTTTTGAGGAACTGCCAAACTGTTTTCCAAAGTGGTTGCATCATTTCACATTCCTACCAGAAGCATATGAGTGTTCCAATTTCTCCACATCCTCACCAATACTATATATAAAAGAAATGACAAAATCTTTCCTCCTTTTAGTTCCTTGACACCACAGTATGGGTGGAGGGTCATACAGGTGGGAGATACTCAGGTGAAGAAAATCTTATCACTATTTTATTTCTTTGGCATTCATGAATGGGATAATCCCTTATATGGTGGTGTGAGCATTCCCATCTGCAGAGTGGTGGACTATACAGGTATGGTGCCAAGAGGAGGGAATTGCTAAAGCATAGGACAACCTGTGGAGGTGGGGAGGAAGTCCTCTGTGATACAATGGGAAGTGCTTGCTCTGAACAGCTCCAGAAGAATAGAATTGGGTTGTCTGCAGCGTCACCTTCCAAAATGGAGGCACATGGATATCAGGTGCTCCACTTTCTCTCTTTTTTTTTTTTTGGAGACGGAGTCTCGCTCAGTTGCCCAGGATGGAGTGCAGTGGTGCGATCTCAGCTCACTGCAACCTCCACCTCCCGGGTTCATGCCATTCTCCTGCCTCAGCCTTCCGAGTAGCTGGGACTACAGGCACATGCCACCACACCCGGCTAATTTTTTTGTATTTTCAGTAGAGATGGGGTTTCACTGTGTTAGCTGGGATGGTCTCAATCTCCTGACCTCGTGATTCGCCCGCCTCAGCCTCCCAAAGTGCTGGGATTACAGGTGTGAGACACCATGCCCGGTTAATTTTTTTTGTATTTTTAGTAGAGATGGGGTTTCACCGTGTTAGCCAGGATGGTCTCAATCTCCTGACTTCGTGATTCGCCCGCCTCAGCCTCCCAAAGTGCTGGGATTACAGGTGTGAGCTACCGTGCCCGGCTCCACTTTCATCAACAGGCAGTGGGGGGGACAGGGGTCATGGGTTCCACAGTCCTACTCAGGGTCTCGGTGCAAATAAATCCCCTTTGCTCAATCAAAAAGGCAACAGCTTCCATGTCAGGTTTCCCCTTAACCCCATCTGTTGGAAATCCCTTCTATAATCCAAGGTATGTGAGATGCCCAAGACTGATCTCATGTCACTGAGGGCCCTAATCCCCACCCTCTTTAGTCCCATTGTAACCACGTTCTAGTTTCTTCTTGGACATTTTAGCTGTGGCTTCATTTTGTTATTTTTTTTTTTTTTTGAGATGGAGTTTCGCTCTTGTTGCCCAGGCTGGAGTGCAATGGTGCAATCTCGGCACACTGCAACCTCCGCCTCCCAGGTTCAAGCAATTCTCCTGCCTCAGCCTCCTGAGTAGCTGGGATTACAGGCATGCACCACCATGCCCGGCTAATTTTGTATTTTTACTAGAGACGTGGTTTCTCCATATCGGTCAGGCTGGTCTCGAACTCCCAACCTCAGGTGATCCGCACGTCTTGGCCTCCCACAGTGCTGGGATTAAGGCGTGAGCCACTGGACCGGGCCACTTTGTTATTCTTAAATCTCATGCCTACTGTTGCACAGGGTCTGCAGGTACTGAACCAAATATCCTTTGCTTAATCATTAAGACAAATAAAAACTGTCAAAGGTGAGCAGTAAAGAAAGTTCAAAACCTTTAGTTCACTACTGCTTTATTCTTTTTTGTAGAGATGGGAAAGAGAAGAGCCAAATGATGGGTCATACTGTTTAGATTTTTGTTCACTAGATTTGAAGAATAACAATGACAGCAATAATAAAACGCCTTTCTCCAATCACTCGGCTTAGTCTGATCCTCTCTTTTCTTAAGGGCAGAGACCATGCTGTCATTTTGGGTGCCTCTGCGGCACCTCAGGAAGTGTTGTGTGAATGCTCGTTGATGCAACAAGTGGCCCAGGGGCAGGCGGGGTGGTCTGGCTCCCCTTCACTCAGATCAGTGGCTACCAAGCCATCTTTTTTGCCTCCTACTTTAATCCTGACACCTTCCTGTGTAAACCTTCCCCTTACTTCCCATGGTCCTCTTTTCATGAAAGCTGTCTTCTTCACCCTTGGGCTTGTCTTTAATACACACTGCTGCCTCTCTCAGCTTTTCTTATTCTCCTGCCTCACAAGTCAGTGAAACTTCCCAAGTCACTGTCAAAATCTTTAACACTGAATTTGGGGTTTCTCCCTTGCTATGTTTTTTTTTTTGCTTCCAGATTAAGCTTTGATTCCACACCTACATGAATGTGCCCACCTTCTTTAAATATACTTCAACATTATGCATTCTTCACCTTTCCCTTAAGGAAAGTGTGTACTGTCTCTAGTCCCGGCAGTCCTCAAAACTATTCAACCAGCAAGCAACTCCCTCACACCACACCCTGTCCAGGTCTCCTCAGTTATAACCCAGCTAAAAATAAAAGCAAATGCCAAGATAATTAGTCTCAGCAGTGGAGGAGCCTGTGTGTTCAGGGCCTTGTATGTTTCACTGATTAATAAGCACTTAGGACAATGTGAATATAAATAACCTTTGTACCAGAGATCTGACTCTAAACATTTGCTAATGCCATGGGTTCTCTAAATCCAGTAGGCTGTGAAGGGACAGTAAGTGGAGGAATAACACCTCCCTCCCATCCTGGGTAACTGAAAAGCAAAGAACAAGAGATCTGGGGTATTAGGTAAGAGAGGGAAGTTCATTTTAGGGGCTGCTAAGGATGGGGTAAACCAGGCAGTGGGGACACATGAGAGGGACAGTGCTAAGAGGATCACAATGTGAACAAGTATGGATTCTAATCCCACAGGCTCAAAGCAGCAGCCTAAAGCACTTTAACAGATCATTCTTCTTGGGACCACAGCCAATCTGTTTTCAGAGCCACTGGGCTTTGGCCTCAGCCTTTTCCCACTGGCTTCTCTACACCCTTCCCCAGCCAATCCCTCCTCACACTCTCCCCTGGACCTCACCAGGGCGCCACTGCTCAGCAGAATCATGAAGATGATGAAGGTCTCAAACCAGTTGTGCTCCACGATGAGGAAGCAGGTTTTCCGCAGGATCCACCAAGACTTGCCTAGCCCTTCCTCGATGTTGACCTGGCAGCACTTGAACCGCTGGACACAACCTGGCACCAGCGGGAGAGGCGGGTCAGACCGTGGAAACGTGCCCCGCCCAGACCTGCCCTCTCCTCCATCTCCCAGGCCCTGCCAGGTGCTGCCCCACCACACAGCCAGGAGGACAGTGGCTGAATCAGAATGTCTGATTCAGAAATGGAGAGGGTGGCAGGGCTGGGGCTATGCTGCAAAGGCTAATGGGGCAAGGCCCTCAGGAGTCAAGAAGATGTCCTACAAAGAAGCAGTGAGAGGGAGGAGAAAAGGGTAGTCAGGAGGCAGGCACAGCCATGACAGAACAGGACATTCTAATGGAAATTTTTGGGCTGATGCCAAGAGAAAATGGATGATGAAAAGTGTGAGAATAGAAACTTGTTATATACTTGTCAGATACAAATAGGGGAAACAATCTAAGTTTCCTTCAAAATGGTGGGGTGGGGAGCAAAGTTCTTGAAGATAGCCACTGAGCTGCCCCTCACCCACCACTAGCCCTGGCACAACTGTGTCTGTGAGCAACACGAGTGTCCCCAGCCCATCCGCTCCTCATCCCCTTTCACCTTCTGTGAAGCAGGCATCTGGATCCAAGTATTCCTCAGGCTGTTCCACAGGGACCTCTTCTACTTCTGGTTTGATATCAATGGTGCTTCCTTCAGAGGAGCTGGTGTCATCTAGTTTCTAGACACGCAAGGAAAAGGGAGATCAGGCAGCTCTGAGGCAACATGCCCACTCCACACTGAGAACTCTGCCTCTGGTGGGGATGAGGGGCCAGCTCTGACTCCTCTCTAGAATTCTTACTACAACTCGCGATAAGCAAACCATATCCACGGGCCCCCAAAACTTCTGTCCAGATGGGATATAACATCAAAACCTACTCACGGACGGCAATGACCCACCCAAAGCTAAATGCGGCTATAGGTTGGTTTCAGGGCTATAACTCAGATGAATGGCAGGGAAGTACTCGAGGGCTTATCCCAGCCTCTGACCCAGATGATCCAGAAGTGACACAGGTGGGTCCAGGATCATCTTAGGATTCCACCTCATTTAGGAAAGGCCTAGAATGATACTGGGATGGTGGAATTAGTTCTCCAAGTAAATTGGTTATTCCAGAATCTCTCTACCAAGCCCATAGCTGAACCAATCCCCAAGGCTGACAGCACCCTGTTTGCTCTCACACAGGATCAAGGCTGTTTCTAGGCTGGGACCTTACATCTTTGCTGCCTTCAGGATCCGACTCGCTGCTAACATCCTCTGTGTTGAGGTTCTCAAAGTCAGACTCGCCCACAGCAATGGGTACCCGTACAGTCAAGTTGGGGTTGTTGATGAAGGACATGTGGTCCTCATCAATGATGTACTTCTCCACGCTGCTGCCAATGCCGCTGGTTGTGCCATTGCCATTCTTCTGGAAGTCACCATTCCGGTGGATGTCTGCACCGGTGTGATTGGCGATACAGTTGGCCTTCTTTTCATACAACTCATCCAGAGGCTTCACCTCATCAGCCTCACGCTGCTTAAAGTGGGCCTGCATGAAGGCGTGCACCTTTAGTTTGGTCCAGGCCACACCCTTCTTGATACGGATCACTGAGATCTGGAGGTTGTTCATTTCCCCATCGTCATCTGTGGCAGCCAGGTTGTCTGCACTGAAGGAGCTCAGGAGCAAGGCCAGAAACAGGTTCAGCACCTATGCCAGTAGCATTGGAAAAAAGGAACAAATGCAGAAAAGTTATCCATCGAACTCAGGGTTGCAAACTGGAAGCCAATGGACTTCACGTGACAGACTCAAAGAGGCTCTGTTGTGTTGTGTTTGGCCCACGTAGTATTTTAATGCTCATGTTACCAGGTGGGAATGTGTTTGGTTTTGGTTGTAATACAAGGAGTTTAGCACCTCTTTTCTTGGGTCTTTTATAGTTTTACATACATATATATGTACCCGAAAATATATTACTTCTCTTATAATCAGAAAAAACAAAGGCTGTATCCATTTTGGAAGGACATTTCCCCAAAATAAAAAGGTGAATATACATTACTGGGGAGGGTCACAAAGTGTACAGATGCCACATATTCATGAGCAGAGTTTGAGAGGACCCACGTCAGAAAAAAAAATGAGGCTTGAAGTGCCATCCTTTCATACAAAAAACCAAGAAGGTAGAACTGAAATACACTTCATGTCATCATATTTTAAGAACAAATTTTGTTTTCCTAACATTTATAAAAATAAAATCGCTTTAGCAAGACAGTGATGGTGACTTTTATATTTTTTTGCATAGCCAAATGTCAAGCCATCAGATACAAGCTTTATTTATTTTTGTTTTAATCTCCTATTTTACTACATTGAACATTAAGGTTAATTAATTTATTTTTATTAAGACTTACTTTTTAGGAGTGGGAGAGGTGCTCACTTCTTGATTTACACTTGGTCCTTACTTTGTCATACTTGGGAAGAAGAGTAAGGCATACATTTTAGGAGGAGATAACAGTCATGTGCAGAGTGGGAGGGTGGAAACAATAAATGAACTATAAGTGTTCGGATTATCTGCACCATTTGTAGAGTTAAAAAGGAATATGGTTGGTAAAATGCGGGTGAGTTGGAGAGGGCTTTGAAGGCCAGGCTGAGGGATCTGAATTTTATTTAATTAGATCCACTACTGGTTCTTGAGTAAAGGAGTCACAGATGATGACAGAGATTTGAAAGAGTCATTCAGACTAACTACATACAGAGGGGAAGGGCAGAAGTTAGGAGGCTGTTACATGCATGAATTGATAAGGGTCTGGATTAGGCTACAGAAATCCCAAATCTTAGCATGCATTAGAATCTCAGGGAGTGAGGGGTGTGGATGTTTGTTAAAAATATTTCCTTAGCCTACTCTAAAGATATTTGGATTCAGTAGATTTGGTATACAGCCTGGGACTTGGCCTTTTTTTGTGAGTGAAACTTGTGTAATTATGATGCAGGTGGTCTTGAGACCACATTTTTATAAAGTACTGAATGAATTATAGAAATGCAAAGGAAGGGGCAGATCTTAGATACTATGAAGAAAGATATCCACAGAAATACTATGAAGAAAGATGCATTTAAGACACATCAGATATTTGCTGGGAGTGGAGAGAAAAGAGACAGAAAATACTCCAAAGTTATAGGTTCCTAGAAACTAGATGGGCAGAAGGACTACTGAGCAAAGGGGAACCTGAAAAGTGTCATCAGGGGGTAGTGGTAACAGCTGATATTTATCAAGTGCTCAGGTATCTGGAGACAGCCATGGGGAGATGTCTTTGAGACAAATAAGAACAGGAGAGTGAAGAAAGGGTGGCAAAGTCAGGGCTTGAAAATGTTGATCATGCTACATACCGGGAAGCCATTGTTATAGTCACTGAAGTAGTGAGAAGACTAGAGGGATTAGGACTGAGGGAAAGGTGGCTGGGAATGGAGAATAGGAAGAATTAAACATTACAGTAGCTATTTTTTTTGTAGGTCAAATGGAAGAACAGAATAGTTGTAGCTGGTTCAGAGGCTGGTGAGTAGGAGCCTTTTACTGTCATGCTTCTCTGTGGCAGAAAAAGGAAGAGAACTAATGTGGATGAGCATGTTAAGGGACAGATAAGCTTGTCTTCTTCCAGTCCTCTTTGCCCTACACTTGCAGGTGGGATTAGGGGCCTGATCTGTAAGATAGTCCTTTCTCAAACTTTAGTGTACTTTTGAGTCACACAAGGATCTTGTTAAAAATGCAGATTCTGATTCAGTAGTTCTGATTTGGGGCCTAGAATTCTGCATTTCTAACACACTCTCCAGTGATCTTGTTGCTGCTAGTCCTCAGATCACACTTTAAGAAGCAAGGTGTTAAGATCTGTTGGTGACTCTTCTAAAGACAGAGGTAGAAGAGAGCAGGTGGACAGATCAAAGTAAAGCAATAAAGTGATTTGTCATTTATATAAATTAAATAAAACTCTAAGATGGTTTAGAGCAGTGGCTCTCAATGGAGGGCAATTTTGCCCCCCAGGGACATCTGGCAATGTCTGCAGACATTTTTGGTTGTCACAGCTCTCAGGATGCTACTGGCATCTAGTGGGTAGAGGCCAGGAGGGACGCTGCTAAACCCTACAATGCACACGACAGCCCACAACAAAGAATTATCCAGCCCAAGATGTCAATAGCACCACAGATGAGAAATTGTCGTTAAGAAAAAGGAAGGCTTCTGTAGGCGAACGGGCACAGACTTTAAAGTCTAGGTTCAAATACAAGCCCTATATTTATTTGGGAAAGTCACTTAATTTTGCTGAGTTTGCTTTCCTAACTCTAGGAAAAGGGTTGACAAGTTGTGGGGGTCATGACTAAGTAGGCACTCTGTAAGTATCTCTCTCCTCTCCTTCATTTGTACCTTAGGGTTTCTGGGCCAAGAAAGAATAAAAATCAACAAACATGACGGGTAGTAGAAGGACTAAGCAGTAGAAGGACTTGGGCTTCTGGGCCAGGGGTAGAATATTCAGGGTGTAGAACAAAAATATCTACAAATTAGTACTAACCACCAAGTTGCCAATCACCATGACCATCATAAAGACAATGAGGCACATGGCCTGGCCTGCCACTTCCATGCAGTCCCACATGGTCTCAATCCACTCCCCGCACAACACTCGAAAGACAATGAGGAAGGAATGGAAAAAGTCATGCATATGCCAGCGAGGGAGTTCACAGTCCTGGTTGATCTTGCAGACACACTCTTTGTAGCTTTTTCCAAAGAGTTGCATCCCCACCACGGCAAAGATGAAGACAATAATGGCCAGCACCAGTGTCAGGTTGCCCAGGGCACCCACTGAATTTCCAATAATCTTGATTAGCATGTTCAGGGTGGGCCAGGATTTGGCCAATTTGAAGACTCGGAGCTAAGGAAAAAAAAAACCCAAACAAAAAAATAAATGATACTCAATCAATTTTCTCACCACATGGCTAAAATAAAAACATAAAATTAGGAAGATCAGATTAAATATATTGAGCACCCTTGGAAAATTCCCAGGACTGTCTAACAGTGTCTCAGACTAAATGGGGAGAAACTGAGACATAAATAAGGGAAAACTGATTAATTTCAGAGTAGCTGAAAAAATTGTAACTAGAAGCCAGGAATACTGCCTTAGTCCCTTACTTTAGATCTGAGTCAGTCTGCTTTTTGAAAACCCACATATGAACATATCCCTTTCCTACTAATTTTCCCTTGACTTCTCACAGGACAAGTGAAATAAAATGTGATTTGTAGGAAACCAAAAGACTAGTATGGGAAGGACAGTTTAAAAAAAAATCCATCTCCTTAAAAAAGCAAACATTAAAAAATTCTAAATACCTATTTTGCTTGCCAATAAATAATCAATGGCTGATTAAAAAAAAAACCGTTGTGATATGCTTGGAATAACTTGGAGGAAAAGCACAACTCTCAAACAGGGGCAGTTCCACATACATCAGTCATCTTATGAAAAGAGCCTATACTGGCCAGGTGCAGTGGCTCATGCCTGTAATCCTAGCATTTGGGAGGCTGAGGTAGGCAGATGACTTGAGGCCAGGAGTTCGAGACCAGCCTGGCCAACATGGTGAAATGCCGTCTCTAATAAAAAATACAAAAATTAGCCAAGTGTGGTGGTGCAGGCCTGTAATCCCAGCTACTTGGGAGGCTGAGGCATGACAATCACTTGAATCTGGGAGGTGGAGGTTGAGGTGAGCCGAGATCACACCACTGCACTTCAACCTGGACAGCAGAATGAGACTATGTCTAAGAAAAAAAAAAAAAAGAAAAGAGCCTATACTGTTATTCAGAGGACAGAACTTTTAGTACCTGTCAATCATGAAATATCTATATTCTGTAATAAATAATCACAAGATCTTGGCTAACAGAGTGTTAATTATTTTTTATTTATTTATTTATTTATTTTTGAGACAGAGTCTCACTCTGCCGCCCAGGCTGGTGTGCAGCAACGTGATCTCGGCTCACTACAACCTCCGCCTCCTGGGTTCAAGTGATTCTCCTGCCTCAGCCTCCCAGGTAGCTGGGATTACAGGCGTGCACCACCATGCCCGGCTAATTTTTGTATTTTTAGTAGAGATGGGGTTTCACTATGTTGGCCAAGCTGGTCTCAAATTCCTGACCTCAAGTGATGCGCCCGCCTTGGCCTCCTGAAGTGCTGGGATTACAGGTGTAAGCCACTGTGCCTGGCCCAGCCTGAGAATTATAACGCATAAAGGCTATGGCAGTGTGGCCAATAAAATTATAATTATGAGATCATCATTAGATGTCATATGCTAACAAATAACTAACATAGAATGTAATAGGAATTTTGGTAGAAGGCAACAGCACAATTTTAACTTTTTTTTAATTGAAAAGTTATCTTATCAGAGAGTTCAATATTTACCAGGTGTTACCCTATATGCAGACATCTGGGCCACTCATATTGTTTTCAACAGAGTGGCTTTTTAATTTATTAAGAATATAAGTTCTAAGGCTACTCTCAATCCTTTCTTTTGTCACCTAGGTAATAACTATTCTCAAAAAAGTCCACTGTGGACTGGATCCTAACCAAAGAGTAGTAAACAGAGGTTTCAAAAATTTGGCAGTTATTTGTGACTTTGACTGAGTGAAATCTCTGTTTTACAAATAGTTTCACTTTTTCCAGTTCTTTCTTAGAACTGCTGAATATCTCAATGAAGAAACTTTAAACCTTTTCAGTTGCCAAGTGCTTATCTTCCCAATAGGGAGTGAAAAACCCAAGCCAATTCTAATGCCAGGGAAGCAGTAGTGACCTTTGTCTGAGTGGGATACCCCCAGGATAACTCAGTTTCTCGAGGAGTTAATCAAGATATCACTTACGCTTATGTTTACGGACAGCTGTTTTGAAGATACCATTAACTATTCTTTCAGAGTCATTTTAAGTCATTAAGAGTAACTTAAACACTAACTTCTTCAAATACATTAATACAAACTCCTTTTTAGCTAATGATAGAGAAAATAAAGCCAATGTTCAACAACTAATTTCAATATAATACAGATGCTCCTTGACTTATGATGGGGTTATGTCCCAATAAACCCATTTTAAGTTGAAACTGCTGTAAGTAAAAATGCATTTAATATACGTAACCTACTGAACATCACATCTTAGCCTAGCCTACCTTAAACATGTTCTGAACACTTACATTCGCCTACAGTTGGCCAAAATCATCTAACACAAAGCCCATTTTATAATAAAGTATTGAATATCTCATGTAATTTATTGAATACTATACTGAAAGTGAAAAACAGGACGGTTGTATGGGTACTCAAAGTATGGTTTCTACTGAACGTGCACTGCTTTTTTGCAGAATGTAAAGCGGAAAAATTATAAGTTGAGCCATCATAAGTTGGGAACCATCTGTATTTAAAAACCTTATTTTATTCTCATTTTTTGGAAGGGCTACCATGACAGAAGAAATGAAGAAAGTCATCTTTGAACAAGGAGAAATTCTTGCCATTTCAAGGAGATGTTCAGATTTAAAAAAATAGATTCACTAGCAAACCCAAATTAGACCTCACACTGGGCCTTGGGGGAGTTCATTTTCTTCATCTATTGTCTTGGGTCTTATTTTTCACTTATCATCTTAGACATCTCTTAGATTAAGCAGCATTTTCTAAAGAGCTTCTTAAAATTGATTTCTGTTTGCTTATTGATTTTTAACAACTAACTTCCATATCAGGTATTTTAGGAAAGTTTTTAGTATTTTAGTAGCTAAGCCAAATAACTGGAATTGGGAGTAAAATACAGCTAATATATTTTTTAAATCATCAAATTAATTTATGCAGAACTCTTTCTAGTAGCTGCAAGATAGGAAATGTTAAAAGAAATTGGAGAAATATGGAATACCAATCGGAAAGATCGCAGCACTGAAAGCCCCTCCACGTCTGCTAGACTCAGTTCCATTAAACTGAGGGAGACAATAAATCCGTCAAAAATGTTCCAACCTTCTTGGAAATAATAGTAGGGATCCATGGCTATGAGCTTCAGGAACATTTCCGCTGTGAAAATTCCAGTGAAAACCTAAATAGGGGGATGCAGGGGGTAAGAAAAATAAATAGTAGAAAGAGAATGCCTTTATCATTATTTTTGAAAACAACATGTCCAAGAAACCTCAAGAGTTAACCTTAGTTAAATTCTGCATCTGAAGATATCAATACCTGGATGTCTCATGAGCACCCCACCTGATGCAGGAAAATCTTATTCTCCTCTTGAATGAAGTCCCCAGCCCCAAAGTTCCCATCTTTGTTGCCAGAACCACTCAATTTAAACTCTTCAAGAGTGCAGTTGAGAAAATATGCTAAGCAATGGCAATACTACACCAGGCAACTCCTTTCAAAGGGTCAGCAGTCATTTTGAATGTATATAATACTTGTGATGTTTGCTTAAAAAAATCACTCGCGTTATGATTAGAAAAATAAAGTATTAATGCTAATTTGACATTATATCTTACCAAACCCAGACATTTGCCACAAGGTGTAAAAGCATACAATATTGCCAAAATGTGCAAAATATAGGAAATAATATCTATAATCTCACCACCTTGCATACAACTATCATTTTCATGTATTTTCTTTCTGTTTTTTTTTTCAAATACACAGGTATTTTGACAGAGTTGGAAAATCATAGAATACATAATATCTTGGGTCTGATTTTTCACTTATCATTAAGTCTATCCATGTTGCTACACGGTTCTCCCAACTCTCACTCTTACTGCCTGTATAAAATTCTACTGGCGGCTGGGGATGATGGCTCACTCCTGTAATCCCAAAACTTCTGGTGGTCGAGGCAGGCAGATCACTTGAGTCCAGGAGTTTGAGACCAGCCTGGACAACATGGTGAAAACCCATCTCTACAAAAAATACAAAAATTAGTTGGGCGTGGTGGTGGGCGCCTATGGTACCAGGGACCAGGAGGCTGAGGTGAGAGAATCACTTGAGCCCGGGAGGCAGAGGTTGCAGTGAGCCAACCTGGAGGGCAGTGGATCATGCCACTGCACTCCAGCACAGGCGACACAGCAAGCCCTATCAAATAAATAAATAATAATAAATAAATAATAATAAATAAATAAATAAATAAATAGTGAATAAAATTCTATTGGGTAAATACATCCTCAAAGAATTTTCCTATTGTTGGAGACTTCGGTGCTTCCTTTTAATTTTTTTCAATAGGATAATCAATGACATAATAAATGTTTTAGATTTGTAGCTTATTGTGTGTAAAAATGACATCTTCCCTATGTTACCCATCTCCCATTTTTCTGCTGACAGAGTGCCTGCACTTCCCGATGACTTCCATATCCTGCAGGCATTAGGAGGTGATATGCAGGATGAAAGTCAAATCCCATGAATGCCGGTTTTGACAAAACCAATACCTTCATTCTAGGCTAACCATATAACAACAGACTCTTATTGAATATTATGTTTTTAGAGGAGAGGACTTATTTTTACAATAGATTTAAAACTGTCATAATATATTAGTACTTGTAACTACCTGTTTACCAAGTTTCCACATGAAACAGTTTAAGGAAAACTGAAGATATAGTCTGAGAACAAAATTAAAAATAGTAAAAAATACTTAGATTATAGATGCTGTTTGGAAATATACTGAATTAATAAACAGCAATAAAAAAACAGAATGATGACTAAAATACATCAAAATGGATAAGTGGCCTATAGGTTTTCGGTGTTCATATGCTTTTCTGTAGTTCCTCATGTTTCTAGATTGAAGATGCAATATTCTAAAATTGAAAAAAAAATTCCACAAAGAGATCCAGTTAAGTAAAATCAAAGTTCATAATACAAGTTAAGCATCTATAGATGGAACATCCCTCTGAGTGAGTTCAGGGAAAGTACAGACAGCTCATCAAATCCTGACATACATTTCACCCTTAGTGTAAACCCATCGGAGGTTTCTCCACATAGAAATGCTAGCCTGCCTAACACACACTAAGTAGAGACTTGATTTGTTATCCCACTGGTTCCTGGTAAACACACAGGAAGTGCTCATGAAGAAGCACTGGCTGATTGACCATGGAATATCTATACTGTGGGAACTCTGGTTCCTAAGGGAAATCAACAATGACATAGTTATGTGGTGTTGCCTATCACCAGGATGAATGGCCCCAGGCATTAGAAATTGTCTGTGACAGAGGTCAGCCACCATGTTGCTTCAACACATGGTATGTTGCCATCAGTTGGGTGTGTGTCAAAATACACCTATAACTATTAGCTGTGTGAAGGAATTGCTTTTTTAAAAATTGAGAAGAGCAGATTTAAGGTTATCCTATGATGCTCTTGTTTGCACTGTGATATGCTTCTCAAAGAGGAGAAAGGGAAGAATTACATGCAGTGTATCAGCAATTATATATAAGTGTCTGCTATGGTTTGAATGTGTCCCCCAAAGTTCATGTATTAAAACTTAATCCCCAATGCAACACTGTTGGGCAGCAAGGTCTGATAAGAGGTGATTAGGTCATGTGAGGACTCTGCCATCATGAGTGGACTGATGTTATTGCAGGAGTGGGCTGGTTATCTCAATAGTGGGCTTTGTGATAAAAGCAAGTTTGGCCCTCTCTTGCTCTCTCACTGTTAGCTTCTTCTGCCCTTTGGCCTTCTACCATGGGATGATGTAGCACAAAGGTCTTCACCAGGTACTGGCACCATGCCCTTGTACTTTTCAGTCTCTAGAAATGTCAGCCAAATAAATTTCTGTCTGTTATAAATTACCCAGTCTATGGTACTCTGTTGTGGTAACATTACTTAGACAGTGTTGTTCTCCTGAATGTCATCAAATATTCACTTTAGAATTTATGTTCTTATGCAGCAGTTCTCAAAGGGTAGTTGAGGATCCTTAGAGTCCCTAAGGCCCTCTCAGGAAGCACATGGTCCGCTCTTTTCCAACTTCAGAAGTACCCCCCATCTGTGGTTTTGCTTTCTGCAGTTGCAGTTAGCTACCATCAACTACAGTCCAAAAATATTAAATAAAAAATTCTAGAAAAACAATTCATAAGTTTTAAATTGCATACTGTTCTGAGTAGCATGATGAACTCTTGAGCTGTCCTGCTCTATCCTCCCAGGATGTGAATCATCCCTTTGTCCAGTGTATCCATGCTGTATAAACTACTTGCCCTTTAGCCACTTAGCAGCCATCTTGGTTATCAGATTCACAAAACCCAGTATGGTCATGCATTGCTTAATGATAGGGATAATGTGTTGTTGGCAATTTAGTCATTGTGTAAACATTAAAGAGTGTACTTACACAAACCTAGGCCTTATATATATATTTTCATTTATATATATATATTTTTTAATATGGAAAACCAAATGTCCCAGCACCTTTACTTAACATCAATCATTTCTCTTACTTGACCTGCAAGGCCAATATCAAATGGCATATAACAAGTTTTTATATATGTTCCATTATAATCTTATGGTATCACTGTCAGACATGCAGTCTGTCATTGACCAAAATGTTGTTATGTGGTACGTGGCTGTACATATACACACACGTATATATATATATACACACACACACACACATATACATACATACATGTATGTGTATATGTGTGTGTATGTGTGTGTGTATGGCTTGGTACTATCTGAGGTTTCAGGCATCCACTGGGGGCCTTGGAATGTATCCCCCTTGGATAAGAGAGGACTACTGTACATATCTGTGTGAGGCAAGCTTTTCTTCCTATACTTTAGCTAAAATAACATATCACAACAGACTGAATGTAGAAACAGAAAAAGAGAATCTAACTACCTTCTATTAAACCAGACATGAGGCCAGGCACGGTGGCTCACGCCTATAATCCCAGCACTTTGGAATGCCCAGGTGGGTGGATCACTTGAGGTCAGGAGTTCAAGACCAGCCTGGCCAACATGGTGAAACTCCATCTCTACTAAAAATACAAAAATTAGCCAGGCATGGTGGCGGGCACCTATAATCCCAGCTATTCTGGAGGCTGAGGCAGAAGAATCGCTTGAACCTGGGAGACGGAGGTTGCAGTGAGCCGAGATTGTGCCACTGCACTCCAGCCTGGGCGACAGAGTGAGACTCTGCCTCAAAAAACAAAACAAACAAACAAACAAACAAACCAGACATTAAAGAGACTTGCAAAATGTCGAACAATGCCATTCTTCCAGTTTTTCTTAAAAAATATAGTTTCCCCACACCAATATGTTATTTATGTTCATGTGTGATAGGTGTATTATTGTGATATTTATTTTACAGATAGGGTGTTGCTATGTTGTCCAGGATAGTCTTGAATTCTTGAGCTCAAGTGATCCTCCCATCTCAGCATCCTGAGTAGCTGGGATTATAGGGATGAGCTGCATGTCTGGTTAATTTTTTTATTTTTGTAGAGATGGGGTCTCGCTATGTTCTAGCCAGGCTAGAAAGCAATGGCTATTCACAGCCGTGTTCCTGGAGCACTTCGGCATCAAATTCCTGGCCTCAAGCCATGCTCCTGCCTCAGCCTCCCAAGTAGCTGGGACTCACCTAGCTATATTATTGTAATTCTTTAATTACAAAATGAATGTTTAGAAATTTTCTCAGTTTTAATTTCAAACATGATAAATATCAATAGACATAGCACTTTTATTTAAGAGTATAAAGGAGTCCTGATCTCCTCAGAATATTCTATAAAACAATGGTTCTCTATTCTCTATAAAATACTCTGAATTCACAGTCATCATATCTTTCTAGTTTGGGTTTTGTTGTGTTTTGTTTTTTGAGATAGGGTCTTGCTCTGTCACCCAGGCTGGAATGTAGTGGCATGATCATAGCTCACTGCAGCTTTGAAATTCTAGGCTCAAGTAATCCTCTCACCTCGGCCTCCCAAAGAGCTGGGATGACAGGCATGAGCCATGCCTAGTCTAGTTTGGACTAGCCTGTGGTCATATGCCTGATAACTTGTAATGCCAGGTCAACAAGTAAGGCCTATATAGTCCTAAGATTGGGGTATATTTCACTTTGGCGTCACTATGGGGTCTGGGGAGAAGTCACACACCTCCTTCAGCCCTCATTGCATTTGCAGAAAAAATTCAGCCTTATTTGAAAGTGACGAGCGTCTGGCATGCTCCTCTCTTTGTGCTCAGAAAAGGGCTTGTCAGCTCCTGTTCTGCAGTAGATCCTCGCCCAAAGTTAATCAAGTTCAATTTGATTAAAAGTTCTATGTGTACTGCAATGGAGACATGAAAAAAAAAATGTGACCATGAAAAATAATGGTTCCTTACGAACTCAGTCGCCAGAATGTAAGTAACTCATCCTGGTTTGCCACTTTTCACACCGAAAGTCCTGCATCCTGCATCTCCAGTTAGGGTGATCAACTCGTACCTGTTGACAAGGACTGTCCCAGTTTTAAAACTGCAAGGGCTTCCTCAGGCCTCTGCAAATTAAGGTGGTTGGTTACCCAACCAGGAGGGGACAGAACAATAACTAAAAATCATGTGACAAGTATTTAAAAAGAAGTATCCATATGGGGCTATAGAAGCACAGATGAAAGAAAAAATCTGAAAAGAATTCTTTTTAGCTGAAAATCTAGGTAACCTATAATTAAGAAATGATAACATTCATTTATGTTTGGTGAAGGAGGAAAATAACTTTCTGCTTTTTTGCTTTTGCTTAGAATCTGAGAACTTAAACTTATATGTCAGATTAAACCCTAGCTCTTCTTTCCATCCCCTTCCTCCTGAACCACTCAGTCCTGAAGGCTGTAGGTGGGCATGCCGGTAGAGGGAGGCTGCTGCCCAGTGCTGGAACCCCAGGAAGGGCACGGCCCAGCAAGGAGAGTCAGACATGGAGGGGAGCGAGGAGGTCCATGCAGGGCAGCAGGCTGGCATGGGCTGTCTGAGCCTGTGGGCCAAGGAGAGGCATCCGCTTTGGGCAACAGTCTAGGATGGGCAGTTGGAAGTGGTATGAGGCGTGGCTACCCCACATAGGTGTTGAGGCCCAAGTGTGGTGGGAGGACGTCCACACTTGAGGGGGTGGGGGACTTAGCAGAGAGAGTCAGAGCTTAAGTAAGGTAAAGATAGCATCTCCAGGAGAAGATCCCGGAGTGGGCTGAGGAGGGACTCCCTGCAGGGGAAGACTCACAAGGGGTGCCAGAGCCAGGTGAGCTGATGAGGGACTCATGTAGGGGAAGGCCTGATGTGGGGTGTCAGATCCCGAGTGGGGTGAGGAAAGTGTCCAAACAGGGAGGTGGACAGTGAGGGTGTGAGAGCTCATCAGGGTGAGGAGGATGTCGCCTAGTTTGGGATAAAGTCAATGGGCCAGGTGAGAACTTCCAGGAGTGTTCACACAGACAGATGGCAGCATGAGCAGGGTGACGAGGGGTGGCCTGGTGAGGGGTGTTAAGAGTCTGTGCAGGATAAACAGAGCTTCTATGTCAGGGGAGAGTCTGGTGTGGGGTGAGAAGGATGTCCATGCAGGCGAAGGCCTACTGTGAGGCATCGGGGTCTAAGCAGGGTGGGGCAAACCATGTGTGAGTTGGACTGGTGTGGGTTCCAAGCTGAGGAGTGTGAGCAGGTGTCCACATGGAGGACACGGCTCGGGTGCTGAAGGGGTGGGGGGCACCCAGAGCCTATACAGGGTGAGGAGGGTACCCATGCTATAAAAGGTAACAGTGGCTTTTTGATCAAATAAGTATACCAAAGATAGTGGCAACGAGGTTTCTTATTGTTGCAGGAGTTACAAATACAGAAAGGGAGAAAACTAGAAAGAATCTTGAAGTGTTGGATTAGAATTGGAAGTGACAGGATCAACTCATGGTTTGCAATATCCACGGCTAGCTCAATATAAATAGCTCATCATGTCCTAAGAGGGGCTGCATGCTGCTCCCATAGCAATATGCATACCTAGATCTCAGATCTCCACCTCTTCCTTTTTTTTTAGTTTTCTATTTTGTTTTAGAGATGGGGTCTCATTGTGTTGCTAAGGCTGGTCTCAAACTTTAAGCGATCCTCCTGCCTCAGCTGATACTCAGCCTAGATCTCTACTTCTAAATGCCATTTTTCCACTAAAAGACTCAGGGCTTCTTGAGAAATGGCTGATTCCAGCCCTGGGGCTGGAAAAACACGAAAGTATCCTGGAATACCTTGTGGTACCAGAAAGCCAGGAAGTGAAGAAGACATGTGAAAGGGATCAGAAGCCAGCTTGAAGGAATTTCCACTGGCCACATCAGAGGAAGTCTAAACATCAAATGGATTGTAACTCAGATAAAATAGAAAACCATTAATCCATACTGATATAAATAAAGGAAGAAATCAAAATCTGAATGAACAGGAAATTTAAATCGTTTCAAATGGTCTTCCTCACAAATACCTATTAAGTATACAGTAAGTCCTCACTTAATGTCCTCAATAGGTTCTTGAAAACAGCAACTTTAAGCCACATGATGTACTATATGCCATAGGAACTTAACTCTTGTTTATATCAACTGGCCTATGGTAAAACTGGTTTTGTTATACAGTATATCATTTAGCTTAAAGTCACAGTTTCCAAAAATCTAGAACCTATAGAGGATGTTAAGTGGGGACTTACTGTAAATGGAAAAAGCGTAACTTCACAGATGAAAAGCCTGGCAGACACCTCCTTAATCAAGTGATTAAATGAACGTCACCAGTAGTGGGACAAATGGAAGCTACATGCCAACTGGTAGATACAACGTGAAGAAGATAGTCTCACTTATCTGATATTCCTACCAAAATGCAGAACCTGCATCTAATCATAAGGAAGCATCAGACAAGCCCACATTGAGGGAATTCTACATAACAAATGACCTGTAGTCTTCAAAATGTCAAGACATGAAAGTCAAGGAAAGACTGAGGAACTCCTCCAGGCTGAAGAAAATTAGAGAGATATGATAGCTACATGTAATGGGGTAATCCTAAAACTGCATCCTTTTGTTACAGAGGATACCACTGGGATCACTGGCAAAACTTGAATAGGGCCTGAGAATTAGACCCTTAACTTAACTCACAATCAGGGCTATAGGAAAAGCCTCACATTCCAACCACAGGACAAGGTCATACTTTACTTCACAACATTGTAATGTATCAATGTTAATTTCCTGGTTTTGACAGTTATACTATGGTTATGTAGGAGAATGTACTTGTGTATAAAAAATACACACTATAAGCATTTGGGGGTGATAAGGCTATGTGATAAGGCTTTTATTGTAAAAAAAAAAAAAAAAGAAGTTTTTTGTACTGTACTTGAAACTTTCCTGTAAGATTCAGAATGTTTAAAAAGTCACCTCATAAACTTACTATTGTATTCAGTTAGTTGCAAAAAAGGCAGGAAAAGAATCATTACATTTATCTACTACATAACATAGAGGCTGTATAAGTCACACAGCTTCCCTGGGCTTCAATTTCCTCTATAAAACATGTGGATTGGATTGAATTATCTCTAAGGTTCTTCCTACTATTATTTTCTCTTTTGGGGAGGGTAGAAGAGGCAGGGATCTTCAATTTGCAGAAGACTGTTCTCATCTTTCTTTAAAAACATCTTTCTGTATGTCTACAGACAAAGACAACTTAACTCACAATTAGGGCTATAGGAAAAGCCTCACATTCCAACCACAGGACAAGGTCATACTTTATTTCACAAGTCAGTCTCATTTTTTTTCCATCCTCTTATTCTCAGGTTCAGTCAAAGCCTCTACCCAATTCTCCAAATCTTTGAAAATTCTCCTATTGAATTATACTAACACAGTTCCTAAGATTTATAAGATACTTTTAGCTATCCCAAAGACTTCCATATAGGTTCTCATTTTATCTTCCCAACCAGTGATGGCATGGTATTATCTTAACTTTACAGATGTGAAACATTTCTGGACAGAAATCAATGACTTATTTAAGGTTATACGATATCTAATAGGAATGAAAACCCAAATCTTCTGACTTCCAATTCTGTGTTCTTTCTGCCAATCTCAGCGCTCGTGTTGATTGGCAACAAAGTATATCTTTGAGTTTCTGGTATTGTCCAGAAAACACTCATGAGGTCCAGCACGTACCCAACTTCCTTATTTGGCATCTCCACTCAGTGAATAGACACTTAATATGTCCAAAACAGAACTCTTGATTTTATACGTCAAGCCAGTTCCTTTGCAGTCATTCCACTTTTCCCTCAGTTATTAAACCCCCACATCGAGGCACCATTCTTGATTTCTTTCCTTTTACCCTCACATCTAGTACAAAGTATGCTGGACTATATACTAAGCTCCCTCCCCACTGCTAATTGTACATTTACTTGCCGTTTGAAAACCCTTGCCACCTAAGAGCTTTCTTATTCTAGAACTTGGTTCTGGGTTGGCTTGTCTCATGGAGTTCCTGAATATTAGCTGTTGACCTTCTCTTATTTCCTCTTTTTTTACTGATGGTTCTGAGCAAAGTCTTCTGCATACTTACAATTCTAATTTAGATGTCATCCTAAATCTCTAAATTTTCATGAAAGGAAAAATAACATTATTTGCTAGCCTGGTCTGACTGGAGTTCTAGTGGGGATAGGTGAAAAAGCCTCTCAAAATCCCTTGAAAATCAAAGACTGGTTCTGTAAAAAGTAAGGAAAAGTAAAGATTTTGAGAAAAACAAAACTCTACAGGGAAAACAGAACCACCAACATCAACAATAAAAATTATCAAGACATATTTCTTGTTACTTAACTCTTGGCTACTAAAATCAAGCTTATATCTAAATGATATTGTTGACAGGGTTAAAATTCTGCTTGATGGCCAAGGTACTGTGTCAGCCAGTCACAGCATGTGCCCACTGACAGGCACCTTTCAGAGCCAGTCAGCAGACTTCTTGGACAGTCTGTGGGAGTGTCCCATTTCAAGACTCCGGGCATTCCACTGGACTGCACACAAGGGTTTACATCATTGCAGAGAGCCTGGAGCATGTCACCAACCACAGACATGGAGACTGGAAAGATCACAGAATCATCTTGGATGTATACCAGGGAACACAATGGGCTACAAAGGATCTCTTTGCCATGTGTTTTGAGAATGAGAAATGAAAATGATATTGTAGTGCTCTAATAGTATAGTAATAGGACTTAAGGTCAAAACTGTGTGGTGTGTGGTGTGTGTGTGTGTGTGAGAGAGGGAGAGAGAGAGTGAGAGAGCACACATAAGAGAAACTGGGCAGAAATCATGCTCAAATCATTAATAAACGGTAATAGCCAGATTTGGACATGCCTGTGGTTAACACCTAAGGAATTAGGGGGCCCAGGTGACCTAGGGGATTCTTTCTCACTAATTCTTTACTATCTATCAAAATTCAATTAACTCCTGATTTTTGTAGTAAACAAAGCACATAATCCTCAAATCACAGCTACTTAATTTCAGAATACACACTTTGTAATCTATTTTTTTTAAAACTACATACTTTAATGGCCTAGAAGTTGGATTGGAGGGGGAAACCAGCCTTGAGTGAAAACTTTCCCATAAATAGTCCCCATTTAGGTAATTAAGGCCTGACAGAGCAGGCAAATCCATAGTTACATGTAGTGTACTATAAGAGCTCCCCTATTTTGTGGTAGATGTTACTTAAGGTGAAAGGGGAACTGATTTGCTGGAGCAATGCAGGAATCAATGTGAGAAACAGAATGAGGAAAAAAACCAGAAGTACTTGGCTCAGGCTGCTGAAACCAACCCACTGTACCAGGCCTCCCATTCTGTCGCCAACATTGGTTTTCTGCCAATAGCTCCTAAATGACGTCTTCAAAGTTCTGCAGAAAGAGGAAAGGGATCACAACAGTGAGCAGAAAAGCAGCTGGTGTCCTGGCATATGTGGAAGCATTTGTCTTCCAATTAACTATTACTTTCTTTTCAAAGAAACTCCAGCTTTCAGTACCAGAAAAAGATATCCTACAGGCAAAACACATTCCAATCCTAATATCGGGAGACAGTGTTCCATCTTACCAGATTTCCTACAGCCAAGACATGTTCAAATTGTGGTGTCATAGGATGGTGCTCCATTGCCATAAACAGTGTATTCAGGACGATGCAGATGGTGATGGCTAAATCCACAAAAGGGTCCATAACTATCAAGTTCACAATCTCTTTCAGTTTTATCCAGTAGGGGTGGCACTCCCAGATGAGGAAAGTGTTGGCAAATTTATACCAGCATGGCGGGCACTTTCTCTGAGACTCTTCCAGTTCTACAGTAAGTAAGAACAAAGATGGCCCCTCAATCACAGCAAGAAAACCAGGGGGACACACTACTCACTCTCAGTCATTATCACTGTTATTAATATGGAATCAAGGTTGTTTTGAGCGCTGACATTCCTAAGTGTTTTCCTTCTCTCTAAGGTAGAGAGGAAGCATGATCCACACAAGTTGCCTCCCTGTTAATAATGATCTAGTTATAAATGAAACTCAACCCATCAGTTATGGGAGTCGAGCACAGAGGTCAAGAGCTTGGCCTCTCAGGTCTGACTCCCTGGCCTCAACTGGCTTGAATGCTTACAAGTTGTGTGATCCCAGGCAAGGTAGCTGATTTCTCTGCTCAGCTGCCTCAGCTGTAAAACAAGGCATTTACTTTACAGGTTACAGGACTGAATGAGTTTGACTAAATTAGATGCTGGTGTAAAGCAGTCACTATAGTATCTGGCACAGGGTAAATCCTCAATAAATGGTAGGTATTCTATTATACACTATATTATTCAATTATTGTCAGAGAAGCCATCAAAAGTATGGACTCAAGCCAGACATATTTGAGTTCAAATACTAGCTCAGACACTTGCTAACTGTGGGACCGTGAACAAGTTACTTTGATTTGCTGTGAGAATTAAAGAGCTAAAATATATACAAAGTGCCCCAGAATACCCTGGCAGATAGAAAGTGCCATGGAAGTGTTTGCTATTATTATTATCTTCATTAGCAGGACCAGCATCATCGACCAAGCCACCATGTAAAACACATCTGCTATGTTCTCAAAGAAGTACAAGTTACTGTCTCCACCCTTAACAAGTTTACAGCTCATGGTTGAGTTAGAAATACAAGTCACACTCCTCTCCCCTTTTCACCTTTCCTTCCTTGTTCTGTCTCCTCCTGTCTCCTTCTTTCTTGCCCCTTTGCCCTTTCCTGCTCTCATCCTTTGCTTTTCTCTTTCTTTCTACAGCTTCTTCCTCCTTCCCTCCCTGGGTCATCATCTTCTTTCCTTTTTCTTTCTCTCCTTTGTCTTATCTTCTCCGTCTCTTTTAGAAACAGAAAGTGTTATTGTCAAACAAGATCTCACATGACCCCCAATACATGAAATACACCAGGAATTTCCCTAGATGAAGCAGGAGCCCACTTGGATAGATTTCTTCCTCTCCTGAGGCACTCCCCTAGAATCCCAGGACTCTGATACACACAGACTGAAAAATCACTGGACTAGACGATCTCAAAGGTCATTTCCAAAGCAAAGATTCAAAAGAATTATCAGATATCAAAGACAGACACTCAACTGGCAGTTACAACAATCTAGGTATGAAGCCCTACATAACAAAGCTCTCCTCAAATTAAGCATGAAATACAACTGCCAGGATTACAAAATTCCAAGGACCCTGAGCTAAGAGGATGCTTTTTAAGAGGTGAACTTTGAAAACCTGTCAGAATGTGAGGTATTGATTCTACAGGGTTGGCTGTAACAGCTACTCTCTCTCTGTTCAATTCTGCTGACACTATCAAATCATTTAAGGAAAAAAAAAATTCCCTAACATTTCACCAAAACCAAGATGGCTGCCTTAAATTAGCCTACGTTCCCTTTTCCAACCAGCTGGATGGCGATGCTTTATTTTAGACAAGGTGGTTTTGGCTGAGTTTCTGATTGGTTCCCTGGTTGCTAAGAAAATGGTTGCCTTGGTTTTTCAGATTTAAGGACCCCTGTAAGCGCCACGTGGGAGGCTGCGTGGGAAAGGAAGTCTGTGAGGAAAATCTGCTGTGGCTTCTTCCTCAGAGAACTCCCTCCCTTCCTAAGGTAAATATAGTTTTCTCCCCCAAAAAAGAAAATGACAAGGTTCTCTTATTTCCATAAATTCTTACAGTACATATTTGGAAATTTAGTTCCGTTCCCTTTTTTATCTCCTCCCTTCTCCAAACGACTGTTGCTCATTGGCACGTGGAGGTTGAAGCTGCGACTGCTCACATTTATGACAGTTGACACAATTGTAATGTTTTAAAATGAACTAGGTCTTGAGTCTTGCCACACAGCAAAAAGGGGTTTTCCTGCCCTACAGGGCACCAAGAAAATTCCTCTAGGGATACCAGACATCTCTTAGCCACATTTACTGAGAAGGGAAGATCCTCAGGATAAACTTTCACGCCTACAAAAAGTAAGACAATGTGGAGCTTCAGGAGCTAGAAAAGATCATTTGGGGAATAAGAAGGCTTATCAAGTGACTTATGACTTTGCAAACTGTTACTGGTTCCACATGCCTGGAATGGCCCAGTATTTGGCTTGGGGGAATGGGTTAACATCTAGGGGTGAGATGTCCAAAGGTTTGTGGGGTTTCTCTTACTTTGCTTTTGGACATTTTCAGAGAGGTTACTTTGGGTCTTAACCTCAGGGGTACTGGGAATTGTTTTCAGAAAGGACCTCACAATTTCACCAAGATAGTGGCTTTGGTAGACCATGAGGTTTCTGAAGGCAGGAGCTTCCCTCAACTCAGTTCAACAACTTTTAAGCATCTGCAATGTGCTAGGCACCAAGGATACACTGATGAAGAGCCCCCACCCTCACTAAGGTTACTGCCACACAGGAAAGGCTGATATCAGCCAAGTAACTATACTGACACTTGATGCTGGTCAGTTAAATAAAAGAATACATAAATAGTGGCAGCAATAGCTATGGCCAGTTACCTCTAGGGGAGTTTTTGGAATTGTTTTACCTGAGAATCAATAATGTCAAGTACTTCCTTGATATTAAAAATCAATAATGTCAAGTACATCACTACTTCCTCTTTCTTACTTCACCACGATCTCCCCTTCTCCCACAGCTTTACTGCTTTGAAGAGTGAGACTATACTACTCTACCTACACCCCACGCCCAGTCCTCTGAAATATCCCCAAAGCTTATAGCTCTGCTAGTGGTGAACTCTACTAAATGTGCTGGATCCTGGTAAGCATGTTTGCAATAGGAATGGGGTGGGGCAGAGCAGGCAGGGTTTTCTAATTATTGACAGGATTCTAGAATTCTCCACTGTGGTTTCTAAACTATTAGGTAAGTCGTAGCCTGCCTCTTGGGTTTTAAATAATAATTATTTTAATCTTTGGATTAAAATAATGTCAAAGTTTCCTAACTGAAAGTCTGAGAGCAAGAACTACAATTCGTTCAATGCTGGCTTTTAATGCTGTAGCAAGCATTAAATACAGAGGGACCAATGGTTAAACAGACATGGATGTTTCATTCCCTCTTACGTGATTCCGGTCAGCCATTCATTGCTCTTTGCTTATAGCAGTTCTGTCCCATCAGCTTCAACAAAAGGGTCAAATACAAGGGGAGAGGTTAGGCGGAATGCCTGAGCAGGAAATGGCAGGACAGGTATAACTATGTGAAAATCAGGGCTTAGGAAAGAGGACAAAAAACTGGAATAATATTTTCCTATTCAGGAACACAACTACATCTGTCTCTGTCTCCTGAGCTACCCTTACATCTATTTTTTTTTTTAATGTGTGTGATGGTGGGTAAAGGGTGGAGAATAAGCACAGCAGGACAGAAAGAGAAAGAACAGGGAGAAGAGGCAGAAAAGAGAATTTTAAAACGTCCCAATGGTTTGTATCCAACTCAGTAAAGGGATGAAAGCTCTAAGGCCTCCGAAAGGAGCCCTGCAGCACCAGCACTCCTACCATTCTAAGCACAGCCAATGCCTGCTTGACAAAGATTGTTTGAGCATCTACTTTTGCTGGGACCTGTGCTAAGCCAATGCAGTAATAAATAAATAACTGTTGCACTGTATTGATAGTTCTGCTGTTCTGATGTCTCTACCAATAATAAAATGCACCTGTTGGAGGTTGTTAGTTTTTCTTTCTCAACTGCCACAGATACCCAGAGAAATCCTGTCTTGGTCTCTATGTGAATAATAAAATTAGCCAAAGTTCTTAGGCTAGGATTTCTTAGCTTGGAATTCTTAGGACCTGCAGTTATTTGCCCACAATCTCAAAGTATAAGCTACAAAGCTTGAAGATGTTCTATCAGACAATAACCCCGATGGTAATTAAAGAAAACAGGAATAAACAGAGGTTGTTAAGGCAGATGAAAGCAGTTAATTCATTTTTTTACTTGAGATATTCTCAAGGTCAGTCTAGTTATAGTCTCATTCTTTGCACATATGTGGGGAAGTAAGCACCCTTAGAGAATTCTTTTCTAGGGACTCTCCCTCCACTGCAACCCCCTCCCCAACACACACACACACACACACACACACACACACACACACACACATACACACAGAGTAGAAGTGGCACTGGGTTTAAATGACTAAAAAAATAACTTGTCTCAAGGATACTGGGACCATTTTGAGTTTTCCTGTCTCAGGGACTTTGGTTATTCCAGGCATCTGCATTCTGAAGAATAGCAATTTGAGGCCTCAAGAATAGTCTAGATCTACAATGAGACAACTCAGCTAAATCAACATAAATCCAATGAAGAAGATAGGTGCAGAATCCATCAGAATCTTGGGAGAGGAAATCTGTCACTGAATTTACCTCTAAAGAAAGCATGCAGATCCTGGACTACAGACCATAACTGGAGAGGAGCTGATTCTTGCTAGGGGGACTGTGGCCTAATGGAAAATCTTCAGGTATTCCTCAGCACGCCAGGTTGTGTCACAGAGAACCCACCTAACACAGAGAACTCAGGCACTGACAGCAACATTACTGCAGACGTGCTATGATTCAACAGCGGTTGCTCTTTCCCTGTGGCATGGAGCACTCAAAGTAAGAAGGGTTTCAACTTACCTAGTCACACATCAAATTTATTTATGGATATGTGGGGGTGTTTGAAGAGAGACAGAACTAGGTGCAATCAAAACGCACAGTACATTCTTCCTTAAGGGAAAACCAAAAGGGCTGTAAGTAGTTAAAAAGGAAAAAGGAAGGTATGTTTTGGGGTAGAGACCATGAGGGAAATTCTATGATTTTGTATCTTTGCAGTTCTTCAGTCTACATTCCTTTATGCCTTACAGCACCCCACTGACTCCTCATGATGACAATGACAGGGGTCTTGAGCTCCTCTAGGTCACTCATGCAGGTCCTTTCCTATCTCTTACGTACCTGTGTACAATGCTGGCAGCATATCTGAAGCCCATATATTTGATTCTCTGCATGTAAATTTAGGAAGAGAATTTGTGATTCTAGTTTCTATATAGGAATACGTTCCATTCCTAAAGCTCAGAGACAGTCTTTGCAAAACTCAGACCAAGGGACAGGGATTATATTTACCATGCACATTACATATTTATATCTCAGCGGTTGGACTGACATTATAGGGCACATACCTTCTACTAGTGTATTTGTAACAACACTCATTATACTGTTGATTCTGTCCTTCCGCCCGTAGGAGGCTAATTGGTCCATGGAAACTAAAAGAGATCCAGGGCCTTTCTTCTTAATTTCCACCTCAGTTGTAGCCTTTAAAAAAAAAAAAAGAAAAGCAAATAGAGTGAGTTAAGTCTATAAAGGTAAATCTGGGCCTTACTTGATACACAGTCCAGTGTGTGATCTTCATTACAGTCTTTAACTTTGATCCTACAGTCCTATTCACTTCAAGAAGTAGAATGAAATGAATTGGCTATGGTTCATCCTTATTTCTGTGGGTGATAAGATGAAGTCATTTAAGTCTGTGTGAATCTACAATGACCCCAAGAATCTGGCTGGGACCCAAACATCTCACCTGGTTCATTCCAAGCATAGAGTAGAAAGACCAGATCCTCCTGGGGTACTGTCATCCGAAGTAGACCCTGAGTTTTCTGGTCCTAATCTCAAATCCACAATATTTGGCTAGAATTGGTCCACATGACGAAGTAAGTCAAATTTACTTCTATTTGAAATTTCATTAAAGTCAAGTCCCTGATCACACTAAGTATTATAGATGCTGTTTCTTCCTTGAGTAGGAGCACCATTATTCTAATAAACTGCCTCTTCCAAATACCAAATCTGGGCCTAACTGAATATTAGCAAGTTGAAGATCTGCTCCAGATCTCCTACAAGCCATTGTAAGAAAGTACAGAAAGGTTTTGCTATCTTAATTAAATATATTGTATCCTATGTTTATCTTGCCCTTTCACAGTTTTATGAGTTAACCTGCAATGTTCAAATTCCCAATAAAAAATGGCAGAAAGTATAATCAGATTGTTATAAAAAATATGATTACATGCTCCACCCTGGACAATAACTGGTATGGTAGATTACAGCAAAGGGTTTCTTCATGTCCCTGACTTACGTTCTTGTGACTATTCCACATCAGTTCAGGCTTAATGGGGTGGCTTAAAACTAATCCAGCTCTTTAGTAACCATGTTGTTCACTGTACCATATCACCCATGTAGACTTGGCTCTACCTTCTAAGATGGTGAAGGTAAGAGGACAGAGACAATCAGCAGCCCTCAGAGGACAGGGGAGATTGTATGAGGCTGGAGAAGCATATGTCTGATCAGTAAGAGAATGATCCTAGCTGTTTTAAAAAGAAAATAATTACCTCTGGAGAGCTACATCAAAAAGCCCATCTGTTCTAAACATCTTCAGATTTTAAGGACTGAACAGAAGAAAGTTCCTAGCAGATTACGATTTATCTTATCAAAGTGTTTCATTAGCCTGTAGTCCCAGCTACTCAGGTGGTGGAGGCGGCAGGATTACATGAGCCCAGGAGTTAGAGACCATCCTGGGCAACATAGAGACCTCATCTCAAAAAAAAAAAAAAAAAGTGTTTCATCAGACCGTTTCACTGATTCAGATTTGGATCAGTGACCTTGGGGTCTTGTTTGTTTTGTTTGTTTGGCAAAGCTACAGAAGAAATACAGGAAAAAAAAAACCGATTTCCCTGGGAATTCCTTGCTGCATTACTACACTAACATCTGTGTATGTAAGAATGACTTGTGGTGGTGGCCACAGGAAGAGGCTTCCTGCCTGTGGAAAAAGGAGAGAAGAGCAGGAAGGACTTTGTATTGTGGTTTGAGTGCCAGCATAGCTGCAGAATAGAACATCAGGCAAATCTCTAAGGTTTTTTGTTTTTGCTTTTTGAGAGTCTGCTCTGTCGCTCGGGCTGGAATGCAGTGGCATGATCTCGGCTTACCGCAACCTCTGCCTCTGAGGTTCAAGCAATTTTCCCACCTCAGCCTCCTGAATAGCTGGGATTACAGGCATACACAAGCACACCCGGCTAATTTTTGTATTTTTTAGTAAAGACAAGGTTTCGCCATGTTATCCAGGCTGGTCTGGAACTCCTGGCCTCAAGTGATCCTCCCACCTCAGCCTTCCAAAACGCTGGGATTACAGATGTGAGCCACCATGCCCAGCTAAAATTTAATTTTATTTAAACAAATACTTATTGTTTGCTAAGTGGTGTGGATACAGTGGCGAACAACACATACAACATGGTCCCTGTCCTCTTGATGGGTTTCACCATGTTGGCCAGGCTGGTATCAAACTCCTGGCCTCAGGTGATCCACCCACCTTGGACTCCCAAAGTGCTAAGAAATCTCTAAGGCTTTTTGCTCCAATCCCTGGCTTCCGGACAACATGTCTGTACCCACCTGGGACCTGGGGGAACTTGCTGCCCTGAAGGGGAGGATACAAACCTGGCTGGCTTCACCACCTGCTGACTATAGAGCCCTAGGGCCCTGAGTGAACACAGGTGGCAGCCATGTAGTGGTTACAGCGGGCCTTGGGCGAGACCCTGTGCTGTGCTGGCTTCAAGTCTGACCCAGCAGTCTCAGCAGTAATGGCCAGAGGGGTGCTTACATCAACACACTCCAGTTCAAGGTGGCTCAGCACAGAAAAAGAGACTCCATTTGTTTGGGAGAAAGTGAGGAAAAAGAACAAATCTTTGTCTCGTAATCCAGAGAATTCTTCCAGATCTTTATTATCCAAGACCACCAAGGTGGTATTTCTATGAATCTGCAAAAACCACAGCATTATTGGACTCGGGGCTCAAATTCCTTCGAATACCTAGAAAGCCTTCTGAAGAAGGACAGGCACAAACAAGCCCAGATTGCGAAGACTATAAAAAATACCTAGCTTGTCAATGCCCAAACACCAACAAACATCTACAAGCATCAAGATCATGCAGGAAAACATGGCCTCACCAAAAGAACTAAATAAGGTACCAGGGACCAATCCTGGAGAAACAGAGATATGTGACCTTTCAGACAGGGAATTCAAAAGAACTATATTGATGAAACTCAAGGAAATTCAAGATAACACAGAGAAGGAATTCAGCATTCTATCAGATAAATTTAACAAAGAGACTGAAATAATTATAAACAATCAAGCAGAAACTCTACAGTTGGAAAATGCAACTGAATACTAAACAATGCATTAGAGTCTCTTAATAAGAGAATTGATCAGACAGAAGAAAGAATTAATGAGCTTGAAGACAGGCTATTTGAAAATACTCAGAGGAGACAAAAGAAAAAAGAACAACAACAACAACAAAACGAAGCACACCTGCAAGATCTAGCAAATAGCCTCAAAAGGGAAAATCTTAGAGTTATTGGCCTTAAAAAGGACGTAGAGAAAGAGATACGGATAGAAAGTTTATTCAAAGGAATAATAACAGAAAACTTGCCAAACCTAGAGAAAGATATCAACATTCAAGTACAAGAAGATTATAGAACACCAAGCAGATTTAACCAAAAGAAGACTACCTCAAGGCATCTAATAACAAAACTCCCAAAGGTCAAGGATAAAGAAAGGATCCTAAAAGCAGCAAGAGAAAAGAAAAAAAAAAACATACAATGGAGCTCCAATAAATCTAGCAGCTGGCCTTTCAGTGAAAAACCTTACAGGCTAGGAGAAAGTGGTAATGATATATTTAAAGTGCTGAGGGAAAGAAACTTTTACCCTAGAACACTATATCCGGCAAAAATATCCTTCAAGCATGAAGGAGAAATAAAGACCTTCCCAGACAAGCAAAAGCTGAGAGATTTCATCAACACCAGACCTGTCCTACAGGAACTGCTAAAAGGAGTTCTTCCATCTGAAAGAAGAGAGGATGTTAACGGCAAGAAGAAATCATCTGAAGATACAAAACTCACTGGTAATAGTAGGCATACAGAAAAACACAGAATATTGTAACACTGTAATTGTGGCATGTAAACTCCCACATACCATAATTACAGTGTTATGATAAGCCAATATAAATAATAACTACAACAACTTTTCAAGACATAGTACAATAAGACATAAAGAGAAACAACAAAAAGTTAAAAAGCAGAGGGATGAAGTTAAAGTGTACAGTTTTTATTAGTTTTCTTTTTGCATGTTTGTTTATGCAATCAGTGTTAAGTTGTCATCAGTTTAAAATAATGGGTTATGCCAGGTGCAGTGGCTCACGCCTGTAATCCCAGCACTCTAGGAGGTCGAGGTGGGCGGATCACCTGAGGTCAGAAGTTTGAGACCAGTCTGACCAACATGGAGAAAGCCCGTCTCTACTAAAAATACAAAATTAGCCGGGCGTGGTGGCACATGCTTGTAATCCCAGCTACTTGGGGGGCTGAGGCTGGAGAATCACTTAGGAGGTGGAGGTTGCAGTGAGCCGAGATCACACCATTGTGTTCCAGCCTGGGCAACAAGAGTGAAACTCTGTCTCAAAAAATAAATAAATAAAAATAAAATAAAATAATGGATTATGAGACATTAATAATATTTGCAAGCCTCATGGTAGCCTCGAATTGAAAAACACACAACGGATACACAAAAAATAAAAAGCAAGAAATTAAGTCATACCACCAGAGAAAATAACCTTCACTAAGGGGAAGACAAGGAAGGAAGGGAAGAAGTAAAAGAAGACCGCAAAACAACCAGAAAACAAATGACAAAATGGCAGGAGTAAGTCCCAACTTATCAGTAATAACACTGAATGTAAATAAACTAAACTCTCCAATAAAAAGACATAGAGTGGCTAAATGCATGAAAAAATAAGACCCAATGATCTGCTGCCTACAAGAAACACACTTCACCTATAAAGATACACAGACTGAGAATAAATGGATGGAAAAAGATATTCCATGCCAATGGAAACCAAAAAAGAGCAGAAGTAGTAGCTATACTTACATTAGAAAAAATAGATTTTAAGACAAAAATTATAAGAAGAGACAGAGATCGCTAGTACATAATGATAAAGGGGTCAGTCTAGCAAAAGGATATAGCAATTATAAATATACATGTACCCAACACTGGAACACCCAAATATGTAAAGCAAATATTATTATAGCTAAAGAGATAGACCTCAGGCTAGGCACAATAGCTCATGCCCATAATCCCAGCACTTTGGGAGGTCCAGGTGGGTGGGTTTCTGGAGCCCAGGAGTTTGAGACCAGCCTGGGAAACATGGCAAAACTCTGTCTCTACAAAAAAATACAAAAATTAGCCAGGCATGGTGGTGCATGCCTGTAGTCCCAGCTAATCAGAGGGCTGAGGCAGGAGGATCACTTGAGCCTGTAAGGTTGAGGCTGCAGCGGGCTGAGATCGCACCACTCCACTCCAACCTGGATAACAGAGCAAGACCTTGTCTCAAAGAGAAAGAGACCTCAATACAATAACAGTTAGAGACTTCAACACCCCACTTTCAGCACTGGACAGATCTCCCAGACAGAAAATCAACAAAGAAACACTGGACTTAACCTACACTAAGGATGACCTAATAGAACAAATGGACCTAAGAGATATTTACAGAACATTTCATCCAAAGGCTACAGAATACACATTATTGCCCTTAGCACATGGATTATTCTCAAGGACAGACCATATGTTAGGTCACAAATAAGTCTTAAAATACTCAAAAAATTTGAAATATCCAGCATTTTTTACCACAATATCAAGCATCTTTGAATAAAACCAGAAATCAATAAGAGGAATTTTGGAAATGATACAAACACATGGAGATTAAATACGCTCCTGAATGACCAGTGGGTCAAAGTCAATGAAGAAATTAAGAAGGAAACTGAAAAGTTTCTTGAAACAAATAGCAGAAACACAACATAACAAAACCTATGGGATACAGTGCAAGCACTAGTAAGAGGGAAGTTTAAAGCTATCAGCACCTTGTTGGGAGCAAGCCCCCCAAAATCTGGCCATAAACTGGCCCCAAAACTGGCCATAAACAAAATCTCTGCAGCACTGTAACATGTTCATAATGGCCCTAACGCCCAAGCTGGAAGGTTGTGGGTTTACGGGAATGAGGGCAAGGAACACCTGGCCCGCCCAGGGTGGAAAACCACTTAAAGGCATTCTTAAGCCACAAACAATAGCATGAGCGATCTGTGCCTTAAGAACATGCTCCTGCTGCAGTTAACCAGCCCAACCTACTCCTTTAATTCGGCCCTTCCCTTAGTTTCCCAAAAGGGATACTTTTAGTTAATTTAATATCTATAGAAACAATGCTAATGACTGGTTTGCTGTTAATAAATACGCGGGTAAATCTCTGTTTGGGGCTCCCAGCTCCGAAGGCTGTGAGACCCCTGATTTCCCACTTCACACTTCTATATTTCTGTGTGTGTGTGTCTTTAATTCCTCTAGCGCCACTGGGTTAGGGTCTCCCTGACCGAGCTGGTCTCGCGCAAGTGGCGTCCATTCGTGGGGGCTCAAATCCAGGTCAAAGGGTTGCTGAAGCGATGCTTGGAACAGAAAACTAGCTGGAGGACACCCGAGTACTCTTAAAGCAGTCCCCATGGTGAGTAAGAAGGGGAGCTCGGATGCCTCAGGGTAACAATGGGACAGGGATGGGGTCTGGTTCGTTTCACCTTAGAACTTTTTCACACTGATAATGAGGAGGAACAAGAGAATAGTGAAGTAACAGAAGAGGTTACAGAGCAGGTTTATTTGCCAGCTAAAGCTAAAGTGGCAAAGGAAGGAGAGGTTCATCCCTACCCTTCTGCACCCCCTCCTTATTATTTTGAAGAAAATGACCCCCCGGATCTTTCTTTTCCGGAGGACATTGGGCAAAAAGTAGTTGCCCCAGTGACTCTTCGAGCGGCACCTCGAGTGACGGCTCTTAGTTCTATTCAGGCAGGAATTCAGCAAGCTATACGAGAGGGTGATTTAGAGGTTTGGCGGTTCCCTGTTAGAACAAACCCCCCAGATCAACAGGGAAATATTACAGCTACATTTGAGCCTTTTCCTTTTAAATTACTCAAAGAATTTAAAAAAGCTATTCATACTAAAAAAGAATGTAGAAAAAATCAGCAAGTCAGGCCGCCAGATAGAGGAAAAAGGAAAACTGTTGAGTCTGAAATAGGTCCAACATATAAAAAAAGGAAAACACTGGACTAGTCAGTGTCACTCTAAGTTTGATAAAGATGGGAACCTGATTTTGGGAAACACCATGAGGGGCCTGTCCCGGGCCCCATTCTAAACCAGGGCATTTCCAGCTCAGGCCATTCCCTCACCCCTGTACAATGTCTGTCCCCCACCACAGCCGGTAGAGCTGCAGTAGATTTATGCTGCACAAAAGCTGTGAGCCTTCTGCCTGGGGAACCCCCGCAAAAGGTCCCAACAGGAGTCTGTGGACCCTTGCCAGCAGGGACAATAGGATTACTTCTAGGAAGGCCTAGTTTAAGTTTAAAAGGCGTACAAATACATACAGGAGTCATTGATTTAGATTACAATGGGGAAATTCAAATTGTTATATCTACTTCTGTTCCCTGGAAAGCAGAGCCAGGAGAGCGCATAGCACAGCTCCTGATTGTGCCATATGTGGGAATGGGAAAAAGTGAAATTAAACGAACAGGAGGATTTGGAAGCACAAATAAACAAGGCAAAGCAGCTTATTGGGTAAATCAAATTACTGATAAACGTCCTACCTGTGAAATAATTATTCAGGGAAGGAAATGTAAAGGTTTGGGAGATACAGGAACGGACATTTCAATCATTTCTCTATAGCACTGGCTGTCCACGTGGCCAATTCAATCCGCTCAACTGAACATAGTTGGAGTTGGTAAAGCCACTGAAGTATATCAAAGTAGTTATATTTTGCATTGTGAGGGGCCCGATGGATGACCTGGGACTATTCAACCAATTATAACTTCTGTACCTATAAATTTATGGGGAAGAGATTTATTACAACAATGGGGAGCACAAGTTCTAATTCCAGAACAATTATATAGCCCTCAAAGTCAACATATGATTCATGAAATGGGGTATGTCCCTGGTATGGGACTAGAAAAAAATTTGCATGGTTTGAAAGAACCGCTTAAAGTGGAAAAACAAAGTTCCCACCAAAGATTAGGAAATCATTTTTGATGGCGGCCATTGTTAAGCCTCCAGAACCTATACCTTTAAAATGGTTAACAGACAAGCCAATTTGGATAGAACAATGGCCGCTAAGTAAAGAAAAATTGGAGGCTTTAGAGAAATTGCTTGCTGAACAATCAGAAAATGGGCACATAGCGCCAACATTTTCCCCTTGGAATTCTCCAGTTTTCGTAATTAAGAAAAAATCAGGTAAATGGAGAATGTTAACTGACTTAAAAGCCATCAATTCCTTTAACAGTCATAGATTTAAAAGACTGTTTCTTTACTATCCCTTTAGCTGAGCAACACTGTGAATGGTTTGCATTTACAATTCCTGCAGTAAACAACCTGCAGCCTGCTAAGTGTTATATGATCACTTACAAAATTCAATTTCTCGTGCTGGTTTAATTATAGCTCCTAACAAAATTCAGACTACTACTCCCTACTCCTACTTGGGGACCTGAGTAAATGACACTACCATTGTGCCACAAAAAGTAACCATACGTAGGGATCAACTAAAAACATTAAATGACTTTCAAAAATTACTAGGGGATATTAATTGGATACGACCTGCTCTAGGCATTCCTACCTATGCCATGAGTAATCTGTTTTCTATCCTTAGAGGAAATCCTAGTCTCACTAGCCCTTGGCAATTAACAAAGGAGGCAGAGGCAGAGTTACAACTAATTGAGAAGCAAGTCCATAAAGCTCAAATAAATAGAACAGATCCAGAGAAGACCCTAGATTTGCTAATTTTTTCAACTCAGCATTCACCTACTGGTGTTATTGTCCAAGAACAGGACTTAGTAGAGTGGCTTTTTCTTCCACATACTAATTCACGGACTCTAACTCCTTATTTAGATCAAATTGCTACAATGATAGGGATTGGGAAAACTCGGATTGTTAAATTACATGGATATGATCCTGGAAAAATTATTGTCCCTCTCACGAAGGCACAAATACAGCAAGCTTTTATAAATAGTCTTACTTGGCAAACCCGTTTAGCTGACTTTGTGAGTATTCTCGATAATCATTTTCCTAAAACGAAGCTGTTTCAGTTTTTTGAAATTAACTAATTGGATTCTCCCTAAAATAACTAAATTTAAACCAATTGAAGGTGTTGAGAATGTTTTTACAGATGGGTCTCGTAATGGTAAAGCTTCTTATTTTGAATCAAAAGGTAAAGTTTTTCAGACGCCCTATACTTCAGCTCTAAAAGCGGAGCTTGTAGCTGTAATTGAGGTATTGACTGCTTTTGAAATGCCTATTAATGTGATTTCTGATTCTTCATATGTGGTTCACTCCACACGGTTAATTGAAAATTCTCAGTTACGATTTCATACAGATGAACAACCGATGACTTTATTTACCCAACTGCAAATAGCAGTTAGGAGTAGAATGCACCCTTTTTACATCACTGACATTAGAGCTCATACACCTCTTCCAGGACCTTTGACTGAAGGGAATTAAATGGCTGATGGCCTAGTTGCTATTGCAATATCTAATGCTGGACACTTTGACAATTCAACCCATGTCAATGCCTCTGGTCTCAAATGCAGATATAGCATTACCTGGAATGAAGCTAAAGCTATTATCCAGTGATGCCCAACTTGCCAAATGGTACATTCCTCATCTTTTACAGGAGGAGTTAACCCTCGAGGACTGTAACCTAACTCTATTTGGCAAATGGATGCCACACATGTTCCCTCGTTTGGGAGACTAGCTTATGTACATGTATGTGTGGACACCTTTTCTCACTTTGTCTGGGCTGCATGCCAATCAGAAGAGTCTTCTGCCCGTGTTAAATGTCACCTTTTGCAGTGTTTTGTGGTGATGGGCTTCTATTAAAACAGAGAATGCCCCAGGCTATACTAGCCAAGCTCTAGCTACATTTTTCTCTATGTGGAATATTAAACACATTACTGGTATCCCATACAATTCTCAAGGACAAGCCATAGTGGAAAGAATGAATCTCTCTCCCTAAAACAGCAGTTGCAAAAGCAGAAAGGGAGAGACAGAGAATACTGAACCCCCACAAATGCAACTGAACCTAGCATTATTAACTTTAAATTTTTTGAGCCTGCCCAAAGGCCAGATGCTATCAGCAGCTGAACAGCATCTACAGAAACCAGCTGCAAAGACAGAAACAGAACAACTGATTTGGTGGACAGAGCCAATAACAAAAAGGTGCGAAATAGGTAAAATAATAACTTGGGGTAGAGGTTATGCTTGTATTTCTCCAGGCCAAAATCAACAGCCGATTTGGATACCATCAAGACACCTGAAACCTTATCAGGAGCCAGATGCCGAGGAAGAGACTCCAGGAGGATCCCGAGGACCCCCCGGTTGCAGCCATGTCGAGACCGATGCTGAGGAGGACCCCAACAGTTACGAGCAACACCCGTCAACCACAGCCACCCACCTGGGGACAGATCAAGAAGCTGTCAGAGATGGAGGAAGAAAACCTGAGGAAAGCGGGACAACCAGTCACAATGAATAATTTAATGGTAGCTATGATAGTGGTTATCACCACTGTCGTGAGTATTCCTTCAATAAGGGCCGGTAATAATGCCTGGATGCAATCACTCTATGACACAGTTACACATGCTTTCTGATCTCGGTATTTACCATAATAAATCTGCTCCTATAATTGAGGCATACCACCCTCAAAAACCTATTTGTAAACAGGATTGGACCCAGTTAGAAAAAATGAACGTACTTGTTTAGGAAGATTGCTTTGCAAAACAGGCAGAGGTGCTGCACAACGATTCCTATGGAATCATTATTAATTGGTCCCCTAAGGGAATGTTAAGCTTGAATTGCACCTCTCAGTCTGCGTGCCATGGCCAGACTATGTTCAGATGATCTGAACAAACTGATCACATGGTAGAAATACCAAAAAGTACGGCAAAAGTTCCTATTATCTGGAACCATGGTGGTATAGTGGCACCTCAACCTCAAATGATAGGGCTCGTTGTGGGAGCTAAACATAAGGATTTGTGGAAACTATTAATAGCTCTTAATAAGATCAAAATTTAGGAAAAAATAAAAACCATCTACAAAGACACTCTACAAACTTGCCTTTGGATATTGCAAAATTAAAGAACAAATATTTAAAGCATCCCAGGCACACCTGACCTTAATGCCAGGAACTGGAGTGCTTAAAGGCGCTGCAGACAAATTAGCAGCTAGTAATCCATTAAAATGGATAAAAACACTTGGAAGCTCTGTGATTTCAATGATGACTGTGCTTTTAATCTACGTTGTTTTTCTTTGTATAGTCTGCAGATGCAGATTCTGACTCCTGCAAGAAGTAGCTCACTGTGACAAAGCCGCCCTTGCTTTTATCTCTTTGCAAATCAAAGAAGGGAGACACGTTGGGAGCAAGCCCCCCAAAATCTGGCCATAAACTGGCCCCAAAACTGGCCATAAACAAAATCTCTGCAGCACTGTAACATGTTCATGATGGCCCTCACACCCAAGCTGGAAGGTTGTGGGTTTACAGGAATGACGGCAAGGAACACCTGGCCCGCCCAGGGTGGAAAACCGCTTAAAGGCATTCTTAAGCCACAAACAATAGCATGAGCGATCTGTGTCTTAAGGGCATGTTCCTGCTGCAGTTAACTAGCCCAACCTATTCCTTTAATTTGGCCCTTCCCTTCTTTTCCCATAAGGGATACTTTTAGTTAATTCAATATCTATAGAAGTAATGCTAATGACTGGTTTGCTACTAATAAATATGTGGGTAAATCTCTGTTTGGGGCTCTCAGCTCTGAAGGCTGTGAGACCCCTGATTTCCCACTTCACACCTCTATATTTCTGTGTGTGTGTGTCTTTAATTCCTCTAGCGCCACTGGGTTAGGGTCTCCCCAACCGAGCTGGTCTCAGCAGCACTGACATCAAAAAAGAAGAAAAACTTCAAATTAATAACCTAATGGTGCATCTTGACTAGAAAAGGGCAAACAAAACCCCAAATTAGTAGAAGAAAAGAAATAATAAAGATCAGAGCAGAAATAAATGAATGTGGAATGAAGAAAATACAAAAGATCAATGAAACAAGAGGTTGTTTATCTTTTGGAAAGATAAACAAAATTGACAAACCTTTAGCCAGACTAATGAAGAAAAAAAGGGAGAAGACCCAAATAAATAAAATCAGAAATGAAAAGGGAAACATTACAACTGATACCACAGAAATTCAAAGTAGCATTAGTGGTTACTATGAGCAACTACATGCCAATAAATTGGAAAATCTAGAGAAAGTGAATAAATTCCTAGACACATTCAACCTACCAAAACTGAACCATGAAGAAATCCAAAACCTGAACAGACCAATTAACAAGTAACAAGATCAAAGCTGTAATAAAAAGCCATTTAGTAAAGAAAAACTCAGGACCTGATGGCTTCACTGCTGAGTTTTAACCAACATTTAAAGAAGAACCAATGTCAATCCTATTTAAATTATTCTGAAAAATAAAGGAGGAGAGAAACTTCCAAACTCATTCTATGAGGCCAGTATTACTCTGATACTAAAACCAGACATGGAAATATCAAAAAAAGAAAACAACAGGCTAATATCTCTGATGAATATTGATGCAAAAATACATTTCCAAAAAAACCCCAACAAAATACTAGCAAACCAAGTTCAACAACACATTAAAAAGATCATTCATCATTACCAAGTTGGATTTATCTCTGGGATGCATGAAAGGTTCAACATATGCAAATCAATCAGTGTGATACATCATATCAACAGAATAAACAACAAAAACCATATGATCATTTCAATTGACGTTGAAAAAGCATTTTATAAAATTCAACACCCTTCGTGGTTAAAAACCCTCAAAAAACTAGGTATTGAAGGACCATACTTCAATATAATAAAAGCCATATATGACAGACTCTCAGCTAATATTATACTGGATAGGGAAAAACTGAAAGCTTTTCTCTAAGATCTGGAACACAACAAGGATACTCACTTTCACCACTGTTACTCAACATAGTACTGGAGGTCCTACTTAGAGCAATTGGACAAGAAAAAGAAATAAAGGGCACACAAATCGGAAAGGAAGAAGTCAAATTATCCTTGTTTACAGGTGATATGATTTTATACTGAGAAAAATCCAAAGACTCCACCAGAAAACTCTTAGAACTGATAAATTCAGTAAAGTTGCAGGACATAAAATCAACATACAAAAACCAGAAGCATTTCTATATGCCAAAGGTGGACAATCTGAAAAAGAAATAAAAAAAGTAATCCCATTTATAAGAGCCACAAATAAAATTAAATACCTAGTAATTAATAAAAGAAATAAAACATCTCTACAAGAAAACTATAAAACACTGACGAAAGAAATTGAAGAGGATGCAAAAAACTGGAAAGATATTCCATGTTCGTGGATTGTTCAATATTGTTAAAATGTTCATATTAGTCAAAGCAAGCTACAGATTCAATGTAATCCCTATCAAAATACCAATGGTGTTCTTCACAGAAACAGAAAAAAAATCCTAAAATTTATATAAAATCACAAAAGACCCAGAACAGCCAAAGCAATCCTGAGCAACAAGAACAAAACTGGAGGAATCACATTACTTGATTTTAAATTATACAACGGAGCTATAGTAACCAGAACAGCATGGTACTGGCATAAAAACAGACACACAGACCAATGGAACAGAATAGAGAACCCAGAAATAAATCCACACACCTACAGTGAACTCATTGTCAGCAAAAGCGCCAAGAATAAACACTGGGGAAAAGACAGTCTCATCAATAAATGGTTCTGGGAAAACTGGATATCCATATGCAGAAGAATGAAACTAGTCCCCTGTCTTTCACCATGTACAAAAATGAAATCAAAATGGATTAAAGAGGTAAGTCTAAGACCTCAAACCATGAAACTACTATAAGACAACATTGAGGAAACTCTCCAGGACACTGGTCTGGGTAAAAATTTCTTGAATAATACCCTACAAGCACAGCCAACCAAAGCAAAAATGGACAGATGGGATCACATCAAGTTAAAAAGCTTCTGCACAGCAAGGAAACAATCAACAAAGTGAACAGACAACCCAAAGAATAGGAGAAAATATCTGAAAACTATCCATCTGACAAGAGATTAGTAACCAGAATATATAAGGAGCTCCAAGAACTCTATAGGAAAAAACAGAATAATCCAATTTAAAAACTGGCAAAAGATTTGAATAGACATTTCTCCAAAGAAGACATATAAATGGCAAACAAGTATATGAAAAGGTGCCTAACATTACGATCATCAGAGAAATGCAAATCAAAACTACAATGAGATATAATCTCATGCCAGTTAAAATGGCTTTTAACCAAAAGATAGGCAATAATAAATGCTGGAGAGGATGTGGAGAAAAGGGAATTCTTGTACACTCTTGGTGGGAATGTAAATTAGTACAACCACTATGGAGAACAGTTTGGAAGTTCCTCAAAAAACTAAAAATAGAGCTACCTTACGATCCGGAATCCCACTACTGGGTATATGCCCAAAAGAAAAGAAATCAATATATCCAGTCGGGCGTGGTGGCTCATGCCTGTAATCCCAGCACTTTGGGAGGCTGAGGCAGGTGGATCACATGAGGTCAGGGGTTTGAAACCAGCCTGGCCAATATGGTAAAACCCCGTCTCTACTAAAAATACAAAAATTAGCCGGGCGTGGTGGCACATGCCTGTAATTCCAGCTCCTTGGGAGGCCAAGGCAGGAGAATCGCTTGAACATAGGACCCAGGTGGCAGAGGTTAACAGTGCAGTGAGCCGAGATTGTGCCATTGCACTCCAGCCTGGGCGACAGAGTGAGATTGTCTCAAAAAAAAAAAGAAGAAGAAAAAGAAAAAAGAAATCAGTATATCAAAGAGATAACTGCACTATCTGCACTATGTGCACTCCCAAGTTTGTTGCAGCACTGTTCATAACAGCCAAGATTTGGAAGCAACCTAAGTGTCCATCAATAGATGAATGGAGAAAGAAAATGTGGTACTTAGACACAACAGAGTACTATTCAGACATAAAAAAAGACTGAGATCCTGTCATTTACAACAACATGGATAGAACTGAAAGTCATTATATTAAGTGAAATAAGCCAGGCACAGGAAGACAAACATCACATGTTCTCACTTATCTGTGGGATCGAAAAATCAATGCAATTGAACTCCTGAGGATAGAAAGTAGAAGGATGGTTACCAAAGGCTGGGAAGGGTAGTGGGGAAGGGTAGCGGGGAGATGGAGGTAGTTAATGGGTACAAAAAAAATTGTTAGAAAGTAAGAATAAGAGCTAGTATTTGATAGTACAACAGGGTGACTGTAGTGAAAATAATTTAATTCTACATTTGAAAATAACTAAAAGAATATAACTGGATTGTTTGTAATACAAAGAAGAAATGCTTGAGGGGATGGATATCCCATTTTTCATGATGTGATCATTAAGCATTGCATGCCTGTATCAAAGTATCTCATGTACCTCATAAATATATATACTTACTATGTACCCACAAAAATCTGAAATTAAATAAAATTTTCTAAGGACATGCAAAGGCTCTAGAATAGGAAAATAATCTCTAGAGATGCTATTTAATAATCTTAAAAATATTATTTTTTGTTCTTAGGGCTTATACTACCACATTTCAAGAATTAAAGTTACAATACTCAAGACAAATGTATATTGGCATAAGCATAGACAAACAGATCAAGGGAACAGAACAGAGTCCAGAAATAGACCCACACATATACATCAATTGATTTTTGTCCAAGGTGCCAAGTCACTTCAATGGAGAAAGGAAAGTCTCTTGAACAAATGGTGCTAACAGACTGGATATCTATCCAGGTTGACTTGTATCTCATTTCACACACAAAAATTAATTTGAGATAAATTGGAGACCTGAATGTAAAACTCAGAACCATAAAACTTATAGAAGTAAAATATCTTCATGTTCTTGGGGGTAGGCATCCTTGAACAGGATGCAAAAAGCCATATCATAAAAGAAAAAAATTGATATACTGAACTTCATTAACATTAAACATTTTTATATTTGACTTGTATCTGGAACATAAAAAACAAATCAATAATAAAAAGTCAAAAAAGGGGCAAAAGATATGAATAAACAATTCATTAAAGAAGATGTATGAGAAACCAAAAAACATAGGAAAAGATAATTAGTCATCAGGAAATGCAAATTAATGGCACAATAAAACAACATTTTATATGCATTAAAATGCTAAAATCAAAGACTAACAACAGCAAGTTTGGCTAGGATGTGGAGCAAGTGTAACCCTAATACATTGTTGGTGGGATAAAAAAATGGTGTAACTATTCTGAGGAACTGTTTGGCAACTTCTTATAAATTAGACATACATTTACCATATGACCCAGGAATTTCACTTTGATGTATCTACCCAATATAAATGAAAACGTTTATGTTCTAAAAGAGTTTTATAAGAATGCTCATAGCAAGCTTATTCACACTAGTTGCAAACTGGAAGCAACCGGAACATCTATCGACAGGAGAATGAATAAACAAATTGGGATATGTTTATACAATGAAATACCACTCAGCAATAACAAGGAATGAACTACTGGTATATAAAACATGAATATGTCTCAAAAATATCTTGTTGATTGAAAGCAGTCAAATACAAATACATATTGTATGAGTCTACACATACAAAAGAAAACAAATCTATCTATAGTGATACGAGTCAGAAGTGGTTGCCTGAAGTGGAAGGAACTGATTAGAAACGGGTAGGAGAGTACTTTTTAGGAGAGTCTTATGGTAATGATGGGTTTAGGGAATGATCCTCAATTGCTCAGATAACTCCTTCTCCACCTCCTTTTTACCCACAACTTTGGTTAACTCTTGGGTGCGGCTTACCCAATGTCCTACCAGAATTTGATTATGCAGAATTCCTTTGAGAAGAAATATGGAATGCAAAAATATGGAGTATAAAATATGTATAAAATATTATCTGTATTGTGGAAATAAAGATCAACCAAATGAGAAAAGCAAACGCTATTTAGACCTTGCTATACTGAGGAAGTCCGCCACCATAACTGCCATTTGTGTTTTGGCAGAAACTCAAAGGCAGGCAGAGGAGTGGCAAAGATTTACAGGTGAGAAAAGGGAAGGCTTGAAATGTGGCTTGAATGGAGGCTGTTGGCATGGGGAAGCTGTAGTCAAGGTAATAAAAAGTGGGACATCTCGTGTGATGGGTTGGGGGGTGCATGTTTGGCTGTCTCTGGTTGAATCTAAGTTGAAAATGGGAACAAAAATTAAGGAAAGCTGTCAGTTATGAATCAAGTCCTGGCCATTTGGGAATTTTTTTTTTTTTTTTTTTTTTGGGAAACAGGGTCTTCCTCTGTTGCCCAGGCTGGAGTACAGTGATCACTGCTCACTGCAGCCTTGACCTCCCAGGCTCAAGTGATCCTCCCATCTTAGCCTCCCAAGTAGCTGGGACTAAAGGTGCGTGACACCACACCCAGCTAATTTTTTAATTTTTTTGAAGAGATGAGGTCTCACTATGTTGCCCAGGCTAGTCTCAAACTCCTGGGTTCAAGCAATTTTCCTGCCTCAGCCTCCCAAAGCGTTGGGATTACAGGTAAGGGCCACCATGCCTGGCTCTCATTAGGGGACTATTGTTACAGAAATTATTACTTAGCTTCCTGGATTGTCATCAGAGACAGCAACCTGGCTTCCTGCAAGTTTGACTTATAACAGGCTGGCTTCTTGGACTGTTTATTGTAGATAAGGGGGATGGTTTCTTGGGCAGGTCATGGGTCAACGTTCTATTTTTTTACATGGTCTAGTCATTGTCCATTTGTAGATGTCTCATAGTATTCATCAAAATAGGCTGATTCATGAAGAGAGAGAGGGCAAACATATATTCACCAGTGTTAACTAACATGACACAAACTAAAATTGTCTATGAAGGACATCACTAAAAGTGCTGAGAGGGGGCTAAGATGGTGTCTAGAGAACAATATATCTGTACTACCAGGAAAATCTAATCTGTTAAACTTAGGGTACACCAACACGGGTGAGCAGGCCCTCTTCCCTAAGTGAGGTTTTGAAAGCTGGGATTTCAAGGCTAGGTTCTTGGCTATTCTTTTTCTTCTTTTTTTTGAGAAAGAGTCTCGCCCTGTCACCCACACTGGAGTACAGTGGTGCAATCTTCACTCACTACAACCTCTGCCTCCTAGGTTCAAGTGATTCTCCTGCCTCAGCCTCTCGAGTAGCTGAGATTAACCATGCCTGGTTAATTTTTGTATTTTAGTAGAGACAGGGTTTTACCATGTTGGTCAGGTTGGTCTCAAACTCCTGACCTCAAACGATCTGCCCGCCTCAGCCTCCCAAAGTGCTGGGATTACAGGCATGAGCTACTATTTATGTTAAATCAGACAACTGAAGGGAAGAAAATCTGGAGGAGCCTCTCTCCCAGGTAAAGCAGCTTCACTGTCAGCTTCTCATAGTCAGCTTCCACCTAGAATTCTGCTTGGGCTTCCGTGAGATGTACCTTTGTTACAGGCTCAGCTGCACAATTCTCATCACCTGGCAGTGGGAAGAGGGCTTCTTCCAACTATGTTGAGATCCAAGGGCCAGAGGAAAGATCACATACCCTTTCCCTCCCCTTCTCTATCTTTTCAGTGTTTTTTGGTTTTTTTTTGCAAATGGAGGTGTATAGTTTTTTTGTTTTGTGTTGTGTTGTTGGTGAGTGGGGAGGAGAATTAACATTTTAAAGTTAGGAGCCTTGTATTTTTTTTTTAATTCAACCTGTAAGAAGCCTTGGAGGAAAAACCCTCAGTAACTGAGGAAGCAACTGAAAACCTTAAGTAAGTTCTTTGGAAGTTAAACCCCGTACAAGTTTGTTCCATTTCTCTTAACCCAAATGCTGTTTATTTGGGCATTTAGCCACTGACTTCCAACCTCCTAAATTACAGCAGTCCTTTTCAAAGAGATATCCTACAATAGCTGCAGATGGCAGATTCTGCCCACATTTCTAGAGATCTGCCCAAGGAAGTTTGACTTCTTATTGACTCTAAATTGTTTTCACATGGAAATACATAACTGGACGTTTATTAGCCAGTCACCTTTCTTGGAATTAAAACTTATGGCATTTTATAAGTATCCTTAGAGCCTAGCCATAATCCCCTTCCCAAGCCTTTCTCAAATTTGCATAGTGTTTTGCTTTAAAATAATTGTACAATAATTTCTCTTTCTCAAACAAAGGATTTTTAGAAGGAGCCCCACCTTCTCCAAGTCAAGCAATTCGGTACTGTTTACTTCTCAGAGCTATCAGGGCCAAAAATGTGTAAGAAAAGGAATGAAAATTGGCTTTCTGAACAGCAAGAATGGGCCACATAATATGCTTCACACTTTATATATGAAGCATATTATATATGAATAACATATATATGTTATAGTTTATCTTCACAATAGCCCTATAACAGAGGTCCTTTTATCTCTTTTTACAGAGAAGAAAATGGCTTAGAGAATTTCCCAGGATCATATGCACAAATACAGAACTTGGGCTTCAGAGTTAGTATATTGTAATGGTTAATGGTAAAAGCTTAGGAGTTAGATTGCTTGGATTCAGTCCTAACTCTACTGCTTACTGTGCCATCTTGGACAAGTTACTTTATTCCTCTAAGCCTTGGCTTCCTCTTCAGTCAGATGCAGCCAATAGCAGTATCTGTTTCATAAGGTCCAGGCTGTAAGCATTAAATGAGATAATGCTTATACATTTGCAAGCTGCCTCAACATGATTTCTCAATTGCATGTGATTTCTGGATTGCTAGTGGCAATGAGTGAAGAGAAATGATTCTCACCTACTTTCCCAGCTCAGAGATGGAGACGCAGGAAAAAGTCCCTTTATCTTCTGCTTCAGCAAAAAGCAAAGGTGAAATTCCAAAATGATCAAAAAATCTCAACACTCAATCACAACTGAATAACTAATGAAGATATAAAATAATTTTTGATGAGACTAATGAAGTGATGTCTGAATGTCTTTTTTTCTTACAGCCTATTTCTTAATTTAAGCCTGAAGGAAAAAATATAGATTTGGCATAGCCTAAGCAGGAATATTGTGTGAGACCAGTGCGTGCACTATCAGTGGCTCCTATGCCACTCTGTGAAGCGTGAGTATACACAACTGGATGCATTCTAATTGCTCAGGTTAATCCTTGGCTGTGGATGCATCCAAAATGTTTGCTAGTAACAATCACTAAATCCTAGCCCCAAGAGGTATTAATTTTCATCTGTCTTGGGCTTCTAGTTAATTTAAGAGATATTAAGCAATTAGAATCTCTTAATATTCATAATTAAATTTATAATCCTGAATAATATAAAAGTCTTAATATACTGTGTCCTTCTAAGATAAGTGACTGTTTTTCCCACTTTCTAAAGGAGCTAATATTTAAGCTGTCAGGAAGTTCCTTTTGGTATCAGAAAGACCATGGTTTAAGGTCCAATTCCCAAGTCACTACAGCGCTCTGAGTCTCATCTGCTAATAGGATAAAACCACCTACTGAATAGAGTGATTATAAGAATAAAATGAGATAATGTATATAAAATGCTCAGCATAGTATAATAAGAACTCAATATATGATGGCTATAATCATTATGCTCACTACAGAAAACCAGAAAGAACAGAAAAGTATAAGGAAGAAAAAAGTCCATAATTTCTTCTCTCAAAGGCAACTATTGTTAACTATTGGCTGGTCATCTTCTTTCTCTATGTAGTTTGTCTTTATATAATTTGGTATCATACCACACAAACTATATGCATCTTGTTTTGCTGTTTTCTTCCTTTGGGCCTATTAATGTAACTTAGACATTTTCCCACACCGTTAACAACTAGCCATAACAGTTTCTTTATGGCTTCTAATAACATAAATAAATACATAAATAAAAATAGTTTTTCCTAGTTATGAGGCCCTTGGGAATGATATGGTCTTGCCTACCTCATCTTCCTGCCACTGTGACCTCCTGACTTTGGGAATTCTCAAGTCTGTCACCATCCTCACTTGAGGTCACTACAGAGAACCTCCTAAGTGTTTATAGGGTGCTGGGTATGTAGATCCCCCAAAACCCAAATGCAGACCTTTATAGACCACAGTGTAAAGCAGTACAGAAAGCCTTACATTCCACAGCCATCTGCTTAACTGACTCTCAATTTTTTTCTCCCACACAGTGTAACAGAAGGTGCTAAAAAAACAAAAACAAAACCCCTAAACCTGATCATCTCTCTTCAGCTGAAGTTTAAGCTCCTTCTTTCTGAATACCTTCTCTAATACCTTTTTATTCAGAGAAAAGGCAAGCTGCATTATTTGGCTTAAATATTTTTAAAAACTGCCAGTATATCAAAATTCAATTTGGTTCTAAACATTTGAATTGCCCCAACTCTACTGCCCATGTTGATCCATCCTTCATTTGCCATTGATATTATCTCTTGTTTTTTCGGAGAACATAATTATCTAACTGTGGAGCCCAAAATTTATCCCTATTCGCAGAATTAGTGAAAGTCAAATAAAAATTAAATGTAAAGATAAGTATCTATAACATTTATTTTGGCCAACTATCTGGAGCCACTGTTTTTGTTTTGTTTTGTTTTGTTTTTTCTTTTTTGAGACAAGAGTGTTGCTCTTCTTGCCTAGGCTGGAGTGCAATGGCGCAATCTTGGCTCATTACAGCCTCCGCCTCCCAGGTTCAAGTGATTCTCGTGCCTTGGCTTCCCAAGTAGCCGAGATTATAGGCGCATACCACCATGCCTGGCTAATTTTTGTATTTTTAGTAGAGATGGAGGTTTTGCCATGTTGGCCAGCCTGGTCTCAAACTCCAGACCTCAGGTGATCTGCCCACCTCAGCCTCCTAAAGTGCTGGGATTATAGGCATGAGCCACCGTGCCCGGCCCACTGTTTATTATTGTTGTAAAAAGTGAAAGATTTATACAATCTAAAGAGAAACCAGAGGATTATTATTGTTCTTACTGTTGCTGATCTTAAATAAGTAGGTCTTGAGAAGAGCAACGGCCAAGTGTCTAGGCAGAGAACAAATTAAAATTAACTGGCACACGGAAGATTAGGGTCTCTGAGGGGTCTGAGATTCTGGCTCTATCAGTGATGAGCTGTAAGACCCAAAGGAACACAAATTCTCTGAACCTTCTCCCCATCTCAAAAACAGAAATATTAATCTTCACTTAGTCACCCTTACAGATTTTTTTTTTTTTAAGATGGAGTCTCGCTCTGTTGCCCAGGCTGGAGTGCAGTGGCGCAATCTTGGCTCACTGCAACCTCCCTGTCCCAGGTTCAAGCGATTCTCCTGCCTCAGCCTCCCACATCCGGCTAATCTTTTGTATTTGTAGTAGAGATGGGTTTCAAACCATGTTGGCCAGGCTTGTCTCGAACTCCTGGCCTCAAGCAATCCACCTGCCTTGGCCTCCCAAGGTGCTGGGATTACAGGCGTGAGCCACCACTCCCAGCCCAGAATTTTTATTTAGGACAAATTAAATAATGCATGTAAGAGTAATTTGTAGCTTATAAAAAGCTATACAAACATAAGGGGGAGAGTATTTTTGCTTTATTTTATTTTTGATAGAGTCTCACTCTGTCACTCAGGCTGAAATGTAGTGATCATAGCTCATTGTAGCCTTAAACTCTTGGGCTCATGTGATCCCCCTGCCTCAGCATCCCAAGTAGCTGGGACTATAGAGGCACATGCCACCATGCCTGGCTAATGTTTCTTATTTTTATTTTTTGTACAAACAGGGTCTCACTGTGTTGCCAAGCTGGTCTCCAACTCCTGGTTTCATGTGATCCTCTTTCCTTGGCCTCCCAAAGTGCTGGGATTACAGGTGCGAGCCACTGTGCCCGGCTGTATTTTGCTTTTAAATAAAAGGGAAGGGCGAGACTAGACAATCCCAAACACATACAAATTGCCTTTTGATATTTTATCTATACATTCAATAAACTTTATCCATGATTGTCCAGTTTTCCTCCATACATGCATCATGCTAATTAAAGGATTGGCTATCTTCATGCTGTGTTAGAAGAAACTGAAGTGTTAGAAAGAAATAGACTAACATGCTATCTCAAGGAGTTTATACCAGCTGAAGAGGGACTGAGGAAAGTTAGAAATTAGAGGTATGAAGGATTAGGATCACTAAGGTTATAAGAATTTTAAAATAAAAAAGATACAAACAGCTTAGAATTTAAAGAAATGTTAGGAGATGGCTCTTCCCAAAGAGGGGCACCATTATCCAAACCTCTAGATAACTGATTTTGTGAAGCTATTATATGCAACTCCTCCAGAGCCTGACATTTGATTACATTTAAAATTCATCTTTTGCTTCCCCTTTCCTTCCTCCCCCATATAAAATGTGTTCTTGCCCCAACCTCCCACTTTTTCCTCCTTTGATTTATTTCAATTTCAATCCCTTTTAAAAGTCTGGGTCCAGTTTCCTATTGGCCTCTTTAACTTCTCCTTGCCTGGCTCTGCTGGCACACACCTCCCACCCTGACATCACATGAGCATTCCTCTTTAGAAAAAGCACATCTCATTCTTGCAGAGGAGACTTAGAACATTATTCAAAACTCAATTACTTTTTTGAAATTTAAAGGATAAGATCTCTAAATTCCAAGCTGTTTCCCTAGGAGGGTAGAAGACGTGGGGGAAGAGAAGCAATGGTAGTTCCAAACCGGTTCAGACTTGGTCATTGGTGGTGGCTCCATGGCATTCTCATTCCATCCGGGCAGGCTCCGGGGCCAGAGGCATTCAGTCAAAGCAGGTGGGAGGAGGGAAACACAAGCACACAGACTAGCAAAGATAAAGATGGAGAGAAAGAAAACGGTAAAATAAAGGAAGGAGTTGATAGGGGAGAAGGAATGTCAGAAACAAGGAGGGAAGATGGGGAAAATGGAGCAAAGAATAAAGGAAAGGAGAAGACAGGGTGAGTAATAGGGGGAAAACTGAAGAGAGAAATAGAAATAGGCCAGGAAGAACACAGAAATGGCTGGGGTGTTAACAGGAGTGGGGTCCAGACAGACCAAGTGGGATGGGCAGAGCAGGGAAAGAGGAGGGGAAGGAGCGGGGGAGACTGCCATGCCTAGCCTCGATCTATTTGTGTTCTTCCTTACACTGTCATCGGTAGCTGCCTTATCAATTTTCACCTCTGGCAGGAGACGCCCGCCGATGTGGGAGCCGGGGCCGCCGATGAGGGACACCACGCCGTTGCAGTCCACCGTGCTGTTGCGCTTCACGCTGCGCCGCAGGCTGGGGAAGATGCGCGAGGAGCGGCTGCCCTGGCTGTAGCCGCTGTAGCCGCTGTAGCTGCTCCGGCGCTCGCGGGCCCGGATGGGGATGAAGAGGGAGTCCCGGCGGCCCTCGCTCTCCTCCACCGTGCTGTGCTCGTCATCCGCGAACTCATTCTCGGAGCCCGGGTCTCGGAACCGCCCAGGTCCCCTGAAACTGAAGATGCTGCTCTTGCTGTTGTGGCGGGAGAGGAAGGGCGAGCCTGGGATGCTGAGCAGTGACTGCAGGGGCAGACAGGGAAAGAGAGAGGGACGGGGAAATGAGACGGGAGTGTGGACCTTTATACTGAGCAAAGTGGTTAGGTTCCCAGCCGGCCCCACCCTCGCACTCCTGTGATCAGAACACAAGTGTTTCCAGAAAGCACTTCTGCATGTTGACTGCTACAGTTCATCACCCATTGTTACTCACCTGTGCTTGACCAGTTACGGATTCAAAACGTCTACCCACTGTTCTTGCACGCATCCCTAAGATGCTTTTATCTCACATTATACACAACTTATCCAGGGTAAAGCACATGGCTGTGTATTTCTTTTTACCATGGGCTCAGAGGAGGTGTCTTTAACTTCAGTTAGACTACGCCACACTGGGCAAAAAGAATTTATTTATTATCATATATATAACAATAAATAAATATTATATATATAACAATAAATAAATATTATATATATATATATATATATATATAATTTTTTTTTTTTTGAGATGGAGTTTCGCTCTTGTGGCCCAGGCTGGAGTGTGGTGGCGCTATCTTGGCTCACTGCAACCTCCAGCTCCTGGGTTCAAGAGCTTCTCCTGCCTCAGCCTCCTGAGTAGCTGGGATTACAGGCATCCACCACCACGCCCTGGCTAATTTTTGTATTTTTAGTACAGACAGGGTTTCGCCATGTTGGCCAGGCTGGTCTCAAACTCCTGACCTCAGGTGATCCACCCGCCTCGGCCTCCCAAAGTGCTGGGATTACAGGCATAAGCCACCGCTCCTGGCCAAAAAGACAGAATTTAAAACGTGCCTGTATCATTTGCCATTCTCTCCAAGTACATGTCCTGGTCAACTACTACTCCAACAGTGGCCTTCAAGCCTTTTAGTTCAGTTGAAAATTATATATGCCCCCTCCCACCCCATTTTATTTATGTATTTATTTACTTTTCCTTTTCTTTTATTATTATTATACTTTAAGTTCTAGGGTACATGTGCATAATGTGCAGGTTTGTTACATATGTATACATGTGCCATGTTGGTGTGCTGCACCCATTAACTCATCATTTACATTAGTTATTTCTCCTAATGCTCTCCCTCCCCCCTCCCCCAACCCTATGTCAGGCCCCAGTATGTGTTGTTCCCCAACCTGTGTCCAAGTGTTCTCATTGTTCAATTTCCACCTATCAGTGAGAATATGCAGTATTTGGTTTTCTGTCCTTGTGATAGTTTGCTCAGAATGATGGTTTCCAGCCTCATCCATGTCCCTACAAAGGACGTGAACTCATCCTTTTTATGGCTGCATAGTATTCCATCCACCCCATTTTAAACATATTTTTTTCATCAAAAGTTTACATAGTTGTAAAGTATATAATTCTCAAACAGCTGTAAGTTATATAATATCCGGCATTGATGTTTTTAAATAAAACTCTTGTTTACCGTAAAGTTTGTGGTAAAGAAATTTACTTAAAGAATTCTTTTTTTTTTTTTTTTTTTTGAGACGGAGTCTCGCTCTGTCGCCCAGGCTGGAGTGCAGTGGCGCGATCTCGGCTCACTGCAAGCTCCGCCTGCCAGGTTCACGCCATTCTCCTGCCTCAGCCTCCCGAGTAGCTGGGACTACAGGCGCCCGCTACCACGCCCGGCTAATTTTTTGTATTTTTAGTAGAGACGGGGTTTCACCGTGTTAGCCAGGATGGTCTCGATCTCCTGACCTCGTGATCCGCCCGCCTCGGCCTCCCAAAGTGCTGGGATTACAGGCGTGAGCCACCGCGCCCGGCCAAGAATTCTTTAGCATAAATTTTTTCTTATTTATTCTTCTCCTTCAATTTCATGCTTCCTTTCCATATTCCCTAGGGAATTTTATTTGAATGTACACTTTTATGTTTTAATGTATTTTACTGCTCACCCCTGAATTTACTTCTCTATGTTGCCCAGGCTGATCTCGAACTCCTGGGTTCAAGTGATCCTCCTGCCTTGGCCTCCCAAAGTGCTGGGATTACAGGAGGGAGGCACCACGCCCAGCCTGTTAACACTTTTGATGTTAACACTGGAAGGGCCATGGGGCTCCTCTTTAACATTTCTGCCCTTATCTTTTTGTTGGCTATGATTCCAACAAATTATACAAAAAATTATAAATAAACTGTACTTACTATTAAAAATTTTCTATGAGCATGAGTCTTTAAGACATTTAAATAATTCTCCTGGATTGAGTTTTTATTAATATTCTTATGAATACAATTGATCAAGCTATAGAAATATATTACACATTTTATAGGTAATAGACTTAAGAAAGAAAATTGTATTAAAATGCATTTCTTAATAAGATGGATGAGATTTTCTTTTCAATTGGTGTTTAAATATTTGTTGGTAGTATTACTTATTATTAGAATGAGACATGGCTCAACATCAATCCTCCCCACCTTTCTAATAATCAATTTTATGTGCTAAAACCTTATTCACATAAATATTATCTTGGAATGGAAGAACTTTGTTATAGTAATGTCACTCAATTCTTTGGACTCCTTCCAAGTTATATACCAAAAATATATAGCAAACTATCAGCAAAATTTATTGTAATAATCTATCGGCTGGCAATTAAGTCTTTTTCCAATTTTATTGAAAGCAAAGAACTGAAAACTCAATTTGCCAAAAGATTTGTTACCTACACACATTCCCTTTCTTGATTTCTGAGGACATCAAAAAGCTGTATTATTTACTAATAATTATGTGGGTTATTCTCACATGAGTTACTCTTGTACTTAAAGGAAGCTCGTTTAACCCAATAGATGGTTGAAATGATCAAAATATTATTAATGTCTTTCCATCATTGCCAACATTTATTTTTAATATGATTTTATCTTATCACATGATTTAAATATATTTTCATCAAAATCTACCTTAAAGTCACAGATTTAGCTCATTTCTGAAAATGTTCAATCACATGATCTAATGAGCAGTCAGTCCTCAATGTCAGAGCAATTGGCTAAATTAGATTTATTTTCATTTGAAAAAGCATGATCCCATTTTTCACTGTTAATAAATGTATTAGTATGTATTGCAAGGGCAACAATCTCCTGAAATTAAAACATCTCAACATCCCCAGTTATAATTCTGTTTCACTCATAACAGAAATATGTAAAACAGAAATATGCCTCAAACCCCTGGGCTCAAGGCATCCTCCTGCCTCAGCCTTCCAAGTAGCTAGGACTACAGGCATGTGCCACCATGCCTGGCTAATTAAAAAAAAATTTTTTTTAATAGAGATGGGGTCTGTATGTTGCCCAGGCTGATCTTGAACTCCTGGGTTCAAGTGATCCTCCTGCCTTGGTCTCCCAAAGTCCTGGGATTACAGGAGTGAGGCACTGCGCTCAGCCTGTTAATACTTTTGATGTTAACACTGGAAGGGCTATGGGGCTCCTCTTTAACATTTCTGCCCTTATCTTTTTGTTGGCTACAATTCCGTTTCTGGTTCTATACTTTAGATCCTGTCTCTTCTTGTAATGTACAAAGCCCCTGTCCCCAGATTGGTATATTTTCTTTGGATAATTCTAGTTGCATATTATTCCATGCTCTCACCTGTATCTTTCACGTGTTATGTAGGCTTTTCCTGCTTTGGCTTTAAGCAACCCACGAACTTCTAAGACAATAAATGAATTTGATCACTGGGGACCACATCAAGAAAAGCACTAATCATAGATAATTATATATAAATGTCATTGTTAGATACATGCCATATGCTATATATAGGTCTCTAGAAAACAGGATGACCCTGACTTATTTTGTTCTTCTGCCTCATCCTTGTACCAGAGAGAAGGAGCTACATTGGTTAGATTCCAGAATGTTGACTGAGCCTCATTTATGAGTAGATGTTGTCACTGTGTGTTAAAAGGACACATACGCTGTGTGGTAAAGGAGCACATAACAGAGGAAGCCCTTGCACGTCCTTCTTCCATGTTGCTGGATTGGTAAGCTTACTATTCTTCTTACATGTATGTTTGGGCACCCCCTTTGAATCACTGATTAATTCCCCTGAACCAGCTCTGCTCGGTGTGATTCACAGGCAGCTAGTACATGACTTGTTATTGGTCTGCAATGAGACAAGTAAGGAAACTGAGAGGGGCATTTAGAAACTTTTGTAACAATTAGACACAGTCATAACATCTAAGAATGTGATGATTTTTCTAGAAATTGATTGTTACTGTATTTTACAATAGTATCAGTTCATGAAGAATTGGGAAAAATAGAAATGAGTCCTTTACCACAGGTAACTTGAGAAACACTGCTCTAAACAATGTGGCTGGCCAGAAGATGGTGTCTTAAGATGTACTTGGGATTTTGTTTTAATCAGATCACGGTAAGGTGACAGACACAGAGGCAACTGCCTTTGAAAGAAGAGTTCGTTACTTCCGTTCCCAAGAGGAGTGGGCTTGCCATGCCATGGAGGGCCATACGGGGAAATATAAGTGTTGGTCAGGAAGCAGAAGGAGTGAGGGGGAAAGTTTAGCCTGAGCCTGTGGTTTCCTCAGGAAGGAAGGGATGAGGCAGGATAGGTAAGTCTGAGCAAGTTTAGGATTGGGGAGTTTGAATAATTTTGGAAGGCTCTGGCCTACAGAGGTGGTAACTACTTGTCTGGTATCTGGCTATGGGGTGATTTAGGGAAGGGAAATATTGGCTTAGTGAGTGAGTTAGATAAAGGAGGTAGTTGGGAATGTGGGCTTTGGACTGGTTGATCTGTACATGAAAAACAAGTTTGAAGGCAAGCGTAACATAGAACACTGAGGTTCAGCGTACAAGCCCAGGTGTTAATAACCGGTGCCTTGGGCACATATATCTCTCTTGAGGGCGTCACTGCGGAGAAATATGGCCAGGAAAACACAGGACTCAGGTACTCATGGCCCCTTTGCTAAATGCCACAATCACCTTTAACACTATCACACCGTCATAAAAATGGCATTCAAGACCCTCCCAGCTTTGACTCTAATTTACTTATTCTACTTCATCTTTCACTGTTTTCTCATACACCCTACCATGCAGCCACCCTACCGCAGGTCTTTATTTCCTCTGTTTCCAGTGCACGCTCCATTTTCAGCTGGGGAAATCCTCTCAGTTCTCCATGATCCAGCCCTTCTGCTTCTTCCTCTACTAACTTCCTTAATCTTTCCATAGCACCAAACCCCCTTTCAGAATATTTATGCTCTACTTTATTTTTTATTGTTTTCTTCAAGACAGGGTCTCACTCTGTTGCCTGGGCTGGAGTGCAATAGTGCAATCACTCACTGCAGCCTCAACCTCCTGGGCTCAAGTGATCCTCTCACCTCAGCCTCCCAAGTAGCTGGAACTACAGGTGTGTGCCACACCACACAGTATGTGCCATACCACGCCTGGCTAATTTTTATATTTTTTGTAGATACAGGGTTTCGCCATGTTGCCCAGGCTGGTCTCAAATTCCTGGGCTAAAGCAATCCTCCCGCCTTGGCCTCCCAAAGTGCTGAGATTATAGGCGTGAGTCACTGTATCCAGCCTACGCTCTACTTTTTACAACAGTTCTTTATATACATGTTCTACCTCTCATTTTTAACCAACTACAAACTCCTTAAGGGCACATTGACTGATTCATCCTTATATCTCCCAGAGTGCTTTGCACATAGTAACTACAATGTTTAACTTAATTAACATGCACTTAGATTAGGTACTGCAGCTTAGCCACCCATTTTAGGGTTGTTCCACACCTGCACGGGGTCACTGCTTCACTTCTCACAGCAAGCTAAACTACACTGAATTCATAATTTTGCCTTAGGTCAATGCTGGGTGCTGATACTACCTGGTACATTAGGCCTTCACATTAGGAAAGAGGTTTTATGCATTTTACAATAAAATTTAATTTTATATAATTTTTTTTTTTTTTTTTTTTTTTTTGAGACAGAGACTTGCTCTGTCACCCAGGCTGAAGTGCAGTGGTGCAATCTTGGCTTGCTGAAACTTCCGCCTCCCAGGTTCAAGCTATTCTCCTGCCTCAGCCTCAAGTGATCTGCCCACCTCAGCCTCCCAAAGTGCCAGGATTACAGGCGTGAGCCACTGTGCCTGGCCAAAATTTAATTTTATTTAACCAAATACCTATTGTGTGCTAAGTGGTGTGGATACAGTGGTGAACGAGACATATGACATGGTCCCTGCCCTCTTGAAACTTGGAGGCCAGGAGGAAATATCATATACTACATGAGATCTAATACATCAGACTATTCTTAACCTTAAGGATAGTGATAAGGATGATAAGACAGTGATGAAGGTTATGACCAATTCAGTGAACCTATGAACACTTAAAAATCAGGATCCTAAGATAATACATAATATGAGGAAAAACTGTTCTATTATTTTCTAATTCCTTGTTTCACTCTTTGCAAAAGAGTAGTCTGCAATGGACAAATGTGAAAGGGGTAAAGGTGACTTGCTCCATTTCTCCTTGTACCCAGGATCCAATCCTGATTTAGGGCATTCCCTAAGGAGCTACATCCTGAGGGCTGAAACCCCAACCCTTCCTCAATCTCAATTTTCCTAGACTAGAGGTTTTCAGTGATGACTCAGGATCCATGGCTCTATTAAATCCTGGGATCCTGTGTAGTTTATGAGATGAGTAGGCCTTACTCCCTCTTTTCAAAATCTTCCTGTCAACCAACCAGGAGCTTTTAGTCCTTTTCAGGCAGTCACAGTTAAACTATGAATTCCAACTTAGGTTTAGATGTTTGCTCGGGAGAATGGCTCTGGGATGTTCTGGATTTGAGAGTGTAACTTTTGCATTCCACAGAAAAATTATCTCTAGGGATCTCAGGGGATACACGTAAATTGTCTGTCAAGATGAGGCTTACATGACTGGGATGTTTGGAATGTGATGAAGGAGTGATTTTACATGTTCTATTTCCATGCCATATTTCACTTTTTCTTTCTAGTATAACACTGGTTCTTAAAGTGTGGTCTGGAGACCCCCGGAGGTCCCTGAGACCTTTTAAGGAAGGCTCATGAGGTCAAAATTCTTTCCTAATAATACTGAGATGATATGTGCTTTTATCACTCATCTTCTCATAAGCACACAGTGACACTGTGAGCCTGACAGTTTCATAATATTTAAATAGTTTTATGATGAGATTGGTGGTAATAATAAATATAGTTTTAAAATCTTGTGTGTATTTGGAAGATTTGCATAAACTCAGGAAATTTCTCAAATGATCAATGCATGATGCTAGAAATCATTCACAGGTTAAAGATCTATGGCACAAAATGGAGCAAGGGATTTTACTATAACAGAGTACAAAGTTACTGTTATAGTTTCCACGTCACAACTAACTGTTTAAATAATTGTCACTGTTAAGTTTTGGAACAGCATCAAGGAGGAACATTCACAGTTATCTGAAAAGGTTATTAAAATATTCCTCCCTTTTCCACTACATATCTGTATGAAACTTGATTTTCTTCAAATACCTTAACCAAAGAAAATCATACTGCAACAAACTGAATGCATGCATAAGCCAGTATGATATTTCAACTGTTTTCTATTACATTACAGATTAAAGAGATTTGCAGAAATGTAATACAAAAAAAAAAACCCTTTTTTTTGGTTTTGGAAAACAGTTCATTTTTCTTAAAAATATATAATTTGTGTTAATCATGTAATGGGTTTATCATTACTATATTTTTAAAATTAGTAAATATTTTTTAATTTTCTTAATTATAATTTCTAATATGAGAAATTAAAAGCACATTTTAGAAAGGTTTTTAGGTCCTCAAAATTTTTTAAGAAGATAAAGGGGTCCTAAGACCAGAAAGTTTGAAAACTGCTGCAATAGAGCAATTAAAATACTTTGAAAAAATAGGCTCAACTTAATATTTATAAACTGCCCTGAGCCTTAAAAATATAGAGAAATAGGTCGGAGATGAGTGAGCAGGAGATGTCTCAAGAAGAACTCAGGCTCAAAATGGAGGTAAAACCACCGCCTGGTCGCCCCCAGTCCGACTCCAGCCGTCGACATTGCCACCGGCAGGAAGAGGGCCATGACCCAAAGGAACCAGAGCAGTTGAGAAAACTGTTTATTGGTAGTCTGAACTTTGAAACTACAGATGATAGTTTAAGAGGACATTTTGAGAAATGGGGCACACTCACAGATTGTGTGGTAATGAGAGACCCCCAAACAAAATGGTCCAGGGGCTTTGGTTTTGTGACTTATTCTTGTGTTGAAGAGGTGGATGCAGCAATGTGTGCTTGACCACACAAGGTTGATGGGCATGTAGTGGAACCAAAGAGAGCTGTTTCTAGAGAGGATTCTGTGAAGCCTGGTGCCCATCTAACAGTGAAGAAAATTTTTGTTGGTGGTATTACAGAAGATACAAAGGAATATAATTTGAGAGACTACTTTGAAAAGTATGGCAAGATTGAAACCATAGAAGTTATGCAAGAGAGGCAGAGTGGAAAAAAGAGAGGATCTGCTTTTGTAACTTTTGATGATCATGATACAGTTGATAAAATTGTTGTTCAGAAATACCACACTATTAATGGGCATAATTGTGAAGTGAAAAAGGCCCTTTCTAAACAAGAGATGCAGTCCGCTGGATCACGGACAGGTCGTGGAGGTGGATCTGGCAATTTTATGGGTTGCGGAGGAAGCTTTGGAGGTGGTGGAGGTAATTTTGGCCGTGGTGGAAACTTTGGTGGAAGAGGAGGCTATGGTGGTGGAGGTGGTGGCAGCAGAGGTAGTTATGGAGGAGGTGATGGTGGATATAATGGATTTGGAAGTGACGGTGGCAACTATGCTGGTGGTCCTGGTTATAGTAGTAGAGGGGGCTATGGTGGTGGTGGACCAGGATATGGAAACCAAGGTGGTGTGGTGGATATGGTAGCGGTGGTGGAGGATATGATGGTTACAATGAAGGAGGAAATTTTGGCGGTGGTAACTATGGTGGTGGTGGGAACTATAATGATTTTAGAAATTATAGTGGACAACAGCAATCAAATTATGGACCCATGAAAGGGGGAAGTTTTGGTGGAAGAAGCTCGGGCAGTCCCTATGGTGGTGGTTATGCATCTAGTGGTGGAAGTGGTGGATATAGTAGCAGAAGGTTCTAAAAACAGCAGAAAAGGGCTACAGTTCTCAGCAGGAGAGAGCGCGAGGAGCTGTCAGGAAAGCTGCAGGTTACTTTGAGACAGTCGTCCCAAATGCATTAGAGGAACTGTAAAAATCTGCCACAGAAGGAAGGATGATCCATAGTCAGAAAAGTTACTGCAGCTTAAACAGGAAACCCTTCTTGTTCAGGACTACCATAGCCACAGTTTGCAGGAAGTGCAGCTATTGATTAATGCAATGTAGTGTCAATTAGATGTACATTCCTGAGGTTTTTTATCTGTTGTAGCCTTGTCTTTTTCTTTTTCTTTTCATTACATCAGGTATATTGCCCTGTAAATTGTGGTAGTGGTACCAGGAATTAAAAATTAAGGAATTTTTAACTTTTCAATATTTATGTAGTTCAGTTTTTCTACATTTTAGTACAGAAACTTTAACAAAATGCAGTTTTGAAGGTGTTTCCTTGTGAGTTAACAAGTAAAGATCATTGTTAATTACTATTTTGTATGAATTTTGCTAAAGTTAACTGTAAAGAAACACCTGCTGACTTGCAGTTTAAGGGGAATCTATTCTCCCCATTTCCAAACCACTATATGAATGGGTACTGACGTGGAGAGAATAGATAATTTGTGTGTTTGCAATGTGTGTTTTAGATAAATAGGATTGAATATTTAAATTAGCATTTGTGAATTTAATAGCATTACGATTACCTTCAAATGAAAAAAATCTCAAAATTTCTAAAAAAAAAAAAAAGAACTCAGAAGCTATGGAAATAAAAGAAACTGACACATAACTGAACTATGTTGTGAGAAAACTGAAGCCACATTCATTGTTAAACTAACAGAAGAGATGATCATGTACGTGTGCAGGAATAAAGAAGGGGTGGTTAGGAGCACAGGCTCTGGAGTTGGATGAACCTGGGTTCAAATCTTGGCTTGAACACTTACTAGTTATATAACCTTCTATAACTAGTTATAGTTATAAGTGATTCTTTCTAGGCCTCGATTTCCTCAGTCACTCTTCCAGAGAAACTGCAGGAAAGTCCTGGGACAAAGAATACTACTATCCCTTGTAGCATCTTAAGCTACTCTTGGCAGTCAGCCTTGGCCTCTAGGAATTTACTATTTTTTTTGAATGGAGAGATTAGACTAAGTGAATATTTTCATGCACAGCAGGGCATCTCAAAAACCTGGTTTTATTTTTTGAGTTAAGGAGCAATCAGTGTACCTTTGTACTAAAGCCTATAGAATAATCAGAGACCATTCAATAGCAAAGCGTTAACAGCGCTAAGGTATTCATAGCTCAGTGAGTCTCTCAAGACAAGGGTAAAATTACAACAAAGCTACTATCATACTTTCCCCAAAAGAGGCTGAACTAGAAGAAAGGAGAGGTGAAGGTGAGATAGAGATGGCTTCAGGCTATAAAGAAGTCTCTCAGAAAGGGTTAAATCAAATTTCTAAAAGTCTTGCATTCATTTGTCTAACAATATCTAGCCATGTGCTAAGAAGCAGACCTTGACTTTAACACTTTATTTAGAGAGAAGAGGATATGAGCATAAATAAATATGCACACAGAGTATATGTAGAGTACTTTCTATATGTAGAGTAAAAAGCAACAAATAAAGAGGTACATATAAAACATAACAGAAAGATAAAATGAAGATTTCCAACTAGAAAACAGGAGAGTCAGGGAAGGTTTCTTGAAAGGAAGATATTGAGAATAACTATGATGCAGAAATTCAAAGACAGAAAAATAGGGCATTTTATTTAATTTTAATTTTTTGGTTTGTTTTTGTTCTTGTTTTTTTGGAGACAGGGTCTTGTTCTGTTGCCCAAGCAGGAGTGTAGTGGTAAGATCACAGCTCACTGCAGCTTCAACCTCCCATGCTCAAGCCATCTTCCCGCCTCAGACTCCGGAGTAGCTGGGACTACAGGCATGGGCCACCACGCCTGGCCAATTTTTTGGTAGAGACAGGGGTCTCTCTATGTTGCCCAGGGTGGTCTTGAACTCCTGGCCTCAAATGATTCTTTCACCTTGGCCTCCCAAAGTGCTGGGATTACAGGTGTGAGCCACTGTGCTGGCCAACAGGACATTTTAGAGAGGGTGTTTCTTGAGCAAACCACAGAGGGTAGAAAACAAACATCATATATGAGAAATATCTAGTAGCTCATTCTGGTTCAGGTATAGGGTGCTTGATGGGGCACAGAGACTGGAGAATGAACACATAGGTTGTAACCGTACTAAGGGGATGGGGAATGCTATGAATTCCAGGGTAAGGAGTTGGGACTTAATTAGTAAATAGAATGAATCTGATTAGGGGAATTCCCTCTCCCATTCTTCTTAAAAACTATTCTAAACTGTCAATATTTTCTTTAAACCTCCAAACACAACCTCTCATTCCCTTCAATAAGATGTTTAATTCCCTACATTATCAAAAAATTAATTCATTTTTTGTAGAGACAGAGGTCTCACTATGTTGCCCAGGCTGATCTCAAACTCCTTGATTTTTAATTCCCAACATTATCAAAACACTAAACTGTCAGGGGTTATCTTCCTCAACTTCCTACTCCTTTTCTACAAATTTATCCACCTCATCCTTCCCTGTTTTCTTAAGGTTTCAGGGAACAAGGGTCCCTTTTCTGTTAAAAACCACATCTATTTCGGTATCTTCCAAGATTGTGCTCTACTTCTATCTATTCTATTTCATTTTCTAACACGTCTCCCTTTTCTGTTTTTTTTTCTTCCACAAAGTATAAACATGCTTATTTCCACCCACACTCTTTAAAGAAGCTGGGATGAGAAGTCTATACTCATTGTCTCCACTCCCCACTCAACATGGCATCCTTCCTTACTCTGGACTAAAACATGTCTTTAAAGTCCTCAATGACTTTATATTGCCAAATCCGATGGACACTTTCAATTCTGAGCTCACTAAGCATCTCTGTTAAATTTCAATCCATTGATCATGGCCCTGCCTTCTCCAACATCGCTACTCTCCTGACTTCACTGAACTCTTGGCCCTCTCAGCTTCTCTAACACTGTTTATCCGTTTTCTTTCCTGAACTCCATCTCTATGCCAGTGAACAGCAATGGTCATGCCTTTGGCTCACTATTCTTCCAACTGACACATTCTCTTTGAGTAATCTCCACAAGTCTCATGGTTTCAATCACCACCTCTCAGCTCAGGACCTCTTCCCTGAGCTATCATTTGCCTATCCTTGTCTAAAAAAATCTGTACTTGGTTATCCAACAAATAATTCAAACTTTGGATGTCTAAACTGGAATATGCTTCCCTTCTAAACCTAGACCATCCCTTTTTTCTTATTGTTCCCTCACCAACACACACATACACTACCTAATTCCTGTCTATCCTTTAAGCTTCAGTTCAGAAATTTACCTTTCCCAGAAAATCTTTACTGAATCTCCATGTTGGGATAGATCTGTGCTTTTCTAACACCCCCAGCATATCTCAATTATGGAATAACACATGCTACTACATAATTTTTTAGTGTATTCAGCTGTCTCACTGTACTGTAAGCTCTCTAGGGTAGGGATGATGTTTTAATCACCTTTTAAGCCCTAGGACCTAGTACAATCCTTGATATGTAGTAGGTACTCCATAAATGCCTACTACATGAATGATGAGAACTACATTTTAGGACGTAATCTGTTGACAGTATATAAAATACAAAGGAGAAGGAGAAAGACTACAGAAAACAAAACTGCAGTGGACAAACGCAGTAGAACAAAATAATACAATTGTAAAGCCAAAACTAAGATAAGGTTAAGGAATGGAAAGAAAGGGATGGACATGAGGGATTTTGCTCATCCCCTGAAATGAATAAGACTGGCAAAAGACTGAACCGGAAAGTGAGAGATGCAAGTGGGAAAATGAATCATCTCTGGGAAAAAAGAAAAGACACTGGATATACTGCCATAAACAGTAACTATAATCTATTCTATACCTACCAACTTTCCAGCATTTCTTTAAAATGGGAAATTAAATGGCCTAAGAATTAGATTTTGGTGGTGTTCTCTGAAATTCAAAAATACCTATTTATGTGATGACATCTATAGTAACAGAATGCTCAACAATTACCCTAAGTCTTCTCTTCTCTTTTTTGCTTAGTTTCCTTATTTATCAAAGTTGGGAAAAACTGGAGGCTTTCAATCTACCATAGGCTAACTTATCAGTGTGATACTACATATCCAGAATAATTAATCAGTAGAACTTGCCATGCTCAAATAAGATGTCCTGTTTCATGACTCCTATTATTATTATCCCCTATAATTAAATGCAATTCTTAAACAGAGATGTTTGAGCTAAATTCTGATGCTTAGAGGAGAAAAGCTCTCCCTGATGTTTTAGAACATGAAGATTGCTGGTGTGACATATACTTTACTGCCAAGCAAGTCTGCCAAAGGTGATCACATAGTCTAGGGTTGGCTTTTACATCAGAGAAGGGAGGGCAGGATTAGAATGGAGAATGTTCCAAATGTGCTGGTAACACTTCCTCCCAGAGGAGAACAATATGGAGCATAGTGAGGTAGAAATGAGGATGCAGGGATGGGCCTGGAAAACATAGGGCCAAAGGGGAAAACAAAAATCAAGTGGGATTAGAAAAACCAGATGTTTTTAGGCTTATTGAGCCAATGCAAAGAGTTTACCTGTTGTGGGAATGCACGTTAGTACAATGAGTTTGGAGAAGAGTATGGAGGCTCCTCAAAAAACTAAAAATAGAATTACCATATAATCCAATGTGATAGTTAATACTGCATGTCAACTTGGTTGGACTGAAGGATGCAAAATATTGATCCTGGGTGTGTTTGTGAGGTGTGTTGCCAAAGGAGATTAACAGTCAAGTCAGTGGGATGGGAAAGGCAGACCCACCCTTAATGTGGTGGGCACCATTTAATCGGCTGTCAGTGAAAATAAAGCGGGCAGAAAAACGTAAAAAGGCGAGACTGGCCTAGCCTCCCAGCCTACATCTTTCCCCCATGCTGGATGCTTCCTGCCCTCGAACATCCAACTCCAAGTTCTTCAGTTTTGGGACTCAGACTCACTCTCCTTGCTCCTGAAGTTTGCAAACAGCCTACTGTGGGACCTTGTGATTGTGTAAGTTAATACTTAATAAACTCCCCTTTATATATTTATATACTAATAGATATATAAATATATCCTATTAGTTCTATACCTTTAGAGAACCCTGAATAATACACCAGCAATTTCATTATGGGGTATATAACTAAAAGAAAGTCAGTCAATATATTAAATAGATATTTGCACTCCCATGTTTATTGTAGTACTATTTACAATAGACAAAATATGAAATCAACCTAAGTGCCCATCAACAAATAAATGGATAAAGAAAATGCAGTATATTTACATTATGGAATACTATTCAGCCATAAAAAGAATGAAATCCTATCATTTGCAGCAACATAGATGGAACCAGAGGTTATTATGTTCACTGAAATAAGCCAAGCACAGAAAGACAAATGTAGCATGTTCTCACTCATACGTGGGAGCTAAAAAAGTGGATCTCTTGAAGGTAGAGAGTAGACTGGTGGTTACTAGAGGCCAGGAAGAAGAGGGGATAGAGGGGATGAAAGAGGAAAAAGAAGAATATAATTGTGCTTAACACTGAACGGTACACTTAAAATGGTAAAGATGGTATAATATACATATACACATTTTACCTTAATAAAAAATACATTTTTGAAAAAGGTATAGAAAAAAGAAGAGTTTACCTGATTCATGATGGAAAATTTCCTCCCTATTCTGTTGTCTGGCAGCCGAAAGGCCTTCCTTCTCATGCCATCTTCTGACTCTGACTTAAACACCTTCTCGGGATCCCCTTTCTCCTCTCCTTCAGAGAGTTCCTTTTGCTTCCTCTTCTTTCTCCTGTTACGTCTTTCCTTTGCACTCTTTGAGCTGAGTTTAGAGATTTCAGAAGAGCTCCGAGGGGAGCCCCCTCCTTCTTCACCTTCTTCCTCTATGGCATCTTCTGAGACAGTTCCTGCTGAAGTGGCCATCGCAGCAGCCTAGGAAAGAAGCCACAGCAGGGAAGCCAGACCAGGGCAATTAACTGGAGCCACCCAAAGCCAACCAGTTAGTACAGAACATTTCCCTACTGAAGGGAAAGGAGGAAAAAAGGAGGCAGGAAACCTAGACTGTTAGAGGGTTTCTGTGTATTCTGGCACACAGCCCTAAGTGAACAGAGCAGAACCCAGTGGTGAGAACTTTGGGAGTTATTCTCTTGAGCATTTCAGACAAGAACTTGACTGCTGCCTTGGTACCAGAGGATCCCTTCTGAGCAAGTCTGGAAATGAATGCTAAGTAACATTATATATTATGGGTCCTAAAAATGTATAAATACATGTACATTTAGATAAGGATGAGAAAGTTAAGTGTTAAGGTGATGAGATCACAAATGTCTTTCAAGTTTTACTTTAATATTTTGCCTGTATCTTCTTTTTAATTAGAAATAATACTTTTTATGACCACAGGAATCTTAACATTTCTCCCAAGAAAAAGAATATGCTTATGTGAAACACTATATAAACTGCCCTGGTCACTTTTTTCTTCCCAGTCATCATGGCGGTTGCACACTGAACAGTTGAGCAATTCAACAAAAGATGATATGAACAAACAATTTGGCTGTTAAGACAAATGGAATAATTGGAGCAACCATCTGCAGTTGTTACTTGGGTTATTTTCATCAGACCAATGGCCTCTATTTGAAAATATGCCTAGAAAAGATCAACTGCAGTGAAAATCAGATGGGGTCTTAGTCACCATGATCTGGCAGGAAGGTCTATTGCAAAGAATTCATCACCAACCTGTGCCTCTTCCTGTTGCTTCTTAAGTTGCTCCAACATTGCTTTAAATTCAGCCTCTTTTTGTTCTGCCTCCTCCAGTGTTGCCTGATTCTGTTCTTCATAAGCCATGGCCACCACAGCCAAGATCAAGTTCACCAGATAGAAAGAACCCACAAAGATGACCAAGACGAAGAAGATCATGTATGTTTTCCCGGCTGCTCGTAAAGTCTGCAAAGACAAAGGCCATTTTCTGAGTCACTTGTACCAAATGAACCGGGCTGAAAACAGCTAATGGGCCAAGTTCCTCTGTAAGGGCACTATTTGCATTTTGTACAGGACTGTTTCCTTGTGCAGTACTCCTTCCTATTGTGGGCACTTGGTACTCCCAATGGTTGAATGGTTTCACTTATCCTCAACTCATATTAAATGGCAGTAGTTATCTCCCAACCATTGTGACAAAAAAATCCCCTCTCATTTCTAAATATTCCCCATACACTTCTTTCATAAAAAAAGTTTGATTTTGGGCTAAGACAAGTATAAAGAAAAGAATACAAGACTGCAGTTTATTTATCTACAGATCCTCAAACAGCATTAACAGACAAATTATGTCTCTGAAATCAGGTCCAAGTTGAAGGAAATCCCATCTTTTTATTTTATTTATTTTTTTTTTGAGATGAAGTGTCACACTATCACCTAGGCTGGAGTGTGATGGCACGATCTTGGCTCACTGCAACCTCTGCCTCCCAGGTTCAAGCGATTCTCCTGCCTCAGCCTCCCGAGTAGCTGGGATTACAGGTGCCCACCACCATGCCCAGCTAATTTTTTTGTATTTTTAGTAGAGACGGGGTTTCACTATGTTGGCCAGGCTGGTCTTGAGCTCCTGACCTCATGATCCACCCGCCTCGGCCTCCCAAAGTGCTGGGATTACAGGCGTGAGCCACCACGCCCGGACCCATTTTTTTTTTTTTTTTTTTGTAGGTGGAGTCTTGCTCTGTCACCCAGGCTGGAGTGCAGTGCCATCATCTCAGCTCACTGCAACCTCCACCTCCCAGGTTAAAGCAATTCTCCCACCTCAGCCTCCCGAGTAGCTGGGATTACAGGCATGTGCCACCATGCCCAGCTAATTTTTGTATTTTTAGTAGAGATGTGGTTTCACCAGGTTTGCCAGGTTGGTCTTGAACTCCTGGCCTCAAGTGATCCACCTGCCTCGGCCTCCCAAAGCGCTGGGATTACAGGCATGAGCCACTGTGTCCGGCCAGGAAATCCCCATCTTGAGTGACACCCTTCCTTATTCTTTTGCAATAGGATGAGTTTTAAAAGGATATGACAATATGACATAAAGGATAGTGGGGGAGGTTAAAAAAAGGCAGAAGGAAACTAGGTTTTAGGTTATGTGCATGCAACCCACTATTACACAGTTTTCATCTTTATTCTGTTAACCACAAAATGGGCCAGGCACGGTGGCTCATGCCTGTAATCCCAGCACTTTGGGAGGCCAAGACAGGTGGATCACCTGAGGTCAAGAGTTCAAGACGAGCCTGGCCAACCAACATGGTGAAACCCCGTCTCTATTAAAAATACAAAAATTAGCCAGGTGCGTGCGTCATGCCTGTAATCCCAGCTACTCGGGAGGCTGAGGCAGGAGAATTGTTTGGAGGCTGCAGTGAACAGAGATTGCGCCTCTGCACTCCAGCCTGGGCGACAGAGCGAGACTCTGTCTCAAAAAAGAAAAAAAAAAAGAAACAGCATCAATCACAAATATTTCATGAGAAACATTCAACCTGAGGGAACTCTAGGCTGTGCAACAGAAAGGTAAGAATTAACTCAGATATTTGAACTAGAAACTTCCCTTAAAGAGGGTCCTTCATGCCTGAGGGGACGTGTTTTTCATTTTCAAAGTAACTGGTATCACCAAATGACACAAAGAGAAAACAATGGACTGTCATAAAATTTCTAAGCTGTAAGACACTTAGCAATCACTTACACTAACTTCATTACAACCAGCAAAGTTAAATGACTTGTCCAGAGTCACCAGTGTAGCCCAACAGAATGTTACTGACCTTATTTTTATCTGTACAACCTGCTTGAACAAATCCAAATGTGTTACAAATCTCAAAAATGTTGATATACTCCAAGGTCCTTATGGAAATTCCATCTATATAGTGCCTTGCACAAAGAGGTGTTTAATTTTTCTTAAACAGAAGCCCTAATGGTGGCTCACGCCTGTAATTCCAGCACTTTGGGAGGCCACAGTGGGAGGATCACTTGAGGCCAGAAGTTGCAAGACCAGCCTGGGCAACAGAGTGAAATCCCAACTTTCCAAAAAGTAGAAATATTATAGCCAGGTGTGGTGGTACATGCCTGTAGTACCTACCTCAAAAACAAAACAAAACAAAACAAAACAAAAAAAACAAACCCTAACCCCAAATATCCAAAAGGAGATATGCTGCAGAGGATGAACAATAGGAAGTAGATAGAGATAGCAGATTCTCAGGCCAGACAAGAGGCCGTCAAGGCTGTAAGAGTCTACAGCTATACATGACTGAGCATTCGAGAAACAGGGATGAGAACTGAGAGAATTCACTTAATATCAAAAACCAGCTGACTGTGGGAAACACAACAGTTAGATCTTGTATAATGTCTTCACTAAATGTCTCTCACACAGAAGGTCCCCAACCCCATATAAGCTCATGCAAACTCTATGGCCAAAGGAAAAGAGGTATTACTCACCAATTGATACAAGTTTTCCCAATAGTCCTGGGTCATAAGGCGAAATAATGCCAAGAAGGCCCAGCTAAAAGTGTCAAAACTTGTGTAACCATAGTTGGGGTTCCTTCCTGCTTTCATACACTGGTATCCCTCTGGGCATTGCCTAAAGAAAGAAAGGGAAGTTCAGGACTTTTCAACATAATTCCACCCAGCCATGACCTTGGAGATAATAAATAACATAATTCTATTTACTCCATGACCTTGGAGATAATAAATAACCATTGATAGAGCCAGGCCAACAAATTAGAAGAAAAAGAAGAAGGAAATAAGCAGCTAACCAACTTCTGGGGACAGCCTAGGGTCAGAATCACCTGGCATGGTCTTTAAAAATGCAGATTCCTGCATCCTTACCCAAACTAGGAATTAAAAGTTCTGGATATGGGATCTATGAATCTGCATTTTTAAGAGGTATGCCAGGTGATTCTTATGCATGCCAAAGTGTGAGAAGTACTGTTCTAGATTCATATCAATGTGCAATTCAATCAAATTTAACTCAGCTATTATCCCAAATGACAAACGGCTAGAAGTTCCTCTTTTTTTTTTTTTTTTTTTTTGATACAGAGTCTAGCTCTGTTGCCCAGGCTAGAGTGCCATGGCATGATCTCGGGTCACTGCAACCTCTGCCTTCTGGGTTCAAGCGATTCTCCTGCCTCAGCCTCCCGAGTAGCTGGGATTACAGGCACCTGCCACCACGTCTGGCTAATTTTTGTATTTTTAGTAGAGACGGGGTTTCACTGTGTTGGCCTGGCTGGTCTCGAACTCCTGACCTCGGGATCTGCCTGCCCCAGCCTCCCAAAGTGCTGGGATTACAAGCGTGAGCCACCGCGCCTGGCCAGAAGTTCCTCTTAATCATTTGTTTTCTTTACACTCACTGTGACAACCTAAGTCAAGGGGGGATTTCAGTTACCTCAGTTACACCATTTCTCCTGCTTTTAGATTCATCTCATATTTCTTTCAATGTAATCTCTAGTAGTCTAATACAGAAATTAAATGGATTTCTAGACATTGTGGTCATGTTAAAACACCAGTTCTTAGAGGACCAATATACTCTGCAAAATGACACTACCACCCTACATTTATAAAGCCCTCTGTTTACAAAGCATTTTCATGTAATGTAAGTGGATCCTTACAGTAACCCTGTGAGCAAGAGAGAGCATGGCTTATTAAATAAATCCATTTTATGGATGAAAAAAACCAAGGCTCAGGTAAGTTAAATGGCTTGCCAAAGGTCTTAGAGCAGGAAGTATCAGGATCAGGACTCAAATACTACGTTGCTACTCTTTTTCCTCCTCTATGCTGTCAGGTCAAGCATATTTTGGGTCATCCTTGGATCCATAACCATCACTAAGATGGTATCTTTGCTCTCTATTGTACTATAGGATGAGAGGAGTCCCCAAGAGGCAGGTAAGCTATCTGGTGTTATTGATTTCATCCTTGGATTCTTTCATTTTGGCTTGAGACTACAAGCACAGGCACTTACTAGTGAAATGTCAACTTTAGATAGACAAATGTGAAACAAAGAAAATCTATGCCAACCGATAGGTCAGATGCAATTGTAAGGTCTACTACTTGAGCACAAAGAAAAGTAAACATATTGCCTATTTTGACCCTACTAATAACAGGTACATTATTTTAAGGAAAGAGAATAAAACTAGGTGAGCTACTTACCCAGCATCAGAACTGTTCCCACAGAGTAAAGGTTCCAGCATGCCAGGAACTGTGTAGAAATTTGCTAGAAAAGTTTGAAGAGGCAGGAAATGAACAGGCAGATTTAAGTGAATGAGAGAATAAGGTTACACTGTTCCTAACTAGCCCCAGCAGAAAGTTATTGACTTTAGCTCATAAATCTTTTCCAACAGCTGTGACAGCTGATAAGAATTCTTTCCTATTAATGATTTTCTTATATATATTTACAAATTAAAAGTGCTATCCCAAAGTTCTTGATGCAATATAGTTTTCACAGACACCCAACTTCCATTCATACTTCAAATCTATATGCCAGATTCTGGTACTTGAATCAAAGGGACCTAAAAGTAAGTTTTCTGAGTTGTACACCCCTTTATACCACTCTATTCTTCTATCCTTACAACGTGTCTTTATCAAAGATATTTTAGAGCTCATTGGTCACTAGATACTAGGTCCTATTTTAAATTACAAGGCATGTTTTCCTTTCCAGCATATGTCCCCGAAATCTCCTTTGCAACACTTTCTTATGGTTACTAAACTGACTTTATTTTCTCAGGAATGACTAATAGTGACATCTCTAACTTTTTTCATGAGTCTAAAGAAGTATCACTACATCAAATTTTCCTTTGGTTCCTCAAATAAAATGATTAAAACTACTCAACTGTAATAGGATTGAATAGTGCCTTAAAGATCACCTGATTCCCTAGACTAGATCGACTGCAATAGTCTTAGTAGTATTAAGAAAATTTGAGTTCCATAGATACATTCTGGACTAAATGTGTAAATATCCCAAGTAACTCAGCTAGGGAAAAAAATAATTTTTATCAAGCTTCTAAGCCTGAATTTCAAAGCAAAAGTTTAGGGGTACATGCGAAAAAGGGAGAGAGAGGGCTGATGTTTGAGAGCTTCTGAACACAATCCTACGTCGAGGAAAGGAATAATTTTACAAGGCTAGTTCTAGTAGCACTGCCATTCCTTTCCAGCTCCAACTACCTCTTTTTTTTTTTGTTTTTTTTTTTGAGATGGAGTTTTGTTCTTGTTGCCCACCCAGGCTGGAGTACAATGGCGTGATCTTGGCTCACCGCAACCTCCGCCTCCCGGGTTCAAGCAATTCTCCTGCCTCAGCCTCCCGAGTAGCTGGGATTACAGGCATGTGCCACCACGCCTGGCTAATTTTGTATTTTTAGTAGAGAGAGGGTTTCTCCATGTTGGTCAGGCTGGTCTCAAACTCCCAATCTCAGGTGATCCACCTGCCTCAGCCTCCCAAAGTGCTAGGATTATAGGAGTGAGCCACCGCGCCCGGCCTCCAACTACTTTTTTAAGCCCTGTGGTAGCTTCTGACCATGTGAACTAGGAATAGACTTTTCCTATTCCTCTTGCAGAGAAGAGGCCACCTACTTTTATTGTTGATATACTCTTCCCAATCAAAGCCTTTGGTGCCATTTTCAAGATAGCTCTCGTTGAAGTTTATGGGCCACACAACACACTTGTTTCGAAGGTTCCCCATGAACAGCTGCAGTCCGATCAAGGCAAAAACACTCAGGCAGAACACTGTCAGGATCATCACATCTGACAGTTTCTTCACAGACTGAATCAGGGCACCCACAATTGTCTTCAGGCCTGAGGAGACAGAATCCCCGGAATCAGAGGCACCTCAAAGCCCTCCCCACCTCCCCAAGCCTCCCTCTTAGCCACTGGCTGCTACTCCTCCCCACAGCACCACTCTTGAAATATGGCCACTTTATATTTATGCCATGAGAATAATAATAGGTCAGCAAAATTATCAATATTCCAGAAGTATCCATTTTTAAGTGAATACATCTTAAAAAGCAAAAGAAAGATTCTTCTGCCAACATGTGGCTCCTTTCTTCCTGGGAACACTTTCCCATCTCTGACTACTTTTTGGTTCCCCATATGAGCCCAGCTCTTACTTGCCATAGGGCCTTCATACCTGCTGTTCCCTCTGCCTGGAATGCTCCCTGCTATATTATCTTGTCCTCTGTGCCTAAATCCTACTCATCCTTCAAGGCCCAGTTTAAACGTCAATTCTTCCAGAAAGCCTTCTCTGACTTTGCAACTCTTCTTCCTCTCCATTGTTACTAGTGTTTCAGTAGCATCTTATACTTTCTTCTGTAGCATTTGTCATGGTTATAATTGATTTTTTATATCTACCTTGTTCACAGCTGTATCTATAGTGCCTAGCCCACAGTAGGTATTTAGTAAATATTTGTCAAAGAAACAAATGGAAAAATCAGGAATTGAGGAGGCCTCCAGGTTAGAAAGAAAACCACTGGGAAGTTTAAAAGCCAATAATAAATGAGAAGGTACAATAATATTTTCCCAAGGATTCTGGAAATGCCAAGGTATTGAAAAGGTTATTATTAATCCAGTATTTATACTTTGTCTTTTTCCATTTAAAAATATACTTCTTCTGTATCACATACATTCCCTGCTTTCTACAATGATCTTTTTTCTGTCCTAAATTAAAAACAAAAACATTAAAAACATTTTAATTTAAAGTTTAAATGTAAGACACTGGCTCAAATGTAGACTGAAGGTGTATTTCTTAATTGCACATGGAGAGATCAGTGACAGAAGAGACAGAAAAATATGGTTGTAGGTTCATGCTTTTTGGGTCCAAATGAGTCTTTACGTGCCCAGATATCAGGCTATCCATAGGATACGGCCAACAAAGCACTGAGCACTCTTGGTAGCCAATGCACCAGGATGAGCAAGAGGCAGGCGCTAAGCCTTGACACACAGGCCTCAGGAAGAATCTCATCCCTGCTCACTTCTGAAGGCAAGACCACTGAACTGAAATTCAAGGGAATCCTAATCCTGGCTTTGAAGGGTGTGCCTGGGTAGATAATCACTAATCTTAACTAAGTTATGCCACTTACTTGTCTGACTTACGCAATACGCCTTCTAACCTCTTAGAATCTGTTTTTTCATCTTTAAAGTAGGGAAAATTATAGTTGAGTAGCATAGGGCTGCTGTGAGGATTAAGTGTGGTTCATATAAAACACCTGACAAAGCAGCTGGGAGCAGTAGGTCACCCCTGTAATCCCAGCACTTTGGGAGGCCAAGAAAGGTGGATCACCTGAGGTCGGGAGTTCAAGACCAGCCTGGCCAACACGGTGAAACCCCATCTCTACTAAAAATACAAAAATTAGCCAGGTGTGGTGGCATACGCCTGTAATCCCAGCTACTGTGGGAGGCTAAGGTGGGAGAACCACTTGAACCCGGTGCGGGGGTGGAGGTTCCAGTGAGCCAAGATTGCGCCACTGCACTCCAGCCTGGTCAACAGAGCGAGACTCCGTCTCAAAAACAAAACAACAACAACAAAAAAACAAAAACAAAAAAAACTTCACAAAGCATTTAGTACATAGCAAATGAGTCAAATGTTGACCATTATTGTCTGAACCTCAGTCTACTCATCTATAAAAATGGATTTACAATACCAACCTCATTGGGTTGTTGTTAGGTTTAAATAGATAATTTATATAAAATACCTAGTAAAGTTCCTGGCACATAGCTGGCACTCAACACTTGTTATCACTATTTTACATATGGTACCCTCCTCAAAGGGACATGATTGGGAAAATGGCACTGCTCAGGGCTAACCTCATATAATGGTGATCTAATGGGTGGTATGGACATGATTCTTCTTTTGCTGTATTTTGCAAGTAATCACCTAGACTTTTCAAAGTCGAGCCCAATAGAATTTTCTGAGTCCAATAATAGAAATGGATGCTCTGCCTAGCACAAGACCTGGCACAAAGGCAGCCACTTAATACATTTTTATTGGGAGAGTAAATGAATGAGAAAGTTCTCTCCTCTTACACAAATATCTTAAAAGGGATCTAAGAGGAATTAAAGAAAAAAGAACCAAGAGGTAGACTGTAGAGATAAAGGATGCAGAGTCCTGTGCTTTCTTAGAGTGAGCCTTCCATGGAGACTGTGGCCACAAAGGGATTATGAAGCGCTTGCTTGGGCTCCAGGAAACAAAGCATTTATAATCTGATTATTTTTCTCCTCACAGGGCTGTGCAGAAAGAGCATCAGACAGGGAATCAGAAAGCTGGTATTCTGGCCCTGGCTCAATCACTACTTATGACCTATTGTGTTTCTTTTTCATTTTTTTTTTTTTTTGAGTCGGATTCTCGCTCTGTCGTCCAGGCTGGAGTGCAATGGCACGATCTTGGCTCACTGCAACCTCCGTCTTCTGGGTTCAAGCGATTCTCCTGCCTCAGCCTCTAGAGTAACTGGGATTACAGGTGCCCGCCACCATGCCCTGGCTAAATTTTGTATTTTTTTTTTTTAGCAGAGATGGGGTTTCACTATATTGGCCAGGCTGGTCTCGAACCCCTGACCTCAGGTCGTCCGCCCACCTTGGCCTCCCAAAGTGCTGGGATTACAGGTGTGAGCCACTGCACCCGGCCTGACCTATTGTGTTTCAAATCAAATTTAAGGTTACTTCTCATAGTCTCATTTTCTCATCTACAGAACATGGATAAACACACCACTACACAGCAGTGGGCAGTAGTGGAGAAGCTGAAGAATCTTCTCCAAAAGTCTTTCAAAATAAGGCAGAGATGTTTCTTTGATTGAGATTAAGTAATTGAAATTTCAAGCTATCTTTTAAACCTAAGGCCCTGGGAAATCGTATCATAATCACACAGCTAGGTAAGAAGGTACTGGTGGAATAAAGTAGAAGGCAGCCATCAAGAAATAAAAATTGTTCCAGTGTAATGGAATTTATTTTCATTTAGTTGCTAAGGAACAGAGAAGTCCTCATTATATTTTGACTGGGTTGGAGTGGGCCTATATTGAATCAATAATTCAATCCTAGGCTTCTAAAATTACGCAAGTTTACTGTTTTCAAAGTCATAGACTGATTTAAAAAATAATACTTGAATGGGTCACTAAAAATGGTTGTACAGTTTCTTTTTCCTGGACTTTTTTATGAAGCCTATACAGCCATCTCTCCAGACGATTCAGACAATCACCTTTCCAAACACCAGATGACTGTTAAAGGACTTTACCATTGCTATTTTACTGAATTGAGAAATGAGCTGTAAGCTGTCTTTTGTATTAGTAACAAGAGTATAATACTACAAAATAGCCAAACCACTGAGTTTGTAAGTAAATAATTTGAAAAGCATACAATTTTAGCATGAGTAGAATCTGATTTTCCTGGGCTGGGAGCTCTTTGACAGTTCCAGGTCCACATAAGTGGAAATTCTAGGCCATGAGCTCCAACTATCCCCTGTTCCTTAAGAATGAGCTCTCAGCAGCCATGTCTGTACAAGGTCACCTTCTCTCAGTAGTTGCAGATGTCTGGGTGGACATCTGACCTAAATCCAGATCCTTTCCTACAGGAATTTGGAACAGGATAAGAGACAGTTGAGTAATATTTTCATGTGGTGAGAATGGTAATAAATAAATTTGGAAGCTAAGTGGTAGCCATATTCTGTCATTATATTAAGATGTGACTGAGCAGTAAAGGCAGTTAGTATGCTGAGAGAGAGAAATGGACACGTGGAGAGAAGAGAGATGGAGACAAAGTACTTCCTTGTACCTGTGGCTTTCTGGCTCTGCATTCTGGTTTCTACTGGCTTCCCAGAAGCACAAGTGCATTCCAGCCCTTGGGTTCCCTGAATTATTCCTGTGTCCTGCTACTTGCAACCAGAGATGACCCCCACTAATCTGATATGTCAAGCCTGCATGGAATTCACTTTCCTGGAGATGGACCCAAATGCTCACAATCAGCTGGTTTAACATCTCTTCTCCATAAACCAGATGTTATTGCTAAAGAAATGTGTAAACATGAGTCAAGGAAGCTAAAAAGACACTTTTTCAAGCCTCAGCTTTGAAGTCTGGGGCTTAGATCATCTCATTGGTGAGTTAGCTTTTAAGATGTTTAAAGTAGAAACTTAATTGGAAATGGTATTCAGCTGCTTATACTTCACAGAGGGTCAGATAAATCTTAATTAAGCAAGGATAATCACTAAATAACACTAACTACAGCAATCTAAAAGGTTTACTCTCCAAGATTCCCATCCAGATCACCAAGAGAAAATGAGAAGGCAAAGGAAAAAGAAGAAGAAAGGTGATGCGGCTTCATGTTTTCAGGTAAAGGAAGGCACATGATCACACAGCAATATTAAATAATAAACAGTCACTGAACTATACATTGGTCTCAGCCAAGACTCTTCTTCCTTGCATTAGGATAAATTGCAAATGGCCATATTTGCAGACATCAATGCCAATTTATGGAGATGATGCCATCAATTCATTTCCTAAGCTCAAGCTCTACAGTCTTGCCAGCTGTGACTGCCTGAAAGCGCTCCCTCGTACCATCAACACCTGTCAATAAAGGCAAAAAGTTGTTAGTAGAATTCCTGACCTGACACAAGCCAGAATGTAGAATGCCATCATTCTGGCTATACAGAGACACTGTCTTTTTATTCTATTGGCTCACAACATCACATTCCAGAACAAGCAAGATACTGACTGAAAACCAATTATCCAAAACAGCAGAATGCTTCTTCAAAAGACTCCTACACAACAGAGTGTGCAACAGAAGCCACGTGGGGGCAAATTGGACAGTGAGAACTCTTGGAAAAGGCTAACATTAGCTCGCTTTGGTACGTGTCTGAGTAGAAACAGTTAATACATTTACCACAGGCCAAGAAAAGACAGCTGGATTCAATGTAGAGAACGGTCAGTGACAAGAGGGAAAGCTGGATATTTAAGGAATTTTAAGAAGCAGGTGAAGAATTCTACTCTATGTCCAAAGGTACTTCTGAATCTCCTGTCACGTTTCACAATGCCCAGGAATCCTGTGAACAAATGAACAATGCCTGCCTATGTGCTATGTCCAGAAAAATCAGTCAAGCATATTGGGGTCAAAGTCTTCCACCACTGGATGGCCAGATTATAAATAAAGTTAATTTGCCAGGCACGGTGGCTCACACTTGTAATCTCAGCACTTTGGGAGGCCAAGGTGGGTGGATCACCTGAGGTCAGGAGTTCAAGACCAGCCTGGCCAACATGGTGAAACCCCATCTCTACTAAAAATACAAAAATTAGCTGGGCGTTGTGGCGCATGCTTGTAATCCTAGCTACTCAGGAGGCTGAGGCAGGAGAATCGCTTGAACCCAGGAGGTGGCGGTTGCAGTGAGCTGAGATCAGGCCGTTGCACTCCAGCCTGCGTGACAACAGCGAAACTCCGTCTCAAAAAATATATATGTATAAATAAAATAAACAAATAAAGCTAATTCATATTCCCTAGTTTGTAGCTCAGGTTGAGAAATCTAAGTGGTTTGAAGCAATGTGAGCTAATTCCCCTACAAAGTTAATATTGAAACAGGCCTCAGTAGCAATAACAAGCAGTTCTCAACCCAGGGAAAGAACAACTGCCCTGTTCCCAGAGTTAGGCTTGGGTTCAGACAAAGCATAGGGGTAAAGTAGTGTGCTGTGTTGACTTTTCCTGCTGCAACTGCAATCCTCATGATAATATTTATTTATTTATTCATTAAGAGACAAGATCGCACTATGCTGCCCAGGTTGGAATGCAGTGGCTACTCACAGGTGTGGTCACAGCTCAACGCAGCCTCGAACTCCTGGGCTCAAGTGATCCTCTGCCTCAGCCTCCTGATTAGCTGGGACTATAGGTGTGTACCACTGCACCCAGCCTACAGTGATAGCTCTTGAAGATTCTTTAGAGCAACAGTAATTTGAAAGAGATTGGGGGACTCTAGATTTATTTACTCGAGACCTGATTCACATCACAAAGTGTGACCAAAACTAAACTAGCTCTCAAAGATGGGTCAGTGGGATCCTGTGAGCATTTAGTGTTTTTTCACTTAGGACCACTGTTAAACTTTATCTTTCCTAAGAAGCAATGTGGGAAAAGGAGAAATACAAAGGCAAGAGAATAACCAGAATAGTTTAAAAGAGACAATGAGTCAGGATATAGTCTTAAAACCGTTTATATCTCCCATCATTATGCAGCAGAAATTGCCACATTCACAAAGTATACGTTTAAAGAAAATGCTTTCTTTGTGAATACTGGGATGGGAAAAAGAAAGGCCTATCATTTTCCCTGCTTCCTGTCTGATCCCACTGGTTAGGAGTGAAAGTAACAGAAATGAAAGCTGAGAAATAAAATTGCCAAGAGAAAAATAATCAAGAAAGTACAATTCTAAAGAAGGTGGAATGAAATTAAATAAGTGCTAATGAGCAGCAGATAAGCAGTGCTTTGGGGGAGCCATTTAAATGACAGAAATGAAAAGAAACTGACAAGTGAGTTTCTCTCAACCAGTTCTATTAGTACTTATACTATTAAATGCTGCTAAGAAGAACCTGAGAAACTCTTTCGAGATTCCCACCCTTTCTTTGGGCATGTCAGCCCTGTGGCACATGATCAAAGCATGCAGAGGACAAAACTTCTGACAGAGTCACTTAGAAGTTCACTTTATGCGGGACTCAGACAAATACAAAGTGAAAACAAAGTTTTAAGACATATAAACTTTTAGGCAGAATATTTCAATGTCAAGGTGAACCTGACAAATTCCAGACTAAAGAAAATTTAGAAAGGGTCTCCTCTATAACCGACCCTTTTAGCACAGACCTTGTGTACACTGTTCTCCAAGTTGCTGCCTCTGGAGCAAAACGGAAAGCATAAATAGTATGTATCCAAGTCAAGTAAAGTAAAAAGGGTCAGAAGGTGGGTTTGGTCTTTTCTGAGCTACAAGAAAGCTGTAAAGCAAAGCATTTCTTACAGAAAAGGGCAGAGCTAACTGATGCACCTTACTGTCCAATCTTCAGGAGTCCTGGCGGCCCTGACATACTCAGAATATCTACCAAAGACACAAAGAGGAAGGACAGTATCAGCCCAGGTTGGGGGTGGGTGAGTGCTCTAGGAAAGGAAAAGCTCTCATAAAGGAAGTTGATACACAGGGAGCTTTGTGAGACCTTGCAGGCTCCAGGTCAGTGGTTGCTCTCACTTACATTCTATTTTTGGCACCCTTGGCAGTAGTCTATAACCAAACTGGGAAGAGGAGAAGACAAAGAGAACAACAATTCCACTGAAGTGATCCACGAGAAAACTTGGTATACAGAACAATGGTTTTTACTAAGGGGGAATCATGGGCCAGCTCTACCACACAAGAATCAAAATGACATACTTCCAAGCAAGAGATGGCCCAGATCCACTGACTCATACACTGGTGCTCCCGCCTTGGAAGGAGACTGCATAGCAGGCAGGTAGGAATAGCACAACAGCCCTCTATGGGAGAAAGCATAATCAGCAATTTCAGAATTTCCCATGGGATGAGAGAAAACTTCCCATGAGGGAAACTTCATTACTGGATTTCTCTTGCTAACTCTAAAACATAGAATCGGGAGCAAAAAGATTGAGACTGAGAGCCACACTTTTAATTCAAGAACCAAATATACCATTTACTGACAGTGATCTATTATTCGCTTTACTATCCCTTAATGTTATTTTCCACCCCAGTTAGCCTCCCAAAGCCAGCTCAATTGGGGGTGCTTCTAGAAATAGGAATCTGGGACTCTATTTCAAACTGTGAAGCTGATGTCTAAATCTTGATACAAACCCTTTCTATTGGCTTAGGTTTCTTTATAATCATAAGTGCTGCTACTACAATCATTTATGGAGCACTACTATGGGCCAGGCACCACTGTGTTAGATACTGCATATATTCCAGATATATATATATATATAAAGGATAAATAACATGACATATTAAGGATATATACAAAGAATAAATAACGTGACACCAATCAAGAGTTATCTTGCAGAAATGCCATGGTCAAAAGTTAACCATATAGCAGAGACAGAGACAGAAGCTATGAGCTAGACTAGAGACAGCATCTGCTGCCCTAGTTAGTGAATAGAATACAGCTTTCCAATTTAATTCTGGGAGAGAAGTTTTGAGATCACAGGAACATAAAGAGACAGATGCCTTGCAGAGTACGCTGAGGGAAGTGAGCAGAAAACACAAGATCATATTTAAAAGGGGCCAGAGGAGGAGAGACACCATAGGAAAAAGGAAAGTAAAGATGTGGCATTCCAGATGCCTCAAAAAATAAGACAGGGCTTGCCTAAAGATTAGGCCACCATCAATGAGCTATCTGAGGCTGTCTGGAGAATGAGCTGAGCTTTCTGTTAAGCAGATTTAAAATGGCTAGGAACTAAATCTTGGTAAGTTAAGGTTGTAGTTTTTTGCCAAGAAGTATATACTCCAACTGACACCCAGCCTTTGGTTGATAGGGAGTCAGCTACCATCGCTAAAAATATAGGAATTCATCTTTGGTAGGGCACTGATTTACTGGCCAACTCCATGGCCCAAATTTGTAAGTGGTGAAGATGAATTTACCTTCTTTGAGGTTCTCAGTAAACCACATTCCAGTCTGCCCTCTCCAGGATTCTATCTTTGTGCTTCCCTCTCTATCTGCTATTGAGATAATGTTAAAAAGGGGAAAAAGAAATATTTCTGGGCCAGATGCAGTGGTTCACGCCTGTAATCCCAGCACTTTGGGAGGCTGATGCAGGAAGATTGCTTGAGCCCAGGAGTTGGCAGCCAGCCTGGGCAACACATAGGGAGACCCTGTCTCTACAAAAAAATTTTTTTTTAAAAATGAGCTGGGTGTGATGGCATGCACCTGTGGTCTCAGCTACTTGGAAGGCTGAGAAGGAAGGATCACTTGGGCCCTGGAAGTCAAGGCTGCAGTGAGCCATCATCGTACCACTCCAGCCTGGGCAACAGAGTGAGACCCTGTCTCTAGAAAATAAAAATAAATTTTAAAAAGAGAGATATTTCTGAGTCAGCCACAAGGGGAAGAGCCACGTAATAGGAATAGGATAAGAATAGGATGCCTCTGTTCTTTCTCCACATTCCTATTTCTACGAAACTGCTGTGGAAAGCCTGGTCTCTACGGAGTCTTCCTTGAAAACCCATGACCACAACTAAAGTCCAAAGAGCAACAACACAGTCTTCACCTCTGCCAAGTTACTGCCAGTATATCTTAGGCTCACAATACTAACTAAAATATCTTTCCTTTAAGATTTCAAGACTGGTCTTTAGAAAGATAAGTATTACCCAGTAGCAATGATTTAAATTAAATTAAGGAATCTTAACCTGGGGTCCATGGATGGGCTTCGGGGGGGGTCTGTGAACTTTCATCTGATTCTCAAAGGGATCCAAAACCTTCAAAAGGTTAAGAACCACTGGGCTAGCTCAACCAGAACCAAAAAGAAAAAGGCACAAATTTTAAAGAGGTTGTCAATCAACTAACTCTCAACTCACCTACTGATTCTGTTTTTCCCCCTCAAACTTCTATACTTTTTGTTGCCCATACCTTTAGTTGTATCTTATCTTACCTTTGATTTTTTTTTAACAGTGCCTGCATAAGCTTTCATTGGGATTTATGTCTGAGAATGAACCCTGAATATGTACAGTAGATGTCTACTGGTTCTTATTCTAGTGAGACAGACAGCAGTAGAACATGATAGACAGTGATTATTTAAGTGCAGTTCACTAACTCCAAGTCTCTTAAATTTGTCTCTGATACTGGATTAGTTAACTGGGTAGATCTCTTCTGTGATTAAAAAATTTCATTAATATAGTAATAGTAAATGTATAATTCTTTGAATAACGTCCCATCAGCAAACCATGCGATAGGAAGCCTAGAAATCACAAGCAATGAAATGATGGCAAATGTCAAAATTACTGTAATTCCATGGAGCCAGGAAGCAAATGATTTATATACAAAGAGACAGCTAGCTCTGTGACAATTTTTTCAAATATGGTGAGATCCAAGTGATTCTTAAGCACGTGCTTTTTCAATAGCATGGATGGAATGGGGGCTGCATGCCTGGCAAGCACTCAGAGAAAACTGCCTGAGGACCCAACGGCCATTCCAGAGAATGTCTCCCAGGAAAAACATGCAGAATGCAAGGCCATTATCAACTGTACTGATGCTGCTTTAGAATGGTGGACAAAACGAATGGAGGAGAAAGAGGAGATGTGGCAAAGTCAGTCTTATGTACAAATTTTCTCACCTGGAATTACAGAGATAGTTTTCAAAGCTCGGAGAACCCTGAATGTTCTCAGCGCTGAGACATTGCCCAGGTCCACAAACTCTGTCACATATCTGTAGTAAGGGAGGTCACACACAGACACAAGTGACAAACACAGACACAAACACAAACACCAAAGGAAAAAACAAAACCACAACAAAACAAAAAGTACAATACGTCACGTCAGGGCCCTATCCCAACACCTAACACCAACCCCGGACCATCTTACCTGGGATTACCGAAATAGTTTTCAAAGCCCTCAGTACCCTGAAAGTGCGTAGAGCTGAAACATTGCCTAGGTTTACAAACTCTGTTATATACCTGCAGAATCAAACCAAAGTTAACTTGTAATGGTACCACTGGGCGAGGGTTTGAGAATGGGGGGAAGAAAGGGTCTTATATACAAGCTATGGTTTCATTTTTTTTCCTTGAAAAAGAAAAGCTTCAAAATACAAACATTTAAGGAACATTTGTTTTTAATTGGACAAGAAGAATTCAAAAGTATATTAGAAAGGAGGTTTTTGGGATTTACTCCTTTAATCAGCATAGTAATGTGCTGATCCCAATCAGAATGGCTTTACTGTCAGCCCATTCACATTTTTTAGTAAAAAGGAAGGCCAGGAGGTATCAAAGACTTATGTTCCCAGGTTTTGCGAACAATTTCTTAAGAGAGGGAGACAAATTTCTGCAGCAGGAGCCCCACAAAAACAAATCTACATTAAAGTAACTCCCTAGTTGACAATGGCAAAATTGACTAAATGTCTGTATATATGACTTAATCAGGAGTTGTAATCATATGATTGTAGTCATGTCTATAAACGAAGTTTTGGCCTGTGACATACAAAAGCAGGGCTCAGGAAAATCCAAATCATGGGATCAGAGCAAATATTGTGTTAAGTGCTCATTTTAATTACAAGCTCTGTGCCTAGCAAGGACACTTAAAAATTTTAAATGAACACTAATGTGTATTCATAATGCTAGAAAGTAAGACATTGCCTTTATATAACAGAAAGTCAGTTTCAGTTTCAAGTATTCGATGCATATCATTTATTCACATTTTACAGTTGAAATACATCTTTCCACCAGATGCTCAGATCAATACATATTTAAATGCACTCTTTCTTACACATCATGCATACATGCAAAACCTATACACCACCCCCACTACACTCTCAAACCACAAAACGCTTTCCCAACCTGGAAATAAAAATATTAAAGCCTGCTATAACTCTTCTATCATCAGCTAAGTTTCCCAAAGATACATTTTTATTGCTAAAACAACACAAATGAGCAAGAGCAGTAACATACCAATGTGGAGTTACACTGATCTTGAGCAATAGTTCGAAATTCTGGTTAGTAACTCTTCAGGAAGTGCCAGTGTGGGTACCTTGGCTCATGTTTTGACTCTAAAATGTGCTCTGAAGTCTGCAACTCCTGGCCAGCCTTATTAAATTACATACGGTAAGACATACCCAGGAAACTAATTTTCAGCTGAAAGTTTACAACTAAAAAATTTCAAGTCTTCACAGAGGCCTTGTAATGATAGGTGTGCAAACCGTGATCGTTACAAGGAGGAATAAAATACGAGAGAGTGCCAATGGGAAATCACCTCCTCCTTTCTCTCCCAGCTGTAAAGCCTCTGCTTGCCTTCTCCCACATAATCACATTATCATCGCCTGAACCACAAGAGGCCCTCACAAGCAAGAATCATAGACATAAGCCCACAGGGCCTTACATGGTTATCCATTAATTCCTCATACAGCTGTGTCCACAAATGCACACCTACAAACAGACCCAGGAGTACAACTCCACACACAGAATCACACCCAGAACACCAATAAAGTAAGGGGAGAACTTACGCCATCATGATGACACTGAAATCTAACCAGTTCCATGGGTCCCGTAAAAAGGTAAAGCCATCTATGCAGAAACCTCTTGCAATGATTTTCACTAGTGATTCAAATGTATAAATCCCTGTGAACGTGTACCTGTCAAAGAAATGAATAGCTTGAGGTAATTTCTGGACAGAAACTTTAAATGAACCTTTTAAGTTAGCACTTGCCTGAAGTGTTGCTTCAACTAAGAGAGACAAAACAGAAAGGGCACAGCCAATGCAGCAGGAAGGAAGTGAGGAGGAGAAAGAAATGCTTTGAATGAAACTTACTGAAATGCACAAACTAAGACCTTTGGAATGTTGTACTGGGTCCTGAACTGTATTCCAAGGAAGTTAACTTTGCAGCTATCTAGTACATGATCATTTTGAAGAAGGTAAGGAGGCCCCCCAGAGCTGTTTTTAACCTTAGAGAAGTCAAAAAACAGGGAAACCTAAAATTGGAGAAAACAGTATCACCAGGAACTGAGGATACAAGATGGTGATGGGGCTGCAGGGCAACGGCACTGCCTGGCACAGGAAAGGGTGGAGTGAAGGGCAGTAATTTCTAGAGTTGACTTTTAGGGAGGGCTATTTCCTAAATTCCACATGTACTTTCAGCCTTCTCTGTGAAATAAAGAGAGGCAATAACTAATTTTTTTTCTCCTTGATGGGTAAACTGTGGCAAAGCAAGATTTAGTGACTAAAAATATTTAAAACAAACAAGCACACACATAAATGAGTTACTTACTCCACATTCTTCGACCAGTCAGGAGGGTTACTAAAAGTCATGAATACACAGTTGGTCAAAATAGTGCACATAATGATCATGCTAAATACTGTAGAGAAGAGTCAAGGGGCAATATTAAAATCTGGCCTGCCTTTTGTTTTCTCAAAAAACAAACACATTTCCATTGGGTATCAGATCTAAATCAATAACCTGAAAGGAGATGAAGCACAGAAGAGAAAAATGCAAGGTGACAATGAAAACTGTGGTCACCACCATAAACACAGCATGCCACTGTGAACTGTGGATGGATGGGGAAGGACAGCTATTCTCCTTCTTTCAAAAGGGCCGTCACTGTTCTACTCCCTTTGGATGAAACATGTTCCCCTAACCACTTTTCAGCTCAACTACAGACTAAGCCTCTAAATGTTTTTTGCACTTAGTATAATACCTTTGCACTTTCTCAACCAAAGTTGTCAGATAAGAAAATCAATTAAATCTATATGACTAGGTATTCATTTATTGGTAAGTTAATTATCTTATATAGCTAGTTATTTGAAAATCTACATGCAATGGTTCACTTTTTTTCCATAGTTGTTGTTCTTTTTTAAGAGACAAGGTCTCTCTATGTCATCCAGGCTGGTCTTGAAGCCCTGGGCTCAAGTGATCCTACATCCTCAGCCTTCTAAAGTGCTAGGATTACAGGCCTGAGCCATCATACCCAGCCTTCCCTAGTCCTTCTAAAGGGCTGAATTGTCTTTGGGGGCAAGGCATCAGCCAATACAGCCCATATGTGTTGAATATGTCCAATGTGGGAAACCAGCTGCGGCGTGTTAGGTAAAGATTTCAAGGACATCTGCACCACCACACTTCTGAAGACTAGGTAATAGAGCAAAATCCATTCTGAAAGTGTCCAGGAATGTTTATGGATAGCAAACCATACTGCCATTTCATTTCCATCCAGAATTTTTCTCAGGCCTTTCTGTTCTTATCTCTGAGAAAAATTAAACTATTTTAGGTCAGCACAAGTTACTCAAACTCTAATTGTCATATTAGACAATTAGAGCCAATTAGAGCCTGGGAGCCATATCCCACTTGCCACTAATTCACTCTCTCTTGTTAATGGCATTCACTATCTTTATTCTACCAGTGGAGTTTTAAAAAGAGAAAATATTTCTTACAGCTGGATTTTTTTTTCTTCATTACAGCTGGATTTGTCTTCATGCTTTTTGGAACCAGAAGAGAAAAAACACTCCATCTTCTGATCCAACAGAAAGGAAGAAGTCCACTGTGAATTATTTATTTCCTTATAAACTTTCAGGTTTCAGAAGTGTGTTGCTTCTAAACTACAGATTTCACAACCATGTTGCTAAATTCTCAAGAGTTAATAAAATGTGGCAAAAGCTTCTAAACCAATTCACCAAGTTGCCACTGCTGGCTTCCTCATCCTACTTGGAGGATACAGTAATCTTCGAAGCATGGGACTACATGCTGTTAAATATCGACCAGCCATGGAAGTTTCAAGCCACCATGCAACATCACTAAATCCATCAAATAATTTTTCATTTGCCACATGCACTCTCATATGTTAATAAGGTGTAACTCAGGCCACTTGAATAAATTGGCATTTTTCTATTTAAGGTGAGTAAAAATACCAGAAAAAATTCCTATTTATCCTACAATCTGCATCTAAACCTCTGTAACAAGGAGGTTATTTCATCTGAGAACTATCTCACTTTCTAAGCTCACTGCTCAAAAAATTTTTTAAAAATTCAAAGCTGATTTCTAAAGCATTCATCCAACTATTTGTAACTCAAGAAGGACTTTCAAAAACCTCTAATAATGGCTTTTAATATATTAAGCTGAATAGTTGGCCACAGAAAGAAATCACTGAAGTCTGAGTACTAAATAAAGTTAAGACTTCAACAAAGGTTATTTTAATTTGTCCATACAATGATACCAAACAAAATTTCAGATTCCCACAATATCATCCTAAGAAAAAAAATAATAATTTGCTGAAGCTTAGCTTGGGATGTGGCAGGAGTTCACTCTTAAACCTCTGACTGATGGGCTAGTTAACTACACTATCAGTAAAAAACTTAACATATAATCCAGTTGTCAAATATTGGAAAGGTAAACAAGCAACCATGCAATTGCCGCACTCACTCCACATTTGCCGAAAAGGATATGAATGTATCAAAATTTTAATAGCTATTCTTCTTATCAGGTTAAAAGGACTTAAAATGTACAAGGCAGGCGTGGCACTAAATCTGAAGAGAGTTTTCCCTCTGTTTAATACTACAAAGGTCTGTGGAGAAAGAAAGAGAGAGAAATTATTAAAGCATGGGTATGAGTCACCACATGAAACAATGATTTCTAGGTAAGGAATACATAAACTCAAAAGTCTTTAATACTTTTTACTTCCCAACTTGGTTTTTAAACAAGCAAACTTAACACAATGTTTGCCCCACCTCCCTCCCTCTGCCCTGCCCAGATTATAATACAAATAGCTGATGCAATCTTGGCAGTTTTACAGAATAAACTTGTTTCTTTCAGAAACAGGCCATTTGAATCATACCTAAGCTTCTATGCCAGCTCTGTACACGATACTGAAGTTCATTAATTTAGGATTCATTCACTCAACAAATATTGACTGGACACCTACTATGTGTCAGACAGTGTTCTAGGTGCTTGGGAATGGTCAGTGAACAAGATAGTCTTGGCCCGAAGAGTTTAAATTCTAGTGGGAAAGACAGACAATAAATAAAAACTGTAATGAATGAGTAAATCATATAGGCTGTGCTACACAGAAGATGACAAGTGCTATGGGAAAAGGAGGAAGAACAGGGAGAGGAAGATCAAGAATGCTGGAGTCAGGGGATGGGTGAATAAAGAGGCAACAGTTTTAAAGAGGTGGTCAGGATAAGCCTATTGAGAAGAGAGATTTCAGCAAAGACTGGAAGGAAGTGAGAAATGTTCTTCATTCAATCAATATTTACTTACCAATATTCAATCTGCTTTATATGGCTTTCAAGAGCCCCCAATATCAGCCTTGCCAAAATAATTAAATCATATTTCCCAGTATGAATGTTCCCATCTAGCCAAACTAGCTCATGTCCTCGGAACAGGTTCTCATAATTCATAACGTTGGCCTTTGTTTATGTGGCTCATTCTACCCAGAATGCCCTGTGTTCTGAATTCAATTGAATTAAAATATTTTTGAGCATCTATTCTGTGCCAAGCATTGTGCTAATTACCAGGACACAACACTGAATAAAACTGTACTTTTAGGGAAGACACATATGTGAGCTAGTAATTATGATGCAGGGTAAGTACAAAGTTCAATAACAAAAATATGCATAATGTATGAGAGGCAGCAGGAGGGAGAGATTTTTTTCCCCTTGGCTGGGAAATAAAAAAGAGAGTGAGCTGGGAAGTTCACAAAGGAAGGTAACTAATATTTGGAAGGGGCTTTAAAGGACAAACAAGAATTAAGAAAAATTAATTGGGCAGATTTAGTGAGAAGGGATGGAAAGGTAAGGGAACAAAAATCACATGTATGAAAGCATAGTAGCATGTAGCTGCAGGTTTTTTTTAGGGAATTGACCAGTAATTCAGTGTTGATGGAGAATAAAATAGGGAAGAGGGAGAGCAGACTGTGAAGCTGAGAGATGCAAGGGCCTACTAGACTGCAAGTTCCTAAGGAGACAGGCCAGTGGCAGATACACAGTCCTAACATCTCACTGTGTGAGTGAAAGAGCAAATGGCCAAATAAATGCTAGTCATTTTAAGTAGTTTTTTATTTTTAAATTTTGGAGCAATGCATGATCATAATTTTTTTAAAAGAAAAAAGGAACATAAGACCAAGTTCCATCTCATTACCTAATGATAACCTTCGATGCCAGTTTTTTTGTATATCCTTCTAGAAATTTTCTATGTAAATAAAAGCATACATCTATGTCCTTAAAAAGTCTCTCTCTCACATGGGATTGTTCCATAAATACTCTTCTGTACCTTGCATTAAAAAATGAACCTCCACAAAGAAGAGCCCAGGACCAGACGGTTTTGCTGATGAATTCTACCAAATGTTTAAAGAATTAAACAAACTCTCCCACAAAATAGAAGAGAACATTTCTAAACTCATTCTAAAGGCCAGTATTACCTTGATACAAAACCAAAGACATCATAAGAAAACTCTATACTAACATCCCTTATGAATATAGACACAGACAGCCTCAACAAAAATGCCAGCAAACCAAATCCAGTAGCATATAAAAAGGGTTGCACACCATGACCAAGTGGGATTTATCCCAGGAATGCAAAGATAGTTTAGCATTTGAAAATCAACCAATGTAATGCAACATATTAATAAAGGAGAAAAACCACATGATCATCTTAATAGATGCAGAAAAAAGCATTTGACAAAATTCAACACCTTTCATAATAAAAGTACTCAACAAACTAGTAATAGAGGTCCTTCTTAACCTGATACAGGTCATTTATGAAAAGCCCCCACCTTTTTTTTTTTAACCTCCATCCCCTACAATTAGGCTTTTGGTTCTTTGAGGGCAGGAACCAATCTTATGCTTCCCTCCACAGTTCCAAAATAATGATCAGCCTATGTACTCCCAATGCACAGTATTAGTGATGTTTTTTAAAGTTCTTTTCTTATCTTCTATTCTTTCCTTTCCTAATCTACCAGAGTCACGTCATTCTCTTCCCAATGGAAAAGTATTGAGCTAGATTCATTCTACAAACGCCCACTACACCATCCCTAGTGTTTGACATTGTACTGCAGTGAAATTCTTCCTGTAATGGAGCATACTGGTTCTGGTGGGATATGCTGCAGAAAAAGCCTAATCCTAAAAGCAAAGAGAAGTAGGAGACCTAGGGTTCATCTGAAACATATCGAGGGCTGAGCTATAGCTCTTCCATATCTTGGCTTCTCAAAGAAACAAACAGCCCAGGGCTTCCCCCAAACCCCTTCTCTGAAGTACTTGTACCTCTCTGTGTTTCTACAGCAACTCCCTCTATGAAAATAGCCTTTTAAATAACCTCCTCATTCAACCTCATGAGGTTCCCATGAAGTATGGGTGAAGGAGGAATTATTATCCTCTATACACTTAACAAAAGCTCAGGAGAGGAACACCACCTATCAAAGGTCACGCAGCAAAGAGCAGCATGTTATGCCGAGCTTCGAGCCTCTCAACAGCTTCCACTGTGCCAGATTGGGAGGCAGTTCAGTGGCAACGTGGCAAAGAATGAAGTTGGTGTGGGAGACAAATTCTCTGGTGAATGAGAAATTTGAGTCCCCGGGGTAGATAGGGCAGCTAAGCAACAATGAAAGAAGCACTGGCCCATGCCCCAAGACCTAAAAACCACCGGGCCAGGCCTTTACAATATCACCTACAAAACCTCTCCTTAGGAGACAGACAACAGGATTTTTATTTTTTATTTATTATTATTATTATTATTTTGAGACAGAGTTTTGCTTTTGTTGCCCAGGTTGGAGTGCAATGGCGCAATCTCGGCTCACTGCAACCTCCGCCTCCCGGGTTCAAGCAATTTTCCTGCTTCAGCCTCCCCAGTACTTGAGATTACAGGCACCTGCCACCACGCCCGGCTAATTTTTTTGTATTTTTAGTAGAGACAGGGTTTCACCATGTTGGCCAGGCTGGTCTTGAACTCCTGACTTCGGATGATCCGCCTGCCTCAGCCTCCCAAAGGGCTGGGATTAAAGGCGTGAGTCACCGCGCCTGGCAGGATTTTTTAAAGTAATGTACTCTATACTTTCCATTTTTCTTGTCTCTTGGTTTGGTCGTGATGGAAATATAGGTCTAGAGGTAGCATGGAGGGTATTTCCTATCACTGAATCAGTGCCTGCAGTGCTTGGCATACAGCAGGTGCTTCATAAATGTCTGTTGATTGGTTCATGAACAAATGCTTATGTTGTTTTAGGTGAGGGAAAAGGAGAAGAAGAAAAACAAAAGGAAGCCATTAGGAAATGGAAACTGTTACACCTTGGTTGAAGAAAAACTAGGAGGTAGGATTCTGAATTAGGATCAGTCATGAGCTGTCAAGTGGGAGACTGATGATTCTGGGGGAAACTAAGCATCTTTAGTGAATTCAAAAACTATGATTTTGTAAGCAGAAGGCTTTACTAAGGACATTTGATGTGTGAAATAGAAATTTCCTAATTAATTTGGGTACTGAGTGTTGCACTTAAAATAAAACTCATTTACCATCACCCCTTTCTAAATATTTACATCTTATATCTTCATCAAGTATAAAAACAGTTTTTCTGTTAACAAAAATAAACATCTAGCACACTAAACTCCTGAAATGAAGGTAAATCTCCCATACTTTAGTAGGAAATTGTATTACAATAAAACATGTTTTATTATTGAAATAATTAGATTTACAGATAATTTGCATGCAGTTTTTCACAATGGATCTTTTTTGAAAAGCAAGATAGTCCACCTATAAGTCCAGCACTTTGGGAGGTCGAGGTGAGTGGATCACGAGGTCAGCGGTTCAAGACCAGCCTGACCAATATGGTAAAACCCCATCTCTACTAAAAATACAAAAATTAGCCCGACATGGTGGCATGTGCCTGTAGTCCCAGCTACTCTGGAGGCTGAGGCAGGAGAATCGCTTGAACCCAGGAGGCAAAGCTTGCAGTGAGCCAAGATTGCACCACTGCACTCCAGCCTGGGCAACAGAGCGAGACTCCGTCTCAAAAAAAAAAAAAAAAAAAAAAGGCAAGATAGTCTTTGGACAAACACAAGTACTCAAAGCTTAGGAATTTCCCTTTTAATACTGGGGCTTGCAGTAGTTACACGAGAAAGAGATAAGTAATATACCCGGCACCAGCAAGCTTTTTCTGAAAGGGCGCAGGCAGTCAATACTGCAGGCTTTGTAGGCCATACAGTGTCTGTTAAAACAACTTACCCCTGTAACTGTGGTGTAAAAGTAGCCATAGACAACATGCAACCCAAGAAGAGTGGCTGTGTTTCAGTAAAACTTTATGGACACAGAAATTTAAATTTCGTATCATTTTCACACATCCAACCATTTAAGAATGTAAACTACTCTTAGCTTGTGGGCCATACAAAAACAGATGGCAAAACTGATCTGCCCCAGGGGATACACTAATATTAGTTCCTGACTAAGTCCAGACTGACTGCATAAGAATCATCTGACTAGCTTTCTATTTTGTCTTATCTTTTATTTTTATTTTTTGTAGAGACAGGGTCTTGCTATGTTGTCCAGGCTGGTCTCGAACTCCTGGCCTCATGCAATCCTCCTGCCTTGACCTCCCAAAGTGCTGGGATTATGATTATAGCTGTGAGCCACTGCACCTGGGGTGAGTAGCTTTATTTTTTTTTATTTTTTTATTTTTTTTGGAGACGGAGCCTCGCTCTGCTGCCTAGGCTGGAGTGCAGCGGTGTGATCTCGGCTCACTGCAACCTCCACCTCCTGGGTTCATGCCATTCTCCTGCCTCAGCCTCCCGAGTAGCTGGGACTACAGGCGCCCGCCACCATGCCCAGCTAATTTTTGTATTTTTAGTAGAGACGGGGTTTCACCGTGTTAGCCAGGATGGTCTCGATCTCCTGACCTCGTGATCCACCTGCCTCAGCCTCCCAAAGTGCTGGGATTACAGGCGTGAGCCACCATGCCCAGCCTAGGCTGAGTAGCTTTTTAAAAAACACAGTCATAAATCCCTTCTCCAGGTGTTCTATTAAATAAGTGTGCAGAATCCAGGAATCTGTGCTCACCAGATTTGGGGAACCACTAGATCATCTCTCAGGTCATGTGCTAAAACATTTGTGTTCTCCTTCTTCCCTGCCTCTGCCTAACTGTATGGCCTGGCTGGGCCACTGCATGTCTCTAGATCTCATTTTCTTCGTCTATAAAATAAGAGAGAGGGCTGCCTGATGGGCATACTCAGGTCCTTTCCAGCACTGATATCTGTAATTCTACGATTTAGAAAATTCACAGAGCATCCAGGATTAAGTGCAACAAAGCAGCAAACCATAAATTTGAGGAGAAAGCCTATTATTATTTATTCTCTCACATTTTATCCTTGTAGAACTCTCTTGAGTTAGTTATTCTGCTTCCTTATGTTGAAGTCTGTCAAGTCCAGGGTCAACAGTGCTTGATAGTACCATACTTATGTCAGCAGGGGGGAGCATAGAGCAGCCCCAAGGCAGAACTGCGTCACACAATGCTTTTCCCTGCACTATCTCCCCTACTTTTATCCCCTGTTCTCAGGAGAACAGTGAATATGGGAGAATGGAAAGGAATGACTGGTGATGGGTTGACTTTGAGAGAGATATATGTATATATGTTTCATATGGCTGATTAAACGTTTGTAATCATCGTTAAACTTCTGGTGGGAATCCAGAAAAGGACATTTGTCCTCTCTCGTTCAACACTACGCTCTAACGCCAGATCCTTCAAAGCCTAGATATAGTGGAAAGGACAGCAAGCTTTGGGTTTTTACAATACTTCTTAAACAACAATCACTTGGTGCCCATGAAGTCCAATAATATTTTACCTAATCTGTCTCAAATTAGATCTTTGTGAAGTAAATGAGTTAAAAGGGAAATTGAAATTGGATTGCGGTTACTGCCCAAGGGGAAATATCAGTTTACAACAACAGCCACTGAATGTGTTTCAGCACAAGGTCCATTAAGAGCGGCAGAACAGTTCTTAACGAGTTATGGCATGGAGTATTAATAAATGTGTCATGTGGCATAAAATGAGCCTTCTGAAAAGCACAGGCTTTTCATTTCTAATTAGCAATGTGGGGCTTGGAGCACACAATGTAGAAGCATTGCCATTGTTAACTCAGGGTAAGATATCTTCTCTTTGGGGCCCACTATTAGGGGAAGGAACACCGTGCAAGGCCAGGTAGAGCACGTCCATATGCATACCAAACAAATCCTAGCATACTGCAAATGCAAAACAATGAACACACACAGTCATCACAGGACTGCAGTACAGCTAGTTTATTAGCATGTCTCCACCCCATCCCAAGACTGAAATAATTTTTTTAGCCACACAAAAAGTGTAAATTAAAAAAAAACAGGATGGGCTCACATCTGTAATCCTGTAATCCCAGCACTCTTGGAGGCCAAGAAGGGAAGATCGCTTGAGCCCAGGAGTTCGAGATCAGCCTGGGCAACATGGCAAAACTCCATCTCTACAAAAAAAATAAAAAAAATTTGCTGGGAATGGTGGCATGTGCCTGTAGACCCAGCTTACTTAGGAAGCTGAGGTGGGAAGATCGTTTGAGCCTAGGAGGTTGAAACTGCAGTGAGCTCTGCTCTCCAGCCTGGGAAACAGAGCAGGACCCTGTCTTGGTAAAATAAAATAAAATAAAATAAAATAAAATAAAATAAAATAAAATAAAATAAAACAAAACAATAAAGGATGCATATATATGAAAAGACTTTATATAGAAGAGTACTCAATGCAGGGGTGGAGAATATCATAGAAGAGAAAGCTTCTTCGAGAAATATTTATTATCCATTCCCTGGTTTGCTGTGAAACACATGGCCCAGGAGAGCAGCTCTTCACTCAACCAATTCTCCCCATCCTGAGAGGTCAACATCTCAACTAGGGCAAAGGTAATCTGCAGGCATCTGATGAGCTTCTGGCTATAATGAACACCTAGGGGCTCAGAGGTTTAGCTAATCAACAAGAGGGCAGCTGGGAACCTTTGAGTCTATCTGACTATAACTATTACTGGCAATGACTTATGACTGTCCCTAGATCTTAACTGTTTTGATTTCTAGAACTAACTGGTCCTCTCATTTTTAGCCAACTTCTCTGGCCTTAAATTCTTGCCTGCCTAAACAAAATATATGTACTTTATTCCCCCAGGCCTATGCACCTCTTTCTGAACTAGGCAACTGGCCAGTTGTTCATTAATCAACAGCAATTTGGCATTCATTTCTGAGTATGCATACAGCCAATATAGCAAGCAACAAATAAGTGTCTTTTCAAAATTTCCCTGGTTTAATAACGGAAAATATAATGCAGAATCTAAACAGATTCTATATCAGGCTAGGAAGCTGTTCAGAAACAAATGACCTGTTATGTAAAAATGACTATGCCATGTTGAAAAGAATCCTGATTTATGCTAATCTGCCTAGTGAATTCCTCAAGTAAAATTACAATATAGGTTATATTATATAGCCCCAGTGTGTCCCAGGAAAGTCTCCAGCAAAGGCATAACTGGAATGCATTTCCAGAGTACCCGTGTCCTGGTACTATCCAGCTCCCCTTAGAAATACTAAACCAAAGCAGGACATAAAGACACCAGCAAAATTCTTCCCTAGGCGTGTACTTCTATTTGAGCTGTGTGATTATTTAGAACCATCATTTTCCACGCCTCTATTACACGATACTGAGAATGGAGCAAAAGAGACCACTAAATCCCGTATTTTAAAAATTCCTTCTTAGTAACCGATAATTTTACCTATGAGTCTATTTGAAGAAATAATAAAATTCAATATTTATTAAGCATTTACTATGTGGCAGGCAGGCACCCTACTAAGATACTTAATATAATAATTGTCTCACAACTACTCTATGAGGTAGGTACTATTTTACAGATGATAAAATTGAGGCAGGAGGTTAAGTAACTTGCCCAAGACAACACAGCTATTATGTGGTGAAATTTAGCATTGAACTGAGGCAATCTAACTACAAAGCCTATACTCTTAATTATCAAGGCATACTACAATTTTAAAAAGCTTCAAAACTATTACTCAAATCTAACTATTCGTTTCACAAACAAGAAACCAAGCACAGAATGCTCTGCCCAAACTAAGGTCACAGCACTAGTGAGCAGGAGCGGGGCGGGGGAGTTGCCAGGGACTAGATCTCCCGGCTTCTAGTTCTAAACTCTTTTTACTGCACCAGGTCATCTGGTCCAACCCTCAGATCAATGAACGAATCTCCTCTACTTAATAACTTTAACTGTTGCAAAACGGAACCCCCTACATGTGCTGTTTATGGTCTTTTCTCCAAGTTCAGTTTGATGAAGATAATGCTAGCACCACATCTGCCTGTGGCTTTACAGTTTTCCAGGTGCTTCTGCATACACTTCTTCATTTGCTTTGACCTTGTAACCCCATGCTCTCCAACCTACATTTGGAGTAGCTGCCACCCTTCCTGCTCACGTTCTGGTCACAGGAAGCCATACCGGGCAGAGCAGCAGCACTGTGCACCTGCTTCAATGCTGAGCCAGCACAATGCTGCTTCCCAGGGCAGGGCAGGTCTGACCCTCCTCCATGGCCATTCTTCCTTGTTGTCCTTCGATATAAATTTGACTTTGATCACCTTCTACTTTAACCTCTTAAAGTGCACAGACTACAGTTGCTCTAAGCAAGAGCAAAATGCAGGCTTATTATGTAAAGCATATTAACCCCTCTATTTACTGAATTCATATTCTAGAATCTATTCTCACTCTCCTCTCTCTTAGAAAGCAGCAAAGCAGAGTGGTTTACAGGCTTTGAGGCCAGAAAGACCTGGATTCAATACCCAGCTCTGTCACTCATTAGCTGTCATGATCTTAGGCAACTTATGTTAAGGTTGCTAAGGCTCAGTTTTCTTATTGATAAAGTGGGTGCCATCAATCACTATTCCAATTTTATCAGGTTGTTATAAAGATTAAATGAAGGGTCACAAGGAGTCCTTAACACAGTGGCTGGTACAGAACAGGCACTCGTTAAATGTGGTTATGATGCTGCCACTGCTATCACACAGTACTGCCATTCCTTCAGCTCTTTGGCTCCAAACACGGAGTGGCCATTAGAAGACAAGAAGGGGCTGGCCAGGTGCAGTGGCTCACGCCTGTATTCCCATCATTTTGGGAGGCCGAGGCGGGTGGATTACCTGAGGTCAGGAGCTCAAGACCAGCCTGGTCAACATGGCAAAACCCCGTCTCTACTAAAAATACAAAAAAATTAGCCAGGCGTGGTGGCGTGCACCTGTAATCCCAGCTACTAGGGAGGCTGAGGCAGGAGAATCATTTGAACCCGGGAGGCGGAGGTTGCAGTGAGCCGAGACTGTGCCACTGCACTCCAGCCTGGGTGACAGAACAAGACTCTCTCTCTCAAAAAAAAAAGAAGATGACAAGAAGGGGCTAATATTTCTGTTAATTTGGATCCACATACTTGGCACAAGCCTGCAGGAAGGACACTTGTGCACAAGTTAGAGCAAGAATCCAGAGCAAGGCTGCACTAGCTCAAAATGGGTCCCAAAGGTTATTTCCAACCTGGGAACTCTGGAAGTGAGAGAAAACAAAACCCCTTAGGATGCACTCATTGGCTCCAACCTGCCTCTAGGCTTTATCTCCTGTCTTACCAAACCACACTCTATGCTTCAGTTACAGCTACACTCACTATTTTAAACAATTAAACCTGTGTCATGTCTCTCGGCCTTTATATGCACTGTTCCTCACACCTGAACTACTCTCTCATCTCTTCTCTGACAGGTGAATTTTTTTTTAACCATACTTTAATATTTAAAGGTCCAGGTCAAAGATCACATCCTCTATGAAGACAGCCCCATTCAACTCTCTTCAATAGAATTGTCCTTCCCTCCTGTGTGTCCCTATAACACTTGTACTTACTTCTATTAGAGCAGTTAACACAGAATATTGTTATTGAGGTTTACATACCAGTATCTCTCACTGGACCCTGAGATCCGTGAAGGGGAGGGGTTTATCTTCCATCTACTATGATTTTCTCAGCTTAGCAAGCACAGTACATAATGTGATGCCTATCTGGCACAAGGTAGACAGTTCATACATGTTTGTTGAATGTATGAATCTCTTCTTTCATAAAGAAATACTATAGCTAAAATCACCTAACCTTTAACTATATCCAACTTTCTTCTGGGTGCCCAGTTGAAGCTATACGGTCACTTTTCTACCCCTTAGCTCATCTACCCATAAAAATTCACTAATTTTAGTTTGAAAAGTCTTCTCTCCTTTTCTATGTCTCAGATACCATGCTGAAGGTATGGTATAAAACAAATGAACTAAACACAACAACATACAGTTGTTCCTCAGTATCCACGGGGAATTGGCTCCAGGACTCCCAGGGATACCAAAATCCACAGATGCTCAATCCCTGACATAAGATGATATTGTATTTGCACATAACCTATGCACATCAGTAAATTTTAAATCATCTCTAGATTACTTATAATACTTAATACAATGTAAATGCTTTATAAATAGTTATACTATATTGTTTGGGAATAATTACAAGAAAAAAATGTCTGTACATGTTCAGTACAGATGTGCTTTTTTCCCCAAATAATTTCCCCAAATTCTTAAATGTGGAACCCATGGGTATGGAGGGCTGACTATACTAACTTCATATTGAGGCAATGCAAAATGATAGAAAATTCTCTAAAAATGATAGGAAACAAAACCAAAAAAATCATCCTGCAATATGCTCTATATAGACAGCAGGGCATGGAAGAAAGACCATGAAGGTGAAATTCACAGATCCCTGGAACAGAAACCTGACTCTACCACATATTAGTTGAGGGAACTTGAGGAAGCAAGTTAATGTTTCTGGAGCCACAACTGTTTCATACTTGTGAAAGCGTGCATCATTATACTGAGATATCCCTAGTACTGGCAATCCTCAGGGACTGAAGAAAATTGGGGAGTCAAAAATGATATCTAGAATTTTGCTGGTGCCATCAACTAGGAAAGTAGATAAAAGAAGATAAGCAGGTTTGAGGGGAAGAAAATGAGTTCAATTCTGAATATACTGAGTAACCTGTGGGAAAATCCAGAAACAGATGACTGGCAAGGTGTTGAATATTTAAGGAACATTCTAGGCTAGGCTAGAGTCAGGAGTCCTCGAACTGAGGCTGGATGAGATCATCCAGGGAGAATGTGCCAACTGAGAGGAACATGGGCCAAGAACTGAATCTGGGGGAATATAAACATTTTAGGGAAAGGTTGAGAACATGAAAGAGAAGGAAACATTTGAGATAAAAAGAAAATTAGGCCAAGGAAGTAAAGAGATATAAGAGTCAGGGAATAATAAATGGTGTCAAACACTGCAGAGAGGTTTAGTGAGTTAAGAACTTAAAAAAAATCTTAGACTTGGCCATTTGAGATGTTATTGGGAAGATCTTATAATATCATGAAAGGGGTGAGGATGCAGTCAGGCTTCAAGGATGGAGGAGTGGGTAGATATGTGTATGTGGTGAGTAAACCCTCCTCTTTACAATTTTCAGTGGCATGGGAAGCAATTAGACTACCTGGGGACAGGAGGTCAAGTGAGGATTCATTAGGATGGGAGAGGCTTTGAGTGTGTTTACAGACTATGGGAAAGGAACCTATATGAGAGGAAAGACGGAAAATACAGAAAAGAGAAAGGGTAACCAAAGGAGTGAAATTCCAGAGGAGGTAGAAAGGCACAGGGTCAAAGACAGGGGTGAGGGATTGGTCTTGAACAGTAGATGGGGCACCCTATTCTCTGAAATCAGCAGAATCTTTTATTCCAACTTGGTTCCATAGGCCAAACTTTGCAGGCTCAACAGTGTCTGGAATAGAAATGCATCTTCAGAGCTTGTATCAAAAATTCTTCTGGTAAAATCAGAGTTAGCAGAAATTGTCATATGATGGGACAATCCTGATCTTAAGTTGTGTCAAATAGTGTTATATGTAAAGAAACATTTACAACTCATTTGTCAATTTGGAAACAATTCAAAAGAGAAGCATCCCTCTGTAAAATAATAACACAGTTTTCTCTCCTTAACTAAGAAAGCACTTAAAATATGTTTAATTATTGTCAGAGATGATCGATATTATCATAATCTTGAAACATTCTTTAACATTTAAATGGCCATTATTAAATAGTCCCATTCCACAGGTAAATTTTTGTTATGATAAGATTGCACAAATCACACCCTGGAGAAACCAACAGAAACTAATTCCTAAAATTACCAATCAGTGGAATTTTATGGCTGAGGTGACTGGCTAATAACACACATCCTAGAATTCAGGTAAAAGCTGTCTATGTCTATACCCTATGTGGCTCAGAACTATGGAATCACAGCTTAGTACCTGCATGAGAACTTAGGACTGGAGAAAATTGCAAACATTATTGGGAACACAGGTACCCTCCATATCTAACCCGAGTTAAACCTGGAGAAAATGCTGGGTTTCTTTGTAAGCACCCCAATAGCTCACACTGATGCTCAAGTATATTTTATTTCTGTCTGTGTAAAAATCCAAGAGGGGCAAATGCTCTCAAAATTGGCTCTTTTAAAGATTATAATTTAGTACTTGCTGAAGTCCTATTTAAGATACTGAATATTTGAGAGACCATATAATCTTTGATTCTTCTGGATTCTCCAAGTTTAGTCTCTGTACCAAATTAGAGCACCATAAGCCTCTAAAGTAGCTGGAACATGTTATCTTCATTAATGCACGTATCATTATCAGTAATAATTTTATTTCCGTATTTGTTTGTTATGTGTTTCCCTAACAAAAAAACTAAGTTCCAACAATGTATATGGCTTGTCTGTTTTGTTCCCAAGGGCACGGAACAGAGCCCCGGCATATAGAAAACACTCAGTAACAATTTATCAAATTGTCAAATGAATAATTGCATGCTCGATTCCTTCCTTAACCCTCCATAATCTATCATAAATCATATTGAATTCATCCAATCCCCTTAATTTCCACTCCCACCACTGTAACTCAGACCTTCATTATTTCATAGCTGATCTGCCTGTTTCAGTTCTCTTTCCTTCTGGCCCAGCTTACATATTGTCGTCCCATTCACCTCTCTAAGCACAGCTATCATCACGTATCCTTACTCCCATTCCAGAACCTTCAGTAGTTCTCTACTGCTTCTCAAACAAACACCACACCTCTGAGTCTAACATTCTAAGCCCTCCAGGATTTGCTCCAGCTCACCCTCCCCAGCCTCATCTTCCACTGTTCCTCAGTCACTTCCCCACATTCCAATCAAATTAGATGACCTGGATTTTTCTTACAGAAATGGTCTATACTGCAACCTGTAATAAGTGACATGTTAGCTGTTAGCATAATCTTAATTTTCTAGATTGGAGGAATTGAGACCTTAAATGGTTAAATAGCATGCCCAAGATCACCTGGAATTACACAGGGATGGGATCAGAAATAAGATTTCCCAACTTTTGGTCTATTGCCAAGGCTACAAAAGAGAAATCTGATTTAGGAATGCTTAATTAAATTCCTTCTCCTCTAGGTAGCCATACTTAGAGAGGGGACAAGACCATACGTGCCCATCAATGACCCATCCCCTTGAGAAGGGCCCACCTCCCAGTGTCTCAAAGCATTTATCTCAATTTGATTTGGTAAATAAAATAACTGAAACATCATTTTGTTTCCTTATATTGTTGGGAAAAAATTTTTAACAACAAAATAAACCAAAGTTTTAAAATATGTAGTTTTTATTTAAAACAGAAAGCAGCATTTAGGCTTATTGTGCAAAAGCAGGAAATACAACTTATTAGCAATACTTCAAATCACACCTAATGAACATAAATCCTTCCGTAATGGTCTCTGTGCTGCACACCTGTTGAAAGTGTGTCAGCACAGTTTTGGCAAGGATTTTCTGCCAGGAGCTCATATAGGGCTGCGTGTGTATGTATCACTTAAGCTGATGGCACTAATATTAGTGAAATAAGGAGAAAATTGCAAACATTATTGGGAACACAGGTACCCTCCACATCTAACCTGAGTTAAACCTGAAACCAACTTCTTATCCAATGTAGGACTGAAGATCCTAATGTGTTTTAAAAATTTAAAAGGAGTAATCAGTTCTCCAAGTGTAAGATAATTAAGTTAGGCTACAAGGAAAAAGAGGCCTCTGGGCTGGGCCTGTGTGGGTAGAATATCAAAAGGTAAAACTAAAAGACAGAGTACATTCCAACAGGAAGAGAGGGAGACCAGAAGAAGGTGGGTGGGTGGAGGGATCTTCCACACTAAGGAAACAGGAAGTAGTTCGCCACAGCTAAAATACAATATGTGACAGGCAAAAGTGTGAAATACAATTAGAAAGATACAGATATGGGTCTAACTCTATTTTGCAAATATTGTAGGTAAGGAAATTAAAGTGATTTGGCCAAGTACAAACATGAAGCAAAGCCGGAACTAAAACAAGGTTTTATATTCCCAGTTAGGCACTCTTTCCACTATAGTCAGACACCACATAACAATGTTTTGGTCAACAATATTTGGGATGGTAGTTCCATAAGATGATTATGAGGCTGAAAAATTCTTATTGCCCAGTGACCTTGTATCTGTCATAAAGTTGTAGCTATAGCACAATGCATTACCTTTTCTATGTTTAGCTATGTTTAGATACAGAAATACCATGGTGTTACAAATGTCTACAGCATTCAATATGGTAACATGCTGTACAGGTGTGTAGCCTGGGAGCAATAGGCTATACCATATAGCCTAGGGGTGCAGTAGGCTACATCGTCTAGATTTGTGTAAGTACACTCTGTGACATTCAAACAAGGATGAAATGGCCTAATAACTCATTTCTCAGAACGTACCCCCATCGTTAAGTGACACATGATTGTATACTATCCTACCATAGGTTAGGGATGGACTATGGCAGATAGGAAATACTCTTCCTTTAAAAAGTAACAAGTGGTAGAAAGGTTAAACAAATTGCCTCAAGATCACATGTCCAGTTGAATAACTGGCGGTATTGATAATAAGCCCAAGTCCCTGGAATAGCACACCTCAGAGCTCCTTGACTTGAGAAGATACAATACAGGGGGCTAACATGAATCCTTTCCCCCAGAAGCACTGCTCTTACCACTGCACTTTTTAGGACCTGTCCTAAAAACCACAGGGATTTTTAAGGAATAAATGAAAATGGAGCTTATTTTTCTTCTATTTCCCTGCCCAGCTTCAGCAGAACTGAGCCAATTGAGGCTGAGAATCAATTAATAAAAAATTAGAAAAGTGGGGAACTAGAAATATGTTGTAATAAATGGAGGGTCAGGAGGCATGAGCTCTAGTCCTGGTTATACCACCAACAGTGGTGTGGGCTTTTGACAAAGTACTTCACCTCATAAAATTTATAAAATGAGGAGGATGAACTAGATGATGTCTAAGGCTATCAAATTATAATTTTCTATTATTCTAATAAGCAGATATCTCTTTGCAGAAAAAGGTACACCTGAAAAGTTGAAGGTAAACTGAACTTTAGGAAGCTATATATAATTTTTTTTTTTTTTTTTGAGATGGAGTTTCACTCTTGTTGCCCAGGCTGGAGTGCGATGGCGTGATCTCGGCTCACCACAACCTCCACCTCCCGGGTTCAAGCGATTCTCCTGCCTCAGCCTCCTGAGTAGCTGGGACTATAGGCATGCACCACCACACCTGGCTAATTTTGTATTTTTAGTAGAGACAGGGTTTCTCCATGTTGGTCAGGCTGGTCTCAAACTCCCGACCTCAAGTGATCTGCCTGACTCAGCCTCCCAAAGTGCTGGGATTACAGGCGTGAACCACCACGCCCGGCCATATATAATTTTTTTAATGCAATAGGAGTGTGCCCTATTTAAAAACACATTGATCAATCTTGTAATTTAAATTTTTGTTTATATGATTGTAACACGGTATACCCATTAAACAAAAAAGACACATATATCAACTGTCAGTTCTAAGAAATTAAAAAGGGATAGGAGTCAATTCTGAAGGCCTTGTTTCAGCTTAACCTACAGATTTCCTGGCTGCCTACTTAAGATAGTCATTAGGAGTATATATGGCCATTTTGTATTCAACAAATTATTAAGCATTGGAGAGCATTTTTTTAGTGAAGACAGGCACTTTGTGCAACAGAGAAAAAGTCCTTAATTTTTCACTAAACAAGAAAAACTTTTAAAAGTGGGAGAAATACAAAAATTAGCCAGATGTGGTGGCGCATGCGTATGATCCTAGCTACTTGGGAGACAGAGATGGAGGTTGCCCAGGAGGTTGAGGCTGCAGTGACCTATGATTGCATCACTGCACTCCAACTTGGAGTTAGACTCTGTCTCCAAAAAAAAAAATAATAGTAAGTAAAAACAAAAAACAAAATTAAGACTTCAATAGGTTTAAGAAAACAACAGGAAAAAAACAAGAACAAAGGCTTTTAATGGAGTTCAAGTTCCATAAAACACATATTTGTTTTTGCTTGCATACACATAAAGAAACTCTGGAAGATACTACTATCAGTGGTTGCCTGTGCAGGGAGATAGGAAATAGACAGATGAGAGACAGGTGTAAAAAGGAAACTTATTTACCAAGTACCTTTGAATTTTTAACCACTTAAATATATTACCTATTTTAAAAACTGAATTTAAAAATTTAAATGTTCCTTAAACAATTATTTGTAGCAAACAGCTGAAAAACAAGAAAGCCAAAGAAAGGAGGTATTAGAACGAAGTACCAAGAGACAAAGAAAATGTAAAGTAGCCCTGAGAAGTCTGAGGCAATTCAAAGAGAGGATGATTCAGATTGTTTGCAGGGACCAGCTGAAAAAGTCAGTGTGAAACCCAACAAGGACCTCAGATACTTATGATAGCCAAACCAGTACCAGCTGGAATAAATAACAGTATCTCGAAAACGTGGTGCACAACTTTTAGGGCCCTGTGTCCCTTGGGAGTGTGAAATCCGAGCTAAAACCAGAACTTCACTAATAGAAAACGAGTTCTCTCTTACCCACTAGGAGAAAGAGGGAAGGAAATAAGAAACAAGTTTTTGTGAGAGTCACAAAGACAATTCATCAGTTAGAAAATGAGACCTATGAGGAAAAGATAAAGGATTCCACTGGTATCATTTAGCAAAGAAAAGAGATTCTATTTTGCGAAGAATTATTTAAGGCAGCCCTTGAAGAACAAACAGAAAGGAATGTCCTCTTAAAGTCATTTCTACCCTTATGACTTTTTGATTTGTGGGTTAATTCCCAGTGTGCTTCCTTGTAGAAGAGATCTTGCTAATTTAGTACAAGGCCTAGTTAGCAAGAAGTGAAGGGGTTAAGATACGCTATTCTGGCATATTGACTAAGTTAAAGACATTTGTATAACAGCGGGTGCAAAAAAATCACTCTGATCTTCTTGTTGTTTCTTAAGAGTGGAAGATGAAATTCCTGTGTGGAAGACACTCCCTGAACCTGAAGGAAAGGCAACATGCTTATCTTCAAGGGCGAGAAGGTGAGACCAAGAGAATACTGTACTGACCTTGTTAAATAAGTCTTATCTTTTAAGCCTGCCCACATAATTTAGTTGCTTCTTCACAATTTACTACTTTTTTGTCCAATCCAGTATATAAATAACTGACTCTGCTTCTTTAGGTCTTCATTTCTTTCTTTTTTTCTTTTTTGAGACAGACTCTCACTCTGTCACCCAGGCTGGAGTGCAGTAGCACAATCTTGGCTGACTGCAACCTCCACCTCCCGGGTTCAAGTGATTCTCCTGACTCAGCCTCCTGAGTAGCTGGGATTACAGGCCCGTGCCACCATACCCAGCTAATTTTTGTATTTTTAATAGAGATGGGGTTTCACCATGTTGGTCAGGCTGGTCTCAAACTCCTGACCTTGTGATCCACCCACCTCAGCCTCCCAAAGTGCTGGGATTACAGGCGTGAACCATTGCGCCCAGCCTACGGTCTTCATTTCTTCATGAGGGTTCCTGTGCTACATAAAGCATGTATTATGCTTTTCTCCTGTTAATCTATGTTATGTCAATTTAATTCTAAGACCCAGCTGGCACCCTAGGAGAATGGAGGTGGACTTTTTCCACCCCTATAGAAGTATCAGCACTGCTGGTAAAGATTTGCAAGTTAACTTGAGCAAGAATATTATTTTTAATCAAGTAAAATATCCTTCATTTAAAAGTACAATGAACATATCTAAAGTGCTAGCAATGTTCTTTCTTGACATGCTGTTAGTTTGTAATCATTATGCTATGTATTTATACTTTATGAGCTTTTCTGTATGGTGGTATATATTTTTTCAAGATTACCAAAAAAAATTATTAAAGTTATCCTTTCCAGGAACAATTTACCCTTGTGATGAAGCCGAAGGCTGAAGTCAGAATTTCTACCATGAAGAATCAGTCTTCTAATGGAGCACCATCAAGAACAATTTGGCCTATCCAATGAATGACACCCATCAGGTCCAGAGACCCACTCTCTTTGGTAAGTCCCCACTCTCAAGCCAGGCCACTGAAATCTGAGGCATTGGGAATGGAAAGAGGCTGTCTATAGAGCAGGAACCAGGGAAAAAGAGTATGCAAAGGAAAATTGGGCTCTAACAACTATTAGCTCTATATATTTTTTCATATCTCCTGTCAGGTTTAAGAAAATGAGAAATTAGAAATGAGATCATGTCCTTTGCAGGGACATGGATGGTGCTGGAAGCCATTATCCTCAGCAAACTAACACAGGAACAGAAAACCAAACACCACACATTCTTACTTATAAGTGGGAGCTGAATCATGAGAACACATGGACACATGGGAGGGATCAACACACATCGGGGCCTGTCAGAGGTAGGGAATGGGGGGAGGGAGAGCATCAGGAAGAATAGTTAATAGATGCCGGGCTTAATACCTAGGTGATGGGATGATCTGTGCAGCAAATCACCATGGCCCACATTTACCTATGTAACAAACCTGCACATCCTGCACATGTACCCCTGAACTTAAAATACAAGTTAAAGGAAAAATAAAAAATAAAAACTATAAAACAAAAAGAAAATGAGAAATTAATTTGCATTTGAGTTGGAAAAAATAGTTTAGGTCCAGAGAGATGAAGTGTCTTGCCGAAAATTACAAACTAGTTTTGAGAAGGTTTTTTTCTTCATTTATTTCCCCATAAATTATCTGTGGTAGCTTGGACAATACATTTACTAAAAAATAAAAATGTAAATAATAAGGCCAGGTGCGATGGCTCACACCTGTAATCCCAGCATTTTGGAAGGCTGAGGCGGGTGAATCACTTGAGGTCAGGAGTTTGAGACCAGCTTGGCCAACATGGTGAAATCCCATCTCTACTAAAAATACAAAAATTAGCTGAGTGTGGTGGTGGGCGCCTGTAGTCCCAGCTACTCAGGAGGCTGAGGCAGCAGAATCGCTTGAACCCAGGAAGCAGAGGTCGCAGTGAGCTGAGACCGCACCACTGCACTCCTGTCTGGGCAACAGTGCGAGACTCTGTCTCAAAAAAAAAAAAAGTAAATAATAAACATGGTAAATTATGGTAGAATCAGGATTTCTTACTTCCAATCTACCGTTCTTTACATCATATCATTTTGTTCATTAAACTTTCTAGATTTCCCAGTGAAAGAACAGACTAATGGTTCCACTTTTTTCTATTACGTAGCTGCTCTGAGCCTGTAGTCCCAGCTACGCAGGAGAGTGAGGCAGGAGAATTGCTTGAAACCAGGAGGCGGAGGTTGCAGTGAGCTGAGATCACGCCACTGCACTCCAGCCTGGGCGACAGAGCAAGACTCCATCTCAAAAAAAAAAAAAAAAAAAAAAAATCTGTCAAATGAGGGGTTCCCTAAAACGGTGTCTGATGCCAGTCCTCAAGATTCAATTATTTAGCTGGTGGATCACCCAGGAGGCTTTGTTTCTCTACTTGGTGCCTTGTTTCAGAAGATAATCATGAGAAAGTAGCTGAAGATTTAGTCAAATATTTGTTCAGGAAGTTTGAAACTCTTGGCCAAATGAAGATTAGTAGTTCTTTCACTTGAGCTCCCTACTTGCATGAATAACAGAATTGACTCTACTGCAAGAATCAGTGCTGGAAGAATCAATCCAGACAACTGTGTAACAGGGCCAATGACCTGGGTCTGTCCTCATTGGCTGTTTGCTTTACTCAGTTTTATTCCTGTCCCCAGCAGCTATGCTCTAATGTCACAAAGGGAGCTAGACAAGAGAGCAAATACACCATCTCCACCACACTACTCTACTGATGTCACAATAGTAACAACATCTTTATATTAAAGATAGAATTTTGAATGTGTGTTTGAGAGAGGGAGGCTGTACTATCTTTTACTATCCCATCTTTTAAAGACTCTTTTAAATAGTCCCATTTCATTTACATCCCCTTTTTCTGATCTGGCCTGGAGCCAAAATCAGAAGTCTTATTAATAGAGTTGATGAGTGCCAAGACCACAAATGACCCTTAGTAGCAATTAAAATGAAAAATAATCCCCACAAGCCAGAACTGAAACAAAAGGTTAACTACTTATCCAAACTTTGGCAAAGAGACACAGTTCTTTCTCCCCCATCTCCCTAAGCCTGTTAGGAAACAGGTATCTGCAGCTGCTCCTCCTCCTCCAACTCACTTTCTGCGTCAAATAGTATGGGTCAAAGTCCTCCAGGGGAACTGCAACCAGGCCTTGGGGGATGTCCCCGTAGATGAAAGGCAAACTCTTCCCTGCTTCCAGGTCGCTGTTTGGCTTGGGCTTGCTGTCCTCATCGTCCTCCCGATGACTGCCATCGGCCTTTGGTGGTTTCTTGAGCTTGCTCTCAGCAATGCGCCTCTCAATGTTTGCCAGTGACTCAGGGGTGAAAGGCTTGAAACTATCAGGGCCTGGTGGTGCAAGCAGCCGCGCTGCCATCTTCTCATCCTGCAGCAGCTTCGTTAGTTATGCTGCGTCCAGGACAGGTCAGCTCTGGAAGAAACAGCAACACAGACAGCATTAATCAATCACTGCTCTAAAAAGAGGCCAGACTAAACCATCTCACTCTCAACCTTAATTCACAACCTTTGCAAAAAAAACACATAGTTTCTTCCATGACATGCTTATTTTTCTTTTCAGGAAATCTGTGGCATGGACTGATCTGCCAAGGGAGATCAAAGATCAGGAGTCTCCTGAATTGCTAGTTATTTATTATATTCACTCAGATGCAACTCACTATTAGGAACCACATATGACAAAAAGGATATATTCTACTCCCTCAAGGAACTTCTATTCTAAACAAATAAGGACTATGTAACATTACCCAGGGGCATATATTAGCTGTGAAGTCCTTACAGTTCAAGTCACCTTCCTTTCCTAAAGCTCCACTCCCCAAAGAAAAACTCTTCCTTTCAAGGGCAAGATGAGGATAAATTGTCATTCTTCTCAAATTTCAGTTTCTGAAAACAAAATAAACCCTTCAAACTTTGGAGACACAAAATATAGATAAAATCGCTTCCATCTGCTTTAGTTCTTCCATTTCAAGTTATTTTTCAATCATCAAGTTGTGTAAAATCCATCCAGCATAAAAGTCCAAAAGTATCTTCTTCAACCATCAAGCTCAGAGGGCAGATACTGTTCTAAGTGCCACCTGCTTAGCAACTAGAAAAAGCAAATGGGAGTGGAATCCTAGAGAACTTCCTCTGATGCAACAGCACTGCAGCACTGCAGGCAGAGCAGCAGCAGAAGGGCCTGCGTGCGACTCCTGAGAGGGGCTCAAACCAGGAAGGACGGAGACGTGAGAACAGTTGCAAACAAAAATTCCCTTCTAAAAAGAAAACTGAAGTAATGTCTTATGAGAGCCAATGATTTCTAAGCATGGTATTTGAAAAGCTCATTTTCCATTTATGTTTATAAGAGTCCTGGATTATTTAAACACATGCAGTAAAATGGAGGAATCAATCCCTGGTTTCAAAAGCAGCAGTATTCAGTTTCAAGCACAAAATGACCTGAGCAGGTAAGTTTACTGTGAAAGGCTTAGGGCTTTGCTGGCAGTTCATTGGGTGCTCATGGTACTGCTTTTTTCTCTTTAGTTTTGTGAACACCATAAGAACAATCCAGGAATTTTTTTTTTAAGACTAAAGATTGTTCTTTCCCCTTTTGCTTAGCCCTCAAGGTCCACTTCAAGGCAACTAAACCTTGAGGCTCCTCAAGAGAACAGTAGTAGAGTTAACTCTAAATAAGTTGGGAATGAGATACCCAAGAGCTCCTTCCACAAATCCACCTGCTGAGATTCCAGATCTCTGGAGCAGTGGTGATTGCTAAGTGTTGCAAGACAGTGTGTAGTGTCTGTATGAGGGCCGGTCAGCTTGCTCACTCACAGCAGGGGGCTAAAGAGGCCATAACCACAAGTTTGCCCCACATAGACCAGTTGGCTTCACGCTGCGCAAAAACCACCACCATCCTACAGACAGTGGGGTCAGAGAAATCATTTCCATGTAGGAATTATCTAAGGAATTCAGAGCTGTAAGGATTTTACAAATTTAGTCCATTTGATTTTAGATGAGGAAAGGTGGGGTCCTAAGACATCAGACAACTTGCCCTGAGTCACAGGGCCAGGATAAAAATCACAACCAAAATGCTCTGGTGCCCCATCTCAGAACTTCTTTCATTATAATAAATATCAGTTATTTATCCTCCTTTGCTATGTCCCACTACTCCCTAACAGGAATAGTTTTGTTTAGTAAGTAAATCACATAGATGTTATGGCTTTACTGATCTAAGACTAGTTACAATGCTTTCCCCAACCTAAAATTCCTTTTCCTTCATTCTTCTCCTACCCATCCTTGCATTGCCCCCCAATAAATCCCTACTCCTCCACAGTCTTCCCACCAACTCAGCCTTGACTAATTATTTCCCTTTCTACACTCCTACAGCACTCCACCATGACCTTAGCTAACATTTATCACATACTATGTTTCAAGCATTATTCCAAGCACCTTGCTGGTATTAACTCGTTCAATCTCCAGAGCAGCATATGAGGCAGATATTATTATCACCACTTAACAGATAAAGAAACAGAGTCAGAGAAAACTAATGTAGCTTGCCCAAAGTTATAGAGCCAGAAGAAGATTTGAAACACACTAAATAAACTTGTTTTGGCACTTAATCATTGCTGAATTGTACCTTTTAGAGAATAAATTCCCAGAGGTCTTAAACTTCTTTTGTATCCCTTTCACAGTGAATAAGATTATGCCTGAAACCCATAATGAGACCAAATGCATGAAGACTCCTTGGCTCCTACATTCACACTCATTCTCAATCCTAGGTCACTCTCTGTTCCTACGCAGAGGACAAAGAACACTGCAAGAGTAAGTCACTGAAGATGCTGACAAATTCTTGTGATCTAATTGCAGGCACCTGGGTTCTTCACAGCAGCCCAGGGCTAAGTTCTCTGTCTTTGCTTTCAGATCCTGTTTCTTCCTGTCTTCTCCAAGACTGTGTCCTCTCGATTACCCCTGCTCTTCATCCCATCTTCAATTGTACCTTTTCCTGTATCTTCTCCCTTTACATCTCCACCCCCACTCTCTTTGTTTGGCTTAAGTGACACTATGTTATCCTGGTTGAACTACAGCTGCAGTCTCCTCTTCCTCATCAACTCTTCCTTCTCTAAGGGCTGGCCTTCTGAAATTTCTCTGTTACAGTCTTTTAGGGATCTCATTTATTCAAAATAATTTGTACATTGGTAATTTTCAGATTTCTCTCACTGGCCCTGATTGTTCTCCTGAGTCCCACAGCTGTCTCTAGTGGCCTGCTATGACTTTCAAACTAAAGCATTTAAAAACTATTCATCTTACTCCAAAACTGATTCTTCTTCCTGGCTTTCTTATTTCTGGACCAGCCATCCAGCATGGAATCTCAGTTATCTCTGCCAAGTCCCCTTTTGCTATCCATACCCAACCAGTCATCAGCCTTTCCAATTGCTCTTCCTTAAGAGCTTCCATTTTCAATAGTATTGCCCTAATTCAGGTCCTACTGCAGTAGTCTCCCCACTAGTGGACCAGCCCTCAGTCCACCAGGCATATTTCCAAGGATCCATTTCCCTAAAAATCTGCTTTCATTAAGTCATTTCCCTCCCTCAAACTTACCAGTTATAGGACAGATTCCAAATTTCTGCCATTTCACTGCCACTCAAGGCATTCTACAACCGTATGCATCATAAACATTCTCTTCTATGGCTTCTCTGCAAGAACACCTGCGCTGGTAACTGTATTCTGAGTTTTAAATTTTTTGAAGGTATAATACAATAAAGCAATAAAGTATGCAAACCTTAAGTGCACAGCTTATTTTGTACATATGTATGTGCCTGTGTAACCACCACTGAAATCAAGATGTAGAAAATTTACTTTCAGCATCCCAGACAGCTCTCATGAGCCATCAATAACCACCCCTAGCAAAAGCTATTCTGACAGTTATCACCATATATTAGTTTTGCTTCTACCTGAACCTCATATAAGTAGACTATAAACATACTCTTTGGGTTCTGGCTTCTTTCACCCAACACTATTTCTGTGAAATTCATCTTCTTATATGTGTAGCAGTAGTTCATTCTGCATAGTATTCCATGTATGAATGTAGTACAATTTATCCATTCTACCTTGATGGGCATCTAAGTTGTTTATAGTTTTAAGCTATTATGAATAAAAGCTGCTAAGAGCCTTCTTGTAGGTGTCTTTTGGTAGCCATACCTTTATTTCTTTTTGGCATATAGCTAGGAGTGGAATGCTGGGTCAGAGAATGGCAGATATTTAGCTTTAGTAATATTCCTACCAGCAATATAAGAGGGTTCCAGTTGTTCCAAATCCTCATCAACACTTGGAATGACAGTCTTCTGAATTTTACCCACTCTGGTGGGTATAGCAGCATCTCGTATTTTTTAAAAAAGTAATTTATTGGGATGAAATTTACATAACATAAAATTAACCACTTTAAGGTGAACAATTCAGTGGCAATTAGTACATTCACACTACCAGTTATCTAGTTCTAAAACATAAGCAGTTTCTCTCCATTCCCAACCTTCAGCCTCCACCCTTTGCCATCAGCTCCTAGTAACTATCAGTCTTCATTCTCTCTCTACTGATTTATCTATTCTAGATGTTTCATATAAATGGACTCACACAATATGTGAGCCTTTGTGTCTGACTTCTTTCACTTAGCATAGTGTTCTCAAGGCTCATCCATAATGTAGCATGTATCAGTACTTCATTCCTTTCTATGGTATTTCATGCAGGGTACAGAATCAACGTACAAAAATCAGTAGCATTTCTATACATCCACAACAAACTAGCAGAAAAAGATATCAAGAAAGCAATCCCAATTATAATAGCCACCAAAAAAATAGTAAGACCTAGGAATAAATTTAACCAGGAAGGTGAAAGATCTCCCCAGGAAAACTAAAACACTGATGAAAAATCAAAGATCACGAAAAAAAGTGGAAAGACATCCCATGTTCATGAACTGCAAGAATTAATATTGTGAAAATAACCATACTACCAAAAGCCATCTACAGGTTCAATACAATCCTTATCAAAATACCAATGAAATTATTCACAGAAATAGAAAAAACAATCCTAAAATTTCTATGGAACCACAAAAGACCTTGAAAAGCCAAAGTAATCCTGAGCAAAAGGAACAAAGCTGGAGTTATCACACTATTGGATTTCAAAATATACTACAAAGATACAGTATCCAGAACAACATGGTATTAGCATAAAAAGACACACAGACCAATGGAAAAGAATAGAAAACACAGAATTAAATCCACATATTAATAGCCAACTGAATTTTGACAAAGGCACCAAGAACATTCATTGGGGAGGGATAATTTCTTCAATAAATGGTGCCGGGAAAACTGGATAACCATATGCAGAAGAATGAAACTGGAACCCTATCTCTCACCACATACAAAAATCAACTCAAAATGAATTAAGGACTTACATGTAAGTATGAAACTACTAGAAGAAAACATAGGAGAAACACTTCAGGACATTGGTCTGGGCAAAGATTTTATGGAGAAGACCTCAAAAGCACAGGAAACACAGGCAAAAATAGACAAATGGGATTATATCAAACTAAAAAGCTTCTGCACAGCAAAGGAAACAATCAGCAGAGTGAAGAGACAACCAGTAGAATGGGAGAAAATATTTGTGAACTATTCCTCTGACAAGGGATTAATATCCAGAATATATAAGGAACTCAAACAACAGCAAAAGACTAAATAATTCAATTAAAACATAGGCAAATGAACTGAATAGGCATCTCTCAAAACAAGACATATAAATGGCCAAAACGTATATGTAAAAATGCTCATCACTTATCATCAGGGAAACGCTAGAAAAGTGGATTTTGAAAAGTGGATTAAATTGCTAGAAAAGTGGATTTTGAATGTTCCTAATACAAAGAAATGATAAATATTTGAGATGGATATGCCAATTACCCTAATTTGATCATTACACACATTGTATACATGTATCAAAATATCACACTGTACCACATATTATGTGCCAATTAAAAATAACAATAAAACCAAAAAAACCCCAAAATATATATCCCAGAAATGTATATACCACAATTTGTTTACACATTCATCTGTTGATGGACATTGAATTCTTTCTACCTTTCGACTACTATGAACAGTGCACACACATGTACTTATTTTAGTACCTATTTTCAATTCCTTTGAGTCTATACCTAGGAGTGGAATTGGTAATTCTACATTTAACTTTTTTGAGGAACTGCCAAACTGTTTTCCTGAACTATTTTGCATTTTGTGGCTGAACCATTTTGTATTCCCAACAGCAATATAAGAAGGTTACAATTTCTCCATATCCTTGCCAACACTTGTTACTTTCCTTTTTCTTACCTTTTTTTTTTAATTGCTGCCATCCTAATGGGTGTAAAGTGGTACCTCACTGTGGTTTTGATTTGCACTTCCCTAATGATACTGATGCATTTTCTCATGTTTGTTGGCTCACTCTTGTCTAAATTTGTATTTGTCTGATGATACTGAGCACTTTCTCAAAGGTTGATTGGCCATTTAGACATCCTCCTTTGTGAAGTGCTGATTTAAGTCTTTGCTCACTTTTTCCTATTGGGTTAAACTGCATTTTTCTTACTAGTTTGTAGGAGTTCTTTGTGTATTCTCCATTGAAGTCATTTGTCAGATATAATATTTCAAATATTTCCTCTCTTTCACCTGTCTTAATGGTGTCATTTGATAAACTGTAGTTCTTAATTTAATTGAAATCCAATCTATCAGTCTTTTCCTTCATGTTAGTACTTTTTTATTCTAGGAAATCTGTGCCTATTCCAAGGCCATGTAGGTATTCTCCTTTGTTTTACAATCTTTATTATTTTACCTTTCTCATTTAGTTTTGAAAACCATATGAACTGATTTTTACATATGGTGTGAAGTGGAGGACAAGGTTCATTTTTTTCCTGTGGTTATATAATTGACCCAGCATCACTTAATAAAATGTCTGGTCACTGTTACTTTCACTGACTCCTAAAAATATTTTCATTTCCTTATTTTAAACCTCCTGACATCTTTCTTTCTTACCTAAGTTCTATTCATCCATTAAAACAAGCTTAAATGTCTTCTGTTTCTGAGGAAGTCATCTTGCACAGTAACAAACTTGTTAGATTTAGAAGGAACTTAGAGACCACCTAGTTCAATTTGCTTCATCCATAAGTTATATAAGAGAGGCTGAATTGTCTAACTGCCAATTAGTGACAGATGCAAAGCTATGACCCACATTTCTTGGCTTCCAATATAATGTTCTTTTCACTAAAACACCCAATCTCTAAGTCAATGACCTTGTCCATCATACCACTACTATATCATTGTGCATCTTCCTGCAGTGCTAAAGATGACACAGGCAGCCCAGATGATAAAGCAACAACAAAAGCAACTTTTGGCTCTGGCAGTTCTAAAAGAGATTGAACTAGACTCAAAGATACGGACAAACAAATGGGTAGAGCTCTCTTCTTTTGGTTGTCCAGGAGGATTAAGACCTTAAAATGCAACCAGCCACAGTGACTCATGCCTGTAATCCTAGTGCTTTGGGAGGCTTAGATGGGAAGATCGCTTGAGGCCAGAAGTTTGATACCAGCCTGGGCAACATAGGAAGATACCATCTCTACAAAAAGTAAAAAAATTTATCTGGGTCCCCCTGGTGGTCCCAGCTGCTGGGGAGGCTGAGATGGGAGGATCACTTGAGCCCAGGAGTTAGAAGCTACAGTGAACCATGATGGTGCCACTGCACTACAGCCTGGGTGACACAACTCTTGTGTCTAAACCTGTCTCTAAAAAAGAAAAAAAAAAAAGACCTTAAAATGCCAACTGTGGCCTGAAAACAAACAAAGTAGAATCCAAATTAAGGGATACGGCATGAAAGAGGAAAAGAAAACCAGTATTGAAATGCGGTTATAACAGGAATGAAAGGAAGAGAAGTCATCTAGGAGGGGCTGTTAAAGCAAACACTCCAGGGCCAGGTGCAGTAGCTCATGCCTTACAAAGTGCTGTAATCCCAGCACTATGGGGGGCTGAGCCAGGCAGATCATTTGAGGCCAGGAGTTCGAAACCAGCCTGGCCGACACAGCAAAAACCCATCTGTACTAAAAATACAAAAATTAGCTGGGCGTGGTGTACATGCCTGTAATCCAAACTACTTGGGTAGCTAAAGCACCAGAATCGCTTGAACCTGGGAGGTGGAGGTTGCAGTGAGCTGAGATCATGCTACTGCACTCCAGCCTGGGTGACAGAGTGAGTCTCTGTCTCAATAAATACATAAATAAAGCAAACACTTTATGCTAGAACACACAAAAAAATATGTTGGAAGGAAGATCAAATAAAAGGTAGCAAGTAGCACTAAGGTCTTGTCTCAGGCTGGGTGCAGTGGCTCACACTTGCAATCTCAGCATTTTGGGAGGCCAAAGCAGGAAGACTGCTTGAGGCCAGGTGTTCAAGGCCAGCCTGGTCAACTATAGTGAGACCCCATATCTACAAAAGATTTAAGGGGAAAATTAAAAAGATCTTGTCTCATACTTGAAAAAAAACAAAGTTGGAGGACTCACATTTCCTGATATCAAAACTTACTGCAAATCTATAGTAATCAAAACAATGTGGTACTGGCATAAAGACAGACATATAGACTAATGGAATAGATTAAAGAGCCCAGAAATAAACCCTCACATATATGGTCAAATGATTTTTGACAAGGGAACCAAGACCATTCAATGGGGAAAACAATCTTTTTAACAAATGTTGCTGGCAAAACTGGATATTCACTTGCAAAAGAACGAAGTTGGATCCTTACCTTATACCATACACAAAAATTAACTCAAAATGGATCAAAGACCTAAATGTCAGAGCTAAAACTATAAAACTCTTAGAAGAAAATATAGAGGAAAAGCTTCATAACATTGGATCTGTCAATGATTTCTTAGACATGACACCAAAAGCATAGGCAATAAAAGAAAAAATAGATAAATGGAACTTTATTAAAATGAAAAGCTTTTGTTGCTCAAAGGATACTATCAAGAGAGTGAAAGGGCAACTCAGAGAATGAGAGAAAATATTTGCAAATTGTATCTGTGATAGAATTAATACCCAGAATATATAAAGAACTCCTAAAACTCAACAACAACAAAACCCAGTTAAAAATAGACAAAAGACTTGAATAGACTTTTCTCCAAAAACAGATATAAAAATGACCAATAAGCACATGAAAAGATGTTCAGCATCATTAATCATTAGGTAATATGAATCAAAATCACAATTAGATACCACTTCATACCCATTAGGATGTCTAATATTAAAACACAAACAAAATTTCTTACCTAAAAACACATACACACAGAAAATAACAAGTATGGGTGAGGATGTTGAGAAATTCAGACTCTAGTGCTCTGCTGGTGGTAAAGGAAAATGGTGCAGCTGCTATAGAAAACATTACTGCAGTTCCTCAAAAAAATTAAGCATAGGATTACCATAAGATCCAGCAATTCCAAAAGAACTGAAAGCAGGAACTCAAAAAGATATTTGTACACACATGTTCTTAGCAGCATTAGTCACAACTGCCAAAAGGTGGAAACAACCCAAATGTCTATGAGATAAACAAATGGATGAATGAATAAACAAAATGTGAAATATACACATAATGAAATATTTATGTAGCTTAAAAAGGCAAGAAATCCTGACACATGCTACAACATGGAGGAATCTTGAAAAAATGCTAGGTGAAATAAACAAGATACAAAAGGACAAATATTGTATGATTCCACTTATATGAGGTACCAAAAATAGTCAAATGCATAAAGACAGAAAGCAGAATAGGGGTAATCAGGGGCTGTGTGGGAATGAGAAGTTACTATTTAGTTGGTACAGAGTTTCAGTTTGGGATGATGAAAAAGTTTATAAATGATCTCGGCTCACTGCAACCTCCGCCTCCCAGGTTCAAGCAATTCTCCTGTCTCAGCCTCCCAAGTAGCTGGGACTACAGGTGCCTGCCACCACACCCAGCTAATTTTTGTATTTTTAGTAGAGACTGGGTTTCACCTTGTTGGTCAGGCTGGTCTCAAACTCCTGACCTCAGATGATCCACTCACCTCGGCCTCCCAAAGTGCTGGGATTACAGGCGTGAGCCACCTCGCTTGGCCCAGTTTATATATTTAAAAATGGTTATGATGGTAAATGTTATGGATATTTTACTACAATCTTTTTTAAAAGAGAGAAAAAAATTTACTATGCCCCCCAACATATGCCATAAATGATACTCTGATGAATAATAGCTCACTCCTGCCTTCAAAGGACCTTATAGTCTTCTGAGGTAGTAGACAGGTAAACAGGCAAAGTACAGTATGGTAAATCTTCCAATAAAGTAAAACAGGCTTTTACAGAATATACAAGCAAGACATCTAACCAAGTTTGGAGAGATCAAGGAAAGCTTCCTGGAGAAAGTAACATCTTAGCTAAAGCCCACAGATGGGCTGGTAGGGTGGGTTATGGGAAGAAAATGGGTAGAGCTTTGCAGGAAGAAGAAATAGCATATTTAAGAGACTACAGACAAGAGAGATCAAGCCACTTGGGTACTGCAAGCAGTTCAGTGTAAGTGGATTTCAGAAAATCAGCTAACAGGTAATCAAGTACCACATCAGGAACGCAAAGCCCTGCTCTCATGGGAAGGAGTTTTGCTTTTATTCTGAAGGCAATAAGGAGATAATGAAAGCTTCAAAGTAGAAAATGATTTGATCAAAGTTACATTTTAGGAAGGTTATTCTAGCTATAGTGTATAGAATGAGACGAGGGAGGAATAAGATCAGAGTGAGGAAGACCAGGAAGAAGACTATTGTAGCAATTCCACTGAGAGATGACAGCCTAAGCCAGGCAGCAGCAGCAGGGATGATGTACTGGACAGTTTTGTTGACTGACTAAAAGAGGAAGGTAAGATATAAGAAAAATCAAGGAAGACACCCAAATCATGAGCAAAGGGATGAAAGGTAGTGAAATTCACCGAGACAAGGAATAAGATGTGATGCAGAGTGTTCAGATTAAGATGACGACTACTTTTGAACATGCTGAGTCTGAGGTGCTTTGGTACCTCCAAATGGAGGCATCATATAGGCAAGGATATGTGCTTCTGAAGCTCAAGGGAATGATTTTTTTTCTCATCCATACTTGCTATTTATTTAGTCTTCTTGTTTGGAACAAAAAGTCAAGAATTCACAAATACCACCAGCTAAGCACCTGTTTCAAGTGAAACATCAGCTTCAGCTTAAAAAATAGTTTCTTTATAATTAATTAAGTAGTAGCAGAAGACCCATGTCAGCTGCTTCTTTCTTCCCTGGAGAAATTGGCAGGATAACTGCAATCCTAGGAGCTCTCAGTGTTGAATCTGGGAGGTGGAACAAAAAGAAAAGTGGCCTCTTCCAAATCATAGAGGTAATATGTAGAGAAGAGATATCCACTGATATGGTTTGGCTGTGTCCCCACCCAAATCTCATCTTGAATTGTACTCTCATAATTCCCACGTTGTGGGAATGACCAGGTGGAAGATAATTTGAATCATGGGGGCGGTTTCCCCCATACTGTTCTCATAGTAGTGAATAAGTCTCCTGAGATCTGATGGTTTTATCAGGGGTTTCTGCTTTTGCATCTTTTCATTTTCTCTTGCTGCTGCCATGTAAGAAGTGCCAGCCAGGCCCAGTGGCTCATGCCTGTAATCCCAGCACTTTGGGAGGCCGAGGTGGATGGATCACGAGGTTAGGAGTTCAAGACCAGCCTGGCCAACATAGAGAAACCCCATCTCTACTAAAAATATGAAAAATTAGCCAGGCGTGGTAGCGGGTGCCTGTAACCCCAGCTACTCAGGAAGCTGAGGCAGGAGAATCACTTGATCCCAGCAGGTGGAGGTTGCAGCAGGCCGAGATCTGTTGGGAGCAGGCCCCCCAAAATCTGGCCATAAACTGGCCCCAAAACTGGCCATAAACAAAATCTCTGCAGCACTGTGAGATGTTTATGATGGCCATAAAGCCCAAGCTGGAAGGTTGTGGGTTTACGGGAATGAGAGCAAGGAACACCTGGCCCGCCCAGGGTGGAAAACCGCTTAAAGGCATTCTTAAACCACAAACAATAGCATGAGCAATCTGTGCCTTAAGGACATGCTGCTGCTGCAGTTAACTAGCCCAACCTATTCCTTTAATTCGGCCTATCCCTTCATTTCCCATAAGGGATACTTTTAGTTAATTTAATATCTATAGAAACAACGCTAATGACTGGCTTGCTGTTAATAAATACATGGGTAAATCTCTGTTTGGGGCTCTCAGCTCTGAAGGCTATGAGACCCCTGATTTCCCACTTCACACTTCTATATTTCTGTGTGTATGTCTTTAATTCCTCTAGCACCGCTGGGTTAGGGTCTCCCCGACCGAGCTGGTCTCGGCAAGTGGTGCCCAATGTGGGGTGGGCCAGGTGTTCCTTGCCCTCATTCCGGTAAACCCACAACCATCCAGCATGGGCTTTATTGCCATCATGAACATGTCACAGTGCTGCAGAGATTTTGTTTATGGCCAGTTTTGGGGCCAGTTTATGGCCAGATTTTGGGGGGCCTGCTCCCAACAAGATCACACCACTGCACTGCAGCTTGGGCGACAGTGCAAGATTCTGTCTCAAAAAAAAAAAAAAAAAAAAAGAGTGCCTTTTGCCTCCCGCCATGATCGTGAGGCCTCCTCAGCCATGTGGAACTGTAAGTCAAATTAAACCTCTTTTTCTTCCCAGTCTTGGGTATGTCTTTATCAGCAGCATGAAAACGGACTAATACAGTAAATTGGCACCAGTAGAGTGGGGCATTGCTGAAAAGATACCTGAAAACATGGAAGCAACTTTGGAATTTGATAACAGGCAGAGATGGGAGCAGTTTGGAGGGCTCAGAAGAAGACAGGAAAATGTGGGAAAGTTTGGAGCTTCCTAGAGACTTGTTGAATGGCTTTGACCAGAGGCCTGATGGTGATATGGACAATAAGGTCCAGGCTGAGGTGGTCTCAGACAGAGATGAGGAACTTGTTGGGAACTGCAGCAAAGGTGACTCTTGCTACGTTTTAGCAAAGAGACTGGTGGCATTTTACCCTTGCCCTAGAGATCTGTGGAACTTTGAACTTGAGAGAGATGATTTAGGGTATCTGGCAGAAGAAATTTCTAAGCAGCAAAGCATTCAAGAGGTGACTTGGATGCTGTTAAAGGCATTCAGTTTTATAAGGGAAGCTGAGAGTAAAAATTTGGAAAATTTGCAGCCTGTCCATGTGATAGAAAAGAAAAACCCATTTTCTGAGGAGAAATACAAGCTGGCTGCAGAAATTTGCATAAGGAATCAGGAGCGAATGTTAATCTCCAAGACAATGGGGAAAATGTCTCCAGGGCATGTCAGAGTTCTTCATAGCAGCCCCTCCCATCACAGGCCCAGAGGCCTAGGAGAAAATAATTTTGTGAGCTGGGCCCAGGGTCCCCATGCTGTGTGCAGTCTAGGGACTTGGTGCCCTGCGTCCCAGCTGCTCCATCTGTGGCTGAGAGGGGCCAATGTAGAGCTCGGGCCAAGGCTTCAGAGGGTGCAAGCTCCAAGACTTGGCAGCTTCCATGTGGTGTTGAGCCTGCGAGGGCACAGAAGTCAAGAACTGGGGTTTGGGAACCTCTGCCTAGATTTAAGAAGATGTAAGGAAATGCCGGGATGCCCAGGCAGAAGTTTGCTGTGGGGCAGGACGCTTATGGAGAACCTCTGCTAGGGCAGTGTAGAGGGGAAATGTGGGGTTGGAGCCCTCAGACAGAATCCCTACTGGGGCAATGCCTAGTGGAGCTGTGAGAAGAGGGCCACCGTCCTCCAGACCCCAGAATGGTAGATCTACCGACCAATTGCATTGTTCGCTTGGAAAAGACAGACACACGATGCCAGCCTGTGAAAGCAGCTGGGAAGAAGGCTGTACCCTGCAAAACCACAAGGGTGGAGCAGCCCAAAACCATGGGAACCCACCTATTGCATCAGTGTGACATGGACATGAGGCCTTGAGTCAAAGGAGATCACTTGGGAGCTTTAAAATTTGACTGCCCCGCTGGATTTCGGACTTGCATGGGCCCTATATAACCCCTTTGTTTTGGCCAATTTCTCCCATTTGGAACAGCTGTATTTACCCAATACCTGTACCCCCAATTGTATCTAGGAAGTAACTAGCTTGCTTTTGATTTTACAGGCTCATAGGCAAAAGGGACTGGCCTCATCTCAGATGAGACTTTGGACTGTGGACTTCTGGGTTAATGCTGAAATGAGTTAAGACTTTGGGGGACTGTTGGGAAGGCATGATTGGTTTTGAAATGTGAGGACATGAGATTTGGAGGGGCCAGGGGTGGAATGATAAGGTTTAGCTGTGTCTCCACCCAAATCTCATCTTGAATTGTACTCCCATGATTCCCACGTGTTGTGGGAGGGACCTGGTGGGAGATAATTTGAATCATGGAGGTGGTTTCCCCCATACTGTTCTTGTGGTAGAGAATAAGTCTCACGAGATCTAGTGGTTTTATCAAGGGTTTCCGCTTTTGCATCTTTTCATTTTCTCTTGCTGCTGCCATGTAAGAATTGCCTTTCGCCTCCTGCCATGATTCTGAGGCCTCCCCAGCCATATGGAACTGTGAGTCCAATTAAACCTCTTTTTCTTCCCAGTCTCAGGTATGTCTTTATCAGCAGTGTAAAAACGGACTAATACATCCACATTTCAAGAATAGAGAAAGTGGCTTAATAAAAGAAACAGGACTACCCACTCTAGGAGACTACATAGAGACACATTTACACACCAAGGGTGGTGGCATGCCTATAGTCCCAGCTACTGAGGAGGCTGAGGCAGGAGGGTTTCTTGAGGCCAGGAGTTTGAGACCTCAGTGTGCCATGGTCACACCTGTGAATAACCACTGCTCTTCAGCCTTTGGGCAACATAGTGAGACTCTATCTTTTCCAAGTTCTGAGTTCAGAATTTTGTTTTTGAGATGAATGTAAAAGCATCTAAAGGTTATGAAAAAAATTCTTCCTGTGATAAAGAACCTCCCCCAATCCTGTAGATGTATTTGGCCTCCCATGAGTCAGTGGCCCCCACCCTTCTCCTCCCCAGAGGCCAGTTTGCAGCAGCACACCTCACGCCACCATCTTTGCTCCTCAAGGGAAAGATTTAATAGCAAGAAGCAAAAGAAGATAAGAAGCTTGGTACAGAACTATAGCTAGACTCTGAGGACTGCGAGACAGCTCTTTGCATGTTGATATATAGCTCATTTGGAATTAGCCAGAGGAGCAGCTCTGCACTGGGAGGAAGGTGGGTGGCTCTTATCATAGGAGAAGAGAAAAATGCAGCCAGATGGATGGTTTACACTGTCCCCACTCCCTGGGCTCCTCCCTTCTCCAATGACAACGAGATGCTACGCTGCCAATTTTCTACTTTGTTACTTACAGATTTCACTTTGGAAAATCTATAACAGTTCTAGAAATTGAAATAAAAACAATTTTGTCAAAGCTTAGTTTTAATCATTTTAAACATTAAAAACTGCAGTCTTCAGCCTCTCTTGATAACATCAAGATCTGCTCTCCCTCCTACCAGGTCTCAGGGACCTCGTCAGCCTGGTGAATGTCTGCAACCATGTTAATGGGGAACTGCCCGTGCATTCATCTGTCTCCCTGGATTTCCACCTAGTGAGGCCACTTCTGAAGTCTTTCCTTCCTACGTCTCACTCCACCCAATTTACCCAAAGCTGAGCTATTTGCCTCTGATTCTCAAGAACTGGTCTCTTCCTAATCCTTTTGAGATAGTCACTCTTGGTTGACTTACATGTATGTCTTCCCCCCAGAAACCCTTTGAAGGATCTGTTCATAGAATACTTTGACAGAGGCCTAGTGTGGATATAAATGTATGATTATCCATAAGTAACTATCAGGAGATACTTGTGAAGCACTTACACTTTGAGTACTTGGATATTTTTTTTTCCTTTAATTCAGAGATGGGGTCCCACTGTGTTGCCCAGGCTGGACTTAAACTCCTGGGCTCAAGCAATCCTCCTGCCTCAGCCTCCCAAGTGGCCGGGACTACTGGTGCATGCCACCAAGTTAGTACTTAGATATTTTAATCTAAAAACACTAAGAAAGATTCTTAAGAATGGATCCTATTTAATGAAGTCAATCCAATGATTACAATTATTATAAATGTATCCCAAAGCTTCTCTGAGCAAGTTCCATCAGTCCAAAATGAAGACAGGTTTCCACCTTGTACATACATCCATATAGCTACCAAGCTACTAGTATCCGCTTCCATCTCCCTGGCCCTGCAGACACTACAACTCAAAGCTGTCCTCTACTTTACCTCCCCATTCCCCCATCACCTATTTTTTCTTCAAATTTAACTTGCTTTCCATGTTTCTTTTATTTCTTCCACAAGGCACAAGAGCCTTTCCCTTTATATCGCAAACAGAAAACCCTTTGTAGTCTCTAACTGTTGCCTCCACACCTATTCTCATTTTCTTCACCAGTTTCCTTGATTCAAGTTATGATGCAAACAATTTTTCCTGCCCATTGTTCTAAAACTGAAAAGTGTTTCATTTCTTCTCGCAAAGTTTTTTTGTGGTAAAATATACATAATATACAATTTACCATTTTAGCCATTTTTAAGTATACAGTTCCATGGCATGGAATACATTCACATTGTTGTACTGTCATTGGCACCATCCATCTTCAAATCTTGTCATCCAATACTGAAACACTGTAAGTCAAGTTTTACTAGAATGCAGCCATATTTATGTAAGTATTGTCTGTGGCTGCTTCTGTGTTACAACAGCAGAGCTGAGTAGTTGCAAAAGGCTGTGTGGCCCACAACGCCTGAAATATTTACCATCTAACTCTTTCCAGAAAAAGCCTCTCTACTTCTTGTATAGTTACCATAGCAACCGTCTAACTGGTCTCACTGCCTCCAGTTTCATTCCTTTTCAGTCTACCTGTCCCAAGAGTGACTTTTAAGATATAATTCTGATAAATTAACTTCCTTGGTTAAAATCCATTAGTGGCATCCTGTAGACTAATGTGTTCCTGAATGTGTTCCTGGGGGCCACCATTTCCTCATTTGAGGGTTAAATGAGCTGATACATATGAAGTAGGTCTTTTTTTTTTTTTTTTACTTTTATCTTATTTTATTTTTATTTAATTTTATTTTATTATTATTTTTTTTTTTTTTTAATTGATCATTCTTGGGTGTTTCTCGCAGAGGGGGATTTGGCAGGGTCACAGGACAATAGTGGAGGGAAGGTCAGCAGATAAACAAGTGAACAAAGGTCTCTGGTTTTCCTAGGCAGAGGACCCTGAGGCCTTCCGCAGTGTTTGTGTCCCTGGGTACTTGAGATTAGGGAGTGGTGATGACTCTTAAGGAGCATGCTGCCTTCAAGCATCTGTTTAACAAAGCACATCTTGCACCGCCCTTAATCCATTCAACCCTGAGTGGATACAGCACATGTTTCAGAGAGCACAGGGTTGGGGGTAAGGTCACCGATCAACAGGATCCCAAGGCAGAATTTTTCTTAGTACAGAACAAAATGAAAAGTCTCCCATGTCTACCTCTTTCTACACAGACACGGCAACCATCCGATTTCTCAATCTTTTCCCCACCTTTCCCCCCTTTCTATTCTACAAAACCGCCATTGTCATCATGGCCCGTTCTCAATGAGCTGTTGGGTACACCTCCCAGACAGGGTGGTGGCCGGGCAGAGGGGCTCCTCACTTCCCAGTAGGCGCGGCCGGGCAGAGGCGCCCCTCACCTCCCGGACGGGGCAGCTGGCCAGACGGGGGGCTGAACCCCCCCACCTCCCTCCTGGACGGGGCGGCTGGCCGGGCAGAGGGGCTCCTCACTTCCCAGTAGGGGCGGCTGGGCAGAGGCGCCCCTCACTTCCCGGATGGGGCGGCTGGCCGGGCGGGGGGCTGACCCCCCCACCTCCCTCCCGGACAGGGCGGCTGGCCGGGCAGAGGGGCTCCTCACTTCCCAGTAGGGGCGGCCGGGCAGAGGCGCCCCTCACCTGCCAGACGGGGCGGCTGGCCGGGCGGGGGGCTGATCCCCCCACCTCCCTCCCGGACGGGGCGGCTGGCCGGGTGGGGGGCTGACCCCCCCACCTCCCTCCCAGACGAGGTGGCTGCCGGGCGGAGATGCTCCTCACTTCCCAGACGGGGTGGCTGCTGGGCGGAGGGGCTCCTCACTTCTCAGACAGGGCGGCTGCCGGGCGGAGGGTCTCCTCACTTCTCAGACGGGGCGGTTGCCAGGCAGAGGGTCTCCTCACTTCTCAGACGGGGTGGCCGGGCAGAGATGCTCCTCACTTCCCAGATGTGATGGCGGCCGGGAAGAGGTGCTCCTCACTTCCTAGATGGGATGGCGGCCGGGCAGAGACGCTCCTCACTTTCCAGACTGGGCAGCCAGGCAGAGGGGCCCCTCACATCCCAGACGATGGGCGGCCAGGCGGAGACGCTCCTCACTTCCCAGACGGGGTGGCGGCCGGGCAGAGGCTGCAATCTCGGCACTTTGGGAGGCCAAGGCAGGCTGCTGGGAGGTGGAGGTTGTAGCGAGCCGAGATCACGCCACTGCACTCCAGCCTGGGCACCATTGAGCACTGAGTGAACGAGACTCCGTCTGAAGTAGGTCTTAATAATACTTCCAATAATTGTTTTTAATATGGACCACTAACTACCTGCTAGACACAGTTCTAATAGCTTTATATATAATTCTTTTGATGCTTCCAACAACCCTCTGAGGTAGTTATTGTTCTTATCCCATACCACTGATGAGAAAACTGAGGCATAAAGAGGTTAAGTAACTTTGCTCTACGTCCCACAGTGGGATTCAAACCCAAGCTGTTTGGCCCCAAGGTCTGTGTTCTTAACAACTTCACCACACTACTTCTTGTGATCAGCACTCTTTCCCTTCCCTGCATCCCTTCTAAGATCCCTTCCAGCCCTATGAGATCATAACACTTAACTAATGAGCTCTCCTGGAATCTGACAGACTAAGCAAAGTTGGTTTCTCTGACAGGATTACCAAGATTCAAAAAACATAGAGGCTTAAATCAGAAGGAATAATATCCTGACTCAAAATCTATCATCAAATAATTATGTGTTGAATAAAGTAATGAAAATGCACACACACAGGCTAGAACAAAGGTCCAGCACTATTCAGTTGACCCTTAACACAACAATGACCAAGAATTTATCCATTCAATGAGAACGTCTTGAGTGTCTACTACATTCCAGGCATTGGAAAGCTTAGAATTTAAACCTGGTATCAGGATACACTCTCCTAAGTCATTATCTGTCTGTCATGTTGGAAAATAGATTTCTGTGTTGGACAGGAAGAAAGTTGCATTAAAATTTTAAAGTTTTTTTGTTTTCAATCAGTGGAAGTCTTTTTCAAATCATATCTTACACGAAATGTCAATATATAATATAGACAAAAGTATTTCTGCTCTGGTTGAAGCAGGAATGAGCCTCAAGTCCACCTCATTCCTCTCCTGCAGAGTATAAGGATGGCTCTAAACTATTATACAAAATAACAATTGGCTCTCTTTCAACTCCAGAATTCAATGGCAATTCTTTCAACAATATAGATCTGGAGTTAATTATTAATAAAGTTCTCTTGAAATAGACATGCCCAAATACACAGAAGTAAAGAAGATACATCAAAGTGGTTATGGGCCTGTCTGCAAAGCAGGTGTAATACCTATGAACGTTATAATAATATATACAGGCACTCTATAAACATTACATTTAATCTTCATAACAACCTAATTAGGCAGGCATTGACAGCTTCATTTTACAAGTGAGGAAAGAAAGCGAGACTCGAACTCGAAGAAAATACAGGAATTCCTAGGATCACATTGGGAGCAGCCTCTCTCCAAAGTCCACATGGTTTCCCCGTACCATGACATCTTTGACAATGACTAAGATCAAGTTCTTTCCTACTCCAAAGAAGCTCTGAAAACAAGATGAAGACTTCTAATGACAACAAGAGAACTGACAGCTCGCATGAAGTTTTGCTACTCAGGGAACACTCAGGTTGCTTCAATGACCAAAAAAGATTACTGTGAAACTGGGTTAAACAATAGGGCATTAAAGCAGTATCAAACTCCAAATCAAAAGCTGTGAGGCCACCCAGCCTTCAGTGTGGCTAAGAGGTCTGGATACAGGCATCACAAAGGCCATGTCAGGCTTGTGTGCTTTTTGCTCTTCATTTGCTGAATCAATCGCTAACAGGCCGAAGAGCAGACCCACTAAATGGTTACTGGAGGATATCCTACTGACCAAATTCAGAAGCATCACTCACACTTCCATGAAGTTTTACAGGGGAAGAGAAGATGGGTTACCCAAGTAGCTGTAGTGGTGCTCAAATAAGGTGACTGCAAGCAGAAGAGGCAAAAACGATGGGAAGGCCTGAGGTACAGCTTCAACCATGGGGGTGATAAAATCATCTCACAGGGTACTGTGAGGATCAGATGAGAGAATGTTTGTCAAAAGCTTACAAAGTGGTATACAACTATAAATATAAAAATACACAGTAGCCTAGCTATGAATGGCAGCAACAATCCATTGTGGCCAGCCATGTTTAAAAACAGAGTGGAACTTTCCTGAACAAGATTTCAGACTTGTTAGGATCTTAGGAGATTGAGCTGACAGAGTGACAAATTGCAAACAGTTGCTGAGGCTACAAATTAATGCAACCTCATATTTGTGTAGCACTTTCACATTTACAGAGCATTTCCTTATCCTTTACCTCAACTCATCCTTACTTGGAGTTTAAAGGAGCAAATATTGCTAGATCCAGCTTCATAGAAAAGGTGTTTGGGGTTAAAGAGGTTGCCTTGTATCAAACAGCCAGTGACACAGGCACAAAATATTAAGTGGCCCCCTGTCCATTTTCTAAGAAGAGATCATTCCTTTCTTGTTTCAATTAGCTATTTTCCTCATGCTGAAAAGAACAATAGGTAGGAAGAGAAAGTGGAAAACTCTCCAAATAATGATAATGATGGCGATGATAAAAAGACCAGGAAGGAGCAATCTAGGAATGTGGCTGACGCTGCAGAGCATGGTGCAGGAGAAAGAAAAAAAGGAGATAGGACAACTAGTATACAATGCGGGCAAAAAGTACTTTTTAAGAAGTCTAGTAGTAGAATGTCCAATGCATCTTCTTTTCAACAGTTCTGCAGTAAAGATCTGCATTGTTCTTTAAGTCTCTTGGAATTGGATTTGAGTGTGTGTGTGTGGTTTCTGTTGTTTTTGTGACTGTTGTGGTTTGTTTTTACAGTACCTTAAGACAAAAGCAGGGTAGCTTATGAGGTCGTAGTTACATTTGAGTTACACTGCCAGGGCGAGGGTGTGGGCTGGAATTCAGTGTTTCTGCTCTCCGCCCCAGTGATTTTCTATAACACACTGCCTTTCCGCACAGTGGATAAGATGTGGGACACGCATTGGTCTTTTCAGAAGCATCTATAAACAATGTCAACAATGCCTACAGGAGACACTATCTCCAAATACAAGCAAGGCAACATACATCCCAATTTTGTTAATAACGCTTTCACAACTACTTTCCAACTGGAATCTCCTGACCACCATATGACAAGATCACAAAGGTTAAGTAACTTGCTCAGGGTCACAAAGATAATAAGTAGCAGAGCTAGGACTTAGACTCAGGAGTTGACTCTCCATTCTGTGTGCTTTTTCTGTACAGTATGGTATTTCTCATTCAGGAAAAAAATGTTAAAATGGGACAAGCACAGTGGTAGTAAGATAAGAATATACAGTCCTTCCTTGGTATCCATTGGGGATTGGTTCCAAGATACACACACTCCCACTACCCCTTTAGATAGCAAAATCCCCAGATGCTCAAGTCTCTTATGTAAAATGGTGTAGTATTTGCATATAACCTATGCACAGCCTCCTATATACTTTAAATAATCTCTAGATTCCTTATAATACCTAATATGATGTAAATGCTATGTAAGTAGTTGTTACACTGTATTTTTAAATTGTTACTGTTATGTTTACTGTTTTTTCTCTCAAATATTTTTGATCTGCAGCTGGTTGAATCTATGGATGGAGAAACTACATATATGGAGAGCCAACTGCATTTCCAATCTCACTTGTATTGTATTAACAAAACTTACTCTTACACTTTTCCCTGAGACATTCAAAGTTATCTCTCTCATCTACTCAGAGAAGACCTGACTAGCAAAAGATCCTATAGGAAAAATTAAAGCAGAAGATTGTTCATAATTGCTATGGTACCTTAACTATTGTTAACCACTTCATTAATAACAAATGATTTCACTAATCCTCAAAGTTGGCCCAACCCATTCAACCTCAAGGATGGTACAGTAACCTTGGCTGGTGGATGAATCAGGAACTGATAGGAAATTTGGGTTTGATAGCCATGGCTCCTTTCTCCTCAGAAACATCAGACTCTCCACTGCTTGTTGAATAAAGTCCCAAATCCTTAAATGAGCACTCAGGGCTCTTTTCAACCTATTAATAGACGTTCTCTGCTGTGTCTAATGCTTCACAAAAACATTCCTCACTCCTACTGTACTTTTCCACTCCTATACTTTGGCTGTGCCATTCCTATTGATTAGAATGCTATCTTACCTATTGCTGCTTGGGACAGTTGTTCTTATTCCCCCGATCAAAAAAATCTCTCCCTCCCTCCTGGTATTTTAGATCACTTCTAAAAGACTACTTTAAAGTACAGGCATACCTCAGGCTTATTGTGGGTTCAGTTGCAGACCATCACAATAAAGCAAGTATCACAATAAAGTCAGTAACAAAATTTTTTTGGTTTCTCAGTGCATAAAAAAGTTATGTTTATGCTATGCTGTAGTCTATTAAGTGTAGGAAAGCACTGTCTTAAAAAAAAAAAAAAAAAAAAAAAAAAAAAAAAAAAAAAAAACAGGCCAGGCACATGTGCTCATATCCGTAATCCCAGCACTTTGTGAGGTCAAGGCAGGAGGCTCACCTGAGGCCAATAGTTTAAGACAAGCCTGGGCAACAGTGAGATCCTGTGTTTTAAAAAAAAAAAAACTTAAAAAAAATTAGCAGAGTGTGGTGGTGCACACCCATAGTCCCAGCTACCCAGCTGAGGTGGGAGAATCACTTGAGCCCAGGAGGTCCAGGCTGCAGTGGGCCATGATTGGGCCACTGCATTCTAGCCTGCTAGCCTGGGCAACAAGCTGAGACCCCATCTCAAAAAAAAAAAAAAAAAAAAAAAAAAAAAAAAAAAAAAGCATATACCTTAATTCAAAAAATACTTTATTGCTAAAAAAAAAAAAACTAATGATCACCTGAGCCTTTAGCTAGTTGTCATCTTTTTGCTAGTGGAGGGTCTAGCCTTAATGTTGATCGCTACTGACTGACTGATCAGGGTGGTGGTTGCCGAAGAATGGGATGGCTGTGGCAATTTCTTAAAATAAGACAACAATGAAGTTTCCTGTATTGATCAATTCTTCCTTTCATAAAAGATTTCTCTGTAGCATACAATGGTATTTGACAGCATTTTATCCACAGCAGAGCATCTTTCACAATTTGAGTCACGCTGTGGCGCGCAGCCATAGTCCCACCTACTTGGCAGGCTGAGGTGAGAGGATCACTTGAGTCAGGGAGTTCGAGGCTACAGTGAGCTATGATCACACCACTGCACTCCAGCCTGGGTGACAGAGCAAGACCCTGTCTCTTAAAAAAATCAAAAATGAAAAAACAAAATTGGAGTCAGTCCTCTCAAACCTTGCTGCTACTTTATCAACTAAGTTTAGGGAATATTCTAAATATATTGTTGTCATTTCAACAATCCTCACAGCATCTTCACCAGGAGGAGATTCCATCTCAGGAAACGACTTTCAGCCCAGCACGCTGTAATCCCAGCACTTTGGGAGACCAAGGCAGGAAGATTGCTTGAGCCCAGGAGTTCAAGACCAGCCTGGGCAACAAGGTGAACCTTGTCTCTACAAAAAAATACAAAAATTAGCCAGGTGTGGTGGCTGAAGCCTGTAGTCCCAGCTATGCTGTAGGCTGGGTGGGAGGATCACTTGAGCCCGGAGGTCAAGGCTGCAGTGAGCCATAATTGCACCACTGCACTCAAGCCTGAGCGATAAAGCGAGACCCTGTCTCAAAAAAGAAAAAAAAATTTTTTCTTTGCTCATCCATAAAAAGCAACCTCTCATCTGTCCAAGTTTTATCATGAGATTGCAGCCATTCAGTCACATCTCTAGGCTCCACTTCTAATTCTAGTTCTCTTGCTATTTTCACCACATCTGCAGTCCCCTCCCCCATGAACATCCTGAACTCCTCAAAGTCATTCATGAGGGTTAGAATAACTCCTTCCGGCCGGGTGTGGTGGCTCATGCCTATAATCCCAGCACTTTGGGAGGCTGAGGAGGGTGGATCATGAAGTCAAGAGATCGAGACCATCCTGGCCGACATGGTGAAACCCCGTCTCTACTAAAAATACAAAAATTAGTTGGGTGTGGTGGCACGCGCCTGTAGTCCCAGCTACTCAGGAGGCTGAGGCAGCAGAATTGCTAGAACCCGGGAGGCGGAGGTTGCAGTGAGCCAAGATCACGCCACTATACTCCAGCCTGGTGACAGAGCGAGACTCCGTCTCAAAAAAAAAAAAAAAAAGGAATAACTCCTTTCAAACTCCTGTTGACGTTGACATTTTGACCTCCTCTCACAGATGACAGATATTCTTACGGCTTGTAGAATGATGAATCTTTTCCAGAAGGTGTTCAGTTTACTTTTCCCAGATCCATCAGATAAATCACTATTTATGGCAGCTATAGCTTTACAAAATGTATTTTTAAACTAATGACTTGAAAGTTGAAATTAGTCCTTGCTCCATGGACTACAAAATGGATGTTGTGTTAGCTGGCATGAATACAACATTAATCTCCTTGTATATCTCCATCAGAGCTCTTGGGTGACCAAGTATACTGTCAATGAGTATTAATATGTTGAAAGGGATCTTTTTTTTCTGAGCAGTAGGTCTCAACAGTGGGCTTAAAATATCTAGTAAACCATCCTGTTATCTAGGCCTTGTTGTTCCATTTATAGGGCACAGGTAGAGTAGATCTAGTATAATTCTTAAGAGGCCATTAATTACCATTTTCAGAATGGTAAATAAGCGCTGGCTTCCACTTAAAGTCACCAGCTGCATTAGCTCCTAACAGGAGAGTCAGCCTGTCCTTTGAAACTCTGAAGCCAGGAATTGACTTCTCCTCTCTAGCTATGAAAGTCCTAGATGGCATCTTCTTCCAATAGAAGGTTGTTTCTCTACATTCAAAATCCATTGTTTAGTATGGTCACCGTCATCAATTAATGATCTTAGCTAGATCTTCTGGATAACTTACTGTAGCTTCTCCATCAGCGCTTGCTCCTTCATCTTATACTGTCATGTTCTGGAGATGACTTCTTTGCTTAAATCTCTTGAACCAACCTGTGCTAGCTTCCAATTTTTCTCCTGCAGCTTCCTCACCTCCCTCAGCTTTCATAGAATTGGAGAGAATTAGGGCCTTGCTCTGGATTGGGCGTTGGCTTAAGGAAATGTTGTGGCTAGTACGATCTTCTATCCAGACCATTCGAACTTTCTCCATATCAGCATTAAGGCTGTTCCATTTTCTTATTATTTGTGTGTTCACTAGAGTAGCACTTTTAATTTCCTTCAAGAACTGCTCCTTTGCATTAACAACTTGGTTAACTGGCACAAGTGGCCTAGCTTTTGGCCTAAGTTGGCTTTTGATATGCCTTCCTCACTAAGTTTAATCATTTCTAGCCTTTAAGGTGACAGATGTGCAACTCTTCCTTTTACTTGAACACTAAGAGGCCATGTAAGGCTATTAGTTGGCCTAATTTCAATATTGTTGTGTCTCAGGGAAAAGAGAGGCCTGAGGAGAGGGAGAGAGATGGGGGAACAGCTGGTCAGTGGAGCAGTCAGAACACACATAACATTTATTAAGTTCCCTGTCATATGAGTGTGGTTCATGGCACCCCAGAACAATTACAATAGTAACAACAAAGATCACTGATCGCCATAACAGATGTAATAATGAAAAAAATTGAAATATTGCAAAAATTACCAAAATGTGACACAGAGACACAAAGTGAGCATATGCTTCTGGAAAAAATGGTCCCGACAGACTTGCTCAATCAATGCAGGTTTGGCACAAACTTACAATTTGTAAAAAAATGCAGTATCTGCAAATTACAATAAAGCAAAGCCCAATAAAATGAGGTATGCCTGTATCGTTTTATATTTATGTATTTCATTTTGCTTACTTGGTTATAAGTGCCTTAAGGCAAAAAGTATGCTTATTAATCATCACATACTCCACAATGCCTTGCATTGCATCATGCTTTGCCCTGAAAGAGGAACACAGTAGGCCACTGGATAGTTGTTTGTGGCATAAATGAAAGAATGGTATCCAGCTATTGTCTTAAGAAAGACAATGTTGAAACTGGGAAGCAAATTGATTTTAATATCTCTTAAATAACAGACCCAGCGGTTTTGAGGTCTTCAATATCCAAGGAAACCAGAGCTCATGCCAAATAAACTATATAAGTAAATTTCTGTTCTCCACCTTTCTACACACCCATAGTTTAGGATCTCTGCAATAAAAGTTAAATGATGATTTGGGAGTATGACATTTGTTGTCAATAAAATGGAGCACCTTCTTGGGCTAAAGTTACCATGCCTTCATTCAGATTACTAGGTGGAAGATGGTGATGGGCCAACAGGCTGACTTACTCCAGATACAAACAGCGACATAATGAGTTGAGGCATTCTATAAAGATTGTATTATTAAAAAACAAATACTCGGCCAGGCGCTGTGGTTCACGCATGTAATCCCAGCACTTTGGGAGGCCGAGGCAGGCGGATCACGAGGTCAGGAGATCAAGACCACCCCAACTAACATGGTGAAACCCCGTCTCTACTAAAAATAGAAAAAAAATTAGCCAGGCGTGGTGGCGGGTTCCTGTAGTCCTACCTACTTGGGAGGCTGAGGCAGGAGAATGGCGTGAACCTAGGAGGCAGAGCTTGCAATGAGCCCAGATGGCGCCATTGCACTCCAGCCTGGGCGACAGAGCGAGATTGCGTCTCAAAACAAACAAACAAAAACAAAAACTCTGGGTGTAGTAGTTATCTTTGGGGAAAGGCAGTGATTAGGAGAAGTTGGGTGGGCTTCTGGGTTGCTGTGCACTGAAAATTTATGAAGCTATACAGTCATTGCATTTTTCTATACGTATGTTAAAAAATGAATACTGATAAAACATACCTAATATTAAGAAATCATATCATTTAAGGCCAGATTTAAAAACAACACTTAAAATCATATAAAATGAAGGAGGAACCACCTTAAACTTTTTAAATATTATTTATCTCTATCTTGGGTGTACTTTCTTTATTTCCCCATTTTCTCATTCATTATTTCTAGTAAGGCACCAGCATCTAAAGCTCTGGCTTTTCACTTTTCCACTTAAGAGTTCCAGAGAGAATTACTCACATCTTATTACTCAGCCTAATTACCATTCTTGTATCTATGAGTGAAAAAAACCTAGTTTAAAGTTTCCCATCAAATGGCTCCATTTCCAGAATGTCCCCTTCAGTTGTGACCTTTCGTTCATTCATTCATTCATTCATTCAAGAATTATTTACCAGTGCCTTCTATGTGTCAGACATTGTGCTAGGTCCTGGCACTGATTCAATGATGAACAAAATACCTACATCTCATCCTTGTGGAGCTTAAACTCCAGCAGAGATAGATGGATTACCAGCCAATTACAATACAGTGACACAACAGCATTAAGGATAAGGTACTAGAGGTTCACATAACCCAGCATTAGGGGCAAGTGTGTTGTAGAGAGGGAAGGGGTAGTTTTCTATAAAAGTGATACCTAAGCTGAGAAGAAACAGAAATCTGTTCTACGAACAGTAAGATGTATGAAGTCCTAGGAATAAGATAAACGGAAAATAACAACAAATCAAAATTGTTTATTTCTCTGCAGTTTGATCCAGTCTGTCTCTAGCCCCATGAGAATTTCTTCTGACTAGGAAGTGGTTAACTTGTAGACTATTCTGTCAGTCTTTGAAAAATCACTATTTGTCATCACATGATTTTACATAATATTAAATAACATTCTTTGGCTTTAAAAATTCTAACAGTTGCTAGGTGTGGTGGCTCACGCCTGTAATCCCAGAACTTTGGGAGGCCAAAGCAGGCAGATTATCTGAGGTCAGGAGTTCAAGATCAGCCTGGCCAACATGGTGAAACCCTGTCTCTACTAAAAAATACAAAAATTAGCCGGGTGTGGTGGCAGGCACCTGTAATCCCAGCTACTTGGGAGACTGAGGCCAGAGAATCGCTTGAACCCAGGAGGAGGAGGTTGCAGTGAGCTACGATTGCGCCACTGCACTCCAGCCTGGGTGACAGCAAGACTCAGTCTCAAAAAAAAAAAATAATAATAATAATAATAATAATACGTATTTCATTGTAGAAAACTTGAAAAATATAGAAAACTATAAAAATTAAAAACCGTCTATGAGCCTAATACTTAAGAGAACCACTATGAAATCCATCCATGTTCTTTCCTTTGCCAATAACATTCAAAAGTTGTAGATCATATTCCATATGCATTTTGAATCCTTTTTATTACAGTTGATTTGTTTCATGAAATATTTCAGGCATTACAAAAACACAGATAGCAATGGAACTTTGCAGACACAATGGACGCCCCTGTATAATTCTTTTCCATACAATTCCTCTCTAACCTCCTCAAAAGCAACTACTATCCTGAATTAGGTGTCTCTCACTCTCTTGCAGGGTTATGTATTATTGCCATATAAACAGTGTATCCATATATAATAAAGATTGTTTTACATGTTCCGAAACTTTATATAAATGCAACATATTGATCATATCCTGAAATTTGCATTTTTCTATTCCACATTATGTTTGACATTTATTTCTTTTGATACATTTTCCTCTAATTCATGCATTTTCCCATAGCAGTAGTTCATTGTTTGACTCTAAGATAATTTATCCACTCTCCTGTTGTGAACTTTGTTTCCAACAACTATGTGCTATCATCAACAATGTTACCATCATCATTCTTGTCCAGATTGCCATGTGCCCACATAAGTTTCTCTTGGGTAGATACCTAGGAGTATAATGAATGGGTTCTAGGATGTGTTTGATTTCAACACTTGACCTTAAAAGATTTCTTCTTGAATCTCAAATATTTTTAAAAATAAGACTGAATAGTTCTTAAATACAATTATACAGAGATATTTTCACCAAAGTATCTCTTCCCTAGTCTGCGCCAGAGTATCATAATCAAATAAAATGCATATGATTACGTCAACATGGAACACTAAGAGACAATGACCAGCAACCAGGACGTCTATAGAGAACAGACACACAGTGGTACAGAAACGATCCAACAGTGAGTACACCCCAACTGCCTTCAAGTTTAATGTGCAACAGAGGAAGTGCTGAGGCATCCATAATGCTTACACAGCAGGAGAACCTTTTTCAGACCACATGCAGCAGGAAAGACAGAGCACCAAGGAGAGAAAGACATATTCTAGATTAAGAATTGGTGGGAGGAATTTCACAAAGCATAACTGGTGAAAGCAAACCTCCTCGGCCAAACAGTTGATGAAGATTCTTACTTAAAATGTGAACTTTGAGCATACAGAAACTAAGAAACTGACATTTTTTATTGGCCATCCCAGTTTAAAACCATGTGGGAGAGAAAACACAGAACCATGAAGATGCTAGAAGGGAATCTAGATAAGAGATTATTTCTCTTGGTCCCTACCTTCAAAATATTTCTAATTGTTATGTGTAAATGTATATGTGTATATATGAGTATGCACACACATACCAGTGCTGGTAGATACATAGCAGTTTGAAAAAGCCTGTGGGGATTCTGATCCACCACATCTCTTGGCTACCCTCCTCCCCTCAGCACCCTCTTCCACAGCTTGGAAAACAGTGTTGTAGTTTCTCTATACAGATGATCGATGCCATGTGTAACACAGAGCTTAACAAAGTACTTCACATATATTACCACATTTGAATCTCAAAATAACCCAGAGCAGGCAGATGTTGTTATTATTCTTATTGTATAGATCAGAAATATAAAGCTCAGAGAGGTAAAGCAATTTGCCCAAGGTCACAGTGAGGGGTGGGAAGGGGGCTGTAAAAGCACGGAGGAAACAGAATAATGAATATAGGTCATGGAAGGCAGACTTCCTACAGGGAAGCTAAGCATGCTGCAAAGTGCCTTGAACAAAAAAGGCTTGTTCAAAAGCGCTGGGAAGAGGGGTTGACATGATGCCTCAGGCTTCAAGTGTACTCATCATGAATTCTCTTGTTCATAAAAGAAAGATCCAAAGTAAATATTATATTATTCTCTGTAGTTTGCTGTATGCTTCTTATATTTCATATTAAAAATAAATTCTATGAGCAAATTTAGAGATACCACTACAGTGTGGTTCAGGTGTCAGCCAAAAGAACTGTTATGATACGACCCTAGGTTGTGGACAATGCTTGAGGACTAGGTAGAAAAGATTTTACCTCTCCAGGGATGAGAAGAGGTGAAAGCATAATTATGTCTAAGACTGAGGTTAGACATAAGAGTACAGCCACAAGGGAGGGGAGTGTCACCAACACTAGAACTCAAAGGAGAACTAGGGAGGCCCCAAAGAAACCAGCAATGCCTTACACTGAGTCAAGCTGATTTCAGTAACCTGAGACTACATATCTAAGACTACTTATTCTATAAACTGTTCTGAATTATTTCCCCCACTTAGCAGAAAAATCATTTGTGCTTTTAAAAAGATTAATATACCCAAGCATAATGTAATGAGTACTGCAGGAAAGAAGCATTAAAGGTTTGAAAAAGAACAAAGACTAGGAATTCCAGAATTTCTTTTTTGAGAAGAAATTCTTCCTTATCAGTGGAGGCTATGGTAAGTTCCTTGAACAAGTGGTGGCAACAAAACCTGGCCAGCCAGGTAGACATGGGTTTGGGAGCCACAATCTCTCTGGGAAAAGCATTTTTAAAAACTCTTCTGTTCTTATCTGTTTTACTTGTTTTACTTATTTCCCTGGATCCTCCTATATTAGACAGGGGAGTGGGGGGATGTATCTTGCTGAAGGTGCATAGCTGGGCCAAGAATAGAACTCTAGCATCCTGTCTCTCGGCTTACTTCTGGACTATGCTACCTCAGGAAGGAACATTTGAAAATAGTAATTCTCTCCCACCTTGCCACCAAGCTGTGCACAAGCACATGATCAATGAATGAAGTTGGCTAAGTGACTCAGCACTGGGCTGGCTCTCCTGTGAGTCAGGCCCAGAATCCTAAGTGCTTGGAAGTATGATCTCTTTAAATAAGACTTTGAAACAAGGGTCTTTACCACCAGAGATCATCAAAAGACTTCAGGGATATTTTATTTTGTTTGATCAAGGGTCAGGATCATCACCTCTAGCATCTTAGACATGAACCAGCTTGAGTAATTCTATCATCCATAATTTTCACAGATGTTGCTTTCTTGCTACACTGGAGGCTGCTTCAGGTAGTGGTCTTAAAGTACAGTGCCAGTTGAAGTACGCAGAGACAAGAGCACAGACAGGACAGTTGACAAGTGGCTGGACCACAAGAATAAATAAACAACTTAGAATCACATCTGCATCTTTTCCTCTTTAATGCAGAAAAAGACCCCCAAGTAAGGTTTTCTCTTGTTCCTCTGAAGGAGAACAACTATGCATACTGCTTGGGGGGCATATTGGTAAGCTGCCCCAACCTGACCCTGTCAATAGCCATTGGTTTTGACCACCTGCTCCCAGCAGGGAGGAAGCCAGCCTCTGAGCAATGACCCCTGTGACAGATGGCACAGATAGAAAAGGGCCAGCCAAAAATACGCCTTCCCACAGAGGGAGGGAGCCTGGGTGTTTAAAGGAAGAAGTCAAAGGAACAAAGCAATGAAATTCACCAAGTGTATCTAAAACTTGCCCTCGGGATATCAATAGTCTTTTGAATGGCAGATGAATCAAAACGCTTGATGATGGGACCTCAGGACCCTGGGCACAGCAAGCTGCCATTAGCAAGGCTTTGTAACAAATTATTTTAGAGAAAAGTGTGACAATGAGATGTAGTGAAGGACTCTCAGAGCCATTAAAGAGAATCTGAACATATAAGGCAGTATTAGAACAAACTCAAATTTCCAAAGATTGACAAGTCTTGAAACAAACAGTTCAGAGAACATTGATTGGAAATTGTCAGTCCTAGAATGGACTTGAATTGGCAGGAAAAAAAATTCATTAGTCTCTGCTTGGGTTTGATTACTTATACTAGGAGGGAGATATAAAAGAAGCAAAAGTGCAATGAACTGGCATCAAAAAGGTGAGGAGAGGAAGTGTCACTTGTCATGAGCCAGTGCCCAGCACTCTACAAGGAGCCTTTCCGGACAGACGCCAGAATGCTGTGGAAGAAGCATCATTTTTAAAATCATTTTACAATGAAAATGAAACAAAATGCCACAGCAACATCATTCACAATAGCCAAAGATGGAAGTAACCTAAAGTGTCCACTGACAGATGAATGGAAACAAAATGTGGTATATGCACACAACGGAATATTATTCAGCCTCAAAAAGGAAGGAAATCATGACACATGCTACAACATCGATCACCCTTGAAGACATTATGCTAAGTAAAATACGCCAGTTGAAGAAAGACAAATACTGTGTAATTCTTCTTATATGAGATCCCTAGAGTGGTCGATCCATAGAGATAGCAAGTAGAATGGCGGTTGTCAGAGGCTTGGGAGCAGGGAATGGGGAGTTCATGTTTAATAGCTAGAGTTTAAGTTAGGGAAGATAAAAACCTTCTGGAAATGGATGGTGCTGATGGTTACATAACAATGTGAATGTATTTAATGCCACTAAGCCATACACTTAAAAAATGGTAAAAATGGTAAATTTTATATTATGTATATTTTACCACAATTTTTCAAAATGAAAAAATCATGGCACAGTGAAGTTAAGAAACTTGGCCAGGTCAAAACTAGGAAATGGAGGAGATAAAATTCAAGACAAGATTAAACCTTATAATTTCCCCGGCACTCCCTCCTCCACCATAGAATTGCACAGGCTTTGGGAGAGAAGAAGGATGAAGACAGCCATCAGGAAGAGAACCTCAGTGCTCTGCATGGCCATAACCTGATCTGGCTGCCACAACTAATTCACACCTCTCCTCTCTCCTCTTCTCCCTCACAGTAGTCATCCCAGGTGTCACCACTCAAACCTCATCTCAGCTTCTCCTTCCCACCTCTTAGCCCTCTCCCAAGAGTATGCCACAGAGAATATCCTGCTAATTCCAAGCTTATCACAATATCACTCAAAGATTCTGAAAAACTTCCATCCCCATAAAGTCTCCCTGAATTGGAAGGAAACAGAACACCACCACATCAATTATGTACGTCCTCTAAACCATTTTCACTTTTTTTTTTTTTTTTTTTTTTTGCAAAACTGATGCAGAATTCACTTGCAAAACAAAAAAGTATAAATTACCAGAGTTGCAAGGTACCTGAATTTCACCTAGCCCAGAGGTTCTATACCTGTGTGACTTTGTCCTTCAGGGAACATCTGGCAATGTCTGGAGACATTTTTGAGTGTCACAACTTGGGGGCTGAGGGAACCACAGGCAAGTAGTGGTAGAGGCCAGGGATGCTACTAAACATCTTACAATGCACAGAACAGCCCCACAAGGAAGAATTACTAGTTCAAAATGTCAATAATGCCAAAGGCCAAGATTGAGACACTCTGATAGCTCTACCACTGACTGATGCTGGTACTTCCTTCACAAATTACCAGGAAAAAATAGCCTCTGCCATATCAATAGCTATGACAGACAGAGAACAGTGACCTCCTAAGCAGCCCATTTCATCTGCTAATAAAGAAATCTATTTCTCAAGTACTGTTAGAATTTGCCTCTACGAGCTTTCACCCATCAATTACTCTACTGCTAGTTTTTGAGGCCAAACAGTAGTCAAATCCCTGTTCTGCATGGCAGTTCTTCAAAGTCAGAAGATAGCTACTGCATCTTCCATTATAAACACACCAGACAGACTTTCAGAAACTTGTCTATACACACTTCTATGTTTATCTAGGTTTAAGAGCCCTGGACTGAAATTCTCAAGACCAGGTAATCATGTCTACATCATGTTGCCCAGCTCATCCGTAAAAATATTATCCAGACTAGCACTTAATAATATATAACCAGTACTTACTAATATACAACTAGATTGAAAGCGAACATGAAACAGGTGGGTATCTGCCAACTTGCTATAATTCTTGAATAAGAAAGATATCTTTATTTCAGGGTGGAAGTACCAAATTGCTGGCCCACACAAACACCAGCCTGTTGACACCAATACTCAACTCTTCTTTCCACTTGAAACAGTCTCTATAAGTCACCTACAGCTGGGGCCAGCATGCAGTCACCACCACCCCTTTCCCCCCACCACTCCCAGATTGTGCGAATCCCTACAGAATAAGAATCCTCTTCACCCTCCAGAAGGAGAGTAACCCAAACTTTGGCACATCTCCATAAAGATTGCTAATTCTTGCCCTATCTGCTTAACCAGGCTACAAAACAGCTAAAAAACCTCTGACACTCTACATGGATTATATTATTAGTGACATCAGTAGCCTCAGAGATTTCTTCTGCAGAAGCAAGGGACTTTGTAAGCATTAAGTCTCAACCTTGAAGGGCCAGTCCACATAATCACAATGAGTCACTTCTAAACAAAATTTGGAGGTCACTTGTCTATGCTAAATGTAAACTAGTCTTAAAAATTCACCAATTTGACCTTTACCAATTTGACCTTTACTGTCATTCCACCAGTCATTCATCTTCTAATGCCATTCTCATTCCTGCCTCTAATCCTCCACCTGGCATGCCCTTCTGTTCCCTAAACTAAACCTACAATGTCTTAAAGGTCTGTGTCAGGATCTCCCTTGAACCTTCTATCAAGTCCTTTTTATCAACTCCATTCCATGATGATCTCTCCCAGTCTGTATACCAATTTCTCATTCACTTGCATATATCCTGCTTTAGCATTAGTCTCCAAAGGTTTTATTTGGATGTTCTACACATTCAACAAGTATCAATGAATCAACAAATAGTTGATAAGCAACTATAATGTACTTTGCACTCTAGGAGACAGAAAATATGAATGCTCCCTAGTTACTGTCCTTGAAGTGCTGAGACTAACTCATTCAAAAATATAACTAAATACAAGAAAGCACATGATTACTAAATTATAGCTATAAATTATTAATACTAGACAATTCAGAAAAGAAGATCAAGGGCTCTCAGTGCTTATTTCTTGTAGTAAATGTCAGAAACAGAAGAAAAAAGAGGGCTGGGCACAATGGCTCATGCCTGTAATCCCAGCAATTTGGGAAGCCGAGGCTGGGGGAATCACGAGGTCAGGAGATCGAGACCACCCTGGCCAACACGGTGAAATCCTGTCTCTACGAAAAATACAAAAACTAGCTAGGTGTGGTGGTGCATGCCTGTAATCCCAGCTACTTGGGAGGCTGAGGCAGGAGAATCCCTTGAACCTGGGAGGCAGAGATTGCAGTGAGCCGAGATCGTGCCACTGTACTCCTCCCTGGCAACAGAGCAAGACTGCGTCTCAAAGAGATACACTCATTCATTCCCTCAATATTTTCTGAGGCTTTTATGGTTAAGGCCTTATAACATACTTTACAATTGTATTGCACTTTAAGGCTGATATTTATTATCTCATTTCATGTTTAACAATAATATAAGATAGAACAAGTTGTAATCATGAACCCTGTTCTCTAAACAAGGAAACTGAGGCTTTAGAAAGAGGAAGACATCTACCCAAAGTGTATATGTTAACAACAAAACCAACACTAGAATAAGTCTCCTACTCCTAGTCCCTAGTCTCTAACTCTCCTCACAAGCTAATATTCCCCCACAGCACCTCATCTTCCCACTCCTTCAGCCACACATACATATAACTATGCTACTTCCCCCATTACTGCCTGTTAGAGGCAATAGTAAAAAGACAACTAAATGAAAACTTTTGAGTTTTTTTAAATATCTGCCCCAGATCCTTAAAAGAAAATCTGTCAATCACATGCTTTTGCTTACATGTTCATGAATGTGAAAACTCAAATCCATAATCCAAGCTAAAAAAATCTAAATAAATAAATAAATACTAATTTACATATAATAGAATATATAATTAAATATCAATTAATAATTTAATATAAATAAATAAATCTTTTTAAAAATCCAGAAAACAATTGGAGAGTGGAGGTGGGAGAGGTAAGAGAAAGAAAACACAGCAAAATGAGAGAATGTATTTTTGTCCTAAATACTAATGTTTATAAGGAAGAGAAACATACTCTATTTTGTTATAAATTTTCCATCTGTTTGATTAAAGCCCTGTAATCTTCAAAGACTAGCAAGTTCCTGGTGCATGGTAGATATTCAATAAATGTTTGCTTAATTAATGAATGAATGGTTTTTCATGATATATCACGAGCTCCTTGAGGACAAAGTCTTCATCTATAAATTTCTGTACCCATTTCAAAGTTGGCAGTCAATAATGCATTGAATTAAATAATTCAACTGGTAGGTACGGAGAGCTCTATGCAGGAAGGTCGTGTTGGGTATTCTGTGTTTTTGCTGATTCTGTATTTGTCTATCTGGCATCCATAGATCACAAGGCCAAACTAATGGCCAAAGTTGTTTAAACCTCCCGAGAGCCAAAGTCCATTCTCTGAACCACCTCCTTTATCTAACTCTCACACATCAAGCCAACATTTCACCTGCCCTAAATCAACCCAGGACCAGGTACCAGACAACTAAGGACAGCCCTAAAGCCCACTGGAATTATTCAAATTGGCCAATTCTAACCTGTTTCTCCTGCCCTGCCTTGCCTTTCCCAAGGAAAACATAGTAAGAGCTCTGGACCATGCTTTCCCCTCGCTCCTTCTGCCTCCTGACTGAAACTGGTGCTTCCCTCTGCGGCCCTGTGTGGTGCAGAATGCCCTCTTGTCTTGGGAAATGTAAGTAATAAACTTTCCTTTCAATGACATTGACCACTCTGTGTAGTCACTGAGTCACCTTTATAAATTACATCAATGGCCACAAATCAACTGGATACTACCACTACTATTGCCACCAGACACAAAGAACTAGAACCCAACCCAACTTAATCCTAAATGGTGGCTTACATCACTGCTTACAAACTCTCACCTTCCGTATTAGATAGCAAACTCCTTTAAAAACTTCTACCACTCAACAAATTCAATGCTATGTATACAGCAGTTACTTGATAAGCTGAATTTTACACAGACAAGTAGATAATTAGTTGACATTTTTGGCCTGAATCTTAGCGATTGTTTAATTATTCCCTCTGTCCAAAAAAACAAAAGAGGGGGAGGGGTGATTAAACTCTAATACCGCACAGTTTGACAACTTCCTATAAAGTTAAATATAAACTTAAAATATGACCCAGCAATCACAACCTAGTTATTGATCCAAGTTAACTGAAAACCAGGTTCACATAAAAACCTGTACACAAATATTTATAGCAGCTTTGTGTATAAGCATCCAAAACTGGAAGCAACAACGTCTTTTGACAGGTGACTGAATAAAGAAACTGTGGTATACCATAGAATGGACGATTAGTCAACAACAAAAAGCAACAAGCCATTGATTCTTGCAACAATATGAGTGAATCTTAAATACATTTTGCTAGGTGAAAGACTACAAATTATATGATTCCACTCACGTGACATTTTGGAAAAGGCAAAACTACAGGGATGAAAAACAGATTACTAGTTATCAGGGTTTGCAGTGGAAGGTGTTTGACTACAGGGAGATGCACAGGGAAACTTTTAGGATAACGGAATTATTCTATGTGTTACTAGGGTGGAACATACGTTACTCTATGCATTTGTTAAAATCCGTAGAACTGTACCTTACAAAGAGTGAACTTTAAGGTATGTACGTTTTTTCAAGAGAACCAGTATGTCAGGGAATCCCAGGATAGGATGTAGACTGTGACAAATGAACCTAACATATTATAAATGTATGACATAAACTCACTGAAGGGGGTAGAGGAAAAAAAAAAGCTGGCCTATATAACCTTAGAAAATAGTGTTTTGAACAAGAAATGGGGAAAGGATTCCCTATTTAATAAACGGTGCTGGAAAAACTGGCTAGCCATATGTAGAAAGCTGAAACTGGATCCCTTCCTTACACCTTATACAAAAATTAATTCAAGATGGATTAAAGACTTAAACGTTAGACCTAAAACCATAAAAACCCTAAAACAAAACCTAGGCAATACCATTCAGGACATAGGCATGGGCAAGGACTTCATGTCTAAAACACCAAAAGCAACGGCAACAAAAGCCAAAATTGACAAATGGGATCTAATTAAACTAAAGAGCTTCTGCACAGCAAAAGAAACTACCATCAGAGTGAACAGGCAACCTACAGAATGGGAGAAAATTTTTGCAATCTACTCATCTGACAAAGGGCTAATATCCAGAATCTACAATGAACTCAAACAAATTTACAAGAAAAAAACAAACAACCCCATCAAAAAGTGGGCGAAGGATATGAACAGACACTTCTCAAAAGAAGACATTTATGCAGCCAAAAAACACATGAAAAAATGCTCATCATCACTGGCCATCAGAAAAATGCAAATCAAAACCACAGTGAGATACCATCTCACACCAGTTAGAATGGCGATCATTAAAAAGTCAGGAAACAACAGGTGCTAGAGAGGATGTGGAGAAATAGGAACACTTTTACACTGTTGGTGGGACTGTAAACTAGTTCAACCCTTGTGGAAGTCAGTGTGGCGATTCCTCAGGGATCTTGAACTAGAAATACCATTAGACCCAGCAATCCCATTACTGGGTATATACCCAAAGGACTATAAATCATGCTGCTATAAAGACACATGCACACATATGTTTATTGTGGCACTATTCACAATAGCAAAGACTTGGAACCAACCCAAATGTCCAACAATGATAGACTGGATTAAGAAAATGTGGCACATATACACCATGGAATACTATGCAGCCATAAACGATGAGTTCATGTCCTTTGTAGGGACATGGATGAAGCTGGAAACCATCATTCTCAGCAAACTATCACAAGGACAAAAAACCAAACACCGCATGTTCTCACTCATAGGTGGGAATTGAACAATGAGAACACATGGACACAGGAAGGGGAACATCACACACCGGGGCCTGTTGTGGGGTGGGGGGAGGAGGAAGGGATAGCATTAGAAGATATACCTAATGTTAAATGACGAGTTAATGGGTGCAGCACACCAACATGGCACATGTTTACATATGTAACTAACCTGCACGTTGTGCACATGTACCCTAAAACTTAAAGTATAATAATAAAAAAAAAGAAAATAGTGTTTTGACTGACAACTATAGGCTAATGACAAAATAATCTGTACATAAACATGGAACTCTAATTGGTAAATCGTAGCTCATAGGAGTATAAGTTAACAAATCTGAACCTGCTTTACATGTGTAAGGGTTTGAACAAATAAGTAAACTCCCCATCTACCACGGTGGATGATGAGAGGCAGGTTTCTCATTGCCAGAGAGTGAAATGCAGATCTGCAAGGGGGAAAGGCTAGAATGAACTCTGCAGTACTGAGTTGGAGTCAAAGATACCAGTGCAAATCCACGTTTAGCTTAGCATATATACAGACTGATAGATACAGAAATAATTAGAAATATGTATATATACATGGGTTAGCATACATACTTTTATTTCCTAACTCTATTCACTGAGAGGGCCTACTAGCAGCATGCAACCCAATGCTCAGAACTTGGTTTCTCCAATAAAAAGAACTAGGGCTCTTTAGAAAAAGCTGATTCTAGAGCCGGGGCAAGGAAAATACAAGATGAACCTGGAACATCTTCTAATTCTAAAAAAGTAGGGAGGTGCTCAAGTAGCAAAAGGATGAGGACATGTCAAAGTGACACAGAAGTTAACCTGGAAGAGGCCCCAGAAGCCAAAGCTAGAACAATTTCAGGAAGAAAATAAATAGCATGGTATTGTATTATAACCCAAGGTATAAAATAAATACAAGTCCATAGAGATACAAATTAACAACTCAATAAATAAACAAATAGGTAGAAGGGGAAAATCTTCCTTTGCAGAAGAATTCCAGATAATATAAGTAGATAATACCCTCTGTAGGAGGTAAAGCTTAATCCTCACTCCTCCTCCCCCAAGCGTGGGCTGGACTTGGTGACCCATTGCCAAAGAATGCAGTATAGAAAGAGAAAAAAAATAGTAACTTTATAGTGAGAAACCTAGCAAACACTAACACAACCAAATGATCAAAATTAACATTATCTGTAATAAGTCATGTTAGTATATTCTTCCAATATGATATGAGGAAGGCACTTCACCTCTGTAGTAGTCTTCCCAAAAATCCATAACCCCAGTCTAATCATGAGAAAAACATCATACAAACCTAAATTGAGGGGTGTTCTACAAAATACCTCATCAGTATCCTCAAACCTACCAAGGTTATTAAAAAACAAGGGAAGTCTGAGAAACTGTCACACACCAGAAGAGACTAAGGAGACATAATGACAATGCAATGTAATACTCTTGACTGAATCCTGGAACAGAAAAAGGACATCAGTGTGAAAAGTGGTAAAATCCAAATAAAGTGTGGAATTTAGTTAATAGTAATGTACCAACATTGGTTTCTTAGTTCTGACAAATACACCATGGTGATATATTAACATTATGGGAAACCAGGTGAGGCATATACAGGAATTCTCCGTATTCCCCTTGCAACTTTGCTGTAAACCTAAAATTATTCCAAAATAAAAAGTTGATTTTAAAAAATCTAATGCTGGTTTAAGGTCAAGTTAGCGAGAAAAATTAACTGTTTAACTTATTAAAAATTTATTTGCAACATTTCTATGTGACAGAAGTATATGATCATGTTATTGGGTACCTCTTTCTACAGAGAACAAAGTGCACTTGAGATACTGTCTTGTGAACTGAGTCTCCTGTAATGATACTTCTATTAATGAAGAGAAAGCTTCCATGGCACATTCACGGTCAGATGCTTCCTTACCAGAGGCAGACAGAATCCTGAAAACACAGGCGTACACATTCTTTCTTTGATGTGGACTCCTTTCTTCCCTTCCAAATCTCCGGATGAGATAAACTGGGTCTCTCTGGTCATTCTGCCTACATCGCAGAACTCAGGCCTCTGTTGGGATGCTCATCGTGTCTGGTCTGGACCCTAGACTGCCTGTAAGAGGCCTGTAGCTGTGGCTGACACTCTGCCCCTTCCTTCTTACTCACTACTGCTCTGACACAGAATTAAAGAAATCTGTACTGCCCTAGTCTCTCCACATCCAGAGGAAATTATTCCAAGAATCATCATCATATACATGAATAGATAATATACTAGCAATGTCCTAGTCTGTGGCCAAATAACTGCATAGGCTCTGCCTAAGACATCAGAACTAATGGGTAACATCTGATACCCATCCCACTATCTAAAAGGGGTCACCAATATGATGCACTTTGTATTTCTAAATGCAAATTAGCATGCTTTAGAGTGATGGTTTAAAACTCTAAGAATTCATTGGCTATCCTGTGGGAAAGACGTACATTGACCACGTAAACTCTGATCTCTAAATCAAATTCAGGAAATAGCATTCAAGAGGGAATTTCCAGACCCAAGTGACCTAAGTTTATAGTTGGCAAGAGCCACACTTGCTCAACTTGCTTTATATACTAAGCAGAGATGGCCAAAAAATTTTATGAAGTTAAAAAGCAAACGATATAGCACCTAAGTAATAAAAAATTTCTTGACAGTCTTTCCTCTACTGCATTACTCTATAAAGCAGCTGAGGAGAGACCAAGGATAAATACCTGAACATCTTCCAGAAAGCCAGCCCCACTGAAGCCATTATAAGAACCATCATATTTCTCCTTCATAGTCTGCTCCACCGTGGTTTCTGATCCTATGAGGCCCCACGTTTTTTTGAGACAGGGTCTCACTCTGTCACCCAGGCTGGAATGCAGTGGTGTAACCATGGCTCACTACAGCCTCAACCTCCTGGGCTCAATCCATCCTCCCGCCTCAGCCTCCCGAGTAGCTGGGACCACAGGCGTGTGCTACCACACCTAATTTTTTTTTTTTTTTAAATAGAGATGGTGTCTCACTATGTTGCCCAGACTGGTCTCAAACTCCTGAGCTCAAGCGATCCTCTTGCTTCGGCCCTCCAAAGTGCTGGGATTACAGGCGTGAATCACCACACATAGTTTTTTTCTTTTTTTTTTTAAGTCTAGCTGATGTGGAACAGGTTCAGAAGGCAAAATTCAAAATAGAAATTCCAAGAATGTTTTATGCAATGATTGCTTCATTCTATTAAGTGCACAGCCTTCCAAGTTAGCTGTTTTTCTTTCTTTTACAGTTTCTACTGCATTGCATTTCTTTACAAACTAATACGTGCTCATCCCAATTTCTCAAATATAGAGTTATATAAAGAAAAAATTAAAGATGACTATTTGAAGAGCTACCAAAACCTGTTTTATTACTTAACAATTTATCCAAGTAGAGTCCTCCCATATAAAGAACACATTATTCACTTAAAAATAGTCTTTTTCAGATTAATTTTAAAGCTAATTTTATTCATGATTTATTGAAATTAATTGAAGTAAAAACCAATACAATCATACCCAAGTAAACATGAAAAACTTTAAGCAAGCATCCACTGATCTGATTTTTGGTCACTAGTATAACATTAAAATGATTGTTATTAAGAAAATGCTCCATTGTATTGAAAAATCTGCATCTCAGATTTTCCAAGAAAGCTTTGACTTAAAATTATCACCACAATCCATCAAAACAACCCTAAATGACAACTCTTTGGTCTCCATAATATTAAATACTTCTCTAAGACTGTTTCTTGCACAAAATTTTTTCACACTGAATGTCTTGATCTAGGGACCAGGAAAAAAATGATTATCACTTTTGCAGGGCTTCTATTCCACCATCAGTACATCAGTACAGTAAATAACAACTTCCACCTGCCCTCTCTACTAATACAGACATGCTTGTGTAGGTGAGAACACATGATAGACAAAATGTTCTTAGAAGAAAAGCTTTAATCCAACCAACATTTGAGGATTGGGAACTGACTGTCCAATCAATTGGTCATCTAAATCCTCTTGACTGTTATATCCTTCCCTTTTGGTTGTTTACTATTTAGTCATTTTATGATATTCTTTTCACAGCTTGTTGACACATCTCTTACTAGAATTAGAAGGGTAAGGAAAGAAGGAAAATGTCAGTTAATCCTTTTTATTTTTTTCCACATAATTTTGGTAAAAGACTTGGTAAAACCTGAGTTAAATGTTAACCTGAGTTTGAATAAAGATTTAAGATTATATGAAGGCTTCTATTACCTATTCTAATATTCCTTACCATATCAAGGCTTAAAAGTTGATGGATTATTTGTAGTGATATGAAATAAGTTAACAATATGCTATTAACAGTTTTAAATGGACACACATCATTAGCCCAGCAATTCTAATCCCAGGTATTTATTCTATATAGCCTCACATATGCAAAATATGTATACAAGGATATTGAATGCAACTTTCCCATAATAAGGAGAGTTTGAAATTAATGGAATAAATATTTATTTACTGAATATTCATTAATGAAATAAATGCCCATCAATAAAGGACTTATTAAATAAATGATAGTATATCCATTTAATGGCATTCTGCACAGCTGCTAAAAAGAACGAGGCCTTCTCTGGACACTGATATGGAAAGGCCTCCAGGACATATTAAGAGAAAAAGTAAGGTATATAATAGTGTGTACAGTACACTGCCATTTTTGTTAATATATGCACACTTATCCATATTCCAGTTTGGTAATAAGTACAAAGTCTCTGTAAAGACACATGAGAAACTGGGAAGTGGTTGCCTCCAGGGAAAGGAACTGTGTGGCTAGGAGGTAGGTAACTGAGGAAGACTTACCTCTCTTACTTTGTTCCCTTTACAGCTTTCCAATCTGGTGCTAAGTGCAGATATTATATATTTTAAAAAACATTTTACTTAAATTTAAAAATTAAAAAGGAGGAGGAGAGGGCATCCTGCATCAAAAATACTGAAGTCATTCCTCAGGGTGTCTCCTCCCAGGACCTCGAGGCCTGTCAATCTAGTCACTTGATCTCTCAAGGTTGAGAACCTGCCTCAAAGCCACCACCTTTCTCACACCTGCCAGCCTTGTTCCTCTCTCAAATAACCAAAGTTTCTCACTCCAGATAAGATGAAGTAAGCCCACTCTACCCTGTATCTCCCACTGTATTCAACTAAAATCCTTGGACAGAGCTGCTCCATCCATTACTTAATGACTCTGAAAAATAATTGATAGCAGATAGTTTAGGAAAAGAAACCCACAATTCAAAGTATCACAAAACCAGCAGAGTTTTGCCTTTTTTTCTTTCTGTGTGTGTGTGTGTGTGTGTGTGTGTGTGTGTGTGTGTGTGTGTGTGTGTTGCTCTGGTATCTCTTGGCCTGGACTCAAAAAAGGCAGCCAAATCCAGAACTGTGCCCCAAGCACAGACAGAAAAAGCTACAGGAGAAGACCTCCATTTCTGGTCCAAGAAACAGAAAAGGGAGCCCCTAGACACGAAAGGGAAGGGAGAAAATCTGAATTGTGTGTGTGTTTCCTGCTCTCTCCTGCCCTACCTCACAGTAGTTAAGCAGCAGTGGCAGTCAATAGCAAAAGTTCTTCCCTGACCAGGGAAGCTGGGATCCCAAGAGCACAGGAAAGCCTCCCTTGCTTCGTTGACTCTCCGTATCTTGCCATTTGGTTCTCAAGGGAGATGTGGTCATAGGAAGTAAAAGGCAGAATAGAGAAACTAAAAGTCCAAGACTTCTAGGCAGGGTAGCAGGATGGGAAACCCTTCAGATCTGGAAAGTCTGGGAAACAACAAGAGAAAGGAGCTCAATAAGGCTGTATATGAATTCCGGGGCTCATCTCCAAGCTGTGCATGCATGTATCTGGCCCTAAACAGCACACCAAAGGTTTTGACAACTAATCTCTGGAGTATACTGCTGCCCAGATCTGAAACTGGCCACTAGCTGGGACATACCTGGAATAAACAGAAATAGAATGGCAAATACTTTGAAAACTGAACTGATTTTGGACCCCAGCCCACAGAAGGCAGGAAGGAATTTGCAACCTGAATCTAACTGGATTGCCTGCTAAAACAAATAAGCAAGAAACATTCTCTATATGATTTAAACAAGACCCAAAGTCTTCTAACAATTTGAAAGTGTTCAGGATACAAATTCAAACTAACATACAAAAAAACTTGAAAATCTCAACATCTCACAAGGAAAAAGACAATCAACAGATATCAATGCAAGATGTTAGAATTGGCAAAGGCTTTAATGCAGCTATTCTAAGTATGCTCAAAGAAGGAAAGGCAAACAGTCTTGAAATAAATGGAAAAATAAAAAGTCTTAATGAAGAAATAGAACACTTTTTTAAAAAAGAACCAAATGGAAAATTTTAAATTAGAAAACACAATAACAGAAATTTTAAAATTCATTGGATGGGCTCAATAGTATAATAGAGATGACAGAATAGTTGATGAACTTGAAAATACACAAATTATCCAAGCTGAACAAGAGAGAGAGAAAAAAATTAGAAACGAAGGAAAAAAAGCACAGAATCTCAATGACCCATGGGACAACACCAAAAGACTTAACATTTGTATCAAAGGCCCAACAGGTAAGGAGAAAGTATAGTGCACAAAAAGTATTTGAAGAAACAATGGCTAAAACTTCCCAAATTTAAGAAGACATAAACTTACAGATTTAAGAAACTCAGTGATCACCAAACAGGATAAACTCAAAGAAATCCTTGTGCAAAAACATCATGATCAAACCAATGAAAACTAAAATAAAAAATCTTGAAAGCAGTAAGAGAAAAAGGATACATTACACATAGGGAAACAATAATTTGAATGACTGAAATTTCCCAACAGAAATCATAACAAAAGACAGTAAAACTTTTTTTTTTTTTTTGAGACAGGGTCTCACTCTGTCACTCAGGCTGGAGTGCAGTGGCATGATCATGGCTCACTGCAGCCTCAACTTCCCAGGCTCAAGTGATCCTCCCACCTCAGCCTCCTGAGTAGCTGGGACTACAGGTATGCACCACCATGCCTGGCTAATTTTTTATTATTTGTAGAGATGGGGGTCTCCCTATGTTGCCCAGCCTGTCTCAAACTCCTGGGCTCAGGCAGTCCTCCCATGTCAGCCTCCCAAAGTGCGGAGATGACAAGCAGGAACCACCATGCCCAACCCAGTGAAACACTTTTTGTTTGTTTGTTTGGAGACAGTTTCACTCTGTTGCCCAGGCTGGGGTGCAGTGGTGCATTCTTTGCTCACTGTACCTCCGCCTCCCGGGTTCAAATGATTCTCCTGCCTCAACCTCCTGAGTAGCTGGGACTACAGGTGCCCACCACCATGTCTGGCTAATTTTTTTTTGTATTTTTAGTAGAGACAGGTTTCACCATGTTAGCCAGGCTGGTCTCGAACTCCTGACCTCAAGTGATCCGTGAGCCAGGTGTGAGCCACTGCACCTGGCCTAGCCCAGTGAAACACTTTTAAGTGCTGGGGGAAAATGAAAAGAAACAAATGTCAACCCAGAATTGTATATCTAGTGAAAATATTTTTAAAAGATGATGATGAAATACAGAAATTCTCATATAAAGAAAACCAAAATAATTCATCACTAGCAGACTGCTCTAAAAGAAATGCTAAAGGAAATTCTTTAGATGGAGGGAAAATAATATTACAGGGAAATTTAGAACTTCAGGAAACAAGGAAGAGCAATAGAAGTGGTAAATACCAAGGTAAATGTAATACCCATTTTACTCCTTTTAGGGTCTTTAAAATATAAATGATGAGGCCAACTGTGGTGGCTCACGCCTGTAGTCTCACCATTTTGGGAGGCCAAGATGACAGGACTGCTGGAGGCCAAGAGTTTAAGACCAGCCTGGGCAACACAGTCAGACCCTCATCTCTGCAAAAAAAAAATTTTTTCTTTAAATTAGCCAGGCATGAAGGATGACATGCACCTATAGTCCTATCTACCCAGGAGGCTGAGGTGAGAGGATCACTTAAGCCCAGAAGTTTGAGGCTGCAGTGAGCTACGATTGTACCACTGCACTCCAGCCTGGGTGACAGAGTAAGACCTTGTCTCCACAAAAAATAATTTTTAAAAATAATAATAAAATATAAATGATGGTTGAAAAGCACAAATTATAACATTATTGATTGGGTTTTCATGCATGTAGATGCAATATGTATGAAAATTACAACATAAAAGGGAGACAGTAAAGAGATCTACACGGTACTAACATTTTTTTTTCTTTTGTTTTTGTTTCAGACAGGGTTTTACCCTGCTGCCGTAGCTGGAAGACAATGGTGTGATCACAGCTCACTGCAGCCTCAAACTCCCAGGCTCAAGTAATCCTTCACCCCAGCCTCCAGAGAAGCTGGGACCACAGGCATGAGCCACCACGCCCACTAATTTTTGTATTTTTTGTAGGGATAGGGTTTTACCATGTTGCTCAGGCTAGTCTCAAATTCCTGGGCTCAAGCGATCTGCCCACCTTGGCCTCCCAAAGTGTTTGGATTATAGGTGTGCACCACTGCACCTGGTGGTACTAACATTTCTATATTCCACTTAAAGTGGTAATATATTAATTCTAAGTAGACTGAACACTTAAGTATGTACATTGTAATTCCTAGTGCTACACTAAAATAACTATATAATGAAAACAGTAAAAAAAAAATAGAATATTAAAAATAATCCAAAAGAAGGAAAAGGAAATAGAAAACAAATAAAATGACAGACCACCCAAACATATTAATAACTACATTAAATGAAGGTGGTCTAAACATACCAACTAAAAGAGATTGTCATGGGCAGTTACTAATCAATGGGCATAAACTTTCAGTTAAGTAAGATGAATAAATTCTGGAGATCTCCTGTACAACATTGAACATATAATTAACAATACTGTATTGTACACTTAAAATTTGTTAAGAGGGTACATCTCATGTAAAATGTTCTTACCACAATACAATTTTTTCAAAAAGGAATAAGAAGAAGAGAGGTTGTCAGAATGGATTTAAAAAAAAAAAAAAAGAACATACAGTATGCTATCTACCAGAAACCCACATTAAATACGATAAATGTAAGTTAAAAATAGAATGTTAAATGCAATATGGTATCCTGGACCGGATCCTGGATCAGAAAAAAGGACATTAGTAGAAAATTTGGTGAAATCCAAATGAAGTCTGTAGCTTACCTAATAAAGTATTATACCAATGTAAATGTCTTAGTTTTAACAAATGTATCACTGTTATATAAGATGCTAACATTAGGGGAAGCTGGGTGAAGAAAATACAAGAACTCTCTTTACTATTTTTGCAACACTTCTATAAATCTGAAATTATTTCAAGGGAAAAATGTCTTTTAAGTAAAAAGTGGAAAATAAATGCCATGAAAATATGAACCGACAGAAAGGTAGGATGATTATATTAATATCAGATAAAGTAGACTTCAAAGCAAGGAAAATTACCAGGGATAGAGACACTAAATAATGATTTTAAAAAGTCAATTCACTAAAAGACATAACAATCCAAAATGTGTATGTAACTAACAAAAGAACCTTCAAATATACAAAATAAAAACTAACAAAACTAAGGATAAAATGGACAAATCCACAAGTATAGTCGATGGACAAAACTAAGGATAAAATGGACAAATCCACAAGTATAGTCAATTTTCCTTTCTTAGTAATCAATAAAACAAGTAGACAGAAAATAATCAGGGATACAGAGAAACTAAACACCACCATCAACCAACTTGAATAGATATCAATATTCATAGAACATTCCACCTAACAACAGAATATACATTATCTTCAAGTACACATGTACAGTCGCCAAGCTAGATCATATCTTGGTCATAAAACAAACCCTAACAAATTGTAAAATATTGAAATAATACAAAGTATGCTCTCTAATCATAATGGAATAAACTAGAAATCAATAAAACAAAGACACTGACAAATCTCCCAACACTCCAAACAACATACTTCTAAATAATCCACAGGTCAAAGAGAAAGTCTCAGGGGAAACAAAAATCAACATATCAAAATTTGTAAAATGCAGGGACAACAGTACCTAGAGGGAAATTTGTAGCATTAAGAGATTATATTAGAAAAGAAGAAAGGTCTCAAATCAACAATCCAAGTTTCCACCTTAGAAAAACAGAAAAGGAAGAGTAAATTAAAGAAAGCAGAAGAAAGAAAATAAAGAACAGAAATCAACTACATTGAAAACAGAAAAATAGAGGAAAATTAATATAGGAAAAGCTGGTTCTTTGAAAAGATGAATAACATTAATAAGCCTCTAGCCAAAGGGAAAAAAAAGAATGAATATACAAACTATCAATATCAGGAATAAAAGAAAGTATATCACCATAGACCTCCATAGATGTTAAAAGAATAAGGAAATACTACAGACAAATCTATACACATAAATTTGACAACAAAAATTAAATGGACCAATTCCTTGAAAGCCACAAAGTATTAAAACTCACCCCAAAAGAAATGACAACCTGAATTGTTCTATATCTATTAGAGAAATCTAACCTATAGTTTAAAACCTTCACACAAAGAAAACCCTAGGCTCAGATGGTTTCCCTGGAGAATTCTACAAAATCTTTTTCCGAAAATATTTTTTTAATGTTAAAGGGAACATATCCCAACTTATCTTATAAGGTCAGTATTATCCTGATACCAAAACTAAACAAAGACAGGACAAGAAAAAAACAAAACTACAGACCAATATCCTAGTGAACACAGATAATGCAAAACTTCTCAACAAAAAGATTAGCAAATTGGCTGGGTATGGTGGCTCACACCTATAATTTCAGCACTTTGGGAGGCAGGGCGGTTGGATCACGGGATGTCAGGAGTTCAAGACCAGTCTGGCCAATATGGTGAAACCCCATCTCTACTAAAAATACAAAAAATTAGCTGAGCATGGTGGTGGGTGCCTGTAATCCCAGCTACTCGGGAGGCTGAGGCAGGAGAATCACTTGAACCCAGAAGGCGGAGGTTGCAGTGAGCTGAGATCGTACCATTGCACTCCAGCCTGGTCAACAAGAGTGAAACTCCATCTCAAAAAAAATATTAGCAAATCATATCCAACAATATAGGAGAATACATCACCACCAAGTGGCATTTACCCCAGAAATGCAAAGTAGGTTCATTATCTGAAAACCAATGTAATTCATTATATTAACAGACTAAACAAGAAAAAAATCATATGATCATATCAATTCATATAGAAAAAGCATTTGACAAAATTCAACATTCATTCCTGATAAAATTCTCAGTAAACTAGGAATAGAAGGGAACTTACCCGACCTGATAAAATGAATGTACTAAAACTAGCAGCTAGGGCATGGTGGCTCATGCCTGTAATCCAGTACTTTGGTAGGCCAAGGTGAGTGGATCACTTGAGCTCAGGAATTCAAGACCAGCCTGGGCAACATGGCAAAACCCTGTCTCTACAAAAAAATTTTAAAAATTAGCCAAGTGTGGTGGCATGTGCCTGTGATCCCAGCTACTTCGAAGGCTGAGGTGGGAGGATTGCTCAAGCCTGGGAGGTAGAGGTTGCAGTGAGCTGCGTTCGCGCCACTACACTCCAGCTTGGCTGTCAGAGTAACACCTTGTCTCAAAAACAAAACAAAACAAAAAAAACAAGCAGGGAATATCATACTTAATAGTGAAAAACTGAATGTTTTTTCCCTAAAATCAGGAAGAATGCATGGATGTCCAGTCTCGCTACCCACATTTGATATCTTACTGGAAGTCTGTAAAAATGGGGGAAAAAAGAAACAAAGAAAAGGCATATAGATTAGACAGGAAGAAATAAAACTATCACTTTTCATGGACTATGATTATCTATATAGCAAATCCCAAGAAACCTATAATAAAGCTTCTAGAACAAGTGACTTTAACAAGGTTGTAAGATACAAGTTCACATACAAAAAAATCATCATATCTCTATATACAAGAAATAAATTAGAAACTGAAATCTAAAATAGAAAAATTTACATTAGGCCGGGTGCAGTGGCTCACGTCAGTAATCCCAACACTTTGGGAGGCCAGGGTGGGTGGATCACCTGAGGTCAGGGAGTTCGAGACCAGCCTGACCAATGTGGTGAAACCCTGTCTCTACTAAAAATACAAAAATTAGCCAGGCATAGGGATGCATGTAATCCCAGCTACTTGGGAGGCTGAGGCAGGAGAATCACCTGAACCCAGGAGGCAGAGGTTGCAGTGAGCCGAGATCACACCACTGCACTCCAGACTGGGCAACAAGAGTGAAACTCCATCTAAAAACAAACAAACAAACAAACAAATTATATTAGCTTAAGAAATACTTAGGTATAGCTGGGCGCGGTGGCTCACGCCTGTAATCCCAGCACTTTGGGAGGCTGAGGAAGGCGATCACAAGGTCAGGAGATCGAGACCATCCTTGGCTAACCCGGTGAAACCCCATCTCTACTAAAAATACAAAGAAATTAGCCAGGCGTGGTGGCGGGCACCTGTAGTCCCAGCTACTCTAGAGGCTGAGGCAGGAGAATGGCGTGAACCTGGGAGGCGGAGCTTGCTCCAGCCTGGGCGACAGAGAGACTCTGTCTCAAAAAAAAAAAAAAAATACTTAGGTATAAACCTAACAAAACATGTAGAATCTATAGGCTGAAAACTATAAGATGCTGATGAAAGGAATAAAATATTACCCAAATAAATGAAGAGATGTATCATGTTGATTAACTGGAATATTTGATATAGTTAAGATATAAATTCTCAAACTGATTTATAGATTTAATGCAGTTCCAATCAAAATGCCAGCAGTTTTTGCAGATATAAAAGCTGACTGTGAAATTTATATGCAAAGGCAAAAGGACTGAAATGGCCAAAACAACTTTGAAAAAAGAACAAAGATGGAAAAGTCACAATATCCAATTTTAAGTCTTGCTATGAAGCTACAGTAATCAACAGTGTGGAAGACAAAGGAAAGAATCTTAACAGCTGTGAGACAGAAGCATCAGGTAACCTATAAAGGAAAACCTATCAGATTAACAGCAGATTTCTCATCAGAAACCCTACTAGCTAGAAGGGATTGGGACCCTATCTTCAGGCCTCCTCAAACAAAACAATTATCAGCCAGGAATTTTGTATCTAGTGAAACTAAGCATCATATATGAAGGAAAGATACAGTCTTTTTCAGACAAACAAATGCTGAGAGAATTTGCCACTACCAAGCCACCAGTACAAGAACTGCTAAAACGAGCTCTAAATCTTGAAACAAATCCTGGAAACACATTAAAAGAGAACCACTTTAAAGCATAAATCACACAGGACCTATAAAACAAAAATACAAGTTAAAAAGCAAAAACAAAAAACAAAAAAACCAAAGTACACAGGCAACAAATGCACGATGAATGCAACGGTACCTCACATCTCAATACTAACATTGAATATAAATGGCCTAAATGCTCCACTTAAAGGATACAAAACTGCAGAACTCACCAACCATCTGCTGCCTTCAGGAGACTCACCTAACACATAAGGACTCACATAAACTTCAGGTAAACAGGTGGAAAAAGGCATTTCATACAACCGGACACCAAGAGTGAGCAGGGAGAGCTATTCCTTTTTTTTTTTTTTTTTTTTTTTGAGACAGAGTTTTGCTCTGTCACCCAGGCTGGAGTGCCATGGTGTGATCTCGGCTCACTGCAACCTCCGCCTCCTGGGTTCAAGCAGTTCTCCTGCCTCAGCCTCCGGAGTAGCTGGGATTACAGGCATGCGCCACCATGCCCGGCTTATTTTTGTATTTTTATTTTTTATTTATTTTATTTTATTGTATTTTTTTTATTATACTTTAAGTTTTAGGGTACATGTGCACAACGTGCAGGTTTGTTACATATGTATACATGTGCCATGTTGGTGTGCTGCACCCACTAACTCTTCATTTAACATTAGGTATATCTCCTAATGCTATCCCTCCCCCCTCCCCCCTCCCCACACCCCACAACAGGCCCCGGTGTATGATGTTCCCCTTCCTGTGTCCATGTGTTCTCATTGTTCAATTCCCACCTATGAGTATTTTTGTATTTTTAGTAGAGGCGGGGTTTTGCCATGTTGGCCAGGCTCATCTCGAACTCCTGACCTCAGGTGATCTGTCTGCCTCTGCCTCCCAAAGTGCTGGGATTACAGGCGTGAGCCACTGCCCCCAGCCTAGGGGTAGCTATTCTTATATCAGACAAAACAAACTTTAAAGCAACAGCAGTTAAAAGAGACAAAGAGGGACATTATAAAATGGTAAAAGGCCTTGTCCAACAGGAAACTATCACAATCCTAAACATATATGCATCTAACACTGGAGCTCCCAAATTTATAAAACAATTACTAATAGACCTAATAAATGAGACAGCAACACAATAATAGTGGGGGACTTCAATACTAACGGCACTACACAGGTCATCAAGACAGAAAGTCAACAAAGAAACAACAGATTTAACTACAAATCCATTTAACAAGGGATTTAAACTATGAATCCATTTAACAACGGATTTAAACAATACCTTGGAATAAATGGACTTAACAGATACATTCAGAACATTTCATCCAACAACCACAGAATACACATTCTATTCAACAATGTATAGAACTTCCTCCAAGAGAGACCATATGATGGGCCATAAAACAAGTCTCAATAAATTTAAGAAAACTGAAATTGTATCAAGCACTCTCTCAGACCACAGTGGAATAAAACTAGAAATCAACTCCAAAAGAAACCTTCAAAACCATGCAAATACATAGAAGTTAAGTAACCTGCTTCTGAATCAGCATTGAGTCAAAAACAAAATCAAGATGGAAATTTAAAAATTCTTCAAACTGAACGACAGTAATGACACAAACTATCAAAACCTCTGGGATACAGCAAAGGTGGTGCTAAGAGGAAAGTTCACGGCCCTAAACGCCTACATCAAAAAGACTGTAAGAGCATAAACTGACATCTAAGGTCACACCTCAAGGAACTAGAGAAACAAGAACAAATCAAACCCAAATACAGCAGATGAAAGGAAATAACCAAAATCAGAGCAGAACTAAATGAAATTGAAACAAAAAAAATACAAAAATGAAACAAAAAGCTGGTTCTTTCAAAGGATAAATAAAATTGATAGACCTTTTAGCAAGATTAGCCTAGAAGAGAGGAGAGAAAATCCAAATAACCTCAATAAGAAACAAAACTGGAGGTATTACAACTGATATCACTGAAATACAAAAGATCATTCAAGGCTACTATGAACACTTTTACGCACATAAACTAGAAAACCTAAAAGAGATGGATCAATTGCTGGAAAAATACAACCCTCCTAGCTTAAATCAGGAAGAATTAGGATACCCTGAACAGACCAATAACAAGCAGCAAGACTGAAACAGTAATTTAAAAATTACCAATAAAAAAAAAGTCCAGGACCAGAAGGATTCACAGCAGAATTCTACCAGACATTGAAAGAAAAATTGGTACCAGGCCAGGCGCGGTGGCTCACGCCTGTAATCCCAGCACTTTCGGAGGCCGAGGCGGGTGGATCACAAGGTCAGGAGATGGAGACCATGGTGAAACCCCGTCTCTACTAAAAATACAAAAAAAATTAGCCGGGCACGGTGGTGGGCGCCTGTAGCCCCAGCTACTCAGGAGGCTGAGGCAGGAGAATGGTGTGAACCCGGGAGGCGGAGCTTGCAGTGAGCCGAGATCACGCCACTGCACTCCAGCCTGGGCGACAGAGCAAGACTCCATCTCAAAAAAAAAAAAAAAAAGGAAAAAGAAAAATTGGTACCAATCCTTTTGACACTATTCCTCAAGACAGAGAAAGAAGGAACCCTCCCTAATTCATTCTATGAAGCCAGCATCACCCTAATACCAAAACCAGAAAAGGACATAACCAAAAAAGAAAACTATAGACAGATATCCTTGATGAATACAGATGCTAAAATCCTTCACAAAATATTAGCTAACCAAATCCAACAACATACCAAAAAGATAATCCACCATGATCAAGTGGGTTTCATATCAAGGATGCAGGGATGGCTTAACATATGGAAGTCAATAAATGTGATACAGCACATAAACAGAATTAAAAACAAAAATCACATGATCATCTCAACAGATGCAGAAAAAGCATTCGACAAAATGCAGCATCGCTTTATGATCCCTCTCAGCAAAATCGGCATACAAGGGACAGACCTCAATGTAATAAAAGCCATCTATGACAAACTGACAGCCAACACAATACTGAATGGGGAAAAGTTGAACGCATTCCCTCTGAGAACTGGAACAAGAAGACAAGGATGCCTACTCTCACCACTTGTCTTCAACATAGTACTGGAAGTCCTAGCCAGAGCAATCAGAGAAGAGAAAGAAATAAAGGACATCCAAATCAGTAAAGAGGAAGTGAAACTGTCACTATTTGCTGACGATATGATCATTTACCTTGAAAACCCTAAAGACTCCTCCAGAAAGCTCCAAGAACTGATAAAAGAATTCAACAAAGTTTCCAGATACAAGATTAATGTATGCAAATCAGTAACTCTTCTATACACCAACAGCAACCAAGCAGAGAATCAAATCAAGAACTAAACCCCGGCCAGGCAAGGTGGCTCACGCCTGTAATCCCAGAACTTTGGGAGGCCAAGGTGGGTGGATTATCTGAGGTCAGGAGTTCAAGACCAGCCTGGCCAACATGGTGAAACCCCATCTCTACTGCAAATACAAAAATAGCCAGGTGTGGTGGCATACCCCTGTAATCCCAGCTACTTGGGAGGCTGAGGCAGGAGAATTGCTTGAGCCCGGGAGGCAGAGGTTGCAGTGAGCTGAGATCGTGCCACTGAACTCCAGCCTGGCCGACAGAGCAAGACTCTGTCTCAAAAAAAAAAATAAATAAATAAATATATATAAAAACTCAACCCCTCTTACAATAGCCACAAAATAAAATAAAATAAAATAAAATAAAATACTTAGGAATATACCTAACCAAGGAGTCAAAAGACCTCTACAAAGAAAACTACAAAACTGCTGAAAGAAATCATAGACGACACAAATAAATGGAAACACATCCCATGCTCATGGATGGGTACAATCAATATTGTGAAAATGACCACACAGCCAAAACCAATCTACAAATGCAATGCAATCCCCACAAAAATGCCACCATCACTCTTCTCGGAATTAGAAAAACAATTCTAAAATTCATATGGAACCAAAAAAGAGCCCACATAGCCAAAGCAAGACTAAGCAAAAAGAACAAATCTGGAGGCATCATACTACCTGATTTCAAACTATACTATAAGGCCATAGTCACCAAAACAGTGTGGTACTGGTATAAAAATAGGCACATAGACCAACGGAACAGAATAGAGAACCCAGAAGTAAACTCAAATACTTACAGCCAACTGATCTTCAACAAAGGAAACAAAAACGTAAGCGGGGAATAGACACCCTTTTCAACAAATGGTGCTGGGATAATTGGCTAGCCACATGTAGGAGAATGAAATTGGATCCTCATCTCTCACCTTATACAAAAATCAACTCAAGATGGATTAAGGACTTAAATCTAAAACCTGAAACTATAAAAATTCTAGAAGATAACAATGAAAAACCCTTCTAGACATTGGCTTAGGCAAGGATTTCATGGCCAAGAACCCAAAAGCAAATGCAATAAAAACAAAGATAATAGTTGGGGCTTAATTAAACTAAAAGCTTTTGCACGGCACAAGGAAGTCAGCAGAGTAAACAGACAACCCACAGAGGAGAAAATCTTGACAATCTATATATCTGAAAAAGGACTAATAACCAGAATCTACAATGAACTCAAACAAATCAGTAAGAAAAAAAACAAACAATCCCATCAAAAAGTGGGCTAAGGACATGAACAGACAATTCTCAAAAGAAGATATACAAATGGCCAACAAATATATGAAAAAATGCTCAACATCACTAATGATCAGGGAAATGGGAACCAAAACCACAATGCAATACCACCTTACTCCTGAAAGAATGGCCATAATCAAATAATCAAAAAACAGTAGATGTTGGTGTGGATGCAGTGAACAGGGAACACTTCTACATTGCTGGTGGGAACGTAAACTAGTACAGCTGCTATGGAAAACAGTGTGGAGATTCCTTAAAAAACTAAAAGTAGAACTACCATTTGGTCCAGCAATCCCACTACTGGGTATCCACCCAGAGGAAAAGAAGTCATTATATGAAAAAGATACTTGCACACACATGTTTATAGCAGCACAATTCACAACTGCAACATTGTGGAACTAACCCAAATGCCCATTAATCAACAAGTGGATAAAGAAACTGTGGTGTATATATGATGGAATACTACTCAGCCATAAAAAGGAATGAATTAACGGCATTTGCAATGACCTAGATGAGATTGGAGACTATTATTCTAAGTGAAGTAACTCAGGAATGGAAAACCAAACATCATGTGTTCTCACTGATAGGTGGGAGCTAAGCTATGAGGATGAAAAGGCCTAAGAATGATACAGTGGACTTTGGGGAAGAAGGCAGGGGATAAAAGACTACAAATATGGTGCAGTGTGTACTGCTCAGGTGATGGGTACACCAAAATCTCACATATCACCACTAAAGAACTTACTGATGTAACCAAATACCACCTGTACCCCAATAACTTATGGGGAAAGAAAAGAAAGCTATGACAATAGAATAGCTAAATTAGGAACATGAAAAACTCGTATTTAAAACTCTGAGTACATATGGAAAGGAAGAGGGGAACAACAGACACCTGGGCCTACTTTAGGGTGGACGTTAGGAGGAGGGTGAGAAACAAAAAAACACCCATCAGGTACTATGCTTATAACCTGGGTGACAAAATAATCTGTATGCTAAACCCCAGTGATATGTAATCTATCTATACAACAAACCTGCACATGTACCCCCAAACCTAAAATAAAAGCTAAAAAAAAAAACACTGGAGCCTGGTACAGTGGCTCATGCCTGTAATCCCAGCACTTTGGGAGGCCAAGGCAGCGGATCACCTGAGATCAGGAGTTTGAGACCAGCCTGACCAACATGGAGAAACCCCATCTCTACTAAAAAAGAAAAATACAAAATTAGCCAGGTGTGGTGGCGCATGCCTGTAATCCCAGCTACTTCTGAGGCTGAGGCAGGAGAATTGCTTGAAGGGGAGGCGGAGGTTGCGGTGAGCTGAGATCGTGACATGCACTCCAGCCTGGGCAACAAGAGCGAAACTCCATCTCTAAAGAAAACCAAACAAAACGAAACAAAAACCCGTTAAAAAAACAAAAAACAAACAAACAAACAAACAAAAAAACCTGGGGAAAAAAGAGACCGTGTGGTATTGAGGAAGGCGCAGACACACATACAGACTGATGGAACAGAAGAGAGAGCCCAGAAATAAACCCACATAAATACAGGCAATTGACTTTTGACAAAAGTCCAAAATCAATTCAGGAGAAAGACAGTCTTTTGAACAACAATGGTGCTCAAACAGTTAACTGCACATCTATTAGCAAAAAAATAAAAATAAACCTAGGCCTAAATCTCATATCTAATACACAGATTAACTTGAATGGATCACAGATCTAAAGGTAAAATGTAAAACTACACAAAATTTTTAACAGAAAACCAAGAACATCTTGAATTTGACAAAGAGTTCTTATATATGACATCAAAAACGTGACCCATAAATGAAAAAAATTGACAAATTGGACTAAATCAAAATTTAAAACTTTAGCTCTATAAAAACACTATTAAGAAAAGCTAAGCTAAAGAGTGGGAGAAAATATGCCCATGTAAGTTATCTGATAAAGATATCTGTTTTGATATCTCAAAAACAACATTTTTAAAAACAAAAATCTCAAAACTCATAGTAAGAATACAAACAATCCAATTTTTTTTAATGGGCAAAACATTTCAACAGACACTTCACAAAGATACACAGAGAGCACATGAAAAGATATTAGACATCATTAGCCATTACAGAAATGCAAACTGAAATCACAATGAGATACCACTACACACCTATTAGAATGGCTAAGATAAAAAAAAAAAAATTTAAACCTGACAATTCCAAGTGCCAATGAGGATACAGAGCACCTGAACTCGCATATGCTGCTGAACTCTCATACACTGCTGTTGGGAATGCGAAATGGTACAACCATTCTGAAAAACAGTTGTTAGTTGCTTATAAAGGTAAACATACACTTACTATATTACCCAGCAATCCTACTCTTAGGGATCAGCTTTGAGAAATATGAAGGTAGGGTCACACAAAAACCTGTACATGAATGTTTGCAGAAGTACTATTCATAATCACCAGAAACTGGACATATTCCAAATGTTCTTCAACAGACGAACAGGTTGACAAACTGTTATATACAATGTATATGCATTGGAACAGTTACATACAATACTACTCAGCAATAAAAAAGAACAATTGAAAAATACAACAACATGGTTAAATCTCCAAAGTATTATGCTCAGCAAAAGAAGTCAGTCTCAAAGGGTTATATAGTGTAGTATGATTCTACTTTTATGACATTCTGGAAAAGGTAACACCACAGGAATGGAGAACCAATCAGGTTTCCAGGGGCTGGGGATTAGGGAAAGTTTGACTGCAAAGGAACAGCAGGAGGGAGTATTTTGGGGTAATGGAACTGTTCTGTATCCTGATTGTGGCACGGTTACATGAACCTATACATGTGTAAAAATTCAGAGCTGTACACCAAGATTTGTTTCAATTTTACTGTTTGTAAAATTTTAAAAATAAGAAAAAATAAAACAAAAGCTGTTTAAAATGTTAAAAGGGAAAAATGAAATACTATCTTGGGTAGATTAAGAAGAAAAAAAGGAAAATAATATTTGCCATTCATGAGCTAGAACTTCAAAATCTTTTCAAATATTAGTTTTATTGAGCTTATTCTTGTGAAGAAAGTAGTGGTTTATTTGGCTGTAATACTCTAATAGGAATAGGTCTCCCACTAGGAAAGAGTACCCTGCTCATCCCAGGGGAACTGTGTATTGGCCCAAAGCCACACTAGAAAGCAGGGTTTCTGGTCCCTATATTTTGGCCATAAAAACACCACATACCCTCTTGTCCAAAATCTGGACTAGCATCCATACTCTATTTTTTGTTTTATATTGATTGATTGATTGATTGATTGTGGTAAAATATACATAAAATTTACCATCTTAACCGTTTTTTAAGTATACAAGTATGTAACATTAAGTACATGCATTGTGGTACAACCATTATCACTACAAATCTCCAGAACAATCTCATTTTCTCAAGCTGAAACTCTGTACTCCTTAACCAGTAGCTCTCCACTACCCGTTTCTCACAACCCTTGATAGCCACTATTCTACTTTCTGTCTGTGAATTTGACTATTCTAGGTAACTCACATAAGTGGAATTATACAATGTTTGGCCTTCTGTGTTACAAACTTACTCAAATTTTTACCTTTGCTTTATTTTTAATTGACACATAATAACTATACATATTTATGGGGTACATAGTGATGTTTCAATTCATATATAGTGATCAGATCAGGGTAATTCGCATATCCATAATCTCAAACATTTATCATTCCTGTGTTGAGCACCAATACTCTGAACTCTACAGATCCACACTGGATTTTTCTTAATACTACCAAAGTCAGCATTCAATTCCCACAAATAACAGTTCTTTCTAGGTTCTAGGATTAAACTGTGGAAGGAAAAAACAAAAAAACTGGAAAGGCCTGACCACTCAACATCCATATAAACAGAAGCAATGCCTATAAGGAGCTAATGGTTCTAGAATCCTGGCTAGAAAAAAAACATACACACTCCTTCCTCTCTGGGAATGAGTTTTTTTCTTGAGATTTTGCAACAGATTGCATTGAGTATTAAATGCATTGCTCTTAAAAAAAAAAAAAAAAAAAAAAAAACCCTTTCTCTGAGCACCACCCTTGGCAAAGGTAGGGCTCCAGGGTAGAGCCCAAGTGGGGCATGTAAGTGACATCCCCATTTGACTGCTGAGCCTCACCACTGGAACCAGCAAGGCAGCCTGTGGAGAAGTGCGAGGTGAAAGACAAGGCAACTGGCTAGGAACAAAGCACATCAGCCCCCAAGGGTCAGACTTTAATTTTAATCTAATTAAAATTAAAATGGAAAACATATCTAATTAATAGCAAATCTTTGATATCCACTCATAACACAAAGATGAATTTATTTTCTTTGACCTATAAAGCTTTTGAGCAATTTCTAATGCCAGAAGTCTACCTTAAGATCCCAAAATAAGTCTTACCCCTTGGGCACTTATGGGTGAAGTTTCCTGCATGAGTCAGGAAAAAAAAAAAAAAGGCCTTGTTAGGTAAGTGAAACATTCATATGATCACTGTACTTTGTTTCCCTACTACACTTCTTAATCATTCAGTCTGTGCACTTAGTAAAACCCTTCTTGGGTTTTACACAACCCTCTCCTGCATTTCTAGAGACAAGGAAGAAGAAATACTACAAACAAAAAGATGGTTAAGAAATAAGAAAAATCTATAGATCTACTAAAATATTACTTGCATGAGAACATCCAGATGAATAAAACAGATTGCCATCATTCAGTTAAGTGGTGTTTATGGACTTTCCTCATCCCAGGCTACCTTAAGAATGCCTTTCCAAGAGACTATTGTATAACAGTTCTTAATTACTGTTACTTTGAGCATTCAAACTAGGAGAAAGGTATGCACTTATAATGGGATTGCACAGAGAATCTCCTAATAGAATTACTGTAAGGGTAATTTGGGTAATACCCTAAATAGAGTGCTAAATTTATTAACATCTTGTACATGAACTGTGCCTGCTCTACTGGTTCCACAGCAAACCATGGGGACTTCTGCCAAATGTCTGAGTGCAAACTGTGGTAAATGTAATGGAATTTGCAAGAACTCAGTAACTTTCGTGGTGAGAAGAAATATAATTTTAACAAATTAAATGAGATTTAAAAATTGCATTAAATTTCTAATTTTTTTTCTCTTGGTGTATTCTATTATTTTGATGTCCATGTTCTGATAATCTAGTAACCCTTTATTTTTTCTCATTCAATGATCATTTCTGACGAGAAAGGGCAGTAGCAGAACCCAAGCTCCCTGAGTTCTGCCTTTGCTCTAAGTTACCACTGTATACTCAAGTTGTACGTTAGGGCCCTCTGGCCACCGTCTTGTACCCCAGCTATACCAAGAAGATCATGCAAGTCAAGTCTGACATTTTTCATACACGGCCTAAGATTCAGTACCTGAAACAGAAAGCAACATCACTGGCTGATAAGGCCTTTTCTTTCCCTCTGCTTTCACCTACTAAAATCCTTTCAGTTACTACCTTTAACTCAGCCTGCAATTTCAAATAGTATGGCTGTCATGAAGCACATGGGATATAAACAAACAATCAAAAAATCAAATATACTGAGTTTCGGTAAGGACAAAAGAGTCATTTACCAAGTCTATAAAAAGGTATAGAATTCTTGTTCCTTTATCCTCCAAACTGAAGGTGAGTTGAGAATGCCAACGAAAATGACAAGTTAAGTGTCTATGAATGGACAGAATGTAAAACTCCAAAACAAGGGTAGAGACCCACAAACGAAGATTAAATAATCTTTATCAGTGAGAGCTTAGATAATAAAGTTCAGAAGATTCAAGTTTTCCTACAAGAAATAACATTAAAAGCTCAAGAAAACCCTCTGCAGAGAAACAATTAGAAAATTAGAAATAAAGACAGCTTGTTAACCAAAATGCTATGGACCAGACTACCATGGATTACAGAACATACTTCCCCAGATTTTCAAAATAGGAGACTCTCTATCTCTAATCTTTAAAACAGTAAAATAATCTTTATTCCCTCTCCCTTTTCTCCCATGTAAAGTCATTCACTGAGTTCTACTGAGTCTTCCTATAAACTATTTCTAACATTAGAAAAACGTTAAACACACACATTCATGTAACACACATATACAAAGTTATATTTACTTTCCTTCCTTCCCATCCTTATAACCACTACACTACTCCAACCCTTCATCACTACACAGCTGGGACAAATCAAAGAGCCAACTAAGTGGATGTCCATTCCTTGCTCTATTCCATCCAATTAGACACTGCTGCCCAATATTCCTAAAACACTACAGTATAGCTTTGATCATCTGTCATTCTATACTCTCTAAATTCTACATTCTCCATGTTATGAATGAAACTTCAAAAAGTCCTTAATATTTGGCTAACTCTATCCTATCTTTGCAGGCTTATCTGCCACAAGGAGATTCTCACTGCTCCCCCAAAACACTTTGTACATTCTTGCCTTCTCACTTTGGCTCACACTGTTCTACCCAACCATTCTGTAAAGCCCAGCTCAAATCATGCTTCTTCCATCAACCTGTCTCTAATCATACCAACTTGAAATGCTCTCTCTTTCCTAAAAAATCAATTTATTAACTATACCATTTATTTAGCAATAAATCCTTTCCAACTTTTTAATCATCAACCATTATGAAAATCTTTTCTTATTTAACATTTTGTGTTTATGACTTATTTCACAAAATAAATAAGCTCCTAGAACATAAGGTCTATCTTTTATATATCCCATAGTTGCTACTCGCTAAATATTTGTTGACTGATGTGGTCAAGCAGGCGATTTAGAATTCACTCATAGACAGCAATGAACCAATAGTTCTCAAGGTTATGTCTCCCCCTGCACTTTTATTTTTAACAGGTAATTCTATAAGGAAAACCCTAAAAGCAATGTAGGTTAGTAGGAAAGGCTGCTTCAGCCCAAACTAACTTGCACATTAAATAAGCCAAGAAATTAGAATATAAATTTTACTAAGAAAAATAAAACAGAGGCATTATGTATTTCTTAAGGAAAAGGGGTAACTAACTGATCTAAGATGATCTAGAATGAGAATCCAAATCCTCAAATTATTTTAAGTCTTCCTTAAAAGACAATGGAACTAACTGTGAGGAGCAGGGGGAGACAATATGTATATGTGCATGTATGTATGCAGGAAGCATTACAAGAGAAATTAGTAACAGTAATTGCTATTATGGAGTGCATACTGCATGACTGGGAGACAGTAAAAGAAGACTTAACTTCGAACTTTTTGATTTTTGAATTTTGTGCCTCTGTTAAATATTCAAACAAACATTTCAAGACAATGGAAGAGAAACTGTCAACAGAGCCTTCTGAGAAAATGTTTTTGTATTAAATGACTAAAAATCAAGAGGAAATGAAAGAAACGTTTAAGAATATTACATTTTTTTCCATAAAGCAAGAAAATATTCTCCAGTTTTCTCAATGCAGAGATCAGATAAAGAAAGCAATTTGCAGCAAAGTTCTAGCAGAGCTAAGAATAAAATAAAACTAAACAACAACAACAAAAACCACCTTCCCAAGGTTCTGTGCCCTGTCCAGCAGATGAGGATCTGGTTCAGTAATACGGAGGTGTACCCAAAGGAATTGTTGGAGGGGAGTGAATACCTACTCTTAAAATATGAGCAGTTCCCCACGTTCACATCCAAATCCCCTTGCCCATTTTCACTCTGTCATTCACCTTCTTTTGCTTTCTCCCTATGATGATTCGTCACACTCCAAACACTTTCTTCCCTCCCTATCACAATACTCATCTTAAAAAATGACTAATTATCTTCAAGACATCTTTCCTACAAACAAGGCATTATGCCTCTTTAGAGTATTCACCAAATCACAGGAAATCCAATTGAGAAATCTGTAGCAAATGTGATTTCTGGGTATTCTGACCTCTGAGAATGCCCTATCAGTCTCATTTGCAACCTGCTTGATTTTTTTCCTGCAATTTAATAATGCATTAATTTTTTTCACTTAAAAGCATTCAGCTTCCTGCTAAGACAAAAAAACAGTAGTGAATGTAACACAAAAGCCTGTTGCATTATCCTTAATTGAGGAATTAATCCTGAAACAAGGAGCTAAATATATAATAAATTAAGCCCTACTTGTTTACAGGGTTGTTGCTCACTAAAATGAAAGAAAAATGCTATTTACACCAGCTTGCAGTGGACATTAAACTTGTAGAGGCTCAGCCTTCAACTGTCTATACTATTAAAATAAGGAGAGAAGAACAGATTAAATATGAGGTGTTTTTTCATTGACAAAGTAGTTGCCATCTCTTCCTTTATCAATCATTATCTAAAAAGTAAAAGTAACATTTTAATTTTGACTTTTTCTCCCTTCCCAAGTTCACGCTGGTAGAAATGCTAATGATCAGTTAAGTGCTCATAATGGAGGAAAAAGGAGAAAAATAAATAACTGTATAATTCACAAGCTTGATGATCCATCCCTGGATAAGTAAGCATCCACTATTTCTCTAGCATTCTTACTCCCCAGGAACCCCCAAAAATTTATAGCACAAAAAACTACACTAATCAGCTGAATATGAAAGGAGCCTGTGAATGTGCCTTTTGAGGGAGTTCAGTGCTTTCCACTTCCAGATCCTGGGACATGCCCAGTGAATACAGGATGCCTACCATCAATAGTGAATATAAAGTGATCCAAATCTCTCCATCGCCTATTTTAGTCAACCCACCCCAATCAACTCCTTCCAGGATCAAGAGAGCTTCAGCACCAAACTAAAAGTACCTCTTAGACCCTCAGGCTTCTGGCTTTTATTTCATTCTATTCTCCTCAGTATGACACATCTCCATACACCCAAGGAAAATCTTAACTATTAGCCTCTCCAACCTTTGTACTACTTCTAGCCCAAAGTCCTCCCAGAACTTCTTTGGCCCCAACTTGCTGCCCGTACCCATCACCAATCCCCAGCATATTCTGTTCTCTGAGTCTCACACCAGTTTCAGCCTTGCATAAGCAAAGAAGTCCAGGTAACAATGGTCATAATTCCCTACAGTCCTGGTTACAACCTAGGTTGGCAATGGGAGAGATTTCATGAATAGCCAAGTATATGTGTTTACATGCAAGAGACACGGATGAAAGATAAGCAGACACCAAGATATGACCTTTTTAAAAGTAGCTAGGATAGCCACAGAAGGAACACAAGTGTGTTACTTTGGTGCCTCCTGTTTTCATCCATATTCTACTTATTGATACATCCTCTGTTAATTTCCCCTCATCCTTCCTGCTTCCAAAATGCTTTCCTTCAAAGGCACTTTTGCCCTCCCTCTGTCTATCCCAGAATCTTTCATTATACCCACTCACTAAGATATGTTTAGCTACCTAAGCTAATAATATCTTAAAATAAAACCAAAATTGTTCACATTACTTGGTTATATGAACATCAGAATATAACACCATTTAACAGAAAGAAGTCACTAAACATGAGTCGACCAACCTAGGTACCAGTCTCCACTACACCAGTTAGATAGTCCTTAGCTTGGACAACTTCCTTCATTAAGCTCTTCGATACTCAGTTTCTTCAGCTATAAAGTGGGTAGGATATTTGCTTTACCTCCTTCTCAATCGACTGATAGAAGGATTTTGAAAGTTTTTATAAATAGACAAACACAGAGTAACATTTACCAAAGGTGGCAGGTCACCTATGAGACCCATTCAAATAAAGCAGTTCAAAGACTATACAGTGGGGAAACCTAAAATGGTGCTGAAGACAAAACCAACTCCAAACATGTATAATCACTTACCACAATGTAAAAATCCAGCTCAAGTCAGCATAAAGGCAGGCCTCAGCCTTTGAGTCCATTTCACCTTCAGATCCCAGGCTACAGCTAAAAACAGCCCAGCTGGAGAGTGCCAAAGCATTCCTTTTGGGTAAAGAGTCCTATTCTAGTGTAGTTTGGGAATGGACAAGGCAAGAGGTACTTTGGTAACCACATTTGCACTGTGTTGGTGGAAGCCAGCAGAGCAATTGTACAGTAAAACTTTTCTTAGCAATGTCCATCCAAGTTAGGGTACCTACGGGTTCCATCCTCTATGCCAGACTGAAGATAAAGCATCCGTCTGCTTTTCAGACTACTGAAATTCAATACAGTACATATATACTACGTCAAATACATACATAAATACACATTAAGCTGCTAAATCCCTAGAGGCAAGGGGGCTAATATATATTAAGCACTATGTGTCAGAAACCATAAGGAAACAGAGATTTCATTTAATCCCCACAAATACCCTGCAACGTAGGTATTATTATTCCCACTTTTATAGATAGGAACACTGAAGCTCCAATAGATTAAATAACTTGCCCAAGGTCACAAAGCCAATACATAGCAGAGTCGGGATTTGAATCTAGTTTTGTCTGATTCCAAAGCCCATACTGCTTCTGACATTTTCTTCTCAATAGTGTAACTATAGCAACCTTCTTGGGTTTTCATTTCACCTTAATCTCTAACATAGTACTTAAATATGTGTCCTGGCTGTGTCTCCATAACTTCACAAAGGGATAATTTTTCCAGAAACCTTCTCCTTTGTCTTTTGACTGCATTTACTTCCCATTCTTGCACAAACTATTCTTTTTTAGGTTAAATCACTGGGCTGGCCCTAACAGACTGCCATACATTTCCGCAATTAATAAACTTACAGGGTAAGAGTTCTGTTTCCTTCGACACCTTAATAGCCACAGTTTTTGAGCACAGTATTATTTTTTAAGCGGGTGCTCGCCAGCTTAGAGAGGCATTGTACTAGTGTTCAGTTCAGTGCCTTATATATAGTAGGTGCAGAGTGAGACTATTTGTTGATTCATTGATTAAGAAAAGGTTTATTGATTCCTCAGTTAATGTGCTAAATATAAACAAACAGACTTTACGAGTGAAGTCCAATTCTATGAGTGAATTCTTTCACATTACAGTTTTTTTTGGAACATTTCTAAAGGATTAAGAAAAAGGTAAATTGAGATACAACAATCTGTTTAAGTCCCTAAATGACTAGCAAGTGAACTATAAAATTAAGAGCTTAAAGGGCTCAGTTTTAAAATACTATCATTCTGGATAACTTTACAAGCGCTTCTTTCCCTCTCTATGGGAAAAAAAAAGACTGGAAAAACATAATAAAACACAGATAATTGTTTTGCTTATGGTAGAAGCAAAGATGGTAAGGATGGTAAAACTAAGGATGACTTTTTCCCTGTTTTTACATATATTAAAATTTTTCTGCAATAAGTATGTATTTTTATAATTATGGTAACTGATCTCACTCTGGATATACTTTGGATTTTTAACGCTTTCTATATAGTATAGCTTTAGTGTCCTTAGACATAATCCATAGGAATTAAATATTCATTAATTCAAGCATGTGCCTTCTAGAACAATTTGTTACATAATACCAGCACATTAAAGATAATTATTTTTCTTTCCATTCACAGAATGTTTTTCTTGCTTTAGGTGGACATGTCTCTATTTTTGCATTCTTTTCAAGTAAGTGCAAGTTTCTTGTATGTTCTCTACAGAAAAATGGTTCTCAATCTTTTCTTGGAAACAAGCACAAGAATGGCATTTACCCCGATATAGCTCCAATTTATATGTCTTTCAACTTTATGTATATTACCTTTTCAATGAGATTAAAATACTTTGATCACAGTGGAATCCAAATGGAATGAGCTACGTTATGTGGCAGTAAGTTCCCTACCAACGGATGTATTCAAAGCAAAGATCTCCCATAAAGGAGATTCCTGTATTGGGTGGGAGGTGGTACCATGTGAATTTTATGGCCTCCTTCCTATTTTATGATTTTAAAATAGTTTTTTGGATAAATCGACTTTAGTAATACTGACCTCTGCTGTGTCAAGTGCCTTTCCCAGTTCACTATTCAAATCAACCCACAGAAGACGCTCTCCTGATCCAGTTTAATTTAGCCAGCTATCGGATTACTTCCTGTGGAGACCAAGAATATTAACAGTTGCTTGCTATTTGAAATGACTGAAGTGTGCTGAAATAATGCAGTCAGCAAAATGTCACTTATGGCTTACATATGGATCTGTTGCAGCCTGTAAAACATTGTCTCCATGAGGGACAGCCAAAATGAAGAGTTATGTGGGAGTAATAAAATATGATAACTAGGCCTCAACCTCAAGTACAAACCCAGCTGCGCATGTACATACACATCCACGAGAAAGCCTGCTGATAATAAAAAGCAAAAAAAAACTCAATCATGTCCAGTGTGTGTGCACTTCGCCGCAGAACTGGTCGGGGAACTGTCCTTTCAGCACCACAGCAAGAAACCTGAATACAAGCCTAAACACAGGCAACCCAAAGCTGGACCAGGAGAAAAAATTCTTAAGGGTCCTACAAGGAAAGCAACAGCAACCGTATGGTTGTTTTTAAGGATGCAGTATTCCACTTGATTATCCTTTATTAATTTAAAACAAAATCCTCCAAAGATTTTGATAAAAGTTGACAAAACCCCAAATGAAAACCAAAGCTGCTCAAACTGAAGCCAAGAAACCAATAACTGATCTGCACCATTATGAACTGCTTTGCAATACCCACCACCAGCTCTACTCAGAAACACAACACATTTACATATACCCTGAATCAGATGTTCAGAGAACACGGAACATGCTTGCAGCCCTCTCCAGGGAGGACCTCAATTTCTAGGACAGGGAATGCGTGCTGAACACCAAAGGATCACTACCCACAACCACCACCTCACCAACCAGCAACCAAATCCTCTTTCAGGGAGAAATGAAGGCCTTATGGGTCATGAGCTCCAAAGAAAAATGCTGCAGTATTTCAAGAACCAGGTTACATGTAATGTGCTATAAAGCTTTCAGCATTTTAAGTCTGATTCCCCCAAGATTCCTACCAGGATGGTACCGTGTGGTAATGTTATCCAGCCATTTGCATCACAAATCAAAAAAAAAATTTTTTTTGAGAAAAGAATAAAAGCACAACATCCCCCCCTCCACATCTTCTAATGCACGTGGAGAAAAGAGAAGTGCAGAGGGATTTTGAGACAGTGAAAAACCTACCACACCCGAAATCTCCATTGGAAAGCTAAAACATCCCCCAGCCCTAACACACTGCTACCTCTCTCTAAAGGCTCTCCAGGTTCAAACTTGGGAAAACAGTTATAAAAAGCACTCTCCCCCTTTACCCCCATGGCCCCCACCCACACTTCCTGCTTCCATCCCTGACTCTCTGGTGCCCACTGTGCATAAAAAGCAGTTTTCCTTGTGTGGCAGAGCTTGCTCCATGCTAATTATTTCTCCCTCCCCCTGACTTTAGCCAGATGCAATCCAAAGTTTCTTCTACCCTCCCCCCAAACAGATGACATCCATTTATTATGAACGCTGATGCAGAACCTTGGAATCTCCGGACATAAAATGTATTCCCTCATGCTTCAAAAACTGCAGTGTAAGTGAGGAAGAGGGCATAGGGTGGAGTAGTCGGATGGAATGCATGGTTTGAAGAATCCTATTTATCGGGCTGAAAAATGGTTCCCATTCCATCCCAACTCGAAGCTGGGGCCCCTGAAAGGGTCTGACAGTCCTGGCTAACCCCTGGAAAGTTAGCCAAGTCTCCACCGGTGGTTGTTGCTGGCAATGGAGGGGATGGAGCTGAGCTCTCAGGAGAAACTGCAGAGGCTTTGCGGTGCCCCAAGGTACCAAGTGAGAACTAGAGAGGAGGGTCCAAGCCCACGGAGCTGGGCAAACAGTCCTGTACCCCAACGCTAACAAGAAGCCAAGGGTGCTGCTGCTGATGGTAAGGTGGGGGAGGGAGAGGAGAGGAACAAGCTCTGCATCGGGTGGCGTGGGGGTGGGGGGTGGGGGTGGGGGTGGGATGGGGGAAGGGGATATTCTCAAAGTGATGTGCTTCCAAATGCAGGAATCCTCGCCTGCCGAGGAAGGTCCCGGGAGCCCCCATCACAACTCCAGAGCACCCTGTTGGGAGGGGGACGAACGCATCCGAGTAAAGGACAGAGGGAGTCGGGAGTGCTGGCTGCGGGAAGAACCCAGGAGCCCTTGGCTTCTGCAGTTTTTAGCAGTGTGAAGCCGGCTGAGGGAGAAGGATGCAGTAAGACATGGGGGAGGGGGAGGGCTGAGGGGCTGCTGTAGGAAGATCCCGACAGCGCTGCCCTTCCCAGTGCAAGCCGGCTAGGGGCCCCAACTCTGCCCGGCACTGAGGGAGGGATGGAGGGCTGCACCGCGGAAGGGGCACCAAGGACGGGCCGTGTCCCTCACTGTAGCCGAGACGGAGAAAGCAGGGTGTCCGGGGTGGGGACTGGTGGTCCTCAGTTCTCTTAAGAGACCCCCGGTACACACAGTAGAAGGAAGCAAGAGTTCCAAACACCTGTCCAAAACAAGGAGAGCAGAGCCCCAGCTCCACGGCCCCTGGAGCCCCGCCGCGCACTCTGCGGCAAAGCCCCTGACTGGAGATGGGCGAGCCCCGCTCAAGGGTCCCGAGGCGAGAAGGGAAACCCGGAGGGCAGGAAGCAGCGCTAGGGCGGGGGCTCTGGGGCGACTTACGGCAGCGGCGGCGGCGAGGGAGGCAGCGGCGGCCCTAACGCGGGGCCCGGGAGGCGCGGCCGGACTGCAAAGGCGCCGAGGATGCGGCGGGCGGGACTGCGGTGGGCGCCATCTTGGAGCGCTCCCCGCGCCCGCCCCCCGCACCGCCCGAGTCCTTGCATAATTGATGACTCGCGCCCGCCGCGCGCCACCGCGCGCGCGCCCCTACTGCCGGGCCCCCCGCCCGCCCCGCCCCCGCGCCTACCCCTCCGCGCGCGCCCCCTGCCCGGGCCGGCCCCGGCCCGCAAGCGCCGCTGCCACCGCCCCCGCCCCCTCCCTGCGCTTCGCGCCCGCCCGCCCGCGCCCCCGCGGCCCACCTACCCCTGCAGGGCGCGCCCGCTCGCCCGCTCGCCTGCAGCGCGCCGCCCGCCCGCAGGCTCTCAGACTCGCGTCTCCGCGCCGCCGGGAGCGGATCAGGGGCAAGAGGGAACAGGGCGCCGGCAGGGGGCGCCGCGCGGGAGCGCCAGCGAGCGTCCCCGGGCCCGCCTCCACTACGCCCCCGCCGAGCCGCCGGGAGGGGCCGCGGGCTGAGGACCGGGACCCGCCGCGAGACGCTGGCTGGCTGCTCGCCAGCGCCGGGCGGCGAGACCCGAAAGCTGTCGTGGTGACCCGCGTGCTCTGTGGCCCGCGTCAGTGCCAAGTCTTACCTTTCTCCTGCCCCCCAACAGTGCCGCGCTCAGTGAAGTTTCTGACATCCAAAAGCGCAGGGAACTCAATTTACAGGATCTTGGGCCCACTGAAAAAACGAGAAGTCAATCAGCGGCAGGTGGAGGCTCGTGTTTCAGCCCACAGGGACCTGCTGCCAGGAGCGGGGAGGCGCTGCCTCCCTGACAGCCCCCAGGCCACCTCAGTCTTTCCGATCCTCAGTCTGTCCATCTGTAAAGTAGGCATGAGCATTTCGACCGCTCACTCCACCCTCGCGAGGATCTAGGTAATGAGTGCCAGAGCTCTTGGCACTTTACTGTGTCTCTCCTCTACTTAATATTTTCCTACCACCAATCACAAGAGGGAAAAAGGGTGTAACAACCTCTCCAAACCTCAGTGTTCTCGTCTGTAAAAGGAAACAGTCACAGTAGCAACCTTATAAACTTCTTGTTTGTACTAACGGGGAGCATGCACTTCACACATTGCTAACACAGCCAGGCACATGGTATGCTTATCACATAATGTGCCCTCTACAATACATTTAAAATTAGCTTTACTGGGGTATATTTGCGTGTGTTTAGATTGTACAATTTTGAGTTATGTGTGCACTCATGAAACCATCACCACCAAGGTAATGAACACACCCATCACCTCCAAAAATTTCTCCGTGTGCTTCTTTGTAATCACTCCCTGCATCGCTCGCCCCCACACACCCTCTCCAGGCAACCACTGATCTTCTTTCTATTACTGTACATTGGTTTGCATTTTCCGGAATTTTAAATAAATGGAATCATACAGTACAAACTCTCTTTTTTGTATGGCTTCTTCCACTCGGCATAATCGTTTTGAGATTATTCAGTCGTTGCCTATCAAGAGTTCTTTTTTACTGCTTAGTAGTATTCTTTATGGGGATACACCACAATGTGTTTATCCAGTCACCTGTTGATGACATTTAGGTTATTTCCAATGTTTGTCCGTTACGAACAAAGCTGTTATGAGCTTTCGTGTGCAGGTCTTTGTATGGATATATATGCTTTCGTTTCTCGTGGGTATAAATATCTAGGAATGGAATAACTGAGTCCTGTCTTAGGTGTATATTTAACATATTAAGAAAGGGCCAAACTGCCTTCCAAAGTGGTTGTGCCTTTCCATTCCTACTAGCAGCACATGAATTTCAGTTGTTCTACATCCTCACCAACATTTGGAGTGATCAGTCTTTTTAATTTTAGCCATTTGAATAGATGTGTAGTTTTATCTCGCTGTGGGTCTGTCGTCCATTTCACTAGTGACTAAAGATGTTGAACATCTTTTCATGGACTTGTCATCTGTAAATCCTCCTGGCGAAGTGTCTCTTCAAGTCTTTAGCCTATTTAAAAATTGGTGGGGTTTTTTCTTGTTAATTGAGTTTTACGAGTTGTTTATATATCCTGGCTGGGCTCAGTGACGCATGCCTGGTGTCCCAGCTACTCTGGACACTGAGCAGGAATAATTGCTTAAACCTAGGATTTCAAGTCCAGCATGGACAACACAGGAGACTCTGATTCTAAAATTTTTTTAAAAAAATTAAAGAGTTGTTTATATATTGTGGATACAAATCTTCTGTCAGACATGTGATTGGCAAATATTGTTTCCCAGTTTAGGCTTATCTTTTTATTCTTTTTACTCTCTTAACAGTGTTTTTCCAAAAGCAGAGGTTCTTCAGCCAGTTGTCCTGGTGCACACTTGTAGTCCCAGCTACTCGGGAGGCTCGGGCAAGAGGATCTCCTGAGGCCAGAAGTTGGAGGCTATAATGTGTTATAATTGGGCCTGTGAATAGCTGCTGCACTCAAGCCTGGCCAACATAGCCAGAACCTGTCTCTTAAAAAAAAAAAAATTAGACCTTCTTAATTTTTATGAAGTTCAGTTTATTATTTTTTCTTCTATGAATCATGCTTTTAATGTCATGTCTAATAAGTTTTTGCCCAACACAAGGCCCCAAATATTTTATCCTATGTTTCCTTCTGGAAATTTTATAGTTCTAGAGTTTACATTTAGGTTTATAATCCATTTTGAATTGATTTTTGTATGTGGTATGAAATGTAGTTTGAAGTTCTTTTGTTGTTTTGTTGCATAGATATATAGTTGTCCCCATACTATTTGTTGAAAACACTATCCTGTCTCCACTGACTACCCTTGCACCTTTGCAAAAAATCGTTTACTCAAGTATGTAAGAATCTAGTTCTAAACTCTCCTTCTGTTTCATTGATATATTTTTCTGTCTTGGCACTAATACCACACTGTCTGGATTACTCTGCCTTTATAATAAATCTTGAAATCAGGTACTTTCAGCCCTTGACTTTGCCCTTCGTTTTCAATATTGATCTTGCTAGTCTAGGTTCTTTGCATTTCCATATGAATTTTAGAATCACCTTGTCAAATTTCAACAAAAATCCACTGAGATTTTGATCAAGATTGCATTGAATCTGTAGATCAACTTGGGAAGAACTTATATCATAACAAAATCAAATTTTTCATTCCATGGACACTTTATTTTAGTCCTTTTTAATTTCAATGTTTTATAGTTTTCAAGATATGGGTCTTGCTCACCTTTCTGGGATTTATTCCTAAATATTTCATATTTTTGATGTTATTGAATGCTATTTTTATATGGCAATTTGATTATTCATTGGTATGGTATAGAAATATAATTATTTTTGTATATTAATCATATGTCTTGAAACTTTGCTAAATTCATTTAATACCTTTAGTAGAGCTTTTTGTAGAGTCATTTAGATTTTCTACTGATAAACATACAATCTGCAAATACACAGTTTTACTTCTTCCTTTCCAATCTAGATGTCGTCGTCGTTGTTTTCCTTGCCTTTATGCACTGGCTAGAACCTCTAATACAATGTTGAATAGAAGTGGTAAGAGCAGACATCTTTGTTTAGTTCCTCATCTTGGGGGAAAACTTTGAATCTTTGGCCTTTAAACATGATGATGGCTGTAGACTTTTTTTTCTAAATACCCTTTGTCATGTTGAGGAAGGAATCTTCTATTCCTATTTGGCTGAGGGGTTTTATCAATAATGGATGTTTAATTTTGTCAATGCTTTTTCTGCATATTTTTTTTTTTTTAGTCTTACATATAGTGGTTAATTTTCAAGTGTTAAACTAAACTCACGTTCCTAGGGTAATGTATTGATCATGACATACTATCTTTTTTATATATTGCTGGCTTTGGTTTGCTAACATTTTGTTAAGAATTAGCACATCTATGTTATGAAGTGCATTGGTCTGTAGTTCTCCTCTAATGCCTTTGTCTAGTCCTGGTATCACAGTAATGCTGGCCTCATAGAAAAGAAAGTATTCCCTTCTCTTCAATTTTCTGGAAGAATTTGTGTAAAATTCATATTACATGTTCCTTAACTGTTTAGTAGAATTGCCTAGTGAAATCATCTGGGCCTGGAGTTTTCTTTGTGGGAAAGTTTTTGGGTTTTGGGTTTCGATTTGTTTTTGTTTTTGTTTTTTTGTTTGTTTCTTTTGGTTTTTTTTATTGTTGTTGTTTTTTGAGATGAAGTTTTCGCTCTTGTTGGCAGGCTGGAGTGCAATGGTGCAATCTTGGCTCACTACAATCTCCGCCTCCCAGTTCAAGCGATTCTCCTGTCTCAGCCTCCCAAGTAGCTGGGACTACAGGTGCCCGCCACCACGCCTGGCTAATTTTTTGTATTTTTAGTAGAGAAGGGGTTCCAGCCAGGCTGGTCTCGAACTCCTGACCTCAGGTAGTCCACCCCTCCCCTTGGCTTCCCAAAGTGCTGGGATTATAGGCGTGAGCCACCGCGCCTGGCCTGTTTTTGTTTTTTTGAAACAGGGTTCTCACTGTGTTGCCCAGGCTGGAGTGCAGTGGTGCCATCACAGCTCACAGCAGCCTCAACCTCCCGGGGTCAAGCGATCCTCCCACCTCAGCTTCCCGAGTAGCTGGGACCACAGGCATGTGCCACCGTGCCTGGCTAAATTTTTTATTATTTACAGAGACAAGTTGTCGCTATGTTGCTCAGGCTGTTCTCAAATGCCTGGGCTCAAGCAGTCCTCCTGCCTCAGCCTCCCAAAATGTTGTGATTACAGGCATGAACCACTGTGCCTGGCTTGAGGGAAAGTTTTTGACTACAAATTTATTGTCTTTAATATAGGGATTTTCAGGTTTTAAATTTCTTATTGGTAGTTTTATCTATCAAGGAATTTGTCTATTTTATTTATATGGGCATAAAGGTGTTCATAAAATTCCTGTATTATTCTTTTACTATCTATACAATTTGTAGTAATGTCGCCTCTCTCATTCCTGATATTGGTCATTTGTATTCTCTCTCTCTCTCTCTTTCTCTCTCTCTCTCTCTCTCTCTCTTCCCCCTCTCTCAGTTAGTCTGGCTAAAGTTTAATCAACTTTATTGATCTCAAAAAATACTTTTTGGTTTCATTGATTTTTCTCCACTGATTTTCTGTGTTCTGTTTCATTGATTTCTACTCTAATCTTTATTATTTCCTTCCTTCTGTTTACTTTGAGTTTCACTTGCTTTTTTTCCCCCTAATTTTTTTTTTAGACGGCGTTTCACTCTTTTGCCCAGGCTGGAGTGAAGTGGCATGATCTTGGCTCACTGCAACCTCCGGCCCCCTGGGTTCAAGCAATTCTCCTGCCTCAGCCTCCCAAGTAGCTGTGATTACAGGTACCCACCACCACACCCGGCTAATTTTTATATTTTTAGTAGAGACGGGGTTTTGCCATGTTGGCCAGGCTGGTCTCAAACTCTTGACCTCAGGTGATCCACCCAACTCAGCCTCCCAAATTTCCCCTAATTTTTTAAGGTAAAAGCTGAGGTCATTTATTTAAGACCTTTCCTCTTTTCTAAAATAGACACCTAATGCTATAAATTTCTCTGTAAGTACTACTTTAGCTGCATCCCACAAATTTCGATATGTTGGATTTTCATTTTAATTCAGTTAAAAATGCCTTTTAATTCCCCTTTTGCTTTCTCTTTGACTCATGGGTTATTTAGAAGCATACGACCTAATTTTCAAATATTCGGGGATTTTCCCAATTACTTTCTGTTGTCAATTTCTAATTTTAGTGCATGTAGTCAGAGAAAAAGATTTATAGGAATTGATCGTCTTCAGGTTTTTGAGACTTGTTTTATGACCCAGAATATGATCTATCTTGGTAAATGTTCTGTATTTTGTTTGTTTGTTTGGTTGGTTGGTTAGTTTTTTGACTTTTGTTTTATTTTCCAAGACAGGGTCTCACTCTGTCAGCTAGGCTGAAGTGCAATGGTGCGATCTTGGCTCACTGCAACCTCTGCCTCCTAGGTTCAAGCGATTCTCCCACCTCAGCTTCCAGAGTAGTTGGAATTACAGGTGTGCTCCACCATGCCCATCTAAATGCTGTGTTTTCAGTAGAGACAGGGTTTCACCATGTTGGCCAGACTGGTCTCAAACTCCTGACCTCAAGTGATTCGACCGCCTCAGCCTCCCAAAGTGCTGGGATTATGGGCATGAGCCACTGTGCCCAGCTGTTTTGTATGCATTTATGAAGAATGTGTTCCCTGTTGTCATTGGATGGAATGCTCTATAAATGTCAATTAGGTCAAGGTGATTAATAGTGATGTTCAAGTATCCCATATCCCTACTGATTTTCTTTATACTTGTTCTGTCATTTATTGAGAAAGGACATTTCTGAATATAATTGCAGATTATTCTACTTCTTGCAGTTCTATCAGTTTTTGCTTCCTTTATTTGGAAGCTCTGTTATTAGGTAAATTGATGTTTAGGATTGTTGTGTCCTCTTGATCAAATCACTTCTTTATCATTATGGCATGACCTTCTTTATCCTTCTAATATTTTTTGCTCTGAAATCTACTTTGTCTAATATAGCATCAGCATGGTATTTCTTTTTCCCCCATTCTTTTAATTTTAACCTCTTTGTGTCTTTATATTTAAAATGGGTTCCTTAACAATAAACAGAATAATGAGACAACCAACAGAATGGGAGAAAATATTTGTTAGCCATACATCTAACAAGCGGCTAATATCCAAAATATATAAGGAACTCAAACAACTCAATAATAAAGAAACAAAGAACCCTGTTAAAACATAGGCAAAGAACCTGAATAGACATGTCTCAAAAGAAGACATGCAAATGGCCAAGAAGTATATGAAAAAAACTCAGTATCACTAATCATCAGGAAAATGCAAATCAAAACCACAGTGAAATATCTCCTCACACCTGTTAAAATGTAAATTGTAAAAAAAAAAAAAAAAGACAAAAAATAAGTTTTTGCAAGGATGTAGAGAAAAGAGAACTCTTGTACACTGTTAGTAGGAATGTAAATTAGTACAGCCATTATGGAAAACAATATGAAGGCTCCTCAAAAAAATAAAAAATAAAACTACCATATGATCCAGCAATCCCACTACTGAGTATATATCCAACGGAAATAAAATTAGTACATTGAAGTGATACTGAACTCGCTTGTTCACTGCAGCATTATTCACAATAGCTAAGATATAAAGTCCACTAAGTGTCTATCAGTGGGTGAATGGATAAAGAAAATTTGGTCTTTTTATTCAGCCTTAAAAATGAAGGAAATCCCATCATTTGCAACAACATAGATAAACCTGAAGGACATTATGTTAAGTGAAATAAGCCAGACACAAAAAGACAAATACCATATGATCTCACTAATATCTGAAATCTAATAAAGTCAACCTCATAAAAGTAAAGAGTAAAATGGTGGTTATCAGAGGCTGTGGGATAAGGGGATTGGGGAGATGTTGGTCAAAGGATACAAGATGTCAGTTAGACAGGAAGAATAGTTCCAGAAATCTATTATACATCATAGTGACAATAGTTAATAACAATGTTTTGTATACAGGCATACCTCCAAGATATTGCAAATATCACAGGCAAGTAAGTTACATAAATTTTTGGTTTCCCAGTGTACATAAAAAGTTATGTTTATACTATAATGTAGTTACTAAGTGTGCGATAGCATTATATCTTAAAAATGTACATACCTTAGTTTGAAAATACTTCATTCCTAAAAAGTGCTAACCATCATCTGAGCCTGCAGCAAGTCATGATCTTTTTTTATGCTTTTTTTATTATTATACTTTAAGTTCTAGGGTACATGCACACAACGTGCAGATTTGTTACATAGGTATACGTGTGCCATATTGGTTTGCTGCACCCATCAACTCATCATTTACATTAGGTATTTCTCCTAATGCTATACCTCCCCCAGCCTCCCACCCCACAACAGGCCCCAGTGTATGATGTTCCCTGCACTGTGTCCATGTGTTCTCGTTGTTCAATTCCCACCTATGAGTGAGAACATGCGACGTTTGGTTTTCTGTCCTTGTGATAGTTTGCTGAGAATGATGGTTTCCAGCTTCATCCATATCCCTGCAAAGGACATGAACTCATCCTTTTTTATGGCTGCATAGTTTTCCATGGTGCATATGTGCCACATTTTCTTTATCCAGTCTATCACTGATAGACATTTGGGTTGGTTCCAAGTCTTTGCTATTGTGAATAGTGCCGCAATAAACATACGGGTGCATGTGTCTTTATAGTAGCATGATTTATAATCCTTTGGGTATACACCCAGTAATGGGATCGCTGGGTCAAATGGTATTTCTAGTTCTAGAGCCTTGAGGAATTGCCACATTGTCTTCCACAATGTTTGAACTAGTTTACACTCCCAAAGGGCTGGAATAAACTTTTTCCCACTCCAGTTGATGTTGATATTTTGACCTTCTCCCATGAATTACAGATGTTGTTAATGACTTTTTCAATGGTGAATCATTTCCAGAAGGCTCTCCATTTCCTTTCCCAGATCCATCAGAGGAATCATTACCTATGGCTGCCATAGTCCTACAAAATGTACTTCTTAAATAATATGACTTGAAAATTGAAATTACTCTTTGATCCACGGGCTACAGAATGGATGGTGTGTTAGCAGGCATGTAAACAACATTAATTTCCTTATACATCTCCATCAGAGCTCTTGGGTGACCAGGTATATTCTCAACGAGCAGTAATGTATTGAAAGGAATCTTTTTTTTTTTTTTTGAGCAGTAGGTCTGAACAGTGGGCTTAAAATATTTAATAAACGGTGCTGTCAACAAATGTGCTGTTATCCAGGCTTTGTTGTTCCATGTATAGAACACAGGTAGAGTAGATTTAGCATCATTCTTAAGGGGCCTAGGATTTTCAAAATGGTCAATGAGCATTGGCTTCCACTTAAAGTCACCAGCTGCATTACCTCCTAACACAAGAGTCAGCCTGTCCTTTGAAACTTTGAAGCCAGGCATTGACTTCTCCTCTCTAGCTGTGAAAGTCCTAGATGGCATCTTCTTCCAATAGAAGGCTTTTTTTCTACACAGAAAATCTGTGTTTAGTGTGACCACTTTCATCAATTAATGATCTTAGCTAGTTCTTCTGGATAACTTACTACAGATTCTCCATCAGCGCTTGCTCCTTCACCTTGTACTGTCATGTTCTGGAGATGGCTTCTTGGCTTCTTCCTATAAACCTCATGAACCAACCTCTGCTGGCTTCAAACTTTTCTCCTGAAGCTTCCTCACCTCCTTCAGCCTTCACTGAATTGAAGAGTTATTGCCTTGTTCTACATTGGGTTTTGGTTTAAGGGAATGTTGTGGCTGGTTTGGTCTTCCACCCAGACAACTGATACTTTCTCCATATCAGCAATAAGGCTGTTTTGCTTTCTTATTATTCATGTGTTCACTGGAGTAGCACTTTAAATTTCCCTCAAGAATTTTTCCTTGACCAGGTGCAGTGGCTCATGCCTGTAATCCCAGGACTTGGGAGGCCAAGGCAAGAAGATTAGTTGAGGCCAGGATTTCAAGACCAGCCTGGGCAACATAGCAAGACCCTCTCTCTACAAAAAACTTTAAAACATAGCTGGGCACCGTGACATGGGCCATGTAATCTCAGCTACCTGGGAGACTGAGACAGGAGGATCACTTGAGCCCAGAAGTTTGAGGTTACAATGAACTATGATTGTGCCCTGCCCTTTAGCCTGGGAGACATACCTTTCAGCCTGTCTCAGTTTTCAACATGTCTTCCTCACTAAGCTCAATCATCTCTAGCTTTTGATTTAAAGTGAGAGACATGCAACTCTTCCTTTTATTTGAACACTTAGAGGCCACTATAGGATTTTTTTCTTTCTTTCTTTCTTTCTTTTTTTGAGATGGAGTCTCACTCTGTCACCTGAGCTGGAGTGCAGTGGCGCGATCTTGGATCACCTCAACCTCCGCCTCCCAGGTTCAACTGATTCTCTTCCCTCAGCCTCCCGAGTAGCTAGGACTACAGGCATGCGCCACCCTGCCTGGCTAATTTTTTGTATTTTTTGGTAGAGATGGGGTTTTACCATGTTGGCCAGGCTGGTCTTAAACTCCTGACCTCAGGTGATCCACCCACTTTGGCCTCCCAAAGTGCTGGGATTACAGGCATGAACCACTGTGCCCAGCCACACTATAGAATTGTTAATTGGCCTAATTTTAATATTGTATCTTAGGGAATAGAGAGGCCCAAGGAGAAGAAGAAAGACAGAGAACAACTAGTTGGTGGAGCAGTCAGAGCACACACAACATTTTAGCTTGCCACCTTGTATGGGTATGGTTCGTGGTACCCCAAAAGAATTACAACTGTCACATCAAAGATCACTAACCACAGATATAACAGATGTTATAACAGTTTAAAAGTTTGAAATATAGCAAGAATTACCAAAATGTGACACAGAAACATAAAGTGAGCACGTGCTGTTGGAAAAAAGGCACCCATAGGCTTGCTCAATGTAGGGTTGCCACAAAACTTCAATTTGAAAAAAAGAAAACAATATCTGTGAAGTGCAATTTTAGAAAGTACAATAGGCCAGGCATAGTGGCTCATGCCTGTAATCCCAGCACTTTGGGAGGCCAAAGCGGGCGGATCACTTGAGGTCAGGAGTTTGAGACATCCTGGCCAACATGGCAAAACCCCCTTTCTATTAAAACTACAGAAATTAGCCAGGCGTGGTAGTGGGTGCCTATAATCCCAGCTACTCAGGAGGCTGAGGCAGGAGAATCGCTTGAACCCAGGAGGTGGAGGTTGCGGTGAGCTGAGATTGTGCCACTGCACTGCAGCCTGGGTGACAGAGCAAGACTCCATCTCAAAAACAAAAATAAAATAAAATAAAAAATAAAAAGCACAATAAAACAAGGTACACCAGTACTTGAAAATTGCTAAGAGAATAGATTTTAAGTGTTCTCACCACAAAAAAAATGCATCTGTTAATTAGTTTGATTTAGTCATTTCACAATGTATACGTATTTCCAAATATCATATTGTACACCATAAATATATATGATTTTTATTTGTCAATTAAAAAACCCTCCCCACCCCACCACAAAAAGGTGGTTTATTTTAGGCAACATATGGTTGGGTATTACTTTATTTTCCAATCTGACAATCTTTTTTTTTTTCAATTGGGTTAGACAAGTTATAGTTGATGTGATTATCAATATCGGGGTTAAATCTAACATTGAGCTACTTTGTTTCCTATTTATTCCCATCTGTTCTTTGTTTCCTCTCTTCTCTCTTTCTGCTTTAATTAATTGGTATATATTTTATAATTCTTTTATCTACATTGTTGGTGTATCAGCCATATTCATTGTTGCATTGTTTTACCTCTACATCAATTTAAATATCTGTCTTAACTTGAGTACTAAACTGTAAGTTCTTTTGAGGCAGGTTCAAGAATAGGGTCTGGAGGCAGGGAACCCATGGTGCATTTGCACTGACTTCCTAGAACTGAATCAAAAGGGAAAAAACCACCTCTCCACACCAAGTAACAAAAGGATCAGAGGCTACTCCATTTGCACACCCCGATTTTCTGCATTGCAGATGAAAAATGAAAGTACCTGCGATTGGTCCCCTCCTGCAACCAATCAGCAATCAGACTGGTCTTAACGCCAAGACTTCGTGTGTAACTTTGTAACTTCACTTCAGCCTCTGATTGTTCACCTTCTGCAACCAATCAGACTGATTGCAGGCCACTACTTCAGTTACATAGGTTGTAAACCAAGTAACCAATGGGAAACCTCTGGAGGGTATTTAAATCCTGGAAAATTCTGTAACCAGCACTCTTGAGCCGCTTGCTTAAGCCTGCTCCCAGTCTGTGGAGTGTACTTTCATTTCAGTAAATCTGTGCTTTCCTTGCTTCATTCTTATCTTGATTTGTTTGTGCATTTTGTCCAATTATTTTACCTGGACACTGTCCACCAGTAACACTTCGACTCCTTGCAGTTTGTATGTTTTGTACACAGTAGGTTTTCAATACATACTCACTGAATGAGTGAACATTTGTTTCTTCTCATCTTACATCAACAAACATTTAGTGATTACCTGCTAAGGCTGCTCCAGGTAGCTGAATTAGCAGTTGGCTTCAAATGAAGCAGACCTCATACTAGATAAGGAGATGGAGGCCAGGGTGGTGGCTCACACCTGTAATCCCAGCACTTTGGGAGGCCGAGGCAAGCAGATCACCTGAGGTTGGGAGTTCGAGACCAGCCTGACCAACATGGTGAAACCCCGTCTCTACTAAAAATACAAAATTAGCCGGGCGTGGTAGTGCATGCCTGTAATCCCAGCTACTCAGGAGTCTGAGGCAGGAGAATCGCTTGAACCCGGGAGGCAGAGGTTGCGGTGAGCCGAGATCGTGCCACTGCACTCCAGCCTGGGTAACAAGAGCAAAACACCATCTCAAAAAAAAAAAAAAAAAAAAGAGATGGAGCATTGATTTCCAGTATGGTAACTAAATCAACGTGATTATAAACAGAAGGAAAGAAAGATAAATCCACAAATATGGTTAAAATATAATTACTAAAGGCTTTATGTAGTATAATTTATAAGAAAGCCAATGTGTAAATAAGTTAAAAAGAAAAGTTTGAGGTCATAGATTTAAAAAAATTCAATCCTATGACATAAAGTCTTTCCACGTAATAAGCTTACTTTTTATTTTGCATTTTCTGAAGTTCTGTGGTTATAATCAGAATGTTATGTCCTCCTTGTTAAAGCTGCATTTCCTGAAAATCAGACCTTTTGGAGCTATCATTAAGCATTATTTGCCAAACAGGGAGAGAGGACGGAATTCTATATCCTTTCTCCAATATTTTAACAAACATGAAAATTACACCCTCTGGGACTATATCGGGTTAAGTAGTAATGGAATCGGTTACCTTTCAGCTCCAGGTAGCCAAGCTTACAAACTTTTCAAATATGAGGATATTGCTGACTCCATGAGAATCTTTAGAAGGATCAAAAATGTCAAGGATTTCTTTTAACAACTAAGCTCATATCAGGAAAAAAAAATTCAATACTCTGAGAAAGGAGTTTCCATTTAGAAAGATGAAAGAGGGATTAGACTTACCCGGTGTTACTCCAGAGGGCAAACCAGGACTGCGGGTGGGAGTTCCTGGAGGATAAACACCAGCCCAATATGAGGAAGGATGTTACAACAGAACTGATCAGCAACAAGACAGGCCACCAAAAGAAGGAGCCAGCCACGTTTATTCAAGGAAAAATTATACAATCACTTGTCCTGGACATTTTTATGTTCAAGGGCCTCTTTGAAAATTGAATGGACACCATGGATATTTTTTCTTCCCAGAAAAATGCTCAGATCCATGCACATATACTCATGCATGTATGCACGTGCACACGCAGGCACACACACACACACACACACACACAAAGTAATGCATAATTTTGCATTTGACTGTGAAACTCATCCTTGAGGCCCAGGTTAACAATGTCTGGGGTATACAAATGTTTAAAGTATAAAGTAGGACTGTGCACCTTCCACCTCTGAGAGTCTGTGACCCTCTGGTTATATCCCCATTCTCATCACTACCTTTAGAGGTTATTTAAGGTTTCCTGATGGAAATCCAGCAGTGGAAGTTACCTTCCTTCTTTGGATGTTCTGCCTCACTTCTTTCTACCTTTTAACCCAATCATAGTTTACTTAATCTTCCATCCCTCATTCCGGACATTATTGCTTCCTCTAAATGTACTGTTCCCTTTGATGGAGACGGATTTTAATCCCTTAGTTTTCTATGATGCCAGCTGACTCCAGTCTGAAGATTTTATCTCTGAGATTACTCCTAATCTCCTCCCACACCAGCAAGCCCTGCAGAAATATTGGTGATGTGGAAGATGTCGCTCCCTCTAGCCATCCTTTCCACTGCAACTTATGACAATAGGCCTCATGTGTTAGCCTGTGGACTTTTCTTGGTTTATCCTACTTTTGGATTATTGTAGCTTTGCAAATAATTTGCTAATTAACTTTTGGTCAAGCTGCATCTACAAGAGCATACTTCATGTCTCAAAGTCAGCATCTGTAATGGCATAGATGGCACTGCTGTGCATCTTATGTAGTAAGTACACTCTTCGATAGGCACAGTTGAGAGATAGTGTTCATTGTGGCCAGCCATGTGGACTGTGCAGCCAGTTGTCTTGGATTCAAATCCACACTTCACCATGTAGCAGCCTTTTAATCTTGGGCAGTTATATAACTATTGAGCTTTGGGTTTCTTCTTTCCTTCTTTTCTTTTCTTTTTCTTTTTGAGACAGTGTCTTGCCCTGTCACCCAAGCTGGAACTCTGGAGTGCAGTGGCACAATCATGGCTCACCGCAGCCTCGACCTCCCTGGGCTCAGGTGATCTTCCCAACTCAGCCTCCTGAGTAGCTGGGGCTACAGACATGCACCACCATGCCCAGCTAATTTTTCTATTTTTTGCAGAGATGGGGTTTCACCCTGTTTGCCCAGGCCAGTCTTGAACTCCTGGGCTCAAGCGAACCTCCCACCTCTGCCTCCCAAAGTACTGGGATTACAGGTGTGAGCCACTGTGCCCGGTCTGGATTCCTTATCTGTAAAATAGAGATAATGGTAGCTCCTGTCTCATAGGGTTGTTATGACAGGTTGCATTAATCAGTGCAGGTAAGCACTTAGAATGGTGCCTAGGGCCTACTGCGCACCCTGTAAGTATTAGTTTATAATCCATATTCCCAAGATAGAAACCTCACTTCTAATGAACCCTAAGTCCTAGGAGCTGGTGCTGCTTAATACCTTTGATTCTATGCCTACCTTTCCACTGCTATTGCCCCAATTATCTCTTGTTTCTACTATAATACAGGAGTTTTGTTTTTGTTTTTCGAGACAGTGTCTTGCTCTGTCACCCAGGCTGGAGTGCAGTGGCATGATCTCGGCTCACTGCAACCTCCGCCTGCTGGTTTCAAGCAATTCTCCTGTCTCAGCGTCCCAAGTAGCTGGGATTACACACACATGACACCACGCCCAACTAATTTTTGTATTTTTAGTAGAGACAGGGTTTCACCATGTTGGCCAGGCTGGTCTCGAACTTATTACCTCAGGTGATCCACCTGCCTCAGCTTCCCAAAGTGCTAGGATTACAGGCGTGAGCCACTGCACTTGGCCAGTACAGGAGTATTGTTAATGGAGTGTTGTTCATTCTTCCCTCTCTTTGGTGTCATGTCAGTGACTTTGTTTTGTTTTTTGAGACAGGGTCTTGCTCTGTCGCCCAGGCTGGAGTGCAGTGGCACCATCTCAGCTCACCACAACCTCTGTCTCCCAGGTTCAAGCAATCCTCCCACCTCAGCCTTCTGAGTAGCTGGGATTACAGGCATGCACTGCCACACCCAGCTGATTCTTTGTATTTTTAGTAGTGATAGGGTTTTGCTATGTTGGCCAGGCTTGTCTCAAACTCCTGGCCTCAAGTGATCATGTCAGTGACTTTGGATTAGCTATGTGACTTGCTTAGTTCAACAGAAAGTAGACACAATACAAGCAGAGGCTTTACATGTGGCTTTGCACCATTTGGCTTAATCTCTTGCACTAACATCTACCATGAGAAGAGCATGCTCCCAAGTAGTTTCTGGTCCAAAGCTAATGTAGAAAAGTATGGGACAGACTTGGACCTACCTTGCAGCCTTGTGCCTGGACTCCAGCCTACCCCAGCTGAGTTGCAGCCAACCCACAGACCCATAAGTGAGAAATGCTGGGAGAAACACTTACTTTTGGAGTGGTTTGTTATGCAGCAGTAGTGTAGCACTAGCTAACCAATACAACCATCTTTCTAGCCAGTCGCCCTATGACTCATCTCTTTATATTCCAGTCAATCTTCATGCTGCCAGATTTGTCTTTCTAGAACACAAAACTAATCAAATCAATCACCTCTCAGAAATCCTTGACAGCTTCATATAGTTATTGGAAGAAAGTCTAAACTCCACAGTATTGCATTCAAAACTACTCACAGTTGGCCCTAGGCAATCTTTTCATTGTTACCTCCTACAATTTTAATTCATTGGCCATACCAGTCCTGTGCAGTTCACAAATATGCCATGCACTATCACATCTGTTGATTTGCTTTTGCAGTTGACTCTTTTTTTCTGGTCATTTGTTCTTCATTCTTCAGGGACCAACCTATATATTCTATACTTCATAACGCTTTCTCTAACCTCCTCCTGAGTCAAAAATCAAGCGTTTAGTACATATCTTTTTCTCAGGGGAATAATCACAATGTATTGCAGGTCTATATGTGTATGTGTGTATATATGCACACATATCTGTCTTTTAAATTATAGTGTACTTTTCCTGAGACTAAGACCATGCATTCCTGGTGTTCCATTGGCTGGATAAAACTTAACATGGCAGACAATGTCTTGCATAAGTGCCCCTGCCTAATAGTTTAGCTTCATTTCCTCTCACTCTCCCCTGTACAAACATGTTCTCTCCTAGCATGAAAAATGCTTTGATTGGGCATAGTGGCTCACACCTGTAATCCTAGCACTTTGGGAGGCCGAGGCAGGCGGATTGTCTGAGCTCAGGAGTTCAAGACCAGCCTGGCCAACACGGGGAAACCCCGTCTCTACTAAAAAATACAAAAAATTGGGTGGGTGCAGTGGCTCACGCCTGTAATTCCAGCACATTGGGAGGCCAAGGCGGGTGGATCACGAGGTCAGGAGTTTGAGACCAGCCTGGCCAGCATGGTGAAACCCCATCTCTACTAAAAATACAAAAGATTAGCCGGACATGGTGGCACGTGCCTGTAACCCCAGCTACTTGAGAGGCTGAGGCTGAGGCATGAGAATCTCTTGAACTTGGGAGGTGGAGGTTGCAGTGAGCCGAGATCGTGCCACAGCACTCCAGCCTGGGTGACAGAGCAAGACTCCGTCTCAAAAAGAAAAGAAAATGCTTTTAGTTCCCCCAAATACCCAAGGCCTGTGGCTCCCAGAATGTGCACCAAGTCACCCCAGGACACTTAATTCACAGAGGCCTTGAAAAATATTTTAACTTTTTGAGGGAAATACACCAATACTCAGCATCTGTCAGATACTGCGTAACCTTTAACTTGAAGTAGTTCACAATTTCAACATAAGCATTCCTTTCAGTGACATTATCTCTTTCAAAACTGGGTTTTCAAGAGTTGCTATAATAAAACACAAATACCACGTGAAAAATCAATGTGAAACAGGAAAGCACGGTGGTGGTGTCCAATCTGATCCCAACATCTGGGAAACTGAGTAGTACCCAACATGTGCACACATTCTATTAGTACGTCATTGTGGTTATTTAAGAATAAAATTAAAATATTCTTTTCTTTCAATTTATGTGTATGATTTTTTTAAGCAGCTATTTAGTTATTAGGACATAAATAGTTATTAAGTTGTTTGGACCTAATCAGTCAATCATGGAACAGTTAGGCATTATTTTTGGACTAGAAATGCTATGAAAAATTCACCAAGACACTAAGGGCTCAGTAAACTGAGAAGGTTTGGAAACGTCTGCTCTGTACTATTTCACTTGCCCAGACTTTTACTCACGCTGTTCCCATGCTTGAAATGCCCAGCGTTCATCTGGCAAACTCTCATTTGTCCTTCAAAAAAATGAGATTGGGTTCAGCCTCCTCTAGGAAGTCTGTCTCGACTTTCACAGATGGAGGCAGCGGTGGACCAGTTCAGCCCAGCACCTGCCTCAGAGTGAAGCTCCTGTTCCCTGTTTGTCAGCATTCTGTGTGCAGTAATGCTCATCAGATGATAAAGACTTCGTTCCTTTGTGGAAAATGTCCCCAAGAAGAAATCCTGGAGCCCTCCTTGACTGTTGTCTTTCTCTCAAGCCTCACATGGAATCTGTTGGCACATCCAGAATCTCACCTCTTTCACCAGGGCTACACCCCTGCTCCAAGTCACCATTATCTTTCACCTGAATTGTTTCAACAGATTCTTGGCTGGTATTCCTGTTTCCACCCTGGCCCCTCTTTGGTCTTTTCTCAACTCAATATCAAGAGGGATCCTTTTAAATATAGAGTAGATCAAGTTACTCTACTCAAACCCTCTAATGGCAATAAAAGCCAAAATCCGTATGGTGAATGACAGGGCTTCTGTGATAGGCCCCATTAACGCTCCAACTTCATCTCCCTGTATCTGCTTGCACCATGCGTGCTCACTGGCCAAACCTGTTACTCAAACACACCAGGCATGGTCCCTTCTCAGGGCCTTTGCACCTGCGGATCCTTCTGCCTGGAGCTCTTTTCCTCCAGACAGCCACAGGGGGCCCTCTTATTTCCCTTAGATATTAACATTACTATCTCCTTTACAGTGAAACCTTCCCTGACCAAAACTCAAAATTCCAACTCCATCCCCAACTCTTCCTAATCCCCTTCCCTGCTTTATTTTTCTCCTCGGCATGTATTGTTATCTAACATACTATGTATTTTATTTATTTATCTTGTTTATTGTGTGACTCTCCCACTAGACCATAAATTCTAGGAGGGCAGGGCTCTATCTTCACTACCTAGCATGCTGTCTATTAAGCATTTCAAATAAATGTGTTGAATGAATAACGAAAACTGAAATGGGGAAAAATGTATGGTTTTGGCACAGGGTTAAACAAATAAATCAATGGAGCAGAATAGAAATCCCAGAAACAGACCCCCAATATTTGAACTCCTGGTGTATGACCACACGGGGCATTGCAGATCAACTGGGAAACAACAGATTTTTCAATAAATGGTGCTAGAATGATTGGGTAATTACTTGGAAAATAATGAAATTAGAGCCATAGTTCCAGGTGAAATAAAGATCTAAATGTGAAAGCCAGAACTATAAAGCCTTTGAATGTAATACTGGAAAATAACTTCATGACCTCAGGGAAAAGGATTTCTTAAACAAGATACGAAAAGCGCTCTCTATAAAGGAAAAGACAAATTCAGACCTGCTAAAATTAAGAGTGTCTATTTTTCAAAAGATACAATAAAGAAAGTGAAAAGACAAGTTACAAGGTAGGAAAAATATTTGAAACATACATAATTGGCATGGATCTAAGATTAAGAACTTCTATAATCGAGAGTAAAACAACCATTAGAAAATGGGCAGAAAGGCTGGGTGTGGTGGTTCACACCTGTAATCTCAGCACTTTGGGAGGCCAAGGCGGGTGGATCACTTGAGGTCAGGAGTTCGAGACCAGCCTGGCCAACATGGTGAAACCCCGTCTCTACTAAAAATACAAAAATTAGCCGGGCATGGTGGCAGGGCCTGTAATCCGTTACATGGGATGCTGAGGCAGGAGAATTGCTTGAACCTGGGAGGCGAAGGTTGCGGTGAGCCGAGATCGTGCTACTGCACTCCAGCCTGGGCAATAAGAGCAAAACTCTGTCTCAAAAAAAAAAAAAAAAAAAAAGAAAGAAAGAAAGAAAGAAAAGTAAAGAAAAGAAAGAAAGAAAATAGACAGAAGACTTAAATAGGTACTTCACAATAAAGAAAATCCAGCGGGTGGAGCCAAGATGGCCGAATAGGAACAGCTCCGGTCTACAGCTCCCAGCGTGAGCGACACAGAAGAGGGGTGATCTCTGCATTTCCATCTGAGGTACCGGGTTCATCTCACTAGGGAGTGCCAGACAGTGGGCGCAGGTCAGTGGGTGCAGCGCACTGTGCGCGAGCTGAAGCAGGGCGAGTCATTGCCTCACTCCGGAAGCGCAAGGGGTCAGGGAGTTCCCTTTCCTAGTCAAAGAAAGGGGTGACAGACGGCACCTGGAAAATCGGGTCACTCCCACCCCAATACTGCGCTTTTCCGACAGGCTTAAAAAACGGCGCACCAGGAGATTATATCCTGCACCTGGCTCAGAGGGTCCCATGCCCACGGAGTCTCGCTGATTGCTAGCACAGCAGTCTGATATCAAACTGCAAGGCGGCAGCAAGGCTGAGGGAGGGGCGCCCACCATTGCCCAGGCTTGCTTAGGTAAAGAAAGCAGCCGGGAAGCTCGAACTGGGTGGAGCCTACCACAGCTCAAGGAGGCCTGCCTGCCTCTGTAGGCTCCACCTCTGGGGGCAGGGGACAGACAAACAAAAAGACAGCAGTAACCTCTGCAGACTTAAATGTCCCTGTCTGACAGCTTTGAAGAGAGCAGTGGTTCTCCCAGCACGCAGCTGAGATCTGAGAACGGGCAGACTGCCTCCTCAAGTGGGTCCCTGACGCCTGACCCCTGAGCAGCCTAACTGGGAGGCACCCCCCAGTAGGGGCACACTGACACCTCACACGGCCGGGTACTCCTCTGAGACAAAACTTCGAGAGGAACGATCAGACAGCAGCATTCGCGGTTCATGAAAATCCGCTGTTCTGCAGCCGCTGCTGCTGGTACCCAGGCAAACAGGGTCCGGAGTGGACCTCTAGCAAACTCCAACAGACCTGCAGCTGAGGGTCCTGTCTGTTAGAAGGAAAACTAACAAACAGAAAGGACATCCACACCAAAAACCCATCTGTACATCACCATCATCAAAGACCAAAAGTAGATAAAACCACAAAGATGGGGAAAAAACAGAGCAGAAAAACTGGAAACTCTAAAAAGCAGAGTGCCTCTCCTCCTCCAAAGGAACACAGCTCCTCACCAGCAACGGAACAAAGCTGGATGGAGAATGACTTTGACGAGTTGAGAGAAGAAGGCTTCAGACGATCAAACTACTCCGAGCTACAGGAGGAAATTCAAACCAAAAGCAAAGAAGTTGAAAACTTTGAAAAAAATTTAGATGAATGTATAACTAGAATAACCAATACAGAGAAGTGCTTAAAGGAGCTGATGGAGCTGAAAGCCAAGGCTCGAGAACTACGTGAAGAATGCAGAAGCCTCAGGAGCCGATGCAATCAACTGGAAGAAAGGATATCAGTGATGGAAGATGAAATGAATGAAATGAAGCGAGAAGGGAAGTTTAGAGAAAAAAGAATAAAAAGAAACGAACAAAGCCTCCAAGAAATATGGGACTATGTGAAAAGACCAAATCTACGTCTGATTGGTGTACCTGAAAGTGATGGGGAGAATGGAACCAAGTTGGAAAACACTCTGCAGGATATTATCCAGGAGAACATCCCCAATCTAGCAAGGCAGGCCAACATTCAGATTCAGGAAATACAGAGAACGCCACAAAGATACTCCTGGAGAAGAGCAACTCCAAGACACATAATTGTCAGATTCACCAAAGTTGAAATGAAGGAAAAAATGTTAAGGGCAGCCAAAGAGAAAGGTCGGGTTACCCACAAAGGGAAGCCCATCAGACTAACAGCGGATCTCTCGGCAGAAACTCTACAAGCCAGAAGAGAGTGGGGGCCAATATTCAACATTCATAAAGAAAAGAATTTTTAACCCAGAATTTCATATCCAGCCAAACTAAGCTTCATAAGTGAAGGAGAAATAAAATACTTTACAGACAAGCAAATGCTGAGACATTTTGTCACCACCAGGCCTGCCCTAAAAGAGCTCCTGAAGGAAGCCCTAAACATGGAAAGGAACAACCAGTACCAGCCACTGCAAAATCATGCCAAATTGTAAAGACCGCTGAGGCTAGGAAGAAACTGCATCAGCTAATGAGCAAAATAACCAGCTAACATCATAATGACAGGATCAAATTCACACATAACAATATTAACTTTAAATGTAAATGGACTAAATGCTCCAATTAAAAGACACAGACTGGCAAATTGGACAAAGAGTCAAGACCCATCAGTGTGCTGTATTCAGGAAACCCATCTCACGTGTAGAGACACACATAGGCTCAAAATCAAAGGATGGAGGAAGACCTACCAAGCAAATGGAAAACAAAAAAAGGCAGGGGTTGCAATCCTAGTCTCTGATAAAACAGACTTTAAACCAACAAAGATCAAAAGAGACAAAGAAGGCCATTACATAATGGTAAAGGGATCAATTCAACAAGAAGAGCTAACTATCCTAAATATATATGCACCCAATACAGGAGCACCCAGATTCATAAAGCAAGTCCTCAGTGACCTACAAAGAGACTTAGACTTCCACACAATAATAACGGGAGACTTTAACACCCCACTGTCAACATTAGACAGATCAATGAGACAGAAAGTTAACAAGGATACCCAGGAATTGAACTCAGCTCTGCACCAAGCGGACCTAATAGACATCTACAGAACTCTCCACCCCAAATCAACAGAATATACATTTTTTTCAGCACCACACCACACCTATTCCAAAATTGACCACATAGTTGGAAGTAAAGCTCTCCTCAGCAAATGTAAAAGATCAGAAATTATAACAAACTGTCTCTCAGACCACAGTGCAATCAAACTAGAACTCAGGATTAAGAAACTCACTCAAAACCACTCAACTACATGGAAACTGAACAACCTGCTCCTGAATGACTACTGGGTACATAATGAAAAGAAGGCAGAAATAAAGATGTCTTTGAAACCAATGAGAACAAAGACACAACATACCAGAATCTCTGGGACACATTCAAAGCAGTGTGTAGAGGGAAATTTATAGTACTAAATGCCCACAAGAGAAAGCAGGAAAGATCCAAAATTGACACCCTAACATCACAATTAAAAGAACTAGAAAAGCAAGAGCAAACACATTCAAAAGCTAGCAGAAGGCAAGAAATAACTAAAATCGGAGGAGGAGCCAAGATGGCCGAATAGGAACAGCTCCGGTCTACAGCTCCCAGCGTGAGCGACGCAGAAGACGGGTGATTTCTGCATTTCCATCTGAGGTACCGGGTTCATCTCACTAGGGAGTGCCAGACAGTGGGCGCAGGCCAGTGTGTGTGCGCACCGTGCGCGAGCCGAAGCAGGGCGCTTGCCTCACCTGGGAAGCGCAAGGGGTCAGGGAGTTCCCTTTCCGAGTCAAAGAAAGGGGTGACGGACGCACCTGGAAAATCGGGTCACTCCCACCAGAATATTGCGCTTTTCAGACCGGCTTAAGAAACGGCGCACCACGAGACTATATCCCACACCTGGCTCAGAGAGTCCTACGCCCACGGAGTCTCGCTGATTGCTAGCACAGCAGTCTGAGATCAAACTGCAAGGCGGCAACGAGGCTGGGGGAGGGGCGCCCGCCATTGCCCAGGCTTGCTTAGGTAAACAAAGCAGCCGGGAAGCTCGAACTGGGTGGAGCCCACCACAGCTCAAGGAGGCCTGCCTGCCTCTGTAGGCTCCACCTCTGGGGGCAGGGCACAGACAAACAAAAAGACAGCAGTAACCTCTGCAGACTTAAGTGTCCCTGTCTGACAGCTTTGAAGAGAGCAGTGGTTCTCCCAGCACGCAGCTGGAGATCTGAGAACGGGCAGACTGCCTCCTCAAGTGGGTCCCTGACCCCTGACCCCCGAGCAGCCTAACTGGGAGGCACCCCCCAGCAGGGGCACACTGACACCTCACACGGCAGGGTATTCCAACAGACCTGCAGCTGAGGGTCCTGTCTGTTAGAAGGAAAACTAACAACCAGAAAGGACATCTACACCGAAAACCCATCTGTACATCACCATCATCAAAGACCAAAAGTAGATAAAACCACAAAGATGGGGAAAAAACAGAACAGAAAAACTGGAAACTCTAAAACGCAGAGCGCCTCTCCTCCTCCAAAGGAACGCAGTTCCTCACCAGCAACAGAACAAAGCTGGATGGAGAATGATTTTGACGAGCTGAGAGAAGAAGGCTTCAGACGATCAAATTACTCTGAGCTACGGGAGGACATTCAAACCAAAGGCAAAGAAGTTGAAAACTTTGAAAAAAATTTAGAAGAATGTATAACTAGAATAACCAATACAGAGAAGTGCTTAAAGGAGCTGATGGAGCTGAAAACCAAGGCTCGAGAACTACATGAAGAATGCAGAAGCCTCAGGAGCCGATGCGATCAACTGGAAGAAAGGGTATCAGCAATGGAAGATGAAATGAATGAAATGAAGCGAGAAGGGAAGTTTAGAGAAAAAAGAATAAAAAGAAATGAGCAAAGCCTCCAAGAAATATGGGACTATGTGAAAAGACCAAATCTACGTCTGATTGGTGTACCTGAAAGTGATGTGGAGAATGGAACCAAGTTGGAAAACACTCTGCAGGATATTATCCAGGAGAACTTCCCCAATCTAGCAAGGCAGGCCAACATTCAGATTCAGGAAATACAGAGAACGCCACAAAGATACTCCTGGAGAAGAGCAACTCCAAGACACATAATTGTCAGATTCACCAAAGTTGAAATGAAGGAAAAAATGTTAAGGGCAGCCAGAGAGAAAGGTCGGGTTACCCTCAAAGGAAAGCCCATCAGACTAACAGCGGATCTCTCGGCAGAAACCCTACAAGCCAGAAGAGAGTGGGGGCCAATATTCAACATTCTTAAAGAAAAGAATTTTCAACCCAGAATTTCATATCCAGCCAAACTAAGCTTCATAAGTGAAGGAGAAATAAAATACTTTACAGACAAGCAAATGCTGAGACATTTTGTCACCACCAGGCCTGCCCTAAAAGAGCTCCTGAAGGAAGCGCTAAACATGGAAAGGAACAACCGGTACCAGCCGCTGCAAAATCATGCCAAAATGTAAAGACCATCGAGACTAGGAAGAAACTGCATCAACTAATGAGCAAAATCACCAGCTAACATCATAATGACAGGATCAAATTCACACATAACAATATTAACTTTAAATGTAAATGGACTAAATGCTCCAATTAAAAGACACAGACTGGCAAGTTGGATAAAGAGTCAAGACCCATCAGTGTGCTGTATTCAGGAAACCCATCTCACGTGCAGAGACACACATAGGCTCAAAATCAAAGGATGGAGGAAGATCTACCAAGCCAATGGAAAACAAAAAAAGGCAGGGGTTGCAATCCTAGTCTCTGATAAAACAGACTTTAAACCAACAAAGATCAAAAGAGACAAAGAAGACCATTACATAATGATAAAGGGATCAATTCAACAAGAGGAGCTAACTATCCTAAATATTTATGCACCCAATACAGGAGCACCCAGATTCATAAAGCAAGTCCTGAGTGACCTACAAAGAGACTTAGACTCCCACACATTAATAATGGGAGACTTTAACACCCCACTGTCAACATTAGACAGATCAACGAGACAGAAAGTCAACAAGGATACCCAGGAATTGAACTCACCTCTGCACCAAGCAGACCTAATAGACATCTACAGAACTCTCCACCCCAAATCAACAGAATATACATTTTTTTCAGCACCACACCACACCTATTCCAAAATTGACCACATAGTTGGAAGTAAAGCTCTCCTCAGCAAATGTAAAAGAATAGAAATTATAACAAACTATCTCTCAGACCACAGTGCAATCAAACTAGAACTCAGGATTAAGAATCTCACTCAAAGCCGCTCAACTACATGGAAACTGAACAACCTGCTCCTGAATGACTACTGGGTACATAACGAAATGAAGGCAGAAATAAAGATGTTCTTTGAAACCAACGAGAACAAAGACACCACATACCAGAATCTCTGGGACGCATTCAAAGCAGTGTGTAGAGGGAAATTTATAGCACTAAATGCCTACAAGAGAAAGCAGGAAAGATCCAAAATTGACACCCTAACATCACAATTAAAAGAACTAGAAAAGCAAGAGCAAACACATTCAAAAGCTAGCAGAAGGCAAGAAATAACTAAAATCAGAGCAGAACTGAAGGAAATAGAGACACAAAAAACCCTTCAAAAAATCAACGAATCCAGGAGCTGGTTTTTTGAAAGGATCAACAAAATTGATAGACCGCTAGCAAGACTAATAAAGAAAAAAAGAGAGAAGAATCAAATAGACACAATAAAAAATGATAAAGGGGATATCACCACCGATCCCACAGAAATACAAACTACCATCAGAGAATACTACAAACACCTCTACGCAAATAAACTAGAAAATCTAGAAGAAATGGATACATTCCTCGACACATACACTCTCCCAAGACTAAACCAGGAAGAAGTTGAATCTCTGAATAGACCAATAACAGGCTCTGAAATTGTGGCAATAATCAATAGTTTACCAACCAAAAAGAGTCCAGGACCAGATGGATTCACAGCCGAATTCTACCAGAGGTACGAGGAGGAACTGGTACCATTCCTTCTGAAACTATTCCAATCAATAGAAAAAGAGGGAATCCTCCCTAACTCATTTTATGAGGCCAGCATCATTCTGATACCAAAGCCGGGCAGAGACACAACCAAAAAAGAGAATTTTAGACCAATATCCTTGATGAACATTGATGCAAAAATCCTCAATAAAATACTGGCAAACCGAATCCAGCAGCACATCAAAAAGCTTATCCACCATGATCAAGTGGGCTTCATCCCTGGGATGCAAGGCTGATTCAATATACGCAAATCAATAAATGTAATCCAGCATATAAACAGAACCAAAGACAAAAACCACATGATTATCTCAATAGATGCAGAAAAAGCCTTTGACAAAATTCAACAACCCTTCATGCTAAAAACTCTCAATAAATTAGGTATTGATGGGACGTATTTCAAAATAATAAGAGCTATCTATGACAAACCCACAGCCAATATCATACTGAATGGGCAAAAACTGGAAGCATTCCCTTTGAAAACTGGCACAAGACAGGGATGCCCTCTCTCACCGCTCCTATTCAACATAGTGTTGGAAGTTCTGGCCAGGGCAATCAGGCAGGAGAAGGAAATAAAGGGTATTCAATTAGGAAAAGAGGAAGTCAAATTGTCCCTGTTTGCAGATGACATGATTGTTTATCTAGAAAACCCCATCGTCTCAGCCCAAAATCTCCTTAAGCTGATAAGCAACTTCAGCAAAGTCTCAGGATACAAAATCAATGTACAAAAATCACAAGCATTCTTATACACCAACAACAGACAAACAAAGAGCCAAATCATGAGTGAACTCCCATTCACAATTGCTTCAAAGAGAATAAAATACCTAGGAATCCAACTTACAAGGGATGTGAAGGACCTCTTCAAGGAGAACTACAAACCACTGCTCAAGGAAATAAAAGAGGACACAAACAAATGGAAGAACATTCCATGCTCATGGGTAGGAAGAATCAATATCGTGAAAATGGCCATACTGCCCAAGGTAATTTACAGATTCAATGCCATCCCCATCAAGCTACCAATGACTTTCTTCACAGAATTGGAAAAAACTACTTTAAAGTTCATATGGAACCAAAAAAGAGCCCGCATCGCCAAGTCAATCCTAAGCCAAAAGAACAAAGCTGGAGGCATCACACTACCTGACTTCAAACTATACTACAAGGCTACAGTAACCAAAACAGCATGGTACTGGTACCAAAACAGAGATATAGATCAATGGAACAGAACAGAGCCCTCAGAAATAATGCCGCATATCTACAACTATCTGATCTTTGACAAACCTGAGAAAAACAAGCAATGGGGAAAGGATTCCCTATTTAATAAATGGTGCTGGGAAAACTGGCTAGCCATATGTAGAAAGCTGAAACTGGATCCCTTCCTTACACCTTATACAAAAATCAATTCAAGATGGATTAAAGATTTAAACGTTAGACCTAAAACCATAAAAACCCTAAAAGAAAACCTAGGCATTACCATTCAGGACATAGGCATGGGCAAGGACTTCATGTCCAAAACACCAAAAGCAATGGCAACAAAAGCCAAAATTGACAAATGGGATCTAATTAAACTCAAGAGCTTCTGCACAGCAAAAGAAACTACCATCAGAGTGAACAGGCAACCTACAACATGGGAGAAAATTTTCGCAACCTACTCATCTGACAAAGGGCTAATATCCAGAATCTACAATGAACTCAAACAAATTTACAAGAAAAAAACAAACAACCCCATCAAAAAGTGGGCGAAGGACATGAACAGACACTTCTCAAAAGAAGACATTTATGCAGCCAAAAAACACATGAAGAAATGCTCATCATCACTGGCCATCAGAGAAATGCAAATCAAAACCACTATGAGATATCATCTCACACCAGTTAGAATGGCAATCATTAAAAAGTCAGGAAACAACAGGTGCTGGAGAGGATGTGGAGAAATAGGAACACTTTTACACTGTTGGTGGGACTGTAAACTAGTTCAACCATTGTGGAAGTCAGTGTGGCGATTCCTCAGGGATCTAGAACTAGAAATACCATTTGACCCAGCCATCCCATTACTGGGTATATACCCAAAGGACTATAAATCATGCTGCTATAAAGACACATGCACACGTATGTTTATTGCGGCACTATTCACAATAGCAAAGACTTGGAACCAACCCAAATGTCCAACAATGATAGACTGGATTAAGAAAATGTGGCACTTATACACCATGGAATACTATGCAGCCATAAAAAATGATGAGTTCATGTCCTTTGTAGGGACGTGGATGAAATTGGAAACCATCATTCTCAGTAAACTATCGCAAGAACAAAAAACCAAACACCGCATATTCTCACTCATAGGTGGGAATTGAACAATGAGATCACATGGACACAGGAAGGGGAATATCACACTCTGGGGACTGTGGTGGGGTCGGGGGAGGGGGGAGGGATAGCATTGGGAGATATACCTAATGCTAGATGACACGTTAGTGGGTGCAGCGCACCAGCATGGCACATGTATACATATGTAACTAACCTGCACAATGTGCACATGTACCCTAAAACTTAGAGTATAATAAAAAAAAAAATTAAAAAAAAAAAAAAAAGAAATAACTAAAATCAGAGCAGAACTGAAGGAAATAGAGACACAAAAAACCCTTCAAAAAATTAATGAATCCAGGAGCTGGTTTTTTGAAAGGATCAACAAAATTGATAGACTGCTAGCAAGACTAATAAAGAAGAAAAGAAAGAAGAATCAAATAGATGCAATAAAAAATGATAAAGGGGATATCACCACCGATCCCACAGAAATGCAAACTACCATCAAAGAATACTACAAACACCTCTACGCAAATAAACTAGAAAATCTAGAAGAAATGGATACATTCCTCGACACATACACTCTCCCAAGACTAAACCAGGAAGAAGTTGACTCTGAATAGACCAATAACAGGCTCTGGGTGGGGCAATAATCAATAGCTTACCAACCAAAAAGAGTCCAGGACCAGATGGATTCGCAGCCGAATTCTACCAGAGGTATAAGGAGGAATTGGTACCATTCCTTCTGAAACTATCCCAATCAATAGAAAAAGAGGGAATCTTCCCTAACTCATTTTATGAGGCCAGCATCATCCTGATACCAAAGCCGGGCAGAGACACAACCAAAAAAGAGAATTTTAGACCAATATCCTTGATGAACATTGATGCAAAAATCCTCAATAAAATACTGGCAAAATGAATCCAGCAGCACATCAAAAAGCTTATCCACCATGATCAAGTGGGCTTCATCCCTGGGATGCAAGGCTGGTTCAATATATGCAAATCAATAAATGTAATCCAGCATATAAACAGAACCAAAGACAAAAACCACATGATTATCTCAATAGATGCAGAAAAGGCCTTTGACAAAATTCAACAGCCCTTCATGCTAAAAACTCTCAATAAATTAGGTATTGATGGGATGTATCTCAAAATAATAAGAGCTATCTATGACAAACCCACAGCCAGTATCATACTGAATGGGCAAAAACTGGAAGCATTCCCTTTGAAAACTGGCACAAGACAGGGATGCCCTCTCTCACCACTCCTATTCAACATAGTGTTGGAAGTTCTGGCCAGGGCAATTAGGCAGGAGAAGGAAATAAAGGGTATTCAATTAGGAAAAGAGGAAGTCAAATTGTCCCTGTTTGCAGATGACATGATTGTATATCTAGAAAACCCCATTGTCTCAGCCCAAAATCTCCTTAAACTGATAAGCAACTTCAGCAAAGTCTCAGGATACAAAATCAATGTACAAAAATCACAAGCATTCTTATACACCAATAACAGACAAACAGAGAGCCAAATCATGAGTGAATTCCCATTCACAATTGCTTCAAAGAGAATAAAATACCTAGGAATCCAACTTACAAGGGACATGAAGGACCTCTTCAAGCAGAACTACAAACCACTGCTCAATGAAATAAAAGAGGATACAAACAAATGGAAGAACATTCCATGTTCATGGGTAGGAAGAATCAATATCATGAAAATGGTCATACTGCCCAAGGTAATTTATAGATTCAATGCCATCCCCATCAAGCTACCAATGACTTTCTTCACAGAATTGGAAAAAACTACTTTAAAGTTCATATGGAACCAAAAAAGAGCCCGTATCGCCAAGTCAATCCTAAGCCAAAAGAACAAAGCTGGAGGCATCACACTACCTGACTTCAAACTATACAACAAGGCTACAGTAACCAAAACAGCATGGTACTGGTACCAAAACAGAGATATAGATCGATGGAACAGAACAGAGCCCTCACAAATAACGCCGCATATCTACAACTATCTGATCTTTGACAAACCTGAGAAAAACAAGCAATGGGGAAAGGATTCCCTATTTAATAAGTGGTGCTGGGAAAACTGGCTAGCCATATGTAGAAAGCTGAAACTGGATCCCTTCCTTACACCTTATACAAAAATTAATTCAAGATAGATTAAAGACTTAAACGTTAGACCTAAAACCATAAAAACCCTGGAACAAAACCTAGGCATTACCATTCGGGACATAGGCATGGGCAAGGACTTCATATCTAAAACACCAAAAGCAATGGCAACAAAAGCCAAAATTGACAAATGGGATCTAATTAAACTAAAGAGCTTCTGCACAGCAAAAGAAACTACCATCAGAGTGAACAGGCAACCTACAAAATAGGAGAAAATTTTCGCAAACTACTCATCTGACAAAGGGCTAATATCCAGAATCTACAATGAACTCAAACAAATTTACAAGAAAAAAACAAACAACCCCATCAAAAGGTGGGCGAAGGACATGAACAGACACTTCTCAAAAGAAGACATTTATGCAGCGAAAAAACACATGAAAAAATGCTCACCATCACTGGCCATCAGAGAAATGCAAATCAAAACCACAATGAGATACCATCTCACACCAGTTAGAATGGCGATCATTAAAAAGTCAGGAAACAACAGGTGCTAGAGAGGATGTGGAGAAATAGGAACACTTTTACACTGTTGGTGGGACTGTAAACTAGTTCAACCCTTGTGGAAGTCAGTGTGGCCATTCCTCAGGGATCTAGAGCTAGAAATACCATTTGACCCAGCCATCCCATTACTGGGTATATACCCAAAGGACTATAAATCATGCTGCTATAAAGACACATGCACACGTATGTTTATCGCGGCACTATTCACAATAGCAAAGACTTGGAACCAACCCAAATGTCCAACAATGATAGACTGGTTTAAGAAAATGTGGCACATATACACCATGGAATACTATGCAGCCATAAAAAATGATGAGTTCATGTCCTTTGTAGGGACATGGATGAAATTGGAAATCATCATTCTCAGTAAACTATCACAAGAACAAAAAACCAAACACCGCATATTCTCACTCATAGGTGGGAATTGAACAATGAGAACACATGGACACAGGAAGGGGAACATCACACTCTGGGGACTGTTGTGGGGTGGGGGAGGGGGGAGGGATAGCTTTAGGAGATATACCTAATGCTAAATGACGAGTTAATGGGTGCAGCGCACCAGCATGGCACATGTATACATATGTAGCTAACCTGCACATTGTGCACCTGTACCTTAAAACTTAAAGTATAATAAAATAAAATAAAATAAAAAAGAAAATCCAAATGGCCAATAAGCCTAAAAAGAGGCTTTAATCTTTTTAAACCTTTAAAAACATTCAAATTAAAACCAAAATGAAATGCCTATCAGATTGACTGAAAATTTTTTTTAATCTGAAAGCACCAGTGTTGGCATAGATGCAGAGCAAGGAGAACTTTCATATACCACTGGTGGGCACATGAAGTGGTACAACCACTTGCAAAATAGTATGGCATTCTCCAGTAAAGCTGAAGATAGGCATAGGCCACATGCTGACAAGTTCACTCCTAGGCATATACCTTAGGAAACACATGCTCACCTGCACTAGGATATATGCAAAAGAAGAATCACAGAAGCAATGTTTGCAATAGTCAAAGGCACTTCAACAGTAGAATAAATAAGTGAAATGCAGTCTGGTCACAGAAAGGACTACTCTACAGCCATGAAAATGGATTCACTATTAATAGATCTACACAAAGAATCGTGGATGACTCTCACAAACATAATGTTGAACACAGAAATAAGGCACAAAATACATCTGATTACTCCCTTCCTATAAAGTTCAAAAACAGATACACTAGATAATTTAGGGATCACATATAGGTGGTAAAGCTATAAAGAAAAGCAAGGAAATGCTTATCCCCAAGGTCAGGATAGTGTCTACCTCTGTGGTAATTTGAAAGGGATGATGGGAGGGCTTCCTGGAGCTGGAAATGTGCTGTTTCTTGACTTGGATGGTGGTTATCAAATCTTCACTTTGCACTTTTTTATTGAAAACTGTATTCTCTGTTTTGTGCACTCTTCTGCGTATATGATAATATCTCTCATAACAAAGTGAAATTTTAAAAAGAAGAAAAGTAAGAGGAAAGCTGGCAGCTGTTAACACTACAGACAGACATTAAAAGTCTAAGAAAATGTAGTTCTTGTGAGAAAATGGAAATATTGGATCACTTAGAGAGTGAGATGTCACATATGCCTGCATACGCCTATGCAGCTTTGTGATGTGGATGAGCCTACCACAAGCATTAGGTAAAAATAAAGGCTGGGCATGGTGGCTCATGCCTGTAATCCCAGCACTTTGGAGGCCGAGGCAGGGGTATCACGAGGTCAGGAGTTCAAGACCAGCCTGGCCAACATGGTGAAACCCTGTCTCTACCAAAAATACAAAAATTAGCCGGGCATGGTGGTGCACTCAGGAGGCTGAGGCAGGAGAATTGCTCGAACCCGGGAGGTGGAGGTTGCAGAGAGCCAAGATTTCGCCACTGCACTCCAGCCTGGGTGACAGCAAGACTCTGTCTCAAAAAAGAAAAAAAAGGAAAAGAAAAAGCAATTTGTGAATCTGTTTCAGCAAGTGTTCCAGTCAGTATACAAAAATATGATTATCAGGTGAGATAAATTGTTAAGCGTCTGAAGGAGTCACTTACAATTTTAGTTTGTGAAAAAATGAAAATTGTATACTAGAGTGGGGTATTAGTGAGGATAATACAAACTGCAATACCAGGTAAACACTGTAATCTCAGTAGCTAAACATAATAGAATTTTATTTCCCATATAAACACGCAGGGCAGCAGGAGGAACGGGTGTGAAGTGGCTTTGCTCCACGCGGTCATTCACTAACATCGTGGATGTGGACATAATAATAAGGACTGGGTCTTTTTGTTTTAAACAAGTACACACACATACATACACACAAAATTCTGTTTTTTTTGTTGTTGTTGTTGTTTTGAGACAGAGTCTTGCTCTGTCACCAGGCTAGAGTGCAGTGGCATGATCTTGGCTCATGGCAACCTCCACCTCCCAGGTTCAAGTGATTCTCCTGCCTCAACCTCCCAAGTAGCTGGGATTATAGGCATGCGCCACCATGCCCAGCTAATTTTTGTATTTTTAGTAGAGACGGGGTTTCACCATGTTGGGCAGGATGGTCTCCATCTCCCGACTTCGTGATCTGCCTGCCTTGGCCTCCCAAAGTGCTGGGATTAAAGGCGTGAACCACCATGGCTGGCCACACACACACAACTCAACCGTCTCTCATATTTTATACAAAAGGTGGCATAGTATACAATGTCTTCTGGGCCTTACTCATATTCATTTAACAATACAGCTTAGAAATCTTTCCATGTTCATATATAAACAGCCTCCTTATTCTTTGTTATAGCTGCATAGTATTCCACTCTATGGGTGTTTTGTAACTTATTTAACCAAGGACTGGCCCTCTCCCCAATGCCTAGTATAGTACCTGTTACATAGGGAAGGCACTTTACAAATATTTGATAAATGAATACCTCCACCCTCAAGAAGGTGGTATGCAATAAAACATATAAACATAGACATGAAAAAAAGCCAGGAGCAAAATATATTAACATTAAACAGAGGTAATTTCTTTTTTTCTGAGACACTGTTTTGCTCTTGTTGCCCAGGCTGGAGTGTAATGGCGTGATCTCGGCTCACTGCAACCTCCGCCTCCTGGATTCAAGCAATTCTGCGTCAGCCCCACAAGCAGCTGGGATTACAGGCACGTGCCACCACGCCCAGCCACTTTTGTATTTTTTAGTAGAGACGGGGTTTCACCATGTTGGTCAGGCTTGTTTCAAACTCCTGACCTCAGGTGATCCACCCACCTCAGCCTCCCAAAGTGCTGTGATTATAGGCATGAGCCACCGCACTCGGCCCAAACAGAGGTAATTTATTTAAAAGGTAGTTATTCAGGCAACAAGTCGGATATGATGTCTAAGAGCCCAGCTTCTAGAGTCAGACTTACCTGTGTTGGAATCCCAGTTGTACTGTCCACTTAGGTGTATGACCTTGGGCAAGTTATGTACTCTCACTGTGCCTCTGTGTCACCCTTAAATGGGAATAACCAATTGGGATAATGCAGATAAAGCACTTAGCACAGCCCCTGGCACATCCCCAGCGCTCAATACAGGTCAGATACTATTATGAGATGGGACTAACAAGAGGAATCTCATGGAGGTATGTTTGGATGAGGAAGGAAGAAAGTGGCACAGATGTTACAAAGAAGTCAATGGGAAGGAACACCATGAGCAAAGGTGTAGAGATGGGATCCCCAGGGACTATGGGGACTATGTGGGAGACACCATCAGATCTGTGATTGGGGCATAGACAACCTCCTGGGGAGAAATGAAAAAATGAGATTGGTGAGATGTGGACTTTGATAGCAAACTGCAGTGTGTGCTTAAGACCACTGTAAGTCAGAGGAATGACATGTCATTATCTCTGTTTAATAAGCAGTATTCAGGATGGATGAGACAAGAAAAAGACCAGAGAGTGGGGAAGGAATTTAATATTGGGTTCCTACTTTGCATTGATTTTGGCATGTCACAAAGTTTATCTTGTTTCATCTTCACTCAACTCTATGATGCAGGTGTTATTAGCCTTATTACAGAAATAATGAGGCTTGAAGAGGCTACTTATATTGTCCATGGTTGGAGAGCAAGGAACTGGTAAAGTTAAATTTAAACCTAAAGTTGTCTGACTCCAAAGCAGAGGTATGCTGGAGCTGACTTATAAAGGCTTGCAAGACCTGATAGTTAAAATTTCAGGAATTTTGTGAGGGTTTTTTTTTTTTTTTCCCAAGACAGAGTCTTGCTCTATCACTCAGGCTGGAGTGCAGTGGTATGATCTCAGCTCACTGCAACCTCCACCTCGCGGGTTCAAGTGATTCTCCTGTCTCAGCCTCCCAAAATGCTGGGATTACAGGTGTGAGCCACCACACCCGGCCTGTGAGCATTTGTTAAACACAGCCACTACTAAAAATTAAATGATGTAAACTTACAATTAAGTAAGTTGTATTTAAAACAAGGTAATAAATATTCAAAGTGTATCATTTCTTAGTTATTATTACTACCTTTGACTATTGTCTGTGCTCCTAAGTTGACTTACACCTCTTCCATCTACATGGTAGAAACATGATATATCACTGTGCTGCTGAACATCTCTTCCCAACTCCACATCCAATAAGGTCACAATCCTAGCTTGAAATTGGCCAAGATAAGAGTATTTACAATGTAGCAATTGGCACATGTTACAAATTACAGCTTGGTTTGGCATAGTGTGGATTAGCTAGAGTTAAGAAAGTGGTAGGAAAATGTTAATAATACAGATTTTTAAAGATAATCTTTATTATTAACATTACAGATTAAACTTGAAAGTGTGTAATGTCTATAGATTAAACTTAAAAGTCTGTCATGTCTATAGCTGTTCCATTTTGCATAACACAAAAACGCTGAAGAAATAGTCTTCTAGAATTAGAAAACTGTTAATCAATTCAGCAAAGTCACTCATGTCGTTGACAAGTGAGTGAAGTTCCAATATGTCTTTTCTCTTCCACTTTGATTTTATTTATTAATGTAAAAAAAAATCAACCAACATTCACATCAGAACTGTACTCATTTGTCAGTTGCAACTATAGGTTAGTTATGGATACAGATTTCAGGAAAAATATCAACAAAAGCATTCTGTGAGAATCAAATGGCTATATGGTCATTTACAATAGAGCATTACATACAGACATCCTTCCTATTCTTGTGCTTTGCAGATATCATGTTTTTCACAAATCAAAGGTTTGCGGCAGCCCTGCATCAAGCAAGTCTACTGATGCCATTTTCCCAAAAGCATGTGCTCACTGTGTGTCTTGGTGTCACATTTTAGCAATGCTCCCAATTCTCATACTTTTTCATTATTATTATATCTGTTATGGTGATCTGTGATCAGTGATCTTTGATGTCACTATTGTCATTGTTTTGGGCACCAGGACCTGCACGTAGATAAGATGGCGAACTTAATCCATAAATATTGTATGCCCTGGCTGCTCCAGTGACCGGCTGTTCCCCCATCTCTCTCCCTTTCCTCAGGCCTCCCTATTTCCTGAGACACAACAATACTGAAATTAGTCCAGCTGATAGTCCTACAATGTCCTCTAAGTGTTCAAGTGAAAGAAAAAACATTCCTTTCACTTGAACGTCTCTCACTTTAAATCAAAAGCTAGAGATAATTGAGCTAAGTGAGGAAGGCATGTCAAAAGCTGAGTCAGGCTGAAATCTAAGCCTTTTTCACCAGTTAGCCAAGTTGTGAATGCAACAAAAAAGTCATTGAAGGAAATTAAAAGTGCTACTCCAGTGAACAAATGAATGTTAAGAAAGCTAAACAGACTTATTGCTGATATGGAGAAAGTATCAGTGGTTTGGATAGAAGATCAAACCAGCCACAACATTTTCTTAAGCCAAAGCCCAATCCAGAGCAAGGCAATAACTCTCTTCAATTCTATGAAAGCTGAGAGAGGTGAGGAACCTGCAGGAGAAAAGTTGGAAGCTAGCACAGTTTCCTTAAACTCATGAGGTTTAAGGAAAGAAACCATCTCCAGAACATAGAAGTACAAGGAGAAGCAGCAAGTCCTGATAAAGAGGCTGTAGCAAGTTATCCAGAAGATCCAGCCAAGATCATTGATGAAGATGGCCACACTAAACAACAGGTCTTCAGTGTAAAGAACCAGCTTTCTATTGGAAGAAGATGCCATCTAGGATTGTCACAGCTAGAGAGGAGAAGACAATGCCTGGCTTCAAAGCTTCAAAAGACAGGCTGACTCTCTTGCCAGGGGCTAATGTAGCTGGTGACTCTGAGTTTAAGCCAGTGCTCATTGGCCATTCTGAAAATCCCAGGCTCCTTAAGAATGATGCTAAATCTACTCTGGCTATGCTCTATACATGGGATAACAAAGCCTGGATGACAGCACATCTGTTGACAGCATGGTTTACTAAATATTTTAAGCCCACTGTTGAGACCTACTGCTCAGAAAAAAAAAGATTATTTTCAAAATATTACTGCTTATTCACAATACATGTGGTCACCCAAGAGCTCTGATGGAGATGTACAAGGAGATTCATGTTGTTTTCATGCCAGCTAACACAACATCCATTTTGGAGCCCATGAATCAAGGAGCAATTTCAACCTTCAAGTCTTATTATTTAGGAAATGCATTTTGTAAGACTATGGCTGCCATAGATACTGATTCCTCTGATTGATTTGAGCAACATAAATTGAAAACCTTCTGGAAAGCATTCACTATTCTAGAAGCCATTAAGAACATCTGTCATCCGTGGAAGGAGGTCAAAATACCAACATCAACAGGAGTTTGAAAGAAGTAAATTCTAACCCTCATGGATGACTTTGAGAGGTTCAAGATGTTAATGGAGGAAGAAATTGCAGATGTGGTGAATATGGCAAGGAAACTAGAATTAGAAGTAAAGCCTGAAAACGTGACTGAATTGCTGCAATTTCATGATAAAAACTGAACAAATGAGGAGTTGCTACTTAGGATGGATGAGCAAAGAAAGTGGTTTGTTGAGATGGAATCTACTCCTGGTGAAGATGCTGTGAACATTGTTGAAATGACAATAAAGGGTTTAGAATATCCCATAAACTTAAGTTGATAAAGTATTGGCAGTGTTTGAGAGGATTGACTCCAATTTTAAAAATTTTACTGTAGGTAAAATGCTATCAAACAGCATTGCATGTTACAGGGAAATATTTCATGAAAGGAAGAGTTAGTTGATATGGCAAACTTCATTGTCATCATATTTTAAGAAATTGCCACAGCCACACACACCTTCAACAACCATCACCCTCATCAGTCAGCAGCCCTCAACAAGGTGAGTCCCTCCATCACCAAAAAGATGATGACTCACTGAAAGCTCAGATGACATTTTTGGCAATAAAGTATTTTTAAATTAAAGTATGTACATTGTTTTTTAGACATATGATGCTGCACATTTAACAGACTACAATATAGTGTAAATATAATTTTTATATGCACTGAGAAACCAAAAAGTTCACGGACTCACTTTGTTGCAACAGTCACCTTATTGCGTTGGTCTGGAACTGAACCTGAACTATCTTTGAGGCATGTCTGTATTTAACATTATTTGTGAATTGTGTGCTGCACATCTTTTACGTCAGTAAAATTTATAATTAACATCTATTAAATCAGTTCTCAGGAAAAAATTTTTAATAAACATAATAAACTAGCTCTCTGGAAAAACTACATCTCCATGCACATTTGCTAATATTCACCAGCATTCCACTGCTCTAAGTTATATCACCTTGCCTCCCCAGCAGAAAGGGAGAGCAGTCATCTTCTCTCTATCAAGTTAATTAATACCAACCTCCATCAAGCATAGTATATTTATTTTAGGCAAACTATGTTATTTTCATTTGGCCTATTCCCTGATTTTCTTCTAAGTCCTTGAAATACATCACTGCTTATTTTCAGCCCAAATTATGCAAGTATGTAAGACTTCCTCTAACTCTGTAAATAGTAATTTTCTGACTTTGCCTTTTCCTTCAACACACTGATTCATCAATTCTAGGATGCATATTTTTTCACATCTTAACATCTCTGAAATCGAGAAGCCTCTTCCAGCCGCTGTTGGCCAGGCAGCAGCTGTGTCACTGCCTTCCCTTGTGTGAACTTGGCCATAGCTATTATATTGGCATCACCATCGATGAGTTTGATTGCTGCTTAAAATGTCTTTTAAATGATTGCTCATTGCAACCAAGGGTTACTGTAGTCACAGAAAGGCAGGGAAATACAGCAGCAGGGGGGGATTGATAGTGATAAAGCAGACATTTCACTTTGGAGGAATGGCCAAAATTCCAAATTGTCTTGTAAAGACCAACAAAAAGTTATATAGGACCTAAGAAAGGAAGAGACCCATACTTAGATGAACTGGTGTTCCATTTGCTGCTGAAATACACGCAAAAGCAAGGTCTATCATAAGCCAAGGCAACTGAAGGTAGGGAAATCTGCCAAATCCCTTGAAATAAATCAAAGAAATCTCAAGGCAGCAAGAAGCTGATACATAATCAATTCCTGCATCGCCCAGGACCATCGTTAAGACATTGCTTCATACTTAACTGACAGCATTTTTTTCCCCTCTTAATGGTTTATAGAATAACGATGCATTTAATGGTAAGTGGTATCTGAGATTTGCTTAAATCTAAGAACTAGTTTTATTTTCATCTTTCAGGTACCATTTTATATACCATGCATTTCTTTGCATGGTATATAAAATATCTTGTATGTTGCAATGTTTTGCTTGAGAAATGTGACAGCTACTTTGAAACTAAAAGAATCCCTCCATATATAATCTACCCTAATTCCATCACACCTCTCTGCAGCTTTACTTCCCTAAGAATGTAAGATCCAACTCTTTTTTTTTTTGAGTTGGAGTCTTGCTCTGTCACCCAGGCTGGAGTGCAGTGGCACAATCTCTGCTCACTGAAACCTCTGCCTCCCAGGTTCAAGCGATTCTCGTGCCTCAGCCTCCTGAGTAGCTGGGACTACAGGCGTCCACCACCATGCCTGGTTAATTTTTGTATTTTTAGTAGAGACAGGGTTTCACCATGTTGCCCAAGCTGGTCTTGAACTCCTGACCTCAGGCGAACCACCTACCTCGGCCTCCTAAAGTGCTGGGATTACAGGCGTGAGCCACCGCCCCAGGATGCAACTCTTTTAAAATTAACTTTTAGAGTGAAGTCTACATACAAAAACATGCAAACACTATAAATATACAGTTCAATGAATTATCACAAGGTGAGCACCACCCAGGTTATGAAGTAGAACATTAGTAGCATTTCAGAAATCCTCTGTGGGTCCCTCAATGTCGCTAACTCCACTCTGATCCTCAAAGATAACCACTTTTCTGACCTAGAGGTTAGAACCTCTAGGTAGTTCTGACCAAAACTACCATAGATTAGTTTTGCCCATTTTAAAGCTTTGTATGTCAATAGAATAATATAGTATATATTATTTTACTTTTGCCTTCTTTCACTCAATATGTTTGTGAAATTTTTTGAAGTTATCGTGTATAGCTTTAGCTTACTTGTTTTCACTGCTGTATGTTATTTTATTCCATGAATATACCACAATTCCTTTATCTCTTCTGCTGCTGATATTTGGGTTGTTTCCACTTCAGGCTTATTTTGAATAGTGGTACTACAAATAATCTTGAATCCTCTGCGTGTGCCCATAGTCCTCTGCCCCTCTTGGCTTCTCTCATCACTTCTGTCTACATGTCTTATCCCCCTACTAGATGGGAAGCTCCTTGAGGGCAGGATCCATGTTGGATTCAATTTGTATTTTCCATGGTAGGGAACCAATTCTTGTGTTGAAAACTGGTAAAAACAGGGAAAGATTCAAGCATTTATCCAGCCTTTCCAATGGGAACTAGAAATATGGATAACCAAATAGCTATTGAGAAGTTTCCCTTTGTGGAAATATTTCAGCTAATAAATAAAGAAGGAATAATAGAATTAAAATATCACCATTTTGTATCCCCTAAGCAACAGTCCCAACCTTTTTGGTTCCAGGGACTGATTTCATGGAAAGCAATTTTGCCACAGACAGGGCAGGGTATGGTTTCAGAATGATTCAAGTGCATTACATTTATTGTGCATTTTATTTCTATTATTATTACATTATAATATATAATGAAATAATTATATAACTCACCATAATGTAGAATTAGTGGGGGCCATGAGCTGGTTCCCCTGCAACTAGATGGTCCCATCTGGGGGTGATGAAAGACAGTGAAAGATCATCAGGCATTAGATTCTCATAAGGAGTGTGCAACCTAGATCTCTCGCATGCGGAGTTCACAATAGGGTTTGCACTTCTATGAGAATCTAATGCCGCAGCTGATCTAACAGCAGGCGGAGCTCAGGCAGTAACTCACATAATGGGGAGCAGCTGTAAATACAGATGACGCTTCACTCACTCACCAGCTGCTCACGTCCTGCTGTGCAGCCCAGTTCCTAACAGGCCACAGACAGGTACCAGTCCATGGCCCAGGGCCTGGGGACCCCTGCCCTCAAGAACGAATAATAGATCAAACATGCTGGCTGACATCTCAAAAGGAGAGACAACCGTACATTTTGTGCCTGTCTGAAAAGTCATGCCCTCCTCCATCAAATATGAACTTAAAAGAAATAGAGGATATGGAGGACTATTTTAAATAACAACACAGGGGCACGCCATCAGCAAAATCCTGATGGGACAAATGACATGGTTTCCTCAACACACAAATTACAAGGGAAAGGAGAGAGAGAAAGGAAGGCAAGAAGCTACAAGTTAAAAGAAACTTGAGGGACATAGAAATCAATTGCAATATATTGACCTTTGGGTGATGATTCAAACAAACTAAAAATAAACAAACATGCAAACCTAATCTGAGTGAATACTTGCTATTAAGCGATTATTGTTAATTTTTTTTTCTGTTTTTTGAGACAGAGTTTCACTCTTGTTGCCCAGGCTGGAGTGCAGTGGTACAATCTCAGCTCACTGCAACCTCCACCTCCCGGGTTCAAGCGATTCTCCTGCCTCAGCCTCCGAGTAGCTGAGATTATAGGCATGCGCCACCATGCCTGGCTAATTTTGTATTTTTAGCAGAGACGGGGTTTCTCCATGTTGGTCAGGCTGGTCTTGAACTCCCAACATCAGGTGATCCGCCTGCCTCAGCCTCCCAAAGTGCTAGGATTACAGACTGAGCCACTGCACCCGGCGGACTGTTAAGTTTTAAGGTATGATGATGTTGTGGTTATGTTCTTATAGTTGTGAGTTCTTATCTGTTGGAGAATCAGGGTAACATATTTACAGGTGAGATGATTTAAAGCCATGGGGAGGGAGGCATATGGTATATAGATGGAAAAAAATGGAAGTGAGTTGATAGTTGTGCATGGATAGATAGCAGGGTCATGAGTCCATCAAACTTCATTATATATTTTCTCTACTTTTGTATATGTTTGAGATGTTCTGTAATACATTTTTAATACAAAAAAAGTCTCTTCTATGGTGCCTATATCAGTACTTTACGAATAGTAGTTACTCAAAAAATATGTATTGAATGATGGAATTGTCTGACAGCAGCCTTAGCAAAAGGGCCATCTTGGCTCCAACACACATTTTAGAGCTGATTTTCACTCAGCATCTTTCATACTTACAGTTTCTGCTCTTTCCACACCCACTTTTGAGAATTCCCTCAACCCCCAATCCCCTATCACTGAACAGGCCTAGGCAGCTGATCAGAGCTGAGTACAGCTGTGTTGACAACTAATTCACAGACAGGTGGGGCCCGTCAGATTCTCTCAGGGAGAGAACAAGGCTTGGTCAGACAAGAATGGGCTCTACAAATGCAAGGATTTGTCCGGCAGGAGCAAGAGTCTGTACCATATCTTTTGCAGGAAAATGTGTTCAGTTCACTCATAATAAGGGAAATGCATTTGAAACTACACTGAGATACCATTCCTCATCCATAAGATTAGCACAAATTTGAAAGCTCAGCAACATACGTGATTGGCAAGGTCATGGGGATACAGGCACTCTCCTACATTGCTGGTAAAAACACAAAATAGTACAGCACTATGCAGAGGAAGTTGGCAATATCTAATAGAACTGCTAGTTGGCCCAGCAATCCCACTTTTAGGAATTTAAATTCAAGAGACCCCTCCAACAATACAAAACTACATAGGCACAGGGTTATTTATTGCAGCATTATGTGTAACTGCAAATTACTGGAAACCGTGTAAATGCCCCAAAGTAGGAGATTGGTTGAATAAACTACAGTACAGTCACACACAGAGCACTATGCAGCTGTAGAAAGAATGGAGATGATCGCTACAGATTGAATTGCTAAATGCAAAAGAGCATGTATAGTACATCAATTTTGTGTTAAAAAAAGAGGAAATGAGAAAACAAACACATATTTGCTTATTTTTTACAAAAAGACACAGGCAAATTAAACCAGAAACCAGTGACATGGGTTACCTGCTGGAGTGGGGAGTAGACAAAGCAGAGGCCGTAGTGGGCGGGAAACCAGATCCACGCAAAACAACCTGCAAAAGTCCTGCTTTGTAACACTGGCGTTTCCTTGGTGTAAATACTCCCACTGTATTCAAGCTACCTACAGAGGTGTACAGAATGGGCTCTTGTAAGCCAGGACAAGCTGGCTCCAGCACAATACTCAGTGGAAGGGACAAGGAAGAAAGTGATAACTCTCTATGCATGCCTTTTTATATAGCTTTTTCATTAAATTTCTCGAAGTGTAATTTTTTTTTTCTTTGAGACAGAGTCTCACTCTGTCGTCCGGGTTGGAGTGCAGTGGTGCAGTCTCTGCTCACTGCAACCCCTGCCTCCTGGGTTCAAGCGAGTCTCCCTGCCTCAGCCTCCTGAGTAGCTGGGACTACACCCGTGCACCACCATGCGCGGCTAATTTTTTTGGTATTCTTAGTAGAGATGGGGTTTTACCATGTTGGCCAGGCTGGTCTCAAACTCCTGACCTCAGATGATCTGCTTGCCTCGGTCCCCCAAAGTGCTGGGGATTACAGGCATGGGCCACTGCACCTGGTCAAATTTCTTGAAGTATAATTTACATATAGTAAAGTGAATCCATTCTAAGGATACAATTTGATGTGTTTCGATGAATGCATGCAACCTTGTAACCACCACTCCTCACCAAATCAAAATATAGAACATTTCCATCACCTCATAAAGTTCCCTTATAATACTTCTCCCCAGGCAAGCCCCACACTTCCCACCAGCTTCAGGTAACCCCTTAGCTGCTTCTACCACCATGGATTAGGTGTGTGTTCTTTGGCGTTTTATGTAAATGGAATCATACAGTATATACTCTTCTGTGTCTGGCTTCTTTGGCTCAGCAGGATGTTTCTGAGATTAACATCCGTGTTGCGGTGTGCATCAGAGTTCACTTCTATCTGTTACAGAGCAGTAGTCCAGTGCCTGGATACGCCACAATGTATTGATCCAATCACCTGTTAATGAACATTTGAGTTGTTCCTAATTTTTTACAATTATGAATAAAGTGGCTATGAATGTTCATGTACAAGTCTTTGTGTGGACACACATTTTCATTGCTCTTAGGTTGATATGTAGGATTACGATTTCTAGGTCACATGGTAAGTATAAAAGCTTTCTAAGTGTAGCTATAAAAAACTTAATTTTTTTCAAAGTGGCTTCAACAGCAGTTGGTGTGCATTTTAGTCATCTGCATCTTTGTCGATGTTTTTTAATTGTCATTCTTTGAATTTTAGCCATTCTGGTGAGTGTGTAGTGGTATATCATTGTGATTTTAATATGAATTTCCTGATGATTAATGATATTGACATGTTTTTATGTGTTTATTGACTGAGAGCATATCTTTGTTTGTGAATCAGGGCTCCTTGGAGAAATTGCTGATTCCAGAGCTGAAGCAGGGAAGGCACAAGATGAGCCTGGAATGCCTTAGTATGCCTGAGAGTGAGGAAGTGCTTCAAAAATATGATGAGCATATGTAATAAAAGACACAGCAATCAGCTTTATGAGATTTCCACTGGCAAAATCTGGGCCATAAAAAATTTAAACATCAAAATAGTTAAGGAGAGTCATAACCCATTGAATAAAATAAAAATCCATGAGTTCATAGTAATAAGAAACAGATAAATGATAGACACTGACAGATAAATACGGAAGAAGTGACGTTTAAAAAGTAATGATTTTACAACTGCCATAGTAAAAATGGATTTAGGAAAGAGCCATCAATGCATCGAAATCAAGGCAGATACAGGGGGAGGTTTGAGGAACAACACAACATTTACATAGTCTCAAAATATCCATTCACAAGTGAGTTATTAGTTACAAAGGAAAAATAGTAAATATATAGTGCAGAAACTAAGCAATGCATTATCACCAATAAGGGACAAATAAATATCACACACTCTCAGATGTGATTTCCCAAGGAAACATATATAACTTATATATTGTTCTAGCCAAATATGTATAGCCTATGTCTAATCACAAGGACACATCAGAGAAACTCAAACTGAAGGACACTCTGTAAAATAACTGGTGTGTATACTTCAGAAATATTGACTTGAAAGACAAAGACAGACTGAGGTGCTCTTCCAGAAGGAAGGGGGCTGAAAATGTGGGAGAGCCAAATGCAGCACCCCTTCCTGGGCTGGGTCCTGTTAGAGCAGGGTCCCCAATCCCGTGGCCTGTTAGGAATCAGGCCATGCAGCAGGAGGTGAGCAGTGGGCTAGTGAAGGTTCATCCGTATTCACAGCCGCTCCCCAGAGCTTGCATTACTGCCTGAGTTCTGCCTTCTGTCAGATCAGCAGGGGCATTAGATTCTCACAGGAGCACAAACCCTGTTGTGAACTCTGCATGCGAGAGATTTAGGTTGCATGCTTCTTATGACGATCTAATGCCTGATGATCTGTCACTGTATCCCATCACCCCCAGACGGGACCATCTAGCTGCAGGAAAACAAGCCCATGGCTCCCACTAATTCTACATTATGGTGAGTGAGTTGTATAATTATTTCATTATATATTACAATGTAATAATAATAGAAATAAAGGGCACAATAAATGTAATGAACTTGAATCATCCCCAAACCATCCCCCCCAGTCGGTGGAAAAATTGTCTTCTACAAAATCAGTCCCTGGTGCCAAAAAGGCTGGGGACCCCTGCTGTAGAGGGAAAGGATGGCCATGAGGGACATCACTAGGGCAAGTGAAAACATTGGAATATGCAGCATAGATTAGATGAAAGTTATATGCCAATGTTAAATTTCCTGAACTTGATCACTGTAATGTGAAAATGTAAGAGAATATCCCTATTTAGTGCGCACACTGAAGTATTTAGGAGTAAAGGGACATGATGTATGCAACCTACTCTCAAACTGTTTTAGGAAACTGTGTGTATACATATAAAATATAGGTACAGCATACATTATAGATATATGTATGTATGTATATAACACATACATATACATGGATAGATATCGGGGAATCTGCCCCGATATTCACATAGATTCTTTTCTATTTTCCCTAAGCATTGGCCGGCTTGAGAGATAAAGGGACAGAGTACAAAAGAGAGAAATTTTAAAGCTGGGCATCCAGGGGAGACATCACATGTCGGTAGGTTCTGTGATGCCCCACAAGCTGCAAAAACCAGCAAGTTTTTATGGTGTTTCAAAAGGGGAGGGAGTGTGTGAATAGGTGTGGGTCACAGACATCAACTACTTTACAAGGTAATAGAATATCACAAGGCAAGTGGAGGCAGGGCAAGATCACAGGACCACAGGACAGAGGCGAAATTAAAATTGCTAATGAAGTTTCGGGCACCATTGTCATTGATAACATCTTATCAGGAGACAGGGTTTTGAGATCAACAGGTCTGACCAAAATTTATTAGGCTGGAATTTCCTCTTCCTAATAAGCCTGGGAGTGCTATGGGAGACTGGAGTCTATTTCATCTCTGCAGTCTCGACCGTAAGAGACGACCACGCCCAGAGGGGTCAGTTCAGAGACCCACCCCCAGGTGCGTATTCTCTTTCTCAGGGATGTTCCATGCTGAGAAAAAGAATTCAGCAATATTTCTCCCATTTGCTTTTGAAAGAAGAGAAATATGGCTCTGTTCCGCCCAGCTCACCGGTGGTCAGAGTTTAAGGTTATCTCTCTTGTTTCCTAAACGTTGCTGTTATCTTGTTCTTTTTTCAAGGTGCCCAGATTTCATATTGTTTAAACACACATGCTGTACAATTTGTGCAGTTAATGCAATTATTACAGGGTCCTGAGGCGTTATACATCCTCCTCAGCTGACAGGATTAAGAGATTAAAGTAAAGACAGGCATAGGAAATCACAAGGGTATTGATTGGGGAAGTGATAAGTGTCCATGAAATCTTTACAATTTATGTTTAGAGATTGCAGTAAAGACAGGCATAAGAAATTATAAAAGTATTAATTTGGGGAACTAATAAATGTCCATAAAATCTTCACAATCCACGTTCTTCTGCCATGGCTTCAGCCGGTCCCTCCGTTTGGGGTCCCTGACTTCCCACAACAGATAGAGGGAATGATAAAACAAATATGTATGACAAAAATGTTAAAAATTTGGTGAACATGAGTGTATACTCTGTTATCTATACCATTTTTGCAATTGTAAGTTTAAAATTATTTCAAATGTTTTCTAAAAATTCAGAAAATAAAGCACCATGGCAAAACAAAGCCCTGCAAGTCAAAGTTTTACAGGAGCAGAAATAAGGAGCCAGAGGAGGGGCTGTCAGTGGAGAGGAGATTGGTGTGGATTCATCAAAGGGTGCGAAAGCCAGATGGCTCCAAGAATGCCTGACTGTCCAGTTCCTGGAGTCACCCCAGAAGGCGCTTGGGCTCCCCCAGCTACTTTGAACAGTTTCAGCATCTTGTGTGGTGAGAGGTGAGCACCTGCGCTGTGATAACATGGAAACGACTGTTTTATTTTCTCACCTCTGCTATTGCTCTGGACACAGGGGTTCTGAAGCTAGCATCTGTGGAAAGATTTAGGGGGCCTGTGAACTCTAATGGGAAAAAAATCTTTATTTTTCTGATTACTAACTGAAAATTAGCATTTTCTTCAATTATGAATGTAGGCAACAAACTCCAATAGGATTAGCAGTACCTATGAATTTGTCATCAATAAAACCCACAGATATTGTCATGTTACAGCACAGCTACTGCAGATGTCTTGAAATCTTTACATTCATTGCTACTTGCAGCCAACGCATCTGGATTTGAACAACTCTAAATGAACCTACCTGAGGGCAGACACTGTGTTGTTTAACTCTGTCCCCCTGTGTGTGGGGTATGGTTCTTAATAGGTGGTCAAAATTGTTTGCTGGAATGAATTGATTTCTGTAACTCTGCTAATACCTCACTAACTGGGAATCCAAAGACCCAAAAAAGATAAAAAACAAACAAACAAAAAACAAAAAAACACAACTTGTTGGAAATGGAAGCTATTCCATTCCTTTCTTGATTCCACAAGAGATGCTGCCATTGGCCTCTCCCATCTGCCATGTTTCCTTTAGCTTGCTGACTCCTCCCCTCCCAATATTAGTGAGATACCTGCCACTGAAGAACACTCTTCTTTACTGTCAGTTTCAGACATCGTGTTTTTCTGTGACAACTGTCATTTAAAACAGGGGTCTAGGCCAGGCACCGAGGCTCATGCCTGTAATCCTAGCACTTTGGGAGGCCGAGGTGGGTGGATTGCCTGAGCTCAGGAGTTCGAGACCAGCCTGGGAAACCGTCTTCACTAAAATACAAAAAATTAGCCAGGTGTGGTGGCGTGCGCCTGTACTCCCAGCTACTCGGGAGGCTGAGGCAGGAGAATTGCTTGAACCCGGGAGGTGGAGGTTGCAATGAGCCAAGATCATGCCACTGCACTCCAGCCTGGGTGACAGAGTGAGACTCTGTCTCCAAAAAATAAAAATTAAAAAAATAAAACAAGGGTCTAGTTTCCCAGCTTAGGCAGCTTGTTCCCAAGCTGGGCACACATTCCTAGCAATGCCAGCTGATTGGCACAATGAGATAGCTGGAATCCCTCCCCCCATGGCAGGGGGCCCTAGGCTGGAGACACCTTGCTAAGAGAAGGTCCGTAGATAAATATTTTATTATCGCAAGAGAACAAAACCCTCTGGGTAAGTGTAGAGCAAAAAGCACTTGATAAAATGACTTCTACTATAAACATATCAGTTATCTATTGCTGCATAATAAACTGCCCAAAATTCAGTAGCTTAAAACATCAACAATATATTATTTCATACCATGACGTGGGTTGGAAGGGCAGTTCTGGTCTCTCCTGGCCCCACTCAAAGCTGCATTCAGGGCTGGATGGTACAGAACAGCCTCACTTGTGTGTCTGGGGCCTTGGCTACAATGGCTGGAATGTTCAGGATGGCCAGGCGTCTCACTCCACCAGGTCTCACATCCTGGAATTCTTTGCATGATGGTCTTGGGGCAGAATCCCAAGAGGACCAAGGTGGGAACCACTAGTCCTCTCGATTCTGGCTTGGAAGTCTTACTATTCTGCCATGTTCTATTGGCTAAAACACACCAAAAGGCCAGCCCAGATTCAAAGGGGGGAGAAATAGGTGCCATCTCTGGATGGGAAGATCAGCAAAGAATTTGTGGCATTTTTAAATCCATCCCATTACGTGAAAAAGGTAGTATCCTAAAGCACTGTGATAGCAACCACACAGGAAGGTGTCAGCAGAGTGATAAAGAGTAGAAAGGGAACACACATGAATTAAATGGTATTTTGGTTTTTGGCTCTAGGGTATCTGCGTTATTTTATTTTGCTTTGTTTTTCTAGAAAGTGAAGGTCAAAAGAAAAATCATGAGGTTGGTAAATGGAGTTCAGGGGAGTCACTGAGACACAGCAGAAGGAGCTAGAGTTGTTTGTCCTGGTGAAGAGAAGGCTCGGCGGGGATGGGGAACTGATTTAAGATGTCTAGAAGACTAGCGTGTGTTATTGGATTTGTTTGTGTGCTGCCAGAACTAGGACCACCGGGTGGACATTCCAGGAAAGATTTTCCTTAATTAAGAGAGAATAACTATCAGAGATGTACACAAAATAAATGAATGCCAGATGAGTCACCTTCCACTTGGGTGTGCAGTGACAAGCAGACATTGACCACTTTTCTAGAATGGAGAAGTTATTCTGCATCTGGTAGGGCCTCTGAGATTCCTCCCAACCCTGAGACTCAATGATGCCATCTCCTTCTGTGGTAACCTTGGGAGTCTGTGATGTTGGGATTACCCAAATGCCCATCCACTGGGCATCTTCCAGAGCCTCCATGTCAGCAGCTGCTCCCTGAACTCTGCAAAACCCCCAAGTGCAGGCTGGGTGGCACTACCTGTACCCATCCTTCCTGACAGCCTCTGACAGTTTTGCTCCTTCATTCTGGTTTTGTTCTGAGATTTTCTTCTTAGCTTTTCCAGGAGGAACTTGCCTTACCCTGTTGTAAGGTGGAGCATGTTTCTTTGCACTGGTTTATGGTGGAATCATCAGCTTCTCTGCAAGGCAGCATCCATCCTATTCCACTGGTACCTGACTGAAAGTTATGACCAGAAAGGTCACTGGTAGATTCGGTGTCGTGTGGCACCTCCACTTTTCTCTAGCTTTCCTTAACAGTGCCCAGGGTAGGCAGGGTACAGTGGCTCACACCTGTAACCCCAGCACTTTGGGAGGCCGAGGCAGGCAGATCATCTGAGGTCAGGAGTTCGAGACCAGCCTGGCCAACATGGTGAAACCCTGTCTCTACTAAAAATACAAAAACTGGCCGGGCGCAGTGGCAGCCTCCTGTAATCTCAGCTACTCGGGAGGCTGAGACAGGAGAATCGCTTGAACCCAGGAGATAGAGGTTGCAGTGAGGTGAGATCGCACCACTGCACTCCAGCCTGGGTGACAGAGTGAGACCCAGTCTCAAAAAAAAAGTTTCTAGAGTATTAGCCTAGAAACACATCTTGCTGAAGTCCAAGGTGAGAAAGATCTGTTTCCCCTGATTTGGGAACACACTCCACCACCCAAACAGCATGTGGTTGTTTTCTTCTTTCTTTTCTTTTCTTTTTTTGAGATGGAGTTTCACTCTGTCACCCAGGCTGGAGTGCAATGGCGCAATCTCAGCTTACCGCAAACTCCGCCTCCCGGGTTCAAGCAATTCTCCTGCCTCAGCCTCCCAAGTAGCTGGAATTACAGGCATGTGCCACCACGCCCAGGTAATTTTTTGTATTTTTAGTAGAGACAGGGTTTCTCCATGATGGTCAGGCTGGTCTCGAACTCCCGACCTGAAGCAATCCGCCCACCTCAGCCCCGCAAAGTGCTAGGATTACAGGCATGAGCCACCTCGCCCGGCCCATGCGGGTGTTTACTATGTGCCATTGCTTTACACATATTATCTCACTTAATCCTAACAACACAGTCCTATGAGGCAGGTACAGAGAGAAAATGGAAGCAAAGAGAAATTCGGTAACTTTCTCAGGGTCACACGGTTGCCAAGTGGCAGAACTGAATCCCAGGCAGTCTGACTCCACAGCCTATGGACTGGAGCCTTGCACTGTAACAGCTACTATTGATGGAGCACATAATATATGCATGGCAACGTCCTGAGTGCTTTACACAAGCTCTCTAATGTAATTCTCATAGCAACAATTCTATGCCATTTGTGTTATTATCACCATTGTTACAGATGAAGAAACTGAGGCTTAGAGAAGTTAAGAAATGTATCCGGCCCGGCGCAGTGGCTCACGCCTGTAATCCCAGCACTTTGGGAGGCCGAGGTGGGAGGATCACCTGAGGTCAGGGGTTCGAGACCAGCCTGGTCAACACGGTGAAACCCCGTCTCTACTAAAAATACAAAAAATTAGCTAGGCGTGGTGGCAGGCATCTGTAATCCCAGCTACTCAGGAGGCTGAGGCAGGAGAATTGCTTGAACCAGGCAGGAGAAGGTGGAGGTTGCAGTGAACCGAGATGGTGCCACTGCCCTCCAGCCTGGGCAATAAGAGCAAAAACTCTGTCTCAAAAAAAAAAGAAAGAAAGAAATGTACCCAAGGACACAGACTTGTGAGCTGCACTGATGGAAGAAACATGGCCAGAAGCTATTTGATATGGTACTCCTGCCACAGAAGGGGAGGTCTGTCTTCCCTCCTCTTGAATCTGGGCAGACCTCTCACTGCTCTGGCCTATAATACAGAACAGCAGAGAGGGTGCTCCGTGAGTTCCCCACTTAGCCTTTAGAAGGCCTGGCAGCCTGGTCTCTTGGAGCACCAACGGCCGTGTAAGAAGTCTGACTCCCGTGCTGACAGACCATGTGGGGAGGTCCTGAGGCCACATGGAAGGAGACACCGGCCCCACTGAGTGCAGCCCTCCAGCTCACCCAGCAACACACCAGATATGTGAGTGAAACCGTCTTGGGCCCTTCAGACCAGCTCAATTGCTTGGTGTCACTGCTGAATATCAAGTGACCTCAGGTGATGCCAGATGGACATGCCGGCCCTGTCTGAATTCCCAACCCACAAATTCATGTGCTATAATAAAACACTTGCCGCCATGTCTCCAGGTAGTTTGTTACAGAGCAACAGATAGCCTTAATAGTAGCAAGCCTTGGAGACAAACCCAGGCTGTCTAACTCAGAAGCTCATGCATCAAGCACCAGGCCATTCAGATGATGTTAGCAGCCATCACTGGGCAAGAGAAAAAACACAAGCATTCCACCTGTTTTCATAGAAGCCCCTGAATTTGTTCCACACCACCAGGCAGTGACTCTGTGGCTTCTGTTCAGGGACCCTGCTGACAGCTCTTCCATCAGGGATGATAGGGGATGACCCAGACGAACCCAGGGCTGCAGGATGGAACGCATGACACCCACGAAGGTTCAGTGTCAGAGAAGAGCAGTGTCCACCACAACTGCCCAGAAGAAAAGGGAGCCAAGGCGACTGAATGATGGGCCTCCTAAGCTGAGTTCCAACAAATAACTCTTCCAGAAAGAACAGAGCCAAGTAACAAATACTAAACGTACAGCAGGCCCCCGCGCACCCAGGGAGGTCCAGCGATGACAAGGTAAGAGCAGGAGCTGGGGACAGGCGGCCTTGAGTCTAATCCCAGTTCTGCCAATTGTCTGCTGTGCAACTTGGGGAAGTTACCTAATCTCTCTGACCACCTTCTCCCACTTAACAGTGAGAGATAAAATATAGAGATAAAATCATATAGTCTGTGTGACACACTGTTGGCATATAGTAGAAACTCAATGAACGTTAGTTTCCCTTGATCCTTACCCAGGGATTCCGAATATCATTGAGTTCTTTTTATTCCTCAAACATTTCACAGTTTCTGATCATTTAGCGTTGGTCATATTTAAAAGGGAGTAGCGAAGAGGTGGAAGAAAAGTGAAATCGGAATCCTGTCCCCCTTTGGCAACTAACCAAGGCAACTTACCGTCCACTGACAGTGAGGAGCTGGGTCTCAGACCTCGATCTGGCTGCCTGAGCCAAGCCTCTGAGCCTCACCACCTCTGCCCAGCCACCTCTGGAGAGAGTGGCAAGGTGGGCTGTGGCTGGAGGGCTCAGAGCCTACTGGTGCCCAGGCCGCTTATCTCTCCCTAAGCACAGTTTCCCTAGACCTGCTTTTAGCTGGCCACCCACGTGTGGGCTGTCTTGATGGTGATGTCCACTCTCTGATTGCCTTGTCTGCCTGTTTGTCCTGCCTGTGCGGCGTTGTCAAGACTCCTAGGGACAGAGAACAGATTGTGGGACTCCCTCAGTTCAGCTGCCGGGAAGCACTGCCCAACAAGGGGTGCAGGTCTGTGCTGCTGCAGCTGGTTAGAAAAGGACTGCTGTGGATTTCACCATCTGTCGGCCAGCAGGGAGGAGGAGCGGCACCTGGGGAGCTCGCTCATGCTCAGTCGTTTTTCTTTTGTTTGTTTGTTTTGAGACGGAGTCTCACTCTGTCGCCCAGGCTGGAGTTGCAGTGGTGCCATCTCGGGTCACTGCAACCTCCGCCTCCCGGGTTCAAGTGATTCTCCTGCCTCAGCCTCCCGAGTAGCTGGGACTACAGGCACATGCCACCACACCTGGCTAATTTTTGTATTTTTAGTAGAGACGGGGTTTCACCATATTGGCCAGGCTGGTCTCGGTCTCCTGACGTCGTGATCCGCCTGCCTCAGTCTCCCAAAGTGCTGGGATTACAGGCATGAGCCACAGCGCCCAGCTTCATGCTCAGTCTTTTTAAGAGCAAAAACTTGGGAGTGGCTCACCACATCCATCTACGCACTGCTGGTGAGAGTTAAGTTAATAGACACACCTAGCTGCAAATAGGCTAGCAAATGTAAGTTTACCTGGGTGACCTCATACCTAGCTAAAACTCTGCAATTTTAGAAGGTTGAGGGACAAGTAGTCTCTACCTCCTCACTTCACCCCTTCAGCTCATGCCCAAGGTAATAGCATAAATATGTAAAATTTTGCTAGGAAAAATCCCAACAAAGTGATGACTGCAGGGCAGTCGTTATATTAAAATATATATTATTTAATTAAAATATTTTATAATAAATTATATTAAATTATTATATTTTATTAAATATATTTTAAATATTTATATAATATAATATATATTTAAATATATTATATATTTAAATATATATTATATTATATAAATATTTATATATTTTAAATATATATATTTAATATATATATATTTAAATATTTATTATATTATATATATTAAAATATAATAAATATATATAATAAATATATAGCGACTTGTAGTGTCGGAGAGCAAGGAAGTGCTCAGAAAATGAAAGGATCTCCAGAGACACAGGAAGCAACTTGAAAGAGCTCCCAGTGGTCACCGCTGGGATAATGTTGAGGAACAAAATAAGTAGTGTAGTACTGGATTACAACACAAAGTATGGAATATACATAAGTCCATACAGGTGTAAATTAATGATTCAATGCATAGATGGGCACAAGAAACAGATCATCCTTATGGAAGAATTCCAAATAATATAAGTAGATAAATTCATCTTAGGAAGTGGAGGTTAATTCTTGCCCCCCACCCTTGAGTGTGGGCTGGACTTACTCACATGCCAAGAATATAGTAATGAAAGGAAAAAAACAGTAACTTTATGGTGGAGACACTTGACAAACGCTGCCTAAACCAGTGAGTTCGGGTTAACTTCATCAGTGATAAGTGATGTTAATATCATACCCTCCAATAAGGTGTGATGAGAAGGGCCCTTCGCCTCTGTTGTATTCCTCCCAAAAACCCATAGACCCATTCTAATAGTGAGCAAAACACCAGAAAAACCGAAATTGAGAGAGTCTTCAAAATATCTCACCAATACTTCTGAAAATTGCCAAGGTCATGAAAAACGTGGAAAGACAGAAATTATCGCAGACCAGATGTGGCGGCTAAGGAGACAGGATGACTAAATGCAAAGCCGGACCCTGGATTGGATCCTGGTACTAAAAACCATAAAAACTACCAAAATCCAAATTAAGGCCGGGCGTGGTGGCTCACACCTGTAATGCCAGCACCTTGGGAGGCTGAGGCGGGTGGATCACCTGAGATCAGGAATTCGAGATCGGCATGGCCAACATGGTGAAACCCCATCTCTGCTAAAAATACAAAACTTAGCCGGTCATGGTGGCACGTGCCTGTAGTCCCAGCTACGTGGGAGGCTGGGACAAGAGAATCACTTGAACCTGGGAGGCAGAGATTGCAGTGAGCCGAGATCGTGCCACTGCACTCCAGCCTGGGCGACAGAGCGAGACTCCTCAAAAAAAAAAAGTTAAGTCTAGAGTTCAATTGAGTCATGTACCAATGCTGTTTTCTCAGTTTTAACAAATGTAGCAGGGCACTGAAAGATGTTAGCTTTAGAGAAAACAGGGTGAGGGGAAATAGAGGAACCCTTATATTATCTTTACAACTGTTCTGTAAATTTAAAATTATTCCAAAATAAAAAGTTTACTACTATATATATGTATATATGTATATATACTAATATATATGCATGAAGATAATCCGCGTCCAGATTCTGTACCTTCGTTTCAGGGGCTTTGACACTTTTCTGACTGGAAAAGACTCTTTCAGTTATAACCTACTACATACACATGTATATATCTGCAACAGAAATGTCCCCAGACAATCCCCACTGTATTACTCCCGGTGCACTATGATGTTTCTTTTCTACTCTATTCCGTTTCATTTGTTTTAGTGCTGGTCTCACCTGTGGATGAGCCTCTCCCTGGGACTCTGCCCCACGTGGCCTCATCTCCACCAAGCCCCCGCACACTGCCAAGACCCAGGGCTTCCGTGCTGGGACCCACTTTACCCAGAGATGGAATCTTTATTTGTGTCTCCGCCCAGACACCACCCCTTCCGAAAGGCCTCCCCTGCCTACCCTGGCTAAAGGCACACACCTCACATATAACCCCATCATTCTCCGTCCCCTTACCCTCTTTCTGTGTCTTTGTGGCACTGATCACAGCCTGCTCTTATGTCACATACATGTGCCATGTGTTCGCTTACTGGCTTTTCCCTGTCTAGAAAGTCAGCGGCATGAAACCAGGACTGTTATCTGTTTGGCTCCCTGCTGTGTCCTACTGCCTGGTGCACAGCAGCCACGAAATAAATATCACTTCACTGTAGAATTCTCCAAGTTTCTAAATACAAGTCAAGAAAACATGACTTGACTAAACCTGGGACTTCCTTCCTTTTCCCTCCTAAGGATGGACAGCCCCGGCTTCCCTGGCTGCTTGCATGACAGCTCTGTTCTCTGCTGCCTGCACCATCCCCCCCCGCCCCCGCCCCGCCACCAGTGTGTGTGCAGCTTTTATGGAATAATCAGCCTCTCTTTGCTTGCGTTTGGCTATTCCTGCAGCCTTCTTGGCAACCTTTTTTTTTTTTTCCAGCAAGAATAAGCGAGGAAAGAAAAGTGGGAGAGGAGGAAGAGGAAGAGGAGGAAGGGGAGGAGAAAGACAAGGCTCTGGTTTTCCCCAGCACCATTTCTCTTGCACTGAAGAATTGTCACTCTTGGCCATCAGGTTTCTACAAGCTCACCCAGTCCATATCCCTGACTTTGACATGCTCTGCCAGTGTCTAAATTATTTCTGCATAAAATGACTTAGGGGCTCTCTTTGACTACATTCAGTAGCTCAGTGTTTTCTGGATGCAAATTGCTCCTACCTCTTAAAGGCTGTACTTTACTCCCCCTTTCGACCATTGTGGAGGGAGAGTTACTGTTAATTTCCTAATAATTATGGGCTCTACAAGGGGGATTCAATTGTTAAGTAGAAAAAAAGAGGAATATAGCAATGTGAGCAACATACACAGAATATTAATGTTTGTTTAAAAGGAGAAGTTGGAGAATATGTATTTAGTTTTTGATTGGAAATACATAAAATGCACAGAAAATATACAGAAGAAATGATAACATTGTTTCCCTCTGGAAAGTTCCTTGAGAGCAGAAAAACTTTATAGTTAGCTATTCTAAGCATTTAATCACCAACTAATTTGCCCATGCAGGTGGACAAGAAGGTAAATTCAAATTGTGTTGAAGAAAAGAAAGCAGTTTGTCTCTGGGTGCTTTGTCTGCTTATGAAAGGTGAGGACTCTGATATCATCTAGGGTGAAACTGTTGTGAAGCAGATGGAGGAAATTGATCTTTGATATTAAAGGCCATTTTAAGAACTTTGTAAGCCCCAGAGACTCCTAGTTTTATTATAGCAAATATATTAAAACACACTCATATCCTATGTTAAATATAATTTGCCCTATAATTTTTTTTTTTTTTTTTGAGATAGGGTCTTGCTCTGTCACCCAGGCTGGAGTGCAGTGGCACCAACACGGCTCACTGCAGCCTCTACCTCCTGGGCTCAAGCGATCCTCCCACCTCAGCCTCCTGAGTAGATGGGACTACAGCTACTCAGGAGGCTGAGTAGAGAAGGTCCCACCATGTTGCCCAGGCTGGTCTTGAATTCCTGAGCTCAAGTGACCCACTACGCCCTGGCCTCCCAAAAGTGTGCTGGGATTATCCACCGTGCCTGACCCTGCCCTGTAAGTTTGAAAGGAATTTTATAATTTTGCTTTGGAAATTATTTGGCGATGAGTAATATTTAATTTATTATTGGCTACGATTACTCAGGAGTCACCATCTCTACCCAGGAATTCTTAAGAAGTGAAAAAAATCTAACCCACAAAATTCTTTTCAAATGGAATAAATATTTATAAATACTAAATTTAACAATTAATGAAATTGACAATGTTATGTTTTACTGATGTCTAATTAAGCATTTATAAATTTTGTTTTACTGGGCTTTTTTTTTTTTTTTTTGGCATTTGGACCCAGTAACTTCTTTTTGGGTCCACAAGATAAAATGGCACTATTGATATGTGTCCCCCACCTGTTCTTCTGGAATCTCTACCCCAGGGTAAATGGGACTTTATTACCCTCCTGCCTCCCTCCAACCCCCCAGCCCCTCCCCAGCTTTATCCAGTCAACTCTCTTCAGAAGTTCCTCATGCTCAACTTTTTCCTCTTTTTTTCTTTACCCTTCTTCCTTTTCTCATCTTTCTTTGGCACCCAAAACATTTCTGATAACACCTCGGCTCTCCGCACTCTGAGCTCTATTAATTTGCTAATGTCCTAAATGTTTAATGACTCACAGTCCAGGCAACTTGGTTATGTCTTTTCATAGTTACATTTTAATTGGGCCTTTTTAGAGATACAACACTTGAATTCAAAAGGCTCTCTTTAATGATGTGAATTTAGGGCTTAGTTGTGGGAGATATTTCTAGGGAGGTGCAAAATCCTTTGGGAGTAAATTCCAGCAACAAAAAAAATCCTCTTCCCCTGGGAGCTCACAGATGAGCTGAGGAGGTAACATGTAATGCATAACCAGGACATAAGGTAGACGGCACCATTAGGGACGCGTAGAGGAAGGGCGTGGGGGCTTACAGCAGAGAGCTTGCTTTCAGCTGCGGGAATCAGAGGAGGTTACCTGGAGGAAGCGACATTTGAGTTGGACCCTAAAGGATGGGTGGGGTTTGGAGCCCTGGTGCTTCTGGCTCACTCCTTCCCTTCTAACCAGCTGCCGTTCATGAGTTCCTCCAGCAGAGGGCAGGCATAGCAAAGACGGGAAGGAGAGTCCGATTCTTCAGCCCAGTCTTGAGTGGGGCTTTGCATGCCCAGAACTGTCTAGACGGCTTTCTGGGTTTACTAAGAAGGGGCGGTAACTGAAACCTGGTGCCACCTGCCCTGGTGCCACCTCTCCATGGACACTAAGGTGCCCTTTCTAGAGCAGTCAGGCCGGGCAGGTTTGGGCAGTCCAGCCTGGGGAAGGGGAGAGGACTGCCTTTCTGGGTTGCCATGGGAGTTTATTCCCCACTCTCCCTAAGGAACTGGGAGCCGAGGTATGGGTTGCTTTGGTGCTTAAAGTATTTCTCTGTCTATGGTCAGATGAGACAATAATTCATGCTCAAGTGGTTTACTAAGGAAATATTCCCAAGAAAATATTATAAGGAAGTGGGGACAGTAGAATAGGGAAAGAGTAAATGCCAGGCAAGTGTCTGATTTGGGGTGAAGTCCCAGCCTCAGCCTGATGCCTGAGGGAGCTCCAGGGGCGTGCCTTGCAGCACAGAGTTTGCCCTCCCTCAGGGCAAAGGAACAGGGCTTTGTACTGCTGCACCCATCAATGGCTGACCACGGCTGCCCCAGGGGGACGTCAACTGGCAGCCCCTTCCAGTTCTTGGTGCATCTGGGTGACTTAGCCCCAGGAGCCCGTGCTTTATCGTCTGAAGACAGGTGTTGATAGGAGCCATCGACAGTGAACATACACAGCTGGAAAGGGGATCTGAGGACAGCTGGGTGCGGCTCCGACCGCCTTTGCTACTCTCTCCAAGGCCCCTTCTATTTATCCAGTCTCCCCATGACCAAAGACTTTGTCTTGCAGACAGAACTACCACTGGGGAAACCCAGGAAGATTCCAAGCCCTCTTGTCTTTTCAGAAGAGATCATTTCTGGTCTCTCAGCACCTCTGGTCTTGCTCTGGGGAACCTGTATTTTTATTGCAGGAGTCCTCACCTCTGTCCCCTAATCCCTTCTACCCCAGCTCCTCAAAATGCATCCCTTCAGAGTTCTCCACCCTCAGCTAATTGTCAGTTCGGGCATTGACGTTCCCCATGGATGCATTAATGGCAGAGAGATGCTCTGACAGGCACTGTGTTTTACCCAGCTCTCCCTTCTGTTACCACTCAAGTGGGAGCTCTCCGAGAGCAAGGGCTGTTTCTCATTCCTTGCCCAGGCCTGCCTGATGGAGTGGGTCTCTAAGTGCAGTTCCTGGACCTCCAGCATCAGGCTCACGGCAAGTGCGTTTTATAATCTTAACTTCCCCGCCAGCCCCCATCCCACCGCACACACACAAAAGGGGTCTGGAAATCAGCCTCTTTCACAAACTTCCTAAGTAATTCTGGTGCTCATTAAAGAATGAGAGCCATGGCCCAAGCACTCAAGGGGCAAATGAGTCCTCCAGAGAACTTTCAGGAACCCCCATGGCACACTTTCACCTTTGTCAAGCCACATCTCACCTTCTCAAGGAGCCCCACCCCCGTCCCAGTGCTCCTGATCCCCTGTACCTATTCTACTTCTTCCTACCATAGCATTATCACCTTTTTCATTATGTGTATCGCTTAGTCTCTCACCTTCCCCCATTAGAACATGAGCTCCATGAGGGCAGGGATCTTTGTCTGGCTGACTGCTATGTCCCAGTGCCTGGAATGCAGTATCCACACATGGTTGGTGTTCAAAAACACGTGTTGCATGAATGAATGAAGTAATTGTGTGGAGAGGCATCAGAGTAACTGAAGACAAAGATCATTACAAATTATCCACTTCTAAACTTCTTTGATAACAGACATTGCATTATCTGTGCCCTGAGACCCCCCTCAGATTCAATGACTTACTGGCAGGACTCACAGGACTCCGAAAAGCTGATATACTCACAGTTATGGTTCATTACAGGGAAAGGATACAGATGAACATCAGCAAAGGGACAAAGTAGGTGGCGATGTCCAGGAGAAATCAGGCAATCAGGCTCAACCTTCTAGGTGTCCTCTCCCAGTGGGCCTGACGGGAATGCAGTTAATTCCCCCAAAAACTATGCATGACAACACGTGCAAAATATTACCAACCAGGGATGAGCCTTGTTGTCCAGGGGTTTTATGTGGTGGCAGTACCCACATGACTTATTTTAGCCACTCAGTCTCTAGTTCCCCACGCTACTGAGAGGTCAAACTGTTGGTGCACAGCCCAGGCAGGGCCTTAGGCATACAAAACCAGACATTCACCATAAATCACTTTATTAGCACAAACTGGTCAGACTGATAGTGTGGCCTAAGGCCTGGGGCATAGAAAAAAAGTCAACCAGGCAGGATCTTCCAAGGGCTCAAAGGTCACCTCCCAGGAGCCAGTCAAGGGCCCAGTCCTTTCTTTGGAATGTGCAAGGTTTGAGCAACCCATACCTGCTGCGTTAACCCTTTCCTGCGCAGACACCAGTAAGCAGATTCTCAACATGGCCCCAACTGAGACTGTTCTGTAATTAATCTATGTGGTTGGTATTGGTCTGACTTCTCCCCAGATATTATTGTGCCTAATTAAGTTATACTTGCAGGCTAACTTACCTCAGGGTTGGGTCATATATTCATTTCACAGGGTTAATGAGCACGTACTGTGTGCTAGATATGGTGCTTTATGGGGAATGCAAAAATGGACATGGCAGACATGGTCCGTGTCTCAGGAAGTTTAGTCTAGTCTAGTTACAGGTCAGTTCTTGGACTTTGGCATATGAAGGATTCCTTGGAGATAACAACCCACTCTGAGGGCAAGCAGGAAGAAGAGATGACTGTGGAGTGAAGATGATGAAGGTGCGGGAGAGAAAGCCTCTTCCCTGTCATTAGCTCTGCCCTTTGAACCTTCAGCAAGCAGATCCTGGGAGATTCCTGTGGCTTGTCTGAGGCACTGGAGATTTGCTTGGAGCAAGGCTGCCTTCCAAGATAAAGGGCAGCCAGGAAAAACCTTAATGCTCTATCCATATTTATGTATCAAATACTTACATGGCACCTACTATGTGCCGGATGCCATTCCCAGCATTCTGCAGATATTAGCTCACCACCATGCCAAACCCCTGCCTGTAGCTCCTGGCACATTCCTGATGCTCTGCGGGCTGTGTGTCCTGGGGAGAGCAGCAGATGTCACCATGCCCTCAGAACCTCTCCTGGTTCTCGTGCTTTCTTACTCTCATATGCCCATCCCATCCCAGGCTCATGCCCTCCTTTGCCTTGTGTCCTCAGGAATGCCCTGTCTTTTGTGAGCACACTCCCCTATGTTCTTGAGCTTTCCTGCTAACACTTCTGGAGCTTTGCTTTCACTGAAGCCTGACTTTCCCCAGGATATACTGATGCTCAGCTCAGGTACTCGATGAGCCAGTGACAGATCAGTCTGAAGTCTGAAAAGCAGGCAAGGGCAGTAGTAAGGACAGAAACAGGAATTCAAGAGGAAAACACCCAAGGGCAGATCAAGAGGTCCCAGAGTCCCTGAGACTCCCTCAGCAGAGCCAGCACCTCAGATTATGTTCCTCTGCATCATTTCTGTATCTCAGCTCAGCAACAGCTCTGCTCATACCCAAGAAATGCTTGTGGATGAAACACAGAGGCCCAGTCTCTGTGAATGCCACTGGGATGATATTTATGCACCATAAAATAAACGTTAAACACTCAATACATACATTGCATTGTAGCAAAGTGATTTCAAATATATCATAAAATGACAGGGATAAAATGAAGTGACCTTCATTTCCTGCTTCTTATAGAGAAGGAAACTGATACGAAAAGTGCGGAAGTGTCTTACCCAGGGTGGGTCATGCAGCTAGTGAGTGGCAGAACTGGGATGAGGAGCTGAGATCATGGTCAGATGGAAGTGGAGTTTGGGCCCCCTAGAAGGCTCACCAGTGGTTGCTGGGCAGGCATTGAATTTGCCCCTCATCTGTGTAGCTGAAGCTGAAAGGAAGTCCTCAGCATGCTCAGTACTGAGACAGAAAATCTCTCTTCTCCATGATGCCAACCTCAAGAGGGAAGAGGGAAGTTGCCCTCAAATAAACTAGTGATATGTGTGGGCGAGTTTTCCCTGAAAAATGTAGCAATTCCCCAGAATCCAGGGGCAGGTTTTCTTTGTTTTTTGTTTTGTTTTGTTTTGTTTTGGAGACAGGGTCATGTTCTGTCACCTAGGCTGGAGTGCCGTGGCACAATCATAGCTCACTGCAGCCTCAAATTCCTGGGCTCAAGCAATCCTCCTGCCTCAGCCTCCTGAGTAGCTGGGACTACAGGTGTGTGCCACCATGCTCAGCTAATTTTTAAATTTTTTTGGTAGAGATGGGGTTTTGCTATGTTGCCCAGGCTGGTCTTGAACTCCTGGGCTCAAGCGATCCTCCCACTTCAATCTCTCAAAGTGCTGGGATTCTACAGGCATGAGCTGCCATGCCTGGCCAGGTTTTCTAAATTTCATAATATTTATTGAAGTTCCTATTTGTCTTGAAGTGCACTTGTACTATTCTCAAACAGCAGGTAAACCCCTGATAGTAGGAACCCACTCTTTCTTTTCTCAATGTTGAGGTGCCTGGAGGAGGCCCTAGCCCAGCTCGGCATCTGTTGTTTTTTCTGGCCTGGGGAAAGGCTGTACTTCTCTGTAAAGGTTTTGTTCAAGTCCTGGTGGCTGATAAAGAATCTGGGCTACACCTACCTGGTTTTGGGGGTTTGGGGGGACAATGAGGGGCCTCAGTCTGGTGGGGAGCTGGAGAGCCTGCTCAGGGATGCTTGATCATCTCTACTCAACCAAAACCCATGCAGTCCAGACCATCTCCTGCTGCAGCAAAACGGCACGCCCATTCCCTGCAGGAGGAGAATCCGTTGGTTCTGTTGGGGAAAGCGGTTAGCTGAAGAGTAGTATCAAGAGCTTTACAAATCGGCATATCCTTTAAACAAACAGTTACCATTACAGATTCTATTCTAAAGAAATGATGTGACAGCAAAACCTTTACTTACAAAGATGTTTGTCACAATCTTGGTAACAGGCAATCAATTAGAAATAGCACAGATGTCCAACAATAGGGAATTGGTTCAATCAGTCATTGTGTATCCCTTGATGTTATCCAGTTATTAATAATGATGTTTATAATGACTTTTTGATGACATGATAGTGGCCAAAAAAATCCAGATTCCTACCACAAAAAAATTAAGATAATTATATGAGGTGGTGGATATATTAATTAGCTTGGTGTGGTGATCATTTCACACTGTATACATACATCAAAACATCGAGTTGTTCACTTTATATGATTTTTGATGATTATAGCTTAATAAAGCTGAAAAAATCAATTCAAGTGTTACATACAGCATGGTTGTAATAATGTAAACAGAAATATGCTCAGAAAATGACTAGAAAGAAATGTATCAAAATGTGGTTTCCTTCAATGGTAGAATCACGGATTTCTATTGTCTTCTTTTCCTACTGTTAAACCTGATTGTTAGGCGGACAGCTCAGAAGGCCTCTGTGGTTCCATCCTTTGGTGCCCACACCTTTGTACACTCCCTCCCTTCGCGTGTGGGTGGAACCTGTAAGATGCAGCCAACAGGCTGCAGCAAGGGCGATGGGACGCCACTCTGTGATTATGAACGTTATACAGCAAAGGTGAGGAGATTTCTCTGGTGTAATTACTGCCCTCAGTCTGTTGACTCTAAGTTAATCACAAGGGAGATCATCTTAGTAGGCCTGACCCAATCATGTGAGTTCTTGAAGAAAGGGTCCAGGAATAAGAGGTACTCTCTAGAAGGGGTTTACCTGCTGTTTTGTTGTTTGTTTGTTTTGAGACAGGGTCCCGCTCTGTTGCCCAGGCTGGAGTGCAGTGGTGCGATCTCGACTCACTGCAACCGCTGCCTCCCAGGTTCAAGCAATTCTCCTGCCTCAGCCTCTGGAGTACTTGTGATTACAGGTGCCCACCACCATGCCCGGCTAATTTTTGGATTTTCAGTGGAGACAGGGTTTCCCCATGTTGGCCGGGTTGGTTCTGAACTCCTGGCCTCAAGTGATCCGCCCGTCTTGGCCTCCCAAAGTGCTAGGATTACAGGCGTGAGCCACCGTGCCCGGCCTTACCTGCTGTTTGAGCATAGTACAGGTGCGCTTTAAGAGAAGTAAGAACTTCGAGAAATATTTCGAAATTTAGAAAACCTGTGACTGGATTCTGGGCCTCCAGAAGCTATCAGCCATGACATGACACGGCCATAGAAACCAGTGGTCTCTGAGAGTGGAGGGCCTCAGCCCACAGCCACAAGGATCTGAATTCTCCCAACAACTTCCAGGATCTTAGAAAAGGACCTCCAGCTTCAGACGAGACAGAAGCCGCAGCCGACACCTTGACTGCAGCCCCTGAGAGACCCTGAGTAGAGGACCCTGTTGAGCCACGCCCAGGCTCCCGATCCAAGGAAACAATGAGATAATAAATGTAGGCCGGGCACAGTGGCTCACGCCTGTAATCCCAATACTTTAGGAGGCCAAGGCGGGCGGATCATAAGGTCAAGAGATCGAGACCAGCCTGGCCAACATGGTGAAACTCCTTCTCTACTAAAAATACAAAAATTAGCTGGGCGTGGTGCCGGGTACCTGTAATCCCAGCTACTGGGGAGGCTGAGGCAGGAGAATGGCGTGAACCCGGCAGGCAGAGGTTGCAGCGAGCCGAGATCGCACCACTGCACTCCAATCTGGTGACAGAGCAAGACTCCATCTCAAAAAAAATAAAATAAATAAATAAATAAATGTGCATTTTTTGCAGTCACTAAGGTTGTGGTAATTTTCTTACTGCAGCAATACGAAAATGAATATCTTTATAGTTGTATTTAACTTTATAATTTTCTGTACCTTCTAAGTATTTACAGTGCTGTCAATTAGAACTGCCTGCAATGGCGGAAATGTTGTCACCTGTGCCATCCAATCCACCAGCCATTAGCCACATGTGGCTATGGAGCACCTGAAATGTGGCTGGTGGGACTCAGAAATGAAATTCTTTAAAATTTTATTTTAAACAGCCACATGTAGCTAGTGGATAGCATATTGGACAATAGTTCTGTACTTCGTTCTTATGATTTTTTAAAAAATTGGCCCATTTAACAAATTGCAGGTAAATGTCCACTTGGAAAGGAAATGGTGAGAAAATGATCACATCTAAACAGGAGGCATCGAGGTACAGCAGGGACAGCATTCACTGGTCTTTTGGCCCTGAATGTTCTTATCTCTAGAAAGGAAATAACAATAATTGCCCTCAGTTTCAAGGGTCAGATAAGAGGCTGCACACAGAAAGGCTGCCATGAAGACAGAAGCCAGGCCTTATCTCCCCTCTGGTTCTGGCCAAATTGAATGGAAGAGAACCTGCTTTCTGGCGAACTTGGGTGCTTTCTGACCCAGATAGCTCAGGCTAAGGAGACAGGAAGGATGAGCTCCTGCGTTCCATGCGAGGGCCCCTGGAAGCTCTGCTCTCTTGTGCTGTGACTGTGGTTACAGTTGAAAGCTGCGTGTGTGCTCCCTATGGAAGGCACTGGCAGACACCTTTCTTTCTGGATGTGCTCTTCTGGCTGAGTACAGGGGAATCTTGGCTCCTACCCAAGTGGAATCACACCACTTCAAGGCAGCTCATGGCCCTCAGGAGCTGGGGTGGGGGTGGCGAGAATCTCTTCCTGTGAATGCTCACAGCAGCCTCTCTGGGAGGGGGTGGCGGTGAAAGAACAGAATCGAGTGGGAAAAGCATAGTTATATGATAAAATAATTGTGGCCGGGCACAGTGGCTCACGTCTGTAATCCCAGCACTTTGGGAAGCCAAAGAGGGTGGATCACCTGAGGTCAGGAGTTCAAGATTAGCCTGGCCAACGCATGGCGAAACCACATCTCTACTAAAAATACAAAAATTAGCTGGGCGCAGGAGCACACACCTGTAATCCCAGCTACTCAGGAGGCTGAGGCAGGAGGATCGCTTGAACCCAAGAGGCAGAGGTTGCAGTGAGTCGAGATCGCAGCACTGCACTCCAGCCTGGGTGACAGAGTGAAGCTCTGTCTCAAAAAATAAAATAAAATAGTAATAATAATAATTGTACACTTGAATGATAAAAAGTTTACTTATTTTCCTAATACAAGATACAGAAATTGAAGCTAGACAAAATCTCCTTGGCTGGTGGGGCAGGAGGCTCTGGGGGATAAATAAATGTGGTAGAGGCCAGGTGCGGTGGCTCACGCCTGTAATCCCAGCACTTTGGGAGGCCAAGGCAGGCAGATCACTTGAGGTCAGGAGTTTGAGAGCAGCCTGGCCAACACAGTGAAACCCTAAAAATATAAAAATTAGCCAGGCGTGGTGGCAAGGACCTGTAATCCCAGCTACTCGGGAGGCTGAGGCAGGAGAATCGCTTGAACCCGGGAGGCGGAGGTTGCAGTGAGCCGAGATCGTGCCACTGCACTCCAGCCTGGGTGACAGAGCAAGACTCCAGCTAAAAAATAAATAAAAAACAAATGTGGTGGAAAGAAAAAAGAGCTTTGAAGGAGATCTGCTGCTTAATAACTGTGTGACCTTCAGAAAGTTACTTAGCCTCTCTGAGACTCAGTGTCTTCATCTGTAAAGTAATTATACCTACTATATAGTGCTCCACAAAAGGTATATTTTGTTTGAAACTATGTCTAGCCCAACAGCATCCATGTACCTCATCCAATTCCAATCCTCTGGGGAGGACAGGAGCAATGGGCAGAAGAAAAAAGAAGCTGGCAGACTTGCTGGGCATGCACTGTGGGGGTCAATGTCAGCAGGAACTGGGGGAGATCTGGAGCTGGGGCTTGACAAAGAGAATGAGGCCCCTGAGCATTCCCTGACATGTAACACCTCTTGGTATGTTTATCCTGTGCAAGGGGAGAGATGGATGGGAGGAACCAGTAGTTGAAGATATAGGAAGGGGCTGTGTTGGAGTAGACAGTGGGAAGTATGGGACCCAGAGGCAGGTGCTTGATTTCTTCCATTGCCTCTTCAAAGCAGGTGGTGAGATAACCATAGTGAGATATCGGCAGTGAGATATTTGTCATGGAGACAATGAAAGGCTGATCGGGAGGCCTAGACAGGCCTCTCCTCTTCTTCCTCTAAGGATTTGCATTTCCACCTTCCTGGTTGGGACTTTGCCCGTGGGATGAAGACTCTGGTTCCAGGGATTTGATCTGCAAGGTCACAGTGTTGTCTGAGGGTGTGACTTATCTCTGCAGTAACATAACACAGATGGCCTCTGGTTAGATTTTTCCAATAACTCATTAAAGGACAGGCAAAGCTGTGTCTGTGACCAAGTGATAAGATGAATGGAGCTGTCCCTTTCAGGCAAGGGATTGAAGACTGTGTGAACCCTTTACTTTGGACCTTCATCAATGGCAATACGCCAGAGCCAGGCGACCACTCAGGGACATGTGTACCAGCCTGCCCTAATAGGGTCCCTGAGGGTTTAGGTCCTATGAGGGGCTTCTTCCTCCTGATGCTGCTGCCTCCAGCTCTCACCTGCTGGACCCCAGACTTCAGCTTGCCTGGACCCTCCTGGATGTCTCTGGTCCTGAGCATGGTTCCCTGGACTCACATCTGTCCAATCTTCCATCCTCGTCACACCTCTGTAGCTCCTGACTCATCACACCTAAGGCCCAGGGTGGATCCTGCCAAGCAATTCCTGCCCTCATTATAGACTCAGGGAATATTGGAAGACAGCTTAGAAACCATCTCAGTCAGGGAATATTGGAAGACAGCTTAGAAACCATCTCAGTCAGGGAATATTGGAAGACAGCTTAGAAAACATCTCAGTCAGGGAATATTGGAAGACAGCTTAGAAACCATCTCAGTCAGGGAATATTGGAAGACAGCTTAGAAACCATCTCAGTCTGTCCCCTCATAAGGAAACTGGAGTCCAGAGAAGGAAACTGAAGCTAGTAATGAGAAGAGTGAGGACCAGAACCAGAACCGTGTCTCTTGACTTGCCCCGGCCAGGGCCATGTGACAACCATCAGCCTAGGGTTTCCTTACAAAGGTTTTCTGCACTGTGTATTGGTGAGACCAGCCTCCTCCTCACTGTAATGTACTTATTTCTGTTGCTCCTTTCTGGGCTGGAAACTCCTGAGTTGTTCACCACTGTGGCCTGAGCATCAGGGACGGGGGCTGGCACAGAGCACGTGCTCCATCATTATTTGTTGATTCAATAGACGAGTCAGTGTAGATATGGCCAAACCAAATACTCAGCTCTCAAAGTGGTCTTCTGGGCCTAGAAAACTAGACCAGCTGAACCAGTGTGGTTATAACAGTGATGTATGAGCACACATGTGCTTTGGACTCAGAAAGACCTAGGTTGGAATCTTAGCTCTGCCATCTACTGGCTGTACATCATACAAATACTTAACTGTTCTTAACCTCAGTTTCCACACCTGTAAAGAAGGAATCACAATGCCTACTGTTGCGAGAGTTAGATGAATTACGCACTTGAAGTACAGCGTTTGGCACATCTTGAGCACTCAAAGCGTATTAGAGATGACACTCATTGCCAGTCCTACCCACATCTCCATCTAAAAGCAGCCCTCACTCACAGCCTCTGCCATCTGCCTGACTCTGACACTGGCCACATCTGATTGGACCTGGGTGGAGAATTAGCAGTAAGGGTCAATCTACTCCATCCTCTTTGTGGGACCTGGGCCTTCCAGGCAATGGCCACCTTGCAATGAACTGTCTCCCTTTGACCCATTGGAGAAATCTTGACAACTTAGCTGTGGGAATCCGTTGGCAGAGGGTGCCTCAATGTGGGGGGGGAAAGGCTCTTCACTCCTAGATCAGGGAAAATAGCTTGGCACTGCTGCACTGAGGCCCCCCATGAGCCAATGCCATCCGCACACAGGGGTGTTGGCCCAGTGCAGGGTGGCGTGGCACATGTGGGCAGTGGGCGGTGGAGCCAGTGGCAGCACGGGTCTTGCTAAGCGGTGGGGATGACACAGAGAGCTGGAACTGGAGCCTGGAATGGGGAGGTTGCCATTGAGGTCAGACATTCCGCCCTAGGGACTTTTAAGAGGGTCTGGAAGTCCTACAGTGGCAGCTGGAGGTGGGACAGTCATGAAAATACTTTCCTGTGTTCTTATGAAACTCTGTTTTTAACCTAGACCCATGAAACCTGGGTCCCATGTCACTCAAAGATCCAGCCTCCGAGCAGTGGGGACTCCAAGTGCTGAGGCCCTCATCCACCTGCTGGGCCTCAGCTGCAGACAGCCTCATCCCACCCAGGCTTTCTTCCCCGCACCCGTCTGCTCCCTCCTCCTAACGCAGACATCTGTTCCCCACCCACTCCTTCTTCACCACCCTCCCATCTCTCATCCTGCTCCCAGGCGGTGTCTGTCTGCAGCGCCCTCTCTGTCCCTGTCTTGAAGTCACGGGCCCTCAAGTCCATCCTCCCACACCTGCAGCTTCCTGGCATCCTCAACCCTGGGAACTTGCTGGTACCAGGGCAGCCAATTCCATTCTTGGACAGCATTAGCTGTGAGTTCCTCACACTGAGCCCAAATCTGCCTCCCAGAAGATAAGTTGGTCTTGGTTACATCCTCTAGAGCTCTGTCAAATGAGCTTAATCTTTATTTCACATGACAGCTTTTCTCTCAGACGCATGACATCAGGGTGCTGTTTTACTGCACCTGTGCTTCCTCCACGGCCAGTCACTCATGGGTTCCAAGTCTGTTGTTTCTTCATTTGTCTCCTTATCTTCCCTCTTCCTCTCCATCACCATTGCCCTGCCGTGGCCTAGCTACATCCAGTTTTTCCCTTTTCCAATTCTTCTCCCTCACTGCTACAAGATGAATTTTTCTAAAATGCCAATGAGCACACATCTCCCATCTGATGGTGCCTTAGAGCTTACAGGATAGTCCCCACCTCATAACCTGGCATTTAAGGTCTTCTTTCCTGGGTCTCCTATTTTAAGCACACTTGCTTCCTTTTACAAAACCCTTAATTGCAAGCAAACCAGTCAATTCATGGTCATCCTGCCTGTGGGACCCAATCTATAACTTCTTTTCCTTCTCCAACCCTGTCTTCTCTTTGAAGGCCTCCCTGTCTCTGAAAGAGTCCCCTCCCTGATGCTACAAAACCCACAGGCCTCACCACTGTGCTTTGCATATATAGTCTCGTTTTTTATGTGAGTCCAGTTGTAGATCCTCAGAGAACTCATTTCACCTCCATGCCCTTCAAAACTCATGTCCTCAAGCATGAATTTTGAGGACAATGATGAGATAAACCCAGCTGCCAGTACTCCCTGAGTCTCTTCGCCATTTCCTTCAACAGGTCCTCCTCAGGACAAGCTTTGGGTTTCTCTGTTTTTCCAGCAGCCTCTGAACATACCATAGTGCTTTCTGTGGGGTCTGACCACTGTCAGGTAGACTGAAACCATGGCTCCCCTGAACACAAGGTAGGGAAATTGATGCAATAAATTATGATGTGGCAATTATTTATTTAAATTACCAAAATATTTGATCAGTGCTTGAGTTCTTCACATCTTAATGAGTCCTATGTTCTTCCTGGGAAAACTTTTCCAGGATTGCTCAGGAGCAGGGACGACTTTCTTTGCTCATTCATTAAAAAAAAAAAGTTGCATATCTGCCATATCCTATGAATACTTTCTGGAACAAATTCTAGAATGTGAATTTGTTGAATTGTTCCAGAAGAAGAATTTGAATTTTTATTCACTTTCTCAACTTCTCTTGCTATTTACAAGTGATGTAATAGTATGTTCTCTAATTTCACATTTCTCTACTGTTTTATTTTTCAGTATGTCCTTTAATTTACATATCAGGTATGTGTTTTAGAAGCAGCCCTCATAGTCACGATCCCATAGTCAGACCCCTTAATGGAGTCAGTAGAGAGGGGAAGCCGAGAGCACAGATTCCAGACAAACATGACTTCACCCTGGGCTCTGCCACTTACCAGTTATGTGAACTTCAGTAACTTATTTACCTTTTTGAGCTTCAGTTTCCTCATCTGTAGAAGGAATAGTGCCCATTGTGTGTGTGGTGAGGATTAGATCAGAGAATGTATTTGTGACATGCTTATCACACACACACACACACACACACACACACACACACCAGGTGCTGTCCACTACTGCCAGTGATTCTCTCAGTGAAGTGCTTCAACCCTGCGTGGTAGGTTATGAAATGCCCAAAGCAGGCCTTTGATGACGATGACTGTGATGATGAAACTGTTAAAACTAGACATGGAGTCCCCTATGACTCAAAACTAGTGCTGGAATCCCACAGCTGAAAGTTACTAGAAAACTGTTTTACTACTGTTTAGCCTGGGTAGTGAAGGCCAAGGCATTTCCTCCTTGCCTACTGTGGCTATTAGGGAAATCTGGTGATGATAATGCATTGTGTAATTTCTGAGAGCGTGGAGGGGCTTTGGGGACTATGGTAATAATAATAGACAAATGGTCACTACCCTTTAGGGGTATTGACCATAGCACTATTTCCACTCCCACCCTCCAGTCCCTCCATATACACTAAAGATCAATGGCCAAATAAAGTACTGATGATCTTACAACTAGGCAAACATTCCCTAACTCCAAATGAAAGGTAGAAGTTGTGCTGGAGAACGTGGTGTAGACTAGGAGCCCAAGCAAAGTCTCTCTTCCTATGAGTTAATACCTATAAACCACACAGACAAAGGTCACAGTGACCACGACTCCTTTCCCCTGGACTCTAGGGGTCAACTCCACCACACAGCTGCAAATCCAAGCATCAGAAGGGCAAGAGGAGGGAAGACCTGCTGCTACCAGAGGAGGCTCAGAGGGCACATGGAGGGGAGCCTGCCTTAGCATGCTTGTGAATTCACTGACTCTTCCTTATTGACCCTATAAAGTAGGTAGTACTATCACTCCCATTTTGCAGGTGAAAAAACTGAGGCACAGATGAAGCCAGTAGCCCAAGGGCATACAGCTATGGGGGCAGAGCTAGGACTTGAACTCAGGCAGGTTTGTTCCTGATTGGCTTGTTATATATTATACACTGTCTCTTGCTAAAGGCCTCAATCATGCCCTCAGCCTCTGGACAGGGAAGCTCTATGCTTCCCTCTATCCGTGAGCACTGACATCACAAGCAAGTGCGACCATGGTAAGTGTGCTCTGTCGAGGGAGCAACGCAGTGACTTGCAGGCTGTTCTTCTAAGTATGTGCCTGTTTGTCCTTATAATTAAACACAAGCAAAAGGTAAAAGGGGTAATTCTGTAGCCAGGTCTGTAACCGGGAAACAGCCTTTGGACGTCACTAAGATAACTAGACACATCATTACTATGTCTCTCTGGCCCTTGTTTTCTTCTAGGGGAAACGACGTTGCAACCCTGACAAGGAACACCCTTCACCTGCCATATTCTTTATCACTTCACTCTCACTCTTCCTTGGTTGGCCCAAAGGTGGCTTCAGACCCAAAGGCCCCTAACCCATAGGCTGGCCAGGGACCTACAGTGTGGCCTGCTGAGAAATGACGAACAATTGCATTCTCAGTCTTGGGAATCTGATTTTGGAAATACAGAGGCAATGAAGCTGTGAAGAGTGGGGGTTGAAGCGGAAAGAATCTGGAGGTGGTTAAGGCTGTGATAATCTAGGCAGGAGAAACTGACATTGTAGCAGAGCTGAGTATTACAGAGTGGAGAGCTGGAAGTGAAGCAGACACAGAAAAGCCTGGTCATGGCAGAGGAAAAGCATTATGGCAGCTGACGTTCAACCCTGCCTGCAAAGAATCATCTGGAGAGGGTTTCACAGATATTGGCACCTGGCTCCTCTCCAGAGAGTCTATGTAATTGGTGTAGAGTGGGACTCAGGTACTGATGCGTTAGAAATCTCCCCACTGACCTTCAGAGGAGTTTCTTGGCCTCCTGGCATCCCTGCTGCTGAGGTTCATGGCCCTCTACACTGCGGCTCCAGCTCTGCAGAGGCCCCGTGGTGCAGGTTTTCCTGGGTCCACTGGCAGTCACTTTGGGACATGTAATCACTCGCAACTCCTGCCTATCCTTTGCTAACAGAACCCTGATTTTGTACAAGTATTAGAGCAGCAAAATGGTTACGGAAGATGGGCCCAACCCCACAGGATGCGTCTAATGGGTTCAAACCAAACATGATAATCCCATCTCCCTTTTCCCATCTTAGAGATGAGTATGTGATTCAGTTATAACCAATGACATAGGAGGAAGGTGGCCTTTTGGGAAAGATTTTCCCCTTTTTAGAGAGAGAATGGGGGAAGCTAGAAAACCCTCTCACCCTACCTGCATTTGGAAGTTATGCTGCAGATGTGACACCTGGAGCTTCAGGAGCCATCTTGTGACTGTGAGGGGAAAACCCAAGAGAACTGCAGAGAAGCTGACCAGAGCCCTAATAGGATTATTGCTGAATTAACCAACCCAGGAATCACCTACCTCCAAATTTTTTATTGCTTACTATGTGCTTACCATGAGCCAGGTGCTGTTGTAAGCACTTTTCTCATATCAATTAATGGAATCCTTAACAACCCTGAGTGTGAAAATGATACATGTCATCTCTCTGCACTTGTACCCTAGCCCCTCCACAGTCCAAGGCATCAGAACTGGCTCTGTTTCCTGCAGGAGCAGCCTTCCCATACTCTACTCAATGCAATCTAAGCGTGTCTCTCTGTGAGACAAAGGGTATGATGTGTGTACTGTTGGGGTAAAGAATAGCCAAAAGATAGCAAAAGGCCTCAGAACTAGTGAGCTCTCTGTCTGTAGGCCACAGGCTGTGCTGGCACTGGCTGTGTAATAAATGTCCACATGGTGCCACATGTTCAGGACGTTCTCAGTGGGTGCCTTCCTTGGCACTCAGTAAAGCTGCTGCTGGGATCCCTCACCCTTTCCTTTCACCCCCTCACTGGCCGCTCTACTCTCCCTCCATTGCTTCCCTCTCCCCCTCTTCTCTAAGTCTCCAACAATGGGATATCAGAGGAAGAGAAACACAACATGCCTCCCCCACCCAAAAAAGCCAACTCTGGCGTGACCACAGATTTTTAAAATCTGAATTTCTAGGCAGCAGAGTCCCTAAATATTAACAGGTACTCTCATCAGCCTGTTGTATCTTCAGAATGAGCTTTCTTTTCAGGCTGTCCTGTTCCGCCAACATAAGCTTAGCCATCCCATGAGAGAGGTCCTGACAGCCTCCTTCATGCTCTGCACCAGGGAGATGCACACATCCCTCCTAGGCATTCTCAGCAGTCACCACACCTTTTTCCCCCATCTTCACACTCTCATTCACACGCTCTGAAATTGGTCAGCATTGGCTCAGCCCCTTCATTTGGACTCAAAGAACACCACAGGTACAAACAGTTTACACAGACTTTATTTTTCACCCATTGAGGTGAGCACACAAAAATCTGGGCAGGCAGAGTTCTATGAGATGCAGTGTCACAATTACCTGCCCTGGTTCACAGACACAGACCACGAGACTCGGTGGTGAGGGAAAGGGGTCTTGTTCTTACCATAAATTGCTATGGGATTATCACAATGACACATTTATTCCTGGTTCTATTTACATCATGGAGTGTGGAGAGGGTACATTTCTTACACTAAAAATATATACTTTGGAATCTCTAAAACAAAAAAATATCTCTATCTCTACATGAGACCCACTAGAAAGAAGAACATAGAAAACAAGGGAAATGTACCAGCACCTCGAATTGTCTCCTTCCGAGGGAAGGTTGCTCTGTTCTCCACCTGACACCATTAGCTTGGAAGGGCAGCCAAATCTAACCAATCAGACAGACAGACACAGATAAACAAGAGGGAGGCTTTATGATCCTGGAGGAGTGAATATAGGAGAAAGGAAGGAGGAGGAGGATTTTGGCCTCTTCTACAAAAGGAGTAATTGCACAATCAGTTTGGTGCTTCTGTTTCCAGCATTATTGCACATGTGAAAAGCCTGCATGTTGAAGTCAATTGCAAACCTGCTAAGCGAAGCCCAAGCTCCGCTGATTTCTGCTGGGCTCAGAAAAGTGCCATGGGTGAGTTCTCTCTCTCAAGAAATATTAATGCCATCAGCTAGAAGAAAAAGTTCTGTATTCTCCAATGCTGAAACTGGGTTAGGTTTAAGAAAAATGCTATTCCTTTTCTCTTCAGAAGGATCAGAAACCATTCCCTTCCCTTTGAGCACAGAATCTCCTAAAAGAATTATGCCTATGGATGAATCATTCCATTTTCTGAATTTCCCTACTGAAAAGGTTCACATAACACTCCTTTCCTCTTTTCACACTTCAAGCAGTAATATACTTCCTTTACATCTCTTTTGGTTATGAATATTACCCTCCTTTCTGATGAAAAGATGTTAACTGACTCAACTGCCCATTCTCTATAATTAATATTAAGAGACCAAGGGAACCAAGAATCACAAAGGATAGGCTTAGTAGAAAATCATTTCTATTTGGCTTTGAGATGTGCTTTTCTGCTTACATTGAAATATGGATGAAACTGAAGGCTTGAGAATTCTTAGTCCCTCACCCTAAACAGGGGAAATGACCATAAAGTCCCCTTTCAAAAAAGCCCCGGGACTGTCCAACTCCTCACCATTCTCAGCACCCCCAGCTGGTGGTGGTTTTAGGACCTCTGACCAAGAACTTCTTTCCTCCAAAGAACTTGACAGACTGAGGAAAAGGCAGAAAAGAGAGGTGAAAGGGGTGCTTGAAAAAGCCGAGACAGTAAAGGAGGGAGGAACTTGGATGATGTCTCATTTGGCCATTTCGGGTCTGCTCAAAGGACTTCTACCTAATGGGAGGCCCAACACCTATGACCAGAAGAAAGTCAAAAGAGCTGAGAGGTTCAGTGCAAGGCTCCTGGATGCCCTGCTAGGATGTGGCTTGGAAACCTGAGAAGTTCAAGGAAAATCCAGGAACAAATTGGCAAAGACAACTGTTTAAAGTCCTGGAAGGAGGTGCTAACTTCCTTACAAAATAAATTTAGAGAAGCTGATAAAGCAACAGAGAGAATATATTGATAGCATTTCTGATGCTCGTTGAAAAAGCCAGGGGCTCTGGGGCCAAGCCTGCTCCTGTGCTTCAGGAAAACTTGAGACTCAGAACATGGACATTGAAATAAACAGAGAAGATGCAGGGAGAATTATGAATTCCTTTACTAAGAGGGAAGTCTGGAGAGTTGAGTGGGTAGAAAATAAAGTAGGACTAAGAACTATCTTTTTTGGACAACCAGAAACTACAGATTCCCCAAGCCAGAAATTTCTTGAAGGTCACAGCTATCATAGTCTGAGATATCAACCAAGCCTGGGACTTAGCACATACCAGAATTTTATCAAACATTTGTGATTAATTTAAAAGCCAATCACTGGCCGGGCGCAGTAGCTCAAGCCTGTAATCCCAGCACTTTGGGAGGCCAAGGCGGGTGGATCATGAGGTCAAGAGATCAAGACCATCCTGGCCAACATGGTGAAATCCCATCTCTACTAAAAATACAAAAATTAGCTGGGCATGGTGGTGCGCGCCTATAGTCCCAGCTACTCAGGAGGCTGAGGCAGGAGAATCACTTGAAGCCAGGAGGCGGAGGTTGCAGTGAGCTGAGATTGTGCCATTGCACTCCAGCCTGGTGACAAAGCGACAGAGCGAGACTCCGTCTCAAAAACAAAAAACAAAAAACAAAAGCCAATCACATCCCAGACGAAGAGAAACGACTCTTCACACCATCTTTTGGAAATATATGGTTTACTACCCCACTACCCCAAATCCAGGTCTCTACACATAAAGAGATGGGGACAGGAGCTGTATGTGGAAAGATCACATCTCTTGGCAATCCTGTCTTCAGAAGTTGGAAGTCACATCTAGCCACAAAGAGCCAGGCTGTGTTTTCTGCAACCAAACATATTTGGCAATTTCACAGTATATTTCTGCTGGTCTTCACCTTCTCTCCAGACCTACCCTTCCCTAAAAGTTATGGCTAGCAAGTAATCCACCCACTTAGTAAGTCCAGTTCTTTTCATTTAGAGCTAAGATCCCACCCACCATCATTTTATCTAATCTCTGGCCTCCCTCCCTTCCTACCTCTATACCACAAGCTTATCAGGGCATTGGTCTGCCAACACTCAAACTGTTTCTGAAATCTCCCATTGTTATAAAAGAGGTGCACCACTTCCCTGGCCCAAGCAAATGTGGTCATGGAAATCACCTAACTACCTGCCTTGCTTTCCACTCCTAAATTTGTTTCTCCTTCATGCTGAGTTTAAACATCTTTTCCCATAGATGAATCTGTATTTGTTCTCAAATTACTCTTATCAGAGAAGTCTGAGATGGGAACCCCCTAGATGGGAGAATGGCCATATTTTTTTAATGTCCCTCCAGATAGGTACACAAAGACTAGTAGTAACAATGAAATCTTATGGCTACACTCTCATTTGTCAACATACACACATGCAAATGCACACGCATGCACACACACCCACACCCACACACACACTGCTGCTGCTTCACCACTACTCATTTCCTACCCCAAACACTGCCCACCTTGACTCTTTCACCACAGTGACCAGCCACAGACCTAAGCAAGAAAGCAGCCAGGACTCGGATTGAGTGTTTGGTGGAAGTTGGACAAGAGGAGGGAGTAAGAGTAGGGAATGGTTCCTACCACAGAGATGAAGCAGAAATGAGGCTGGCTATTGTTTGAGAAAAATTTAATGGCCTAAAAGGGTTGGCATGGCCTTCAAAAGTAACTAACAGACCCGGCCAAAGGAAACCAAGAGAGCTCCCCTCAAGATATGGAGCACACATCAGTCTCCATATCCTTTGGGGAAAGCCTCCTACTTATTCCAGTGCAAGTCACAGGTGCCACGCCCCCTACAGCAGAGGGCCATATTCCAGCCTTGTTAATGCTGTACAGTGATAATGTGTGGCACCACCATACCAAATTAACAAAGTGCACAATGATTGTGTCCAGCATCATATCATCACTACGGCAACCTGTTGATGATAATGTAAGCCAACCTGACAGAAGGTCTGTAAGCTGGTTACCAGCGGGATATGGAACAGACACATGCAAAATTCCAACAATCCCGGATGACACAGCCCACAGGCTTGGATTATATCATGCAACACTACATACTCTTAGTGCTCTTTACAGAGATTTGAGAGATAACACCTATGCAAGGGCTGTTGAAAACAGATTTAATACATTCAAAGCTGTTGCAGGAATCAGTGACACGCACATCAATTACCCACAGCTTGGTGTTTCTGCCTATGTTGCAAAAAAGGTGGGATACCCTGGTGTCGTAAAACCCTGATTGGAATACTGCCTGAAAAAGTTGGAGGATCTGGACAACCACTAATGGTTCAGGTTCATCAAGTGGCCCATGAGTCACAGATGACAACACTTGTGACGATAAATAACTTCCTTAAAGATTTTGAGGCCAGGGGCAGTGGCTCATACCTGTAATCCCAGCACTTTGGGAGGCTGAGGTGGGTGGATCACCTGAGGCCAGGAGTTTCAGACCAGCCTGGCCAACATAGTGAAACTTCGTCTCTACTAAAATACAAAAATTAGCTGGGCATGGTGGTGCGCACCTGTAATCCTAGCTACTTGGGAGGCTGAGGCAGGAGAATCACTTGAACCCAGGAGGCAGAGGTTGCAGTGAGATGAGATCGCACCACTGCACTCCAGCCTGGGCGACAGAGTGAGACTTTGTCTCAAAAAAAATATATATTATGACTCCACACTCATTTTGATTCCAGGAGTAACTGATGAAATCCCCAAATTCAGAGATGCTTGGAGATCCCTTGAGAAAGCTATCAGTCCCATGTGGTTTCCCTACGTGAAGGCAATTTGCCATCCAGATGCTGTGAAAATCACCATGACAGCCTTGCCTTGCCTCCGCAGCACTGTACCATGCCTCAGAAACAAGCTCCACCATGAGAAATTACCACCAAGGAAAACCAATTCCAGGAGGAATTCCTGAAAGTAAGCTCAAGGATGCATCTGCTGAAAGCTCAGACAGGTTGGCCAATCAACATTCACAGATGAACAATGGGAAATCCTGCAATCATGTGGACTGACCCATGAAGTCGTCCAGGCAACTATTGGAGACAAAAAAAAGAAGAGAATCACCATCATCTGCAACAGGTGACAGTCCATAGGGACCCATGGATTTTTAAAAAATCGAACCTCACAAAGAGATCCAACAATCAGCTAATGAGTCAAAGGCCACAACCAGTATCCAGTGAGAAGCAATGTCAGACCACGAGGATGACAGGAAATCACCACGTCCAAAAGGACCAGACTAGACAAAATCACCCATGCCCCGTGAGCACTTGCCGTTAAGAGATCCTGGTGCCATCTCTTTCTCTAGCCACACAGGAGGAGGGCTGCACTTCCAAGACAGTTTCAACTGAAGAGGTTACCCTTAAAGTCTCTTGCATGAAAAGAAAGAGAGGGGACAAAGTTGAGTCTGATGTCAGTAGTGAACTGGCTGAAACACTAGATTGATCTTGCATCTTACAGACGGCAAGTTTGATACAGTGTACTTGGCCTTTGACACATTAGCAAGCATAATTGAGAAAAAATTCAAGATCCTTGATGGAAAGGTCGAGAAACTTCAAATTGATATATCATTCATGCATTCGAGAGCCATCAAGGAATACCTCCTATTGGGAAGTTTTTTTTTTTTTTTTTTTTTGAAATGGAGTCTTGCTCTGTCACCCAGGCTGGAGTGCAGTGGCATGATCTCGGCTCACTGCAAGCTCTGCCTCCCGCGTTCACGCCATTCTGCCTCAGCCTCCTGAATAGCTGGGACTACAGGCGCCCGCCACCATGCCCAGCTAATTTTTTTGTATTTTTAGTAGAGACGGGGTTTCACCACGTTAGCCAGGATGGTCTCGATCTCCTGACCTCGTGATCCGCCCATCTTGGCCTCCCAAAGTGCTGGGATTACAGGCGCGAGCCATTGCGCCCGGCCGGGAAGTTTTATCCTGCATCACTTGCAGGGATATCAGACCCTCCTCCAGCTGTCCTCGTACCAGCTGTGCAGGCTGCTGGAACCGCTGTTGGGACCTACAATCCCTAGAGTGACTGGTAATCACCATGCACAAAGGTGAACTGCAACTGTACGGAGGCAACCGAGCACCACACCCACAGAGCCAGGATCATCCAACCCATTCGCCCAACCCCAACCATCACCTCGTGGCAAAACCACCCAAATTCCTTCCCATCTTCACTCACAATCTTCCCCATGGAGTTCACCCCAACAACGCACCAAATCATATTTTTTTTAAAAAGTAGCTAACATTCCTAAGGCGCAGTGATCCAGGAGGGTCTAGCTCGAGAAGTACCCTAAAGTGCACAGGTGGTCCTGTACCTGCACTACACAGAGTTAATGAAGGCTCCTCCCCTCAAGCGGTCAAGGCAGCACAAGACATCCGTGTGTTAGGGGAGGCATTTTTCTGAGTGATACTCTCACCCAGTTTTGATACACTCCTTACAGCTGTGCTGAGGCTAGGGAAAGAGGTGAAATGGTCATCAACCTCCCCACACAGAGGTGGCAGGAAAAGATGGGAGGGGCAAGATAGAGCAAGAAAGGGGAGATGTTCTCAGGGAACAATGAAGATGAAAAAGTGGCAAGCTCAAGGAGGCAGCCAGAGAGGGACAAGGGAAAAGTCTGCAAGAAAGCTTATCCTCCAGATGGGCTGCCTTTTAATTCTTCCCAATTAGGTAGGTAAATGAGTACAATTACTACAGTTATCCTAAAGTGCTAAAATGTGAAGCTTTGGCTCATGAAGATTTTAATGCCCATATAGGTTCCAAGAAGCATGACCTATCCTGTCTGCACCATATATATATGAAAGGAAGCTAAGGCTGTGCCCAAAACAGCCTTGTGATAGAAATGAGACAAACCAGGAACAATACCCACGATTCAAAGGAACACCATTTTAATATCTGAAAGTAGCATAATGTTCAGCCAATAGGCATTGGTACAACCATACATACTGCTTGTTTACAGCAGGCATCCCTTCTGAGTGGCTGGCATCTGTCCTGTACCAGTTGTTAAAATATTTTGAAAATCATCTCTGTATTAAAATAATTGTGGCCCTATGAGATAGGGAATATGAAATAAATGAAGGATTCCTTTAACATCAAAGGTCTTTAGAGTAAGACTAGAATACATTAGTATATTTTAAAAGTCTAAGGAATGCAAAATTCAATAAAGTGATATAGCCAACCCTTCACCTAAGAAAGAAAAACACATCGGGGAACTTCCCACTGTACAAAGATTTTCCAGGATGGGAAACTAACATGATAGAATTATCTGGGTGCTAATGGGCTTGCTAGTTACATTCTGTGCACAAAGGAAGGAAAGGTTTATAAGCACTGGATCCCAAATACTTTACATTCATTGCAACATAGAAGAGAAGAGAAAAACTATAAATGTAGTTTTAAATTAAATACCAAAACTAATTTCACCACTTACAGTTCATTTCCCAGTGTGACTTTTTGCATCTGAGAGCCAGAATGTTTGTCAACCAAAAGAAATCCATGATGATGAAGAAACCACATGGCTGAAGGTGATTTTGGTCCATTGAACTGATGATCGTTTACTCTAAGGCAGCTAAGGAGACAGTACGTAAGCACTTGGATCTCGCCAGGATGGAATTGGAATGTATCCTCAAGAGACAGCAGCAAGAAGTCGAAGAGTCCCGCAAAATGGCCAATAAAAACATCATATCCTCCTTTCTATTCACAAACAACTATTATCAAATCTTTCCCAGATATCTAGAAAGCAGACACTATGACAAATCTTCAGGCTAGGAAGTTCTTCCTGGTATCTAAACTAATTCCTTCTGTTGCAATCTAAACTCAATCTCTTACTCTATCCTCAATGAAAACCAAGAGACACTGCTCATCCTCACTTACTGTTGATTTTCCCTGGATCCCTTTCCTATCTAAGCGACACAACTCAAATGTCCCTTCTTGGCTCTTGTATCATCCAAGATTCTTGCCAGTTATGCAGGCTGCTGCTAAGGAGTGATGGAGATGCACCCAGGTCAGAGGCATCTTCCTGGCTGTGGTGGCAGGCACTGCCAATGCCCAGATCATGGATCTTCCTGGTAGCTGACCTCCTGACAACCTCTGGGTCTGACCAGCATCCCCCAGGGGAGGTAATCAAACCAAGGCCCAGGGCTGCCTAGGAGCCTGTAGACACTAAGAGCACTGGAGAGCCAGAGAGGATGTCCTCTCTGTTCCCCTCCTACTCCCCACTCTGTCCTTTAGGAAGAGGGACCTCACTGAAGGACTCCTCAGTGGCAGAATGAATCCATATGGCTTGGCAGGCCAGCAGAGAATTTCAGAGAAAACGTCTGGAAAATGGGAAGCTAGGTCTTCAATGGTGGCCGTTCTAAAGAGAAAAAGAAGGAAGAGGAGAAGAACCAACAGGAGGTGGTCTTCTGCTTCCACATTCACATCTGGTGACTGGCTGCTGGTATGGGGATAGCTGGATGCCTTCCAATGCACACCAAGAATAACTGAATGCTTCGGCATGGCTTTGAGATGACCAAGGACAGGGCCAGACTTGGTCTTGCTTCTTCTCTGAGAGACTCGCCATTTTCTCTGTAACCAGAACTTCCCTGAGGCACCACACGGCCCAAATCTTCCATCCCAGCAAAGACTCTTAGTTGAAGAGACTGAATAAAAGTGTTACAATTAGACAAAAAGGGAACATATGATTCATTCCTCCTTTTAACACAATACTTTGAAGATGTCACCACAATTTGGATCTGGCTATATTTTAAGTTCATTTACAAGTAGACTAGTTCTCAACTAAAAATAACCATGTGCGTTATACATTTCGACAGCTGCCTGGATTTTCCTCCGAAGGAAACAAGATTCTATATTTCACTCACATTCAGCAGAGATTCATTTTAACCCATTCGATGAAGACATAAATCACCACTACCACCCACTGGTGGCTGTGACTTTTCAGAGCACTTCAGTTTCTCCTTGGAGCAGCCTCAGGAGTGGGGCAGTTAGTTATTATTATCTCCATTTTCCTGCTGAGTAAACTGAACACCAGAAACAGTGGTCTGCCAAGTTATACAAGGAATTAATCGAAGGACTAGGTCTCCTAATTCCTAGCTTTTTTTTTTTAACTAGAAAAGTTGACTTTAGGAAGGCCTCAGATTTTGTCTTCAGTTATTTACTTATATTTAAATGGTATTTGGACTAAATTATTCAAGAAATTTTGGCATATAGCCTACCTCAATGCAGGCAAAAATGCCTCAAGTTCTTCCATTTTCTTCATTAACCTGATTAAGGTTGATCTATGCTATTAGTAAATGATATACGGTATTTGGTTTCAAAACAGAAAAACAGTTACGGCCGGGTGCAGTGGCCCACGCCTGTAATCCCAGCACTTTGGGAGGCCAAGGTAGGAGGATCCCTTGAGTCCAGGAGTTCCAGACCAGCCTGGGCAACACAGTAAATCCTCATCTCTATAAAAATGCAAAAGTTATCTGGCAGGGGTGGCATGCACCTGTACTCCCAGCTACTTGGAAGGCTGAGGCAGAAGGATTGCTTGAGCCCGGATGGCAGAGATTACAGTGAGCTGAGATTGTGCCATTGCACTCCAGCCTGGGAGACAGAGACTGACCGTCTCAAAAAAACAAAAAAAGAAAAAAAGGAAAAGAAAAAGAAAGAAAGAAAAAAAAAACCAGTTACAATTTAATATTTCAAAAATCTTTACTTGTTGTTAGTTCTCATTATGTAACAAGTGAAATAGGTTAAAGAATGTATCAGTACTATCAACACTATCTGAATATTTTAGCAATTTCCTACTTTGTGTGGTTGCAGTAACCAGAGACATGCCCTTCAGATTCTGAAATGAGAACTAGAAAGAGGATTAAAGGAAATAAACAGGCAAAGCAAATTTATATGCCAAAATAATCCCTTCCTGACCTTGGACCTGTGTAAACGGGCTGCTTAAAACACCCTGACCAAATATTTAGAAAACATTTTTACTTTTTTAAGGCTTATAGCTATTCTTATGTGGTTAGCGGCAGTTCCTGGAAGTGCTATTTATTACACAAATTCCATTTTACAACTAAAACACATTTTACCTTCAATATCGCCATTGTCAAAAGCCAGAAATAAATAAAAACCAGATGTTACAGTTCTCTTTACCTCTTTTCCTTTGCATTTCCAGAATTCATACTGAGAGCTTTCCAAACTGTAGTTTTAGGCATTTCATCAGATATATTAATCTCAGAGGGGTCACATCTGAAATCAATCATTAGGACAGTGAATGTCAGACATACAAGTAAAATACATACCACAGTCTATAATGATCACTGTCCCAATAGAAGGGAGAAGATGGGGTTTGAGACCACGCAGCCAACAGCTCTCAGGAACTCGGGGAACAAGATGGAGTCTGATCTTTCTCCTGCAGCCACTGAGGTCAGAATGGCAAGGTGGCCCATGAGGTGGTGCTGAAAGCTGGGCTGGTGTGCCAGGTGGCAGCCAGTCCTGCTCCCACAACTGTGCACTCCTCCGAAGGGCCTCACTGGAGATGCTGCTGACAACACTATGATATCAACAGTGTAGCATCAGGAACTACCACTTACGGAGCACTTGCTGCATGCCAGGCATTTTTCATTCATTTTCCCATTTAAACAGCCAAATCTCTTCTATTCATAGTTCACAAAGGACTTTCCTAGTATCTTAACTATCATAGCAACAGAGATTATTAACATCCTCATTTTGAAGGTGCAGAAATGAAAGCTCTCAGAGCTAAGTGACTATCCAAGGTCAAACAACAGCAAGTAGAGAATCAAGACCTTGAACCCAGCCCTTGGTTTCCTAGAAACAGAATAGTTTGATGTTTGCTGCAAGCCAGATTATCTCCTTCTAAAATGCCAAGAGAGGAGGCAGCATCCTGTTACAGGGGAAACATTGTTCCTACTTTGCCACCAGATAAATCAAGCTCACGGCTCCTTCCACAACAACACGTAGAAAGTTTATTAAGAACCAAGACTATTATTACGAAAAAGACTGTCCTAATTTCCCCCACAGTATAAACCACAACCAACTCAGTGATGCAGCAGTAAATTCTTCAGAATCTCAATGACCCAGATATCCTGCTCTTTTCCTTTGCTCTGCTCCCTCTTGACCTCTAGGTTTTTCAGCTTATGGTACCTAGAGGTACACAAGTGCTATGTGTATCTCTTCCAATTCAGAAACAAGATGCTAGGAGTAAAACCATGAATGGACCAATTTAGCTTCCTGTCATTTGTGGTGAGCAATAGGTTTGATAGAGAAAGGGGCTAAAATCATTGGCAGAAGTAAGGAATTTTCATGATCCCAGTTCAATTCCCCCTTGCTCCCAGAACTACAGATGCCACAAGCCAGGCTAACATTGACTATTTCTGCCTATCCCCAAAAGCTTGCCCAAGCATTGGATTTCATGCCTACTAGGCTGAGAACTCTCTGGAAATAAAGACCACATCCTTTTCATCTTTGGAAGGTGGCAAAGAAAGGCAGAAGGAGCACTGGTTTGAGGAATAGAAGACGACCAGGGTTTGAATCCTAATCTTTCTATTCAGCAACATTGTAACTTTGGATAAATTACCTAAAACTCTCTAAGACTTAGTTTCTTCACTTATACAAATGTGGATAGTGATATTCATATGAGTACAGGTTAACTGACAACACATAAGTAAACCCTCTAGCACAATCCCAGCACAAAGGAGGCACTCAGTACATTGGCTTTCTTACCTCTCTTCTTGTGATTCCCATAACCTGATACAGTGCCTGGTACATAGCAGGTATTCAATAAACAATGAGATGGAAAAGGTATTTTCACAGGATGGAACTGGGAGGCTGAATATTTAGCTCTTTATGCCAGCAGCTGCACTTGTGACACCACCACCACCACAAAGCCAGAACACTTAGAGAATAACCCAAAAGTAAACTCCTTGGTGTTTGGAAGTTTTACCTGCAACTGATGTTCTTTCCAGGACTACTTAGTAACTTCCTGCTCTCTAAGGGAAACTTGTCTCCCCCAATTTCTAACATTTTCTCAGCCTCCTGGAAGAAAAAGAAACATTATTATATCTTGGACCAAGTAAGACCATAAGTTCACCAGCCCATTCTTCTACCACAATTTCTACCTAATTTCATTGTGCATTTATTATAAAGAATATAATTAGGTTCTTTCATAGACTTGAGTTACCACAAAATGAGAGACAACCAGATATTTATACATGTGGAATGGCATTCAAAAAAGAAAAAAAGAAAATGTCAATCTGAGTAAACCTCTAGAGCTAATGACCAATTTACTACAAATATAGCAGACAGAAGAACATTTTAAATGACACCAAGGGACACATTTAGCAAAATCTAAATGGTGAGAAGCCCTAGAGGTCAAAGACCCTGTTTCTTCAACTTTAAAAAAATGGAAAGGGAACCCCTAAAAAGATTTAAGACAGATATCAACCAATTGCAATATATGGCTCTTCTTTGGATGCTAATTCAAATAAACAAATTATTAACAATAAGAAGCCTTTTCTTTCTACCTTTGTAGGTTTAAAATAATCAATAAGGTAGGCCGGGCATGGTGGCTCACGCCTGTAATCCCAGCACTTTGGGAGGCTGAGGTGGGCAGATCATGAAGTCAGGAGATCGAGACCATCCTGGCTAACACGGTGAAACCTCGTTCCTACTAAAAATATAAAAAATTAGCCAGGTGTGGTGGCGGGCGCCTGTAGTCCCAGCTGAGACGGAGAATGGCGTGAACCCGGGAGTCGGAGGTTGCAATGAGCTGAGATTGCGCCACTGTACTCCAGCCTGGGCAACAGGGTGAGACTCCGTCTCAAAAAAAAAATAAAAATAAAAAATAAAAAAATAATAATAATCCATAAGGTAAAAGATCTCTACGAAGAGAACTACAAAGCACTGCTGAAAGACGTCAGGCTGGCTGGGTGCGGTGGCTCAGGCCTGTAATCCCAGCACTTTGGGAGGCTGAGGTGGGCGGATCACGAGGTCAGGAGATCGAGACCACCCTGGCTAACACGGTGAAACCCCCGTCTCTACTAAAAATACAAAAAATTAGCCGGGCGAGGTGGCGGGCGCCTGTAGTCCCAGCTACTCGGGAGGCTGAGGCAGGAGAATGGCGTGAACCTGGGAGGCAGAGCTTGCAGTGAGCCAAGATGGCGCCACTGCACTCCAGCCTGGGTGACGACAGAGCGAGACTCCATCTCAAAAAAAAAAAAAAAAAAATTAGTCGGGCGTGGTGGTGCATGCCTGTAGTTCCAGCTACTAGGAAGGCTGAGGCAGGAGAATCGCTTGAACCTGGGAGGCAGAGGTTGCAGTCGGCCGAGATCACACCACTGCACTCCACAACCATGCCAACGTCTGTTACTTTTTGATTTTTTAATAATAGTAATTCTGACTGATGTGAAATGGAGTCTCTTTGTGGTTCTGATTTGCATGTCTGATGATGCATGATGTTGACCAGTTTTTAACACCACTGCACTCCAGCCTGGGCGACAGAGCGAGACTCCATCTCAAAAAAAAAAAGAGGTCAGGCACAGTGGCTCATGCCTTAATCCCAGCACTTTGGGAGGCCAAGGCAGGCAGATCACTTGAGGTCAGGAGTTCGAGACCAGACTGGTCAACATGGCAAAACCTTGTCTCTACTAAAAATACAAAAATTAGCCCAGGCGTGATGGCAGGTACCTGTAATCCCAGCTACTCGGGAGGCTGAGGTAGGAGAATCGCTCGAACCCAGGAGCAGGAGGTTGTAGTGAGCTGAAATCATGCCATTGCCCTCCAGCCTTGGCGACAGAGCAAGACTCTGTCTCAAAACAAACAAACAAACAAAAAACACACTGCTGAAAGAAATCAGAGATGATTTCTTTTTCAGAGAATCATTTCTAATCTGACTTCTTTTTCAGAGAATCATCTCTGATTTCTTTCAGCAATGTTTTGTAGTTCTCCCTCTAGAGAGTGCTTTCATGTTTTTGATTAGGTGTATTCCCAGGTATTTCATTTTCTTTATGGCTACTGTAGTCAGGATTGTGTTCTTGGTTTGACTCTCAGCCTGGGTGTTATTGGTGCATAGAAGCGAAAGGGCAAAGGATATGAACAGACACTTCTTAAAAGAAGACATACAAGCAGTCAACAAACATATTAAAAACTGGTCAACATCATGCATCATCAGAGATGCAAATCAGAACCACAAAGAGACTCCATTTCACATCAGTCAGAACGACTATTATTAAAAAGTCAAAAAATAACAGACTTTGGCATGGTTGTGGAGAAAAGTGAACACTTCTACACTGTTGGTGGGAATGCAAATTAGTTCAGCCCCTGTGGAAAGCAGTTTGGAGATTTCTCAAAGAACTAAAAATAGAACTAGCATTAGACCCAACAATCCCATTACTTGGTATATACCCAAAGGAAAATAAATTGTTCTGTCAAAAAGACATCTGCACTCATATATTTATTGCAGCACTATTAACAATAGCAAAGAAATGGAATCAACCCAGGTGCCCATCAATGGTGGATTGAATAAAGAAACTGTAGTATGTATACACCATGGAATACTACGCAGCCACAAAGAGAACAAAACTATGTCCTTTGCAGCAACATGGATGCAGCTGGAGGCCAGTACCCTAAGTGAACTGACGCAGGAACAAAAAACCAAATAATGCATGTTCTCATTTATAAGTGGAGGCTAAACATTGGGTACACATGGACACAAAGATGGGAACAAAAAACACTGGGGACTCCAAAAGGCGGAAGACAGGGGAAGGGTTGGAAAACTACCTATGGGGTACTATGTTCACTACTTGGGTGACAGGATCATTAGAAGCCCAAAGCTCAGCATAACTCACTACACCCATGTAACAAACCTGCACATGCCCTGAATCTAAAATAACTTTTTTTAGAAATCCATAATAAAATGTTTTCTTAGAAAATAATCTGGCCGGGCACGGTGGCTCACGCCTATAATCCCAGCACTTTGGGAGGCCGAGGCGGGCGGATCACGAGGTCAGGAGATCGAGACCATCCTGGCTATCACCGTGAAACCCGGTCTCTACTAAAAATATACCTAATGCTAAATGATGAGTTAATGGGTGCAGCACGCCAACATGGCACATGTATACATATGTAACAAACCTGCACGTTGTGCACATGTACCCTAAAACTTAAAGTATAATAATAATAAAAATAAAGAAAGAAAGAAAGAAAAAAAAAAAAAGCCAGGCGCAGGGGCGAGAGCCTGTAGTCCCGACTACTCGGGAGGCTGAGGCAGGAGAATGGCGTGAACCCGGGAGGCGGAGCTTGCAGTGAGCCGAGATAGCGCCACTGCACTCCAGCCTGGGCGAAAGAGCGAGACTCCATCTCAAAAAAAAAGAAAAGAAAATAATCCCACTAATTTAAAGAAAATAATTACAGAGAAAAAACTATCTGTACAAAGATGTTCAAAGTAATATAAAACAACTAAAAATTTTAACAAAGGAAAAATATTTAAATTAAGTATGAGATAATACTATAGAACATTATACATCCATTTAAAAAATATCATGATACAAATAGAAACATGAAAGTGTCTTATGAAATCAGGTTGAGGGGAAAAATCAGAATATATATGTGCTATATATATAAATACAAACTCACAATTATATAATTATCATAGTTATATGAAAACTATGTTAAAAAATTGAAAACAACATAAAGAAATGAACATGAATGTTGGCTATGAGGTGGAGAAAAAGTCTTCACTTTTTTCTTTTATTTCATTTAGCTTTTAAAATAATTTTATAAAGTAACACGTGTTAACAAATATGTACTTACTTCAGGAATTTTGGAAAATAAGGAATATAATGTCTACCAGCCACCTCGAACTTAACATCCAAAGGAGATCTCTTGATTTTCCTCCTAAACCTGCTGTTCTCCTTGGTCTTCCCCATCTTAATAAATAGCACAACCATTCATTCAGTTGTTCAGTCCAAAAATCTAAGAGTCATACTTGATTCCTCTTTCACCCATGCCCACCATCATTAGCAAAACCTGTCAGCTCTATCTTCAAAATAAGTACCCAATTCAGCCACTTTCATCACCTCTACCTTAGCATAAGCCACCCTCCCCTATTGCCTGAGCTGCTGCCAGCCTCCTAGCTGGTCTCCCTGCTACCACTCTGTCCCTTCCAGTCTTACTGGCTTTCTTGGTGTTCCTCAAACACACCAAGCTCATTCCTCCTCAAGACCTTTGCATTTTCTGTACCCCTGCCCTGGAATGTTCTTACTCCCAGATATTCTCATAATTTGCTTCTCACTTGATTCAGGTCTCTACTCAGATGTCTCCTCAGAAGTCATCTCTAATCATCCTAAATAAAGTAACTCCCTCACTCCCTACCTTCTTAAAACATATCACTACCTAAAATTATATACGTGTGTGTGTGTGTGTGTGTGTGTGTGTGTGTGTAGAATTATAGCACTATAACCAAGAAAACAAATATAGACTTGTTTGCTTGTTGACAGTGTCTCCTCCAAGAGAATGTAAGCTCCATGTGGTCGGTCAGGGACTGTCTGTGTCCTGTATACTACTGTATCTGGAACAGTGACCAACAGAGTAAGGATTCAATAAATATGGAGGAAGAAAATTAATCAAAAAATGTATAATCTTACCAACTAGAGAGACATAGAGCAACACAATAAACATTTTGGTGTATTTTCTTCCAATCTTTTTCACGTGTGTGGGGGGTGCACACATGCACGTGTGTGTGTGTACAGTATGTGTATATGTATATGTTTTAGTAAAAGTGAGATTCTTTGACAGTCTTACTGTATGCTCCATTTTATATTCCCTATGTTTTTCACATAAAATGTCAGAAACACGTCCACATATCTTTCTTATTTTTATTTTTTTGAGACAAAGTCTTGTTCTTTCGCCCAGGCTGGAGTGCAGTGGCATGATCTCAGCTCACTACAACCTCTGCCTCCCGGGTTCAAGTGATTCTCCTGTCTCAGCCTCCTGAGTAGCTGGGATTATAGGCATGCGCCAACATACTTGGCTACTTTTTTGTATTTTTAGTAAAGACAGGGTTTTACCATGTTGGTCAGGTCTCAAACTCCTGACCTCAGGTGATCTGCCTGCCTCAGCCTTCCAAAGTGCTGGGATTACAGGCGTGAGCCACCACATCCAGCCTCTTTTTTTTTTTTTTTTTTTTGAGACAGGATCTCTCTCTGTCACCCAGGCTGGAGTGCAGTGGTGTTATCTCGGCTCACTGCAATATCCGCCTCCCAGATTCAAGCGATCCTCCTGCCTCAGCCTCCGGAATAGCTAGATTATAGGCGCCTGCCACCACGCCCAGCTAATTTTTGTATTTTTAGTAGAGACGGGGTTTCACCATGTTGGCCCGGCTGGTCCCAAATTCCTGACCTCAGGTGATCCAACCACCTCGGCCTCCCAAAGTGCTGGGATTATAGGCATGAGCCACCGCGCCCAGCCTATATTACTATTTTTAGTGTATGAGAAGCCAATTTCAATTACAGTCTTGCCAACACTTGTTTTTATCTTTTAAAAATCTTTGCCAATTCGACAAGTAAAAAAGTATTCTCCTTGCTTAAATTTTCATTTCTTTTTTATTTTTTAATATTTATTTTCATTTCATAAAATCCAGATGCTGCACAATCATTTCTTTGATTATTAGTGAGAATGAAATTTTTGTCATAAGGCAACTGGTCATTTGTACTTCTTTTTCGTAAATTATATATGTCCATTGCTCATTTCAATTTCATATTATTCTTATTAATTTATAAGAATTATTTGAATAGTAAGGATATTAACATGTCTCAACTTATCTGTTATTTTAAAATTTTGATTAGAGTTTTGGATGCCTGAAAGCATCACATTTTATGTAGTGAATTCTATCAATATTCTCTTTAAAGTTTTCTTCCATTGACTTTATATTTTATAATTGTTGAAGCTTATTTAGAAATACAAGATTTTTAAAGTTCAAGATATTAGGGGAAAAAAAAGTCATCTTTTTTTTTTTTCTTGAGATAGGATCTCACTCAGCCTAGGCTGGAGTGCAGTGGCATGATCACAGCTCACTGCAGCCTCAACCTCCTGGGCTCAAGGTATCCTCCCACCTCAGCCTCCCAAGTAGCTGACTACAGGTATGTGCCACCACATCCAGCTAATTATTTTGATTTTTTTTCTTTTCTTTTCTTTTTTTTTTTGTAGAGACAGGGTCTCATTATATTGCCTAGGCTAGTCTCAAACTTCTGGCCTCAAGTAATCCTCCAGCTTCAACTCCCAAAAGCCCTGGAATTACAGGGATAACCCATTATGCCTGGCCTAAAAAAAAGTCTTTTAAAAGTTTTTTCAAAGGACACTATTTTAGGCACTAACTGTATTTGGAAACACTTCCCAGCTCACTCATTTCTTGGTCTGGTATTTTCATTTGCTACACATTCTTTCTTTGCACATATAGGCCATTTATTGAGGGTCCATTGTGTAGATGACAAGATGCCAAGTGCTGAGGGAAATGAAAAAAGACAGAAAGTCCTATGCAAGTTATCTTTGCATGGTGCCAACCACAGCACCATTTGCAATTAGATATATTACAAACATTCTAGGAAATAATGGGTCTTATGTATTTGTCAAATTAGACCTTTTGAAAGAATGTGAGCCATTGAATCTGCTAATAAGGGCATACTGTATGTTCACATTGTAGGTATGAGCCTGGTGAGTAGATTGTAAACAAAGGAAAAAATAAGTGGTTGTCAAACCCAAAAATTAAGAACAGACAGAAGCAAGAATCCCTAATCCATTCTTAGCTGAGAACATCTTTGGGGGTAATCTTCCCAGCTCCTAAATATAACCCTCGGGATTCCAGACATGCTGACTTTTCACATGACCCTTCCTATGTTCTGTAATTTGAGGCCCCCAGGTATACAGTTGGTGCAAGGACTATGACCTCTTCCTCCTTGGCCTTCTTTTTGGCATCATCCAACTTCTTCTTTTTGCTTTCAGGCATGAGATCATCTAGCCAGCTCAGCTCTCGCTTAGAGAAACAGAGATCCATGACTTTCCTGACAAAGACCAAGGCCAAAACCTGAAGAAAAATTAAAAAAAAAAGTGAATTAAAGGGACTAATTTCCTTCCTGGACTTAAAAGCAAAGCCTTATTTTCACAGCAGACTAGGACATTTCAAGCAAAATCAAACTCATAATAATCCTAACAGTCACCATTTATTGAATGCTTTCTTTGTGCCAGGTAACATGTGTTACATACAGTATTTTAACTATCATAACAGCTCTACAACTTAGAGAGCAGCTAACTGGATTCTGTCATTGAAAAGATGAGCACATCATCTGCAGATGGCTAGGGGTCAGCAGGAAGGCTACAGGACAGCAGGTGGGTAGAAAGCCTCTGCTGGAGCTGGGCCATGGTGGGACCAGCCACAGCCACCCAAGCATTCCTCACAGTGGGATGATGGGTTCTCTTAGAAGATCATCTTTATTCCCTCTGATCCTTTGCCTATACATTCCCCTACCCAAATCCTTGCTTTGGGCCTGCATCATTTGTCTCTAGTGGTTTTTGTCTTTGCCCTCTGGCCTGGCCTGACACTCGCTTTATAAATGAGGAAACTGAGGCCCAGAGAGAGAAAGTGACTCGCCTAAAATCTGACAGCTGATTTCCCCGATAAAGGTATGTCCAGGGCATCTCAACTGCTGCTCCACTTTCTTTCCATGAGGGCCATTTTAGCCAAAGGAAAACAAAGAATTAATCCTGCCTGGGTGGACTGCTGTTCATCAGCTATAATTGGTGACTGGACAAGGAATGAGGCAAATCAGGCTTATTAAATTCAAGTACATTTCTCTCTAATTTAGTGACTACTTTCCTAATACATCTGGAATTGATAGGATCCCTTCTAGGAGTTCCCAGTAATCTGCTATTTATTTAACCCATGAACGTAACACACGAATACAAACCCTTATATGTAGCCTGACAAAATTGAGAAACCCACCAGGAGGGTGTGGATCTAGAGGATTAGAAAAAAATTAAAGATAGAATTTCCATATGATCCAGCAATTCCACTCCTGGCATATACCCCAAAGAACTGAAAACAGAGACACAAACAGATATTTGTACACCCATATTTACAACAGTATCATTGACAGGTGAATGGATAAACAAAATGTAGTATTTACATACAGTGGGATACTATTCAATCTTAAAAAGGAAGGAAATTCTGACACATGCTACAACATGGATGAACCTTGAAGACATTAGGCTAAATGAAATTAGCCAGTCACAAGCTGGGCGCAGTGGCTCATGTCTGTAATCCCAGCACTTTGGGAGGTTGAGACGGGTGGATCACCTGAGGTCAGAAGTTTGAGACCAGCCTGGCCAACACAGTGAAACCCCGTCTCTACTAAAAAAAATACAAAAAAAATTAGCTGGGTGTGGTGGCAGGCACCTGTAATCCCAGCTATTAGGGAGGCTGAGGCAGGAGAATCGCTTGAACCTGGGAGGTGGAGGTCACAGTGAGCCGAGATCATGCCATTGCACTCCAGCCTGGGTAACAAGAGTGAAACTCCATCTCAAAAAAAAAAAAAAAAAAAAAAGAAGAAAGAAAGAAAGAAAAGAAATTAGCCAGTCACAAAAGGACAAATTCTGTGATTCACTTATATGACGTACCTAGAATAATCAATACATAGAGACAGAAAGTAGAATGGTGGTTGCCAGGGGCTGAGGGTATGGGAGAATGGAAATTTAGTGTTTAATAGGTGCAGAGTTTCAGCTTTGCAAGATGTAAAAAGTTCCAGAGCTGGAGGGTGGTAATAGCTCCACAGCAATGTGAATGTACTTAATGCCACTCAACTGTACACTTAAAAATGGTAAATTTTAAAGTTATAATATTTTACCACTAAAAAATAACAATGATAATAAGAATTTATTTTTTAAAAACCACCTCACCATCATTGGGAAAACAATGGCAGCTGGAGATGCCTTGATGACCCAGAGCAGGACGAGACAGGTCAACTGGATGAGGGTGAAGAGGTGCACTTTGCGCAGCGGCACATGCCGCAGGTAGATGAAATCTGGCTGGTGCTTTGCGGGCATCCCAAAGAGCTTTAGACGATCAAAGAACTGAAAGGAAGGAACTGGCATTTATTTTCAGGAGGGCATTCTGGGTCAGAAGCTTTGTTAGACCAATTCATATCTCTTACATTACCTGCTCTGAAAGGTAGGTAACACCATTTCCTCTGGACAGAAATGGAAACTGAGACTTTAAAAGACCAGGCAATTTGGCCAAGGTTATTAAGTGGCAAAGTCAAAATTTGAATCCATCTTTTCTAATTCTAGGTTCAAACTTCTTTCTCTTATCCCACACTGTGTCTCCTAAGAGAGCTCTTTCTCAGGGGGTGTTGAAAACAAAATAAACCAATTACATCTTTTTGCTTATTATCAAAACCAAATTTCTTACTTGTTTTAGGAGTTTGGAGCCATTCATTGATTATTTATAGTGAAAAGATAAAATAAAACCTCATAACATCCTAGATATATAAAAAATGATCATCCTTACAATAAGGAAAAAAGAGAACCAGAGATTAAATAACCTGCCCAAGTTCATAGTAGAACTCAGTATGTAAGAATGGCCATAGGAAAAAAAAAAAAAAAGAAAAAAAAGAATGGCCATAGGACATTCCATTCAAACAAAGAATAATCAGCCTAAGTTATTATATTATCTGGAATACCCAAGTTATCAATGACAAGCTCCTGATTTTTCTTTTTGAAAGACTTAGAGCAATAGTTGATGGATGGAAAAATGCAGAGTATAACAAGAAGTGACATCTCCTTACCAGGAGCAACTCCCACTATTCCCCTATCTCTTCTGCCAATGAACCCTCTCCCAAAGTTAAACACCCCATTTTTATACTTTAGCCTGGCACTAACCTAGATCTGTCCATGAGTGAAAGCCAGTTTGGTTCTTGATCAACCTTTCAGATCCAAGTTTACTAGCACCTGGCAAAGCAACTAATGTTTAATACATGCCAAAAAAAAATTGTCTGTTGAATAATTAATGAATAACTGGAGCCATGACATCAAGCCAGACCACCCTGGAAGTCTCTGTACTCTCCTGCCAACATGGCTGTTTTTCTCCCTATATCCAAATACATGTCTAAAATAGCCTAAGTGGCAAGACTAGGAAACAATTTTCTCAAGAACTGGTTGTGCTTCTCTTGGGGAGCTGTCCCTCCCTGGACAGGACATGCAAACTTGCAGTGAGAAGAAACTGCCCTGGCTGAACCATACAATACCTGAATTCCCTGTAGTGAAGAAACTCCCATGTAAAGGAAAACTCCGTAGAGTACTGGCATTGGAATAAACTGAAGACAAAAGGACAAGAAAGGCCAGAAATTAAATTTGGTATCATAGCACACTCAAAACTATATACACTTTTAAATCTCCAAGAATGAAACAAAGTCACAAAATAGCTGCAGACACATTGCATTAGTTTCTGCTGCCTGTGGGTGACTTAGGAGTAGAAGCAAAAGCAGAAGCTGACAATGATAAAAATCATTTGGTTCTGAAATGAAATGATTACATGTAAGTTAGACTTCCCATCTCACCCATCTGGCTCTTCCTCCTCCATGGGGATGGGCACACATACACACACACACACAAACACACACACACACACACACAAACGCACCCCTCTCTTATAGAAATAATGCCTTTTAAATCTTCTGTAATCTCACAATCATCTCCTCAGGGATTTGATGTATTTTAACGTGAACCAAAAAAGCTTCCTTTTTTACTGACCAGTGGCTTGAGGGCAAGAGTGGGGACGTATCTTATCAAAGAGGTAATGGTCTGGGGGGAAACACCGACATTATTATACTGCACTTGAACATCCACACAGTATTTGAACATGACTTTCTGATCACGTCATGTCTATCAACCTAGGTAATCTTCAGATTGACTCTGAGGTAGGGAAATTGGGCCTATAGAATCAAGGCAAGGAAAGTCTCAGAGCTGAAAACTAAATTGGACTATAATTTAGTTTTTTTGGGACTATATAAATATTCTCAAATCTAATTTGTGGAATTAGAAAATCCCTCCAAACTAACACATGAACAGAAAACCAAACACTGCATGTTCTCACTCATAAGTGGGAGCTGAACAATGAGAACACATGGACACAGAGAGGGGAACATCACACACCAGGGCCTGTTGGGGGGTGGGGGGCAAGGGGAGGGAGAGCATTAGGACAAATACCTAATGCATGTGGGGCTTAAAACCTAGATGATCGGTTGACAGGTGCAGCAAACCACCATGGCACATGTATACCTAGGTAACAAACCTGCACGTTTTGCACATGTATCCCAGAACTTAAAGTAAAATTTTAAAAAACAAAAAATTAGAAAATCCCCCATTGGATTTTATGTTCCAGCTGTAGAGTGATTAGACATTCCAATTCGATGTTGTTTGTGAACTACTGAATAGTTGTCCTAAGAGAATTGTCCTGAAGCAGCTAGGGGAAAGCCCAGGGATGGCCACTGCCGCGCCTTCATGGTTCTATCTTGGAGAAGCAGCAACGTTTAGGCTCTTCCAGATGGTGCCTCAACCAGGTGGGAGTGGGAGTTGGGCTGGGGACAGGGAATATGAGGTGGGAAAGGGGTGTCAGGAGAGGTGGGTGGTAAGGTTGAGTGGAAAGTGAGGGGACAGGAAGATGGTTCAGAAATCCTTCCCATCCCTCTCAGTTCTCACCCTTGAAGGGCATTTGTGGTACAGGCTGGGGTGGTTGAAGATTTGCCAAAAAAAAGGGAAGAGGAGGCAAGGGAGACAAGGCAGTGCTCCAGAATGGCTGGCACCTGGGAATACAGCCGTAAAGTTTCCTTCTCACCCCAATCTCCCAGATGCAGGCCTTCCACCCACAAAACATTTTTTTAATGTTCAAAGTATCCTCTATCTGTACCAAAAACAAAACAAAACAAAAAAAACCTCTCTTTTAGCCCCACTTCTCATACTAGCCACTGCCATTTTTCCATCTTGCTTCGCAGAAAAACCTCTTGAAAGATTTGCCTGCAGTCCTTACTTCCTTATCTCCTATTCACTCTTTAGCCACCTATAATTGGATTTCTACTCTATAGTTCCACTGAATTCCTTCTCTGATAAGATACCCCCAACTCCTGCCTCAAGTCACTGGTCAGTAAAAAAGTTCCATGTTAAAATGCACTAAATCCCTAAGGATTTGGAAGATTTTTGAGATTGTGGAAGATTTAAAAGGCATCATTTCTGTTAAAGAGGGGTGTGTGTGTGTGTGTGTGTGTGTGTGTGTGTGTGTGTCTGCCCATCCCCAGACAGGGGTGGAGGAAGAGCCAGACATGGAGGCCTGTAATTTAACTTACATGTAATCATTTCATTTCAGAACAAAATGATTTTTATCATGGTCAGCTTCTGCTTTTGCTTCTACTTCTAAATCACCCACAGGCAGCAGAAACTAATGCAATCCACTGACTCTGCTCTTGTCAGATAACCTGAGGCCTCCAATGTTGCTAAATCCAATGGCCTTAGCTTAGTCTTCATTTTCCAAGACGTGTCTACCCAATCCCTCTTTCTTGAAACATTTTCCTTACTTGGCTTCCCTAATACCACATCCCCCTAGTTTTCCTCCCACCTCTCTGGCAGCTCCTTCTGAGACTCTGTTGCTACCTCTTCTTCTATCCAACCTCTAACTCTGCTCTTATGTCCCACTTCTCTTTTACGTCGTCTCTTTTCCCTGAGTTCTCTCATCTATTCCCTCGGCTTTCAATACCACCTATGTGCTGTTGACTCCCAAATTTATACCCAAATTTATATTTTAGTCCAGAACCCTCCTCTAGCCTCTTCACTTAGATGACTCCCAGACATCTCACTCCAAATCTGATCACAGCCCCACCCCTCACAAAAATCATACAATCTTTTCCATCTTAATAAATGCCATCACACTCCACCAGATGGTCAAGTCAGAAACCTAACAGGTTTCTTCGATTTTTCTATTTTCCTCACCCCATTCCACATCCAGTCAACAATTGAGACCTTTGGGTCTGCCTCCAAGCTATACAGAAGCCATGCGTTTTTATCTGTCCCTGCTACCAGCTTCCTTATCCAAGCCACCATCATCTGTCACCTGCAACAGCTTCACTGGTCTGTCTGCTTCTATTCTTCCCTAGACCTCAGCCAGAGTGATCTTTTTAAACTAGCTGGATCATGTCCCTCTCCTGTTAAAACCCTTCAAAGGTTACCTTGCCCACTGTCGACAAGGCCCTACATGATCTGCCCCTGCCTCTCTTTCCTTCTCATTGCACTGTGCTCTTGTCTTGACTCAATGCCCATGAGCCACATGGCCCTGATATTTCGTAGAACACATATCACTCTTTCCCACCTAAGGGCCTGACTAGACTGCTTTTCTCCCCTCCTTCCATGCCATGTCCCACCATCCATGGCATGGCTCCACCTCATCTTTTTTTTTTTTTTTTTTTTTTGAGATGGAGTCTCGCTCTGTTGCCCTGGCTGGAGTGCAGTGGCATGATCTCGGCTCACTGCAAGCTCCGCCTCCTGGGTTCACGCCATTCTCCCGCCTCAGCCTCCTGCCTGAGTAGCTGGGACTACAGGCACCTGCCACCACACCCGGCTAATTTTGTTTTTGTATTTTTAGTAGAGACGAGGTTTCACTGTGTTAGCCAGGATGGTCTCGATCTCCGAACCTCATGATCCACCCACCTCAGCCTCCCAAAGTGCTGGGATTACAGGTGTGAGCCACCGCGCCTGGCCTCCACCTCATCTTAAATAGCATCTCCTCAGAGAAGCCTTCTCTGACCATCCTACTAAAATAGACCCCTCTCAGTTCTCTATAGTGCCAGAAAGCACTGTGTATTTCCTTTATATCACTATTCACATTCTGTAGTTATCATGTTTGTTTCTTAACTAATTTTCTTAACTACATGTTATCTGTCTTATCCCTCTAGAATAAACTCTTTCAGGGCAGGGATTTATACTTGTAAGTATTTGGCACCACTGTATTTCCAGCACCTGGCAGGATTCCTGGCACAAATCAGGCCCTTGATATTTGCTGAATGACTGAAAGGATGATTACCTTTAAGATAGCCGTCATGAAGACTGAGCAGCCCATCAGCACAAAGATCATAAGGCCTGTCACTCTCTGTTCTCGGATGCCCAGGAACTTGGGCTGTTCTCCAGGAGCAGAGCATTCAGATTCTAGCTTGAGGCTGTTCACATGTGTGATGGACAAGACAGTTGCAGCTACAAACCAGGGCAGGCCCATGATGGAGCAGACACCCAGCATGATGGCCACCATCAGTAGGTCCAGGTGGTAGCCACAGCCTTTCTGTGGGGAAACAGAGTCTTTGTCACCATCAGTAGGCTAGCTGTAGTAGGGCATAGAACAGTGAGCTACGGGTCTCAGGCCCAAAGCATGAAGGGGTGTATGGATAAGAAGGAAGGGGTTCAGGGATCCAAGAGGAGTCTTGTAGCCCCTCCTGGTTAGGAGGAAACAAAGAAGAAAAAGGGGAATCTTAGCCTGTCCTATATATGCCAATATTGATTATTTTTCCAAGTGCCTCCAGCTGACTCTGAGTCTTACACATTCAAAGATCCATTCTTCTCTGGAAGATTAACCAGACACCCTGCCACATCTTGACCATTCTAGATGGTAGAAACTATGGGAGTTAGAGGTAAGTGTCCTTATTGGCTTCCTACCACATACCCCCAGATCCTTGACAGATTTGGATATTGCTTGCCTGCTCTGTTACTTCCCTAGGATCCTAGGGTTCCAGTTTCGGCCTAGAAACTATAGTAACAGACACCAGTGGGAGAATACCTGCCTCTAGGAAACAGTGGCCCAGGCCCCCACCTGAACCTCAGGAAGACAAGCTGTACAGTTGCTTGACCCAAAGCATATAGCTATATAGGGATCACCAGGAACTCTACCCAATCACCTTCCCCACAGGTGTGAGAGGAGAGTAATGGAGTCCACGTTGCTTTCATACCATACAACCATGTTCCACTCTAATCTCCAAAGAAATCTTTGTTATTAAAGAATGGAAACCCCTTATGAACCTCTTCTATGAGATTCTACAATTTCTGGTCTAGATGTGCTTACCCTAAAATTTTACGAAAATGTAACAGGTTGCCACAGCAGCCTTCTAGGTCAGAACCTCTTTTTACCTTGAGCTTATGTTCCTTCCTGTTAATAATGACGGCTGTGATCTGCTGATCCATGAATATCAAGATAGTACAGAGAAGAGCTGGGATAATTGCAGCTATCACAGTCCACCAGGGATTGGGGCCAATGGGATTAATAATCCATCCGCGATCATCCCTTGTTGGCTAAGGGGGAAAATATATTATTTTTGTATTTTAAGTTATAGTCATTGGGGTAAAACATATCAAACTGGATCACAATATCCATATTTCTTTTTATTCTTGAGTGAGGTTCTTAAAAAAAAAAAAAAAAGGCATGAAATACAGCAACTCCTTAGGAAATCTATGACCTTGTTCTGAAACCATTTCCCAAAGAGTTAAAGACACCAATGACTAACAGAAATTCTTGGGTTTGCAGGATGGTAGATAAGAAAAGAAACAACTTGCTGAAACCCCCTTGGCACAGGGGACCCAGAGGTAGCATGAAGAGATAACTATGAATGCCTGAGGACTTTCCAGACCTCCCCTTTCCTTCTACCAATAACCTACTATCCCAGAATCCACCCCCTAAACATTTTCTAATTATTGCAGTAAAGCCAGTGCAGGGAGACAGATTTGAGCTGAATTCCTGTCTCCTTGTTAGTAAACTTGAAATAAAAAACTTTTCTTCTCTCAAAAACCTGGTATCATAGTATTGGCTTCTAGCACATTGGGCAGCAAGCCCCTTTTGCTCAGTAATAGTTCCGAATCCCCTTTGAAACAGTCAATCTTCAATTATTAATTTCTTGTGAAATATTCATTAATCTTGCACTTCCTTCCACTTACTTTCCAAACCTCTGTGTAGAGAGAAAACAAGTGTATCTCAACATTAACCCAAGTAAAATATAATTAACAACTGTATCTGTTGTCAAAAAAATTTAATGACTTCTAAAGACAAATATAAATAACTTAGACTATTCTCCTACGACTTCTCTCCAGAGCCACATAATGTGTGTCTACAGCATAAATAAAGGCAAAGTGGAGCCATCTGCATGGAATCTCTTGGGCTTTGAATGGACTGGATTGCTCCAAGGGGCTTCTCCCATCAATAGTGAAACAGGGGTCCAGCCATCAGAGACTTGAGAAGGAGCCTAAGACGGCTAAAGTTGGGGGTTTGTTTGACCTAGGATCCTCTCCAATGCCCCTGTAATACAACTGTTTATAAATCTTACTGGGGTGTTCACAACATATCTAAACTCACCTAGATCCTTACCCCACCCCTGCAGTGTACTCTGAGGAAGACAAGTTCGCCCTTTTTTGGCAAGTGGTGCTAGAGGATAAAAGGCCAGGGATACCAACTGGACCAGAGTTGACCCAAATTCAAGAAACAAAGCACAGACTGTTATATTTGATTTGGTTCCTTATTAGTCATGACTCTAGGATTCAAATACTCTTTAATAACACCACCAAGTCCAAAATTATGAATGGGTTAGCTTCTAAAAGTTTACAGAATCTATGTTTCCCTAACAACAATGTTCTAAGTGGTAGTTAAGTTCTCAGACCAACACAAAAACTTATTAAATAAACCCTTAATGACGTGATACCCCTAGTAATAGTACTAGCCTTCAGATTGGGTCTTGGGAGTTGAGTGCCATGTGATACAATAGGGAGAGACAAAAAGAAGAAAACTTCTTCTCTGCCTCCTGAAAATGGAGCCTGTCATGAGCAACATTTTCTTTGACATTCTCCCGTTTCCCTTTCTCCCCTGTCCTACCTCCCAGAGGCGTTCTTCACAGATGTCCCAGAAATTCAGTGCCTTCTGACTATCTTAGGCCTATCCCTTTGGAACCTTTCCAAGGACCGCTTAATGTTCCCATATTACCTATTTTTAGACAAAATCCATTCCTCCTGCAGCACTGATCTCAGCTAGGTATTAGAGAGAAAGCTGATTGTGCTCATTCACACAAAGGCAAGAATGCCATATTCTAGAAGGTATTATACTTACAAGAGGGATTGGTTAGTCCATAAACTTCCAACTGGTGGCATTTCAGCAAATTCAACAAAATTAAAAATTTTCAGACAATATGGAAGAAGGTATTTCAACAGGCCTACTTCATGGGTAGAGAGAAAAAAGAGAAAGGAAAGGGACAACTGAAGGGAGCATTTGCAAGTCAGGGACTGCCTTTATTCCTGTCGGCCTTCTCCTCACCAACTTCTCCCACTTTCCTCCTTCATAATTCTTCTAAAGTCACTGAGTACGCACAGATTTTCTCTCCCCTCACCCTATGGGGCTCTATAGAACTGAGCTCAGCTTTTCTATCTTCTTTGTCTACTTAGTCAGTGCTCCCAAACTGAAATCTATTTGGAGTCCCCATGTATTGATCATTTGTTTGACTTTTTGTATAGTTTCTTGAAAAATACCATATATTAGAGAGAGTTATACAAACAATGAAATCAGATTGAGATGATTTCGAAAGAGATGTCATGATTACTCCGGCAGGGGCCCTAGACTCCTGATGAGGCTCCTCTCAGTTCCATTCTCCCCCTTCAAGGAAGGGGCACCATCCTTGAAGGTTCAGGCCAAGTCCTTTACCTTTTTCATTCTTCCCAGTGCCCTTATACAGCTGATGCTCAATGAAAGTGCTGTTAACGAGGCTTGTTCCAGAGACCCATGTTTCCACAGTGTCTTGAATATATTTATGTAAATGTGCACATTCCATTGTTTAAATATTAACATATTAAGAACAGTAAGTGGTATTAATAACAATAATAATAATACTTTTCATTCATTAAACAACCTTGGTTTTTCTGTTCTCTGGCTTTTCTGTCTTGAATTCAACCAAGTCTGAAGTTTGCTTTTCTACATGACAAGGTATGAGGAGCAAGGTTCAGATTTAGGGGACTGTAAAACTCAGGATTAGGATATGAAAAGGCCTTTGAAATTTACTTGGCATCAGAATGTATGAAATTACATGAGTGCACCAAGTACTCTGAGATCTGTTTACCTTGAACACACTGGGAACTTGAAGCTTTGGTGATGGGACTCCAATCAAAAAATCAATAATCACCATTGTGAAGATAGTGAGGAAAACAGCAAAGTCACTCACCATGGAGCGTACCTGGCATGAGAAAGAAGTGGACACATGTTTTGGCAGGTTAAATACAGTAGAAAAGAGGTTAGTATTGTAAAAGGCTTAAAAATCCTCAGAAGAATGTTTTCATCTTACAGTTGAATTAATGCAAGCAAATTTAAACAACAGGAATATGTTAATTGCCCAACTGATGCTCATAAAGTGTGGATATGATGAGGGAGAATGAACCCTCTGACAAATGCTAACATAACCCAGACCATCCTCTGAAGAGTTCTGTTTGGGACATTTAGGGCCAGGTTGGGACTCTAGTTCTGAGAACTTGGATTTTCTGGGATCAGCCAAGGTCCTCAGTGCTAGCCAAAAACCTCAGCAGCAGCATCAACTCCACTTCTCCCTCATACCCAATAGCCAGTCTATTTGCAAGTCCTATTGGCTCTCCCTTCAGAACATATCCCGAGTCTGATCACTTCTTACCACCGCCACTGCTCCCACCCAGATCCAAGTCACCACCAGCTCCTGTTCAGGTAATGGTAGCAGCCTCCTAACTTGCTTCTGCCTTTGCCCTGCAGTGTTTTTTAAATGCAGTCACTGGAGTAATTATTTGAAACATAAGTTGGGTCATGTCACTCCTCTATCAAAACCCTGAAATGGCTTCTGGTCAAAAGGCCTTCTTGGCCTATGAGGGCCACACAATTGGCATCATCACATCTCCCACCCCAGCTCTTATTGCTCTCCTGCTTGCCCACTCTGCTCCAAACACACAGACTGCGTTGCTGTTTCCTTAAACATGCCAAGCTCACTCCCACCTCGGGGTATTTGTACTTGTTCATGCCTCTACCTAACATGCCTTTCCTCCAGGTAACCTCTTGGGCAGCTCCCTCACGTCTTTTAGGTTCAACTCAAATATCACCTTCTCTTTGAGCTCTTCTCTGATGATACCACTTAAAATTGGCCACCTCCCTCCACCCCAGCACTTCCTGTACTTCTTTACTGCTTTATTTTCCTCCATGGCACATATCTCTATTTTGTTGGAGATTCCCATCCAATTTAGGATCCATCATAAAAGGACTGCCTCACTTTATAGTGTGGCTTTAATAAAATACAGTACCTGGCAAATGACCCGTGCCTGCCTTAATCTAAGCTTCCAAAAGAGTGAGAGCAAAACATATCTTAGCCACACGTAATATCACCGGTACCTTAGCCTGACTTCACTTTGCTTTGAAGCCCAAGGTTTCCAGTTCCTCCTCCATGGTTTTGTTAGTTCTTCTCTGAATGCAATATAAATTCTCTGAGTATCCACTGCCTCCCCATCCCCAACATGAAGCCCACTTGACCATCCTGGGGCCCAGTGGCCCTTTTCTCCTCTGAACTCCTACGGCACGTACATCCCAGGGGACATCCAACTGTTTACTACTTTGCATATAGCATCTGATTGTTTCATGTGTTTTTCCTTCCTATCTGATGACAGATACTATCTTTTAAGTTTCTGTTGCACCTCCCTAGCACTTAACCCAGGCCTGAGCAAGTAGTCAGTACAGAACAGCCACTTGTTAACTATTTGTCCTAGCAGGAAACAAAGACCCAGAACTTACTTAATATGTACCTCCCGTGACTGCCATGTAGGCTCACTGAAGTCTAAGAATGTGTTCTAGTCATATATGGGTGTACACTAAATATCTAATTAACTGAGTCCTCCCATTTATGTACCCTGTATTGAAAATGTGCCTGGCTGATAAAAAAGGATGAGTTCATGTCCTTTGTAGGGACATGAATGAAGCTGGAAACCATCATTCTGAGCAAACTATCACAAGGACAGAAAACCAAACACCGCATGTTCTCACTCATAGGTGGGAACTGAACAATGAGAACACTTGGACACAGGATGGGGAACATCACACACCGGGGCCTGTTGTGGGGTGGGGGGAGCAGGGAGGGATAACATTAGGAGATATACCTAATGTAAATGATGAGGTAATGGGTGCAGCACACCAACATGGCACATGTATACATATGTAACAAACCTGCACATTGTGCACATGTACCCTAGAACTTAAAGTATAATTAAAAAAAAAAGAATCCCTGTTAAAATTTTCGCATTATACTTCCAAACCTTGAAAATTATTTTATTTTGAGAACAAAATATCACTTGAACTTGGATGTAAAAAGTAACCTGGCAAGATGCCAAATAATGGCAAAAAAAATGCCATTTATTTAGAGCAAATTTCATTGCTTTACATCTTCTAAAATATGAACAGGAAGTATGCTGAATAAATGTTTTGAATAATGTTTTCCAGATGTGATACAACCATTTAATAAACCACTACTGACTTAAAAAAAAAAAGAGAAAAGAAAAAAAGAAAAAGAAAATGTGTCTGGCTGAAACCTCACTTACAGGAAAAACCACCATTTCCTCCTGATTTGAGCTCCCTTTCTTTTCTTTTTCTTTCTTTTTTTTTTTTGTGTGTGAGAATAGCTTTTATTTTAAAACACTTGAAGCAATAACTCATCTATCTCTCTTTCCATCACAGGCAAATATTCTCCCCCCAAATTTGATGTAGTTTAAACAACAACTGTGACTAGTGCAAAACGAAACAAATACAATCTCTTTCAGGAGGCAGCATCAAAACCTACTGGGCTGGTGGGTACCGGCAACAGGCTCAGCCTCCACCAAGGCCGAGAGAAGCAGCACACTGAGGGAAGCAAGACTTGTGTGGTATCTCACCCAGCTTTGGACAGACTCAACAATACCTGGGGTGGGGGGAACCACAAAAGAATGATGCCTAAAATGAGACAAATATGCTTGGCTCCCTCATGTGGCTAATATCCTGATGCTAGAAAAATAAGTGCAAAGATAGCAGCTCCCAGGCAAAGCTGAGGGAAGACAGTTTGGGGCTCATTTGCTTTTGTTTTTTACTTGGGGTCTTACATATACATTGGTTTTCAGGCAGAAAAATTTTCTGCTTTCTGGGAGGTGTTCTGTGCCACATAGTGCTCCTGACTCCAGCAAAAATATTTGTGTTGTTTCTGTCTATTTGGATGCTTCACTGAATTACCTTTTCTACCTATGGTATTTCACTGCCTACCCCAAACCATGTAAGTGTAGAGTAGCATGTCCAATAGAATTACATTAGCCAGGCCAGGCACGGTGGCTCACGCCTGTAATCCCAGCACTTTGGGAGGCTGACGTGGGTGGATCACTTGAGGTCAGGAATTCGAGACCAGCCTGGCCAACACGGTGAAACTCTGTCACTACTAAAAATAGAAAAATTAGCTAGACATGGTGGTGCACACTTGTAATCCCGGCTACACAGGAGGCTGAGGCAGGAGAATCACTTGAACCCAAGGAGGTGGAGGTTGGAGTGAGCCGAGATTGTGCCACTGTACTCAGCCTGGGCGACAGAGTGAGACTCTGTCTCAAAAAACAAAGAAGTACGTTACCCCTATGTCTAATTTTAAATTTTTTAGTAGCCACATAAAAAATATAAAAATAAGTGAAATAATTATATTTATCAAATTATTATTTTATTTAATCGATATATCTAAAATATTGTCATTTCAGTATGTAATCAATATAAAATATTGATGAAACGTTTTATATTCTTTTCTGGTACCAATCCTTCAAGATCTGGTATATATTTTATGTGTACAGTACAGTCTCAATTTGGCAAGCCAAATTTCAAGTGGCCATTTGCCACATGTAGCTATTGACTATCCACATTAAATACTGCAAATCTACAGAATCTTATGCAAACTCTTTCAGAGTGATTTACTGAGTGGGAAATCTCTGTGACACTGTGCAGGTCATCTTATATACCAACTTAAGAGTAGAGAACTTTGTTTTTTTTGGTTTTGTTTTGTTTTTGAGCAGGTGTCACTCTGTTGCCCAGGCTGGAGTGCGGTAACATCATCACAGCTCACTACAGCTTTGACCTCCCTGGCCTCAAGTGATCCTTCCACCTCAGCCTTCCTGAGTAGCTGGGACTACTATCACACACCACCACGCCTGGCTAATTTTTTTTTTTTATATATACTTTGTAGAGATAGGGTTTTGCCATGTTGCCCAGGCTGGTCTCAAATTCCTGGGCTCAAGCGATCTGCCCGCCTCAACTTCCCAAAGTGCTGGGATTACAGGCCTGAGCCACTGTGCTTGGCCCAGAACCTTGTTTCATAACCTAGGATTTTTTACCTAAAGTAAAGGATAGAATCACAGTTTTATCTACTCCCATCCCCTAGTCCTGCCCCTGCCCCCTGCTGTCTCCCCACAGAAGGCCTGTACTGATGTGATTTAGCAACAATGATACCTACAAGGTGAAAAAGACATCATTTCTGTGATAGCTTCGTCAGCACTTGCTTGGGGATCATAACTCTAGCTGAATTAAGATTTTAAAATATTCTATAAACGTTACAGATTTAGCTGAAGGTGGTTCAGAGGCTTTTCTAGGAGGGTGTTTTAAATAGATTTGTTTTTGAGGGGGATGGTAGCAAAGTTGCTCATGGACTGGAAAGTTGTGAGTTTCAAGAGTGGAAAAAAAATGAGATGATTACAAAGAAAGTAAAGACAAATGGAACAGAAATAGAAACGGGGTGGGGACACTAAAAATGACACAGGTCCTAAACTTGGGTGTATACTCTGTAATAATCCAAAAATATAACATCTAAATCTCTAAATGGTCCCTCACATTTCACATGTCTGACCCTAATAGTAGTAACCACAGGAAAATAAAAATAGAAGATAATGTTAGGGCAGGAAGGGACTTCTGAGCTCATCTAGTTTAACCCATTCGTTTTAAAGAAAAACGCCCAGAGAGGTAAAGCAACTTGGCCCTATCACACTTAAAAGTGGAGGCAAGTTACAAGCCCAGGTGTTCTCACTATGAACTGCAGGTAAGGCAGTTCAGGTAAAGTGAATAAATTATACAGGGAGCAAGAAGCTCAGGCTATTCCCGTTGTACTTCCTGCAAGCCCAAAGTGAGCGACAGAGAAACAGCAGGCACATTCTATTGTAGGTAGGAGAAAACAACCAAGTCAACTCCAAAATATTGAAGAAACATTGATGTGAAATGTCATTTGAACATGATTCTTCCAGTAGTCTTTTCTGTAAATTTTTTTCCTTTAAAAGAAAATTCCCAATCTGAGCCAAATTGGATTTCTGATTAGTTACACGGGCATTTAGATCAATGAACAAAATACAAATTTTGACACATTATGTTTTCCAAAGATACATTCATTGGGATTCCATACAAATGGAAATCAAAAGATATTTACGGGAAGAAAGTACTATCTTTCACATGAACATCCACATACAGTGAGAACTTCACAATTATACCACCATGTCTCACACAGAGGACTCCTAACAAGCTGATAATCAGTTGACCCAATCCACGTATTATTCCACTTTTCACTCACAGATAATATTGCCTGCACACATGTGTAAAATTAAGCAGCACATTCTAGACTTTTATTCCAGGGAAATCTGCCTTGTATATAATAAGACATACATATAAATACATTTTAAGCAAGAAAGAAATCCATTATTTGCTCCAGTTTTTCCCAACTCTCAATCTGAAATAAAGAATAGCACTTGGCCAGGCTCATGCTTGTAATCCCAGCATTTTGGGAGGCCGAGGCAGGCAGATCACGAGGTCAAGAGATTGAGACCATCCTGGCCAACATGGGGAAACCCCGTCTCTACTAAAAATACAAAAATTAGCTGGCTGTGGTGGTGCGTGCCTGTAGTCCCAGCTACTCGGGAGGAGGCGGAGGTTGCAGTGAGCCAAGATCACACCACCGCACTCCAGCCAGGCGACAGAGCAAGACTCCATCTGAAAAAAAAAAAAAAAAAAATTCCATTTATACAAAACTTGGCCTTGTAGAAACAGCCCTCTGTTTCGTGAGACAGAAAAAAGGGCAGCCATAGTACACTTTCTTACAATATGTTTAGGCATCAGAAGGGCTGAATTTCTTTTTCTATTTAATGAAATTAAGTAACATATAGCCTATAATCTTAAATATTGATTTTATACCATTGATTTTACAAAGTTTATTTATAAAATTTTATTATAAAATATGTATTTTGCTCAAAATACACTTGCTAGCTATATTTGTCCACATTTCTTTTTTTTTTTTTTTTTGAGACCAAGTCTCACTCTGTCGCCCAGGCTGGAATGCAGTGGCACGATCTCAGCTCACTGCAACCTCCACCTCCTGGGCTCAAGCAATTCTCGTGCCTCAACCCAGTAGTGGGGATTACAGTCATGCACCACCACGCCCAGCTAATTTTTGTATTTTTAGTAGAGATGGGGTTTCACCATGTTGGCCAGACTGGTCTGGAACTCCTGGCTTCAAGCAATCCACCCACCTTGGCCTCCCAAAGTGCTGGGATTATAGCCATGAGCCACCGCACACAGCCCCTTTGTCTACATTTCAATCCAAACACCCAATCATCCTCCATCCCCCAAAAAGGTGTTTGCTTTGTAACATAATTGAAGACAATCCATTTTTGACGCCTGTGTGGAGTCATTATTCTATGGGGACTGGATTTTGTAAGGCTGCTTAGTATGGGGATTTCCACAGGAGTCAGCAACTTCAGTAACAAAGTGGGCTGCTTTAGGAAATCCAACTCAACATTAGAAGGTAATACCAATAGGCACACTTTAGTAGAGTATTACTACACCATGAGCTCCCCTCCTGCCAATCCCATCTGTTCCCAAATTGAATAAAATGTCAGAGAAGAGAAGGCAGGGAGCATGCTAAACTAGGACACACCATGGCACACCACCTTCTACTCTTGGGTCATCATATCAAATCTCACTGCATCCTTGAAGCATAATTGGAAAGAGATGGCAGGTGTCATCACATCATTGTGCAGATGAGGCACAGGGAAGATGAGGGACTTGCCCAAGGTCCACAGCCAGCATCCAGGTCTCCAGGCCATGGGCCTTGGACACTGCGTCCCTGGCTCACATGGTATTAAGCTCCTATGAGACAGGGGCCCCAGTCACAACCAGAATCCTGATTGTTCACAATTCACCACATCCTAATCCAATGTTTGTGCTATATTTCACCCAGTTGATTCTGCTTCATTTTCCTACAGTTTCTGGAAAAATCCTTTCAACCAAACAAATATATGTTAAGCAGACAGCAATAAATCCTGTTTCATTCGACTGAGTAATTTGAAATACAAACTCCAGAGACTCTGGAATTTGGTGCAGAGCAGTAGGAAAATTACAGAATGTTATCATTCTACTTTTCATCACATTTGAAACTCCAATTTAATCCCAGGTTGCAACTAAAATACTGAAATAAACCAAAATGGAAAGGATTGTCTTTTATAATATCATATAAAGTTTCTTTGCGTCTGTAATTTTTTTTTTTTAAGATGGAGTCTCGCTCTGTTGCCCAGGCTGGAGTGCAGTAGAGTGATCTCGGCTCACTGTAACCTCCACCTCCCGAGTTCAAGTGATTCTCCTGCCTCAGCCTCCAAAGTAGATGGGATTACAGGCACCTGCCAGCATGCCCAGCTAATTTTTTTTTTTTTTTGAGACGGAGTTTCGCTCTGTCCCCCAGGCTGGAGTGCAGTGGCACGATCTTGGCTCACTGCAACCTCCGCCTCTCAGGTTCATGCCATTCTCCTGCCTCAGCCTCCCGAGTAGCTGGGACTAGAGGCGCCCGCCACCATGCCCAGCTAATTTTTTGTATTTTTAGTAGAGACAGGGTTTCACCATGTTAGCCAGGATGGTCTCGATCTCCTGACCTCGTGATCTGCCCATCTCGGCCTCCCAAGTTCTGGGATTACAGGCGTGAGCCACTGCGCCCGGCCCATGCCCAGCTAATTTTTGTATTTTTAGTAGAGAAAGCGTTTTGCCATGTTAGCCAGGCTGGTCTCAAACTCCTGACCTCCGGTGATCCACCTACCTCGGCCTCCCTTAAAATGCTGGGATTACAGATGTAAGCCACCATGCCTGGCCATATCTGAAATTCTTAAAGTATCCAAAATAACACTGCTAGTCACAGCAGATAATCAGTGAAGTCAAATCAGGAGGCGATACATGGAAAAATGGCAGAGATGAGCCTCTGGCCCCTGAAAAATGTAGAAATGGAGTCAGGCAAAGAGCTCAGAGATGAGAAAATACTAATTTGGGGAACTTCACATGATAACTTCCAGGGAGTCATCATGTGGTATGGTAAAACAAGACTATTTTAACTAAAAATAAACATTATACTTTTTGGGGAAACGACTGCTGAGAAATAGAGAATTCCTCTGTCTACCTTTGGCAAAGTACAATATAATGCTGCTGTGGGCATTTGGCATTGTACCACCAAATATCACAAACCCAAGTGAATTCTTGACAGCACTTAAAGGGATAAACTCAGCCCTTTTTATGCCTTGAAATCTAAGTGGGAAACTAATATTTTAAACTGTTCCTGAGTTATAGTTTCATTAAAATATTTACTTGCTTAATACCAACCGTTTAGCCTTTAAAAACCAAACCATCACAGGTTTTGTAGTGAAATGTAAAGGTCTCACACTTTCACACACATTCACAAAATCATATTATGAATTTTTGTATGATTTAAATTAAAAATATATTTTATGGAAAATGCTGTATTGGTTGGGCATGGTGGCTCACCCCTATAATCCCAGCACTTTGGGAGGCTGAGGCAGGCGGATCACCTGAGGTTGGGAGTTCGAGACCAGCCTAACCAACATGGAGAAACCCCGTCTCTACTAAAAATACAAAATTAGCCAGGCATGGTAAGTGCCTGCAATCCCAGCTACTTTGGAGGCTGAGGCAGAAGAACCACTTGAACCCGGGAGGCAGAGGTTGTGGTGAGCCAAGATTGTACCATCGCACTCCAGCCTGGGGAACATAGCAAGACTCCATCTCAGAAAAAAAAAAAAAAAAAGAAAAGAAAAAGAAAAACAAGAAAATGCTGTATTATACATGTATAGGTCAGAAATTATTGTGTGCAATGAAAAAAAAATGCCGTAAATAATGCCCCGCCCAATGGCTGATTTTCTATATGAAACACCAAGAAGGTTTTTTATTTACTGCAGGTAAGGCCACACCACTGGCCACATAAATAGGTTTCTCTGAAGGCCACTAGCACCTATCCCCCAATAGAGGACTGGGAGCACATCCCCATTTTTGATGTACTGATGGTAGATCTCTCGCCAGCAAAATGAACACCCTTTTTTATATTATCTTCTCCTTAAACATTTATTAAAACTATCTACAATAGTGTATCATCACTAATATGAATTTCTTCTCAGTTCTATATCAGAAGGCATCAAATGACTGTGCTCTTTTTTTTTTTAACTTTTTTATTTTTGAGACAGAGTCTCACTCTGTCGCCCAGGCTGGAGTGCAGTGGTGCAATCACAGCTCACTACAACCTCCACCTTCTGGGTTCAATTGATTCTCATGCCTCAGCCTCCCGAGTAGCTGGGATTACAGGCATGTGCTACCATGCCCAACTAACTTTTGTTTTTTTAGTAGAGATGGGTTTCAGCATGTTGGCCAGGCTGGTATCAAACTCCTGACCTCAGATGATCCACCCGCCTGGGCCTCCCAAAGTGCTGGGATTACAGGTGTGAGCCACCACGCCCAGCATGAGTGTATTCTTTAAATAAACTACAAATACACAATGTATTTCTTCATATCTGGCTGTTCTAACTTTTTGGCAAATTAAAAAGGTATGTGGCTTCTTCTCACTGATTCGTATGTTTGAGGTTTAGCTTGGTATACTGTGGTAAAAGTACATGTAACCCAGGCCTTCAGGGGGCCCTTCTGTGGCACAAACTTTGTGGTCACTGTAGATCACCCACCTTCCTTTTATATTTTTGATATGGCAAATGTAATGGTCATTTATTATAGATGTTTCCATGTGACTGAAGGATGTAAATAATTCATGCACTTATTCTTTTCAGTGTTAACTTTCTGTGATGAGGTCCCAGTAGCCATTCTCCACCTTCTCAAGTTCCCTTTCAAAGAAATGGCCCATGTAGCTACTCCACACTCAGCCTCTAATCTTGCCCTGCCAAAACTGGCAAAAGCCTTGCTCATAATACAAACAATGCTATCTGCATCATGGAAAGGTTGCTGAGGTTTCAAACAGTCATACAAACTAAGTCAGGAGCATGCTGGTTGCTGCAGTCAGTGTCGCCAGTGATTTCATAAGCTATTAAAAAAGCCATCCCTGGGAGAAGATTTTTGGGTCCCCTAAAGTATCCAAGGTCACAATGACAATTTACTGTATTCAGGAGCCAGCTGTAGCTATTGTGTGTTAAGTGTCTCAGAATTCTGGAAATGAAACGTAACAGCATTCTGGAAATAAGACTTAATAACTTTTAAAAAACCATCACTACCACCTTAACCTTAACTGGCACTTGTAAACCAAAAAGGTTTTAAGTATTAACCCTTCATTCCCAACCACAGATCTATGAAAGAGGCTGCCAGACACTAGGAGAGAATGCCAGTGTGGCTCATCAGGACATCCGGAGTTCTCCACCTGGCCAATCAACCCCATAAGCAGCATGAAGGCTGAGAAAAGGTTCTGTTATATTTGATTCTAACGTGAAAGAAATGCATGAACATGCTACCTACTCTGGTTGGGAAATAACGGCTCGTCTTAAACGTCTTTAAGGTGCTTGAGAGGATGAAGGTGGTGAAAAAGAGAATACAGGACCAAAAGAGGACATCAGGAGTGTAGGGTCCATGATGGCCGCACGCAGATCCCATGAACTCTCCATGCATCTCCTGGCATTCCTGGAGGAATAAGCATTCTGGGTGATGAAAGGCAGACACAACCAAATAAATAGCTGTTTCCTACTGAGTCCACCACTCATTGTCATCCCATGGTTGTTGGGAGCAGAGGCTGCAAGCAGCATCCCCTTGACCTTTATGCAGTTGCGGGGTGCTGTCTTGCACAGGCCACTTTCAAGTAGGGTGGTTACTTATGGTCCTAAGACATAGAACTGTTCTGAACAATACTACTTCCAAGGCTCTGGAAGGACCCTGGCAACTTATATTTTTCTTATCACAGAGGACCTCCAAACTTGAACATTCTTCAACCCTACATGTCTGGATCTGCCCCCTGTCCTGCATGGTTTCATCCCCACCTATCCTTAGTGCAGGGTCACTGGGTAGGATGTAGGGGGGAGAAAAGAGAAGGGTAATCTTCTCCCTTAACATACAAGAAAAATTCTGAAAGGATAAAAGAAAGTGAGTAAGAATTGTTTTTTAAAAAGCTTTATTTCGGTAAATGCCAGAGTTTGGCCAAAGGGCTACTCCTCCCCTTCACTTAGAAGTCCCTCCTAAACCTGTGGTCACAATGCTAGGACATCTGGCAGCTCCCAGACTTACACTGACAGTCAGGTTAGCCCAGTGGACTTCTGCTGTCACGATGTTGTGGTCCTTCCAGTACTGGAGGGTGTGATTGTTTGGATTCTCTGGCAGAGTACACCTGCAGCTGAGGGGAAAAATTAAAAAGATTCCTGAGGAAAACAGCCAAATACTCAGTTAAATGTTTTTAGAACAACTGGTTTAAAGGCTGTCAGGAGCTGCCTTGCTGCTTCTTTGCATACTTCAGACCTGAGGAGCTGAGGCCCCTCTGTAGGCCCCATCACATTCTAATTTTTCAGTCAGTCATTACAAAAGTTTGACTCAAATCAGCCCATGGGTCTTGGATTAAACTGTGCTGATAACCACATTTGGCATCTGATGTGCCCAGAATGAGTCTTGATTGGTTGTTTTGTTTTTTGTTTTTGTTTTTGTTTTGTTTTTTTGTTTTTGCCCGATTTCTATCTCTTAGGCTCTTGCTATGAAATTTAGTCTACATAGCAAGGAGGTCTCGATATCCCACTTACTTCTCAATAACTTCTTCCAAGCCTGAATATCTTATTCTCTATACCCTTCGTCATGCTCTTGTTCTAAAAGTCAGAGTCTCCTGGAATCGTGATGTAAGCACTTTCTGACACTGAGTTATCTTTGGTAATACCCCACTACCTTGGCCATTCCCTGGCCGCTCATGGTAGAGCCAGACCTAGAAACTCCATTAGCTTCCCCAGGCCTCCTACTCCAGCCAAACCAGACCAGACCAGACCACACCTGTGCCATTGGCCACCATGTTGCCTCCCAGTCCCAGCATGCTTCATGCCTGACCTGGCTCCCAATATGGTCAACTGACACAGCCAACACCACTAACTTTGTATGGTCTGTGAATTTAATAAGCATGCCTTCTAAGATACGGCATGACTGAATTAAAATTCAAAAAGCTCTCGACAGGTTAGAATAATAGGAAGAAATTGACAAAACGAAAAGTAATAGGGAAAGCTATAAAGCCCTATACTTAGGTTTAAAAAAATCAATTCCAAATAATTAAACTGTGGTACATCCAGACAATGGAATATTATTCAGTACTAAGAAGAAATGAACCACCAAGCCATGAAAAAACAGAGGACCTTAAATGCATATTACAAAGTGAAAGAAGCCAATCTGAAAAGGCTACGTACTGTATGATTCCAACTATGATATTCTGGAAAATTCAAAACTATAAGGACATAAAAAGGTCAGTAGTTGTTAGGAGTTGGGGGTAGGGAGAGAGCAACTGGCAGAGCACAGGAGATTTTTAAGGAAGTGAAAGTATTCTGTATGATATTATAATGGAGGATACATGTCATTATACATTTATCAAAATCCATAGAATGTACAACACCAAGAGTCAACTCTAATGTAATCTATGGACTTTGGGTGGCAATGATGTGTCTGTGTAGGTTCACTGATTGTAACAAACTTACCACTCCGGTGTGGGATATTGATATTGGGGGAGACTGTGTGTGTGCTGGGGTAGGGGGTATATGCTAACTCTCTGTACTTGCTGTTCAACTTTGCTGTGAACCTAAAACTGCTTTAAAAAATAAACTCTATTTTTTAAAAATCAATTACATACATATTAACATAAAATCATTTAAAGAGTTAAGGAGTTCTAGCTTCACATCAGCACCATATGAAATAACAGTAGAATGCAACTAAAAAAAAATATCATCTTGAGCTTTATTAACAAAGAATTTGTTTCTGGAACCAAAGTCTACTCAATCCGGGGCTGGTCACTTTGCCTGTCTTCTCAGATATAAGCCTCATAAAGACAGATCCTTTGTCATGTTTGCCACTGCGTTTCCAAGGCCTAAAATGGTGCTTGGTACATAATAGGTGCTCAATAAATATTTGTTAAACAAAGAAAATAATGATAAAAAGAGGTCAAAGAATCAACCTTACAGAAATGAGAACTCTAATGCCAATAGGAGCCAATTCACTAGGCTTTGAAGATGATACTCCCTAATCATTGTTACTTTCTAGTAAAATAAAGTTCTAATAAATTTTTTATTAATTCTGATTTTTAAAAGGTTAATGAGTGAATAACTAGAATAGATGAAAGTGTATCTGTCGCTGGTCCGCAGATGCCTCCAGAAAGTGTACTCTCTCTTCTGAGACAGTTTCAGACTGAAGTTGTTCATTTCACAACCAGATCCTCCACATCAGAACTGTACAGCCAGAACTTGATGTACAGAGCTAAGGGAAGAGGATCTTTAGTCATAATTTGGAGAATACTATTCCAGAGAAGAAATGTTTATAGGACCAGAGTGTCCTAGATGGTTGAAAACACAGCCAGGTACCGTGTTTCTTTTCCAAGTGATCCAAACCATATTGAACACATAAAGAAATCATAATCTCTTAAGTTGAAATCTAGGAAGTAAGTAGGCTCCTGGATCTTTATGATACAGTGTGAGACACTTCTGGATCTGAAAGGAATGATTAATATATCTTCACCTAATAATTCCTAAGAGTTGCCTGTACATACTTTCAGAGAAAGAGAGTCCTTCATTTCAACAAAGGACAGAGTCCATTCTCTCACTTGATAACATAGTCCAGAGGCTCACAAAGTCCTTGCAAAAAGAAGTTCCTCCCCATAACTAACTCAAATTCTCCCTGCTACATTTGCAGCCCATTTTTGTTTCAGTGCCTAGAACCAAAAGACATGGTCTGGAAAGCATTTCTTGAGTCCCCTTCGTGTTTCACTTCTAGTCGATCTTCTCTGTCAACACTTTTGATTGTTCTCCTCTGGCAGCCCTCCAATACTCCTTGTCTGTATCTGAGATCCGTTTCCTAAAGGGCAAGACACTTCTTGACCAGAAGCTGTAAGCACTGCCTAGCACTCTACATCAGCAATTAAACTCAGGCCCTTTGCTCAATTTTTAAAAATAAGCAGAAAGCACACTTACTAATAGAGGCTAAGGTGGTCCAGCTGGCTGTGCATGTGGATGGGGTAGGTCTCTGCCAGGTGAATCAGTTTTTCTATTGCTTCATAGATGAAAATAATGCAAATTAGGGAGGCAAATGCTTCTTCAGTGAAACGGGTAATGTAGCAGACAAGGGAACTGGCATCAGTTGCCACAAGGACAATACACAGGAAAGCGGTCCACAGTCCAATACAAGCTCGCAGGGAGAGGTATGAAAGAGCATAGTCTCTGAAACAAGACCAAAGTTCATCAGAACGCATGGATGGATGGCATTAAGAGACAAGGAGTCAGAAATGTGGTTAATTCATTTCATCTAAACAAGCACTGGAACCCAGTTTATCCCTAATTCTGATTGTATTTTCCTTCTAAATAGTGCTCTGGCACAGTTATGATACAGATTTGCCTCACAGGATATGCGCAAGGATACGAAAACTAAAAAAAGAAATTGTCTCATATACATTCCTGCCATTACTACCTAATGTAATTATGATCTTATTCTTGCAGTTAAGAAAAAAAGGGGCTGGCCATAGTCCCATGAGCTGCTACTTGAAATATAAAAGGAAAAAAGAAAAGATTGTATAGGAAAATTAGGGAAACCAGAGCACTCTTGTGCCCCACTATCAATAGCAAAAAAACAAAACAAAACAAAAAAAAACAGCAGGGGGAGGATATTAGGCCAAATTAAAAATTGACTCACAATGGAAATGGAGAAGTTTGAATTAGCTAGGGAAAGTCTTTTTAAAGATAAAAAGTCAAGACTTCAATAATGGCTGAGGAATATTAATCAAGCTCTTTAACAATAGGAGATCTGCTATTTTGGGTATGGTGCTACCCGGGGGCAGGACAACAGACCAAATGATGGTCTCCTTTCAGGTTTCTTACAATCCAAAATGATATTGCCTGTCTGTACTGAGTAGAACCCTGACATTTAATCCTGGCAGCATAATCACTAAATCTGGTTAGAGTTTTCAGAAAAACAAATGTCTTACTTGCAGAATTTGAACAAAATCTTTTCAAACACAAGCACTGGTCCAGTACTTCCCAGGATGGTGAGAGCCTGTCCCGCAAACAAGGAATAAGCAATCCCAGTCATGGAAGCTCCAAACAAGGATTCAATTGCACTCTGAGAGGAAAAAAAGTCATCACTGAGTCCATAGCCCATCAGTACAGAGTAATGTTGGCTTAGCTACATTCCTGACTTTGCTCTCCTGTGTGCCTTGATGGCCATTTGCTTGTATTTCATCTTAGCAAGAGTGATGTGTACACACCATGTAATACTCCTGTAAACAGATACTACTTTAATAATTCAGGTGCCCAGCTCCATTGACACATGATTCCTTAACTAACTCCTATTCTTCAGTGACTCAATTCAGTATTTGAAAATATACAGAAAGCACAGTGATACCATTCACACTACAAGCTCACATACAGAGTCATTTTAAATCTTATTTTGAAATGGCATCAATATATCCATTTTCCATCACTGAGGCAACAGAAAATTCAACTGGGCAACCAGCTACTGAAGCTGATGTTCAAGCAGAAGAGTCTGTTCTAAAGAGAGGACTGTGTTGCTCTTTGGTGTGATGTCAGAAGACCATGGTAATTCAGAGGAAAAATCCAATCTCTTCAGTCCTAGACCAAGTAATTTCCCCCACAGTGGACCTGGCTGCCGCCACAATATTTTAGGTCTTGTTTGGGATCATTAGAAGTGGTTAAAAGTCCTTACTATGCGTCCCTCAGTGGCTTCTCCAAGCAGTCCCCCAAAGGTGATGACAGGTGACATGCAGGCACAGTACAGGAACAGAAAGGAAGCCAAACACTGTAAGCTGAGTGCATCTCGGTAGTCGCTCCAGTACCAGGGGGCCTTCCGCTTGATGTCCAGCACCAAGCCCCCAAATAGCCTGTGGAAACACAACAGACAGGCTTCTAACACAGTCCGTCTTCCCTAAAAGCATGTAAACAGCACACATTTGAAAGCATTTCAAATGTGCTCTGTTCAGCGGTAAGACTTTGGCTTCAGTTTGACCCCAGTACAGATAACTCTCTTAGGTCAGCAGAGAGTCTCTTTGCAACCAAGGGTATGACTTAGGTAAATTTGAATGAATATCCTAAACATACAAAGAATTAATTTAGATATGCGTATTATCCATTCAATAAAAAGTTCAAAAAAATTAACACGAAAGCAAGTATTAGCTTCAGACTTTAAATTCTGAGCTGTTAGGAGGAAATGTGCAAAACCAACTTAAGGTATTAAAATTACTAGTTTTATTAAATGTTTTCTAGATAAAAAAGCCCCTATCACATGTACTTTCTTACTCTGAACAACTACCCCCCTTACTTGTGAGAAATGTATATAATAATTCATTCATGCAATTGACAAGTAGCAGCAGATACTTGGTGCCAAGCACTGTGCCAGGTACTGGAGATGCGGCAATGAGCAAGACATGAACAGCCCTGCTCTCCAGGACCAAGTCTAGTGCAGGAGACAGGCAGTATTGTGAGGGTGCTATGGTGGCATAGAGCAGGGAGGGGCATTTCAGCCATGACTTCAGGCAGGGACTGGGAGTTAAGCAGATGAGGCAGAGGGGCCAACATGGGTGACACTTAGAGGTGAGAGTGCTTGGTGGATCAAGGTGCTGAGAGATATGAGTGGATAATACAGTGTGAAGGGTGAATGCCAATAGACAAGGCTGGAGAAGCTAAGTCAAAAAGGCCTTAAAAAATGGTTTTATTCATTATTTTTATATATTTTTTTGAGACGGAGTCTCACTCTGTTGCCCAGGTTGGAGTGCAGTGGCGCCATCTCTGGTCACTGCAAGCTCCGCCTCCTGGGTTCACACCATTCTCCTGCCTCAGCCTCCCGAGTAGCTGGGACTGCAGGCACCTGCCACCATGCCCGGCTAATTTTTTTGTAGTTTTAGTAGAGTCGGGGTTTCACCGTGTTAGCCAGGATGGTCTCGACCTCCTGACCTCATGATCTGCTCGCCTTGGCCTCCCAAAGTGCTGGGATTACAGGCATGAGCCACCACACCCGGCCAGAAATGGTTTTAAGGAATTAAAACTTTATCCTAATAGCATGTCAAGTTACTGAAGAACTATAAACAGAAGAGTGACATAATCAAACATACATTCTGGAAGGACCACTCTGTGGTAGTATAATGAATGGAGCATAGATTAGGATGAGAAGTGGATGGATTCAAGAGCTAATCAGGAGGTAGAATCAACAGGACTTGGTGGCAGGACTTCAGGGCCCCTCTCCTCTTCTCAAAGATGAGACAGACCAAGACCAAAATATCCCTAAGGAGGAGATGTGTTCCCAATTCAATCACTTTTTCTAAGAGTGGAGTCACTGCACCAGGGTGAGGGCTGTCAGGTGAATAACAAAAAGAGCCACTCGGCATTTTATAGCACAAATCACCTGGCTTCTTCTACCAATAAATGGCATAGAAAAAAAGGAAAAGGGACTATTACAGAATGGGAACATAATAACCAAATGCAAACTTTGACTCCTATGTCAAACAAATGAACTCTAAAAAGATGTTGCTAACACAATCATAAAAAGTTTAATAAGAACTGAGCATTAGACAATGTAAAGAATGATTGTTAATTTTGTTAGATTTGATAATGGCATGATAATTTTTTTAATGTCCTAATTAAAGAGATGCATACTGAAGTATTTACAGGTAAAATGTATGTCGGTGATTTGGTTTAAAATAATCTAGAAAACATAAAAATAAAATTAAGTGAGAAGAAATAGATGAAACAAGATTGGCAAAATGTTGGTAATAGTTGATGGGTACATGGGGGTTCATTAAACTATTCTCCCTTTTTTTTATATGTTTGAAATTTTCTATAATAAAAAGCTATTTTTAAAAAACACACAAGCTACTCTCTCACGGAAGGAGGCTTGGCAAGCTCTTTCTTTCCTTCTGTCACCTAGAAGCCTGGAGGAGTATGAGGAGGCCTGGGATCTGTATGCTAGGGGAGAAGATCCAGCCAGCTCTTTCTCCTGGAACACTCTCTCTCATCTAGCTAGTATAATGGGTATCCAGGTGGACACAGGACAGACACCCACCTGCTCTTTTCCTCTGGTTCTGGTGGGTATAGTTGGGATTCACCTTTCCTCAGCTTACAGCAGTAACATCATAATCTGGGTCTGGGCTTAGGGAAGAGAAGCAAAGCCAGCCTTGTGACCTGCCTTAGTTTTAGCCTATCTGGCAAACCTAGCTCAGGTAAAGAAGCTATCTACATGGTCTAGCCTAAATCATGAATTCTGCTTCAGGGTTTGGGACCAATGCTTCAGTTAGTAATAAAGTGTCACTTTGTCTTGCTTTCTCCTCTAGGTAAATAGCCCCTCAATAACCTTGCAGGCAGCAATAATTTATCTGGGGCAAGACTCAAGTATTCCTGGGTTCTTAGCTAACATAGCATCTTATTACCATGCGATTATTACCTCTTCATTACCAGTCACCTTCCTCTGGAAAGCATAATTCTGTGAGAAAATATCCCTGCATAATAGTGACCCCCTACACACACATACACACATACACACACACACACACACACACACATACTCTGAGGCTACCTGAGATGCTGCAATGAATACTCAGCCCCTAGACACAGGAGGACAGGAGTGTCTGTGAGCAACAGACAAAAGATTTATGTGAAATGGATTTCTAAGAAGCCATAGAAAGGGAAGACATCTGTCTGTCTAGCAGTTATTAAAAGGCGGGGAAAGATCTGAGGCTCATATGGATGGTATAACTATAAATTAATAAAATAATTTCTGAACACTTTATGGAGTCAGCCTCATACCTCATTCATGCATAAAATCAGACTATGATTGCACATCTACAACAGATATTCATCAGGCATGGATGCTTCTTTCTGTACTTGGGATTTCCTTTCCCTTTCAACACTGCCCTTCACATTCAAGTTTTCTGGGGCAGGAGGCACACAGGGATATGAGTTTAATTTAAGTTTGATGCAAGAGAGGACTTACCCGCGTAGAGGGTCACTAGGCTCTGGAGCATTGACTTAAGGAGCCCTTCCCTGGAGGGCTTTAGAAACAGGCCAGCCATCCATTTGTCTGGTATACTTTGGAAGAAACCTGTTTGAAGTGTGGGGGGATCATCGAGATAGCAGCTCCTGATTCTTTTTTCCATTAACCCTTCCCAAAAGTGGCATCCCCAATAAGGGACAGAAATATACCCTGAAAAACCCCTTTCCAGAGCACCCTCCTTGCTGTGGAGCTTCCGGCCTAGGAACACTCTAGTCATATTTCCTTCTTTGTTACTTATGGCATCCCTGCCTTAGTCAATATCAGGGAGGTTTAAGATCTGTCTTAACCCTGGCTTGGAGGGTCAGATCATACAGAACTCAGAGTACCATTTCAATTTTGTCTCCTTTCCCATCTTCTTAGAGTCTACTTCACCCTGCCTTCAAATACTTCTCCATCCAACAAGGATAACATTCCGTAAGATGTTATCCAAGTCTTGCTCCAAGGTTGTGCAACATGACAAGCATAAAGCAGTTTTGCATCTCCAAGAAACACAACTAATAGTCCGAAAAATTATAAAACCCAGACTAATGTGGTTTTAGTTTGTGCAGTCCAGGAAAGTACAGAAACTTATAGGATGTCCATATACAAAAAAGACTCACATTTACCTCCCACATAATTTGAGACTGAGAAAGAGGCCAGAGCTGGCCTGGAAATGTGATTCTCTATGCAGCCATTATGTCACCTTGCCTAAGGGGCTACAATGGGAGGAAGGTCATATGGCTTGAGGCCCTTTACTAAGGGCTCTAAGAAAAATGACAGAAGCTCAGAAAGAGGAAGCATCTCCCATATCAAGCAGAGCTAAGCTCTGAGCCCAGAGCTTCCTTTTAGCTTTGTCAATTCCAGAAGTTCCTGACATGACATTATGGGAGAACTCCTTCAAACTCCATTTGAATTTGTGAGTTAAGATACTTGCGGTTTGTGAATAAGAATATGATGATCCTGGCAATATGGGATTTTCTTGGGGACATCAGACACCATTACCAAGATCTTATAACTGTTGAGATCCAATATAATGGTCTCCCAAACCCTCAGGTGGAATTGATTATAAGTGACCACCTCTCACAAAGCCTGGGATGCTAATCTATTTGTTTTCTTTGGCACAAAGAGCAACCTAAAATCTCATCTCTGCACAGATATTGGTTTGAGGAAAACCTTGTTGCCCTAAATTCTACTACTTTCAAATTCTAAGTTCCTAAAGTGTGGACACCCTTTATATCCAAAAGATAAATTATAATTTTGAAATATCAAATCCATACTCAAAACCTTTTCCTGAAAAAAATTACCACCTCCTCTAGGACAGTCTCAATCCTGGAACCCCTTCTGAGGACATATGCTTCCCTTGAACTGCCTCTCAATACCAGGCCTCCCCACCCAATTCAGATCTCTCCCAACTTTAAAGAAAATGTTTTTTAAAAAGGGAAGGCTGCTTCCCCTTTTCAGTGGCCCTTCCATTGCAAGGACTCCTTCTTTCCACCAATGCTCCCTCCCAGAGCACAGCTATCTTCCCCTACCCTCCAATACATTCTTCCTACCAGAAAACATGCTTCTCTGCAGGACACTGCTAGTCAAGTGCCATTCTCTCCTGTTTCTGTCTCCTCTCCTGGTTTCTCCCTGAATTTCCAAGATTGGAAAAATAAAATGCTTTCCACAATTCCAAAACAACTCTGAGTTTCCACTGGGTAGAGTGCTGAGGATAGAAGAGTAAGGAAAGCAACCTCAAGCAAGGAGGCAGAAAAGAAGAAAGCAAGGGGTTAGAGGACATAAAAGCTAATTTCCATGATCTCAGTCCTGCCCTGAGAATCTCTACCCAGCAGAACCTTCTTAGACACAGCACAGCTTAACAGAGACAGAGCCATAGTCTCAACCTTCTCTGGGGACACCCCTGGATATCACACTAACCCAAAATATCATTCTCGTTTACCACCTTCTGACCTAGGGAATAAAACCTCCTACTCTGGGGACCTGCTTCCCTCACTTACCTCCTCCTTGGACATCTGTCCTTAAAATGTTGGCCTAGAAGAGTAGATTGCCTATTCTGAGGCACACACACCTAAAATAGTACCTATCTTCCTACCCTAAGGGAGTTTCTTAACCTAAAATGATCACTCAACATTTATCATACCTAGTCCATTCCATGCTACAGAACAGACATTATTCTAAAAATATTCATTCATTTGGCAGACATTGAGAGCCTACTCTGTTCAGGGCACTGTGCTGGGTCCTAGGAATATAATAGAGCCTCTGCCCTTTTGGAATAAACAGCCTAGCAGAAAAGACAATAGATCAACCAATAATAATGAAGTATGATAAAGGCTGTAATGTGGGGAAGGGAGGGTCAGAGCTCAATACTGTGATATTACATAGCAGGAACACCTAACCTCATCCAGAGAGAGTCCTAGAAGGCTTTCCAAAGGAAGTGACACAAGAACCGAGACTAAGGGTACGTAGGAGTTAGCCAGGAGATGAGGAAAGGGAAGAGTGTTCAAATCAGAGGGAACAATGGTAGGAAGGACTGGAGGTGAGACAAAACATGGTAGGTGATTTGAGAAACTTGAATGAATGAATACGATATTTGATATATTCATAATACTTCTAGTCAGTGGTTCCATTTGAAAAGTCATTCTTCAGCCAATAAATTCCCACCACAGAGAAGTAGGCTGAAAGAAAGAAGATGCCTCATTCCTTTGCATAACTTCTACCCAATAAGCAGCATCGCTGTGAAACGTCCCAGGACTTACCGCCCAGTGCGCTGAAGTTCTGGCCCACTGTGACCCCCATGTGGTTCCTGTTCTATGTGGCAAACATTTCCATTTGGAACTCCAGGCATTTTCCTTTTCTCCTTTTAACAGAAGACCACAAAATTAGTAAAGGTAACATCTATCTTTTCGTCCTGCTATCAGCAGGGAGTGGGAATGGGATAACCCAAAAGCAACCAAAAATGCCCGTGTTTGTAGCTTTCAAATACACTTACTGACTTGATGCAGTTTATTGACTTTACCGAAACACACACACACACACACACACACACACACACACACACACCCCATAATTTCTCTTCCTGTTCCATAGTACCTGACTCCTAACTAAGCCTTGCCTAGAAAGAGAAAAATGGGGCTTTGGCATTAGATATGACCTAAGTTCCAGTTTCATATCTGCCTCTGTGTAATCTTACTTTACCTTAAAATCTTGCCCTAGAAGACAGTTTTATTCCTCATTTTGTAAAACTAGAGATAACAATATCTTTTGAGGGATGTTCCTGGGAAGGCTGAATTTGCATATATAAAGCACCTGGCTGCTGTCTAATACACAGTAGGAGTTCCTTTCCCATCTCTAATATGTCAGAAAAATATCAGACATTCTATCTGCTCTCTCTATACAACTTGCTTTTTTCATTTGATGACTTGTATACAATGTAGTCACAAGAAATGTTCTCCCTTCTCTCTTCTATTTCACATTATTCCTTCAAAATTTGGCTTAAAATTCATTCCCAGGTAATCCTGACTGACCCCATCACACCTGAGCCAATTTATGCTATGCAAATTCTTTTTTTTTTTTTTTTTGAGGTGGAGTCTCGCTCTGTCACCCAAGCTGGAATGCAGTGACACCATCTCAGCTTACTACATCCTCCGCCTCCCGGGTTCAAGCGATTCTCCTGCCTCAGCCTCCCAAGTAGCTGGGATTATAGGCACCCACCACCACGCCCAGCTAATTTTTGTATTTTTAGTAGAGATGGGGTTTCACCATGTTGGCCAGGCTGGTCTCAAACTCCTGACCTCAGGTGATCTACCTGCCTCGGCGTCCCAAAGTGCTGAGATTACAGGTGTGAGCCACCACACCCAGCCCAGATTCATTTTTATTATTGTTTTGATATTCTAGGTGCACCAAAACAGAGCTGCATCTTGATATATTTAGCATATACCCACATGGTCTTTGCTTTGTCCATGGTGGGCAGTCAGTAAGTGACAATAGCCACATTGGCTGATGTGCATACATTACCTGGGAAGGGACATTTTTGGGTGGCTCAATTCTAATGGAGGGATCCCACTCTCCTGGAGGGAGCACCGTCACCTGGTCTAGGAACTCATCAATCCCCGCCAGGAGATCATCTCGCTCTTTTGCCTTATATGCTACGTCATGAAAAATCTACAGAGAAGAGAAAACCCTCAGGAAAGTTAAAAGTAACTTTACATGAAACAATCACCAATGGATATGGTGAAAAATGAATACAACCTGTTGATTTTTATCTCTGTCACGGGGATCTGAGATGCAGAAAACTTTAGCACTTAGAGAAGTGCAAGGATAAAAGGATTTAAAAAACAAGCGTGGAAATGAGATGCATTAAAAGAACTAAATACATGTCTGCTAGTATAAGAAGAGATAAGACATGAGTCTAAAGTTGTACAATTATGTTATCTCCACAAAGGATGGAAGGAAAGGCAAGATATATGAAAAAAAAAATTTTAATCAGCTTTCCCACGTTGAGAGGGAAATTTTCTTGATCTTAAAGGTTGGAAACACTGGATGGAATTACTAATGAAGGTCCTTCCTGAATTAAGCCTCTCAATCAAAGAAAGCTGATAAAAAACAGGCCACACCTCCCTCTGCCGCCTAAGGCATATGCCTTGAAAGCCCTACTTTGCAGCTTACCGAGCAGTGCAGTCCTTACCAGAGTATGCACTGTGGGTTCAATGTCAAAATGTCAAAATATCTGGTTGTTTTGGTACAGACTAGTCAAGACATTCACACTACACTGCCTGAGGTCACACCCATGACCTTATACAAACTGGTCTCATTTAGTGGAACAGGAGTGAGGTTTCTTTATGTAAATAGCTTGAATGTATTTAATTAACCATCTTCTCTTGAAAGTTAAGCCAACCTTAATATATTTCTCTATATATCCTACTTGGCAATAATAGTTTCCCCAGAAAAAGATTTCTCTGCATTCTTGATTACTCAAAAAAGGAGAGATAACATAGGAAGAAAAATCCTCTAGAGCTTGGTCCTTCCACACTGGGCTCTCAGAGAAGTACCCTGAACTACTTCCCAGCAGATATTGCAATGGAAAGTATTTTATCCCCAATAACTAGCATATTGCCTGGCACAGAGTAAATATTCAATAAATATTTATGAGATGGAAGACTGAAGCAAAAGTTGCACATACCTCATCTGTCATGATGGTGGCCATGGATCTGCCAATCTCATGGTACTGCTGACCTTTCCCTACTGGACCCAATAAGATAAACAAAAATCTGGCAAAACACACAGAGGAGGAAATTATGTAAGTAAATATAAAGAAGTGCCATTAGTCCTCTCTAAACAGTATAAGATTTCTCTCTCTTATCGTACATAAATCATCACTGTACCTTCAAAAAAAAAAAAGAAGACAGTAATGAAGGAGCACTTTGAGTTGCCTTGACCTAATAATAGCTCCACTATGGGCATTGGAAGCTATTGTGCGGCATCATTCAATAATGTGATTACATTTCTTAGGGTTTCCATAGACACAATTCCTAGCTGTAGAAAAGATGCTTTTTCAAAACATGGCACTGTGGTGCAAATTCAAGGTTGTCTGAATTCCACTTATTGTTCTAATCAGAAAATGATGGGGAGAGGAGAGGGATAAGGAAGTTGAAATGATCAAGCCTTACAGAGGAGTCTAAATGTGTTCTGGACATCTGAATACTCTCTGTAAGTAGCAGGGCTCTGAATCACCAGCATCACCACCTTCAGAGCGCATGAATAGCCTTTTGAACAAATGTTTGCATATCTGCAAACCATACAAACCATGCCAGAATTGTGCAAAGGGAAACAAATACCTTTATTCAGAGACGTTCCCCTGGAATATGGCTCTACAGAACTGAGAAGATAAGACTTGGCTTCCTATTTTAACAAGTTATTGGCCCTTGCTATGTCCTTTGAATGGTCTTCAATTCTCTATTTCCAAGGCTATAGATACTGTGCAGTCATAGCCTTAGAAATAAATCTCAGAATTCCTCTTCATGGTGGTTAATCAAATATACCTCAATTTTCTGAGATTACTGCTGATTTTTTTTTTAAAAAAGACAGGGTCTCACTCTGTCACCCACACTGGGGTGCCATGGTGCTATCCTAGGATTCTAGCTCACTGCAGGCTCAAACTCCTGGGCTCAAGTAATCCCCCACCTCAGCCTCTCTAGTAGCTGGAATTAGAGGCACACACCAGCACATCTGGCTTTTCTGCTGAATTGTAAACACCATTCCTAAAATTAATTAATTCTAAATTTCAGTATTAAGTGGTTTCTTCTACCAGCACTACATAAATTTGAATTTTGGATAGAATGCATGAGTTTTATCTTTGCCTTTACCTTGTTGGGATTGGCACTTCTGTTAGGCCTGAGAGAAGAACAGCTGGAGACAGCCTCACAAAGGCAACAATGGGACGGTCCAAAATATCCACCTCTCCAACCAGGACATTGGAGGCCTCGGCCCCAGTAGGAATTTTTTTCATGAAATGAAGGTCTACCTGAAAGTCCAAAAGAAACATCTGACAACTTGGGAACCACCACCTTAAATATCGTTTTTAAATTTTTTATTTACTTTTTTTTGAGACAGAGTCTCACTACATCACCCACTCTGGAGTGCAGTGGCGCAATCTCAGCTCACAGCTCTCTGCTGCCAGGTTCAAGCAATTCTTGTGTTTCAGGCTCCCTAGTAGCTGGAATTACAGGCATGCACCACCATGTCCAGCTAATTTTTCTGTATTTTTAGTAGAGATGGGGTCTTGCCATTTTCGCCAGTCTAGTCTCAAACTCCTGGCCTCATGTGATCCACCCGCCTCAGCCTCCAAAAGTGCTGAGATTACAGGCGTTAGCCACTGCACCTGGCCCCATCACCTAAAATATATCTTACACTCATATGTCATTTTATGGTTAGCAAATGTTTTCTTATTTTATTTGATCCTTACAAAAACCCCAGAAGGAGGATATGACAGATTGTATTCGTCCCACTTAAAGAAAAAAAAAAAATGAAGTATTTGAAACCCAGAGAGGTGAAGTTGACTTGCCCGGGACCACAGAGCTTTTAAGGTATAGGTTCGGATTTTAAAATCAGGTATTCTGATTTCAATCCCATTCCCCCAAGCTTCCTCCAAGAGAAATGTTTCTGAAGCTCTGGGTCACATTCTTTCCCTTTTTAAACACTCAAATGTTTTGTCGGGGGTTTCAGGTTTTCCAAATAAAATGGGAAGCCTTATGAGCAGAGGAAGTGATATGACACTATCTGTGTTTTAGAAACACAGTGTCAAAGATAGACCAGAGCAAGGAGAGGCTGGAGGCAGGGAGACCAAGGCTTGGACCATAAGCTGCAGTGAGACACTGCTGCTACAGAAGGCCTCAGATACCAAAGTCACAGTCCTCAAGGAGAGCTTCAACCAAGAGTTAGTTTTAGGAGACATCTGTCTCTAAATAGATATCCAAAATATTGTTTTGGCAAAACCCCTGGGGGTGAGAAGGAACTGCTGGAGAGCAGGTACCAAAAAAATAATTGAAAAATCAAGAGATCTGTTTTAGGGAAGATTCTAAGCAGCTAGTCCCAGTTTTCAGTATGTTGAATCTGGAGAAAGAAACTGTTGAGTCAGCTTCATCCAGGCTGAAGGAGAAGGGAAAAGACATGCAGAGATGGGCCCCCTTTTATGCAGAAAGGGCTCTAGTCTTAGGGAAAGAGTCTTGAAACACTAAACCTTACCCAGATTCCAGCAATTAAACTCTGGATTCCACTAAAAGGAACCTTAGGCCTTGAAGCCAACTTCCCACCACTCTGCTCACCTTGCTTAAATCCACAGGACTATGTTCACAATTCACTCCATTTTTTACTTCAAGATTTGTAGTTGGAACAGACTGAGGAGACACGGTTTGACCTATTTGGAGAAAATAAAACAAAATCCTGAGTCCCTGCCCTTTTCCCCTTCTGACACATCCCACCCATCATCAGTTGGTTCTGCCTTCTCCTGCAAAGCCTATCTAGAAAAGAGGTTAAGATGACTACGAAGTCAAGACCCACACACATCTTTCTCCTTATCTACTAGTTAGTGGTAAGGAAAGGACAGAGCTCTTGCTACTTCTGCACCTTCTTTCTGAACACATTTATGACCCTCTTTTATTTCTCTATTAAGGCAGTAATCCTTCACCAGACATGCATATGAGAGACCCCTATGGAAAACTTTTCAAAAATATAGATTCCCAGGCATATCCCCTGCACATGGTGATTCACTATGAGTAGAGACCAGGAAATAAATGTAGATGAGACCCTTCCTGGCCACAGGAAAAGGAACCAATCAGTAGCCAAAATTCTGAGTGATTATAATCCACCATGCATCTGGCTAAGGGCCTCACATGGATTAACTCATTGAAGTTCACAATAAATGGAGTAGGTGGAGTAGGTCCTATTATTACTCTTACTTTATAGGTAAGAAAGTGAGACTTAAAGAGGCTTAGTAGAGTGCCCAAAGTCATACATTTTGTGAGTGGTAAAGCCACAATCACAAGCCTACAAGTCTGACTCCAGAGCCTACTCTACTGTATTTTGCCTCCCTAATCTAAGATATTTGTTTGCTCCTAAAAAGCTCCAGTTTACCTTCTCGGGTCTCAAATTGTCCCCAATGTGGCTATCTCTCAAAAGCTACATCAGTTCTGAGGCCACCCTGGGGCATAAGTCCCTCACCTTGGGTCCGCTGAGACCTATCTGAGGAATGCCGTGAGAGAGAGATGAGCACCAGTCCCAGCCACCAATCTTACCAGTCTCCAAAAAGTACTAAGTGCCTAAGTGGACATGGAAACATATTAGACAAATACAGCCCCCACCCCTAGTAAGTCAGCATCTCCAACTAGTTCCCAATGTCTTATTAATAAAGAGAGAAAAATCACCTAATAATCTTACCATGTTTATCCATCAAATGAGGATCAGACTGCTTCTTGCCAACCTCAGCAAAGGAGCGAACAATGGGAATGAGGTTGTTTCTCTTCTTTTCATTCTGATGATGATGCTTTTTGAGAAGGGCTTCCCGCACTTTAACCCTCATGCTGTCATTCAGGTCACTGGACAGTTCTTGCTGATCCAGGATCAGGTCTGGAAAGCAGGCACTCACATGAACACTCAGATTGAGGGTTAATGAACCCAAGAAGGCCAACATCAGGTGGAGTGGGGTAAAGGGCATGGAGTAGGGGGAAGCAGCTCCACTAGGGTCATTGAGGTGCAATTTCAGCTTCCTGTCTGAAAGTGCCATTTGATGATAGTGACTGTGAAAAGTTATACTTTATTCATGTAACAAATTATTCTTATTGGGCATAGAAACTATTGAGCACTAGTACAACAATTTTTACAAATGAGGAAATTAAGGCCCAAATGCTAGAAAATTCTCCAAGGTCTTACATCTAGCAGTTTGCACAGCTGGGATTCAAATTGAGGACTGTATAATTTGAAAGCTCACATTATTACCTGCTTTGTTCTGTCATCTGCCAAATTTCCCCTACATTTCCTTCCTCCAAGATTTTAACATTGCTGTAATTGTCAAGAAGAACTATAACTGTAGAACTCCAAAGGGCTATTTAGAAGAGAAATCTATAAGAAAAATTAAGTTAACTAACCACTCACCCCAGACAATTACCACCAAGCATCACATTTAAACCTATCAAGCCCAACAGATTTGAGGAGGAAAAAAATCTCAATACCTAGTGTTAAGTGGCAGTAAACATAGCAGTTATCAGTATGAGTTCTGGAGTTAAAGGCCCACATTGTTTCCCTGTTCTACCACTTTTTAGCTGTGTGATCTTGAGCAAGGTATATAATCTCTCTATACCTCAGTTCTTCATCTGTAACATGGAGCTCATATTATCTGTTAAAAGGTTGTTACAGGAAATTAAATGAGATGATATACAGTGCTGATTTCCTTTTAGGCACTTTACCTATCAGTATCCCTAAAATATTATGAACATATTAGGTACCTGATGTGAAGAATCATAGCACTTTTACTTCAGTCCTATGCACTTCTTCAAAAGCCTCCCAAAAATCTGAACCTATCCTCAATTTCTAATTCTATTCATGACTATTCAAGTACTAGAAGAAATAAATGAGGAAAATCTATTTAATATTCAAGCTGAAGAGCCATATTTCTGTATTTTTAACCTTTATATTCATTGTTTCCTTCCCCCTATATTATAATCATGCTTCAGGACCCTTCATCTTGGGGGAAAAAAAAGAACATCCACCTCATGTCTCCCTCTATCTATCACCTCCTGTCTCTCTTATCACTTAAAGTTATCAGAAGAAAAATTATCCATCCCTTACTGACACTGCCCACAGTGCAGGTGATCTCACCTGAACTACTGCAATAGCCTAATGCATTTCTCCCATCAACTCACCCTCCATATTGCTGCCATCATTATCTTTCTAATATGCAAAATCTGATTGATCATTACCCTGTCCAAAACTCTCCCGTGACTGCTGTTGTTTACAAAGAGTTTTAAACAGCTTCAATAGCTCCCAGGGATTCTTCTCCCTAACAAACAACCTTTTAAGGAACATTCATGGGATTTCAGACAAATAGTCAAAAGTTAGCAAAATGTGACTCCAATGATGAACATGAGAATTTCATTTTTCCCAGGCAGTCAGAGTGATACTTCTGGGGTACCTCCCTGAAAAAGAGGGGGGCCCAATGTCCCATCAGTGCTTACCCCTCCCCTGGGTCCTCCTATGATCCCAGAGAGACAGAATGACTTGGATACTTGAAATAGAGAAAGATTTGGAGAAATATTTCTTAACCTGTCCAGCCAAACAGAACCAATTCAAGAGAAAACTCCCCCATGCATCCAGGTGTTTCTCCATTCAGGCCCCAAACATAATAACTTAACACTCAATCACATCAGGAAGAACAATCAGATATCTCCCCTTCACATCTTACTGAAGAGGTAGGGGCACTTTGGCTCAAGTTCCTGAATATCTGCCCTAGATGCTATATTTTAAAGTCTTTAATTCTCTTTACTCCTTTTTTCCACACAACTTCCAGTTGCCCCTTTCTCTAATTATTATCAAGCATGTCTCTGTCGTTGCACTTTTTTTAATTGTTATTTCCATGGCTATTTCCCCCACTTGAAGGCGAGCTCCTTGAAGGTAGGAACCGTTTCTTTCTTTTACTTTTTTTTTTTTTTTAAGAGACAGGGTCTCACTGTGGGGAAAAGCAAGAGAGATCAGATTGTTACTGTGTCTGTGTAGAAAGAAGTAGACATAGGAGACTCCATTTTGTTATGTGCTAAGAAAAATTCTTCTGCCTTGAGATTCTGTTAATCTATAACCTTACCCCCAACCCCGTGCTCTCTGAAACGTGTGCTGTGTCAACTCAGAGTTAAATGGATTAAGGGCGGTGCAAGATGTGCTTTGTTAAACAGATGCTTGAAGGCAGCATGCTCCTTAAGAGTCATCACCACTCCCTAATCTCAAGTACCCAGGGACACAAAAACTGCGGAAGGCCGCAGGGACCTCTGCCTAGGAAAGCCAGGTATTGTCCAAGGTTTCTCCCCATGTGATAGTCTGAAATATGGCCTCGTGGGAAGGGAAAGACCTGACCGTCCCCCAGCCCGACACCCGTAAAGGGTCTGTGCTGAGGAGGATTAGTAAAAGAGGAAGGAATGCCTCTTGCAGTTGAGACAAGAGGAAGGCATCTGTCTCCTGCCTGTCCCTGGGCAATGGAATGTCTCGGTATAAAACCCGATTGTATGCTCCATCTACTGAGATAGGGAAAAACCGCCTTAGGGCTGGAGGTGGGACCTGCGGGCAGCAAAACTGCTTTGTAAAGCATTGAGATGTTTATGTGTATGCATATCTAAAAGCACAGCACTTAATCCTTTACATTGTCTATGATGCAAAGACCTTTGTTCACGTGTTTGTCTGCTGACCCTCTCCCCACAATTGTCTTGTGACCCTGACACATCCCCCTCTTTGAGAAACACCCACAGATGATCAATAAATACTAAGGGAACTCAGAGGCTGGCGGGCTCCTCCATATGCTGAACGCTGGTTCCCCGGGTCCCCTTATTTCTTTCTCTATACTTTGTCTCTGTGTCTTTTTCTTTTCCAAATCTCTCGTCCCACCTTATGAGAAACACCCACAGGTGTGTAGGGGCAACCCACCCCTACACTCACTCTGCTACCTAGGCTGGAGTGCAGTGGCACAATCTTGACTCACCGCAGCCTTGACCTGCCAGGCTCAAGTGATCCTCGTGCCTGAGCCTCTTGAATAATTGGGACTACAGGTATGAGCCACCATGCCTGGCTAATTTTTGTATTTTTTGTAGAGACAGGGTTTCACCATGTTGACCAGGCTGGCCTGGAACTCCTGAGCTCAAGTTATCCACCCACCTTGGCATCCCGAAGTGCTGGGATTACAGGTGTGAGCCACTGCACCCGAGGGAACTTTATTCATAACCCCATGCCTAGCACATTATCAAGTATATAGCAGATACAAAATAAAACATTTGCTGAATAAACAGACAAATGGAAACTTAACACCATGTCATTTGAATACCATAATACACCTGTGAAGTAGGTAGAGTCGTTTATTAGCCTGAAACCCTTCCCACAGCCAAGGACATTGAGGCCAGGAAGGTTGTGGCTTGCCCAAGGACACACAACCCACTGTATTCTTTCTGTCACGCCACACTCCTTTTTTCCCACACTTCTTAAATTTATAAGAAAGTTGCTCTGTTTTCCCTTCCCCAACCTTACCTGAAATTTCTTCTATGCTATTTGCATGCATATCCAGGAGGACTGTTCCATTAATAAGGCAGCTCCTTAGCTCAAACAGGCTGTGCAATGAAAGGGTTGCCACATAAGGCTTGCTCCAGCGTTCTCCCCCATCTTCAACATCTTCTTCAAACTTCAGCCACCTGAAAGCATTACAAATAACTAGATGCCAAAGATAGAAAATGAGGAATTTTTAAGAGAGAATCTTCGATGTGAGCCACAGAGGAAGATATCTGGATAGTCATACTGAACATTGTAAAATCTAATCTGTATGTTCAGGGTACATTGATAAGTGAAAAAAGCAGGTAATAGAACACTGCAAGATTGAGTATAGTTTAATTCCATTCTTATTTAAAGAAAATTCTAAAAGTCAAATACATACATGTATAAGACACCAAATATTATATTCCTCATTAACCCTGCAGTTGTGGAATTACAGATAATTTTTTTCTTCTTTTTGCTTATCTTTATTCTTAAACTTTCTATAATGAGCATGCATTACCTGTACAATTAAAAAAATAGATTTAATCTATATCATTTGGATACACTGACAAACCACATTAATAAAATGATATTTTTCTTTTTATCATTGTCCTGTGTGACCTTTAGAAGTTTGCCAAGATGGAATAACAAAAGACTAATTGCCTTTTCACTTGGTACCAGGTCAATTGGCCTGTTTGAATCTCTCAGCCCATAACATTCACAATACAGCAGGCACCCAGCAAGAGCTGTTTCAGTGAGAGCTGAAGCCATGCTTTGCTAATTACCCATCTCGCTCCTTCCCCAAAGCTCAGGCATCATCCGTAAGGTTCACTGGTCAGTTACTAGAGGACCCTAGACATGTCCTTGGTTATCCTGAGGGCTCTTCTGGGATTTGAGTCTCAGAGAAGCATAATTATTCTACAACCACTTCAGGAAGCCTACAGTCAGGCTGGATATAATCCCAAGGGTCTCTAGATAGCTTGAATTGTCCCAGAGGAAGTTAAAGTCTCAAAAACTCTGTGACTGCTGGTGAATTTGAACCCTGTGGTTCACCTGCAGAAGAAGTCTGGACCTATGCTATGTCTGCTAAACTAGGTCCCCACCAAGGTGGCCCTGTCTACATCTTCTAAGTCAGACCTATAATAATACCAAGATAGCCCATAAACTTACTCTGAGCCCCAAACAAATGAGAGGGGCCCCCCTGAATATCCCATGTTATTTCACCAATCCCATGCTCCAGGTCAACTGGCATAGGTAACACCAAAGACATCATAAAGATGCCAACACCAAAATTCTCCACAGGAGACACTGGAATGTCAGTCCCCATGTCAGTCACAGCTTCTCCCAAGAAGAAATAAGGCAGGCAGGCCTGTCACTTGCTGAAGGGTACACACTTGCCTACCCAAGCAGATCTTGATGCAGGCCATTTTAGGGCCTCACCTGGCTGTTTCCTTCCACTCAGCATCTTCTCCCTCTTTCATACAGATCTCATCCAGCTCTGTAAACAGCTCATGAGGCACATGCTCTTCATCTTCCTCGGTGCCAAGAATGAACTGAACACGCTGAGATGGTGTGTCTAGGAAATCAACCAAAGAGAAAGGTCTGCTCTAGCCTCACACTTAGAACAGAAATAGCATTCTTCCTTACCTAACAACTTTAGAAATATATATAGACAACCACGAATGCAGAAGAAAAAGATTTCTTTATTCTCAGAGAAAAAGCTACTCTGTAGAAGTAGTTTCATGGGAGGAAAAATTTATGAATGAAGACCACTTGAAGAAAACCCACGAGAAACTGGAAAACTGATGAATTTGATCAAAAAGATTGGCTAATTCTCTAGCAAGGGGTTTTACCTATTATAGTATTGATTTTAGGGGGTCAGAACTGTGAAGTTTTCTTTTCTTTTTTTTTTTTACATTTGCTTTCAGTTTTTAGGTTTTTGGTTTTATAGTAGCCACCTTATTAAAATGATTTTCATTCCCATATTGTTCTTTTCTTCTGAAAATAGGTACAAACTCATACTCACACACACACACTTATTCCATAATTTTCTTACACCTAAAGTTTGTCTTTAGACTAATATATATTTAACTCTATGTGAATCAAAAAGTCTGTGTGTTTGCAGGCAGACAGGCCACATGTTCAAACAAAAATATATAACAATTTTGAAAAAATATTAAGAGTTTAGAAATGAATTTTATTTATACTCACATATAATTTGTATTATGACCATAAAAATAACCCTATAGTAAATAACAATTTAATTGTATATTTTAAAATTTAAAAACAGTGGCCGGGTGCGGTGGCTCACGCCTGCAATCCCAGTACCTTGGGAGGTCAAGGCAGGCGGATCACGAGGTCAGGATATCGAGACCGGATCACAAGGTCAGGAGATCCAGACCGTCCAGGCTAACACAGTGAAACCCGGTCTCTACCAAAAATACAAAAAATTAGCCCGGCGTGGTGGCGGGCGCCTGTAGTCCCAGCCGCCCGGAACTGTGAAGTTTTCACGAAAATATTTTTGACTCTTAGAGGCATTTCTTCTTAGAAGCAAGCTTTGGAAATCCTACAAAAAGGCTCAAGAATCAAGACCAGCTGCTAATGTCAGTCACATGTCCCCTCAGCCTCCCCATTCCCCTGGGCCATGGACACCCGCCCTGTCTCCCAAGGCCCTTACCGTGGGCCAGGGCTTCCAGGCCTTCCTCCCCCTGGCTGGCTCCTTTGCCCCGCCCTCGTCTCCGGTGCTTCTGGCCATGAGTGCGGTGATGCCGATGGCTCTGCCGGCCAAGCGGCATCCGAACTCCCACATACAGAGTTCTGTGACCTGGAAAGAAGCAGAAGGTCTGTGGAGAGAACTCCTTTAGTTTTAAAAAACAACAACAACAAAAAGCCTAGCATAGTTAAGAGAAAAAAATATCACAGTTCTTTGGTCTGGTCACAGCTCTGGAACAACAAAACTTCAAAGACTTCCAGGAGTAAAGATATAGAGATTTTGGAGTTGAAGGTCTCTTCCTTTGTCCTGCACATGCCTGCAAACTTCACAGGGATCTTGTGAAGACTGAAAGAAATAATGTGATTTCCAAACTGTAAAGGCTGATTCAGATGTTATTGTTATGACAATGACAATGACAATTTGACTGAGTGATTTTTTTAAAAGGCAATACAGTTGCTCTATGACAAGTGTGGCAGGTCTTGGCAGGGAGGCAGTTTAGAAAAGTCGTTAAGAGCACAGGTAAGGCTCAAATCAGCCCACCTGGGTCCAAAACTCAATTCCATCATTCACTTGCCATGTGACCTTGAACAATTTATCTAATCTCTCTGTGACTCATCTTTAAGAAGAAATATTAAAAGCTTAGTATTTAAACTCAGAGTTTTCATAAGCAGTAAATAAGGTTATGCATGCAAAATGCTTAACACATGCCTGGAATAAATTGTAGCAGCCTAGGATGTATTCATCCTAGGATCAGCTTCCATTATTTTATTTTCTACATTGTAGCATACACAATCTAGAACAGTACTAAAAGAGACTAGTTGTAAGTCATGAGGAGGGTGAGGCTAAGGTTAAAAAAAGACATTAAATACTGTACAAAGAGAGGGGAACATGAGAAAATAAGTGACCCAATAGTGTTCCCTCCCTAGTTCCTCTGCTCCTATTTCTTCTTTTTCTTCTTGAGACAGTATCTCACTCTGTCACCCAGGCTAGAGGGCAGTAGCCTGGTCATATCTTACTGTAGCCTTGAACTCCTGGGCTCAAGCAATCCTCCCACCTCAGTCTCCCAAGTAGCTAGGAATACATGTGTGCACCACCACACCCAGCTAATTTTTCAATTTTTTGTAGAGATGGGGTCTCGCCACGTTGCCCAAGCTGATTGCCCCAAGCAATCCTACTGTCTCCACCTCGAAAGCACTGGGTTTACAGGCATGAGTCACCACATCTGGCCTCATTCCTTCTATAAGCCTGCTTTTGTTTTGATCCAGATTTCCAGATCTCTGTCACCTCTACCTGGCTTTCCCTTGCCTTCCTGCCAAACCTGGAGCCCAGAATTTGGGGCTGCTGATGCTCCCATGCCCAATGCACCATGCCTTGGTCTTCTCCCATTTCTGCCTGGTTACTGCTGCTCAGCACTCTAGATCTCAGACCCATTCCCCACATCTTCCACCAAAGGAGCTGTTCTAATCCTTAGCCACTGTCTTCAAATCCACAACCTTATCCACATTCCTTCCTGCTGAGAGCAGGTGACTTTGCATCAGTTTTTTTTTTTTTCCTTTCTTTTTTAGATAGGGTCTCACTCTGTTGCCCAGGCTGGAGTGTGGTGTTATGATCACCACTCATGGTAGCCTTGAATTCCCAAGTTCAAGTGATCCTCCCATGTAGCTGGGACCACAGGCGTGTACCACCACGCCCAGCTAATTTTTTTGATTTTTAGTAGAGACAAGTCCTGCCATGTTGCCCAGGCTTGTTTCAAACTCCTGAGCTCAAGCGATTCTCCTGCCTTGGCCTCCCAAAGTACTGGGATTACAGGTGTGAATCACTGCACCCAGCCCTCACTTCAGTTTTTCCTGAGAAGAGATGGAAGAAGTTCTTCTCTTCCTCAGTCTGGCTTGCTCTCCTCTGCCAAGCTGGGTATGTTAATGAGTATGACTCTATCCCATTGTCTCCCACCCCTCTGGTATCCTGTTGCTTCTGTTATCCTCAGTCTCTCCTTTCCATCCATCCCTGCCATAGGTTTCTCCTGACTTCTTAAAAAGAAACCTTCCCAAGCAGTGCTACCCACCCAAGCTTCTGCTGTTTCCTCTTTCCTTCTTTATCAAACCACTTCCAAAAACAGTCACAACCTAACTCCCTTTCCTCACCACTTCCTTGTTCCACAGCCTCTGCATATGGCTTCTGACCCCAGTCTCTGCTGAAGCTTCCCTCATTAGGGACACCACACCACTCATTCACCAAATCTCTATCATCTTACATCTCTCTCAGCTTAGTTCAAAAGACTTTCTTGAGAGCCCACCACGTTGCAGGCAGTATCCAAACCACTTGGGTGCTCTGGGCTCCCTGAGCTCCGGTGCCACTGCCCTCCCCTGGTTCACTTGCACTACTCTGACTGTGCTGCTCCATCCCCCAACAAGCCACCAAAGGAAAGCTCCTCAAGTTTCTGTCCTTGGCCCTTTTCTTCCTTTTTAGTGCTAAACACTCTTCTGTTTTCAAAATTCACTTCTACAAATGACCTTCAAATCTCTATCTACAATGATTGAACATGTCACAAAGCAAACTCACCATCCTCCATCTCAAATCGGTCTTATACTCATTCCATGTTTCTGTTCATGGCCTTGTCATTCTCTCAATTTCCTAGGCTTGAAACCGAGCGTTACCTTAGATTTTCAACTCCATTCCCTTTCTCCCTCACCGTACTTTCTATAGATTAGGGCCATCAAAACTCCCACTTTAACAAAGCAGGGGCCCCTTCCTGCCTCTCACATTAAATTAACCCTGCAAACAAATCCTCCTAGTTACATCTCTGATCATGGCTCACCCATATGAATTCAGGACCTTCATGCTCAGTACTCAATCTCCTTTTTAATCTTTTCTTCTTTTAATACCAATTATACATTCAGTGGGAAAATAAAATGAAAGACCTCTCAAGAACTGAATAACAAGTTCAAGAGAAATAAAAAGTGGAAATCCCAGCCGGACGTGGTGGCTCACGCCTGTAGTCCCAGCACTTTGGGAGGCCGAGGCAGGCGGATCACAAGGTCAGGAGATCAAGACAATCCTGGCTAACATGGTGAAACCCCGTCTCCACTAAAAAAAATACAAAAAATTAGCTGGGCATGGTGGTGGGTGCCTGTAGTCCCAGCTACTTAGGAGGCTGAGGCAGGAGAATGGCATGAACCTGGGCGGCGGAGGTTGCAGTGAGCAGAGATCGCGCCACTGCACTCCAGCCTGGGTGACAGAGCGAGACTCTGACTCAAAAAAAAAAAAAAAAAAAAGTGGAAATCCCACATGCTCACAGAGAATCAACATTCTGGGGGGGAAATATCTAGAGATGTATAACTGCCATGTACCTCAGCAACCAAATGGCCTGGTTTTGACTCCATCTCCTCTTCATGGCCTTGACTGCTGTACCCACCATCACCTCATACTCTTTTCTCTACCAGAATCAAACTGCCATTCCACAAATGTGCCAGTGCTTTCTGGACACTGGCTTGGCTCACTTATTCAAGATGCACTGCAGATGCATCTTCCTTCTTGGTATTTTTTCTGATTTCCCCCATCAGATGTGCTGCCTCATTCCTTTAAATTCCCAGTGCCAGGCCAGGCACAGTGGCTCAAACCTGTAATCCCAACACTTTGGGAGGCCAAGGCAGGAAGACTGTTTAAGGCCAGGAGTTTGAGACCAGCTTGGGCAACTTAGTGAGACCTCATCTCCACAAAAGGTGTAAAAAAAAAAAAAATTAGACAGGTGTGGTGGTGTGCACCTATAGTCCTAGCTATTTGGAAGGCTGAAGTGGTAGGATTGCCTGAGCCCAGGAGTTCAAAGCTGCATGAGCTTATGAGCTATGATCATTACCACCGCACTCCAGCCTGGGTGACAGAATGAGACCCTATCTCTAGATAGATAGATAGATAGATAGACAGATAGATAGACAGACAGACAGACAGACAGGCAGGCAGGCAGATTCCCAGCACCCTTGGTTAGTGCTGTTCTCATGTACTTATTTTTCTATTTTGCGTTAAAGTTAAGCAGCTATCTCTCTTATTCTGCACTCTTCTCTTGCAATCTCCTTGGTGTCCCAAGTTAGACGTTTCTCTCAGAATGCCTACATAATCAAGCACAGTGTTTCACACATGGTCATTGTTCCATAAATGTTCAGCAAATAAAATACCTCCTAAGTACCTCCCTGAAGAGCATAAGCCCTTAGGACCTCCTCAGGAGTACATAATCTCACCTAAGAGGGCCTCTGACTCTGACCTGAAAGGGGCCACAAAAAGAACATGTAACCAAAGTGAATGTGTTTAGGACAAATAAAGTACTCACCAGGGCATGGGGAGGTTGATAAAGTCCTAACTGACCTGAGAATGGAGAGCTTCATCAGGAAGACTTCCCCGAGAAGGAGACTTGGTGGGAAGAGTTGCCAACTCTTTATCTTCTTCTTTTCCCAGCAATGGGGTTTCCTAAGGCTGCACTCAACTTCCTTGATAGTGCCCTCCACTTCCAAGTCAGGTTAAAGTGCCTTGGATGCCATTCTAACACCTTTCTCTATTTGTCTCTCCTTTTATTTGCCCTCTCTGTTTTCCAAATTCCAAAGTGATAAAGCAAAATAAAAAACAAACAGTAAGGATTAGAGGATAAGATGATCAGAGATCTGCTAGAATGTTAAGAGGCAGGAGGATAAAATGTTTAGTATCTGGTGGAATCGCACTTCTTACCCTCCTGTCTCAGGAGAGTTCTCTGTTGCCTCGTGTATATCTCAGGTCATTTTTAACAGGCAGATCTCTGAACATAATGTAGTCATCTTGCAACTTCATAGAAACAGAAATATAGAGCCAGAGGAGGTCATCTGCTAAGATGTGGGATTCCAGACCCTGACATTATCAGTATAAACTATAAAAAGCATATAGCGTGAAAATACTAAATTGAATACCATCTTAATAAAATACAATTTGTTAACTCATTATGTTCCATTATAGTATGTTAATGAAATCCCTGTAGCACACTACTGAGACCAACCCAGGTGGCATTAGCAGCAGACTAGAGTCAAGTAATTGTGCCAGATCCTGTCCCAAGGGCTGGGGATACAATAGTGAACAGAACAAAGTCTTCAGGACACATATTCTGCTTGGGGGGGGTCAGAAATGAAAACAAAAATATATCATTTAAATATTGATTATTACTATGAACCAAATAAGGTAAAATGCTAGCGTGTCTAGGGTAAGGGGTAGGATGGAGAAGGGAGACTTTAAGATGATTAGAGGGGACATCTAAGTGATAAGAAGGAGAGGCCATGAGAAGACCTGGGAGAAGAGTATTCCAAGAAGGGGGAAGATCAAGTGCACAGGTCCTAAGGTGGGAATGTGCAGAGCTGGTTCTGGGGCAAAAGGATGGCCAGTAGGGCCAGGGCAGGGTAGAAAAGGGAAGGAAAGGAGATGTACAAGGACAGAAAAACAGGCAGGGGCAGGTCATGAAGAATCTATGTGCTGTAAAAAGCATAATTCGATCCTGAACAACCACTTCTGGCCAGGCACAGCGGCCCACACCTGTTATCTCAACACTCTGGGAGGCTAAGGAAGGAGGATCACTTGCATTCAGTAGTTTGAAACCAGCCTGAGCAACACAGCAAGATTCCACCTCTATAAAAAATAAAAAATTAGCCAGGCATGGTGGTGCATGCCTGTAGTCCCAGCTATTGGGAGGCTGAGGTGGGAGGTCACTTGAGCCCAGGAGGTGGAGGCTGTGGTGAGCCATGATCGCACTACTGCACTCAGTCTGGGCGACAGAGTGAGACCCTGCCTCAAAACAAAACAAAACAAAATTTAAAACTAAACAACCACTTTGGCCTCTAAAATGATGACCTGGTGTTGTAAAATCTAGTACAGCTAGATAGAGCTGGACTTAGGTTAAGAACAGCCTCAGTGAGAGGTGACTTTCAGTTCTTCAATACAGCCATCCCAACCATGGGTTTCCTCTTCCCTACAAACCCCGCAAAGGATTACTAGCCAGGCTAGAACCTCTACTTCTCCTTGCTCCTTGAGCCCATTCCAAATACTTCCACTGGGCTCATGCTGGTATACTGCTAGTATTATTTAATTTTAAAGGAGAAATTGAGGAGGCAGTGATTGGATATTAGAAACTGCATTATTAGATTTCATGTTATTGGTTTAAATTACTCACTGTCACTATTAAAGTAAAACAAGGAGGCCAGACCAAATGACTTCCCAGGCTTGTCCAGATGATGGCTAGTCCAGGTTCTAATGTTCGAGTCCTATGAAAGTTTCAGGCTAGGTTATTCTTCAGAAAAGACACGATGGTTCAATTGTTCTCACTGTCCTGACTTATTACTGCAGAAAGGGACTACAGAAGGGGCTTAGTAAATGTTTGCTGAGTGAATAATATATGGTTTTGCTTGGTATCTAAATTCCCACTATGTAGGTTTGAGGCATAATGGTGAAGACATCCTATAGATGCCTTGAATGGTTCTGTAGGAAGTAAGGTAAATCTTACTTTAGTACAATCAATTATCACGAACATTAGCCAATCGCAATGCCTGTCTTTTGAAAATATCAGAGAGACAGGCAGAAATGAAATCAAGTTCGGCAGGGGGTCAGAGCTAAGAAGGACCAAGCGGCTGTCAGAAAATCAGGCATCAGTTTCTAGTCTGGGAGTTCTAAAGCAAGGATTTGGATTTTCTGAGAAAAATTGGCAGAAAAGATGACAAACAGACACTAGGAAATGAATATAGCACCAATAAAATCCAGTCCATCTAACTGGATTCTGGCCACCCAGTGACTTCATTAAACTAATTCTGTGGTCACTTTGTTGGCCATTCAACCGCTCTTTGCCCCCGTCTTCTACCTACCAACTCGCACAAATCCCATTTTTTTCCCATCTAACTCGTCATTCTTTTTTCCAAAAAAGGTCAAACCTAGTCTTTTGGAACTATCTGTGTGCAAATAAAGTATTCTAATTTAGTAAAAATTATGGGAAAGATGTAATTTTAGTCTATAGTTTAAAAAATAAGTACATATACACATGCAGAGAGCAATCTTTAGTGAACTGGCAATGAATCATGTGAAGCAGGACAGGAACCATAGGTTTGACGTACCCTGCAGATGGAGATTGGGCCTACTAAGGTACAATGCAGTACACGCACACTGCTTACCCAGCACTCACACAGAGCTCATTAGCACATACAACAGGGTGCTCGGCTCCTCTGGGCTTACAGGTTAACTCAAAGTCAATAACTGCAGAGGTGAATCTCACATGTCGAGCAGATGTAAGCCTTTTTAGAAGTTATAAATATGACCAAATGGCTCTTACCTCTGTTAAAAACGTATTAGAAGGCCTTAAACTCACTCCAGAGTTCATTAATCTAGTAGTTAATCAGGAATAATGATCTGCCAGGAAAAAATGGAAAAAGCCATCCCTCTAACTAAAGCAACTGCCTCTTGTTCCTCTGGGACTGGGAAAGTCCACTGAAGCACATCATGGACTATTGCTCTTCTTGAGTTCATCTTTGGAACGTGTTCTGATGTTGGCTTTTGACTCTTCTCACATATTAAAAAAAAAGCAACATAATGGCTTAATGCAACTTCTCTTACTGATAGAATTAATTTATGCAAAAGACCCACACTTACAAAGTTTCTAACAATGTACACAGACTAAATCTCAGAAATAGTTCTTAAAATGGGGTAAGGATAGCCAGGCATGGTGGCACGTGCCTGTAGCCCCAGCTACTTGGGAGGCTGGGGTGGGAGGATCACTTGAGCCCAGGAGGTCAAGGCTACAGTGGGCTAAGACTGGGTCACTGCACTCCAGCCTGTGTGACAGAGCAAGACTGCCTCAAAAAACAATCAAACAAAAACAAAAAACTCATATTCTTGGACTAGAGGTTGTTGTTTAATATAAATAAATAAAATGTGGTAAGGCAATGATTTATAGTTTATGTCATGTGGGCAGAAGTTATGACATAAAGGGGAAAAAAGACCTGGAGATTTTTTTTGCAGCCACAGAACCTGATATCATGGCATGCATATTGAATCTGAACACAATTTGCTTCTGTGTTCCATCAAAATGGTACTCGTTTTATTCTATGCCTTCAAGAGATAACACTACCCTGAGTACAGCCTCATTGAGTCCTAGGGCTGCCCTTCGGAGTGAGTCTGAGTGGAACCCACAGCACAGCCAACCCTATAGCAAATCCCAACTCTCTCTTCTCTTCTCCAGAGCTGGTCTAGAAACCACATCAGGCCTGAGATCTGGTTCTAGTTTGTCCACCATTTGCGTGTAATGCTTTTTTTTTAAGTGTTAACATAAATAAGATTCTAGTTTTCAAAAAAGTCTACGTACAAAGGACCATCTCCCAACACACTATGCACTAGTAAGGCTGTCATCACAGACAGCATTCTTTTTTAGCAAAGTAGAACATGCATAAAGAACAGATGATGTCATCTGGAGAAGCTGCTCCCACCGCCAGTTACTCAGCTGATCTCCGTGGATGGAACCAGTTGTTAAGATTCAAGAGAGCTTGCTCAGGTTTCTTATTCTACTCCCAAGTAGACAAGAGTGTTCATAAATGGTTACCTCCTTGCTGAGGGCAAAGGTCCAGTGGTGCTTGCTATAGAACAACTAAACTGACAGCAACATGCCCCCAGGATGCAATGAGAGGGTAGAGAGACCACATGATTATCAGAACAGAAGAAGAGGCAAGAGCAACATACAAAAATTTTATTTGATGGAGCAAGATATTGAGGTTGGGTGGTTAATGACAGTTACTGTCCTCTCTTGCAGGCTGTGTGGCAGAATGAAAAGAGCAGGATTCTCTCCCCAGCCTCACCTGCAATTAGGCTCGATGACCTTGAGCAGTTTCCTCATGTGTAAAATAGGGATAATGATACCTACCTGCCTGGGGTGCTATGAAGATGAAAAGGACAACTTGTATAAGGTGCCTAATCTAATGCCTAACACACAAGGGGCATTCAACAAATGTTAGCCTTCCATTCCACACCCTTTCCTTCTCCCACTCCCTCCCAACTGCTGCAACTCACATGTTCTCTTCTTCCATCTGGTCAAAATAACTTGGAAAACTTCACCTTGGTATACCCAAACACCACTGACCTCCACAGAGCCACCCACGTCAGTTCTCATGGTAACAGACCCAGAGGCTGAGTCAGCCTCTACAGCTTCCGTTCTCCCCATCAAAAGGACAAGTTTTCTCTGGAGGTTGTACAACTTTGATGAAAAAACTGTCACGGGAACAGGCAGTACAGAGAGAACATTTCACATGCTGTCTCAGGCATCAGAAAGTTGCTGTATCATAGCCTTCAACATTGCAGGGGATGCTGCAGAGATTTCACAAAGGCTTTTGAGCCAAATGTGGCTTCTCATTAAAGCTATATTGGATACTGGACATGAGCCTTCCTCTAATGAAACTGAGCATCAACACTAATTAGAAAACCATGGCCAGGTGTGGGTCCAACTCCTAACACACCAACTAGTCCCCAGGGGAAAAAGGAAAGCAGGACACCACATAACGGTTATGTGGGGAGCTGGGGGTGAGGTGCAGAGAAAGGAAGAGCTGAAATAAGGTAAACTGGACAGAGTGGGTCATCCAAAATGCCTCTTCTTTCCTTTCCCCTTCAGCTGGGCTTTTATATAACTTTGATGTTATGAACTCAAGAGTATGTCACAGGTGTGTTCCTGTTTTCCCTCTTGTTTAGATGAAACCACCAGGCAGAAATGGGTATAAATAGAATAGAAACAGTAAATATTGGAAATGGGGTAAAAATAGGGTTTTGTAGCCAAAATGAGTTTTTAAAACTATTTGTATTTTATTTTCTCTTTAAGTTTTGTATTTATTTGTATTTCCAGGCAGTTGTCAAGAATTAACGCACTGAACTGAGTACATCACATTCTCAAAGAACAGGTTACTTGTTAATATTTATATTGGACTTCACCGTGTTCAAAGCACTATCTCCCATGTAGGCAATTAGATCCTAATGATATCCCTGTAAGGTAGGACAAGTATTAGTATCCCCACTTTTATTTACCAGATGAGGAAAGTGAGGCTAAAGGAAATCAAGTGATTTTCCCCAAGGTCTGACAGCTAGTGAGAGAGTTAGGACACAGAGCCAGGTCTTCCCACACCAGGCTGCCCCTCACCAATTTCCCTGATCACACAGCATGGCAGTTCTTACCTTCCAGCTCTTCTTTTTCATAGTGAATGTTGAGAATTGTACTGGTCCCACCCTGATCCACCACAGCTTCTTCATCTGGTCTCTGTTTAAACACAAATAAGTAGTCACAGTAATACACATACCTCGTTCAAATATACAAACCTTGTGTATGCCAGATCCTTTTGAGATACTTACGGGGGAAACACAATTGTTTACCTGTATTTTTACATGTGAACTTCACAATACCTTTTAGATGCAAATATGGTAGCCATTATCTTTCTCATTTTATAAATGAGCAGACTGACACTCAGAGAACATTAAGTAATGATGGCCCAGGGTCACAAATGTCATAAAAGGCGGAGCTAGGACTGAGCCTAGGTCTTTTAAAAAAAAAAAAAAACAGAGAGAGAATGGGTCACCCAGGCTATATTGCAGTGATACAATCATAGCTCACTGCAGCCTTGAACTCCTGGGCTCAAACAATTCTCCTACCTCAGCCTCCAGAGCAGCTGGGATTACTAGGACGTGTCATGAGCCCAGGTCTTGTGGCTGTAAATCTCATGCCTTTTCCACCTCCCCACTCCATCTATACCTCTGTATAACATTTTGGCATTTTGCAAGTGCTGTGAAGCAAGTTGTCCCATTTGGTGTAGATTGGTCTCCTTGGCCTCTTTGCAGCATTTGGGCCTGTTTACCACACGCTGTCCTTGAAATTTTCCATCCTGCTCCTCTTATCAGGCCTCCTCTGTCTCATCCTTAGTCTTTTTCTTCCTCTAACCATAATTTCCAAGAAAGAGCTCTCTACTCTTTGTTTTCCTCACTTAAGACTTACAATTTCAACTGCAGTCTGAAACTGTGGTTCAGTAATTGATAAGCCACTAGGATGCCACACCTCAAGAACCATGTGTCTAAAACCCAACTAACTTTCCTTCCAAAACTAACACCCTGTGCTCATTTGTTTATTCCTACCAATGGCACCATCATTTATTAGCCCACAGGTGAAATTTCAAAGTTACTTATTCATCCATTCCACATGTATGAGTGCCTACCATATGCCTTCAGGTAGCTAGTTCCCTTTTCTTACCAAGTCTTTCTTCCTTTGCAATTTCTCTAAAAAATTAATTTTCATCTCTCATCCACTCTTCCCTACATGCTCCAACCCTTTAAATCATATTAGGCATTTCTTTCTTTTTTTTTTTAGTTCTGGAACCACACCCACCTTCTTTACTTAGTGCTGCTGTCTCTTCCTGGAACTACCATTCTCTCCCTGCCACTCCCACCACCTGCCCCCACCTTTGATGATGATCAAAGAGATGATGATCTCTTTGATCTCAGCCTCAACACACTTACTTGGAAGCCTTTCCTGATTACCCACTCCGACTTCCAAACTAAGCTAGGTCCACCATTTATATACCCTCATAGCACACTGCAATTCTCTTAGTAATAAAATGTCTTGGCCGGGCATGGTGGCTCACACCTGTAATCCCAACACTTTGGGAGGCCAAGGCAGGTGATCACCTGAGGTCAGGAGTTCAAGACTGGCCTGACCAACATGGTGAAACCCCATCTCTACTAAAAATAAAAAAATTATCTGGGTGTGGTGGTGCGTGCCTGTAGTGCCAGCTACTCAGGAGGCTGAGGCAGGAGAATCACTTGAACCTGGGAGGCAGAGGTTGCAGTGAGCTGAGATCGCACCATTGTACTCCAGCATGGGCAACAGAGCGAGACTCTGTCTCAAAAAAAATAAAAAAAGTCTCCTCTGTTCCTTGAGGAAGAAGGAACTATGTCCATCTTCCTCACCACTGTATCCTAGCACCCAGCACAGACTTTTCACATAACAGTGCTCTATAAATCTTTGTTAAAAGAATGAATACACAATTCTCAAAAGACAAACAAATAGTCAACAAATATATGAAAAAATGCTCAACATCACTAATCATCAGGGAAATGCAAATCAAAACCAAAATGAGGTATCATCTCACTCCAGTTAGGATGGCTATTATCAAAAAGACAAAATATAACAAATGCTGGCAAGGATATGAAGAAGAAAGAACCCTTATACACTGTTGGTGGGAATATAAACTAGTACAGCCACTGTGGAGAACAGTGGAGGTTCCTCAAAAAACTACAAACAGAACCACCATATAATCCAGTAATCTCACTACTGGGCATTTATCCAAAGGAAAGGAAATCACTATATTAAAGAGACATCTGCATCCCCACGTTTATCGCAGCACTATTCATAATAGCCAAGATATGGAATCATCCTAGGTGTCCAACAACAGATGAATGGATAAAGAAAATATGGCATATATACACAGCAGAATACTATTCAGCCATAAAAAGTATGAAATCTTGTCATTTGTGGCAATATGGATGGAACTGAAGGACATTATGTTAAGTGAAATAAGCCAGGAACAGAAAGTTAAACACTGCATGTTCTCACTCATATGTGGAAGCTAAAAAAAGTTGATCTCAGAGAAGTAAGAAGTATAAGAGAGAATATTAGAGGCTAGGAAGGCAAGGGGGAGAAGTGTAGGGAGAGATTTGCTAAAGGATAAAAAATTACAACTATATAGGAAGAATAAGTTCTAGTGTTCTATACTATAGTAGGATGACTATAATATAGAGTTTCAAACAGCTAGAAGGAAGATATTGAGTAATCTCAACACAAAGAAATAATAAATGTTTTAAATGATAGATATGCTAATTACTCTGATCTGATCACTATACATTACATGTATTGAAACATCACCATGCACCCCAATGAATATGTACAATATTACTTAAATATTACTTGTCAATTTCAAAATAAAAATTAAACGTTTTAAAAGAATGAATATAATGGCACCTATCCTATCAATACCCTGAATCACAAGACCCTGAATTATTTCAAAAAAACTCTTAGCTGATTTCCCTGGCAATCTATTTCCCTTCTCAAACCTGCAACTCCAGCCAAGCTGACTGATCCCGAGAGCACTGTGCACATTCCCACCTTTATGTCTTTGCTCATATTGTCAGGTCATCTAGTCATCTAACATGCCATTTCCCCAAACTCTCCAGCACATTAAATCCCCACGTCTCCTGTATTAGTCCATTTGCATTGCTATAATGGAATACCTGAGACTGGGTAATTTATTAAGAAAATAGGTTTATCTTGGCTCACAGTTCTGCAGGCTGTACAGGAAGTGTGGTGCTAGCATCTGCTTCTGGTAAGAGAGTCAGGAAGCTCACAATCATGGCAGAAGGCAAAAGGGAAGCTGGTGTATAATATGGCAAGATGGGGGCAAGAGAGAGGGGAGGGCCCAGACTCTTTTAAACAACCAGATCTTGGGTGAACTCAGAGCAAGAACTCACTCATTACTGTGAGGATGGCACCAAGACATTCATGAGGCATCTGCCTCCATGACCCAAACATCTCCCACCAGACCCCATCTCCAACATTGGGGATTACATTTCAACATATTTGGTGGGGACAAATAGCCAAACGATATCACCTTCCTTCTAGATCCTGCTCAAGTTTCCAGCTTACTGTTCCAAAGTTACTATTTTGTAGTTATCATCTATGCTCCCAAATAAGACAACTCTGAACATAAGGCAATTCATTTTCCCAATGGGAAGATTGAAATAAAGTTTTTGAGGCCAACTGGAATAAACAAACTTTTAGGGAAGTAAATAAAATAGTCTAATATCTACTTAGGATTTTTATGTATTAAATTAGCTTTATAGACATTTAAAATTATATATTATTACTACCATGGAAAAATCTCCAAAATATAATATTAAGTTTAAAAAGCAAGATGGAGAAAACTGTATAATTTGCTACCTTTTATCTAACAAAGGGTGTTGGAACATAAGTGTTTGCTTACATTTTAAAACAAATAGGATGACTGCAGTGGCTCATGCCTATAATCCCAGCACTTTGGGAGCCCAAGGCAGGTGGATCACTTGAGGTCAGGAGTTCGAGACCAGCCTGGCCAACATGGTGAAACCCCATCTCTACTAAAAATACAAAAATTAGCCGGGTGTGGTGGTGCACGCCTATAATCCCAGCTACTTGGGAGGCTGAGGCAGGAGAATCACTTGAACCTAGGAGGCAGAGATTGCAGTGAGCCAAGATTACGCCATTGCACTCCAGCCTGGATGACAGAGTGAGACTCCATCTCAAATAACTAACTAACTAACTAAATAAATAAATAAATAACAAATAAAAGAAGAAAAAGTCACAAAAGATTTTTTTAAATAGTTACCTAGAGAGGAGGGAGGGAATAAGATGGAAGAGACAAAGATAGAAACTAGACTTTTTTGAATATGCCTTATTTTGTAAATAATTTACATAATGTAAAATTAAAAATTTTAAAGTAATTCCCCAAAATCAAAAACAAAATGAAAACAAAGGTCAAATTGATGGTATAAATTCCAAGAGAAATTATTCTAAGTAACATTAAAACATAGTAACCTGACTGAACATCCTCAGTGGCATATACTCTAAGGACAAAGAAGAATTTTAAAAGATCTGAAACTGTTTTTTGGTTATCCTATTGTTGGTTGTAGGGTTGGTGTTGGTATTCTGAGGCTTGTTGTGTGTTGTGAGATAAAACAAATGAGTAGCTATGTGAATTTATTCTGTCACTCCCAGTGCGGCTGAGGACTGGGATTCTCGGCAAGAGAGAAAGGAGATACAGTTTTAAGACAAAAGGTAAATAAGAGCCATGCAGTCCTAAATTGAATTGGAAGTATCAACAATAATATACAATGCGTTTTTATTTTTAATGTTTTTAAATTTACAAATTTATATTTTCTAGCTCTGCCCACTCAAAGGCTTAGAAAAAATGATCAATCAGTAGCAATGAGTATAATTAGTACCTACATTATAGTCTCTTAAAATACCATTTTGTAATAAAAGGAATCAGAGCTCCCTGGAGAAATGGCTGGTCATAGGTCCCAGCCAGGAAATGTACAAGGTAAGTCTAAAACATCTTATTATGTTAGATAGTAAGGAAGCACTCGAAGACAACTAGGATTGTGTCCAAAGGACTCAGGAGCCAATTTAAAGGGGTCTCTTGCCAAAAAATAGGACAATTTGAGCATCAGTAGGGTAATGCCTACAACAGATTGACCATGTCAATATGTTAAGATTGATGAGTTCACTTCATAAGGTCACTTTTATTTTATTTGTTTATTTATTTATTTTTAAAATAGAGAGGTGGCGGAGTTGGGGCGGGCGGTCTCACTATGTTGCCCAGGCTGGTCTCGAACTCCTAAGCTCAAGTGATCCTCCCTCCTCAGCCTCCCAAAGTGCTAGGATTACAGGCGCGAGCCACCACGCCTGGCTTCACAAGGTCACTTTTAAAATTAACTAATTGGTCACATTTGGAGGATAACACTAATAAACCAACTCATTACTTTGAAAACTGGCAAATAATTTATCTGGGCTTTCCTAGATAAATTATACCATAGAGTGGTACCACAGAGTAGATGAGAAAAGCTTCTCATTATGGGAGAGACTAAATGAAAAGGGAATGATGGAACAAAATCATTTTGCAATCCCCAATGGATTGTACTGATTTTCAACAGCCACTAACATCACAAAGGAGAGACAATCAGACATTGTATGCCTCCTAATGGGAGACCATATCACCACCCATGAGGTAATCTTACCAAATAAATTGTCCCTGAATCTGATCAAGCCTCTAAATCCAAATACCAATTTACTGAAAGTACAATAAAACAGAGTTCCTTGAAAAACAACACCATGGGAATACAATCAGCAAAATCCAGATTCTGTCCCCTCAAAAGTTCTAGGAGGATAGGTACTGGGTCTTATATTCATCAATATCTACCCAGCACCCAGTACAATGTCCAGTACATGGTAAGTATCCCATACATTTCAATGAATGTTTATTAGTTTTATAAACTCTTTGATAATTGATCAGATGTTTTCTCATAAAACTATATAAATAAATAATTAGATATATGAATAATTATTCATGTTGGCTCCCCTACTGGTTTTTAATATCCAGAGGATAGGAATCAATTAATTATAATACTTGGTACTGTCTTCAGACACCTGACACCACAGAGAACACAGTGGGAATCTAGAGAAACAGAGGGAGGGAGGGTAGGAGAGATGATTGATTTCTTTAAAATTGTAACTGCAAAATATAAAGAGCAAGGTCAATCATCTGAAAAATTCAGGTTGAAAAACTTTCTTGCTGTTTGTTAGTTTCCTTAATTTAGATTGGTTAACCACAGCCTAAATTCACTGAATAATTGTTCATCCATTTTCTTTGTCTTGCCAAAGAAAACAGAGCCACTGTCAATAACCATTAGCAAAAGCATTTGAAAGGTCAGGCTTGAATGTGAATGTGTGGACTTTGTTTGAATCCTGATTCAAATAAAACAAGTATTTTTTAAAAAACTACAAGGTACTCACATAAATGTAAACAACTAAATGAAAATTTGATTATATTAGGAAACTATTTTTTCAGTATAATAATCTCGTGTGTTTTGGCAGTTATGTCGTTGTTTTAAAAGAGTCTTTAATCTTTAGGGCTACACACTGAAATTTTTACTCATGAAATAATATGTCTGAGATTTGGAGAATAGATGAACATAGATGAAACAAGATTGTGTGGCCAGGCTCTGCAACTCATGCCTATAACCCCAGAGCTTTGGAAGGCTGAGGTGGGAGGATCGTTTGAGGCTGGGAGTTCGAGACCAGCCTGGGCAACATAGTGAAACCTCGTCCCTACAACAAATTCAAAAATTAGCTGGGTGTGGTGGTATGGGCTTGTAGTCCCAGCTACTCTGGAGGCTCAGGTGGAAGAATTGCTCGAGCCCAGGAGTTGGAGGCTCTAATGAGCCGTGTTTGTACGCTGAACTCCAGCATGGCCAACGGAGAAAGACCCTGTCTCAAAAAAAAACCAACCAAAAAAAAAAAAAAAAAAAAAAAAAAACAGATGGTGTGTTCATTGTTGACGCCAAGTCATGGGTACATGATGATTCACTATGCAAAATCTCTCTACTTTGCTATATGCTTGAAATGTTCCATAAATTTCAGGCACATACAAAGTTTGTTTGAAATCATTAAAAATGAAAAGAAAGGAACATCAGGTCTCTTTGGCCTGTGCTTGCTGCAGATTCCTCACCAATTGGCTATTATTTCCTCTGATAGTATCATTTATTTATGGCAAAAAAGATCTCTCAATTGTGGTCCATGGATTTCTAGGGTGCTTGTAAATGGGCTTCAGAGGATCTGTGGGAATATGTGTGAATGTGCACTTTTCTTGGGAGAGGGTCCATAACTTTCATCAGATTCTCTCACAGGGGCTTGTGACTCAGAAAAGATTAGAATCCTGAGAAACACATTATATAAGCTTAAGAAAAAGGAAAGGAAGGAAGGAAGAAAGGAAGGAAAAAGCCCTATTTCTGAGTATCCTCTTTTCTGAACTTCCTCTTAGTTCACTGATAATGACCCACTACGTAAATGTGAATTGACTTGAGTGCCTACCTCAAGGACTAGATAGATAAAAAGAACTAAGAGGGTTAAATACACATTAAAATGCTGAAATTGCAAGGCAAGGCTTGAGAAAGAAAGCATTGTCATGAGCCTTGAAAAATGAATGAATTATAACTGAGTAGCAGACCAGATTCTCACTTACAGTAAATGGAAATTAAAAGGCACGGGCAGAGCTCAGTCTTACATAATGGCCCCAGCTCCTGGAAGCAGCCACAGAGGCTACAGGGAACAGGGAAGGTGGGGAGCAGAGCCCACCTCAAGCTCTCTCTCTTAACACACTTCCCCTGAGGCTCCTCTCTGGACCTGCGTGGTGGTGGACCTGCCCAAATGAATCCCACCTCCTTTCCTGCAGTAGGTCTCAGACTTTTTACCTCAAAGAACCCTTTCATCTTTTTCAGTGTTTTCAGAGAGTACATACATTAACATTCTACTTCACTCCCACCACTATCCCTGCCAAGACCCCCCCCAAAAAAGTCAAGTGTTTATTGAGTTCTAATACATTCAACCATTTCAAAATCAATAAATATAGAGATGATTTCCAGAGTTTTTTGTTTGTTTGTTTGTTTTGAGACAGAGTCTCGCTCTGTCACCAGGCTGGAGTGCAGAGGCGCCATCTCAGCTCATCGCAACCTCTGTCTCCTGGGTTCAAACAATTGTCCTGCTTCAGCCTGCCGAGTAGCTGGGACTACAAGCACGCACCACCACGCCCAGCTAATTTTTGTATTTTTAGTAGAGACTGGGTTTCGCCATGTTCGCTAGGATGGTCTCTATCTCCTGACCTCGTGATCCACCCACCTCGGCCTCCCAAGGTGCTGGGATTACAGGTGTGAGCCACCACACCCAGCCATTTCCAGGGTTTCTTTTTTTTTTTTTTTTTTGAGGCGGAGTCTCGCTCTGTCGCCCAGGCTGGAGTGCAGTGGCGCCATCTTGGCTCACTACAAGCTCTGCCTCCCAGGTTCATGCCATTCTCCTGCCTCAGCCTCCCGAGTAGGTGGGACTACAGGCGCCCGCCACCACACCCGGCTAATTTTTTTTTGTATTTTTAGTAGAGATGGGGTTTCACCTTGTTAGCCAGGATGGTCTCGATCTCCTGACCTTGTGATCCTCCCACCTCGGCCTCCCAAAGTGCTGGGATTACAGGCGTGAGCCACCGCGCCTGGCCCATTTCCAAGGTTTCTAATCAGCAAACCGAGGTAATACACTTATATACCTCACATTGTGTTTTACATATGTTGCCTCACTTAATCCTCAAAACAGTTCTAAATTGAGGCTAAGATCTCACAAAAGCTAAGTGAGATAAGAACTCTAATCAAGTCTGTGTTCCTTACTAACATTAGTAAGTCAGTATGCTAAGATTGCCAAAAGCAAAGAACCTCACCATTTAGTCAGATGGACTAATCATGGATTAATGCCCACAGTAAGAATAGCTTAAGATCCACATTATTACCTTCTTAAATCCTTGGCGCTCCAGAACCCTGCACCCCAAACTGCCCTTTACTGACCAGACCTCCAATAGTTCTTCATCTCCTTATTCACTTCCATCTTCCTCTTCATCCAGCAGAGCCTCAGAATGCTGGCCCTTTGGGGAGTCCATCACCAAATCTGACCCACGGGTCCCCAACTCTCCAATGCCCTCAAATACTTTCTTACTGAATGAAAACACCCTATAGCCACAAAAAAAAAATTCCACAAGGACTCATGCAGCTGTTCCAGACTTCCTCTTCTCAGTGGCCATGAGCTCCTGAATACCCATGAGCTTCCCATTCTAACCCTTCAGCAGCCTGCTAGGGGCCTAAAATTCCAAAATGGCTCTGGCTTCTCAGTGATTCTTTTGCTGAACCCCACTTGGAGTCACTCCTGTTCAGTATAGGTTACACTGTGATAGATTAATAGTCCTCTAAAGAGATGCACATCCTAATCCCTAGAGTTTGTGAATATGTTCCCTTATAATGGCAAAGAGGAATTAAGGTTGGAGACGGAGGTAAGGTTGCTAATCAGCTGATCTTACAATAAGGAGATCATCCTAAATTATGAAAACCATTATGTAATCTCAGTGTAATAACAAGGATCCTTAACGTGAAAGAGAGAGACAGAAGACTAGAGTCAGAGAAAAATGTGATGACAAAAGCAGGTTCTGAGAGATGCTATGTTTCTGGCTTTGGAGATGGAGGAAGGGAACTATGAGCCAAGGAATGCAGGCAGTCTCTAGAAGATGGAAAAGGCGAGGAAACAGATCCTCTCCCAGAACCTCCAGAAAGAAACAGTCCCGCCAACACTTTGATTTTAGTCCAGTGAGACCTGTATCAGATTTCTGAACTATAGAACTGTAGGATAAATTTGTGTTTTTTAAGCCATCAAATATGTGGTACTTTGTTATGGCAGAAATTGAAAACCAATACATATATTATGACTTCCTGACTACCAAGACCAGGACCAGTAAACTTGTTACTACCTATGGGAAACAACCAACCTCTCCATTATCTAAGATCTGTTGCTGTTACCTGGCAGCAGATTTAGAATAGACACAATTGCTTTTCTGTGTCCTGATTACTACCATGACCCTGTCTACCCTGCCAAGGCAAACCATGAGCTAAGACGATTATCTACAGATTTTGAAGGAAGTAAATTTGCAGTCCGAATTGTCCCCAGTTCTCTGCTCAAGTCTCTGCTTGACAAGTCTGCCCACATCTCTCCTACTGAAGCTCTCTAGCAGATCTGGGAAAACCAGATAAAAAGAATGCCCACAGGTTCCCCAATTCTCTCACATGGAAAGAATACCTAGTATGTGTGAGGAGAGGGTGGAGGGGTATGTGCAATGTAGTGAGAGGAGAAACTGCTATCTACAGTTGATACTTTTGTTAAATAATATGAGCAAATATTTACTGACTGCTTACCATAAACTGGCTATGACCCTCAGAAAAGTTGACGCACTCCCTGTAGAGCCATTCATTCATTCGCTCAGCAAATATTTACTGAGCTCCAACATGTGCCACAGTCACTGGGCACTAGAATCCAGGTCTCCTTCAGAACTCTTGTCTTAGAGCTTTTTCAGGTCCATCATAAGACATGGGGTGTAACTCTACTCCTATCAGCCATGTTTCTCAATTATCACCCACTTACCAGGGTTTATTATTGTGAAGATTTCTGCAAAATTTTCCATTCTGAGCAGGCCTGATCCACATAAAAGCCTTGGTAATTGCCCAAATTCACTTGCTTCCCCATCCACCATTTTCACCCTCCCTGAACTTTCCTTCAGTCCCCAGCACCACTTGGCTCAAATGCTGAGAGTTCCAATCTCACCAGTTTTCTCTTTCAACACTTCCTTCTGCTTGTTCTGAAAGTGCTTATCAGGAGAACTGTGAAGATACCAGGTGTCCCCAGTTCCAATCCAAAGTAGGGGCTTTCCTTAAAGCTTTCTGACTTCCTTCCTCTATTACTACCCCCTATGAAAAGCTCATTGACTCTTAAAATTTCAATAACCGGCTGGGCGTGGTGGTCATGCCTATAATCCCAGCACTTCAGGAGGCCGAGGGGTGAGGATCGCTTGAGACCAGGGATTCAAGACCAGCCCAGGCAACATAGTGAGACTCTGTCTCTATAAAAATTAAAATAAAAAAAAATAGCTGGACATAGTGGTTCATGTCTGTAGTTCCAGCTACTAGGGAGGCTGAAGTGGAAGGATCACTTGAGCCCAGGAGGTCGACGCTGCAGTGAGCTGAGATCACACCACTGCACTCCAGCCTGGGCAACAGAGTGAGACCCTGTCTCAAAAATAAATAAAAATTCCATAAACACCTTCAGAGATCTCATCAAAATGATGACTAATGTAGGTCTTCATTAACTCATCCTGAATTATACCAATGGCCTCCTAGCTGGCCTCCCTCATTGCAGTCTCTTCCCATCCTGCCTTCCCAAACACTTAGTGAGTGCTTATTCAGAGACAGGTACTGTTATAGGCAACAAAGACACAGCCACAGTAATGCACAGTGATTAAGGGCACATCCTTTGCAGAGATGCAGCCCTGGGTCTGGCAGGGCCACAAGCAACCCTGGCACTTAGAATTACTTAACCTCTCTATGCCTGGCAGAGTAGCTCATGCCTGTAATCCCAGCACTTTGGGAGGCCGAGGCAGGTGGATCACCTGAAGTCAGGAGTTTGAGACCAGCCTGGCCAACATGGTGAAACCCCATCTCTACTAAAAATACAAAAAAATTAGCTAGGGGTGGTGGCAGGCGCCTGTAATCCCAGCTACTCGGGATGCTGAGGCAGGAGAATCACTTGAACCTGGGAGTTGGAGGTTGCAGTGAGCCGAGATCATGCCATTGCACTCCAGCCTGGGCAACAAGAGTGAAACTCCATCTCAAAAAATAAAAAATAAAAATAAAAATAAAAGAATTACTTAACCTCTTTATTATCTTTGTTTTCTCATTTGGAAAACAATAATAAAGTTCCATAATTCTCAGGGTTATAGAGAGCATTAAGTGAGATAATGCATGAAAAACACTTAGCATAGTGCCTGGCACATGGCAAGCATTCAATAAAAGTTAACAGTAACAGCAAATGGAGCTGTCAGGTGAGCAGCAGAGATGAATATGTATATTCCACAAGTCAGGGTTCACGGAAGATAGTACTTGGTAGGTGTTGTGAGCAGGGGAGAGTGAGTGACGAATATAATAGAATGATATGGAGCCAGACCTTGAAGGTTAAAATGGAATATTCTTGGCGGAGAGGAGGGGAAAGATTTTCCAGCTTCAACGCCTGAGCAAAGGCACAACATAGAGGGAAGAGATGTTGTGTAATGAAGTAATGGCCATCTGTCACTCTGTGCCAATCCTGACTAGACCTTGAGCTCCTTAAGGGGAGGCATCTGGCTTTGGATACGGGAGAGCTGCTCATTCACTTATGCAATTGAGCACCAATTTTATACCAGGCACTGTGCTAGGTGAGAAGATTTTCTGCTTGTCCCCTGCCCTCAAGAAGCTTCTAACTGAGATGATAATAAACAAGAAACCAAAAGAAGAATATTTCAGGTAAGTCATATGTTATAAGAAAATAAAACAGGACCATCTTAAAGAGAGTGACTGGGATGAAGGTTCAGAGAAAGCCACTCTAAGGAAGTGACATTCTAGTTGAATCATGAGAAGGCCTGGGTAAAACAGCATCCTGGGCAGAGGGAATGACAGGCACAAGACCCACCTGAGGTATGCAAGACTTACTGTATTGAAGAAACAGAAAGCCAGAGGAGGTGCAAGAAAGAGAGTGGAGGAGAGGCAGTCCTGGGAGGGTGGACAAGAGCCTGATTGTATTCAGGCTTGGTAGGCCATGATAAAGAGTTTGGATTTTATTCTAAAAGGCACCAGGAAGCCACTGAAGGGTTTCAAGATAAGATGTGACATGATCTGATTTGTGTTTTTAAAAGCTCCCTGTGGCTGCCATGTGGAGAGTAGTCTTACAGAAGGGCAAGAAAGAAAGCAGAGGGAACTGTTAGAAGGCTAGGACAGTAGCTCACATCTTCCAAAACAGCACAGCCTTATGATATTTAGAGGTGATGTCTGGAACCTCTCTGTTTACATCAAGTTACACAATCTGCTCACTTTACAAGGCCCATCTCCACACAGCCTAGTTAGCACATAGAAGGTTTAATTGGTCATTGCCAGTCAGTTGACTGTCTCTCCCCCAAGTCATCCCCATTTCCTTTCCTCCTTCTACCCTCATTCTCTTTTCCTCCCTATCTCTCAAATTTCCATTTGCCTATTACCTGACTCCAGCCTTCATGAGGTCCTACTGTTCCCATTGTATTCCTTTTCTTCTCCTCACCCTACCACCCAAGAAAGTTTCACAAACTAGATATAAAGGAGATATTTTCTATCCTACTCCAGAAGTACTCAAGAATTACTAATTTCACAGAACACTAACAGAAACCTAAGGGTCATGATGCCCTCAATAATATAACCTGTAAACATTCTGCATGTTAAGGACACTGTATCCTCACATCCATTCCAACCTATTCTCCCCACTGCAGCCAAAGAAATCTTTCAGTAGGAAAATCTGGGCCGGGCACGGTGGCTCACGTCTGTAATCCCAGCACTTTGGGAGGCCGAGGCGGGCAGATCACGAGGTCAGGAGATCAAGACCATCCTAGCTAACACGGTGAAACCCTGTCTCTACTAAAAATACAAAAAATTAGCCGGGCGTGGTGGAAGGCGCCTGTAGTCGCAGCTACTCCGGAGACCGAGGCAGGAGAATGGCGTGAACCTGGGAGACGGAGCTTGTAGTGAGTGGAGATCGCACCACTGCACTCCAGCCTGGGCGACAGAGCAAGACTCCATCTCAAAAAAAAAAAAAAAGAAAAGAAAAAAAAAAGAAAATCTGTTCATGATCTCATTTACTCTCTCATGCCCTCTCTCTCTCTCCCGGTTAGGAGAGACCCCCTCTCTCCCCTTTCCCCTCTACTTAAACCCCTTCAGTGGCTTCCCCTTGTTCCTCAGATAAATGTCAACTTCCTCAGCATGGGCTCCAAATGGCCCTGTGTGTTATAACCCCAGAACACATCTCATATACCATTCCCCTCATCGCTCCTTGTTGCTGCACCACACTGGCCTCATTTCAGGTCTCTAACCAGGTGTGTCCCCCTCTGCCACAGGTCTTTTGTGTAGCTGTTCTCTTTGCCTCTCAGGCCCTGTGATCCCCCTCTTCCCTCAGTTAACATTTATTCATCCTTTAGCTCTTTGCCCAGATTTTCTTCCTTAGCAAAATCTTCTCTGAGACCATGTCTGGAACCACTGTTATACACGCTTATGGCACTGCCTATCTTTCTTCAAAGCATTTATCACAGTTTATGATATTTATTTGTGTGATATTTGATTAAAAATAGTACTTCTCCCCTCCCCCACTAAATGATACGCTCCAGGAGGGCAAGAACATTGCCTATTTTTTCTTACCATTGTATCCCAAACAGAGATTGAATACATTTAATAGGCTTTAAGGGGGTTAGATATGCATTTTCCAAAATCTTAGATATTGTTCTTTTCAGACAGAGCAAGGAAAGAAGGATGTATCTTCTATTAATTGTAGCAAACTATTAACCAGGAAGAAGAGGAGAGAGTCAGTGTCTGATACTCATTTTGTTGCAAACTCAGGATATTTTCCCTGCCTCCTCGGGGAAACCATCCCTGAGGTCAACATGGCACTTGTTTCCAAGACGTGTCATCCTTCCTGAGATGGCCCATTACCCTCTTCAGAGCCCTGTACTTCAGACTTGCCTCCTCTTCCAACCCTCTTTCCAAGGCAGAAACCACACCATCTGATTGCACAGGAAACGGGGAGTGAGAATTCAATGGGCTGCCACTCATTCACTGAGTGTCACACAATAAACATTACTCCACAAAGCCCTTTCACAAACAGCACTTCGTCTGATCCTCAAAACAACCCTGTGAAGCATGCAAAGCAGACATAACTATTCCCATTTTAATAGCTGGGGAAACTGAGGTTCAAAGAGGCAAGTGACTTACTCAAGGTCACAAAGTTTGTGTGAGGCAGAGGTAGGATTTCAAACTACAGACTCTAACACTTAGTCCAATGCTTTTCCTTACATTAGCCGCCCCAACAGTTCCAATACCAGTTACTTAACCTTGGTTTTTTAATTCCCTTAAATAAGCACCTGTTCCTGACCCCTCCACACATCCTCAGCCCAGTTTGCAGTCCCTACCCAGAAGTTTTCAGGTGTCTGTTCAATGGGGCAGAGGGAGTCACAAACCGGGTCACCCTATCAGGGATTGGTCCCAGCCTCCAGAGTCTTTTCTGGCTTTTCCTCTGAACCACTGAGGAACCAGAAACCCCCAGAAATAAAAACACAAAGAGAAGACGTGCCCCACCAGAGCAAGGTCCCTGCTACCCTTTCTGCCCACGTTCTGGCAGGACAACGCGAGGCCAGACGCCGGCCCCTTCCAACAGAAAGACGCGAGGAGAACAAGAGGTCGCCGCCCGCCGGCTGTCAGGGCTCCTGGGCGGGCGGCGCAAGGGATGCGGCAGAGATGGGCCAGATCCCAGGTTCGGCCCAAGGTCACTCTCTCGCAGCCCTGGCCTGGTCCCCAACCGCCCGGAGCGCCCCCTGGTGTCCCGGGCTGGCCTCCCCTCGCCCTCAGGGAGCGGCCTGGGAAGCCTGGGCTCGGGGGCAGAAGGAAGGAGGGTGGGCAGAGGATGAGGAGGCTGCGCCCCGGGGAGGAGCGGGAGGCGCGGGAGGCGGGGCCCTACCTGATAGCTGAGGACGCCGTCCGGCTCGTTACTCCCGGCGGCCGGCATGGCGGAGCCGAACTAGGTCTCCCCCACGGGCTCCAAGCCAAGCATCAGCAGCCCGCGCCCTCTGGTCGGGTCTGAGCAGATCACTCGAACGGCGACCCCCACCCCGGAGCCAACGGTCAACCATCAACCGCCGCCGCCTCCATAGCCACCGGCCCGCGAGGCATCCGCCGCAACCAATCAGCGAGAGGCCTGCGCAGCCAATCAGGGCGCGGAGCACGGGAGGACGCTGTCCGGCGGTACCCTGGGCTACCGCGGGGAGGGGGAGGAGCCGGGGAGCCAACCGCTCCCGGGCCCGGTTGCCTTGGAAACCGCCTCCCTCCCTTCAGGGGCCTCTGGGCGTGAAGGTCCTTCCAACTGCTTGCTAGAAAATCTCTGCTTCTATTTGCAGCTGCACCTGACCCTTGAAAACTGGGAAAGTGTCGGTTTTGCCTATTCTGATTTCATTCCTTGGGAGATGATGTTTAAATTCCGGGCAAACATCCTTCGCGATTGCAGGAGGAGGTAATTGCGGATGAGGGGAGAGGGCCTTCTAAAATTAATTGTTTTTCCTTGAGCTAATGGCCAGATTAAAGAGCATTAAATTGAAGAAGGCAGGCAGTGTCAGGCTCCCTCACAGTCTCACTATGACTTAGGTCTTCTTCTTGAGTCTCAAGTCAGAAGCAAAACACACGGACAGGGTCGAGCTAAGGATGACTGTTGAAGCAATTCCACAAAAAGGCTTCGAACTTTTCCAGGAAATGATCTAAGGCAAACTATTATTTAGCAACAGAACTACTGACTTAACACAAGGTTAGAATATCATGAATAATGCATTAAATTTGATTTGGATTTATAAGAAAAGAGAGGCTGGCTAAAATCGAAGCAACCCTCTCTCCTCAAGAAAAAGAAAGGTACCTTTTGGGTTTTTTTTGTTTTTTTTTTGTTGTTTTTTTTGTTTTTTTTTTTTTTTTGGAGACGAAGTTTCACTCTTGTTGCCCAGGCTGGAGTGCAATGGCGTGTTCTTGGATCACTGCAACCTCCGCCTATCCAGTTCAAGCGATTCTCCTGCCTCAGCCTCCTGAGTAGCTGGGATTACAGGTCCCCACCACCACGCCCGGCTGATTTTTTTGTATTTGTAGTAGAGACGGGGTTTCACCATGTTGGCCAGGCTGGTCTGGAACTCCTGACCTCAGGTGATCTGCCCGCCTCAGCCACCCAAGGTGCTGGGATTACAGGCGTGAGCCATGGCACCCGGCCGTGGGGCCTTTTGTTTTATATGCACTATCATACCAGACTTCAGGTAGGTCCAAATTGGGGTCAGGGGAAGAATTGTTGCAAATAATTCTCAGCCCCTAAAGAAGCTACAGTTGGGGAAGGTAGTCTGATACATGTTAAAACTTTCCACCCCTGCTTACCATCCTTTGTGTTGGTCCTGAAATTGGAAACAAGGTTGGGCTTCAGTATCCCTGAAGCAGAATTGTATTTCTGATGTCCTGTATAAGCCTCCTGTCTAGTCTCTGCGTTTTAGTGTTCATTGCCACACACTCCATCAATCTCTTTACTAATCCTGTCATCTTGAATCTGGAATTCACATCCTACCCTCATCCCCATTTTTGTCCATCAAAATCTTAACCATCCTTCAAAGTTAATCTCAAAAGCCACCCTCTTCCAAGAAGCCTTTCTTTATTCTACTGTCCCTGATACCCCTAACAGATGTCATCTCACCCTCCCCAGAATTCTCAAGGCACTTCATACCTTTCTTATAGCAGTTGTCATGCTGTGGTTATTTAAGTACTTTATATGTTGACTTTAGCTTACTAAAATATTATAAGTTCTTTGAAAGCAATGATTATTTTTCTTATGCCCTTCTGTATACTCAACAGAGCCTCAACCAATCCCAGGCACATAGAAAGTACTTAGTAAATATGAATGCTTTTAATTCAATCTAATAAAAAATGTATTGAACACCTACTAATGAACAGGCCCAAGTAACACTGTAGAGGCAGAGAAATCTAAAATATATATCTCCAAGGGAGCTTAACAGGCTTATCAGGGAAACAGGGTATATGTTAATGAGTAATATTATATAAACCATGAAGATTGCAAAAATTCAGAAGAGAAAATGATCTTCAGGAAGGTTTCACAGAGGACATGGATTCGAGCTAAGTCTGAAAACATGGGTAAGATTTAGCTGACCCAAGGTAAGAAGAGCAAGCATCTCAAGTCTTAGGCAAAGACTTAAGAATAATAATGCACATGGCCCATTCAGGGTAGCCACAATTTGGGCCAAAGCAGAAAGTTATTGAGAAGAGCAGTGGGAGGTAATAGTTGTGATAGAGAAAGGCTGTGGGCTGGGCATGGTGGCTCACACTTGTAATCCCAGCACTTTGGGAGGCCAAGACAGATGGATCCCTTGAACCCAACAGTTCAAGACCAACTTGGGCCAACATGTAGAAATTCCATCTCTATTTTTAAAATACAAAAAAATTAGCCAGGCATGGTGGCATGCACCTGCAGTCCCAGCCCCTCAGGAAGCTGAAGTGGGAGGATCACCTGAGCCCAGGAGAGGCTTCAGTATACCACTCCACTCCAGCCGAGGTGACAGAGTGAGACCCTGTCTCAAAAAAATAAAAAATAAATAAAATAAAAGGCTGTGATCAAATTGTGGAGATCTGGCTAATTCATTCAGACTTTATTTTTCTTAAATGATAAAAAGCAGGACGCTGAAGGCTTTAGGGAAAACTTCCACACACCAGAACCTGGGTTTAGTGGTATAAATGCATTGTGTCATTTAATAGTCATAATGTCTCTACTCTTTTTCTATTTCACAGGTAAAAAACTGAGGCTCAGTGAAGTTAAGCAACTTACTCAAGGTCAGGCAGTCATGAAGCTGGGATTCCATCATTCATCTATTAATTCAAAACACTTTTGCTGAGAACCTATGTATCGTGCCCTATGTTAGGTGTTGGGAAAACAGCAATTAAGACAGTGTCCTTGGCCTCATAAGCCTTACAATCAAGTGGGAGAAAGTAAACAAGTCATCAAACAAGATAACCGCTAGTTATAATCACTACTGTTAAGTAAATAAAGAGTTATGTGATCAAGAGTAACTGGCATGGGATAGGGAGAGCTTCTCTGAGGAGGTGGGGAAAGATTCACCTGAGGAGACGAGTCAAGAACAAGCTCTCTGATTCTAGAGTTCTTGACCACTATGTTGTATTGGCCTATAAAAATTGTACCATCTCCAAAATCTGCCCTTAGGGGAGAATGGATTAGAGGGGGAAACCTGAGGCAGGGCGTCAGAAAGACTGACTCTAGCAACGTGGTAATTCAGGAGCCGAGGATGGTGGCCAAAGGAAAGATGTGCCCACATCCCCCACTCCCCTGGAAGGCAAGTCCCAGCCATGGCAGAAGTGGAGTAGGTAGGGTAGGGAAAGGAATTGAGAAGTAGTGGTGATTCCTGGGAGGACTGGTGGATCTGACTTCTCTCCAGTACAAATGTGGAAAAAGTCAGAGCCTCTGGCCCTTGACTCCAGGGTCAAGAGCCCCATCTTCTGGCCTATTGTGCAAATTACAAAAGGAAGTAGGCCACAGAGGCAGCAGCTAAGGCTGCTGCTATCTGGGGCACTGCAGAAGACAGGCTCTATCCTCCCAGGGATGATTTGGTCTCTCCTTCCCAGAAAAAGCTGGTTCACTTGGCTCTAAGCACGAGGCTCCTAACATCTACTGCTCCTTACCCTGGTTGGAAAAGCTCAAACACATGGCTCTCAGCCTGGCTGGAAGACAAGTCCTAGTGGAGCTGGGGGTATTCAGCCAAGGACATCACCTCACACTGATTATTTTTCTAAAGAAATCAGAAAAAAACAGCAGAACAGAATTCAGAGCCTTCTTGAATCTTCAGTCAGCCCAGAAAGAGGCATAAAGTGGACAAGAAAATGGAAAATACATGTGTAGAGGCAGAGACAACACATGCACACACACACACACACATCATACCAATAGGGAGGCAGAGAGGCATGCTACATGGATAGCCTCACTTCATCCTTGCAACAACTCTGAGGTAGGCACTATCATCCCATTGTATAGATTAGAAAACTGAGGCTTGGAGAGGTAACTTCCCCAGGGCACACAGCCAGCACAGTTAATAGATGGAGACACTAGACTGTGAGCTCAGATGAAATGATTCCACAGTGCATGAGCTTCACCACCCTACTGTCTCCCATGGGGATGCCTGGGAATTTCATCCTTCTCTAACTTTCATAGGCTCCACTCTTTCTTTGTGGCTTCCTGACGTGGCCATCCTTCCAGATTTTGTTTTAGACCTATTCTTTCTCTTCTATAATACCAGTGGTTCTTAAACTTTGGGGAAAGCGGTGGGTCTTGAACTCCCTGGAGACATTATAAAATCTGTGGATTCTCTTTTTCAGATAAGTAAACAAAGCCCAAAATTTTGCATATAATTGTAAGGATGTGTTCATAGACTTCTCAAGGAAGCATGAGGCACCTTACGTATATGATCCTTAAATATCCTGAAAGACATTGAGATTCTTCTATTCAGAGACAGACACAAATATAAGAAACGCAAAAAGTCTGAGAAAATGTTCTTAAATAATTTGCAACCAGTTTTTTCATCAAAAGCATCTTAACTCCTCCATCAGTTTACTCTGTCTCTTGTTCTATGTGAACTGTCCAAAGAGCCACCAGGGCCGGGGTCTTAGGCTTTACTTGCAATTAAATAGGTCCCAATTTCCAGCTGTGTCTTATACCTGATTTTTATTTCTCCACTTTCCTCTTACTTACACATCTAAACCCAAGATGTGGTTGGAGGAAAAGACGTCGGGATCTGAGGAAAGACTTAATTAGGGCTTGTTCGTGCTGTCGTCTGGGAGCATTTCCTGTGGAAGGGAGGGGCGAGAGGGGGAGTGAGAGAGATTCTTTGTCAAGCTGAAAAGGTTATGCAGGTGCATGATTTGCTTTCAGCCCTTGCCAAGTCACAGCATATTGAAAGAGACTACAGAATACAATTTTCATTGTTCACAGCATGCTGCCAGCATGGAACACTACACATCCCAGGGAAGAGTCTGAGGCGCCACAAAAGCTGAGAGCCAAGCTCCTGGCTGTGAAAATCGCTCCCCACTATTCGTCATCATCAACATCATCCACAGAACTTCGTTACACCACACTCAGTTACACTTTGCTCCAAACTGAGAGAGGCTCTGGGGCAGAATTCAAGTGAAATGGCAAAACCTGACTTCTGCCTTCTTTGATATCACTATTAAGATATTTGGACAGAGGCAGAGGTAGGGGAAGGGACCTCTAGAGGGAGCAGAACAAAACAGAAAAGCTGGCTGTAAAAAAAACGGTTGTCATCCGCAAGTCAAGAATAGGCCCTGGAGGAGAAAAGCTGTAGGACTTCCAGATTCAGATGGGAAGCCATTCAGAAATTTGAAAGCAGCAGGTGTTAACCAAGGACTACTTGCCAAGTCCTTGATACAAGAGCTGAACACATTCATAGTCAATACATTTATCTTATCCATGTCTAACCAAACCTAACCCTGCTTATAAATCAGGTCTATTTAAAGTGATTTCACTCCACATCTTATCTATTTAGGGATAAGACCTCCTGAGCTTTTTATACTAAGTATTATACTAAGTAGGGAAGTTCTTATTTCACTTTTAGCCCATAGGCCTGGGACAGCTTTAAGGTGGCAGCAAATTCAATACCCGACATTTGTAATCACTGCTATCTCATTTATCTTCAATGGATTGGTAAATGTACATAGAACATTTGAAGTCTAGGAAGTGGAAATGTAGCTAGGTATAGGGACTTGCCCAGGGCAGTTAATAGCAGAGCTGGGTCAAGAACTACTAATGCTTTCTACTTAATTGTATGGCTTCCTAGAAATATAATTCCATTCAGCCATTTCCTGCATAAAATTGAATTGGCTTCAATGAAACAATGAAAATGTGAATCTTCTTTAGAACTGACATTAACCCCTCCCCCACCAGCAAAAGCCCAGGGTTTCTCCTCTGTTTAGCCTTTCCCATAAGATGGGAGTTTTCACATAATTTCCGCTTTGGAAAGCTTGTCAGTGACACCCATTCATTAGTTTACTGAAAAAACTCCCATGGAGTTCTGAAAATAACTATTACTGAAGCACATTATCTGACATAGATATAAATTCAATCCAAGCTACTCTTACTTCCAGTGATATTTCCCCTGAGGCCTTTTATTTTGCAGTTATATATATATTTTAAAAAAGATACCCAGTCAGACATTAGGACTGGGGCAAAAAGGAATAGAGATAGAATGCGAATTTATTTCACTTATCTTTTTTCTATCTCTAACATTTTACCAAATTGAAAGGGCCGGCCCCCTCCTTAAAGAAGGCAGAGTTCTTTAGCCCTTTCTACAAACCAACAGAAAATATAAGAAAGAGTATTTGCTAGATTTACCAAAAACCAGAGCTATGAGATGGTTAGCCAACAAATAGCAGAGGAAAAAATACAATCTTAAAACACATGTAAGGATAATCAGCTTTGTTTGGGGTAGACAAAATGGACTAGAGCCATTATAATTAGACTATAACTTGTATATTGTTTTGGGTCTCTCCGGAACTTGTCCCTGCCCCCTAAGAATTCTTGGAAGAAACTTAAATGTCCTATAGACCAGTTCCTATCCAACACAATTCCCCTCCACTCCATCCCAGAGAAGGAGCCATCTGATTTTCCCTGGATATCTCTAGTCACAGAGTACTCACCATCGAATGAGGCTGGCAGCCCCATTCCAGGTTCAATTTGCCTCCTTGAAACTTTCACTCTTCATTCCAAATGCTCTCCTCTGTAACTCCAAAGGCAAAGTCTGCTCACTCTTCTACATGACAGCCCTTCAAATTCTTGTAGCCCATTATGATCTCTTCCCTCGTTCTTATCTTTCTGAGACAGGGCATGATCAGGATAGGATTACTGTCTCCAGTAAACCACTTGCACCCTTATAATTCCAGACTGCCAGGAGTCTGGAATTTAGCAATGGAATGCACAGTTTAAAAAGACTTACAGCCAGATATGGTGGCTCACGCCTCTAATCCCAGCACTTTGGGAGGCCAAGGCGGGCAGATCACCTGAGGTCAGGAGTTAGAGATCAGCTTGGCCAACGTGGCAAAACCCTGTCTCTACTAAAAATACAAAAATTAGGCCGGGTGCAGTGGCTCACGCCTGTAATCCCAGCACTTTGGGAGGCTGAGGTGGGCAGATCACGAGGTCAGGAGTTCGAGACCAGCCTGGCCAACATAGTGAAACCCCGTCTCTACTAAAAATACAAAAATTAGCTGGGTGTGGTGGCGCATGCCTGTAGTCCCAGCCACTCGGGAGGCTGAGGCAGGAGAATCGCTTGAACCCGGGAGGTGGAGGCTGCAGCGAGCCAAGATCGCCCCACTGCACACCAGTCTGGGCGACAGTGTGAGACTTCGTCTCAAAAAAAAAAAAAATACAAAAATTAGCTGGGCATGGTGGCGCATGCCTGTAATCCCAGCTACTCGGGAGGCTGACGTGGGAGAATCGCTTGAACCCAGGAGGCAGAGGTTCCAGTGAGCCAAGATCATGCCATTGCACTCCAACCTGGGCAACAGAGCAAGACTCCATCTCAAAAAAAAAAAAAATTCAAAAACTAGCCAGCCGTGGTGTTGCACACTTGTAGTCTCAGCTACTCAGAAGGCTGAGGCAGGAGGGTCACTTGAGCAAGGGAGGTCGAGGCTGCAGCGAGCTGTGATCGTGCCACTGCACTGGGTGACAAAGGGAGACCCTGTCTCAAATATAAAAAAATGAAAAGACTTACACCATGGTTAATTTTCATGTGTGATGATGGTAATGTGGTTATGTAGAAGACAATTCTTTCTCTTTTTTTTTTTGAGACAGGGGGTCTCACTCTGTCGTCCAAGTTGATAAGATCTTGCCTCAAACTCCTGGATGCAAGTGATCCTCCCACCTCAGCCTCCTGAGTAGCTGACACTACAGGCACACTCGTGGCCAGCTAACTTTTGTATTTTTTGTAGAGACAGGATTTCACCATGTTACCCAGGCTGGTTTTGAACTCCTGAGCTCAAGCAATCCACCCACCTTGGCCTCCCAATGTGCTGGGATTATAGGCATGAGCAGTTCTTACTCTTAGGAGATGCATGCTGCAGTGTTAAGGTAGAGTACCATGATGTCTACAACTTACTTTTGAATGATACAGCACTACAGATACAGAAACAGATAGATATGCCTAGATAGCTATATAAGGAGAAATAAAGCAAATATGACAAAATGTTAACAATTGTGGAAGCTTTACAGATGTTCATTGTCCTTGTTTTGTTTTGTTTTGTTTTGAGACAGAGTCTCACTCTGTCACTCAGGCTGGAGTGCAGCGGCACTATTTTGGCTCACCACAACATCTGCCTCCTGGGTTCAAGTGATTCTCGTACCTCAGCCTCCCGAGTAGCTGAAATTACAAGCGTACGCCACCACACCCAGATAATTTTTGTATTTTTAGTAGAGATGGGGTTTCACCTTGTTGACCAGGCTGGTCTCAAACTCCTGGCTTCAAGCAATCTGCCTGTCACGTCCTCCCAAAGTGCTGGGATTACAGGCAAGAGCCGCCGTGCCCAGCCTATTGTCCTTATGTTTTAGCATCTCTTTGTTTCAAAATTTTCACAATTAAAAGTTGGGAAATAAAGGGCCAGAAAAGGTGGGAGAGAATGAAAGTGAAATAGAGACATTTTCAAAAACACAAATTCTCAAAAAAAAAAAAAAAAAAAAACAAAAGACCTCCATCAAACAGGCAAATTCCCCAGGCCAGTGGGTACTAATTAGGACAGCTCTAGTCCTAAGCTGGCAAAATGCCAAAGGTACAGATTATTCCCAGCCTATGAATCATGGCTAAAGCAAGGTAACTCAGAAAGTTTGAAAGATAAAAGAATGAGCAAAGGTATACCAAGTAAATTTAAAAAAAAGGAAGAGAGTAGAGGTCGTACTCTTACCTTTTGGTAATAGTGATTTCAAGGGGAAAATTATTAAACTAGACAAATATAGGCACTATATTATTATATTTAATTTTATTTTAGATTCGGGGGTACATTTGCATATTTTTTATGTGGTTATATTGTGTAATGCTGGGGACTGGGCATCTAGTAGGCCCATTACCCAACTGGTGAACACTGTACCTGATAGGTAAATTTTCAATGCTCGCCTCCCTCCCACTCTCTCCCCTTTTGGAGTCCCCAGTGTCTGTAATTTCCATATTTGTGTCCAAGATAGGCACTTTATAACAATAAAGGTTTACATTACAATGAAGATATAATAAATATCTGAGTAAACAAATAACATAGCAACAAAGATATAAAACAAAGTTTACTGGACATACAAGAAAGAATCAACACACATTATTCTGAGAAGAGCTTATTTTACCTCTGTCAGCCTGTGACAGAGCAAGACAAAACATAAGTAAAGCTCACAATTGGAAAACCTAGAGGAAATGGATAAATTCCTGAACACCTACCACCTACCAAGATTGAACCGGGAAGACACAGAACACCTGAACAGAGCAGTAACAGATACCAGGATTGAATCAGTAATAAAATATCTCCCAACAAAGAAAAACCCAGAACTGGATAGCTTTCCTGCTGAATTCTATCAAACACTTAAGAAGAACTAACATCAGTTCTTCTCAAACTATTCCAAAAAATCAAAGAGCAGGGAATTCTCTCTAACTCATTCCATGAGGCCAGCATTACTGTGATATCAAAATTAGGTTGGTGCAAAAGTAATTGCGGTATTTGACTTTTTTTTTTTCCAATGGTAAAAACCACAATTACTTTTGCACCAACCTAATAGACAAGGATATAACAACAACAAAAAAGAAAACTACAGGCCAATATTCCTGATGAATATACAGGCAAAAAACCCTCAACAAAATCAAACCAAGTCCAACAGCACATCAAGAAGATACTGCATCATAATCAAGTGGGATTTATCGCAGGGATGCAAGAATGGCTGAACATATGCAAATCAATATACATCACATTAACAGAATGAAGGACCAAAAACCATATGATTATTTCCATAGATGCTAAAACGGCATTTGGTAAAATCCAACATTCTTTCATGATAAAAGCTCTCAACATATTAGGCATAAAAGAAACATACCTCCATATAATAAAGGCCCACATGTAATAAATCCACACCTAATATACTGAATGAGGAAAAGCTGAAAGCCTTTTCTCTAAGAACTAGAATAAGACAAGGATGTCCACTTTCACCACTATTTTTTTGAGGTAGTATCTCACTCTGTCACTCAGGTGAGAGTACAGTGGCACAATCACAACTCATTGCAACCTCAACCTCCCAGACTTAAGTGATCTTCCCACCTCGTTTTATGATTTTTTGTAGAGACGAGATCTCACTATGTTGCCCAGGCTGGTCTCAAACTCCTGGGCTCAAGTGATCCTCCTGCCTAGGCTTCCCAAAATGCCAGGATTACATGTGTAAGCCACTACATCCGGCCCACTCTTATTCAAAATAATACTGTACGTCCTAGCCAGAGCAATCAGGCAAGAGAAACAAATAAAAGGCATTCAGATTAAAGAGGATGTCAAACTTTCGCTCTTTGCAGATGACATGAACTTATATATAGAAAAACCTAAGGACTCCACCAAAAAACTCTTAGAACTGACCAACGAAGTCAGTAAAATTGCAGTATACAAGGTAAACCTATAAAAATCAACAGCATTTCTATATGCCAATAATGAACTAGCTGGGAAAAAAAAGCAAAGAAAGCAATCCCACTTACAATAGCTACAAAAAAAAAAAAGACCCAGGAATAAATTTAACCAAGGAGGTAAGAGATCTCTGCAAGAAAACTACAAAACACTGATGAAAGAAATTGAAGAGGGCACAAGCAAACAGAAAGACATCTCCTGCTCATGGATGGGAAGAATTAATATTGTTAAAATGACCATACTACCCAAAACAATATACAGATTCAATGCAGTCCCTATAAAAATACCAAAGACATTCGTCACAGAAATAGAAAAAATAATCGTAAAATTTGTCTGAAACCAAAAAAGATCCCAAATAGCCAAAGCAATCCTGAGCAAAAAGAAGAAAGTTGAAGGCATCACACTACCTGACTTTAAAATATACCACAGAGCTAGAATAAGCAAAACCAGCATGGTATCGATATAAAAACAGACACACAGACCAACGAAACAGAATAGAGAACCCAGAAATAAATCCACATATTTACAGCCAACTGACTGATTTTCAACAAAGGCATGAAGAACATGCACTGGGGAAAGGACACCCTCTTCAATAAATGGTGCTGGGAAAACTGGCTATCCATACGCAGAAGAATGAAACTGGACCCTATCTTTTACCATATACAAAAATTAACTCAACATGAATTAAAGGCTTAAATGTAAGACCAGGAACTATAAATACTACTAGAAGAAAACATACAGGAAATGCTGCAGGACATGGATCTAGGCAAAATATTTCATGGCTAAGACTTCAAAAGCATAGGCAACAAAAACAAAAATAGACAAATGGGACTATATTAAAGTAAAAAGCTCTTTCACTGCAAAGGAAACAATCAACAGAGTAAAGAGACAACCTGTAGAATGAGAGAAATTATTTGCAAACTATTCATCCAACAAGGAATTAATATCCAGAATATATAAAGAACTCAACAGCAAAATATAAAACAAATAATCCCATGAAAAAATGGACAAAGGATCTGAGTAGATATTTCTCAAAAGAAGACATAGAAATGGCCAACAGGTATATGAAAAAAATGCTCAATATCACTAACTGTTAGGGAAATGCAAATAAAAACCACAATGACATATCATCTCACCCCAGCCAGGATGGCTATTAACAAAAAGACAAAAAAACACGAATGTTGGTGAGGATGCAGGGAAAAGGGAACTCTTATAAACTGATAGTAACAATGTGTATTATTACAGACATTATGGAAAACAGTATGGAGGTTCCTTAAAAAACTAAAAATAGAACTACCATGTGATCCAGCAATCTGATCACTGGGTATTTATCCAAAGGAAAGGAAATCAGTATATCAAAGGGATACTTGCATCTCCATGCACTGTTCACAATAGCCAAGATATGGAATCAAACTAAGTGTCCATCAATGGATGAATGAATAAGGAAAATGTATTTACACACAACTGAATGCTATTAAGCATAAAAAAAGAATGAATTTCTATTGTTCACAGCAACATGGATGGAACTGGACATCATTATGTTAAGTGAAATAAGCCAGGTACAGAAAGACAAACATCACATGTTCTCACTTATATGGGAGCTTAAAAAAGTTCATATTATGGAAGTAGAGAGCAGTATGATAGTTACCAGAGGCTAGGAAGAGCAGGGGCAGGTGGGGAATGAACAGAGGTTGGTTAATGGACAAAAGCCTACAGTTAGAAGAAATAAGTTCTAGTGTCCAATAGCACAGTAGGGTGACTACAGTTAACAACAATTTATTGTATATTTCAAAATAGCTAGAAGAGAAGATTTGAAATATTTCCAAAACAAAGATATAATAAATGTTCAAGGTAATGGATATCCTAAATACCCTGATTTGATTAATACATACTGTATGCATGTATCAAAATATCACATGTACCCCATAAATATATATAATTATTATGCATCAACTAGAACATTTTTAAAAATAAAGATATACATCCAAGTAACATAATTCATATGATCCAATTGATATATATTAAATTCTATATTTTGGAAACAAAGAATACATCTTTTCAATGGTTCATGGAATATTTATCAAAATTGATTATTAGGCCAAAAAAAAACCCTCAATAATTTTGATAGAGTGAAAGGCATGCTGTTGTCATAAGATAATAAAACTTGAAATCAGTAACAATTTTTCTTTTTTTGAGACAGGATCTCACCCTGTCACTCAGGCTGGAGTATAGTGGCACCATCACAGCTCACTGCAGTGTGGAAGTCCTGGGCTTAAGCGATCCTCCCACCTCAGCCTCCCGAGTAGCTGGAACCACAGGCACATGCCACCACGCCCAGCTAATTTTTGTATTTTTTGTAGAGAAAGGGTTTCAACCTCCTGGGCTCAAGCGATCCTCCGGCTTTGGCCTCCTAAAGCTCTGAGATTACAGGAATGAGCCACCATGCCCAGACAACAATTTTTTTTTTAACTCTACTAAATAGAACTTCTTAAACACTTAAGCAGCTCTTTCAACTGACACTGCAGAAGACTAGAACCAAACATATTTTACAGCTTTAAATAATTACATACATAAATATGAAAATGAAAATAAATGAATTAAGTACCCAACTCAAAAAGTTAGAAAAAGAGCCACAAAATAACTTAAAAAAGACTTGTGTGTGTGTGTGGCAGGGTCTCACTCTCATCATCCAGGCTGGAGTACAATGGCATAATCACCGCTCACTGTAGCCTCAACTTCCTGGGCTCAGGTGATCCTCCTACCTCAGCCTCCTGAGTAGCTGGGACTACAGGTGCACACCACCATACCCTGCTAATTTTTTGTATTTTTAGTAGAGATGGCGTTTTGCTATGTTGCCTAGGCTGGTCTTGAATTCCGGGGCTCAAATAATCCACCCACCTCAGCCTCCCAAAGTGCTGGGATTACAGGTGTGAGCCACTGCACCCAGCCTAAAGAAAGACTTTTTAAAGATAAATGTAGAAATTATTAAATTAGAAAATTGAAAAGCAATAGAGCATCAGAAAAGATTAAAGCATCAACTAACCAAATTATTGCATAGGGAAGGGACAGGGAAGGAGAAAAAGCATAAATGCAAATAATAAGTAATGAGAATAAATAACCTCCATTGATAAAAAAAAATTGCTCAACTCTGTATAAGGAACTGAAATCTCAACAGGTAATTCTGTATTTAAAAAAAAAAAAAAAAAAAACAGATTGGCCAGGAGCAGTGGCTCACACTTGTATTCCCAGCACTTTGGGAGGCTGAGGTGGGATGATGGCTTGAGCCCAGGAGTTTGAGGTTACAGTGAGTTATGATCCTGCCACTGCATTCCAGCCTGGGCGACAAAGTGAGAGCCTGTCTCAAAAAAAAAAAAAAAAGAAAAGAAAAGAAAAGAAAAGAAAGATTGTTCGAAGAGATAGGAAATCCAAACCATGGAGTGTGGGAAGGGGGACAAGAAAGTTTTTTAAGAAATCCCCTCTAATTAAAAAATGATTGGCCAGGCATGGTGACTCACACCTGTAATCCCAACACTTTGGGAGGCCGAGGCAGGTGGATCACCTGAGGTCAGGAGTTTGAGACCAGCCTGGCCAACATGGTGAAACCCCGTCTCTACTAAAAATATAAAAAAATTAGCTGGGCCTGGTGGCGCATACCTGTAATCCCAGCTATTCGGGAGGCTGAGACAGGAGAATTGCTTGAACCAGGGAGGCAGAGATTGCAGTGAGCGAAGATCGCGCCACTGCACTCCAGCCTGGGCAACAAGAGTGAAAACTCCATCTCAAAAAAAAAAAAAGAGATTAATTTCAACACCAGATGCATTCAGGATGACTCTAACCAGAAGAATCAAAGCCAGCATCATACTTGATGGGAAAATAGAGATATATTCCTAGTAAAGTAAAAAACTAGCTAAAGATGCCCAAGAACACTACTGTTACCTGATGGGTGGGGAAGGATTGAATAGGTCAATGTGTAACCGAGTATCTCAGCTTCAAGATGCATTTTAAAACTTTTTTTCTTTAAACTCAAAATATAGCCTTGAAATGTACTTTAAAACTCTTTGTTTTCCTCCCTTTCCCGCCAGGCACTCCCATGCACTGTGCTTGCTTATCTAATTATGTGCTTGCTTAGAAATTCCAGGGACCAATTCTGAAATAAACCAGGCATAGAGGCCCAGCTGCAGAATCCTCCTGCAGGAAGGTTACAAATGATTAGCCCACCACCATCAGGCCAAAGTCAGACTGACGCCAACCAGGCCCCTGGAGGGGCGATTATCAAGATAGCCATCGGAACGAGACATGCAGAACCCGCACCCGACATTTCCACGTATTTCCCATACCACATTTTCCTCTTAAATCCCTTTACTCAGCCCAAAAAGTTGAAATGGTTTTTTTGGAAGAATGAGCCTAGCCATTTCTTCAACTGCTGGTGCTTCACCACACCTCGCCTCATGAGTATTTGGCTTCTCAGGCAGCGAGCAGCCAGACTTACATTTGGTTACAAATGGAACTTGACAACAGAAAAAAATAAAATGTATAAAAATCAGGGGTGCAGTGGTGCACACCTATAGTCCCAGCTACTAGGGAGGCTGAGGCAGGAGGATCCCTTGAGTCCAGGAGTTCAAGGCTGCAGTGCACTATGATTGCACCTATGAATAGCCACTGTGCTCCTGCCTGGGAAACACAGCAAGACCCCATCTCTTTAAAAATATCAAAAAGAAAGAGATTAAATTATATTATTGTAAACCTAGAAAACCTAACAGAATCAACTGAAAACAACTGCAAATAGTAAGAAAATTCAGAGAAGCGAGTGACTAGGCAAAAGAATATTATGCAAAAATCAACAGCTTTCCTATAACACAAAGCACAACTGATTAGATAACAAGATGAGAGAAAAGATTCCTGTTATATTAGCAAGCAAAGAGAAAAGATCTAGCAAACAACAAATAGTGTGCAAGAACTAGAAGAAAAAAAGTCATTAAAATACTACTGAGTAGCACAAAAGACTCTTGAATAGATTGAATAACTGTGTATCTGGTAGGAAAAACTCAATTTTATTAAAGATGTTAGCCAGGTGTAGTGGTGTGTACCTGTAGTCCCAGCTACTTGGTAGGCTGAGACGGGAGGATTGCTTGAGTTGGGGAGGGCAAAGCTGCAGTCAGTCATGATTGTGCCACTGCACTCAGCCTGGGCAACAGAGTGAGATCCTGTCTCAAAAAAAAAAAGTATATATATATGCTAATTCTCCTTTCACTCATCTTTAAATTTCAGGACATTACAATAAAATTATGAACAGGGTTTTTTTAATTAATGGGCAAGCAAAAATATCCAGAATAACTCTGAAAAACAAAAACAAGACTGGGTACCTAGTCAGATGCATTCCCCGCTCCTTCTCTGTTCTAAAAGGAAAATGCTCTGGAGTGCGCATCACACTGGCAGTTTCCTTTTCTTGAGGAACAGCAGGGAAGAGGCCCAGCAATGGCTCCCTTGACAGGGACTCCACTCCACCCTTCCCTCCAGATGCAACATCACTCTGTGTGGCTCCAGCAGAGCCCCAGTTCCCCTCAGCCATACTCCTGGGCAGCCTCGGGTCACCAAGCAGAAAGAGGTGAACACCATGCTCCTGCGCTGTCGCCCCTGAGCAGCACCTCCAAATACTGGGAGCACTGGTCTTTGCCATCTCAAAGCTCCACCACCACATCTCTCAGAAAACCCATTATAGGCCGGGCGCAGTGTCTCACGTCTGTAATCCCAGCACTTTCGGAAGCCAAGGTGGGTGGATCACCTGAGGTCTGGAGTTCGAGACCAGCCTGGCCAGCATGGAGAAACCCCATCGCTACTAAAAAAAAAAATACAAAAAATTAGCTGGGTATGGTGGCACGCGCCTGTAATCCTAGCTACTCTGGAGGCCGAGACATGAGAGTCACTTGAACCCAGGGGACGGAGGTTGCAGTAAGCCAAGATCGTGCCACTGCACTCCAGCCTGGATGACAGAGTGAGACTCTGCCTCAAAAACAAACAAACAAAACCCATTATAGATTGAATTGTGTCCCCCAGAAAAGGATATGGTGAAGTCCTAACCCCTAGCCCCCAGTACCTAAGAATATAACCTTATTTGGAAATAGGGTCCTTGCAGGTGTAATCAGTTAAGATGAGGTCATACTGGAGTAGGGTGGGCTCCTAATCCAATATGACTGGTGTCCTTATAGGGAAGCAGACATGTGAAGACACAGTGCGACAGGGAAAACACCATATGAGGATGGAGAATTGGAGTGCTGCCTGCACAGGCCAAGGAACACAAAAAATTGCCAGCCAGCCACCAGGCGCCAGGAAGAGGTAAGGAAGGATTACCATACAGACCTCACAGGGAGCATGGCCTTGTAGATTTCTTCAGCACTGTGAGACAATAAACATGCTTGGAGCCACCCAGTTTGTGGTACTTTGTTATAGCAGCCCTAGGGAACGAATACAGATGCCTATGGTCAGAATGTGTGCACGTCCCACACCAGGGCAGGCAGCTGAGCACCCAGTGGAAGTGGTCTGGTGGAAAAACCAAGAGTTTATGCAGGCAATTTTGAGCAATTCAGTTAGGGGCATACTTCCTGGAGAGCAAGGAGCCTATGCTTTAGAGACACACCCCGCTATGGTTTGAATGTGTCTCTTCAAAATTATATTGAAATCTATGTTGAAGCCGGGCACGGTGGCTCACACCTATGATTCCAGCTCTTTGGGAGGCCAAGGTGGGCAGATTACTTGAGCCCAGGAGTTTCAGACCAGCCTTGGCAACATAGGGAGGTCTCATTTCTACCAAAAAAAAAAAAAATTTTTTTTATAATTAGCCAGGTATGGTGATGCATGCCTGTAGTGCCAGCTACTTGGGAGGCTCAGGCAGGATTGCTTGAGCCTAAGAGTTCCAGGCTACAGCGAGCTATGATTGTGCCACTGAACTCCAGCCTGGGCAACAGAGCAAAACTTCATCTCTAAAAAACGAAAAAGCAAGCAAGCAATTTATATTGAAATTTAATCTCTAATGCAACAGTATTAGTGGTAGGCCTTTAGAAGATGATTAGGCCATGAGGGCTCCTCCCGTCAGTCAGGTTGCCCTTCTGCCTCCCTCCATGCCGGGACACAGCAACAAGGCACCATCTTGGAAGAGGAGAGCAGCCCTCACCAGACACCAAACCTGCCAGCACCCTCATCTTGGACTTAGCCTCCAGACTGAGAAATAGATTTCTGTTGTTTATCAATTATCCCGTCTCAGGTATTTTGTTATAGCAGCCCAAATGGAGTAAGACATACCCCCAGGATAAGATATCACTCCAGTATCCACTTCCTTTCACAGGCCTCAAACGTTGCCCGGCTTCTGCAGGGAGAACTGCCTGGCCTAGCCTGGCTCCTCCTCATTAGCTGCAGTCCCCTGCTGCAATGAGCCCTGCCAGCCAGCGCCAAGTTCCCCTCAACACTAGTAACCTCAAGGATCTGGGGGAGAGGGTGAAGCCTCAGAGGGCCACAGACCTGATATTGCTGCACGTGGGGCCTGGAGCACTAAATTATGAGGACTAACAGGGGCATGTTATTTGCTCCCCAAATTGTGGGGGCCACCAACGTCACACAAATGCCCTTCACTCTATTTGCATCTCTCCCACTTACCTACCTGGCAAACTTCTACTCGTTCATTACAAACCAGGTCATGTCACCTCTTCTAAATCCTTCTGAAGCAGCAGGTGAAGTTAACCACTCCCCTCTTCATGCCACCACCGGGCCTCCTACACACACCCCTCTGTTACACATTCATATCACATTCTAGAGTAACTGTGCCAGGGACTGGAAGCTCCTTACAGATAGGGACCAGGTCTTTCTTGTCTGACTCCCTAGTACCTAACACTCTACCCCACATCAATAATGCTTTATGGCTTCCACATTGCTTTCAAATGCATTAACCTTTCCAACTGTGAATAGACTTAGAATGTTATTTATACCAGGCCAAAATCTCTCCCTCGGGATAATTTTATTTGCAGTTGGTGATCTCCCTCATTAGACAAAAAGTTCCTGAGAGTGAAAGACTAGCTCTTTTCCCTCTCTGGTCCTAACCCCACTTACGCAGAAGTAAATGCAACTACAGCTGCTGCTACCGCTGCCTCTGCCACTGTGGCTACCACCACACTTGCTACTGTTGGGATACTCTCAAGGAAATGCCCTGATAACCCCATTACATCACCTCTCTGGTGTGTTTGTCTTATATATCTCCAGGGAACCAGACAGTCCAATTTGTTTAATGCCACATGATCTGCTGCACTCACACCCTATTTTATGGCCTTAATTTAATTTATTATAGGCATCATGACATGGCTCTGTTTTTCTGAAAAACAAGTCACCTCTTACGTGTGGTATTTGATGATCATCACTCTCCTAGTTGACAAAGGCTGGAACTTTTTACATCTCTTTTCTAGTAATAGATAATATTTCTTCCTGGAATGAATCGAAAACCTTAATAATGTTCATAACCTTTGACCTGGTACATTTCATTCTAGAAGTTTATCCTAAGAAAATGGCCACGGGGCCCTGCAGGCATGGTAGCTCACGCTTGTAATCCCAGCACTTTGGAAGGCCCAGGTGGGAGGATTGCTTGAGGCCAGGAGTTTGAGACCAGCCTGGGAAACATAGCAAGACCCTGTCTCTACAAAGAAAAGAAAAAGAAAGAAAATGGCCATAGATGAACATAAAGGGGGTTTACAGCGGTATTATTTATATATAATGGTGGAGACCCCCACTGGGGAATTTGGGTGCAACCTCTTCAAAGCAAACATGAGGGACATGGTTAGGCACAGAACATCAACAGGCTTGAGCCTAATGGTGTAATGAAGCAGAGAAATGGTGACCTCTCCAGTGCTCAGAGGGAATGAGGTACAGTATGTCCTGAAGCGCTTGGAATAGGCCAGACACTAACCAGCCTCTTGCCTCTCTATTCTTGGGATCACCTTCTCTCCCAGGGGGAAGGCTTCCAGTTTCCTGGTCTTCCAAGATCTCCAAGACCTGCCTAGAAACTGGATGGTTCAAGGGCATCTCATAGAATAAAGCCCACAAGGATGGGTGGTCCATCCCTTCCAATCCAATGTGTTCCCACCTCCCCACTGTGAGTCACCACCCAACTCCCTTTCTCTGCTCCCTGGAGAGTCAGAAGCATCATTTCCTAAGCTTTTCTTGGCAGTTTCTCTCTGCTTCTTCCCTGCCAGACCTGGATTTTCATGAACATAGACAGCCCTTTTACCTCAAGCCTTTTCACGCCCTTATAGCAATAACTTAATCCAGTGCATCATATTATTTATTGATCAGATTCTTTTGGTTGAAAGTGACAAAAACACACTCAAACAAATTTCAATCAAAACAAGAAAAAAATAAGGAAAGAAAAAGAGACAAAAGAAAAGGGAAGAAAGAAAGCAGGGAAGGGAGGAGAAAGCAAAGAAAGTGGAAGAAAGGAGAAGTCTAGGAATAAATGACTTCAGATACAGCAGGACCCAGGAGTCCAAAAGATATCACTGGAGTCCTCTCATTCTTTATCTTTCTCTGCTTTCTCAGCGTTGGCTTCACGGTCAAGTTGACTCTCCTGCCTCATGTAATAGCAAAGATGATCACTAGCCACCCTAAACATACATAACTTCCCATCTAATGATTCCATCAGTGGTCATGTGGGGATGGAGGAGAAAAGACGGGGGGAGGAGTTCATCTTTTTTGCTTGCCCTAAGAAATGTCTCAGAGAAAGCTCTGAGTGGCCTGGCTTGGGTAACATGCCTAACCCTAAACCAATCACTGTGGCTACAAGATTTAAGATTCACCTGGCTGGCGCTAGGGAGTGAGGAGGGCCTCATCTGAATTTCATGGACTAAGAATCAAAGGAAGGTAGTTCCCTAAAAGATGCTAAAGGAAAAAGCAGGTTCTTTGTACTTGACTGCCCCATCCCAATCTCTGCCTCTCCTTGTACATAGTCAACCTCCCCAGCCTCTCTTGCATTTGGTCAGGAGTCAACTTCCACAGACTGACAATTTTATGCTCACCAGGCAGCCCAGGGTTCCAAAGCCATCTAACCCCTTCATGTAGCTCCCGATGTCCTATTTGCGTCTGCTTTTGTGTTGCAGCAAGCAGCAACAGTGGCCACACGGAAGAGTCTTATGATTTGCTCACAAGTCTGACTTCACCCTGAGTGAAGCCTACTTCCCTTGTCTACCCTAAGGCAGAGATCACTGTGCCAGGCCCCAAGCAGAAATGGGAACTCCAGGGCCCTGCAGCCACTGCCACCACCTGTGGTTGTGCAACTTTTGTGCCTTGCACACACTTAGCTTGTCAAGCAAGCATCCTAATGTATAGCTTTGCATCTGCCCAACAGAAAGGATGCCTTTTAGCAATGCTAGCAACCGCCCTGCCTACGGCAAAAGTACAGATAAGGAATGATTGCCCCAAGGCTGACATGGGAAGAATCTCAATGCTTAGACTTTAGACCTGGGTGACATGGCTTGATTAACAGAATTATTGCCGGGTGTTAAATAAAATAGGTGTTCTTATTCCTTCTGGGTGCCATGTGGCTGGGGTATAAAGGCAGTGAACCTGCCGTTATCTGCTGCTCCAGTCTGGCAAACATCTTTCTCCCCCACTGAATGGTAACATCGGCAGACTCTGAGGGGTGCTTCTTTGGGAGTTGACACAAGAGGCCATGGGAAGCAGCAGCCACCCACCTAAATGTACCCTTGTTTCATTTCTATCCTGTGCACTGCTTTCAGCTGCTTTGGGAGTAAACCTAAAACGAAAGAACTTTGAGCAGGATCCAAGCGGCCATTCTTGCCCACCCTCAAACCCAGGCCAAATTTCATGATTCAGCCAAGCTCATCAACAGGCTGTCATGGCTCCTGCCCAAACTCTGGAAATGAGTAAGTAACGCTTTCTGGTGGAGTAACAGGCACATATCAAGAAACTCACATGTTGGCTCCACTGATCCTTCTGTTCAGGCTTGAGTGGCCCCAACTCAGTAAAGTTTAGGTATCCTGGGTCTCCCCGGCGGTAGCGAGGAGTGCTTCTGAGTTTGTTGCTGTTGTTCTTGTTGAACATAGAGCATTTATTATGTTCTGAGCACTGTTCTGAGCAGTTTATACCTATTACCTAATCTAAATTTCACAACAGACTCTATATAATTGTCCTTTAAAAAAAAATGAAAACAGGCTAAACAACTTACCCATGACTACAGAACTGCCAGCTAACTGGGGGACTTCATGCAGTCATTCTCAGAGTCTCTCCTTTCACTGGGGGGGATTCTATCAGGGACCCCCAGTCCCATACTGAGACATGCCTCTCCCATAGCATCTGGCCATGGGATAACGCTGTGAAGAACAGGATAAGTGACAAGCACCCCCAGAAGACACCCGTCTTTGCCCATCACTGGCAAGGAGAGTGGAATCACCATATGGTGCTTAGATTAATTGCAAAGGGACAAATAAATGCCTAGGAGTCAACTACCCTGACCACTTTAGCTTTCATTTTTTATTTTTTGAGATGGAGTTTCACTCTTGTACCCCAGGTTGGAGTGCAATGGCGCGGTCTCGGCTCACTGCAACCTCCACCTCCCAGGTTCAAAAGATTCTCCTGCCTCAGTCTCCCAGGTAGCTGGGATTACAGGTACACGCCACTACACCCAGGTAATTTTTGCATTTTTAGTAGGGACGGGGTTTCACCATGTTGGCCAGGCTGGTCCCAAACTCCCGACCTCAGGTGATCCACGCACCTTAGCCTCCCAAAGTGTTGAGATTACAGGCGTGAGCTACTGTGCCAGGCCTCACTTTAGCCTTTAAATTTAGCACCTGTGAGTTTATCGGGGTAGCAAATGCCAGGACAGGATAACACCATAGAGAGCCCATCAGCACAGCAGGGCTTCTTCTCCCTCTATTCTTGAAGCATTCTAGCTTTGCACCCCTTAAGTCACTCAATTGTTTGGCAAACCTGGAATGGTTTCCCTTCAACAACAGCTGAATCCCAGGATATTCCAAGTCTTGATGATTAGGGAGTGAAGCCAATATCTTTTCAAAGTCTGAGCTCACCCCCTGTTGTAACCATATATGCCTGTCAAATCTTACTCTAGTCTTGCATAACACACATATATCAAGGCATCACTTCAGGTCTGTTTCTCCTGGTGGTTAAGATACGAAGGGGCCAGACACTGTGGCTCATGCCTGTAATTCCAGCACTTTGGGAGGCTGAAGGAGGAGGATCACTTAAGCTCAGATGTTTGAGACCAGCCTGGGCAACATAGGGAGATCCCATCTCTACAAAAAAAAATAGAAAAATTAGCTGGGTGTGGTTGCACATGTCTGTACTCCCAGCTACTCAGGGGGCTGAGGTGGGAGGATTGCTTGAGCCTGGGGAGGCTGAGGCTGCATTGAAGAGTTGATATGGGAGTGGGGCAGGGAAGTGCTGGGAAGGGAAGGGGGTGGTCCCTGGCTAGGGCTGCACCCCCAGGCCTGTGCCCAGGGACCTAGGTGAGGACAGGCATTTCTGTTTTCATGCCCAAACGTTGCATTTCCCAAGACCACCGTGGCCCACCACAGTCCTATCCTGTGCCTATAAAAACCCCGAGACCCGAGCGGGCAGAGACACAAGCGGCTGGACGTCAAGAGGAACAGATCAGTAGAGGAACGCACAGGCAGCTGGACATCGAGAGGAATACACTGGTGGAAGAGCATACCAACATGCAGTGGCAGATGCCAGCACGCTGGCACGCCATCGGCCCACGGAAAGACATAGAGTTTGCCTGGGGCAGTCAGAGGAGAGCCCAGCTGCTGAGCGGCCCAACTCAGGGGAAAACCACCTTTCCACTCCATCTCCCTTCTGGCTCCCCTATCTACTGAGAGCTACTTAAAATCAATAAAACCTTGCACTCATTCTCCAAGCCCACATATGATCTGATTTTTCCGGTACACCAAGGCAAGAACCCGGGATACAGAAAACCTCGCGATAAGGCAGAGGGTCTAATCCAGCTGGTTAGCACAGCCGCCTACAGACGGCAAAATTAAAAGAGCACACGGTAGCACACGCCCACTGGGGCTAGGAGCTGTAAACACTAACTGGCGACAGAGGAACGCTCCGTCTCAAACAAACAAAAGAAAAACATGTTGGCACTGTCCAAAGGTAGACGCTGCCGTGGGATCTGAACCCCACAACCTGCCCATCTGTATGTTCCATAGAGATTTCAGCAGCCGGGCCCTAAAGAAGCGAGCCACTCCCCTTGTTGCACTCCCTGTGAGGGGGACAAGGGAACCTTTCCCGTTTCACCGTGACGGTGCCACTGCACTCCAGCCTGGGCAACAGAGTGAGACCCTGTTTAAAAATATATATATATGTATATACATATATATGTTTATATACGTATATAAACATATATGTTTATATACGTATATAAACATATATGTTTATATATGTGTGTGTGTGTGTGTATGTATGTATATATATATATATATATATATATATATATATATATATATATATATATATAAAGGAGTTCATTCACACTCCTCTCAAGTACCGTTGGAAAAAAGTTATGTCATATAAACAAACTAGACAATCTATACCCCAGTCACCTTTTCCATTGAGTGGTTAAAGGATTCACAGACCCCTGAGGTGTTCTAGGGTATCCCATCAAACTGATATAACTCTATGGGCAACTGAGAGTGTGTTTTGTGTTTTTTGTTTTTTCCTCACTAACCATGGTTTTTTTTCTTAGTACCACTCCTCCCCAAACAACAGCATCAAATACCACCAACTCCCTGCCTGGCAGTGGGTCCCAACTCTGAGAAAACCTATACACATCTATACACATTACAATTGTACGTGACTATTTTGCCCACTACCACAGTGGGGGATTTAAAGGTCTTCGATGATAGTAGCTCTTCAAAGAGTTTCTGTAAATTCCTGATTTCAAACAATAAAATCTATTTTAATCTGCCCTCAGCAAACATAACTTACATTCCATTCATGGAGAAAGAAAAGGTTATTCTACTTTAGGGCTTCCTTTGCAGTCTTTCCTCCTGATCTCTGGGTGGTTAGAAATCCTTGAGATCAAAGGCCTCTGGATTTATCTGCAGGTCCAGGTGGAACAAACCCAGGAGAGGGCCAAGGGGCAGTGCTTGGGTCTGCATGGCCTCTGCCCACTCCACCCACCACACCCAGGAGGAGGGACCACTTCGTACCTCTGTGCTACCTTTGGACAGTGCCAACATGGTTTTTTTTTTTTTTTTTTTTGAGACGAAGTGTTGCTCTGTCACCAGACTGGAGTGCAGTCACGCAATCTCAGCTCACTGCAACCTCCACCTCCCAGGTTCAAGCGATTCCCCTGCCTCAGCCTACCAAGTAGCTGGGATTATAGGAACGCATCACCATGCCCAGCTAATTTTTTGTATTTTAGTAGAGACAGCGTTTCACCATGTTGGCCAAGATGATCTCAATCTCCTGACCTCGTGATCTGCCTGCCTCAGCCTTCCAAAGAGCTGGGATTACAAGCGTGAGCCACCACGCCTGGCCCAACATGTTTTAAAGGCTAGATTTAAGATCAGACAGCTGGAAGAGTCAGGATTCAACCCAGGTCTCACTCCAAAACTGTTTTCACTTTGCCAAAATTGAATGCTGCTGATATGTCCGTCTACCTAGAAAATCAAGAGAATCCTCTGGAAATCTATCAGAGCCACAAAGAGAGCTCAGTAAGAGGACTACTTTTAAAATAACTTTAACCATTATGGGCAATGTAATAAAAAAAAAATTAAGAAGCTGCTATTTAAAGTACTTGCCAAAATCAGGGTGACTCCTCTGAACTATGTTTCTAGAAAGAATCAAAAGAAATCAGTAACAGTGGCTGCCTTTGGGGAGGAAAACTAGGTGACTGCAGATGGGAGAAGGAGGGAGACTCCCTCTTCACTATACTTTTGAGCTTTAGATTTTTTTTGCCATATGCACATATCACCTATTGAAAATAAGTAAATAAGATTCCACGGGAATTAATAAACAATGAGGCAAACATTTTAGGATATTAAGAGGACATTAAACATCTGGACTCATCTACCAATGAGTTATTCTATCACCTCTCCTTTACTTACAATCCAAAGTAATATTAATATCAGATAGACTTCAATCCTAATGAAATTTGTGATTTTTCAAATGTCTAAGAAAACAGAAACTTCAGCCAGGTGTGGTGGCTCACGCCTGTAATCCCAGCACTTTGGGAGGCCAAGGAAGGTGGATCACCTGAGATCAGGAGTTCAAGACCAGCCTGACCAACATGGTGAAACCCCATCTCTACAAAAATACAAAAATTAGTTGGGCGTGGTTGCGCACGCCTGTAATCCTAGCTACTCCAGAGGCTGAGACAGGAGAATCGCTTGAACCCGGGAGGCAGAGATTGCAATGAGCCGAGATCAGGCCACTGCACTCCAGACTGCGCGACAGAGCGAGACTCTCTCTCAAAAAAAGAAAAAAAGAAAGAAACAGAAACTTCTCTTTTTTTAGGGGAAGATAACAGGTTTTGCTTTTAGCTGGAGGATTGTTTGCTCTGCGGAGTTAGTTTATAGCCCCTTTTATTACCTCTCTTTGGGCAAAACAACTGTCAGATTGAAATCCAATTAAGATTTCAGAAGGTTAAATGTGCATATGTTTCTTCTTTTAAAGAGAGATATTAAATAAGAAATCATAATTTTGAGCAGAAAAAGCTCTCACAGCAAAATCTTACAAGCATTTGGATGTTTTATTCATTGCAGTTGTGAAATTTCTCTACTGTGAAAGGACAGATCTTGGGCACTTGATTGCTTTTAAGGAGATGATCTTGTGTGATTTAAGTAGAAAGTCCATAGTTACAGTTTGACAACCCCAAGAGAGGAACACTTATTAATTGTATGATATTAGGAGGCTTCGGTTATACAAAAGAAAGACTGATCAAGAGTCTCCTAAAATAGGTAATATAAAATGCCAAGGAATCATTTTAACAAGAGCTGTAAAGATTAGGAGAGAGAACACTAGAAAACTTTTCTGAGGATCATAAACTAGAAACTTGAATAAATGGAGAGACAGACTTGCAAAAAGTAGTGGCTAAGGGCTCAGACTGCAGTTACAGGGAACTGCTGTGCTTATAAAATTCTCACTTGTAAAAATAAGGATACTCGAGCAGAACGCAGTGGCTCACGGATTTAATCCTAGCACTTTGGGAGGCTGAGGTGGGTGGATCACTTGAGCTCAGGAGTTTGAGACCTCCTGGGTCTCACCTCAGCCTCCTCCCGAGTAGCTGGGACTATAGGCACACACAACCATGCCTGGCTAATTTTTGTACTTTTTATAGAGACAGGGGTCTCACTATGTTGCCCAGGCTGGTCTCAAACTCCTGGACACAAGCAATCCTCCCGTCTTAGCCTCCCAAAGTGCTAGGATTACAGGCATTATCCAACACTGCTAAGTTATAACACCATCAATTTAAGATACATACCAATTTCAGATATGTTAAAGATTTTTAAAAATGCACCTTAGAATTGATGAAATTTATATGTACATATAAATCATATATGCATAGAAAAAGAGCAGACTATATCATACCAAAATAGCAACATTGGTTATCTCTAGGTAACATAATTATGGATAACTTGTCTTCTTTTTTTGTGATTTTCTGTGCATCTGAAATTTTGCACATTGAAAATGTGATATTTGGATCATTAGGAAAAATAATATATTCCCCATCCCACCTGACTCTTTCAACCCTTCTCCCTGTCTCTTATTCTCCTCTCTGTTCTCTTTATGTTCTTTGTCCACGTCCCAATCCAATGCCATGCTAAGCCAAATTGGAGCTTGAGGCAAAAGGAAAAATACAAGCTCCTGGCTTTAAGGCAAGCAAACTCATTAGTCATATTTTCAAAACTAACTGTTTTGCTTATTTCATTTTGAATTGTAAGATTGCCACGTTTGACAGTTTCCCTTGACCAAGTGATGATCTTAAATAAATTATAATTAACTAAGGCTGAGACCGGGCGTGGTGGCTCACGCCTGTAATCCCAGCACTTTGGGAGGCCGAGGTGGGCGGATCACGAGGTCAGGAGTTCAAGACCAGCCTGGCCAATATGGTGAAACCCCGTCTCTACTAAAAATACAAAAATTAGCCGGGTGTGGTGGCACACACCTGTAATCCCAGCTACTCGGGAGGCTGAGGCACGAGAATCGCTTGAACCTGGAAGGTGGAGGTTGCAGTGAGCTGAGATCGTGCGACTGCATTCCAGCCTGGGCGACAGAATGAGACTCCGTCTCAAAAAAAAAAAAAAAAAAAAAATTAACTAAGGCTGAAGTAAAATCATAATAAATTCCATTTTGGAACAAATAAAATATTTAAAGTAATGCTGTGAGTTTTAATACACCTATGTTTCAAGTTTTAAATGTTTTTTCAACTACTTTAATGCTCTAGGAAAAAATAACCATTCAAAAAATACAGAAAAATATGTATGAGGGTATATATTTTTCTTTTTTCCTTAGGCTTCAATATGGCTTAGAAGGAAACTAGTCTTTTTTTTTTTTTTAAATAAAGATGGGGTCTCACTATGTTGCCCAGGCTGGTCTTAAACTCCTGCGCTCAAGTGATCCTCTTGCCTCAGCCTCCCAAAGTGCTGGGATTACAGACATGAGCCACCAGGCCCAGCTGATTCTTTATTTTGAATTTTTGATACTTTGTCCATCACTGATTTTTTGCATTAATTTTGATTTTTTTAAAATATTGCATTAAAGTATTATTTATCTTGGTTACTGAGTTTTTAGATGCCCCCATAAATTTTGCACTCAAGAGAAGTGCCCTCACTTGCCTTACCCTAGTCCTAGCCCTGCTCCTTCATAGTCATTTTTACATCAGGCTCCCCTGACAAACTATGGGTGTCTGGATGAGACAGACATGACTTATTATCCTTGTATCTCCACACCTGACCTAGCATAGAGGCTAACACATGGAGCACTTTAACAGCATTTTATTGAAGGGAGGAATGGAGGAAGGAAAGAAGAAAAACAGCTAATATTATAATGGCTAACATCCAAATTTCAACTGACTGCTTATTGTGTACCAGATGCTGGGTTAAGCACTTTGCTTATTTAATCTTACAACCCAATCATAAAAATAACATATCCATTTTACAGATGAGGAAATTGAGGCACACAGAAATGGGTGAATTGTAGCGCATGAGTGATTATGGCAGAACTAGGAGCAGCTCTGCTTGGGTTCCCTAAAATATTTCTCGCTTTAACTGTTTCTCTCCTGAGCATGGGAATGAGATGAGGAGTAAATGTGAATATGCAGGAAAGTAGAGCAGCAGATGTAATTTAGAAGACCCAACTCTCACACTTTCATGTGTTATCTCACTTGAGCTTCATTAACAACCCCAGGTATCATTAACTGCACTTCACAGATAAGAAACAAAGAGGTAGGGAGGGAGTGGGAGACTCCGTTGTTTCCCTCAGGGTAGAGGAGAGTGGGTGAGATGAGAGGTAGTGATAGGACAGAGGGAGGTTGACCAGCTGGCCTCCCTACTAACCTCCTTGGCAAGTTCACGGCATCCCTTGCACACTCCCCTAGCTAAGTGGAGCCAGCACCTCCCCCTGAAGGGCAGGTCTCCCTCACTCTGCCCCACCAGAGGTGGGTATCCCCTCACCAGGGACCGTGTGGAAGGAAGAGACTAGATAAAGGCCAGGGCTGGTGTCAACGGCCTCACAGAGCTGCCTTTGTCACACTTCCACTGTTCTGCTCCCCTCCAGGTTTCCTGCCTTATGGTGGGGAACACCCTTGATGCACACTCATGTGAAAAGTGAAACTCAGAACACCCAAAACCCGAATCTAAAACAGCCAAGAAATAAAAATAAGATCGTGAGAAAAAAAAAAAAGAAATTCATAGGACTTCCTGAGAAGGGGTCATCCTGGGTCTTTGCAGTTAACAGAATCTAGACATGTCCTGCAGAAGCGCTTATGGGAACTTTCAGTCAGGAATATGCACGGGACCTTGGACCCAAGGTTTCTGGAGATAGAGACAATGTCTAGAGAGGTGGGAAATGGAGCTTTCACTGTATACATTTTCATAGTGCCTGACTTATTACCATGTGCATATATAACTTTTTCATTTTTATTTTCCATTTCATTTACGTATAACTTTTTCATTTACAGAAACCCGTTTTTTTTTTATTTATTTTTTTCAGAGACATGGTCTTGCTCTGTTGCCCAGACTAGAATGTAGCATTGCAGTCACAGCTCGCCGCAGCCTCTAACTCCTAGGCTCAAGCAATCCTCCCACCTGAGCCTCCGAAGTAACTGGGACCACAGGCACATGCCAACACACCCAGCTAATTTTATTTTCATTTTTTCACTATCATATATGTTTTTTAAACTTTTAGGTTCAGGAGTACATGTCCAGGTTTGTTACATGGGTAAATTGCATGTTGCGAGGGTTTGGTGTACAGATGATTTTGTCATCCAGGTAATAAGCATAATACCCGCTAGGTAGTTTTTGATCTTCTCCCTCTTCCCACCCTCCACCCTCAAGTGGGCCCCCGTGCCTGTTGTATTTTTATTTTTTGTAGAGACAGGGTCTCGCTGTATCAGGCTGAACTCAAAGTCCCGGCTTCAAGTGATCTCCCACCTCAGCCTCCCAAAGTGCTGGGATTACAGGCATGAGCCACCACTCCCAGCCTAAAAAACCATTTTTCGAAAGTTGCCTGTACCAGCGGAGGCAGAAATTGCAGTCACTATTCTGTGGTGGCTCATCTGCAAACCTTCCTGGCTTGGTGGAGAGGAAGCCTGCACCGTCCTTCCTGTTAGGAGAGAACAGCTCAGTGCATGACACATTAGGGGTGGGTCACACATCCTGCGGACTCATGAACCTCCAAATTAGGCAGCTAATTATTCTGAGGATTCCAAGTCACATTTAAAATCAGCGTCAGCTGAAGTAAAATCAGATGAGTAATTTGCTTCCGGAATGCGAAACACACAACGCAGACTGCTGCTACTTCTTGGGAAGCTGGGCCCGGCCCTCTCAGGAGCACCAGGCTGGGGGTAATGGCCATGACCCTGTCCTGGGAAGGAATAGGGGCCATTCACCTCAGGTTAGGTTGGGTCCTGACTAAGGTGCAAGACTCACGTCAGGATCACACAACCCCTGAGGGTCAAAGGGCAGAGGTGGAGGAAGGACAGAGCAAAGACGGTAGGTCCGACCTGTACAGGGAGTGTTCAGCCCCAAGAAGAGAGACATGAGGGGCAGCATCCCACAATCTTCCACAGGAAGTGCCCTCATTCTGAGAAAGACAGCTGTCAAGTAAGGCACATGACAAGAATAGAAGCAGCTGGGGCAGTGAGGTGGAATCAGAGTCCAGAGGGTCTACAGATGGGCTAAGGGATGCTCAAGGAAGCTCTGTAGAAAGTCTCTCTAGGAGCTTAAAGCCCACGGCCTGGAATGTGAAAGGAAGGGAGTTGGTGGAAGGCTGCTTAGAGTTAGGGGAGTCGGGCATCATGCCAAGAGTGAGCAGATGAACCCCTTTCTACTCCTGGGAGAATGTCCATCCTTCACGTCACTCTGATCATGTGTAGCTGGGCAACTCTTCTTCTCCACACTCTGCTGGCCTTCTCTCCTGACTCCATCAAAGAACATCTCACCTTCTGAATAGATCAAACCTACCTTGGAGTCTCAGGTTAGAAAAAAAGATTACTTTCTTCATTCACCTGTTAACACCCGGCTGGCTTCCCTGCCTTTCCCAGTGCGTGTCAGAACTTCTTGCTAGGATCTACTCACTCATGCTCCTGCTCCCAGGTCTTAGGGTCTTAGAAATACAAATTCATGGCTGGACTCGGTGGCTCATGCCTCTAATCCCATCACTTTGCGAGGCCGAGGCAACAGGATGGCTTGAGCCCAGGAGTTTGAAACCAACCTGGGCAACATGGCGAAACTCCCTCTCTACAAAAAAAAGTTAGCTGGGCATGGTGGCATGCATCTGTGGAGGCTGAAGCAGGAGAACAGCTTGAGACCCGGAGGTCAAGGCTGCAGTGAGCCGTGATAGCTCCACTGCACTCCAGCCTGGGCAGTAGAGCAAGAAAAGAAAAGAAAGAGAGAAAGAAAGAGAAAAAGAAGGAAAGAAAGAGAAAGAAGGAAAGAGAGAGAGAGAAAGGAGAGACAGAGAGAGTAAGAAAGAAAGAAAAAAGAAAAAAGGAGGGAGGCGGGGCAGCAGAAAGAGGAAGAAAACAGAAAGAAAGAAAGACAAATTTATTTAAATATCAAAACAAAAGAGAAACTGAACTAGTGGTAGAAGTTTCTACCATAGAAAGTTTTCAAATTATTGGCTATTTGGAGTCATGCGCGCTCCTTCTCTGTTGCTAAGGCCCCAAAAGATTGCAGCACACGAGGCAGCGCCGGAGAGGACCACTGAGCAGCACGGGCCCTGGCGGGGTAATTCCGAACACCGGCTTAGGAGGCGGGTTTACCAGGATTCTCATTCCAGCCCTGCCACTAATTGTTCAGGGTTCTCAAGGTCGAGCATGCACAAAATCACCCGGAGGGCTTTTAAAACACAAGTCGCCGGGCCCAACCCGAGTTTCGGAATATTTAGGTCTGCGGTGGGGCCCATTTCTTTTCTTTTCTTTTCTTTTTTTCTTTTTTTTTTTTTTTGATACGGAATCTCGCTCTGTCGCCAGGCTGGAGTGCAGTGGCGTGATCTCGGCTCACTGCAACCTCCCCCTCCCGAGTTCAAGCGATTCTCCGGCCTCAGCCTCCCGAGTAGCTGGGATTACAGACGCCCGCCACTACGCCCAGCTAATTTCTTGTATTTTTAGTAGAGACGGGGTTTCACCATGTTGGCCAGGCTGGTCTCGAATTCCTAACCTTGTGATCCGCCCGCCTCGGCCTCCCAAAGTACTGGGATTACAGGCATGAACCACCGCGCCCGGCCAAAATTTCTAATAAGTTCTCAGGTGATTCTGACTGGCGCTGCTGGTGGGGGATCCCACTTTGAGAAACACCCTCTGCTGTGTGAGCAGCTGCCTCCCCGGTACATTCGGAATAATCATAGTAGGTTTAAAGTTTGCTGGGGCTGGGATTCACCTGATACCTGGCACTTGGAGCCCTTGACACAGTTCATGGCACACGGAATACGAGCTCTTGTTGGATGGAGCACAAATGAGAAGCAAACCTGGGGCAGGACCCCGGGGCCCATGGCCGCCCCGCCGCGTTTCCCCCTCCGGGGCAGGCCTCCGGGCTCCGAGCGCTCCAGGCTGGCGCGCAGCACATTCCGGTTCCATGCACCCGCCGCCCGCGGCTCTGCTAATGCCTGTCCTCTTTGGGGTGACTAGGACCCTCCAATCTTTTTCCGCGCTGAAAGCCTGGCCGCAAAGACCGCACCCCCGGGGCGGGCTGAGACGCAGAGAAGCCGGGGCGCCCCTCTGCCGGTCCGCCGGGAGTTCCCGGGCCCGCAGCAGGCTGAGGACACGGCGGGACCCGCTGCACCTGGCCAGGGAGGGGCGGGGCGGGCGCGTTAGTGCAGCTGGGGGAGGTCCCGCCCCGGTCCCACCCTCCCGGCCGTCCGGTGGGGAAACCCGGGAGCCACCCCGCGGCGCGGCTGCGGCTTTGCCTCGGCGCGACAGGTAAGCGGCAGAAGGAGCCCGCGACCCTCTCCCCGGGAGGGCCCCCCTGAGCTCCCCGACTGCTCGGACTTCCCTTCGGCGGATCTCGCTTCTGCCGAGTCCTCGCTCTCACCTCCTCCTCCGCCAGCCTTCGCCTCTTCCTCTTCCTCCTCACTACCCCCGACAGTAAAATGAAGGGGCTGGGCCAGGCTGGTCCCTCCTGCCTTCGCTCTCTGCTGGTCGCGGTGGCCTGTAGCTCCTCCCTCGGTAGGACCCCCCTCCACCTTGGCGCTTACGAGATGAATGAGGAGCCCAGACCTCTGGAACTTGGAGGGGTGAGAGGGGGACAAGCCAGAGCCAGGGCTCCACACCCTCTTCCCCTCACCCACCCATGCCCTGCATTCCTTCTGTGCCCCGTCTCCCCAGATCGGGCCACCCCATGTGCTCTGGTACGGCAACTCTTGCAGAGAGGTTTCCTCCTGCCCTGCCACGTTGCGCCTGAGCAGAAGGGGACAGCAAGGAGAAGCCTCGCTGGTGGAGGTCGGTCTGAGCCCTGCTTGGTTGAATTCCCTCCAGAGCCTGGGGGCTTTTGGGGGTGGGAAGGGATCTGCCTCCTGCTGTGGGGAAATGGAATCTGCTGGGTGTTCATGACTGTGACTGTCACCGACTTCCCTATTTCCTCAGTTGTTCAGATTCCCAGGCTGACAAAAAGGAGAAACAGCTTTTACTTGCATCCAGGGCCAATCATCGCAGACCCAGACGTCTGCAGAGGGTAGGATGGGGCTCTTCTGTGTATGGGGGTGGAGGGTGGTCAGTTTGCCCACAAAGCTTACAGCAGACCCCTTCTAGCAGCCGACAACCCATTGCAGCACTCTCAGAAAGGATGTTAACTCTGTGCTCTGAGCTCGCCCCCAGGCCCACACACACAATTTACAGGCACTGGGTGAGGTTCATAGTTCTGGACACACCAAAGAGCCTCGAGGACTTTTGCGCCTTCTACCAGAGATGTGTGTGCACCACACAGGCCCTATTCTCCGCTCCAGACAGATGAGCTGTCTCCCTTCCCATCAAAGGAAAGGTTAAGAAGGATGAGACAGGGAAATTCATGTGATGATGAAAACCAGGTCAGGTGAGGGGTTTGAAATATGCTTTGGTTCCGGCCACATGTGGTGGCTCATGCCTGTAATCCCAGCACTTTGGGAGGCTGAGGCTGGTGCATCACCTGAGATCAGGAGTTCGAGACCAGCCTGGCCAACATGGCAAAACCCCATCTCCACAAAAAATACAAAAAGTTAGCCGGGCATGGTGGCAGGCGCCTGTAATTCCAGCTACTTGGGAGGCTGAGGCAGGAGAATTGTTTGAACCTGGGAAGCAGAGGTTGCAGTGAGCTGAGATCGCACCATTGCATTCCAGCCTGGGCAATAAGAGCAAAACTCTGTCTCAAAAAAAAAAAAAAAAAAAAAAAGAAAGAAAGAAAGAAAGAAATATGCTTTGATTCCAATTGCCTAGCAGGAGCCAGTAGCATTGCAGGCATTTCCCTAGCTCCAGTTCCTTAATGGTGCCATGCACTTTAGGAACCCAGAGGTAATCAGAGAAAGTTGCTTCCAGGGGCACCAGGGCAGAGAACAGGACAAGACCCTCAAAAGAAAGAGGGAAGTGTGCAGGAGACTGGGCTGCTCAAGATGACCTCACCTCAGTAATGCTGCCCACAGTCCTACAGTGGGTGGAACAGCTGACTCCTACCTGTAGCAGCATGGAAGAACTCAGGGCAGAGAAGGGGAGGCCCTGATGTGTGTCAGGTGCCCTGTGAGGTCAGAAACATATTTGCCCAAGTTCAGCTGGAAGAAGTGGGGACAGGAAATATGAGCATGAACTTAGTCCATGCAACCATTGCCTCGAACAGACCTCAGGACCAGGAGGGGCAGCTAACCCTAGGGCTGAGGGCCTCTCAGTGCAGGGAGGCAGTGAGTATCATGAAGGCAGGCAGCTGACTCAGCCCTGTCACTAACTTCGATATATAATCTTAGCCAAAACACATAAACACTCCCTGGGTGGGGAGCAAATGAGAAGGTGTATATGAAGTGTTTTGGCAAAGCTCCAAGCACCAGTCAAATGCAAGACAATGTGATGTCATAGTTAAGAGAGTGGGCTTTGGAGATACATAGGCCTGAATGCAAATTCTGCCTCTGCCACATTTCTAGCTGTGTGACCTTGGTCAAGTTACTTGACCTCCCTGTGCTTCAGTTTCCTTCTGTGTAAAACAGAGAAGATAACTGTAACTTGATTTGATATGGTAAGCAGTAATATTTAAAATGGTGATGGTATTCTTCTTAACATTTTCTGGCTCCCACGGATGTGTTCCGACATCTCAGCCCTGGAAGGGATGCTGAAGACCAGGTTGGGTGTGTCCATGCCGTAGCTTGGGTGAACTCAGCTCTTTACACAGTCCTCTGCCCCTTTCTGGGAAAGCCCAAATGTTCATTCTCATTTGATAGGAACGAGAGTGAGGATTTGAATAAGCAGGAGGTTAAGTGCAGGGCAGTGCCTGTCTCTGTGTCGAGCTCAATGTTGTAATTGTGCTGTGTAAAAGGCCTGTGTGGTGAACAAGGGTGAGCTCACTCCAGGGAGGAGAAGGACTGTTAGAAGACTTTTGTGGCACCTGACAGCCCTGTGGGGTCAGCTTATTCTCTCGTACCCTGAACAACTTGGTCCTAAGGCCTAGGTAGAGATTTGAAGGAAGAAAGCAACCCAGTCCTCAACTCTGCACGTAATAGAGAATGAAGAACAGACTAGCAAAATAGCATTGCCATACATCTCAAGGCAGAGAGATGCGACAGGGATTGGAAGGCCAGGTAGATTGGTCAGGAAGAACATTCTGGAGACAGAAGTTTGGGGACCAAGACTCAAGGATTGGGAAGGAGAAGGAAATAGGATCTAGGTGGTCTACCGTCTAGGCCTGTTGGTTCTCCCTTCTCCATGATAGTTAGTGGGGAAATCCCACGTAAGGAAAGCACGGGTAGTAGAGAAACTTGGGAACAAATAACACCTAGAAACTGAGGCAGCAAGATGCACCTTAGTCTAGGAAGCCTTCTTGAAAGAGGGGAGTCTCTGGTAAGAATTTGAAAGAAAAGAAATATGGCTTGCTTAGCAAGAATATAAGGGAAAGGCTTTGAGGAAGAAAAGATAGCCAGTGAGTGCCAAGCATCTGGTTGGGCTTGAGGGTGAGCAGCAAACAGGAAGCAACCCGGCCAGCCCCTCTGTGTTTCTGCCACAGTCAAACAGTGCTCAAGGAATATGAATACGGCTGTCCTGATTGTGAAAGAGAGAGAGGGGCCCGAGGCAAAGGAGGCTGGCAGGCAGCTCCTGCTGATCCTCCAGATGCTAGTTGATAAAGGCCCAATTTCAAATGAAGGTTTTGAAAGCAGAAAGGACAGTGAGGAACCCGGAGGCAGGGAATGAATCAGCAGGACTTGGGAGCGGGTGTGGGGTGAACCTGAAATTGAGACAGGATTAAAAACGACCTGTCTGAGAGTGGGACAGGGGCTGGCTTGTTTCACGGACTTCAATGCTTCTGGCAGCAATGGGGAAATTGGGCAGGCTGGCTAGCAGAGGAGGCTGGGCACAGACCCTGAGCCCAGGGGATGGTACATTGAGTAGCCAGTGGCCCCGGGTGAAAGTTCTGCAGCCAAGAGCAGACTGGGGGATGAGGAGAAAAGGAAAAATTCAATTCTAGTCTCTCCCATTAAGCCCCCTTCCCAATTTGAAGACTGGCCCAAGAGGCCTTCGGGAATACCCCTCCTGTCTTCCACCCTTCTCATCACTTCCCTGTCCCTTCTCTGTCCTTTCCCCCAACTCTCCCCCTCAAGCCCAGTCTCGTTGTCACCAAGGCTTCTAGGTGATTAGAGAATCCCACCTCATCTCCACCTGGAACCCTCCCTCCACTTCTGCACTCCTAGGGATAAACCGTTGCACACCCCTGCCCCACCTGGAAGGGCCTACAGGGTCTCCAGTGAAAAACCTGTGAACTGTTGAACCTCCTGTTTGGTGGCATATTATTTTGATTTTTGGTGACTTTTTCTTGGAATAAGTCAACAAATATTAACCAAGTGCCTACCACATGCCAAGCGCTGCTCTAGGTATACAGTGGTGAGCAAAGTTGGGTTGAGTTTTTCAATAGAAAATCCATGTTTGGGTAATTTAAGCTTAAAATATCATGCAAACAGGCTGGATGCATTGGCTCACACCTGTAATCCTAGTACTTTGGGAGGCCGAGGCAGACAGATCACTTGAGGTCAGGAGTTCAAGACTAGCCTGGCCAACATGGCGAAACACTGTCTCTACTAAAAAAATACAAAAATTAGCCGGACGTGGTGGCGGGCGCCTGTAATCCCAGCTACCCGGGAGGCTGAGGGATGAGAATCGCTTGAACCCAGGAGTCGGAGGTTGCAGTGAGCCGAGATCCCGCCACTGCACTCCAGTATGGGCAACAGAATGAGACTCCATCTCAAAAAAAAAAAAATTATGCAAACATAAAATGAACCTTGATATGTTGGGGGAACTTGACAGACTAGCTACAGAAATAATTTTCAGCGTATCTTCCTGGGAAAATAAGCCACAGTATTGCAGCTTGAGTCTTGGAGAAAAGCTGAAGTGTCTTGAAGGTGTAATTACGGGGAAAAATAAAAACCTCCCACATTCTGTGATCAAAAGGGTCAGGGGTGGGAGGAGGGCTTTGGAGAAGATAATTTGCTCTTCTGTTCACAGTATGAGTACAGAGGACTTGAGATGAGTGCTGTGTTTGATGGAGAGAAAGTGCTTATGAGGAAGAAAGGACGGTCATTTGGCCAAACAGCCTCTCAGCCCCATTTCCCCCAACAGTAGTGTGAAATTAACCTGCCCCCTCCCCAATATGATGTCTAGCTCCACACACCTGTGCCCGTGGTAAGAGTGGTGACAGTTATCACTTTCCAAAGAAACTTGTAATTGAGCCCTCCTCTGAGTAACTTGAGCAAATATCGCTGTGGTAAGGACTGCTTGCTTCCTGCTGCCACGTCTAAGGAGGTGACCAGCTCACCTGATAAATAGAAAGAAACATTGTTACAAAGAGGCCACCTGGAAAGCTAGGGCATGTTCTGGATGGCTGACTCTGACATTCACAAAAGCTAAGGCTGCCTGGGACTTCCAGTCTCCACATCTTTAAAGCATTTGTATCCTTGAGTGGGAGGAAGGCAAATGCCAGGAAGGGGATCAAAGGGTGGAGTCGGGGAGGCTCAGGGAGGACAGGCCTGGTCCCCAAATTCCCTACTCAACCTCCACGGGTATGAGTGTGGTAAACAGAGTAGTGGTCTAGGAGTTGAGAGATCGGGTTCTACTCCTGGGAGCCACTAGCTGTGTGTTGCTAGAGAAGTCACCTAACCATTCTGGCCTCGCCGTTGATAAAATGAGGGTGTTAGACCCACAGACAGACCTAGTCAAAACAGCAAGCTAATGTGTAATGGCAGAATATCCTGTAAGTCAAGTATTTCTTGCAGTAAGTTCATTCAGAACATCATTTAGTGAAGCCAGTGCTCCACATTTAACCCTTCCAACCTCATCTCATTTAACAAGAGTTTGTGGAACTAGCCAGGCCTGATGGCACGCACCTCTGTATTCCCAGCTACTCAGGAGGCTGAGATAGGAGGATTGTTTGAGCCTGGGAGGTCGAGGCTGCAGAAAGCTGTGTTCATGCCACTACACTTCAGCCTGGGTGACAGAGTGAGACCCTGTCTCCAAGAGAAAAAAAAAAAGTTTATGGAACACCTGCTATATGTAAAACTTGTGCTAGACTTTGTAGGTGATAAAAAGCTGGAAATGGCATGGCCTCTCTGGTCCAGGAGTCCATAAACACAGGGTGGGCTGTGATGAGACTGGAGTACAAATAAAAATCGGGTGCTAAGGGGGCAAAGCAGGGAAGAGATGAATTCTGCTGGGAGATCTGAGAAGGCTTTTTGGAGGGGGGCTAGAATATAAACTGTGGGGTTTGGACTGTGTCACTGGCTTTCAAACTTCTATGACTTGACCAAAGTGAGAAATATACTTTATAGCGAGACCCGGTACCTGTGTATATGTGACAGGGCATCCCAAAAATCTTAGGGCAGTTTTATAATTTAATCACATTACAAGCATAAATTCTGCAAACCATAAAAACTATCATTTGAAAATGGAATCATTTAAACTTCTTTTGTCTTTAGTTGTATGAATTTTGAATAACAAATTTATCATTTTAATTTTGTATCAGGCAGTGTGTATCTTTAATAGACTGAAACAAACATTAAAATAAAAGTTTACTTTTCAGGCTGGACATGATGGCTCACACCTGTAATCCCAGCACTTTGGGAGGTCAAGGCAGGAGGATTGCTTCGGCCTAGGAGTTGAAGACCAGCCTGGGCAGCATAGTGAGACCCCCATCTCTACCAAAAAATAAAAATTAGCCGGTCTTGATGACACACACCTATGGTCCCAGCTACTCCAGAGGCTGAGGTAGGAGGATCCTTTGAGCCCAGGAGGTCAAGGCTGCAGTGAGCTGAGATTGCACCACTGCACTCCAGCTTAAGGAACAGAATGAGACCCTGTCTCCAAAAAAAAAGAAAGAAAGAAAAAACGAATACTTGCCTGTGTTACATGTGATACATGATGCACTTTGATATTTTCTTTTCATTCTATTCTGGGTTTTTAAAATTTATTTATTTTTATTTTTTGAGACAGGGTCTCGCTCTATTGCCTAGGTTGTAGTGCAGTGGCATGATCATAACTAACTACAGCCTCAACCTCCTGGGCTCAAGCAATCCTCCAGCATCAGCCTCTCAAGTAGCTGAGATTACAGGCCTATGCCACCACACCCAGCTAACTGGTCTCTTTTTGCTAATTGGTCTTTTTTTTTTTTTTTTTTTTGAGACAGAGTCTTGCTCTGTCACCCAGGCTGGAGTACGGTGGTGCTATTTCTGCTTACTGCAACCTCCAGCTCCTAGGTTCAATCAACTCTCCTGCCTCTGTCTCCTGAGTAGTTGGGATTACAGGCACATGCCACCATGCCTGGCTAATTTTTGTATTTTTAGTAGAGAAGGGGTTTCACCATGTTGGCCAGGTTGGTCTTGAACTCCTGGCCTAAAGTGATCTGCCCACCATGGCCTCCCAAAGTGCTGGGATTTCAGGTGTGAGCCACTGTGCCTGGTCCTAACTGGTCTTTTAAAGAAATTTTTGAATGCTAATTTGCAACACTCTGAATTTATTTTATAATATCACAGTGGATTGTAATCAGCAGTTTGATACAAGCTGGGCTGGGTAAAGCCTCAGTTCCTTACACCAGTGAGAGAAGGTAAGTTTGTGTTCTGGCCGGTGGGGCCAGGGAAGCAAATCCCATTTGTTCAATCTAGGCAGGCTTTTCAGAGAGGATTTCTGGCATCATCTCGGGATCAAAGCCAAGGATGGTCCAAAGAGTTGCAGGCCCAAGGGTAGCTGGAGGAAAAAGACTTGGGAAGAAGTGCTGAGCCACAGCGAGAGGGAAATGAGTGGATGGGGGCTGCGGGCACACTTGCCAGGAAAGCAGGAGGCCAGGTGTGGGAGCCCAAAGGTGAGGGAGATATACAAGACACCAGGGGCGGATCTCGTGAAGCTTTGTACTTGAAACAATAGCAAAGAATAGCAGCTATTCTTTCTCCAAGGCTGGTGGAGGGGCGACCTCCACGACCTTGCTAACCATACTTCTGGGAATCATCTCCTACACAGGGAGCAGAAATCCTTAACCCCAAAGTCCTGTGGCTTGCACTAGATTCTGTGTCTCTTCTAAGGGACTCTTCCTGTTGCCCTCATGCTAAGCAAACAAACTAGAGAATGAGTGCCTCACCACCAAGGCTAATCCCAGGTGTCTCATTTCGGTTCAGGATGTGGTTAGTACCTTGAGGAACTGTAGGTTTGAGAGAGAAAGCTTCAGGCAGCCAGATGGGATTGAGAGATTAGATGCCTAGGAAGAGCTCAATTTAACCCTATATTTCTTTCTCCAGGGAAAATAAAAGAAGCAAAAACAGGCCCTGCTGTGAGGGACCACGAGGCAGTGCCAGGATGAAAGAGTTGGAGTAACCTAGGTGATTCTGAGTGAATCAGTCAGGAGGCCTTCCTGGAGGGGGTGAGTCTTGAGCACTGGCAACAGTTAGTAACTACAATCTTACCATGCCTTTGTTTCTAACTGTGCTCCCTCTTTCTTGCTGGAGTGGGAAGGTAGATGGAAAGTAGCAGGGAAGACGAAGCCTGCAGGACGGTTCAAAGCTGTCATGGCAAACACTCCCCCATTCTGCAGGCCTCTGTGTGGGCTTAGCCGGGACAGTTCCAGAACTGATGAGGTGTCTAGCTCAAGCAAATCCCCCTGTGCTAGCCCCAGCATAGCTCAACCTCTGTGACAAGAAACTCCTGCTACACTGAATCCCCATTTCCTCCCCGAAGCCTTCCTCAAACCCACAGGGAACTCTACCTCTCTCAGCTTAGCTCTTACTGTCTGTGCTATTCTGCTTTAATTTTATTCATTTTTGAATAAGTAATATAGTCAGGGTTCAAAGTACAAAAGAGTATTCAGTGAAAGGTCCTTTTCCTGCTCCTGAATCTCCCCTGGTCAGGTGCTTCCTTCACCTGGTCAGTGCTATCAGTTCTCGTTCTCCAATAAGATTTTCAAATCCCTTGGGGAAAGGAATTGAGCCTTTGTGTCCCTCTGTGTACCAGACGGGGTAAACTGTCCCACCCCATCACCCAAGGGGGTCTTCCTAGGCACCATACCCTCCCTCTTCCATCCACACTGCTACTAACTCTCCTGGGTCAGACTCCGAATGGGTCATCCAGCTGCCAAGCAGGTCCCTTTCCAAGATACCCTCCACCGCTGTCATATTGCTCTTCCTGTAATGCTGGGCTCCCAGCTTAACGCTTTATTACTCCCCATGCCTTGGGTCAAGGGCAAATGCTCCTCAGCATGATGAACAAGGCCCTTAGGACTTGGTTTCAGCCACCTCTGTAGGCCCAATTTCTGCTACTCCTGCCATACCAGACTGCTTACAGTTCTGTGACTGGCTCTTCTGTCTCCCACCTCTAGACCATTGCAGGTACTGTGCCTTCTGCCTGAAATGTGCTCACCTCGCCTCGCTGACTCCTACTCGCCAGTTAGTGTTCGGCCCATTTCTGCCCCCGTGAGATTTCTTCACAGATGTTGCCCTCCCCCATTTGCTGAGTTTCCTGCATGCCGGCTCCTTCAGCACTCAAGGGTACCTCTTTGATTCTGCTTCTCACAGGGTAATCTCTGTTTAAAATCTGATGCCCCCAATTGACTGTAGGATCCTTGAGGGCTGGCCTTGCACTTCTCTGTGTCCCCCGCCTCTTGCAGAGTACCTGGTAGAGGCAGTTATTCAGTAAATACTGGTGGAATAAACAAATCTCTCCTATCTCCTAGACAATAGTTAATACAAAATAGATGCTCAAAGAGATTTCTTTTGTTTGATTTTTGACGGTGCTGCTGAATCTGATGTTATAAAAGAAGCCACATTTGTACCCCAGTCCAGAATGAATCCACCTCCCCACTTGAGATCACGATGGCCACATACTCCCAAGGTCTCAGACACCAGGCCTCTCCACAGGCAGGAGCTTGTGCGTTTAAACAATAGCATTAAATAGTACAACCAGAGTTATTTTTAAGCAAAACATGCAGGGAGTAATGAACGTGGCTTTGGCCAAGGGCCAGGTGCTTGAGGATAACTGCTGGGAAGTGAAGCAGGGATTTATCATAATAATAGAAATAGTTGATACCATTTATTGAGGGCTTAGTGTGACAGGTGCTCTGCCAAACATTTTACCTACATTATCTGATTTAATCCTCCCCACAACCCTGTGAGTTAGGTATTAGTTGCCCCCACTTTATAGATGAGGAAATTGAGGCTTAGAGGGATTAAGTAAATTACCCAAGGGTCACACAGCTGCTAATGATCAAAACTAACACTTTGTGGGAACTTACCATGTGCAGAGACTGCTAAGCTTTGTCCATGAATTTTGTGGGGAAGGAGCATAATCCTTGTAACAACCCTAGGAGGTAGGTGCTACTACTAGAAGAGGAAGAACTGGAATTTGTGCCCAGGTCCCTTGCCATTGATGTCTAGTGCTTAACCAGTGAGCTTATGTGTCCAGAACTCTGCACAGAAAGTTCTGCAAGCATTCATCCTCTAGGGCATGGATCCACATGCCTGGGGGTGGAGCCTGGTGAACGCCCATGCCCAGCCCTGCCGGGAATGTCTTGTCATGAAATCTTAGGTTTCTGTTAAATTCTTTTTTATTAAATAGGAGTAGATTACAGATAACTTTTATTTATTTATTTTTAAAGACAGAATCTCTCTCTCGCCCATGCTGAAGAGCAATGGTGCGATTATAGCTCACTGCAGCCTTAACCTCCTGGGCTCCAGCAGTCCTCCTGCTTCAGCCTCCCAGGCAGCTAGGACTACAGGTGTGCACCACTACGCCTCGCTAATTTTTAAAATTTTTTATTGAGATGGGCTCTCAATACGTTGAGCAGACTGGTCTTGAACTCCTGGGCCCAAGCGATCCTCCCACCTCAGCCTCCCAAAGTGCTGGGATTACACCATGCTTGGCCAAGAAATATTTATAAAATACGTATAGGGTCTAAAGAATTACAGTCCACCAGCAGCCGCCATCCACTTTGAGAAAAAAACACTTTGAAGTCCCCCATTAACCATCTCTAATCCTGTACCGTTTTCTTCATCTTCAGAAACTGGTTATGTCATTTCTTTAGCTTTCTTTTTTTCGTGGGGAGACGGAGTCTTGCTCTGTTGCCCAGGCTGGAGTGCAGTGGCATGATCCTAGCCTACTGCAACCTCTGCCTCCCGGGTTCAAGTGACTCTCCTGCCTCAGCCTCCCAAGTAGCTGGGATTACAGGCATGCGCTACCACGCCCAGCTAATTTTTGTATTTTTAGTAGAGACAGGGTTTCACCATGTTGGCCAGGCTAGTCTTCTTTAGCTTTCTTTATAGCTTTATCACATATTTGTATTCAAGAACAAGATATTGTTTAATTTTAGCATGTTTTTACATTTTCTATAAGTGGAATCATACTGTATGTATCCTTTTGTCACTTGCTTTTTTCACCCAACAACACATCCACATTGTTGCATGGAGAAGTGGTTCATTCTTGGTCATCACTGTAGAGCACTGCACGGTATGGGTATTTTGCACTTTATTTATTCATTCTGCTAGTGGACTTAAAGGTTTTACCAGTTTGTTGCCATTTAAGTCAGTGTTGGCTTAAATGTTCTTGTACATACCTCTTGGTTTGCATCTACCAGAGTTTGTCTGGGATATAAAATGAGGAGTGGAATTGCTGGCTCAGGCTGTGTTCATTTCAAATTTTTCTTGATAATACCAAGTTGTTTCCCAAAGCCATAATGATTAAATCTCATGAGTTTAATGATTAAATCTCATGTAGTGTTTCAGTGTTCCAGTGACTCTAGATCCATGCATATTAGGATCTTAGGGCAGGAAAGAAACACTGCCTCCGGTCTCCTCATTTTATGGATGAAGGAAATGTAGATATGGGAAAGTTGTGGCCAATAAGGTGATGCCACCACTCAGCAACAGAGCCTGGCCTCGAACCCCAAGCACCCGACTCCCTCCTTACCCTGTGTTGGCTCACTTCTCTCTCTTGTCCCCTCCTTTCTCAGGCTGAGGCCCCAGCTTGTGGCCACCACAACGTATCAAGCTATCTCCAGGGTTGGGCTCAGGACTCAGAGCTGACGCAGCTGGGGTGCCCCTTGGTTCTGGAGGATGAGGCTCCTCCGCAGACGCCACATGCCCCTGCGCCTGGCCATGGTGGGCTGCGCCTTTGTGCTCTTCCTCTTCCTCCTGCATAGGGATGTGAGCAGCAGAGAGGAGGCCACAGAGAAGCCGTGGCTGAAGTCCCTGGTGAGCCGGAAGGATCACGTCCTGGACCTCATGCTGGAGGCCATGAACAACCTTAGAGATTCAATGCCCAAGCTCCAAATCAGGGCTCCAGAAGCCCAGCAGACTCTGTTCTCCATAAACCAGTCCTGCCTCCCTGGGTTCTATACCCCAGCTGAACTGAAGCCCTTCTGGGAACGGCCACCACAGGACCCCAATGCCCCTGGGGCAGATGGAAAAGCATTTCAGAAGAGCAAGTGGACCCCCCTGGAGACCCAGGAAAAGGAAGAAGGCTATAAGAAGCACTGTTTCAATGCCTTTGCCAGCGACCGGATCTCCCTGCAGAGGTCCCTGGGGCCAGACACCCGACCACCTGAGTAAGTAGCACCCAGAGTCCTTGTGGGGAGACCAGGGCTTTGCTAAAGGCATGGCTAGTATGGCCAGGGCCATAGATCAAGGGCCAGAGAAAGAGTTGAAGGGAATTTTATAATATGGGCAAGGATCTCCTCTATGCCTCACTTCTTTCCCAGAACAACTGTGCTGATCCCAGGGGTTGTGATTCAAGGGTATTATGGTCAGGCCAGAGGCCCAGGGAGACCTGTGAGAGTGAAATGCAATTATGAAAGTGAGATGATGTGGAAGAAGGAACTCAGCCTGGCACCAGGACCTGGCACGGGGTGACTGGGGAGACCTGATACCAAGCTGTGGTTTCAGTAGCTTTCTCCTCTACTGAGGCCTGCTCCAGAGACTGTGGGACTCTAATGCTGAGCTGTTTGGGGGGGGGGTGGGCATTTCTTAACAGCAACCCTGGTGGTTAGGAATATCCTCACACCTGGTTTCCTCCAGTGAAGGCCCACAAGGCCGGAATTGATTCCAACCTTTATCTGAAGTTGTTTATAGCCTCAATCTTGCACAATGAGATCTCACTTAGATCTTTGAGTGGCAGCCCCCTCCCTCTAACGCCCCCATGGCTGCATTCCCATGATCCTCAAGTTAAAGACAGTGTGTCTTCCCCACTTAGCCTTTGTCTTTTCCAGGTCAAGTGTTATACCCTATTTGGCCTTTTCTCAAATGGCAGCCCTCATCCCCAGATTTCGTGAGTCTTTAGGGCTGTGAACCTGAGGTTCTTGAGACTTGAGCCAAGTATGATAGCCCTAGAACAAGGGGCCACTTGAAGCTATCAGGAATTCCTCAGCAGAGAAGGGCACTGGGGCCAGGCACAGTGGCTCATGCCTATAATCCCAGCACTATGGAAGGCTGAGGTGGGTGGATCTCTTGAGGCCAGGAGTTCAAGACCAGCCTGGCCAACATGGTGAAAGCCTGTCTCTACTAAAAATACAAAAAAATTAGCCCGGCATGGTAGTGGGTGCCTGTAATCCCAGCTACTCAGAAGGCTGAAGGACAAGAATCGCTTGAACCTGGGAGGTGGAGGTTGCAGGGAGCTAAGATCATACCACTGCACTCCAGCCTGAGTGACAGAGCAAGACTCTGTCTCAAAAAAAACAGACAGAGAGAAGAGCACTGGGTGTGACAGCAGCCAGAGGAGGAAGACAGGGAATCTCTCTGGAGGGTCCCCAAGAAATCCTCTGACCAGCAGAGGAGGTCAAGGAAAGGGTGTGAGGTCACATGATTCCTTGAGATCCAGGATTCACACATTCCCACCCCAACCCTGAGATAGAGTGTCAAGAAGGTAGCAGCATGGCCAAGTGCCACAGAGTAGCTGGAGTGGATGAAGTTGGAAGAAAGGTTGCAGGAAATTGACTGTGATAGTGGTGTCAAATCACAGGGAGTTAATGAGAAAATGGATTAGAGAGGAACTGTACGCTGTAAAGGGAAGAGCCTTTTCTTCTCATTGAGTATGGAAATCATAGTCACTTTTCTCAGATGTCAAATTTGGCCTTTATTACCTACCCCTCTGGGACCTCTGGATTGGATTACATTTTATGCAGTTCACATATTACGGAGGAAGAGAGCCAGCCCTGGGAACTCCTAGCCTGAGAGCAGATAGCAGATGAAGGAAGGGGGTGGAGGAGCCTCAGCATCACAGCTGGGGCACTGAGCCAGCTCTGTGGGGATGGATTTTGGAGTGGTTTGGCTAGAACCTGTGCAAAGGCTCAGGGTGGGTGGCAGATACCGGGGAAGACAGGAACAGGGAACAGCTGTTCCCACCTGCTATAGAGAATGTAGGCTGTGGTTCAGAGGAGTGGAGGATGGTCTGGGGGAGTCTCTGGATGGGGCCCTCCCCACACCTGGTACTCCCAGGGACCAGGAGAACTTTGTCCGTACTTTCATACTTCCAGGTGTGTGGACCAGAAGTTCCGGCGCTGCCCCCCACTGGCCACCACCAGCGTGATCATTGTGTTCCACAACGAAGCCTGGTCCACACTGCTGCGAACAGTGTACAGCGTCCTACACACCACCCCTGCCATCTTGCTCAAGGAGATCATACTGGTGGATGATGCCAGCACAGAGGGTGAGGCTGGAGGGGCCCAGAGGAGGGGGCCGGGGTCTCCCCTGGGCACTCAAAGGAGGAGGGCAGTTCCTTTCAAGGGAGCAGGCACCACCTCATGAGCCTGTTGCCTGACATCACAGCTCATCTTAAAGGCCAGGAGCAGGAAGAAGTCAGGTAGGGGCAGGTAGACCATGCTTCCTTCACACCTCAGCCAAAGAGCTCCAAGAGCTTTTCAGCTCTGGCTTCAAGACTCCCTGAACGCTGCCAAGGCCAACCCTAACTCAGAAATGCTGGGAGAGACAGGGCAGAGGGTAGGGACAGGCCTTCACCTCTGTTTCCTACCCGCTGGGCCACTCTTCTGCTCTTGAAGACTCCCCAACCAGCCCTTTTTGCCATAGCTGTTGATAGGTAAGTGGGGTTGCTCACCAAACTTCCAGCCTTCAATTCCACAAACATCTACTGAGTACTGTGTGCCTGGCTCTGACCCAGGCAGAGGGGATGCCATGACAAAGGAGACAGACCCTGCCCTGAAAATACTAAAAACCCCCATAGGTCAGAAGCCTTTTTTTTTTTTTTTTTTTTGAGATGGAGTTTCGCTCTTGTTGCCCAGGCTGGAGTACAATGGTGTGATCTCAGCTCACCACAACCTCCGCCTCCCAGGTTCAAGCGATTCTCCTGCCTCAGCCTCCCTAGTAGCTGGGATTACAGGCATGTGCCACCACACCCAGCTAATTTTGTATTTTTAATAGAGATGGGGTTTCTCCATGTTGGTCAGGTTGGTCTCGAACTCCCGAACTCAGGTAATCTGCCTGCTCCAGCCTCCCAAAGTGCTGGGATTACAGGCATGAGCCACCGTGCCCGGCCAGAAGCCTCTTACAACACTAGCCACAGTGCTGTGGCAGTGATGCACCTGTAACAGGTGTGAAAGGGCATGGACTGCAGAGTCCAACACCTAGGAATTCAAATCCCAGCTCTGACCCTTCCTAGCTCTGTGACCTTGGACAAGCATTTGGCCTCCCTGAACCTGTTTCCTCTTCAAAAAATGGGGGCAGACCGGGCACAGTGGCTCAAGCCTGTAATTTCAGCACTTTGGGAGGCTGAAGCGGACAGATCACTTGAGGTCAGGAGTTTGAGACCAGCCTGGCCAACATGGTGAAACCCCATCTCTACCCAAAATACAAAAAATAATTAGCCAGGTGTGGTGGTGCGCGCTTGTAGTCCCAGCTGCTCGGGAGGCTGAGGCACAAGAATCACCTGAACCCGGGAGGCGTAGGCTGCAGTGAGCCAAGATGGCACCACTGCTTTTCTGCCTGAGAGACAGAGTGAGACTCCTTCTCAAAAAAACAAAACAAAAAAAAGGACTGGGCGTGGTGGCTCACGCCTGTAATCCTAGCACTCTGGGAGGCCGAGGCAGGCAGATTGCTTAAGGTCAGGAGTTCGAGACAGCCCGGCCAATATGGTGAAACCCCGTATCTACTAAAAATACAAAAATTAGCCAGGCGTGGCAGAGCATGCCTGTAGTCCCAACTACTCGGGAGGCTGAGGCAGGAGAATCGCTTGAACCCAGGAGGCGGAGGTTGCAGTGAGCCGAGATCATGTTACTGCACTCCAGCCTGGGCTACAGAGTGAGACTCCATCTCAAAAAAAAAAAAAAAGAGCAGTTGAGTCCCTTACATGGTGGGTGAGGGATATGAGATAGGTCATAAATGAGATTCATGTGCCACAGAGTGGCTGGCATCAAGTAAGAGTGTCACAAGCATGCATTCCATTTTATTCATGGTACGAGAACAATGCACCATGGAGTATGTAGCCAGGAGGTGCCATTTCTGCCTGGCGTGGCTAGGGCTGGTCTGCAGTGGAAGCCAGATTGGAGCTGGGCCTTAAAGGATGAGTGTCTAAGAGAGAAGAGTGGATGAAGGGCATTCCCACAAGAGAATGGCATAAGCACAGTCCTAAAGACATGAATGTGTTTGTTAAAGAGATCTGGTGTGGCTGAAGCTTAGGTTTGTTTAGGAAATGAGACTTAAAAGATGTTAAATTGGCCAGGGACAGTGGCTCACCCCTGTAATCCCAGCACTTAGGGAGGCCGAGGCGGGTGGATCACTTGAGCCCAGGAGTTCAAGACAGCCTGGGCAACATGTCAAGACCTTTTTTCTATAAAAATTACAAAAATTAGCCTGGCATGACGGCATGTGCCTGTAGTCCCAGCTACTCGGGAGGCTGAGCCAGAGCATGACCCTGTCTCAAAAAAAAAAATGTTGAATTGACATTCATGTCATGCTAAAAGCATTTATTTAGAAAGTAAGAAGGAGTCGTTGAAAGTGTTTCATCTGTACTGTGACTTCATTTCAGAAGGATGGCAGCTTTGGAGGAGGATAATCGGCAGGAAGAGAGGCAGAGGACTCACAGTCTGGAGAGGAAGTTCTTACACTCACTTGAGAGTAGGAGATGATGGGGCCTGAACTAGGAAAGGCTGTGGGACTGAGACACCTTTAGGCTGAGAGTCTCCACAAGCTTAGCCCTCCTCGTAGGAGGCATGTGGTGTCTGGGGCTCTCCCAGATTGACCTCCTGTGCTCAAACTCCCAATAGTGAGGGCAGGAACTGACTCCACACTTCCCAGTGTAAGCGCTGGGGCCACTCCAGTAGAGCTGCTTCCTGTCCTTGTCCTCCCCCAGCCTCCCTCCTTCCTCTAGGTTAGGGGTGATGCTGAAAAGAGGACTAGGGCTGTGGAAGGAAGGGCTGAGTGTGAGCCCTGTTGAGTTCATTTCTTCAGGAAGCTCACATCTTCCCAGGGAAGACAGATACTTGGCAGCACTTATAAAGCAAGGCCAGACCAGCCTGGGCAACATATCAAAATCCCATCTCTACAAAAATAAAAAATTAGCAGGCATGGTGGTATTTGCCTGTGGTCCCAGCTACTTGGGAGGCTGAGGTGGGAGGATCACTTGAGCCCAGGAAATTGAGGCTGCAGTGAGCTGTGATTGCACCATTGCACTCCAGCATGGATGGCAGAGTGAGACCTTGTCTCTAAAAAAGATACAAATAAAGTAAAATAGGCCAAGCACAGTAGCTCATGCCTGTAATCCCAGAACTTTGGGAGGCTGTGGCAGGAGGATTGCTTGAGGCCAGGAGTTCAAGACCAGCCTGGGCAATGTCACAAGACCCCATCTCTATAAAAAATAGAAAAGTTAGCTGGGCACGGTGGCATGTGCCTGTGGTTCCAGCTACTTGGAGGGCTGAGGTGGAAGGATTGCTTGAGCCCAGCAGGCTGAGACTGCAGTGAGCCTTGACTGCACCATTGTACTCCAGCCTAGGCAATAGAGTGAGACCCAGTCTCTAAAAAAAAATAATAAATAAATCAAGGCAAGCAAGTATCAGGGATGCAATGACAGGGTCTGGTGGACAAGGAATGTATAGATTAGGCTTCTGGAAAGGGAAGGGTGAAGAGTTTGGCAGAGATGGGAGGAGCTTGGCAGTGATCTCTAGGGAATCTTTGTAGCAATGGAAAGGTTGTATGGAATGGAAGCAAGCATATTAGCGGTCCTTCCTCTCAAACTGGGTTCTTTCGTTATCTTTCTCCTCCTAACCCTATGCTACCCATCCTTCGGAAGCTCTTTCACCTGAATCTCTTGTACTGGAGTGTATTAGTCCATTCTCATTTATAAAGGAGAGAGGTTTAATTAACTCACAGTTCTGCAGGGCTGGGGAGACCTCAGGAAACCTATAATCATGGCAGAAGGGGAAGCAAACATGTCCTTCCTCATGAGGTGTCAGGAGAGAGAAGAATGAGAGCCGAGCAAAAGGGGAAGCCCCTCATAAAACCATCAGATTTCGTGAGAACTTACTATCACAAGGATAGCATGGTGGAAACTGCCCCATGATTCAATTATCTCCCACTGGGTCCCTTCCATCACATGTGGGGATTATGGGACCTACGACTCAAGATGAGATTTGGGTGAGGAAACAGCCAAACCATATCATTTCACCACTAACCCCTCCCAAATCTCATGTCCTCACATTTCAAAACACAATCATGCCTTTCCAACAGTCCCCCCAAAGTCTTAGCTAATTCCAGCATTAACCCAAAAGTCCAAGTCCAAACTCCCATCTGAGACAAGGCAAGTCCCTTCCCCTATGAGCCTGTAAAATCAAAAGCAAGTTAAGTCACTTCCTAGATACAATGGAGGTATAGGCATTGCGTAAATACAACCATTTGAAATGGGAGAAATTAGCCAAAACAGAGGGGCTACAGGCCCCATGCAAATCGAAAATCCAACAGGGCATTCATTAAGCCTTAAAGTTCCAAAGTGATTTCCTTTGACTTCGTGTCTCACATCCAGGTCACGCTGATGCAAGAGGTGGGCTCCCGTAGCCTTGGACGTGGGGGTTCTAAACTGTTAACTTTTCACCCTAAACTTTGTGACTCTGTGAGCTGCAAGTGCCCAGGTAGGCAACTCCTCTGACTAGCTAGACAAGTGACATAATGCCAGGCTGGCATAGGCAGCATCTAACAGGCAGAGTAGCCTGTGTTCAGTAGGGCAGAGTTGGCAGTAGCCCCAGTATCCCCTCCAGAGCACCCGCCCCTAGCAGGCCACCATATACACGTTCACCTTCTCTCTGTCTGTCCTGGACTTGTTGCCCTGGACTCTCTTCTAAAGCCAATTCTCTCCAAAGGCCAATTCCAGCATCTCTAAATCATCTGCATGGTCAGGACGCACTGGCTCACACCTGTAATCCCAGCACTTTGGGAGGCTGAGGTGGGAAAATCACTTGAGCCCAGGAGTTCAAGACCATCCTGGGCAACATAGTAAGACTCTGTCTTTACAAAAAAATAAAAAATTAGCTGGGCATGGTGGTATGTGCCTGTAGTCCCAGCTACTCGAGAGGCTGAGGTGGGAGGGTCACCTGAACTCAGGAGGTCAAGGTTGCAGTGAGCCCTGATCATGCCACTGTATTCAGCATGGGTGACAGAGCGACACCCTGTGTCAAAAACAAAAACAAAACAATCACCTGCCTGAAAAACCTAAGCTAGTCATTCTTATTTTTCTGGGTCCTGGCATCCTTTCAGAATCTGTTAAAATCCCTAGAATAGTGCACCACTGCCCACAATAATATGCAAAACCCACATTTTTGCATTTAATTCCAGGGAATTTGTGGACCCTATGATAAACAACCCTACCCAGAGGGCTTTCAGACGCTAGAGATACTTTAAGCAACATTCAGTTCAGTGAGGAAAGGAGGAAAAAACCCTCAGATCCATGGTCAGAAATCTCTGCCGTCCACAGTGGGATAAAATTTCCCACACGTTTGACTGTTTGATCAGATTAACCAGCTCTCATTACACACACACACAAACAGGACTGTGTCTCTGCCGAAATACAATGTCCCTGCTCTCTGACCTCCACTCCAGGCACCCAGTAGTAGCCCTATGAGAGTGAGTCTAAGGGCATTTGATACCATGGGGGAGGAGACCGCGTGCTGAGCTGGGGAGCTTTTTCTTCCCCACCTCTGAGTCAGAACCAGGGCACAGACCTCATTCCTGAGTGGCTAGGTCAGCAGCCAGGGTTCCCTCCCTGTCTGGCACACTCCACCAGCTTAACTAAATTAGAGGGAAAAAAAAGAAGAATGCAGGGCAATGGGTTAGTGAGTGAGTAATTAGGGAGCTCTTTTCACCGGAGTAGCCAGGAAAGACTACTCTTAGTACTCCCTGCAAAGGGAGCAGCCAACACAGAGGCCTGAGGCTTGACTTGTTAATGAGGCAGAAAGAAGACAGTGTGGCTTAAACAAAGTAAGCCAGGGAGCAGAAAGAGTGCTGGTGGAGTGGGTGTAAGGAGCCGGGCCCATGGCTCATGCCTGTTAATTCCAGCACTTTGAGAGGCCGAGGCAAGAGAACCCTTGAGGTCAGGAGTTTGGGACCAGCCTGGCCAACATGGAGAAACCCCGTCTCTACTAAAAATACAAAAATTAGCCAGGCATGGTGGTGGGCACCTGTAATCCCAGCTACTCAGGAGGCTGAGGCAGAAGAATTGCTTGAACCCCGGAGGCGGAGGTTGCAGTGAGCTGAGATCACACCATTGCACTCCAGCCTGGGCGACAAGAGCAAAACTCCATCTCAAATAATAATAATAATAATAATAATAATAATAATAATAATAATAATTTTTTAAAAGGCTAGCGGGACCAAATTGTGAGACCTCCGTAAGCCACCGACAGTGTTTGGATTTTTCATGTGTGTATGTAGTAAAAGGCACGACATAAAACGTATCATCTTCACGGTTTCAGTCCACAGTTTATTGATTTTAAATGCATTCACATTATTGTGCAACCATCTCCGGAACTTTTTTTTTTCCCTTTTTTAATAAGATGGGGTCTCACCATGTTGACCAGGCTGGTCTGGAACTCCCAGCCTCCCAAAGTGCTAGGATTACATGCGTGAGTCACCACAACCAGCCAATAACTTATTTTTTGTCATCCCAAACTGAAATTCTGTACCTATTAAACATGAATTCTCCACGCTGTCCTCCCCACAACCCCTGGCAACCACCCTTCTACTTTCTGTCTCTATGAATTTGATTATCATAAGTGGAATCATACAGTATTTGTCCTTTTGTGACTGGCTTATTTCACTTAGCATAATGCCTTCAAGATTCATCCATGTTGTAACATTTGTCAGAATTTACTTTATTTTTTTTGAGATGGAGTTCGTTCTTGTTGCCCATTGGCGCAATCTTGGCTCACCGCAACCTCCACCTCCTGGGTTCAAGTGATTCTCCTGCCTCGGCCTCCCGAGTAGTTGGGATTACAGGCACGTGCTGGCTAATTCTGAATTTTTAGTAGAGACAGGGTTTCTCCGTGTTGGTCAGGCTGGTCTCGAACTCCTGACCTCAGGTGATCCACCCACCTTGGCCTCCCAAAGTGCTGAGATTACAGGCGTGAGCCACCAAACCCGGCCCAGAATTTACTTTTTAAGGCTGAATACTATTCTATTGTATGTATACACCACATTTTGTTTGTCCGTTCATTCGCTGATGGACACTGAGGCTGTTTCTGCCTTTGGCTATCGTGACTAATGCTGCTGTGAACATTGGTGTGCAAATATCCAAGTCTCTGCTTTCAGCTCTTCAGGGTATATGCCCAAAAGTGGAATTGCTGGATCATATGGTAATTCTGTCTTTAGTTTTTTTTAAGGAACCATCATACCTTTCCATAAGGAAACACCATGGATTTGTTTTTAAATACAATTTGAAGCCGCTGTAGTGACATGATCTGATTTATGATTTTTAGAGAGAATTTTACTTCTCACAGTAGCTGCCGTGTCAAGAATAGATTGAGGAGAGTGGTATAGAAGGCAGAAAAGCAGTGACTGTGGGGATGAGAGAGAGAGCTGGCAGTACCTGCAGATGTGCTGATTGTGGAAGGGGACAGCAGGGGGGATTCTAGCATGACTTCCAGGTTAGAGCAGCTGGAGGGATGCTGGCACCGTGTACTGACGTGAGGGAGACTGGGGGGCAGATTTGCAGGGGAAATTCAGAGCCTGTTTTGGGCATATGTTGAATTTTCCATTTTGTTCCACATCCAAGTGAAGATGGCAAGGTCAGGAAGGAATCCCTGGGAGCCATCTGCATGATACTTCAGATCATGGAACTGAGTGCGGTGTCTGTGTTGGCATCCCAGGGGTCTTGTGGACTTGAGTTGTGAGGAGTGAAGCTGGTTGGGGTGGTGGGGTGTTGAACCTAAGTTGGAAGGCTGTCACGGCGGGGACATGAGTGTGTGGCTGGGCTCACCGGTACAGCTATGCTCAGCTCCAGTCTCCTCAGTTCTGGGTCTGTCCAGTAGGTCTGGGGGTGGAACAGGTGGAGTATCACGAGGGGCATTGCTTAGGGGAGTTGTCTCCCCAGAAGGGCTTGAGGCCAGAGGCTGGAAGCCTCTCAGGCTGAGAATCCCTGGGTCTGGCCTCACCAGACTGGAAGGAAGGCGTGGGAGAAGGGCTTTGTAGTGCTCGGGGCCCCCCCTGAGGTTCACAGCTCAGTGCTTCACTGTCTCTCACCACAAAACCCACTTCCTATGATGTTTTGTCCGTGGGTTATCTCCACTACCGTGAACTTCCTGTGCGCAGAGCTGGGCAAGCTCTCGGGGAAACACAGCAGCCATGCTGAGGAGCCTGGGCTTCCTCCCTCCTTCCTGTCAGGGCCAGCACCCGGGGCTGCAGGTGCACTATGAGTCTCAAAGGGCAGGACCCAGACCAGGCCCCTCCCTTCCCAGAACAGCATCTGGCACCTGGCAGCACATTGACAGACATTTGTGGAGTGAGTGCTGGGCTGAGGCTGCTGCATGAGGCTGATTTTGATTCCTGAGGTCCTGGCCCCCAGAGATAAGAGGCCTCATTCCTGGAGTTAAGTAAGATACAGCCCCCTCCTCAGATGACTGCCTGAAGAATCCATTCATAAATGAGCGCCATGTCATAATCACCTCACCTGTCTGTCCAGTAGGATTGAAGAAGGAAAAAGTGGGCGGGGCGTAGTGGCTCACGCCTGTAATTCCAACTCTTTGGGAGGCCGAGGCGGGCAGATCACTTGAGGTCAGGAATTCGAGACCAGCCTGGCCAACATGGTGAAGCCCCATCTTCACAAAAAATACAAAAAATTAGCGGGGCGTGGTGGCAGGTGCCAATAATCTCAGCTACTTGGGAGGCTGAAGCAGGATAATTGCTTGAACCCAGGAGGTGGAGGTTGTGGTGAGTCGAGATTGCACCACTGCACTCCAGCCTGGGCGACAGAGTAAGACTCTGTCTCCAAAAAAAAGAAGAAAAAAAAAAAAAACATGGAAAAAAAAAGAAGGAAAAAGCTGAAATTCCAAATTATAGAGACTTTCCTTCTCCTAGGCGCCACTCTCCAGGACAGTGACTAAAGAACAGCTTCAACAAACCCCTTTCTCTCCCTTTCCCTCCCGGGATCTCACACACAGGGAAATGGCAAGGCCTTGGGTGACTGCGAGAGGAAGCAGAGACCACCTTGAAACTCGGGTGCATTAAGTCCTTGGCCTTCTCATCTTAATCTGCTCCAGAATAAAAAAATTTAAAAAAAAAAGTCCGTGGCCTCACTGGTGGTCAAGAGACCACCTTGAAACTCAGGTGCATTAAGTCCTTGGCCTTCTGATCTTAATCTGCTCCAGAATTAAAAAATTAAAAAAAAAAAAAATTCCATGGCCTCACTTCCCCTGGAGGGAGAAGGTGGGGAGTCCTCACATGCAGACTGGCTAGGATCCTGCTGCTGCCCTTTGTGCTTCTGCCACCCTGGGCTAGTCACTTTGAGTCTTACTTTCCCCATCTATAAACACTGGGGACAATACTCCCTGTTTCATAGAGTTGTTAACTATCATAGAGAAGATTAAATAAAGAAGTCACCATGAAGACACCTACCTCACCCACACCGGCACACACTCCAGCTCAGTGCTGGGTTATTGTGTGCGTGCATTTGTGGGAGATCAATTGCATGCAACCCCCTAAGCTGCTTAATTTCAGGACCTGCCGTTTGTAGAATGCTGCATTCAGAGCAAGGCCCAAGCTCTGGGCTGATCCCACAGTCCAAAAGGAAAAGGACACACAATTGTCACATCTGTCCCCCACATCTGAAACTGCAGGCAACTCCATTCTGCACAGAACAGAACCGTGGCAGAGATAAACCAAAATGGCAGTTAGTAAAACATAGTAAGGTTTGGAATTCGGTATGTTTCAAGATGGACTGCTTCAGAATAGAGCTATTCTTCGTTTGTTTTTTGTTTTGAGACAAGTCTTGCTATGTCACTCAGGTTGGAGTGCAGTGGCATGATCTCAGCTCACTGCAACCTCCACCTCCTGGGTTCAAGCAGTTCTCCTGCCTCAGCCTCCCGAGTAGCTGGGTTTACAGGTGTGCGCCACCACACCTGGCTAATTTTTGTTTGTTTGTTTTTGGTTTTTTTGAGACGGAGTTTCGCTCTTGTTGCCCAGGCTGGAGTGCAATGGTGCAATCTCGGCTCACTGCAACCTCTGCCTCCCAAGTTCAAACGATTCACCTGCCTCAGCCTCCCGAGTAGCTGGGATTACAAGCATGCGTGCCCAGCTAATTTTGTATTTTCAGTAGAGACAGGGTTTCTCCATGTTGGTCAGGCTGGTCTCGAACTCCCAACCTCAGGTGATCCACCTGCCTCCGCCTCCCAAAGTACTGGGATTACAGCCATGAGCCAGCGCGTCTGGCCTAATTTTTGTATTTTTAATAGTGGCAGGGTCTCACCATGTTGGCCAGGCTGGTCTCAAATTCCTTGGCTCAAGTGATCCATCTGCCTTGGCCTCCCAAAGTGCTGGGATTACAGGAGTGAGCCACCGTGCCCAGCCAGAATAGAGCTATTGTTAATGCTCTGAGGATTTCAGACTAAATTACAGGGCCATGAACTAAAACTCTTCTTTGAAAGGAGCTGGAGGTCTCAGTAGAGACATCTTCCCTTCAAAAAGCTTTCCCCGCTCCTCAAATCCAGGAGATTTGGCCCTTCTTTGGGACCCACACCCCAGCACTACCTCTGTTAGATCATGGATCACCTGCCCTGGAATTGCCTGTTTCCTGGTCAGCCTTGCTTCTGGGTGGTTTGTTCCTTAGGACAAATGGTCAAGCCGGCTGGGCTCGCCACTGTGCCTGGTCCGTGGTAGGTGCTTGGTGCAAGTATTTTCTTAATATAATTAAAAAGCTGCTGGGCATGTTTTCACCTTAAAGAATTCTATCTGCAGAGGAGGTTACAAAGGGGATTAGAGTCAGATGTCCTGCTGCTGATCCAGCAAGCAAGGAGTCACCATTTGTGTATGCCCACCCATCGACGTTACCGTGAAGAGCCTGGGAGACAGGGAATCCTAGACACTGGAAAACAACCGTGCAATGGAGCTGTGGAATTGCAGCTCTGGAAGATGGTGGCTGAGAGGGTGGAGAAACTGAGGGAGGCATCTGAGAGCCTCTGTCAGAATTTTGTACTTGGGCCGGGCGTGGTGGCTCATGCCTGTAATCCCAGAACTTTGGGAGGCCAAGGCAGGCGAATCACTTGAGGCCAGGAGTACGAGACCAGCCTGGCCAATATGGTGAAATGCTATCTCTACTAAAAATGTAAAAATGAGCCAGGCATGGTTGCACACACCTGTAGTCCTAGCTACTCAGGAGGCTGAGGCAGGAGAATCACTTGAGCCCAGGAGGTGGAGGTTGCAGTGAGCCAAGATCACGCCATTGCACTCCAGCCTGGGTGACAGAATGAGACTCCATCTCAACAACAACAACAAAAAGTTTGTACTTGATACGTGACCACAGAAACACAACTCTGAGGTGCTGTCCCTGACATTAGAGAGGGTGCCCAGGTGAACAGGCATAGGATCTAGCACCACAGAGCCAGAGCCCTGGTGAGGCAGTTTTGACCACAGACAGGGCTTCTTTCTTCCTCTCCCCATCTTCCCTGTTAACCTCCTTCCCCAGCTCCGGCTTCTGTGGAATGGCTCAGTACAGCAGGTGTTGGGGGTTTAAAATTCAGGCCTGCTAGAGGCCTGAGAGCCCCTAGCTTGGTGCCCACAGGGGATTGGGTATACAGCAAAGTGGTGGACTGGCCACAATGACACTGTCCCTTCCAGAGCACCTAAAGGAGAAGCTGGAGCAGTACGTGAAGCAGCTGCAGGTGGTGAGGGTGGTGCGGCAGGAGGAGCGGAAGGGGCTGATCACCGCCCGGCTGCTGGGGGCCAGCGTGGCACAGGCGGAGGTGCTCACGTTCCTGGATGCCCACTGTGAGTACCAGGGCACCGGCCTGGGTGTAACCTGGAGGCTCCCTCCCTGCTAGAATGAGCCAGGGCCACAGCCTCCCCAAGGCCCCTTCCTGTTCTCTCTTCCGGGAGTGAAGGAGGCTTGGGACCCACTCCAGGTGCCTCTACCCCTTTCTCACCCCAATCCCAAGGATGTTTCATCAAGAAGACAAACATCCCTAAAACAACTGGTGACCCCAAAATCACTGGAAGTGATTTCCAGTGATCACCGGGGCCCCGGACATTCATCCCTCCCTGTACTCCCATCTGCACCTTGCTCTGAGCTTGGCCCCTCAGAGAGGCCTCCTGCTATGACAGAACTGGCTTGTTTGGGGCTTTCTTCTAGGGCAACATGGAGCCAGGAAGGCCTCCTTCTTGCCCAAAACCAAAACACTTCCCCACTGTTGTGGAGGATGAAATATTTTCCCTAGGAGTGGTGATATATATTAGGGGAAGCTCTAGTCTTGGAGTCAGAATTCTTGGTTTGCATTCTGACCCTGCCCCACTAACAGCCTCAGTTTCCTCATTTATAAAATAGGAATGAGGATACTAACCTTACTGAACAGAAATATTACTCTGAGGGCCGAATGAAGTAATAATACGTGCAGAAGCTCACTGAAAATCTCAAGGAGCTAGACAAATGAAAGAGATTATTCTTCTACAATTAGGGCTGAAGCTTGACATGCGGATGCCCCTGGGAGGGGGAACACCCTCTTCTGAAATCCACACGTGGGCCCGGAGGGCTGGGCCAATGGATCGGCTGGAACCCCGGAAGATACCATCCAGGGCCTCCCTGTGCTTTTGGGTCATCTGAGTTGACCATGTTACTCCCCTGAGACCTCCATTCTCCCTGCCAAAGCTGCCTCCGCCTTTGGGGGTAGAGGGGTGGTAGAAGGGTTTTAGGAAATTCTGTGTGCTCCCTGTAGCTGTGGGGCTTGCTGCCTGTAACCCAGGAGTAGGTGGACTGTCTCTTATCCTCCTGGGCATTCCCTCCAGGATGCAGCTTGGGCTCTGCTGTGGGCAGGGCCCTGACTGCTGCCTCCTGGTTGGGGCCTGCAGGTGAGTGCTTCCACGGCTGGCTGGAGCCCCTCCTGGCTCGAATCGCTGAGGACAAGACAGTGGTGGTGAGCCCAGACATCGTCACCATCGACCTTAATACTTTTGAGTTCGCCAAGCCCGTCCAGAGGGGCAGAGTCCATAGCCGAGGCAACTTTGACTGGAGCCTGACCTTCGGCTGGGAAACACTTCCTCCACATGAGAAGCAGAGGCGCAAGGATGAAACCTACCCCATCAAGTAAGGACCGCAGCCTGGTGAGCCCCCAACCTGGCCCCAGTCCTACCCAGTTCCAGGAACCTGTGCCATCTCACATCAACATTTGTTAGGTGCTCTATCAAGCACTTGACATATTGTGATTAATCCTCACTCCCTATGAAGCAGGTACAATACTAAGAATACTAAGGCTCATAGTGATAAACACTGACCTAAGATCATGCAGCTAGCAACAGTGGAGCAAGGACACACTTCCCGGACTGTCTGGCCCTAACCGTGGCACTGCTCTTATTCACCATGACAGTTTGCTCTTATTCACCACTTACCATGTGCCAGGCACTGAACTAAGGGCTATACATTCTTTAGTTTATTCCTCCCTACACATAAAAGGAGTGGCCCATGCTTGCAGATGGGGCAAGAGATGTGATGGAGGCCATTGTGGAATAGTCACTGTAATAAGAGGGAGTGGTATGTGCCCCCAGGTGACTGTCTTTGAAAAGACTGAGAATATACTAAAAGAAAACAGACACATTTTCTGCAGCGTGAAGTTTGTAGCAGTTGCCCTGAACTTCTTTGGTGAAGGGCCAGATGATAAATATTTTGGGCTTTGCCAGCCACATATAGTTTGCTGCATATTCTTCATCTTATTTATTTTTTATTTTTTTTACAAACATTAAAAAATGTAAAAATAATTTTTTGCCCCAGAGGCTTCTAAAACCAGGCAGCCAGATTTTGCCCACAGGCTCTTGTGTGCCAGCCCCTGAGCTGCAGGGTAGACAATTGGAAGTCAACCCACAGTTTAATGCCCACTGGGCTCACCTTTCCCTCTTATACTCACCCCATCCTCCCCTCTCCAGGCAGCCTGTTGGTGTTATTGGAGACTGTAAGTTTATTTTAACAGTTGTCTCAGACAAACCAAGTTGAGGAGTGACTTTTAGTGTAGCCTGTGGTTTGGGATTATTTGTGTCATTGTTATCTTAGACTGGCCAGTATACTTAAGGCTCAACTGAATATACATCCAGGACGGAGGGATGCAGAGGTTGGAGATACAGTAGCCAGAGATAAGAGGGAAGGTTTGAAAGGAGGAAAGGATTGGTGCTTCTTCCTCTCCACGTGCCCAGAATCCTAAAAAATGCTGTCCATGCCAGGCACAGTGGCCCACACCTGTAATCCCAGCTAGATGAGAGGCTGAGGTGGATTAGGTGGATTGCTTGAGCTCAGGAGTTTAACAACAGCCTGGGCAGCATAGCAAGACCCCATCTCTTAAAAAAGAAAAAGAAAAAAAAAAAAACCTGCTCAGAGTCCCAGTAGAAAGGAACTCAGGTGAATGCCACAGGGAGAAATCCCACAGATCCTGAACAGCCAGCTGCTCTGTCTCCATTAGAAGGAGAGAGGGAAAGGAAAAGGCAAAAGAGAGAAAAGAAATTGGAACTTTCCACTGACCCAATGTTTGTTTCATAGCTGCCTTTTGTTTGGTGTGCACTGCAACAGATCCCCACCCCCACCCCCATGCCAGTGACCAGGCACACAGCAGCACAGTCAGAAAGAGGGCACCTGGCCCCCACCCATCACTGACGTCGCAGGCTTCAATGTCCAAGGGCCATACAACTGGAAGACAAAGCTCCAGTGTTTGAGGAATGAATGTGCTCCTTGGCCCACATGCCCCGGTAGCATGCATGGCTTGCCGAGGCTCTTCATGTAGCGCCCCCACCCCAGGAGGACTGCTGACAGTCCCCTCCCGGCCTCCCATCTCAAGCCAACCAGAGCCTAAGAGGAGAGGCAGAGGACCTGGGGGATTCTAGGGGTAGGCCAGGACATAAAGGGTGTTTACTAGAGGTTGCCTGTGGTTGTGAATTTACAGTGAAGCTTCCCATGCAGGGTTTGTCCTCATGGCTAATCCATCAGTGACTTCTCGGTCTGGGAGACTTCTCAAAGACAAGACTCAGGGCCTGTGGGGGAGGAAGCAGGTTGGCTTCCAAGTGCTCCTCTGCAGTTCCAGCACTCTCTGAGCCTCTCAGGGTGCTACTTGTGCCGGTTTAAGACCCCTGGGAGAGGCCAGAGCCTCTTCCAAAGTGATAGGAAGCCAGCCTGAGCACGACTGAAATTCCTTCCAGAAAGTGGCTGCAGGAGCCAACTTCAGGTAGACAAGAGCAACCACAGGGTAACACCAGGGTCACATTCCTGGGTAGGCACCTTGATGGATCATGCGAATGAACAGTGATTGGGCCCCAGCTGTGTGTAAGGCACCTAGATAGGTTCTGGGGTTACAGGGGTTCTGTATCTTTCTGCTTGGTTGTACCACATGAAGCTGCCCACTGAGGGCAGCAAAGCCCTAGCCATGCCAGGCTGGCCCAAACAGAAACCAGCAGCTGATGATTGTGCTCCTGCCATGTCTCACCGGCCCCCACCCCAGCATTCCATCTTGCTTATACTTCCCCGGGTCCGCTTCGATACCCTAACGCTTAGCCCAGTCCCTCTTCGAAGCAACCTGGTATCTAAATTCTAGGAATTAGATGTTTTTGTCAATTTATCTTATCTTGAGTCCACACCTCCCTGCCTGTGTCTGAAAGCCAGAATCTTTTTATAACCTTCTAAATGTTCCCTGTAGCCCAAATTGAGCTTGATCTCACCTGACCTTCCACTGTTTCCAGGAGCACCTTTTATCAGCTTTCTCTGTTAAAAGCAACTGGCAACTTCTCCCCAAATCTACAGTTTCTCATGCAGTGTAAATCACCAGGGCTAGGCGCCTACTAAAACTGTGGCTTAATAGTCCCTGAGGGGCAGGGGCCCTGAAACAGAATGGAGTCAGCCCAGCTGACAATATTCATTCATTCATTTATTCATGGTTTGAATCCTGCCTATTTTCAAAAACAATTTCACACAGCTTCTGAAAGTTGAGTATCTCCTAGGCTCCAGGCACTTTGCTGCCAAAAAGTAACTAATGGTAGCTTTAACCTCTGTGACTAGATTGAGCTCTGGGGGAATAGGATCTGTCTTTCTCCGTTCTGTGTGTCCATCATGTAGCACGGGCCCTGGTGGCCAGTGTTACGTGCATCCTAGGTTGAACGAATGAATGAGTGCCTTTTAGAGGATAATTACATATTTCCTTGACCTGGTCCTAGAAGGGGAAGAGGACATAGTAAAAGCTAAATGATGAGTGAGTTAGTGGATGAGGGGCTGCACGTCCTGAGAAAGAGGAAAGGAGGGGGAGGTGGGTTAGGAGGGGAGTCCACAAACAGCTTTCCCCGCCAGGCTCCGCTCCTCCTCTCCCAGAAGATGCACACACTTCTCCCTCTGTCTCTCCAGATCCCCGACGTTTGCTGGTGGCCTCTTCTCCATCTCCAAGTCCTACTTTGAGCACATCGGTACCTATGATAATCAGATGGAGATCTGGGGAGGGGAGAACGTGGAAATGTCCTTCCGGGTGAGAGTGAAGAGGGCTTTGGGGGGAACCACAACATCCCAGGCGACAGCTTGAGAAACATCTCTCAGGCAGAGGTGGCATCAGGGACATCCCATCTGGAACTGAACTAGAAAGGGTGGCTATTTCCCAGTGTGTCTCTTCCTCTTTTCTGCTCCCCCTGTCCATGGCAGTAGGGCTTGGGCAGTCAGCCTGGACAGCTCAAAACAAACTACTGGGCACAACTTCTCAGAGGCAAGGAATAATAGGGGTAATGAGGACTGGACATCTGGTGACTGGGGACTCTTTTGCGATGTCTGTGGGAAAGGGTTAGGGTGAAGATAGAAACAGGTTAGTATGTTCACAACTAGGGCTAGAAAAAAAAAACAGATGAGTAACCAGTCATCATCCTTTTTCTGGAAAAATCAGGCTCCCCTTCCCAGTTCAAAGGACACATGCCCTGGTAACCTTTGAAGTTTCCCTACCTATGTACAATAAGCCCTTCATAACAGTCAGAGAAGATGGTGGCCCCAACTCTGGTGGACCCCAGAACTCTGAGAGATTCCAGGAATTAGGCAAATCAGGATTAGGTCAGGAAGCAAGGATTGCCTCTCCATGAAACCTACACAAATCTCCATGCCATGGAAAAGTAATTAGTAAGTAGATGAGCTCATTTATGAAGTCACCTCTCACGGTGCCTGATGCATATTAAGCACGTAATTGATGCCTGCTGTTACTATAACGATTATGTATTTCTGTTGCTGCCACACTAAAATGAATAACAACATACTTTCCCACCTAAAACCCAAAAGAAGAAACCAGTGGGAGGGATGTCTTCAGCCAGCCCACCAGCATAGAAAAGGGTCACCTGCCAGTCACCCCAACTCCCAGCGGCCCAATCCTAGGCTCCTCCATGAGCCTCTGACCTCTGTTCACCTTCCTAGGCAGCCAGTGTGCTAAGGGCCCAAGTGACTACCACTAGCCACCTAGCAGCCAACTATCCTTGCTATTAATTAACAGACTGATGCTCTGGTTTTTATCACCTGAGGGAGCTGATAAACTCACATTTCCAGGTCAAAAAGCCAAGTGATCAGAGCTCAGAGTAGGTATACAGGCACAGGTAACAAAAATTAACCAGCAGGCTTTTCCCTAAAGTGGGCCCTGGTAAACACAGGACCCTGCAGTCTCCCTGTGCTTAAGTCAGAGTGAACCAACATCAGAAAGCCTGGGATCGTGTAGTCATGGCCTAGGAAGAAGCCTGGTCGGTATCCTTTTTCCCAGGGAGAGAGAGCAGCATTTGCCCAAGTCCTTGGACCTGGGGTCTGGTGCTCTGGGAATAGAATAGAGCTGCTTATGGGGAGACTGTCTCACCTAGCCCACTGAAGGCCTCATCCTGTCTCCTCTTACATCAGGTGTGGCAGTGTGGGGGCCAGCTGGAGATCATCCCCTGCTCTGTCGTAGGCCATGTGTTCCGGACCAAGAGCCCCCACACCTTCCCCAAGGGCACTAGTGTCATTGCTCGCAATCAAGTGCGCCTGGCAGAGGTCTGGATGGACAGCTACAAGAAGATTTTCTATAGGAGAAATCTGCAGGCAGCAAAGATGGCCCAAGAGGTGAGAGGAAATGGTTCTCGGAGAGGTTTAGATGAAGAGAAGTACGGCCCCCAGACCCTGTTCATGGGCCTAATGGCTGGGACCCACCTCATCTCTACCATCTGGCGCCTCCCTTCACCCTCAGGGACCTGTGAGCTAGAGCCCAGGAGAAGGCCACAAGGCACATAGGTTTCAAAAGCTAGAGAATGTTGTCCCTACGCATAGAGTCTCTGCATCCCTTTGGAGGGGAAGGGAGGGAAAGGAGATTTGGAGGAAAAGCCTCTTACGGAGGCTTTGGAGGCTTTGGAGGAATGGCTCTGAGAGCCTCGGCACTGGGGAGTGGGACATAATTGTCTGGGGAGTCACAGGAGATGGACCGATAAGCAGGGGACTCCAAAGCTAAGGCGGGGTTTTTGGGATTGGATGTGAGGGCTGGGCCAGTATCTTTAACAGGTCCTGAGTGGGAATGAACATGAGAGACAGTAGCCCCAGGCGCTCCATGCTATCTGCACTACTTCAGCCCAGACAGGAAGGTCAAAGACTGGTGGAACTGGCTGGGTGTGGTGGCTCACGCCTGTAATCCCAGCACTTAGGGAGGCCGAGGCGGGCAGATCACCTAAGGTGAGGGGTTTGAGACCAGCCTGGCCAACATGGTGAAACCTCATCTCTACTAAAAATACAAAAATTAATTGGGCGTGGTGGTGCGCGACTGTAGTCCCAGCTACTCAGGAGGCTGAGGCAGGTGAATCGCTTGAACCCAGGAGGGGAAGGTTGCAGTGAGCCGAGATTGCACCACTGCACTCCAGCCTGGGCAACAGAGTGAGACTCCCTCTTAAAAAAAAAAAAAAAAACTGGTGGAACTGATCCTTAGGGGGCTGGCTTGATTGACAGAAATCCTTCGGTGACATTTCGGAACGACTGCAGCTGAGGGAACAACTGCACTGTCACAACTTTTCCTGGTACCTGCACAATGTCTACCCAGAGATGTTTGTTCCTGACCTGACGCCCACCTTCTATGGTGCCGTAAGTCTTGAGAACCAACCTGCCTGCCCATCACCACAGCACCCCTTGGAGAAGTTCAAGACCACTGACCCCACAGATGGATGACAAACAAGAATTGAGTTTTGCCCTGCACCCTCCTTTATCCAGGAGGAGGACTGAGAGGCCACGTTGGGGCTTCTAGAGATAGCAAAAAACCTTATAAAGGGCAAAACAACCCACAAGCAGTGGTCCTGAAACATTAGCATGCATCAGAATCACCAGGAAGGCACGGTAAAACGCTAGGGCCCATCCCCAGAGTTCCTGATTCAGAAGGACTCAGGGGAGGTCTGAAAACTTGCATTTCTCACGAGTCTCCAGGTGATGCTGATGGTCCAGGGCTCACATTTGAGAACCACTGCTTATAAGGAAACTCCCACGTGCTGAGGGCTTCTTCCAGGGACCTGGCATCCTGGGAGGTTCCCTGCCTGCCCCACAGAGGGGTTCAGTCCTGCCCTTTCCAGCCTCTGGGGCTCTGCAGCTCACTTTGCTGTTAGCTCCAGGCATGTGGGTTAACGCACAGAGGAGAGAAATGACGGGGGAAATCCAGCCATGCAAATTTGTTGCAGTTGACTGGAATTTGTTCCAGTGGGGCCCCATACCACACATGAGGAACCTCCTGACTGTGCCATCCTGCTTCCCCTCTCTGCTCACCCTTCTGCAGATCAAGAACCTCGGCACCAACCAATGCCTGGATGTGGGTGAGAACAACCGCGGGGGGAAGCCCCTCATCATGTACTCCTGCCACGGCCTTGGCGGCAACCAGGTATGCAGCCCACCCATCTCCGGAGCATCTCCTCTCCTCACCGGCTCCTTTTCTCTACCCTAAAGAGTCCTTTCCTGAGGACTGGGAGGGAGGAGATACCATCCCTGCCCTCAGGAAGCTTCCAGTCGGAGGAGAAGGCATAACACACACAAGGTCTGAATAAGGGACATCCGGAGAGAACGAGGCATCGGTGCTGGGTGTGAGAAGGGGATGGGAGGGAGGGTTGTTCATCAGAGGAGGCTTGAGGAGGCTAGCTGCTGGGGGATATTTAGGGGTGAGGGTGGAAAATTTTCCAGCACATCCCATCACCTGCACTCAACTTCTATCTTCAATGCATCCTCTGCCCAGAAGCTACCACTCTGATCCTACCACCTTCCAGTGACCCCAAAACTAGGTGCCCAGCACTAGTAAGTGAGAGGCACTGAAAACAGAGCCAGAGTGGGGAAAGGAGTGGTGTGGGTCACTGAACAAGCCCGCTGGCATATGTAGGTGAAGACAGTCATTCTACAGCAGTTTCCTGTACCACTGGCCTGCAAGATGATTTCCAGTGGTGCACTGGAGAACATTTTTTATTTTAATAGTAATGTATTAGCAAAAATAGAACAAGCATATCACATGATTTCACGGATGTTACTTAAAATGAGGCTAAGTTAAATTGAATTTTAATCTAATTTAAAGGAAATATGATTAGGCACGGTAGCCCACACCTGTAATCCCAGCACTTTGGGAGGGTGAGGCAGGTGGATCACATGAGCCTAGGAGTTTGAGACCTGTCTGGGCAACATAGCAAGACACCCCATCTCTATAAAAAATTTTTAAAAAATTAGCTGAGTGTGGTGCTACACGCCTGCAGTCTCAGCTACTCAGGAAGCTGACATGGAGGATCGCTTGAACAAACGAATTCAAGGTTGCAGTGAGCTATGATCATGCCACCACACTCTAGCTTAAGCAACAGAGCAAGACCCTGCCTCAAAAAAAAAAAAAAAAAAAAAAAAGAGAAAATATACTGGTTGGGCGCAGTGGCTCACACCTGTAATCCCAGCACTTTGGGAGGCCAAGGTGGGAGGATCACTTGAGCTCAGGAGTTTGAGACCAGCTTGGGCAACATAGCAAGACCCCATCTCATAAAAAAGAATTTTATATACATATACATATATATATACACACATATATATATACACACACACATATATATATATGTATATAAAATTCCAGCATAACCCTGATATGGTAACAATCCTGAAGGCAGCACATAAATGAGTAAAGTCTTGGCATGGCCTCACATTCACTCTCCTCCCCAGGAGACCATGCATGGTAGACAGCTCAGGGCAGGTGGCTTTGGAAGGCTGGGGGTGAACTCTCCACCTGCTTCTCTTGTCTTGATTTCCAGTACTTTGAGTACACAACTCAGAGGGACCTTCGCCACAACATCGCAAAGCAGCTGTGTCTACATGTCAGCAAGGGTGCTCTGGGCCTTGGGAGCTGTCACTTCACTGGCAAGAATAGCCAGGTCCCCAAGGACGAGGAATGGGAATTGGCCCAGGTGAGTCAGTGTCCAGAAAGCTCAGAATCAAGAACTTGAGGCCAGGTGTGGTGGCTCACGCCTGTAATCCCAGCACTTTGAGAGGCCGAGGAGGGCAGATCACGAGGTCAGGAGTTCGAGACCACCTGGCCAACATGGTGAAACCCCATCTCTACTAATAATACAAAAATTAGCTGGGCATAGTGGTCGGCGCCTATAATCCCAGCTACTCAGGAAGCTGAGGCAGGAGAATTGCCGGAACCCAGGAGGCGGAGGTTGCAGTGAGCTGAGGTCGTGCCATTGCAGTCCAGCCTGGGTGACAGAGCAAGACTCCATCTTGGGAAAAATAAAAAATAAAAAGAGAACTTGAGGCCACATCGGCCCCTCTATATTTTCTTCATTTTCTTCCTGAGACGCCATGGGGTGGAGTAGAGCAATGTAGAAGGTAGGTGAGTGTGTGTGTGGCCACAGGCAGGGTTCTTCAGGCTTAAAGGGTATTTGGTGATGACTGATGTAAAAATGGGGTGACAGGTTATGGTTCGTGGCTAGCTCTGCCATGGCTGAAGCATTTTTAGGCTGAACCCAATTAGAAGAAGGTGAAGAGTCATTCATAGTTCCTGCTTGTCCTCTGTGTCCTAGGCTCAAAGCTAGGCACTCACATGCCTGGGTCCAGTTAATCTTTCAGAGGCTCTTTCCAAGCAGGAATAGTCACTGTTTCTACAGATGAGCTGGAGCCGGAGGAAGCCCAGCATGTCTGTGACTGGCCCAAGACCCATCACTAGTAAATGGCAGGCCTGGGATTTAGCCCCAGATGGGTCTGACTTGAAAGCACGGGCTCTTTCCATTACACCACACTGCTCCAGGATATGCCATGTAACCGCCACCATGCTGAGCTCAAGCCAGCACCCCAAGTGAGCCTCCCTACTCCACCCCAGCTTAGGAAAGAGGAACCTAACCTGGAGGCTGCAGGGAAGGGAGCAGTCTAAACATAATCCAAGGCAGAAAATTGGAGGTGGAGCAGTGGCCCTGGGTCTTTGAGCCTGGCCATCTGGGGGTGCGGGAGGCCCTGAAAGCATTTTTCTCTCAGCCCATGGTCTTGTCTTTCACCATTTCATCCACTCAGTCTGAAGCTAGGGATGGGGATTTGGCACCAGATAGAGGTGGGAACTCAGGAATGTGTCTCATGAGAGGGCAGGAAAGGAATGGGGAAGTGTCCTCTTTGTGCCTTGTGGGGTTCCCTTGGCTTTTGTCAATTGCACCCCATCGCATTGTCCCTGGTAGCACCGTTAAGAGGTCTGTGGCCCAGACTGACCTTTTGCTTTGTCATCTTTTAGGATCAGCTCATCAGGAACTCAGGATCTGGTACCTGCCTGACATCCCAGGACAAAAAGCCAGCCATGGCCCCCTGCAATCCCAGTGACCCCCATCAGTTGTGGCTCTTTGTCTAGGACCCAGATCATCCCCAGAGAGAGCCCCCACAAGCTCCTCAGGAAACAGGATTGCTGATGTCTGGGAACCTGATCACCAGCTTCTCTGGAGGCCGTAAAGATGGATTTCTAAACCCACTGGGTGGCAAGGCAGGACCTTCCTAATCCTTGCAACAACATTGGGCCCATTTTCTTTCCTTCACACCGATGGAAGAGACCATTAGGACATATATTTAGCCTAGCGTTTTCCTGTTCTAGAAATAGAGGCTCCCAAAGTAGGGAAGGCAGCTGGGGGAGGGTTCAGGGCAGCAATGCTGAGTTCAAGAAAAGTACTTCAGGCTGGGCACAGTGGCTCATGCCTGAAATCCTAGCACTTTGGGAAGACAATGTGGGAGAATGGCTTGAGCCCAGGAGTTCAAGACCGGCCTGAGCAACATAGTGAGGATCCCATCTCTACGCCCACCCTCCCCCCGGCAAAAAAAAAAAGCTGGGTATGGTGGCTTATGCCTGTAGTCGCAGCTACTCAGAAGGCTGAGGTGGGAGGATTGCTTGTTCCCCGGAGGTTGAAGCTACAGTGAGCCTTGATTGTGTCACTGCACTCCAGCCTGGGCAACAGGTAAGACTCTGTCTCAAAAAAAAACAAAAAAGAAGAAGAAAAGTACTTCTACAGCCATGTCCTATTCCTTGATCATCCAAAGCACCTGCAGAGTCCAGTGAAATGATATATTCTGGCTGGGCACAGTGGCTCACACCTGTAATCCTAGCACTTTGGGAGGCCAAGGCAGGTGGATCACCTGAGGTCAGAAGTTTGAAACCAGCCTGGACTACATGGTGAAACTCCATCTCTACTAAAAGTACAAAAATTAGCTGGGCATGATGGCACGCACCTGCAGTCCCAGCTACTTGGGAGGCTGAGGCAGGAGAATCACTCGAACCCAGGAGGCAGAGGTTGCAGTGAGCCAAGACAGCACCATTGCACCCCAGCCTGAGCAACAAGAGCGAAACTCCATCTCAGGAAAAAAAAAAAAAAAAAAAGTATATTCTAACAGACAGATCAGAGGTCTAAGAGATCCTCCCTTGCTATTATTACCTGAAGTCTGTAGAACTGTTTACAGATATCTCCTTGACAGGTGTCCTTTATCTTACTTTATCTGTACAGTAATCCTGTGAGAAAGACAGGACAGAAACCACTGTGCCTATTTTACAGATACGAAAACTGAGACACAGGTAAAGGGGCTTGTCTGTAGTCCCATAGCTAGCAGATGGCTGGAGCCAAGACTGAGGCTCGTTCTTCAATGCTGAGCCAGGGCTCCTTCCGCTGCACCACAAGAACGCTAGACCACTCGCCACCAGCCTTCTCATTCCCTCTTCCTCCATTCTAATCATTTCTAGCTGGCTGGCCTCCACAGAGCATAGGAAAACAGCCAGGGCCGGGCACGGTGGCTCATGCCTGTAATCTCAACACTCTGGGAGGCCGAGCCGGGTGGATAACCTGAGGTCAGGAATTCGAGACCAGCCTGGCCAACATGGTAAAACCCCATCTCTACTAAAAATATAAAAATTAGCCAGGCATGGTGGCGCACACCTGTAATCCCAGCTACTCAAGAGGCTGAGGCAGGAGAATTGCTTAAATCTGGGAGGCGGAAGTTGCAGTGAGCCAAGATCGCGCCACTGAACTCCAGCCTAGGCAACAAGAGCAAAACTCCATCTCCAAAAAAAAGAAAGGAAAAACAGGGCCAGGTAGCCATTGTGGAGAGAGCACACTTAGGAATCCTGGGATGTTAGTGTTAAAAGAAAGCTCCTGGAGCCAGTGATTCTCAGGTTTGTCCCAGAACCCTTTTTTCTAAGCCCCATATAAAAGGTAGATTAAAAAAACAAAGTAGCATGAGTGAAATTGAGAGAGGGACAGGTAATGCCTTCCAGCCCCTAACTTCTAACAATCTGGAAGCACAACGTGAAAATCACGTAGCCCAACCCTATCATTTTCATATTATGAAACTGAGTCCAGGTAAGTGAATCTGTCCAAGGTCACCCAGCAAGGTATCAGTAGCCCTGAGGGTAAGGACTCTGATAAGGCTCGGGAGGGTCCTGGAAAGCCTGAGGCGGCAGGAAGAGTGTGCAGAGTTGAGCGTGTCTGGAAGGCTGATCCACTGCTGGGCCCACATCAAAGCCCCCATGGGGAGCAGACCCGACTGCACATGGCTCTTTTGCTGGAAGAAGAGCATGGCTGCGCAGAGGACTAAAATTTCATCTGGGAAGGCTTCTTTTGACTGTCAGTAGCAGGATGTCACCAGATGAGGGTGCTATGGGACCACAGCTGTCTTTGTTCCCATTGCAACTCAACCCTGCGGGAGGCCGCCTACATCCCTGAGAGCCTTCTGGAGCCTACAGAGGAGACATTGGCCAGCCAAAAGGAAAGGAGTGGCCAGGGTACGACCTGGAGTAGGGAAGGGAAAAAGTTCCCGGAAAGAAGAGAATTGGATGAGAGGTCTCAGTGGAAATAAAGGTTTTCTGGCATTGGTCAAGGAAACTCGCGTTGTGTTCTCTTACCTGTGTTGTCCCTTAGCTGAATCAGTTGATTTGGGCTATGAAGAACCACACACATCTGAAAAGTTCTGTTACAGCCACTGTCTCATGTCCCCAAACATTCTCTGGCCCTAAATCTAGCTTATGTATTGTGTCAAGCACGTGGAGACGTGAGACGTCAAACGAGGTCCTGTCCCCGTGGAACTCACACGCTAAATGTAAGCAAATCATAGCAAGCCTGGAGATGCTCCAAGAGGTGCTGGATGAGTTAGAAGGAGCAATTCCTTCCACTTAGGGAATCAGATAAGGCCTCACAAAGATGGCAATGTTTGACCTAAGACCTCGGAAGATGAGTCCTCAGATGGGAAGGGCTCAATAAGCAGAGTTGTTACACAGGCAGCAGCCTGGCAGGAGCAAAGCCACAGAGGACATGTGGCCCCAGTGGGTCTGAGAAACCCAGAGGACATTGGGGTGAGGGAGTGACTGGTGTAGAAGCTGGAAGATCAGAGTTACATCATGAATTTCAGGGGCCCTAGGCACTTTAGCCTTCACGGAGCTCTTGCTCCATTCAAAAAAAAATTAATGTTATGACTATGTTGGTATAAAGATGAATGTAATCCAGGCTGATTGGATTTACTTTATTTCTTCTGGTTTTAAAAGAAGCTAAAACATTTCTATGGGCCCTGGGCACTGCACCTGCTGTGCCTACTGGGTAACTCAGCCCCGTACAAGAGTGGGTTGGGGCCCAGTTGAGAGAGGCTTTGGTAGGTCCGGTAAGCCACAGGGAGTCGTGGAGCCTAACCCTAGCCTTATTCTTGGTTGCATTAAATATCCAAACGTGGATCCCAGTATCCCTCATACTGTCTATGGTATCACCCAACAGCTCCCCAGCCTAATCATATGATGTAGCCCAACCAAGGTGCCCAGCTGTGTCAAGAAGGTTCCACCTGCCCCCAAATAGCATAGCACTTCCCAGGCACAGTCAGCCAAGAGCTACTCGCAGGGAGTGGGAGATGCAGCAGGAGGGAGACACAGGCTGTGTCTAGAGAGGAGGTCTGGGTTCAGGGATGAGGGGAGGACTAGGGAAGGGAGGTGGTGGAGAAGAGGGAGAAGGCACTGATGGGAGTGGTGGGAAGGCTCAAGAAACTAGCTTTGGCCAGGCACCAATGTCTGACAACTGTAATCCCAGCACTTTCAGAAGCCGAGGCGGGCAGATCACTTGAGGTCAGGAGTTCAAGACCAGCCTGGCCAACATGGCGAAACCCAGTCTGTACTAAAAATACAAAAGTTAGCCAGACGTGGTGGCAGGCGTCTGTAATCCCAGCTACTCGGGAGGCTGAGGCACAAGAATCGCTTGAGCCTGGGAGGCAGAGGTTGCAGTGAGCTGAGATTGTGTTTCAGCCTGGGTGACCGAGTGAGACTCTGTCTCAAAAAAACAAACAAACAAACAAGAAACTAGCTTCTTCATGGCATTTTCCTTAGTCAAGCCTGGCCTGGCCCTAACAACACCCGTATTCTTCCTTAAAACCCACCCCTCTGACCACTCTCAGCTAACCTAAGGCCCCTACCTCTTAAAACCCTGCTGCTAGCCCTGTGCTACTATCTCCCGGCTCTAGGAGTCTCTCACTCTAGCATTAAAGAGCTAGGCCTCTCTGGGGATCTGTTTCCCACATGAAGAGTACTGGGGCCATTGCCACAAATAGCTAGATGTCCCAGAATTTATTCTTATTTTTAATTACCAAAGTAATACTGTGCCAGCCTGGCCAACATATCGAAACCCCGTCTTTACTAAAAATACAAAAATTAGCTGGGCGTGGTGGTGGGCACCTGTAATCCCAGCTACTCGCAAGGTTGAGGCAGGAGAATCGCTTGAACCTGGGAGGTGGAGGTTGCAGTGAGCCAAGATTGTGCCACTGCACTTCAGCCTGGGCAACACAGAGAGACTCCATTTTGTTTTGTTTTGTTTTTTTTAAAGTAATATTGTGGAGAAAAGTCAAGTGATCTAGAAAAGTGAGGTTTAAAAAAGTGAAATTTGCTACTTGGGAGGCTCAGGTGGGAGGATTGCTGGAGCCCAGAAAGTCAAGGCTGCAGTAATTTGTGATCGTGCCACTGCACACCAGCCTGGGTGACAGAGAGAGACTCTGTTTCAAAAAAATAATAAAGCTATATAGTATTCCATAGCAGGGTTAAACCCAATTTATTCAGTCTTCCTCTACTGATGAATACTTAGCTTTTTTCCAATTTTGCAACAAGCTTTGTGACAAACTATACTGTAACCCACAACCTCGAACATTTATTTTTCTGCCTGTTTTTTTGTTTTGTTTTGTTTTGAGACTGGGTCTTGTTTTGTCACCCAGGCTGGAGTGCAGTGACACAATCATGGCTCACTGCAGCCTCGACCTCCCATGCTCAAGGGATCCTCCCACCTCAGCCTCCCAAGTAATGGGACTACAGGCATGCGCCACCATGTTTTTTTCATGTTTTGTAGAGACAAGGTCTCATTATGTTGCCCAGGCTGATACCAAACTTCTGGCCTCAAGCAGTCCTCCCGCCTTGGCTTCCCAAATTGCTGAGATTACAAACATGAGCCACCATGCCCGACCAGTGTTTATCTCAAAAGAATTCATTCCTAGAATTGGTATGCAATGTCAGAAGAAATGCAATGCCTCAAAATTTAAGTCATTGTCTGGCTGGGCGGGTGGCTCATGCCTGCAATCCCAGTACTTGGGGAGGCTGAGGTGGGTGAATCACTTGAGCTCAGGAGTTTGAGACTAGCTTGGGCAACATGGTGAAACCTCGTCTCTACAAAAAATACAAAAATTAGCTGGGCATGGTGGCTGGCACCTGTAGTCCCAGCTACTTGAGGGGCTGAGGTGGGAGGATCGCTTGAGCCCAGAAGATGGAGGTTGCAGTGAGTTGAGATCATGCCACTGCACTCTAGCATGGGCAACAGAATGAGACCCTGTCTTAAAAAAAGAAAAAATTTAAGCCATTGTCTATGCCTAACCCTAAGAGTAAGATTTTTTTTTTTTTTTTTTTGAGATGGAGTCTTGCTCTGTTGCCCAGGCTGGAGTGCAGTGGCACAATCTCGGCTCACTGCAACCTCCACCTCCAGGGTTCAAGCAACTCTCCCTGCCACAGCTTCCCAAGGAGCTGGGATTACAGCTCCCAAGCACAGGGACTACACCACAACGCCTGGCTAATTTTTGTATTTTCAGTAGAGACGGGATTTCACCATGTTGGCCAGGCTGGTCTGGAACTCCTGACCTCAGGTGATCTGGCCCTGCTGTGATGTAAAGAGGTAACCTTCAGGAGGCCCTCAAGCCTCCTCTTGGACTCCTCATCCTGGGGCTAGAGGCCAGAGGAAGCAGGGAAGCGGGAGGAGAATGACCAAAGAGGCCCCGGGTTCCCTAGCGCAGCTCACCCCTCTTCCCTGAGTGTGCCAGAATGCTGGAGGGCAGGCTGGAGAGCAAGCTCTTCAGGTTATCTGAGCATCAAAGTGCAACTCCTCTGAACAGCTCTAGACACTGAAAAAGTGACTGTGCAGATTCCTTCAAAGAGCATTTTCCAGGTTTCTCCCACCCCTGCAGCCATGAAGCTTGGATTCTGGAGTGTTTAGGCAACAAAAGCCCTGGGTGGGCAGGTGATGGTCCTGCTTCTGTCTAGGTTCCTGGCTTCTCCCTGCCTAATTCCAAACCCCATGCGTTGCTACCATGACTGCTGCACCCACAGTCCTCTGCTCTGGAGCCTGCAGTGGCTCTGATCATTTTGTGGCCAACCCAAGGGTCCTCTGCCCACCTCAAGGCACATTGCAACTCTTTTCTCTCTCTATTTATTTATTTATTTATTTATTTATTTATTTATTTATTTATTTATTTTGAGACAGAGTCTTGCTCTGTCTCCAGGCTGGAGTGCAGCAACCTCCGCTTCCCAGGTTGAAGCGATTCTCCTGCCTCAGCCTCCAGATTAGCTGGGACTGCAGAAGCGCACCACCATGCCCAGCTAATTTTTGTATTTTGTTTTTGTTTTTTTTTAGATGGAGTCTCGCTCTGTCGCCCAGGTTGGAGTGCAGTGGCGCGATCTCGGCTCACTGCAAGCTCCGCCTCCCGGGCTCACGCCATTCTCCTGCCTGCGCCTCCCGAGGAGCTGGGACTACAGGCGCCTGCCACCACGCCCAGCTAATTTTTTGTATTTTTTTAGTAGAGACGGGGTTTCACTGTGTTAGCCAGAGTAGTCTCAATCTCCTGACCTCGTGATCCGCCCGCCTCCGACTCCCAAAGTGCTGGGATTACAGGCATGAGCCACCGCGCCCGGCCAATTTTTGTATTTTTAGTAGACGGGGTTTCGCCATGTTGGCCAGGATGGTCTCGATCTCTTGATCTTGTGATCCGCCCGCCTCAGCCTCCCAAAGTGCTGGGATTACAGGCGTAAACCACCGCGCCCGGCCGCAACTCCCTTCTCTCTCCTCTACGAACTGTGATGAACAAAGCCTTTCATCTCCTGCAGGAACCTCGGCTCCTACCCTCGTTCTCCCTCTGCCCTCCACCCTCCATCTACCCTCATAGCCCTCAGACTGTCTTCACATCCCAAGGATCCCCTCCTCTACCCTGCCTCATATTCTCCTCTGGGAGCCCCTTCTTGGCTCTCCATCTGAGAGGGCCCAAGCCTGTTTCTCAGTACTTTCCTCCCCCAGAATTATCTCCACTGCATCTATTTGGCTTTTGTGTCTGCATTTACACCTATGCCTGCATCCTGGGGGCATGTGCCATCTCCCTCTTTGGGCAGAGAGAGTTGCTGTGTCTTCCTTGCCCTTGCTAACCACTCCCCCCTCTTCCACTATCCCCCTGGCCTCCAGCTGCTAGTGCACAGGGCAAGTCTCTGCATTTATGGTGCCACTGAGGACAACGAGAGAGTGATGGATGACAAGGGGTGCTCCCTTAGAGAAAAACCAGCCCTGGTTCTCCATCTTATTTCTGAAAAAGAGTTTGTTGGATGCTTTTCAATTAAAAGCAGATGATTAATTCAGCCCTGGCCTTGTTCTGTCTTTGAATAACAGATACATTAGTTTACTTGAAAAGAAATATTTTCATTTGTATTTCCATGTCACTTGTGATTTTCCCTGCCTTGCACCCTCAGCCCTGCCAGTTGGCAAGAAGACAGTCAGCTTTGCTGCTAAGAGGAGTATAAAGAGGGCTTGGTCCAAGCAAGAAGGCAGTGGTCTACTCCATCGGCAACATGCTGGTCCTTTATGGTAAGTGGATATGGTCCAGTCGCAACCCTGGTCCTTTATGGTAAGTGGATCATGTGGCCTGAGGTCTATAGGGAGGGGGACTTGGGCAGGAAGGTCAGCAAATTTTCCCTAAGTCCAGGCCAGCACCCTGTCCCAGGGCAGGTGGGACGCTCTGCCTGCAGAGCGTCCTTTACTCTCCTGGAGGCCAAGATAGAAAAGGTCAGGGCCACTGGCTATTCAGGCCCCTCTGGGTGGCAGGTCCCTGGGCCACAAAGCAGAGAGAAGCCCCATCTGGTAGTGGGGTGGGTCCCTGGGCTTCCCCACCACCCCCATTGACAGGAGGACTTCCTCAGCAGGTGCCTGGCTGGGGTGTGCACTGCAGGCCCTGAACCCTGGAGAATCTTGCCAAAGCATTAGGGGGCTGGTGGGGGTCAAAGAGTGGGGGGGGGTCTCTTCAGGCCAAAGGGTGATCTTGAGCAAAGAGGAGACCACAAGGAGCCTCTGGGGCCTAGCCTGGTGGTTTGAGAGAGGTCCTTCATAGCATGCCGGAGTTCTGGGAACACCTGGGGGAAACAGAAGGCACCCAGGCACCCCTGTTTTCAAAAGGGGCTCAGAGAACTCACAGCTGGGCCCCTCATTCGTTAGAGAGGAACTGTGAATTTGCAGACAAGGCTAACATTCCTCAAAGCACAATCGCCACCCCCCACCCCTACCCCTGGCTGACCCCATGCTTAGTCATCACTCACTTTTCTTCTGCCCCACAAAGGACACAGCACCCAGGACCTTCCGGAAACCAATGCCCGCGTAGTCGGAGGGACTGAGGCCGGGAGGAATTCCTGGCCCTCTCAGGTGGGTGTTCCTTCCCAGCCCCAGACTTCCACCCAAATAAGAGCTCAGTGCATGACATAAGGTATCATGTGTATTTGTGCATGTCCCTATCAACAAGCAGCTCTCCAATTGTCTAGGTTCTCGATTTTAAAGATGGATGGGATCAGGCTTAGGTGGTTTTCTAAATGCAAAAGGCTTGGAGGAGGGGATTTATACACCAACCACAGTCCCTCTTCAAGGCACACACCCAAACACAAGATACATTTATATTCTCAGCGACAGCACTTGTGCCACGCAAGAAAGACTGGGTGCCAGACAGTCACCTTGGACTCCACATACCTTGAAACTCACACGCACACCACTCCACACTGTGTGTGTCACAATGCTTGCACGCATGTGCGCGCACACACACACACACACACGTACAGCATGCTGCTTAGTTGGCTATTTAGAGTTTCCACTTTGCTAACAGGGCAGCTGGGCCCTGATTTAAGTGATCTAAATATGTAAACCTGGCAAATTAACTGATGAAGATCCACACTTTGAGAAGATATCACTGCAATCAGAGTTTTAGCTTATAAAAGTCTGAGCCCCAGTTTTCAGGAGTAGAGCTATTACATAACATGAGGTGCTAGAAGAAGAGACATGAACTGATAAAAACAAACATCCTATTGGTATTTTTTTTTTTTTGAGATGGAGTTTTGCTCTCATTGCCCAGGCTAGAGTGCAATGGCATGATCTCGGCTCACTGCAAACTCTGCCTCCTGGGTTCAAGCAGTTCTCCTGCGTCAGCCTCCTGAGTAGCTGGGATTACAGGCGCCTGTCACCATGCCCAGCTAATTTTTGTATTTTTAGTAGAGACGGGGTTTCACCATGTTGGCCAGGCTGGTCTCAAACTCCTGACCTCAGGTGATCCACCCGCCTCAGCCTCCCAAAGTGCTGGGATTACAGGCATGAGCCACAGCGCCTGGCCTCCCATTGGTATTTCTAAGTAGTCCCTGAAGTGGGGAGACAGGAGATGTCTTGAAAACACTAAAGGTACAGCTCTGGAGACCTAAGCCTGTTGGGCTTAGGTGATGGAGCAAATCTTTGCCTATAGTTCCTCTTTTTTGGGGGAGGAGAGGGGGCGATGGAGTCTCGCTCTGTCACCAGGCTGCAGTGCAGTGACGCTATCTCAGCTCACTGTAACCTCCACCTCCTGGGTTCAAGCAATTCTCCTGCCTCAGCCTCCTGAGTAGCTGGGACTACAGGTGCATGCCACCACGCCCGACTAATTTTTGCATTTTTAGTAGAGATGGGGTTTCACCATGTTGGCCAGGATGGTCTTGATCTCCTGACCTGGTGATCCACCCGCCTTGGCCTCCCAATGTGCTAGGATCACAGGCGTGAGCCATGGTGCCTGGCCTATAGTTCCTCTTTAAGGGAGAACAGAGGTAGAAGGAGTTCCAAAAAAGGAGTTACAATGGGTTCTAGGTCCATTGCAACAACCTAGAGAGATAATGCCAAATACACTGTGTGCCTTTACTCCTCCATCCATGTACACAGCAAACATCACCAAGCGATGGAGCATCCCTTCCTGCTGGCCCCAGAAGCATCTACACACCCCTTATCAATGCCACACTCCAGGTGGCCACTACCAAGCAATCAGTAGCAATTGGCAGGTCAGATGAAACCTATTTGCCATCTCTAGCCTAGAAAGAGAATGTTTTGAAGGACAGCAGGACTTTAAGGAGGTGACATGTAGTTTGAGGCAAAGTCTTTTATATTTAATTATTTTTGACGTTGTAGAGGCGAGGTCTCACTATGTTGCCCAGGCTGGTCTCCAGCTCCTAGGCTCAACTGATCCTCCTGCCTCAGCCTTCCAAAGTTCTGGGATTACTGGCATGAGCCACTGCAACCGACCTGGGGCAAAACCATTTGAGAAACACCAACCTATCCCTTCTTTCTTTCCTCCCCATCTAGATTTCCCTCCAGTACCGGTCTGGAGGTTCCCGGTATCACACCTGTGGAGGGACCCTTATCAGACAGAACTGGGTGATGACAGCTGCTCACTGCGTGGATTAGTAAGAAAAACAAAGACAAGCTTTCCTGGGCCCCTGGAAGGGGAAGGGGCTGACCTTCTGAAAGAGGATATAATTTTGCCCTCTCTGGACAGCACTTCAGGGACTGGGCAGTGGCTCCTTTCCTGTTCAGGGCCTGCAGGGAGGTAGTATGGTGAAAGTACAAACTTTGGAGTCAGGGAGACTCAAATTCAAATCTTGCTCCACCAAATTCTAGCTATGTAGCCTTGGGCAACTATGCCCCCATTCTCCTATCTCTAAAGTGGGCTAAGAACATTTACTTTGTAGAAATGTTGTGAGGATTGAGTAAATATGTAAGTGCCTAGTCAATGTCTGACTGGTGACTATTTTTTCCTATTTGTCTTGGGCAATGGTTTTCACATTTGAGCATGTGTCAGAATCACCTGGAAGGCACAGATTGCTGGGCCCCATCCAGCAGAGTTTCTAATTTGGTAGGTCCAGGGTGAGGCCTGATAATTTGCATTTCTAACAAGTTTCCAGGTGATGCTCATGCTGCGGCCCAGGAACCACGCTTTAAGAACAACTAGCCTAAAAGTCTATGCTTCCTTCAAAATCTTGGTGGCTGAGAGCCATTATTTCATTTATGCGCACTACACCTCTCCCAGTTTACAAGATATTCAGCCTATGATGTTAAACCGAGAAAATCAAAGTGATGGTAGTTTTTTTCACTTCCACAAGTTAGTCAATTAGGGAATGAAAGAGCTTGTTACTTTCTCATTTTGGAGAGTCTTATATCCCTCCTCTGCCTAGACCAGATAAGATGGGTTCCTGTCCTAAAATAATAAACAAAACCTGGGCACGGTGGCTCACACCTGTAGTCCCAGCTACTAGGGAAGCTGCGGTGGGAGGATCACTTGAGCCTGGGAGTTTGAAGCCAGCCTGGGCAACACAGCAAAACCCCATCTCTAAAAAAAAAAAAAAATTTCCTAAATAATAATGATTAAAAAAAAAGATGGTTTTTCAACTTTTCTCTAAGTGGGGTAGAGAAGGTTTGAGTCCCCTGGATGACTCAGGGATTCCTTCTCTCACGCCAGCCAGAAGACTTTCCGCGTGGTGGCTGGAGACCATAACCTGAGCCAGAATGATGGCACTGAGCAGTACGTGAGTGTGCAGAAGATCGTGGTGCATCCATACTGGAACAGCGATAACGTGGCTGCCGGGTAGGAGCAAGTCCAAGCTGGCCCTGGGCTGGGCGGTGAGGCCTGACTAGCCAACAACTGGCTGCCTTCACCTGTTCTTTCAGAGGGCTAGAGGGATTGCATGGCCTGAAACCTGGTCCGTGGCTCCTGGCCTGGCCTTTAGTTAAGGAGCCCAGCTGAGCCTGAGAGAAGGCACCATGTCCTAGAGGGAGCAATGAGCTGGCTCATTCGTCCAGGAGGACTTTGAGAATTTAGGTTCTGAGCCAGGCACAGTGGCTCATGCCTATAATCCCAACACTTTGGGAAGCCAAGGCAGGCGGATCACCTGAGGTCAGGAGTTTGAGACCAGCCTGACCAATATGGTGAAACCCTGTCTGTACTAAAAATACAAAAAAAAAAAAATTAGCCAGGCATGGTGGCATGTGCCTGTAATCGCTTGATTACAGGAGAATCACTTGAACCCAGGAGGAAGAGGGTGCAGTGAGCTGAGATCGCGCCACTGCACTCCAGCCTGGGTGACAGAGTGAGACTCTGTCTCATAAGAAAAAGAGAACTGACGTTCTGGAGGGCTTGAGAGTCTTTGAAGACCTTTAGGATTTGTTGGATCCAGGCTGGTTTGCACAGTGGATTACCATTCTCTGCAGATTTTAATGTTCTGTTTCTATGGGGGGTTTTATCATTATTTATTATTCACATTATAGAATAGACTCCATCAGCAAAAGTAAATTTCCTAAAGTGAATCTTACACGGGAAAATTGCAAGTTGAGTTGTAAACTTCTGGAAAATAAATAATTAAAACGGTGGTCAATTCTATAGCATGTGCAGGTGGGGGTGGGTTCAAGGAATTGGGATATTCTACTGAGCTTGTAGAGCCACTCAGCCTTTTACATTTTTCTTGTTTGAGAACTCTGCCACCAAGATCATGCCACTCTGCTCCTTTCAGATTCCCCCATTCTCTACTTCCCGGGGTTGCAAAGGTCAGAGCTAGGCTGCAATACCAATGTCCCACCAGCAGATGCTGCTGTTAAACATAGAATGTTTACATGTTAAATTGTAATTGCTCTAGTTTGAGGCTTAGCAAGTGAGCCCCGTCCTTCTTCAAAGTCGTCACTTTCCAATTCCACGGGGATACAAATGCTTAGAGAGGGCCAGTGTATATGCTGACCTCAGGGAAGAGCTGATCCCATGAGTGAGCAGTCTCCTTTTCTCCTGCAGCTATGACATCGCCCTGCTGCGCCTGGCCCAGAGCGTTACCCTCAATAGCTATGTCCAGCTGGGTGTTCTGCCCCAGGAGGGAGCCATCCTGGCTAACAACAGTCCCTGCTACATCACAGGCTGGGGCAAGACCAAGAGTAAGTTGCCTACATTGGCACAATCCACCACGGGGATCTTGATTAGGTAGCTGAGCTTCTAAGACACCTTTTTCTGTGGTCCTAGGTGCTTATGGCCAGAGACCAGGAGCTAAAAGAACCATAGATACAATAACTGATGCATTATATCAAGCTAAGAATGGGCTGTGAAGTAGTTGACAGATTCATGGACTCTTAGAACAAAAAAAGACTTTATCAGAGAATTTTTTTTACCAGCCCCTCATTTTTAAAATTTATTTATTTATTTAGAGACAGGGTTTTGCTCTGTCACCCAGGCTGCAACCTCCACTTCCTGGGCTCAAGTGATCCTCCCACCTCAGCCTCCTGAGTAGCTGAGACTATAGGCATGTACCACCACACTCAGCTAATTTTTAAATTTTTTTGTAGAGATGGGATCTCGCTATATTGCCTAGGCTGGCCTCGAACTCCTGAGCTTAAGAAATCCTCCCACCTTGGCCTCCCAAAGTGCTGGGATTACAGGCATGTGCCACTGCAGCCAGCCAGCCCTTCATTTTATACATGAGGAAACCAAGGTCCAGAGAAATTAAGGATCCTTAGCTGAGTGTGGTGGCATGAGTCTGTAGTCCCAGGTACTCAGGAGGCTGAGGAAGGAGGATCGCTTAAGCCTGACCAACATGGAGAAACCCCATCTCTACTAAAAATACAAAATTAGCCAGGCATGGTGGTGCATGCCTTTAATCCCAGCTACTCGGCAGGCTGAGGCAGGAGAATCTCTTGAACCTGGGAGGCGGAGGTTGTGGTGAGCCGAGATTGCTCCATTGCACTCCAGCCTGGGCAACAAGAGTGAAACTCCATCTCAAAAAAAAAAAAAAAAAAGAAAGAAAGAAATGGAAACAAGCATGCACAATCCCATTTCTGCTCCATGGAGCTTGCAGGAGCAAACAGAACAGACAGATAAATCATCCACAAATAAGGCCATTCCATGGTGCAACTAAGTTATCCACGAGTGAAAAGAAGCAGGAGTAGGGTTGGTGGCTTGGAGCCTAGGTACAGTAAGCAAGGCTGCCTCCCTGAGGGAAGGGTCCTGTGCGGCCATATAAAGAGAGAAGACAGAGGATCCACCACATGCAACAGGGAGAGAGAAGGAGTTTGCCCTGAGCTCAGCTTTCACGAGAGTTTGGGAAGGTGTGGCAGGGGTGGAAGGTTTTTCTGCTGGACCACATCTGGAGCTGACTGCCAATGCCGTGTGTCCTGTTCAGCCAATGGGCAGCTGGCCCAGACCCTGCAGCAGGCTTACCTGCCCTCTGTGGACTACGCCATCTGCTCCAGCTCCTCCTACTGGGGCTCCACTGTGAAGAACACCATGGTGTGTGCTGGTGGAGATGGAGTTCGCTCTGGATGCCAGGTGAACATTTGCAGGGGGTCCCACCCCAGGTCCCGCCACTCTCTGCCTATCCCTCCACCCCTCTTCCTCACCTCCCTATTCGACACTTACTCTTAGTCCTACACAGACTCAATTTTCTACTCTGGCGTCTAAGTGAGAATGATCCTGTGCTGGTAATTCTACACATGCAGAAACTCAAAGTTGAAAGGAACCTTAAAATTGATCTTGCTCGATGCCCTCACTTCAAAGTTTGTACGTGGCCCAACATTTATATGTTGTTGTTGGTATATGTGTGTGTTCTTAGAATTTGTTACCTAGATTTTTTTTTTGAGATGGAGTTTTGCTCTTGTTGCCCAGACTGGAGTGCAATGGGACGATCTCGGCTCACTGCAACCTCCGCCTCTGGGTTCAAGCAATTCTCCTGCCTCAGCCTCCCAAGTAGCTGGGATTACAGGCATGCACCACCACGCCCGGCTAATTTTTTGTATTTTTAGTAGAGACAGGGTTTCTCCATGTTGCTCAGGCTGATCTCGAACTCCCGACCTCAGGTGATCCACCCGCCTTGGCCTCCCAAAGTGCTGGGACTACAGGCGTGAGCCACCATGCCCAGCCAAATTTGTTACCTAGATTTTTTAATGGCAGCGATGCAGCTGAGCCTGGACAGGTGGTTGTGATGCTGTATAAGCAGTACCCTGCTCCCTCTTACCTATCAGTCCTACTTCTCTTGCAGTTCCTCTACCACCATCCCTTTACCCCAGTGATATTTCTGGCAGTATGTACAGGTGAGTTTGATAGGGGAAAGTGCACAAAATAATTTTATAATAGCTTATATATAACAAATATAACCTTCCTCTATTTTGACAAGATCAATCAGCCATAAACTATCTTACAGATTTCTCTTTTTAAGCTTTTTTTATTATTATTATTTTAATATAGAGATGGGGTCTTGCTTTGTGGCCCAGGCTGGTCTCAGACTCCAGGGCTCAAGTGATCCTCCCACATTGGCCTCCCAAAGTGCTGGGAATACAGGCGTGAGCCACCATGCCCCACCCCAGATTTCTTAATGCAGTTTAACAACTATTCATTATATATCTACTATATGCCAGGCATTGTGCTAAGTGCTAAGGTTACAAAGATGGATCAAACAGTGTCAAGTAAAGAAACCAGAGGCACAGACATACAATAGAACATTGTAATACAATGTGGTTAAGTGTTAATAATCAGGATGTGCACAGGTGATATGGAAGCCCAAGGGTAGGTACCTACCTCTACCTACTGGGGCCAGAAAAGACTTTCCTTCCCCAAGAAACTAGAATTTGTAGTGGGTCCTGAGGGGCAAATAGGAATAGGCCAGGCAAAAAGGAGAAAAGACATTCAGAGGGAGGGAACGGCATGAATAAAGGCAGGGGGCCAAGAAACAACCTAGAGTACATACAGAATTATGGGGCATTCCCTAAGGCTAGAGTAGAGCAGCGGCTGGAGGTCCACAAGCCGAATCTAGCTCACTGCTTGTTTTATATGGCCCATGAGCTTAGAACAGTTATTACATTTTGATTTCTATATATATATATATATATGTATGCGTATGTGTATGTGTGTGTGTGTGTGTGTGTGTGTGTGTGTGTATGTTTTTTTTTTTTCCTGAGATGGAGTCTCACTCTGTCGCCCAGACTGGAGTGCAGTGGCGCAATCTCAGCTCACTGAAACCTCTGCCTCCCGGGTTCAAGCAATTCTTCTGCCTCAGCCTCCCGAGTAGCTGGGATTACAGGCACGCACCACCACATCTGCTAATTTTTGTATTTTTAGTAGAGACAGGATTTCACCATGTTTGCAAGGCTGGTCTCGAACTGGCTGGTCTCGGACTCCTGACCTCGTGATCCACCTGCCTCTGCCTCCCAAAGTGCTGGGATTACAGGCATGAGCCACCGCGCCTGGCCATATACATATATATATATATTTGTTTTTTTTTTGAGACAGCGTCTCACTCTGTTGCCCAGGCTGGAGTTCAGTTGTACCATCATGGTTCACTTGTAACCTCTGCCTCCCAGGCTCAAGTGATTTTCCCACCTCAGCCTCCCTAGTAGCTGGGACTACAGGCACATACCACCATACCCAGCTAATTTTTTGTATTTTTTGTAGAGACAGGGTTTCACCATGTTGCCCAGGCTGGAATTATTACATTTATTAATGGTAAGGAAAAAAAATCAGAATAATAATATGTCATGACACATGAAGAATATATAAAATTTCAGTGCCCATAAATAACATTTCACTGGAACACAGTCACAGTTGCTCATTTACAAACTGTTTATGGCTGCTTTTTTTTTTTTTTTTTTTTTTTGAAGAGATAAGGTCTTGCTCTGTCACTCAGGCTGGAGTGCAGTGGTGCCATCTTGGCTCACTGCAGCCTCAACTTCCTGGGCTCAAATGATCCTCCCACCTCAGCCTCCCAAGTAGCTAGGATCACAGGCACATGCCATCACACCCAGCTAATTTTGTTTTGTTTTTGGTAGTGACAAGGTTTCACTATGATGCCCAGGCTGGTCTTGAACTCCTGGCCTCAAGCAATCCTCCTGCCTTGGCCTCCTGGAGTGCTGGGATTATAGGCGTGAGGCACCATGCCCAGCCTATGGCTGCTTTTGTAGTACAACACAAAGTAGTTGCAATCAAGACGGTATGGCCTGCAAAGCCTGAAATATGTACTGTTTGGCCCTTAACAGAAGAGGTTTGCTGACCCGTGGGCTAGAATAGAAGCTACCACCATACTAGGAAATGTCAGGAGGTAAGACTAGAGAGGCAAGCAAGAGCTGTACAACTCAGGGCTTCAAATGCCAGGCTTGGGGACATGAACCTTATCTCTTGGGCATTGGGAAGCCATCAAAGACTTCTAAACAGGAGACTAGCACAACCAGATTCACCTTTTAGAATTGTTCTTTAGGCATGTTTTTGAAGAAGACAAGAGAGGCAGGGAGATTGCCTAGAGGGCTATTGCAATGATCTAAGCAAGAAATTTGAGGGCCTGAATTAAGGCAGTGGTGATAGGAACCGGAGGAGGGAAGGAGGAGGATCTGGAACAACAGCCAAGCATCTGGTTTAAGTGATTTGGGGGAGGGCACTGTTGCCCTGAGACAAGATTTACAGAGTTTGAGAGAGAAGATGATGAGTTTGGTTCTGGACAACCTTTGTCTGAGATCCCAGTGGGACATTCAGGTATAGCAACCAGTAAGAAATTTGGTGTTTTTTTTGTTTTGTTTGAGACGGAGTCTCCCTCTCTCACCCAGGCTGGAGTGCAGTAGCGCGATCTCAGCTCACTGCCCCCTCTGTCTCACGGGCTCAAGTGATTCTACTACCTCAGGTTCCTAAGTAGCCGGGATTACAGGCATGTGCCACAACACCTGGCTAATTTTTGTATTTTTAGTAGAGACGGGGTTTCCCCATGTTGGCCAGGCTAAGTCTCGAACTCCTGACCTCAGCCTCCCAAAGTGCTGGGATTACAGGCATGAGCCACCACGCCTGGCCAAGAAATTAGATAGAAAAAGTGGGGCCTGGGGGAAGAGCTGGGCTAGAGATACCTACTGAGAACAAATCAGATCCCATTCCAGGGAAAAACTGTTCAATGAGAAAAGAGCAGTGGGTTGGGAAAGAACTGTCAGAACATAAATACTTGAGTGTTTCAGGGATAAGTGGAGGATAAAGAAACCACTAGGATCTAAGAAAGGAGAAGTAGATGTAAGATAAAAACCTGGTAATAAGGATATTATGAAATCTCAGGAAGTACTTACAGATATCACATAATATACAATTCACCCAGAAGCCACAGTAGGTAAGAGCTGAAAGTGGCCACTTTGGCAATTGTAACCTTGGCAAGAGCAGTTTCAGTGGAGTGGTGAGGGCAGAAGCTTGTCCGAAGGGTAAGAAATAAAGAGGCAATAAGACATATAACCAGCCGGGTGTAGTAGCTCATGCCTGTAATCCCAAGATTTTGGCAGATTGAGGCAGGAGGATCGCTTGAGCCCAGGAGTTAGAGACCAGCCTGGGAAATGTAGGGAGACTTCATCTCTATGAAAATTTTAAAAATTAGCTGGATGTGGTGGCGTGCACCTGTAACCCCAGCTACTTGGAAGGCTGAGGTGGGAAGATCACTTGAGCCAAGGAGTTCGAGGCTGCAGTGAGCTATGATCGCACCACGGCACTCCGGCCTGGGCAACAGAGTGAGACCCTGTCTCAAAAGAGGACAAAAAAAAAAAAAAAGGAAGAACAAAAAAAGTCTGGTAGCTTTAAGGACAGCAAGTCATGGAGGGAGTGGATCTTCTAAGAGAAGAAAATTGGCCGGGCGCGGTGGCTCCCGCCTGTAATATCAGTGCTTTGGGAGGCTATGGCGGGCAGATCACAAGGTCAGGAGTTCGAGACCAGCCTGGCCAGCATGGTGAAACACCATCTACTAAAAATACAAAAAAGTAGCCAGGCATGGTGGCGCGTGCCTGTAATCCTAGCTACTCAGGAGGCTGAGGCAGGAGAATTGCTCGAACCTAGGAGGCAGAGGTTGCAGTGAGCCAAGATCGCACCACCGCACTCCAGCCTGGGTGACAGAGTGAGACTCCGTCTCAAAAAAAGAGAAAAGAAAATTGAGTGCATAAATAGGCAGAGAGGAAAGAATCCTGTAGAGTCAGACAGAGGTAATAATAATAATGGATGGCACAAGATCCCACAGAAGAAAGAGATGGAACTAAGAGCACAGGTGGAGCTGGCTCTGAACAGGAAGAGGGATACCAGATGTGCACACAGACATAGAAAAGTTTGCTGGATTTGGTAGCCGAACGTTGGCAGGTGTTCTACATTATTGCTTCTAGTTACTCATGAACTAGGAGGAGTCAACTTGACTGCTGAAAATGAAGGGGAAAGGGTTGTATGGGTCTGGACTAGTTAGTGTGAATGGGAGGACAGTCCTCCAAGATGTTGCTGACTGGCTGTTTGGAGACCAGACTACGACCACATGGATATATGATTCACTCTGTTTTACTCAAAGACGGTTTCCTGCATGATTGGGGTAAAAGGACAGGATTGCAGATCAACTGCAAGGTCCAAACTAGATGGAGGAGAGAGAGAAGCTGGCAGGCTGGCTGAAACTATAAAAAATGAAAGGATTAGGCCAGGCGCAGTGGCTCATGCCTGTAATCCCAGCACTTTGGGAGGCCAAGGCAGGCGGATCACGAGGTCAGGAGATCGAGACCATCCTGGCTAACACGGTGAAACCCCGTCTCTACTAAAAATACAAAAAAATTAGCCGGGTGTGGTGGCGGGTGCCTGTAGTCCCAGCTACTCGGGAGGCTGAGGAAGGAGAATGGTGTGAACCGGGGAGGTGGAGCTTGCAGTGAGCTGAAATCGTGCCACTGCACTCCAGCCTGGGCAACAGAGCAAGACTCTGTCTCAAAGAAAAAAAAAAGGATTAAAAAGTTTTTTGTGTGTATGAGTACAAAGAACCATGGAAATAAAGTAGCCAATTCATCCTAGTTTGCCCTAGACTTTCCTGGTATTAACATTTAAAAGTCCTGTATCCCAGGGACTCTACATGGGAATAAGGGGGAAAATAGACTAATGCATAATGCAACCTCTTCTAGGCCTTCATCAGCCAGCTTCACCTATAACCTCCTAAGGTTTAACCTTTCTGAGTGAATACACATGCCTGTGCTCTCCCATAAGCCCTGAGCTCTAAAAAAACGAGTACTTTTCTTCTGGCTGCCACTCCAAATTGACAGTTCTCAGAGGCAATTGTGTCCCCAGGTCCCTCCCCACTGGAGTTTCTCAAATAGTGTGTCTTCTGGGCTTTCACAGTTCTGGGTCTCCAACCCTTCTCCTCAGAATGGATTCACTTAGAACCTCCCATTTCAATCAACCCATCCCCACTGATTTCTTTTCCAACTCTTCCTTCTGCTCTAAAATCCTCAGCCACACCCTCCCTCTCTCCTGAGGCTTGGTCTCTTTTCGGGTCAATTAGCACAAGACAATAGTATTATATACAATTCATTTATCTATCATTCCTCTAGCCCCTGAAATACTCTCAAATCCCTGATAGAATTTTGGTGGAAGAGATTGTTTTGTTTTGAGTACAATAATCTAAAGAAAACATCGTTTCCTAAATAGCAGTTAGGGTGGAGTACAGGTAGTTCCACTTTAAAGTAATTACCCTTGACTGGGCGTGGTGGCTCATGCCTATAATCCCAGCACTTTGGGAGGCTGAGGTGGGAGGATCACTTAAACTCAGGAGTTAGAGATTAGCCTCAGCAACATAGGGAGACCCTGTCTCTGCAAAAATTTAAAAAATTAGCCGGGCGAGGTGGCGCACACTGTGGTCCCAGCTACTTGGAATACTGAAGTGGGAGGACTGCTTGAGCCCAGGAGATTGGGACTGTGGTGAGCTATGATCATACCACTGCACTCCAGCCTGGGCAGAGGCTCTGTCTTAAAAAAAAAAAAACAAAAAAAAAACAGTCGGGCTCAGTGGCTCATGTCTGTAATCCCAGCACTTTGGGAGGCCACAGTGGGTGGATCACCTGAGGTCAGGAGTTCAAGACCAGCCTGACCAACATAGTGAAACTCCATCTCTACTAAAAATGCAAAATTAGCCAGGTGTGGTGGTTTATGCCTGTAATCCCAGCTACTTGGGAGGCTGAGGCAGGAGAACTGCTTGAACCTAGGAGGCGGAAGTGGCAGTGAGCTGAGATCATGCCATTACACTCCAGCCTGGGCAACAAGAGCGAAACTCAGTCTCAAAAAAAAAAAAAAATTAACGGGGAGTGGGGCTACACATCTATACTCCCAGCTACTCAGGCGGCTGAGGCAGGAGAATCACCTGAACCTGGGAGGTGGTGGTTGCAGTGAGCCGAAATGGCACTACTGCACTCCAGCCTGGACGACAGAGCGAGACTCCATCTCAAAACAAACACACACAGAATTATCCCAGTTTGAAATTTTGGTCTCTTTCCCTAGTTTTTTTTAAGTTTTACTTTTGTTTGTTTGTTTTTGAGACAGAGTCTTGCTCTGTTGCCCAGGCTGGAGTACGGTAGCGTGATCTCAGCTCACTGCAACCTCCTCCTCCTGGGTTCTTGTGCCTCAGCCTCCTCAGTAGCTGGGATGACAGGCATGAGCCACCATACCTGGCTAATTTTTTTTGTATTTTTAGTAGAGTCGGGGTTTCGCTATGTTGGCCAGGCTGGTCTCAAACTCCTGGCGTCACGTGATCCACCCACCTCGGCTTCCCAAAGTGCTGGGATTACAGGTGTAAGCCACCACACCTGGCCCCAAGTTTTACTTTTTATTGAAGCTTAAATTGGCAAATAAGATTATGGGGCTCAATAATGGAAAAGAATAGCTACTCTAGTTCTCCCACCCCATGGGAGGCCACTTTCAACTCTTCAGCTGATTCTTTTGGTGTCTACATCTTTAAAATTATATACTTACACTGCTATTTTTGTGTTGACATTATGGCAGATGTGATTCTCTTTATTTTTTATATATACATACCTGCCCTCCAAGCATGACATTTTCTGATCACCATCTCAACCTCTCAAAATATTTTGGTTAGATCAACATTCGGCATTTACTATGATTATATAAAATGCTATTTACAACAAAATCATGTAATATATTCTAGGTTTACTTTTCATTTGCTGCATAACTTTTTTTTTTTTTTTTTAAAGAGACAGGATCTTACTCTGTCACCCAGGCTGGAGTGCAGTAGCACAATCACAGCTCACTGCAGCCTTGAATTTCTGGGCTCAAGAAATCCTCCCACCTCAATCTCCTGAGTAGCCAGGACTACAGGCACATGCCACCACACTCAGCTGATTTTTTAAAATTTTAATAGAGATGGGGGTCTCGGTTTGTACCCCAGGCTGGTCTCAAACTCCTGGCTTTAGCTTAAGCAGTCCTCCTGCCTCAGCCTCCCAAAGTGCTGGGATTACAGTCATAAACCACCAAGGTCAGCCCTTGCTGCACAACTTTTTCAATTTTTTCAATGTCTGTTAAAAATTGTCTTTTTCATTTGCTTAATATAGTCAGTTTTTCATTAATTCAACCCCACACACTCCACTAATTTGTTAAGTGACCTATATCATCTTCTCTTGACCTAGTGGTCTATGTGGATCTATTTGCATTCGTTGTGAGGGATACTTAATGGGTGGGTTTTCCCGGAAACTCCAGACCTTTGATCCAGAAAATGTTGTTTATTTGTTGATTTCCTCCCACTCTATTTTCACTTTTCTCTTTCTAGAATTTCTGTTATTCACATGTTTGCCTCCTAAGCTGGTCCTCTTGTTTTCTCTATATCTTGTTTGTTCTATCTTATGTTCCAACTCTTCCAGTCTCTCATTTCTAAATCTATCAAATCTGTAATTTCCAAAGGCTCTTTTTGCTGTCTGAATGTTGTTTAGTAGTATGCCGTTCTTGTATCATGGATGCATATTAGTCATGTTTTTTGTTTGTGTGTTTGTTTTGAGACGGAGTCTCGCTCTGTCGCCCAGGCTGAAGTGCAGTGGTGCAATCTCAGCTCACTACAACCTCCAGCTCCTGGGTTCAAGCGATTCTCCTGCCTCAGCCTCCTGAGTAACTGGGATTACAGGCATGTACCACCACGCCCGGCTAATTTTTGTATTTTTAATAGAGTTTTAGGGGTTTCACTGTGTTGGCCTAGTCTTGAACTCCTGACCTCAGGTGATCCGCCCGCCTCAGCCTCCCAAAGTGCTGGGATTACAGGTGTGGAGCCACCATGCCCAGCCTATTAGTTATGGTTTTATTGCTTGTTTTCTTCTCCCTGCATAGTCTTGGTTGCCTTCATTTTTTTATTTAGCTCCTTGTTTCTTTGTTTCAATCTTTATTTTTATATTAGATGAATTCCTTTTTTTTTTTTTTTTTTGAGACAGAGTCTCACTCTGTCGCCCAGGCTGGAGCCCAGTGGCGCCATCTTGGCTCACTGCAAGCTCTGCCTCCCGGGTTCACGCCATTCTCCTGCCTCAGCCTCCCGAGTAGCTGGGACTACAGGCGCCCACCACCACGCCCGGCTAATTTTTTGTATTTTTAGTAGAGATGGGGTTTCACCGTGTTAGCCAGGATGGTCTCGATCTCCTGACCTCGTGATCCGCCCGCCTCAGCCTCCCAAAGTGCTGGGATTACAGGCATGAGTCACTGGGCCCGGCTAGAGGCATTCTTTAGATGTTTAGTGATCCTTAACCATCTGCTTTTATTTCAGAGTGGGGGTGGTATTTTTACCCAGAGTGGGTGGGCTGATTGGTAGCTCTGAGCCTTAGATGGGGTTCATCAATAGTGGATTCTCTGTCAGGTGATCTGGCTAGGCCATTTTAGTGGAGGACCTCCAATGTCAGTATCTTTAGGTCTTTCCTCTTGGACTGTTCAGTTTTTCCAGAGAAGTATCTTCCCATTTTATGTGTGGCATTATGGACCTGGCATTCTAGAAGCTGAGTAAGAAGGGAGGCAAGATCATATTCCATAAACCCAGGTTCCCAGTTGAGCATGTGACCTAATACATCACTTTCCTCTTCATTCCAGTTTAGTTTAGCATGTTTTGACTACCAAGTCTAAATACTTGGTCTAATTATACCCATTGGTCTAAATGCTGGGGATAAAGAAATTATTAGAATGCCCTATTTTTGCCACCCCAGGTTCAATTTAAGCCAATAAAAGCGATTGAACTTTAGATATTTAAAGTTCTATGCTAGCATTGTGGAGAGGAAAGATCTTGGTAAGAGTTTTTGTCTCAGGAAGCTCATAGACATGTGTGAGGAGGTACAAACAAATTATGAAACCAAAATACAAGGCAGAACATGAAATAAGTGCAGCAAAAGAGAAGAAGTATTGTGGTTGTTTAGAAAGGAAGAAGAGATTCATTTTGATTGTGGGGACATGAAGGAGGTGGAGATTTGCATTGGAGCTTTAAAACCGTACAGAATTTCACAACCAGAGACGGGGGCGGGGGGAGTGCAAGCAAAAGCCCGAAGATCTGGAGTTTTAGGATTCTGTTTCTCCTCCCTGCAGGGTGACTCTGGGGGCCCCCTCCATTGCTTGGTGAATGGCAAGTATTCTGTCCATGGAGTGACCAGCTTTGTGTCCAGCCGGGGCTGTAATGTCTCCAGGAAGCCTACAGTCTTCACCCAGGTCTCTGCTTACATCTCCTGGATAAATAATGTGAGTCCTCTCAAATGATGGGTTGAAATGGGGTCACCTGGAGACCTACGCACTGGCTGGGTTGGGGAACAAACGTTGGATGGACTGGGCAAGCCGTCATCTTCCTTACCACATTCATGTGTTTACTCCCTTCCCTTCCTTCCACGGTGTACTTTCCTTCAATAAGGCTGCCATCCTGAATTCCCTCCCCTCCACATACCCACAGAGCAGACTTCACTGTATTGTTTATTGCTTAGGGTAAGACAGTGGCAACATCAAATCTGAATCAGGGACATATCAGTGCCTTCCTAAGTCAAAGCCCAGGGAAAAACAGGTTCAGAAAGGCCTGCGTACTCCTAGGCAAGGGAAGGAGGCACCGACTTCCTCTCCCACAACGTCTTTCTAAGGACATTATGATAATTTGCTCTAACTTTTTTTTTTTTTTTTTTTTGAGACAGAGTCTCACTGTGTCACCCAGGCTGGAGTGCAGTGGCTTGATCTCGACTCACTGCAGCCTCTGCCTCCTGGGTTCAAGTGATTCTCCTGCTTCAGCCTCCCAAGTAGTTGGGATTATAGGCATGCACCACCAAACCTGGTAAATTTTTTTTGTATTTTTAGTAGAGATCGGGTTTCACCATGTTGGTCAGGCTGGTCTTGAACTCCTGACCTCAAGTGATCCACCTGCCACCCAAAGTGCTGGGATTACAGGCATGAGCCACAGCGCCCGGCCTGCTCTAATTTTTGACAGGTTTTACCACCTTAAATAATGCTTGAGAGTTAGGTGAGGCTCTGCCTACACTGACCTGGTGGAAAGGCCACACAACACATTTCACTGTGCCCTCCACCCTTCAAACACATTCTGGAGCCTTGTGTATTAATCTTGGCTCACGGCCATTTCAAGGTCTGTCTTTGCCACTGTATTCTGGGTATGTACCTATAACACTGAGCTGTCCTATCACAGTTGAGGCTGACTTCCTGCCTCCCTGTCCCCACACCCTGTCAACTTCCCATAAACCCAGTACAAAACCATACTTAACTGGGAGCCCTGAGGAAACAAGAAAGGAGGTAGGCAGGAGTTACTGACTGTGGACATAACTGTCTTTCCTTCAGGTCATCGCCTCCAACTGAACATTTTCCTGAGTCCAACGACCTTCCCAAAATGGTTCTTAGATCTGCAGTAGGACTTGCGATCAAAAAGTAAAACACATTCTGAAAGACTATTGAGCCATTGATAGAAAAGCAAATAAAACTAGATATACATTATCATACTGTGTCTATTTGTAATTAAGCCCTCCAGAGCAGGGGTCCCTATGCCTGATGATCTGTCACTGTCTCCCATCACCCCCAGACAGGACCGTCTAGTTGCAGGAAAACAAGCTCAGGGATCCCACTGATTCTACATTATGGTGAGTTGTATAATTAGTTCACTATATATTACAGTGTAATAATAATAGAAATGTAGTACACAATAAATGTAATGCCCTTGAATCATCTCGAAACCATCCCCCACCCCGGTTCGTGGAAAATTGTCTTCCACGAAACGGGTCCCTGGTGCCAAAAAGGTTGGGGACCACTGATTTAGAAGAAATGCAGTTATAGGATCCAAGTTGGATTTCACCACATCTGCAGGCTGGGTCTTCCCTTTGCTGCTACCTCTACCAGTCCACAACACAAACCCAGTGGGAGTAGCTTTATGTTATCCATTTTGGGTTACTTTAGGATCTATGTATCCACTAATCTGTCCATCTGCCCTATTCCTGTGGATATTTGCTATATTCGAAGGCACAGAGCTACTTGGGAGGCTGAGGCAGGAGAATCGCTTGAACCCGGGAGGTGGAGGTTGCAATGAGCCAAGATTGCACCGTTGCACTCCATCCTGGGCAACAAGAGCGAAAGACCATCTCAAAAAAAAAAAAAAAAAAAAAAGGTTCCCGAGTGGGCTGGGTACGGTGGCTCACGCCTGTAATCCCAGCACTTTGGGAGGCCGAGGTGGGTGGATAACGAGGTCAGGAATTCGAGACTAGCCTGGCCAAGATGGTGAATCCTCGTGTCTACTAAAAATACAAAAATTAGCTGGGCACAGTGGCAGGCGCCTGGAATCCCAGCTACTCAAGAGGCTGAGGCAGGAAAACTACTTGAACCCAGGAGGTGGAGGTTGCAGTGAGCTGAGATCGTGCCACTGCACTCTAGCCTGGGCAACAAAGCAAGACTCCGTCTCAAAACAAACAAACAAAAAACTTCCTGAGTGACTGAATGTGCCCTGTCTTTCCCAGGTATACTGTGGGTTCATCCTTCTTTTGTTTCCCCCTTTAGTGCCTAAAACGAACGCCCACTCCAAGTTTCTGGGTGATGGCAACTACTAGGATACACCAGAGATAGAAGTATAAGATTAGGAGGCAGGGCAGATACCAGCAGACTAAGAAAGTGACAAATTAGAAAGGAGACTGGAGAAAATCGCTTGGGCCTGGGAGGTGGAGGCCGCAGTGAGCCAAGATTGCGCCACTGCATTCCAGCCTGGGCAATGAAGTGAGATTCTGTCTCAAAAAAAAAAAAAAACAACAATGGAGACTGGAGAGCTAAGAATAGAAAAAAGGAGAGAAGAGAAGATACTAAACAAAGAAACGAAAGGGTTGAGGGGAAGAGGCAGAACAGAAAGGAAGAGGCAACAACAACATAGGGCCTCAAGCTAAGTGTGAATCAGCACTTTAAGGCTGGGACTAAAATTAGGCAACCGGATCCAGGGTTCTATAAACCACAGAGAACTGGGAAACTGATAATTCTGCTGTATCCTGGCCAGGGCTCAGTCTGTTAGAGTGGCCTATGAGAAAGCAAAGGGGGAACTGAAAGGGGAAGGCTAAAAAGGATGAGAAGCAGCTTTTCATGTCAATCACTTAAGACCAGACAAGAGGGACTAGGGTATTAAACATTACAGAAGGAGAAACTGGCTGAGACAGACCCTGGAATTGACAGGCTCAGCAGAGGCCTCTAGAACACTCCATGTGCTATAAGAGGCTGAGTCTGTTCCCATCCCAGTTCCACCACTGAGGAGCTGGGTGGCTGTGGTCAAGTCATCAGCCCTTTCTGTGACTCAATTTCCCTATCTAATTAACTTCTAAGGGTTGTTTCTTCTCTAACACTACATGATTTGGTGACCATCAATTTCAGTTTGCAAGATATTGGCACTAAACAGAGTTTCTTAGGAGACAGTGGCTGGGTTGCATTGCTGAGGATGCCATGTAGTCCTGGCAGGGACACAGGTACTGGCCTCCTTCTGCCAGTGACACACCTGTTAGCATTGCCATCTACTCTCAGTGTTCCCGCAGTACTGCTATTCTCCATGCTTCTCCCCACTTCTCCCCATCCAATATCAAGTCCTTCTATTTTCATCACCCTGCCTCTTCCAGGGCATCACCAAAGCTAACATCCAGAATAAACCCTAATCGCCTGGCAGGGCAAGGTGGTTCACACCTGTAATCCCAGCCCTTTGGGAGGCTGAGGCGGGTGGATTGCTTGAGCTCAAGAGTTCCAGATCAGCCTGGGTAGCCAGGAGTGGTGGCATGCACGCACCTTAGTCCCAGCTACTCAGGAGGCTGAGGTGAGACCATCACTTGGGCCTGGGAGGTAGAGGCTGCAGTGAGCCCTGATGGCACTGCTGCACTCCAGCCTGGCAACAAAGCAAGACCCTGTCTCCAAACAAACAAACAAACAAACAAACCCTAATCACCTATTCCCAGAAAATTTTGTATCCATCTCTACAAATAAATTAAGCACATTACATTAGAATCACCTGATTACCCACCTATCTCCACTTCCAGACTTTAAGCATCTTTATTTATGTACTTATTTATTAATACTTATTCTTTATTGGTTGAGAAAGGGCCTCACGCTTTGCCCAGGCTGGAATGCAGTGGCACCATCAGGGCTCACTGCAGCCTCCACCTCCCTTGGCTCGGGTGATCCTCCCACCTCAGCCTCCCTGATAGCTGGGACTACAGGTGTGTGCCACCACGCCCAATTAATTTTTGTATTTTTAGCAGAGAGAAGGTCTTGCTATGTTGCGCAGGCTAGTCTCAAACTCCTGGGCTCAAGCAATCTGCCTGCCTCAGCCTCCTAAAGTGTTGGGATTACAGGTGTGAGCCGTGGTGCCCGGCCAGACTTCATTAAGCATCTTAAGGTCAGGGACTGCATTTTATTCATCCTTGTTTCAGAACACCCAGCAATGCCTGGTACACAGTTGACCTTGAGTGCAGTAATGATTGTTTTGGAGAAAGAAGAGGAACACAGTAGCATACAAGGGCCTCTAATTTTGTGTCAGGCCCTATCTTCCCCCTCCACTCCTTAGGAAGTGTTATTTTGACCTTCTTCCCTGCCTTGAGGAAATTTTAACCTGCACTGTAAAATCTGAGTACGTGGTTCCTCCACACCTAGTGTCCTAATCTCAAGCTATCCCCTCAAACAGGTCAGGGAGGAATTTTTTGGAGAACTTCTCCCTAAAGAAACAATAGTTGTCATCTCAACAGCCGCACCCCAATTTGCACAATCTGTGTCTGTGTTCACATTCTGCCTCCATCCAGTACACTGTACTCCAACTAGAAAAACTTGCTCCTCATGCTCAGCACGGGCGTCCATACTATCCTCCTCAGCCTTTTTTCAATGTGATCATTCTCTTGCCTAAGAACCAGCCCCCTACCCTGTTTCTATCTCCAGCTTAGTTGTTCCTCATTTATTTATTTATTTATTTATTTATTTATTTATTTATTTGAGACGAACTGTCGCTCTGTCGCCCAGGCTGGAATGCAGTGGCGCGATTTCGGCTCACTGCAACCTCTGCCTCCCGGGTTCAAACAATTCTCCTGCGTCATCCTCTCGAGTAGCTGGGACTGCAGGCGTGCGCCACCACACCCAGCTAATTTTTGTATTTTTAGTAGCGACGCGGTTTCACCGTATTGGTCAGGCTGATCTCCTAACCTCAGGCGATCCACCCGCCTCGGCCTCCCAAAGTGCTAGGATTACAGGCGTGAGCCACCGCGCCCGGCCTGTTTCTCTCTTTCAAGCCCGGCTCGGGTGTCCTGCCTGCTTTCTGCACTCTATCCCTACCAGTTCCAGGCTTAGAGCCTACCTGGAGCAAGAAACGCAGTGTACATGGCGGCTTCGCATGCATACTCAGAGAACCTAAACGTGTTTTCGATATGGTAGGTCCTCTCGCTGAGTGGAACCCACATCATTTTCTACCCTGCGGTGGCAGTTGCTTTGCAGTGCTCAGCGTGATGGGAACTGGCTTTCCGGAGCGAGTGAGTGTGGGCCCACCACTGAGGACCTGGTTCAGTGAGGCCGAGGTTTCGGGCAGGGGTTGGAGCTCGGAAGCTGGCCTCGAGCGAGCGCTGCCTGAGGGTAGGCCCCGGGCCCGCCCCTCCGAGCCGGCCTGCTCCAGCTGACAGTGGTGGGCTGAGGGGCGGGCCTCAGGGCTGGCCAGGGGCGGCCTGAGGTGGCTCAGGGCTGGGGCCGGATGCGAGGCATGCCGGGAGCCCGCACTTCCTCCTCGGGGGCCTCAGAAAACCACAGGGCGCGGGGCCAGGGCGGCGGCCCCCAGGGAGTTGGCAGGATGGCAGAGGGCAAGGCAGGCGGCGCGGCCGGCCTCTTCGCCAAGCAGGTGCAGAAGAAGTTTAGCAGGGCCCAGGAGAAGGTAGGTGGCCGGGCCTCGCTGTCTGTCTGGCCCACAGGGAGCCGAGGCCGAGGCCGAGCCCGGCCGGGCAGGAGGGGCGGGCAGGGTGCTCAGGGGCCCCGAAGGGTCTGGGCTGACGAGAAGGGTCTCCCGCTCTCCCAGGGAAACGGGAGCGAGGAGTGGGCTTCCATGAAAACTGGCAGATTGGAGAGAGGTCGGAGACCGCCACCCGATCTTGGGCAAGGATAAGGGAAGCTGGGGAGACAACAGTCTCTGGGCAGAACCTTCGACAACCCTCAGGCTGACCCAGAAAAGGTGAAAGAAAGGAAGTGATGGTGGTGGCCACCTTTGTATCAAATTTTGTGCTAGCAATCCAAAATTGGTATTTTACAGATGATGAAATTGGAGGGTAATTTTCCATAGAGGGCAATTTCCCCAAAAACAGCGATGCAGCGGATGCCAGCAGGCACCCCCCACCAAAGGCTTAGAATAATCCTGCATAGTTCTCCCCCTACCTGACCCTGCCTGGCCTCTGGGTGGTGTTTCAGCTGACGTAAGCAGGAGCCCAAATCTGCTTCTTCTACCCTCCCTTTGGCGTTGGGGAGTACACCTCCCAGGGTGATGAACCACATCTGTGTTCAGAGTGTGTCCTTGGTTAGTGTCAGGTAGCCCTGCTCCAGCACTGGCACTTAGGTGGGCTGCCCATCTATTACTTGCTTGGCAATCTAAATTGTGGGGACATTCTCTACACATTTTGATGGCATTTTTGTTTCTACCTGTACAGAATATTTTCTTTGCTTCTAACCTGAGCCTCTGCTCTCCACCTACCAACCCTCTAGTAGACAAGGCGGTTTGGGAAGACATGTCAGCCAGAAGAAAGAGCGAGGGAAGAAAGACAAGAAGGACCTGAGATAGAGTTTCGGTTTTCCTTTTTTTCTCTCTCTCTTTATTAAGCCCAACCTGCCTTCTACAACGGAGAAGTTTTGGTTTTCTAAGAGCTGATGGACTTAGAAGCATTTGGATGAACAGCTCTGCTTACCAACTGAAATATCCCTATTATCTTCTAAAAGTGGAGCACTGCTTTGAGCCCTGGGAAGGCTTAAAGGCAACCAGCTCTCCCGAGTTGATTTATCAGCAGAAAACTGATGGAATGTAGATGTAGCTCCTGACTTTAAGAGACCACAATGGAAGGGAGGTTATTTTCTATCATTTGAGGTCATGTGAAAGAGAGGAGGAAAAGGGAAAGAGTTCGTGTAGCCAGACTTCGTTACTTCACTTACCCTAACTTCACCTTGATCCTAGTTTCAGCCTCTCTGAAGACTTACAAATCTGGTAGACCCGAGAGCAGGGCCTATGGGAAGGTCTAGCTCGAAACAGTGTGGGCGAGCAGGAGGTACTGGAGAGAAGGCCACACTGTGGTTGAAAAAAAAAAAAACCCTAAAAGACAAAACACTCATGAATGATAGTAATTTTAAAAAGACATACCAGCCAGGCACAGTGGCTCACTCCTGTAATCCCAGCACTTTGGGAGGCCAAGGTGGGAGGACTGCTTGAGCCCAGGAGATCAAGACTGCAGTGAGCAGTGATCACACCACACCACACTCAAGCAGAGGGAGACTCTGTCTCAAAAAATAAAAATAAATACATAAAAATAAAAGACATACAATTGATTGTATTTCACTCTTGCATCTTCTGTCTTCATCTAGCCTCTCGTCAACACTAAAACCTTGCTTTGGGCTTTCACTCCTTTGTAAGCATAGACTCCAAACCTTGGCTAAATAATGTCCTGCTCTGGGCTTCAGATCTTGCACCTGTAAAATGAGAGGGTTGATGTTCTTGATGAAACTCAATATGGTAAGAACACTAAATTGAAAAGCTGTCACATTAGACTCAGAGTCAAATACTTCCCAAAGACAGAACCAGTCTCTCAGGTTCTTCTGGCCTGAACCCTGAGGAAGTAGAGAAAGAGGAGCAAACTCAAATCTGCCATGAGGAATTCCCAGCTGATGAAGAAAACAAGATATTCTGAACCTAGACTAGACAAAAGGGTAGGCAAAGGTTGAACTTCGATAAGGTGGGAATGGCCTGGGATGCCGGAAGGGAGCTCAGCTCCGTCAGCCTGAAGCCAGTCCTTGAGTCTTGGGAAGTTATTGAGACCAAGATAAAGAGGGAGAAATTTGCACTAAAATGAAAGAATTCCTTGCAACACTTTTTGCTTTTTCTGCAAGCAGTTGGATGTAATCTTCTGAGTAATAAGTAATAGCTAATGTGTCAAATAGTGAAATGTGTCAAATATCAAGCGCCTATTATGGACCAGAGACAGGGATATAAGAAAGTGATTATCAGCGGGGTGCAGTGGCTCACGCCTGTAATCCCAGCACTTTGGGAGGCCCAGGCAGGTGGATCTCCTGAGGTCGGGAGTTCGAGACCAGCCTGACCAACATGGAGAAACCCCGTCTCTACTAAAAATACAAAATCAGCCGGGTGTGGTGGCGCATGCCTGTAATCCCAGCTACTCAGGAGGCTGAGGCAGGAGAATCGCTTGAACCTGGGAGGCGGAGGTTGCCGTGAGCCGAGATCGCGCCATTGCACTCCAACTTGTGCAACAAGAGCAAAACTCTGTCTCAAAAAAAAAAAAGACAAAGTGATTCTCTCTCCCTTTATGGAGCCAACATTCTACCGATGTCATCTCCCTTCATCTATTCAACACTTTAAGCAGGTTATTAGCATCTCTGTTTTAGAAATAAGGAAACAAGGCTCAAAAGAGATTGGTAGGTAGCAGAAATATTACTGAAACCCAGGTGTCCTGCCTCTGAATCCTAACCTCACTCAGGCTGCTGCTTTACAACGTTCCTGATAAGCCACTCTCACATCTGTGCCTCCCCCACTTCCTGCTGATCCTCTCTCAGGAACAGAGCTCAGAAGTAGAAACACTTTTTGTTCAGGCATCCTCTGAAAAGCTGGGAGTGGAGGTCTGGTGACCATTAAACACAATAGGGATGAAACATTCTTGGTCTGTTTTCCATTTCCCGCCCAAACTCAACATGGGACTGAATTTAAGCTGGCTTTAGAGTGTGTGTGTGTGTGTTTGTGTGTGTGTGTGTGTTTTTAGTATGATACATCTTCTCATTTCCAACTATAGTACTGCTTTCACCATCTGTTTGTGATTTCTCTGTGGCAAACCTCTCAGATCCCCCTGAGAAGGGGCGTTGTTTACCACTCCTTTGTTGGTCTTCTCCTCTGTTGACATCTACTCAGCTTAAATCCCAGAGGGTTAAATTCCACAAATATTTACAGAAAAACTCCTTTGTTCAGGGTACTGGGCTGGACCCAGCAGGGAATTTAGGGGTAAGAGACATTCTTGCTTTGCCAAAAGCTTAAGATCTAGTTAAAAAAAAAAAAAAAAAAGAATAATGATAATAAAATAACTGACCTGAGAGATGCAGGTCTATTCAGAGGACAAAAGGATTGGGGAGAATCGAGAGGTTTTATAGTGGAGGCTGAATTTGAAATAGGAATTATGGGAGATTAGTAGTTTTTCAGACACGTGATCAGAGAGCATTCTAGCTGAGAAGTGCCAGCATAAGCAAGGCATGGAGACTGGAGTGAGAACTACAGCTCAGCTGGAGCACAGGGAGTGGTCAGAGCAAAGGCTGGAAAAAGTATATTAGGACCTTTTAAGGAAAGCTTACTTTATCATATATCCTAAAAATAAAGATTTCCGGCCAAGCGCCATGGCTCATGCCTGTAATCCCAACACTTTGGGAGGGCGAGGTGGGTAGATCACCTGAGGTCAGGAGTTCGAGACCAGGCTGGCCAATGTGGCGAAATCCCAGGAGTTCGAGACCAGGCTGGCCAATGTGGCGAAATCCCATCTCTACCAAAAAATACAAAAATTAGCCTAGTGGTGCACACCTGTAGTCCTGGCTGCTTGGAGGCTGAGGCAGGAGAATCGCTTGAATCTGGGAGGTGGAGGTTGCAGTGAGCTGAGATTGTGCCACTGCACTCCAGCCTGGGCAATAGAGCTAGACTCTGTCTCGAAAGTAAGAAAGAAAGAGAGGGAGAAAAGGAAGGAAGGAAGGAAAGAGAAAGATTTCCTACATAACCACAAAAATTTACTGCACCTAAGAAAAAATTTTAGCAAAATTTTATAATATCAAATATCCAGGCCCTATGCAAATTACCCCAATTGAGGGAATTAACTAAAATATAATAAATGATTATGGGAGAGGCAATGGTAGGGAACTATAGCCACCAAAGATATATGTAGTAATTTTTTTTAAAGCTCTATTTCCACCCCAACCCTGATCTACAGAAAAGTTATAAATAATCAATGAACACTGGAATATTTTTCATGCAGATTCACCAAGTGTTAACGTTTTGCCACATTTACTTTTTTGCCTTGCTCTTGCTCTTTCTCCTTAAATATCTATATTCTAATTTAGCTGCCAGGCCAGATAAATTGGGACAGAATTCTCAAAGCAGGATTTTAGGGATTAGCATTATATGGGTTTTCATTAGGAAGTGATCCAAAAGTAGAATTTATTCATTGTTTCAACAAACATCTGTTTAGCATCTGTACACCCTGTTCCCTCAAGGGTCTTTCGTTGGGAAGAACACCCATGACACAGTATAAGTGCCCTAACATGTACCTGTTGCTTATGGCAACAAATTACTTTGGCTCCAGAGTACTGGGGTATGTTTCAGGGTGGTAACACCTTTTCACTTTCAGAGTTGGAGGGTGAGGAAGTTTCTCTCAGTACCCCCCAACCCCCGACCCCACACTCTCCAAGCCTTTTGGCCTTGAGCCTTTTGGGGATTGGGGAGATTGGTCTGCCCCAGTCATCCCTTACACTGACTCTAGACTGAGTTTTCTCTTTTCTGTTTTTTCTGTCCTCTCCACCTAAGAAGAACCAAATTAGGGACAAAGGAAGGGAGGGGTAGCAGAAAGGAAGTTAAGAGCTGCACTTACCACTAACAAGGTGGTTTTGCAACTTTCTGGTAGAGAACAGTGTTTTGTTAGCTGAGAAGGGTGGAGCCAGGGAGGATGGCAGACTGCACATCCAGGGCTGGGTGGCAAGTGAGGTGCAGTTAGAGACGGACAAAAACAGATATGGCCAAACCAAACAGATATGGCCAAACCAAAAATATAAGCATTTACAGGCAAGGGAGCAAAACTAAACATAATGACAGTGAGTACCTATTGAGTGCTCTTTGTAGGGCAGCTCTGAGAAAGCAATTTACATGCAAAATATCATTTAATCCTCCTGACAACTCAAGGAGATAAATATTATCTAATGGGGGAAAGGGAGTTCTGTAAACCGAGGCTCAAAAGTTTTAATGACTTGCCTGAAGACTTACAGTCAGTAAGTAGAAAGGCCAAGATAGGAGCCCATATCTGTCTAACTCCAGAATGCTTGATCTTATCCACTACAGCAAGAGCTCCAGGAATGAGACACACCCCCGGATTAAGAATGGAGATACTGGTGGCCCAGTGGCTCACGCCTATAATTCCAACACTGGGAGGCTGAGGTGGGCAGATCACCTGAGGTCAGGAATTCAAGACCAGCCTGGCCAACATGGCGAAACCCTGTCTCTACTAAAAATACAAAAATTCGCCAGGCGTGGTGGTGGGCACCTGTAATCCCAGCTACTTGGGAGGCTGAGGCAGAAGAATGGCTTGAGCCGGTGAGGCAGAGGTTGCAGTGAGCTGAGATGGCATCACTGCACTCCAGCCTGGGCGACAGAGCAAGACTTGTCTCAAAAAAAAAAAAAAAAAAGAATGGAGATATGAATCAGAGTCTCTCCACAGAACCTGCCACACTCCCCAGATCTGGGCACTCTTGCATGGCATTCAAAGCCCTTCACAATGAAACTCCAGTCTCCCTTTCTAGCTTCATTCCCCACCACTCCCCATAACAGCCATGCTGAACCAGCTAGTGAAGCTGTGTACTCCTATGATTTTCCTGATGCTGTTGTCTCTAACTGGAATCCTCTTTCTGCTGTCACCCTTTATACTCTATTTCTTTTTTCTTTTTCTTTTTCTTTTTTTCTTGAGACGGAGTCTTGCTCTTTTGCCTAGGCCGGACTGCGGTGGCGCTATCTCGGGTCACTGCAAGCTCCGCCTCCCGGGTTCATGCCATTCTCCTGCCTCAGCCTCCTGAGTAGCTGGGATTACAGGCACCCACCACCACGCCTGGCTAATTTTTTGTGTTTTTAGTAGAGACGGGGTTTCATCGTGTTAGCCAAGATGGTCTCGATCTCCTGACCTCGTGATCCACCCGCCTCTGCCTCCCAAAGTGCTGGGATTACAGGCGTGAGCCACCGCTCCCGGCCTTTTTTTTCTTTTTTAATTTAATTTAATTTAATTTTTTGTTTTGTTTTTTGAGACAGAGTTTCGCTCTGTTGCCCAGGCTGGAGTGCAATGGCGCAATCTTGGCTCACTGCAACCCTTTAACCGATTCTCCTGCGTCAGCCTCCCAAGTAGCTGGGATTGCAGGCGTGCACCACCACACCCAGCTAATTTTTTTTGTATTTAGTAGAGATGGGGTTTCACCATGTTGGTCAGGCTGGTCTCAAACTCCTGACCTCAGATGATCCACCCGCCTTGGCCTCCAAAAGTGTTGGGATTATAGGCGTGAGCCACTGCGCCTAGCCCCTATACTCTATTTCAGTCTAGAAAATCCTACTCCAAGGCTCCACTCATTCAGTCCTATATCCTCTCCTAGATCAGTCTTACTCTCCTTCCTGTTACAATTATTAAATATCTAGTTCCTGGATACTGAGAAATCCAAATGAACAAAGCAAGTACCTAAACCTTAAGGAGCCTATAGTTTAGGAGAATAAACAAATAGAAATAATAAAACAGGCCGGGCACAGTGGCTCACACCTGTAATCCCAGCACTTTGGGAGGCTGAGGCGGGCGGATCACCTGAGGTCGGGAATTCGAGAGCAGCCTGACCAACATGGAGAAACCCTATCTCTACTAAAAATACAAAATTAGCCAGGCGTGGTGGCACATGCCTGTAATCCCAGCTACTCAGGAGGCTGGGGCAGAAGAATTGCTTGAACCTAGGAGGCGGAAGTTGTGGTGAGCTGAGATCACGCCATTGTACTCCAGCCTGGGCAACAAGAGCGAAACTCTGTCTCAAAATAATAATAATAATAATAGTAGTAGTAGTAATAAAACAACAATTGGACTGTATACAAGATACAGAAGTTGCAAGCACTTGGAAGGGAGTGAATAATCGATCAATGGGATGAAGTGGATGTGGTTAAGTATCACAAAAGATACGGAGTTGAACTGGGTTTTGTAAGATACTTGCCTGGCAGACAAGGTGAGGAAAGGCATTCTAGAAAGAGGGACCAGCATCTATGACAAGCAACAGTGTGGGTTATTTGGGAAACTAAAAAAGTGTTAGGAAAGGAGACCTGCAGAGAGGAGGAGTATGAGAAGTGAAGCTTAATGTAGCCTTGGGACCTGCATGCATGCTAGAATTTGAACTATTACTTAAAGATACATATTGGACTTTTTTTTTCTCTTTTTTTTGAGACAATTTCCCTCTGTCACCCAGGCTGGAGTGCAGTGACACAATCTTGGCTCACTGCAACCTCTGCCTCACAGGCTCAAGTGATTCTCATGCCTCAGCCTCCCAAGTAGCTGGGATTACATGCGTCTGCCACCACTCCCGGCTAATTTTTTTTTTTTTTTTTTGTATTTTTAGTAGAGACGGGGTTTTACCCTGTTAGCCAGGTTGGTCTCGAACTCCTGACCTCAAGTGATCCGCCTGCCTCGGCCTCCCAAGGCCGGGCGCATGAGCCACCGCGCCTAGCCCATATTGGGCATTTAATAAAAATTTGTTGAACAGATGAATGGGGAACCATTAGAAGATTTTAAGGAGCAGCAGCATAGTAGACCTATTGCAGCAGGCCAGGTAATAAACAGTGAGGGCCTAGACTAAGGCTGTGGCAGTGAGACCAGGGGAATAAGATGGTTTCTAGAGATGGACATGGCGAGGGATTCAATGAAGAGGATGAAGAAGTAGTTGAAGGCAACTCCCGAGATTCTAACTTGGACTTCGCAGGATGATGGTATCTCCTTCCAAGATGGGGGTTATAGGCAGAAGACTCAGGGCTTTCTTACTACATGTAATTGCCTGTTTATAAGTGAGGGTCCTATGAGAACAGAGACTGGGTCTTATTCATCCACATGTCTTTTGCATTAGCACTGACATCAGTATGACGGTTTGGCTCTCAGGTTTTCTAGTTGAGAGGTGATAGACATGGATAGCATTCAGGTCTAGCTGAGTTTCAAATGCATTATATCGGGGCCTCTCAAAGTTTTCCACAAAAGCCCCCATGAGAGAAGTGTCCCTGCCCAACCTCTCTAACCTCATCTATCTAGAGGAACCTATGGCTATAGCTGAAAACAGTCTCTCAAGTAAAAAATGTCTTCAGGGCTCACATTTTACTTAAAAGCCATGCACAGTTTACAGTTTTCTCAACAATACTTGTTTTAATATAATGCTTTTCTCCTTCCTTCTCAAAAACCCACTTTAAATATTAATAACAGGCCGGGCGCAGTGGCTCACGCCTGTAATCCCAGCACTTTGGGAGGCCGAGGCGGGCGGATCACGAGGTCAGGAGATAGAGATTATCTTGGCTAACAAGGTGAAACCCCGTTTCTACTAAAAATACAAAAAAACTTAGTCAGGCATAGTGGCGGGCGCCTGTAGTCCGAAGCTAATCGGGAGGCTGAGGCAGGAGAATGGCGTGAACCCGGGAGGCGGAGCTTGCAGTGAGCCGAGATAGTGCCACTGCACTCCAGCCTGGGCGACAGAGCGAGACTCCGTCTCAAAAAAAAAAAAATAATAATAATAATAACAATGCCAGCCAGCCTAATGGCTCATGCCTATAATTGCAGAACTCTGGGAGGCTGAGGCAACAGGATCACTTGAGCCCAGGAGTTCAGCCAGCCTGAGCAACATAGTGAGACCCTGTCTCTACAGAAAATTTTTAAAAATTAGTGAGGTGTGGTGGTGTGAGCATGTGGTCCCAGCTACTGGGGAGGCTGAGGTGGGAGGATTGCTTGAGCCCAGAGAGGTTGAGGCTGTAGTAAGTTGTGATTGCACCACTGTACTACAGCCAGGGCAACAGAGCAAGACCCTGTCTCAAATAAAATAATGACAATAATAACAATGACATTCAGAAAGATATACCTTATTTCTTTCTTTTTTTTTTTTTGAGACAGAGTTTCGCTCTTGTTGTCCAGGCTGGAGTACAATGGTGCGATCTTGCCTCACTGCAACCTCTGCCTGCTGGGTTCAAGCGATTCTCCTGCCTCAGCCTCCCCAGTAGCTGGGATTACAGGCATGCACCACCATGCCCAGCTAATTTTGTATTTTTAGTAGAGATGGGGTTTATCCATGCTGGTCAGCCTGGCCTCGAACTCCCGACTTAAGGTGATCCACCTGCCTTGGCCTCCCAAAGTGCTGGGATTACAAGTGTGAGCCACCACACCCAGCCAGATATACCTTATTTCTTCTGAGCTTTATATTAATATATATCCTCTAGCTCACTACTACGTATCCCCTAGAGCTACCCCTAATTTGAAAAGAACTACAGAACAGGATTGTTTTTTCAGCAGTTTGTTGTATTCCTAATTCTTTTGGTCCAGTAAGAGTACAGCCCTTCAAGGCCAGGCATGTTGGCTCACGCCTGTAATCCCAGCACTTTGCGAGGCCAAGGCGGGTGGATCATTTGTGGTCAGGAGTTCGAGATCAGCCTGGCCAACATGGTGAAACCCCGTCTCTACTAAAAATACAAAAATTAGCTGGGCGTGGTGGTACACGCCTGTAATCCCAGCTACTCAGGAGGCTGAGGCAGGAGAATTGCTTGAACCTGGGAGGCGAAGGTTGCAGTGAGCCGAGATCGTGCCACTGCACTCCAGCCTGGGCAACAGAGTGAGACTCCGTCTCAAAAATAAATAAATAAATAAATAAATAAATAAATAAATAAATAAATAAGTACAGCCCTTGAGTTGTAAGTGAGATTCTTGACTGAAGCCAGGGTCATATGAGGCCAACATGTAAGAGAGACTTGACTATAACCTTACGGGCCTTTCTGACTTATATCCCTAGGTGCTGCAGAAATTGGGGAAAGCTGTAGAAACCAAAGATGAACGATTTGAACAAAGCGCTAGCAACTTCTACCAACAACAGGTAATCTGGAGGGTAGGGGAGGGAAGCTTGGAAGAAGAAAGGAGACACGAGGGCTGAGTGGCAGAAGAACAATAAGTTCTGCAAACTGGCAAACATCTCCACCAAGCCACCCTCCCCCTAGGGTTAAGGGCTACAGGGTGACCTGTTGCTTATCCTTCCTCGGTGAACTAAAGGAATTTACCAGCCAGGCGCAGTGGATCACCCCTATAATCCCAACACTTTGGGAGGGCGAGGCGGGCGGATCACCTGAGGTCAGGAGTTTGAGACCATCCTGGCCAACATGATGAAACCCCGTCTGTACTAAAAATACAAAAAAATTAGCTGGGCATGGTAGTGTGCACCTGTAATCCCAGCTACTCGGCAGGCTGAGGCAGGAGAATCACTTGAACCTGGGAGGCAGAGGTTGCAGTGAACAGAGATCTTGCCATTGTACTCTAGCCTGGGTGACAAGAGTGAAACTCCATCTCAAAAAAAAAGTAAAAATAAAAATAAAGGAATTTACCTTTTTTCTTGCTGCTGACTGTCATTTTGGGAACAGAGAAATCTCCCTCCCTCCTTCCCTCCCTCCCTCCCTGCCTGCCTGCCTGCCTGCCTTCCTGCCTTCCTTCCTTCCTTCCTTCCTTCCTTCCTTCCTTCCTCTCACTGCAACCTCAACCTTCCAGGTTCAGGCAATTCTCCTGCCTCAGCCTCCCGAGTAGCTGAGATTACAGGTGTGTGCCACCATGCTATGCTAATTTTTTCTTTTTATTTTTAGTACAGACAGGGTTTCACCATGTTGGCCAGGCTGGTCTCAAACTCCTGACCTCAGATGATCCACCCACCTTGGCCTCCCGAAGTGCTGGGATTACAGGCATGAGCCACTGCACCTGGCCCACAAATTCTTTACTATATAAATATCAGTTGAATTATATAGAAAATAATTTTTAAAATTATATTAATGGGTTATTAGCTATCATCTAATTCAGTAGCTGAGTGTATATCAGAATCATTTGGGAAATATTTTTAAATGCAAGTTCTCTGGGAGTAGGGCCTGGGAATCTTACTTTTGAACTTTTTGTTGTTGTTATTGGTTTACCATCTTAGATCTGATGAACTTTTTTTTAATGGAATATTTCAAATATGTACAAAGGCAGATAAACTTGTAAAATGAATTCACATGTACTCATCACTCAGCTTCCATAATTTATCCACTCATGGGCAATCATGTTTCACTGTGTCCCCACTCACTTTCTCCTATCCTTGATTATTATGAAACAAATTCTAGATATATCATTTCATTCGGCAACCTAAGTAACGAACAGAGGGAGGCTGTCTAAGAGAAAAAGATATTTATGCGGGAATAGAGCATTGCAATGGGAATATGTGTACCATAGTAAACTATGAGGTATTCAGGGAGGTAAAGGAAGACACATGTTTTCAAAGGAAAAAATGAGAAGGATTACATGATTCTTTGAAAATAATTATCATTGGCTACAAAGATCAATAATAAGGGTGACACCAGTCCAAGGTTGAACAGGCAGTTGCTGGGCAGAAGTCCTTGCAGAAATATTTTTTGTATAAGGTTGTGATGGCCTTTGTGCAAGGTTGTGGTTTTCATAGGATCTTTTGTGATAATTCTTATCAGGCAAATAAGCATGAGAATGCTCTTTTCATAGCCTTCCCTGGCTCTATTATCAGAGATTTTTTTTTAACACTAGTGACTCCATTTTGATTCCAACAACATTGACACATCTATAAAAATTTCATTATCAGGCCGGGTGCAGTGGCTCACGCCTATAATCCCAGCACTTTGGGAGGCCGAGGCGGGCAGATCACCTGAGGTCAGGAGTTCGAGACCAGCCTGGCCAACATGGTAAAACCCCATCTCTACTAAAAATACAAAAATTAGCTGGGCGTGATAGGACATGCCTGTAATCCCAGCTATTCGGGAGGCTGAAGCAGGAGAATTGCTTGAACCTGGGAGGCGGAAGTTGCAGTGAGCCAAGATCGCACCACTGCACTCCAGCCTGGGTGACAGAGTGATACTCTGTCTCAAAAAGAAAAAAAAAATTCATTATCAATCTCTAAAAATAGAACTCTTTTAAAATGTAACTACAATACCATTATCACACCTCAAAATATTTTTCTATACAACATTTACTTGGCCAGGCATGGTGGCTTATGGCTGTAATACTAGCACTTTGAGAGGCCAAAGCAGGAGAATCAATTGAGCCTAGGAATTCAAGACCAGCCTGGGCAACATAGCAAGATCCCGTCTCTACAAAAAAATACAAAAATTAGCCAGGTGTGGTAGCACATGCTTGTAGTCCCAGCTACCTGGGAGGCTGAGGTAGGAGGATTGCTTGACCCCAGGAATTCCAGGCTGCAGTGAGCTATGATCATACCAGTGCATGCCAGCCTAGGCAGCAGAGCAAGACCTGGTCTCAAAAATGAATAAAGTATAAATAAAATATGTACTCATTACAACAAATCAGAAAGTACATGGTTGGGTACAGTGGCTCACACCTCCCAGTGGGAGGCCGAGGTGGGAGGGTTGCTAAGACTAGGAGTTTGAGACAAACCCGGCAACACAGGAGACCTTAACTCTACAAAAAATAAGAAAAATTAGCTGGGCATGGTGGTGCACGTCTGTGGTCCCAGCTACTGAGCAGTGAGCTGTGATTGTGCCACTGCACTCCAGCCTAAGCAACAGAGCAAGACCCTGTCTCAAAAGAAAAAAAAAAAAGCCCCTACATAAAGAAAAAAGAAAGAAATGAATTTAAAAATTAATAATAGGCCCAACATGGTGGCCCACACCTATAATCCCAGCACTTTGGCAGCCCAAAGTGCTGAGCTCAGAAGTTTGCGACCAGCCTGGGCAACATGGCAAAACCCCATCTCTACAAAAAATACAAAAATTAGCTGGTCATGGTGGTGTGCTCCTGTATTCTCAGCTACTTGAGAGGCTGAGGCAAGAGGACTGACTGAGTCTCAGGTCGAGGCTACAGTGAGCTTTGTTTGTGCCACTGCACTCCAGTCTGGGTGACAAAGTGAGACCCTATCTCAAAAAAAAGGAAAAGAAAACAATATAAACAAAACGATTATGATTTTACATCTTCCTAAACTACAACAATGTTATTTTATATCTTTACAATTACTTTGCTATGTATGTGTATGATATCTAAGTATATCCACAATAAATAAATGTGAGATTTACTAAAGTGAGATTCTTCCATGCATATGATTTTGCAACTTGCCTTTTTCACTTACCAGTGTCATACAAATCTTTTCAGATATTTCAGATTAAATATTTCACTAAAATGTAAGTTTTAGTGCTATCTTTTAAAAAAACCAGAATCATTTCTTAATATCACAAAATATCCTGTCAGTGTCCAAATTCCCCTGATTGTGTCTTCATGCTTTTTATGGTTTGTTTAAATCAGCAACTCACTGACATGTTTAAGTTTATTAGATTTAAGGTCATATCTCTTAATCTATATTCTAATCCCTCCCTTCTTGTAGCTTATTTGTTAATGATACTAGGTTGTTTGTCCTGCAATTTCCTACAGTGTATATTTTGCTGATTGAATTCCCATGATATTGTCTAATATGTTCCTATGTCTTCCATATTTTCTATAAATGGATAGACTTAGAGGCTTGATGAGATTCAGGTTTTTGTTTTGATGGCAAGAATACTTAGTAGGTGTTATTGTATTCTTCCATCAGGAGACACATAAAATCTGGTTGTCTCCTTTTTTGTGTGATGTTAATAGTAAAGTAACAGCATATAAGTTGCAGGGCCAGGATTTAGACTTAAACTCAGCTTTTTTCACTGTGCCTCACTAGGAGGCCTCTCTGGGCCTCTTCTCAACTCTTCTTACTGTTCTATTTCCAACTCCAGGTTGAAAAGAAGAAAAATCAGTAAGTTAACACCCACTGTGGAAGGTTTCTGATTCTTGGCCCATTCTGTCCCTTTGTCCTCTCTCTAAGAGCAGATGTGTAGGTAGAAAAGGTAAGAGAAGAAGAAGCGCCATCAGGAAGAACAAGATCTGATGGGACAATCCCCTCAGAATTCCCTGTGGAAGCCCACCATTTAAACATCACTTAAGCGGGGAAAATACGTTTGAGAAATGAAATGGAGTTAGGTTGGGAATAAGGAAAAGCTTCTAGCTGGGTGCAGCAGCTCATGCCTGTCATCCCAACACTTTGGGAGGCTGAAGCGGAAGGGCCAGGGGTTCAAGACCAGCCTGGGCAACATAGTGAGACCTTGTCTCTATTAAAAAAAAAAATAAGGAAAAACTTCTTGACTGAGAGAATGATACACCTATAATAAGTGCTGATTGAACATGCTTTTGAAATTCTCTTTTTGGTAAATACATTTAACAAACATTTTATGAGCACCTGCTGTGTGCCAGGAACTGTGTTTGGTGCTGGGACTTCAGCATGAATGAGACAACCTGCCTGCCCTCAAGGCTCTTAGTTTATGGAGGAAGACAGTGACAATACAGTCACGTCTGACCTGGGGACCTGGGGTGGCAAAGACACACAGGAGGAAAAAGGACAAGGTCAAGGATTTTTTTTCTTTTTGTGAAGACGAGGTCTCACTATGTTGCCCAGGCTGGTCTCAAACTCCTAGGCTCAAGCAATCCTCCTGCCTCTGACTCCTTGAGTGCTGGGATTACAGGTGTGAGTGAAGTGTTCCAGAAGTTGAACGGGTTGGTCATGTGCCCTATCCCTCACCCACAGTCAGCTTGCAGGTAAACTTTTTATTAATAGCTTATCCTATCAATACCAAACTTCCTAGCCTGATTTCAAAGTCTTGCCATTCGCCCACATTCCTGATCACATTTCTTTTCTTTTTTGTTTTTGTTGTTGTTTTGTATTTTTAGTAGAGACGGGGTTTCACCATGTTGGCCAGGCTGGTCTCAAACTCCTGACCTCAAGTGATCTACCCACCTCGGCTTCCCAAAGTGCTCGGATTACAGGCATGAGCCACTGCACCCAGCCCTGATCACATTTCTTCTATAGGTAATTTTTCTCTGAGGCTCTACTTGCTTCCTGCTTTTCCTTCTCTTCAGTGTATTACATAGGAAGGATTATTTTCCTCAAGCAACACTTTAACCTGTTATTTTTGGTAGTGACAGCTGCTTCCAATTCATTACCTTTAAACTCAAATCTAATAATCTAGCTTCGTATTTCCCTCCTAGATCTACATTAAACCAAGCACTTTCAACACTTGATCACTTCAACACTTGGGCATGCTATTTACACTTGTTTTGCTGAGTGTCTGAGCCAATTTTTCTCCAGAAAGTAGGGAACCCCAGGACAAGAACTTTCTCCATCCTCAGTACCCCAGTCTCTTAAGACCTAGCTCTGTCCTCCTGACTGCTCAGGACAAGCTTCTGGTGTGAGTGGTTCATTAACTGAGGGTTGGGACTGTTTGTATAATGGGTGGGAAGGACTGACTCAGACTCTTTATGGCAATGCCAAGAATTCGGCAAGGATTCAGAGAGCAGAAGTGATAAAGTCATAAGATTTAGAGCTAGAACTGGCTTACCCTGCATTTATAGATGAAGAAATGGAAGGCAGAGAAGTGGAGTAACTTGCTAGTTGGTGGTAAAGTCAAGTTTCTTGACTCCCAGACAAGCGAGAACCCAAGACTATGAGAGTCACATCTGTCAGGAAAGGAGAAAGATGTTGGGATTATTCAGCCTGGATATATTCCAGGGGGGGACAGATAGGTCAGAGAAAGAAAATGATACCTGTTGCTGACCTGTCTTCTCTCTCCTTCCCCACTCCATACCACTACCCCCACCAACACACACACACACTCACTCTCACACTCATACTTCATCTTCGCAAAAGAAAGAGCAAGAGCATAAAGGAGAACTTTGTAACTAAAAGGCTTCATTCTAAAACACAGAAATGGAGCGGGGCTTTTGTGAGCTGCAGTGGAAAGCAGAAGGCATTCATTTTCTGGGCTGTGATAGAGTACCCCCTAGTTTTCAACACTGTGCATTTATGCATGGTAGCCTTGATTACTCATCTGATTTTTCAGGTTATATGATAACTAATGGGAAAAAATTAGGAACTTTATTTGTACAAATTGTGCAAGGTAATTTTTTTTTTTTTTGAGACGGAGTTTCTCTCTTGTCGCCCAGGTTGGAGTGCAGTGGTGTAATCCCAGCTCACTGCAACCTCTGTGCCCCCGGGTTCAAGCGATTCTCCTGCCTCAGCCTCCTAAGTAGCTGGGATTACAGGCGTATACTACCACACCCAGCTAATTTTTGTATTTTTAGTAGAGATGGGGTTTCACCATGTTGGCCAGGCTGGTCTTGAACTCCTGACCTCAGGTGATCTACCTGCCTCGGCCTCCCAAAGTGGTGGGATTATAGTGGGTGAGCCACCGCTCCCAGCCTGTGCAAGGTAATTTAACAGTTTTTATTACTTTATTGTATTTATTTTTGAAATAAAATTTTCATGGTGAAGTAAAAAATTGAGTCCTTTTTTCTCCTTCAAGAAAGAATTTAAAAGTCTTGTTAATTTTTTTTTTTTTTTTTTGAGTCAGAGTCTCACTCTGTCGCCCAGGCTAGAGTACGGTGTCGCGATCTCAGCTCACTGTAACCTCCACCTCCCGGGTTCAAGCCATTCTCCTGCCTCAGCCTCCCAAGTAGCTGGTATTACAGGCGTGTGCCACCACACCCAGCTAATTTTTGTGTTTTTAGTAGAGACAGGGTTTCACCATGTTGGCCAGTCTGGTCTCGATCTCTTGACCTCACAATCTGCCCGCCTCGGCCTCCCAAAGTGCTAGGATTACAGGCGTGCATCACTGTGCCCGGCCAAGCCTTGTTCATTTTTATAATCCCCAAAACTTTTTCAAGGCTCTTTAAAATCTTGATTATCACCTTTTCAAAATTCTCAAACCTCTACCTACCTCCCTTATCCACATTTAAAAGATGTTGTATACATTTAACATGTTAGGCTATCTAAGCTTTTTTCTATAAATGAAAAAGCAAGGAGGAAGTGAGATATCCTTTCTGGTAGATGCTGAGTGTTTCTGAATTTTGTTAACTGACTGAATCTGTCTCCAATATGCTATTGAAAGTGCTTTCTCATGGTCACCAGTGACCCATTACCAAATCCAGTGAATTTTACCAATTCTTCCTGCATTCTAACGTCTCTGTAGCATCTGACACTTCCTTGATTGGTTTTGATTTTTAGACAGAGTCTGCTGTGTCGCCCAGGCTGCAGTGCAATGGCGCAATTGCAGCTCACTGCAGCCTCCACCTTCCGGGTGCAAGTGATTCTCCTGCCTCAGCCTCCCGAGTAGTTGGGATTACTGGCACCCACCACCACACCTGGCTAATTTTTGTATCTTTAGTGGAGACGGACTTTCACCATGTTGGCCAGGCTGGTCTTGAACTCCTGACCTCAAGTGATCTGCCTACCTCAACCTCCCAAAATGCTAGGATTACAGATTTGAGCTACCTCGCCTGGCCTACTTCCTTGATTGTTTATATGATGTTCTCTTAATCCTCATTTGCTGTAACACAGCACACAATCACAGTTCTGTACCTGTCTGACAGTGCCTTTCACTCCTTTAAGACTGTGTCCTCATGTCCCTTCAAACTGACATTCAGCCCCTTGAGAGGGACTTTTGATCTGAAGTTTGATCAAAAGTTTGGACTAGCTTAGAAGTGAGCTCTGAGACCCAGCACAGTGGCTCACACCTGTAATCCCAGCACTTTGGGAGGCCGAGGTGGGCAGATCACGAGGCCAGGAGATCGAGACCATCCTGGCTAACACAGTGAAACCCTGTCTCTACTAAAAATACAAAAAATTAGCCAGGCGTGGTGGCACACACCTGTAGTCCTAGCTATGCAGGAGGCTGAGGCAGGAGAATTGTCGCTTGAACCCAGGAGGCGGAGGTTGCAGTGAGCCAAGATCACGCCACTGCACTCCAGCCTGGGCGACAGAGCGAGACTCCATCTCAAAAAAAAAAAAAAAAAAAAAAAAAGAAAGAAAACAGTGAGCTCTGGAGGCAAAAAAAATGGATGAAATAACTAGTCCAGTTTTCTTTGATTTGACCAAGTAGACCTAAATTTTCTGCTGCTAAAATTAAGTAAATAGTGACCTTTCCCCAAAGATTTCCACAGGAAAAATTTTGTCACTAGATAGAATTTTCTGAATTTTCCTTTTTTTCTCATTTTTTTTTTTTTTGAGATGGAGTTTCATTCTGTTGCCCAGGGTGGAGTACAGTGGTGCGATCTCGGCTCACTGCAACCTCTGCCTCCTGGGTTCAAGTGATTCTCCTGCCTCAGCCTCCTGAGTAGCTGAGATTACAGGTGCGTGCCACCATGCCTGGCTAATTTTTGTATTTTTAGTAGGGACAGGGTTTCACCACATTGGTCAGGCTGGTCTAGAGCTCCTGACCTCGTGATCCTCCTGCCTTGGCATCCCAAACTGCTAGGATTACAGGCGTGAGCCACTGCGCCCAGCCTTTCCCATAATTTTTTATTTTTATTTATTTATTTATTTTTGAGATGGAGTTTTGCTCTCGGCTCACTGCCACCTCTGCCTCCTGGGTTCAAGCGATTCTCCTGCCTAAGCCTGCCAAGCAGCTGGGATTACAGGTGCCTGCCGCCACACCCTGCTAATTTTTTATATTTAGTAGAGATGGGGTTTCACCATGTTGGTCAGGCTGGTCTCAAACTCCTGACCTCGGGTGATCCACCTGCCTTGGCCTCCCAAAGTGCTGGGATTACAGGCGTGAGCCACCGTGCCTGGCCCCATACTTTTTTATACTTTTGTTTTTTGTTTTGTTTTGAGACGGAGTCTGGCTCTGTCGCCCAGCCTGGAGTACGGTGGCGTGATCTCAGCTCACTGCAAGTTCTGCCTCCTGGGTTCATGCCCATTCTCCTGCCTCAGCCTCCTGAGTAGCTGGGACTACAGGTGCCCGCCACCACACCCAGCTAATTTTTTTGTATTTTTAGTAGAGATGGGCTTTCACCGTGTTAGCCAGGATGGCCTTGATCTCCTGACCTCGTGATCCGCCCGCCTCGGCCTCCCTAAGTGCTGGGATTACAGGCGTGAGCCACTGCGCCTGGCCAGTTTTTTACACTTTTGGTATCATCAATAGTCTATCAAGTAATGAATACAGCAATTAACAAATGAACAAATTCACAACAAGTATTTTATGGTGTACTGAATAATGCAGCTTGGCTTTCAAGTACAACATCCCCTGAACTGGTCTGTTCTGATCTGTAGGCTGGCTCCCTAGAGTTCCCTTGAAGTGGGCTGCACCTCTCAGTCCATCCCTACAGTCCACAGTCCTGAAGTCAGGTTCCAGAACGTCAGATGTCTGGCCTTAAATTCCCAACCAACTCTTCAAAATGAGTTTACACATAGGAAGGAGACCAAAATGGGAAGAGGGCCTAAACACCATAAGGAACAATTGAGGAAACCTGTGAGAAAGGCTTGGTCAAGGGCACATGCAAGTTGTCTTCAAGCATGTGTGGAAGAGAAATTAGATCTACTCTATGAGTACAGAAGGCCAACCCAAGACTAATAGGAAAAAGTTTGTTTGTTTGTTTTGAGATGGAGTCTTGCTCTGTCACCGAGGCTGGAGTACAGTGGCGTGATCCGATCTCAGCTCACTGCAGTCTTCGCCTCCCAGGTTCAAGCGATCCTTCTACCTCAGCCTCCTGCGTAGCTGGGACTACAGGTGTGCGCCACCACACCCAGCTAACATTTGTATTTTTACTAAAGACAGGGTTTCACCATTTTGACCAGGCTGGTCTCGAACTCCTGTCCTCAAGTGATCCGCCAGCCTTGGCCTCCCGAAGTGCTGGGATTATAAGTGTGAACTGCCACGCCCAGCCAGAAAAAGTTTTAACAGAGCTAGTTTAAAATCAAGTGATACTGTCTCAGGCAAGACATTAGTTTCCAGTTTCTGGAAGTATTGGGAAGCAGAGGCTAAATGAACATTTGTCAGAGTTATAACAAAAGCAGTTCATCTACCAGATTGAGATTTGAACTTCCAAGTCTAAATAATACCTTCCTCTCCTTTTTTAGAGGGAGGAGGAGCCCTTGTCTGAACTTGGGGTTCCTAGCCTAAAAAAATGAGATTTCAGACACAGGAGCAAAGATGGAAGCAGGGATAGATAGAGCTATAGATGAAGACATTCGGGGTGGAACAGGAGAAGCAATGATGAGGCTCCTTGGAGTAGTATAAAAGGTGACTGATGGAAGGGAAGGGTAAAGTGAGACAAGTCAGAGAAGGATATTGGGGAGGAGAGGAATGTCTGTGTGAGGGTTCAGAGAAAGAAGAAGGCCTGGTGTCTGCAGAAAATGGTAGCACTTTACCCAGAGAGGAGGGTGCAAGCCAGAGAATTGCATAGATAGTGTTACATGGAGAACACTTACCTTTCAACAGTGGAACTTGGGTATAGGCTCTTGTTCACTGAAAGGAAGACGCCAGTGTAATGGGAGCTTTAGCAAGCACCCATCTTAAAAACTAACACAAAAGAGACCACCTACAACAGGTTGGTAAAGAAAGTAAAGGCTGACTTATAACAATTGTGAATATTTAGAGAAATTCCAGGTGTGATTTCTGCTCTTAACCTACTTTTTGACTTTGACCTCTGGAGCATCTTTTGAAATATTAATCTCTTTAGTCACCAAATGTACTTTTCTCTTTCAGGCAGAAGGCCACAAGCTGTACAAGGACCTGAAGAACTTCCTTAGTGCAGTCAAAGGTGGGCAATGCAGCATGGGAGAATCCAGAGGGCATTTATACAGCTACTAGGAGGTTTGGGGTGGAAAACAATAGCCATACCCCCAGGTTTTTGTCATTTTATCATTTGACTACTCTTGACTCCTGGAATTTTGTGGGCTGAGGAAGAGTGACTTTTCCTTTCAGCCCCATCCAGCTTTCCTCACTTATATAACCTAAACCTTCTGAGTTTGTCCTTCTGAATTGGAACCACTGATTTGTCACCCATGTGATTACACCAACTACTGTTGGGGAAACATGATGGTGGGACTGAATTCTCTCCTTTCAGTGATGCATGAAAGTTCAAAAAGAGTGTCAGAAACCCTGCAGGAGATCTACAGCAGCGAGTGGGACGGTCATGAGGAGCTGAAGGCCATCGTATGGGTAAGAGTGGCTTGAGTTTTACAACTTATTGGCACTTACTCCTGTTTGCATCTCAACCTCAGCTTAGCTTCTCTATCCAAGAAAATAGGAAAACAAAGGAGCCAGTTCACACTGTGCATTTGTGTAGCCTCAGTCACTGGGTGGTAGGAAGAAGCTACAACTGTTAAGGTAAAAACAAGTTTTCCCTAATCTGTGGATCCCTCTAATTTTGACCCTCTTCTCCTCTTTAAAACATTATGGGAAGTTTTACCTCCTAAAGATTGGTTGTTTTTTAAAACAAACTTCATGCAGTTATACACTCTTAAACTTTCCCATCTAAGCTCTGGAGTCCAAGGCTTTGACCTTGTGCCCTGTTCTTAATCTCTGAATGTATGTTCAGACTCCCATAGAGCAGTTCCTTGGGGTAGGGGCTGTCTCTTTTCTTCCTCTGACTAGTCCCCAGAATCCAACATGGTATTCTAAATACGGTGCTACAAAAAAGGTTTTTGCAGGGAGAATTTGGGTATTTCCCTGGTAGGCAGTTGTTGTTGGGAAGTGGAGCCTTCACCAGCCTCTGACTCTATCCTACAGAATAATGATCTCCTTTGGGAAGACTACGAGGAGAAACTGGCTGACCAGGCTGTAAGGACCATGGAAATCTATGTTGCCCAGTTCAGTGAAATTAAGGTACTCAATGTACAGAATCAAGGCTGGGTTGTGGATGACCCATCCAGGTTAGAGAACATATTGGGTTAAGCATTATAAGTAGAATTAGAACTCACGATTAAGAATGAAGTTTGGGTAAGTTAGGAGAAAGATTAAGGTTGAGGGTTAGACAAGAGGTTAGGATAGAAGGTTGGAAGTAGTGTGAAGTTTATGTTTAAACTTAGATTTCAAGGCTGGGTGCAGTGGCTCACACCTGTAATCCCAGTACTTTGGGAGGCCGATGCAAGAGAATCACTTGAGCCCAGGAGTTCGGGACCAGCCTGGGCAACATGGCAAAATCCCATCTCTACAAAAAATACAAAAAAAAATAGTCATGTGGTGGTGCGTGTCTGTAGTCCCAGCCACCCTAGGAGACTGAGGTGAAGGATCACTTCAGCTGGGGAGGGAGAGGTTGCAGTGAGCCAAGATCATGCCACTGTGCGCCAGCCTGGGTGACAGAGGCTGGTGTCTCAAAAAAAGTAAATAAATAAAATAAACTTAGATTTCAGTAAGCTATATTTGGGCTGATTTCGAATTAGATCCAAGTTAGAGGCATCCCTTTTAGCTGTGAGAAACAGCTGATGGCACTAAAGATGTTTATTGTATAGAAGAGGAAACATGGAGCAATCAAATAGTTATCTTCAAATATTTGAAAGTCTGTTAGGTAAAATAGGAATTCAACCTATTCTAAACTGTTCTGCTTTCTGTTCCAGAAAGCAGAATTAGAATTCATCTATTCATTCAGCTAGTTTTTTTTTGTTTTTGTTTTTGTTTTCTTTTTTTTGAGATGGAGTCTTGCTCTGTTGCCCAGGGTGGAGTGCAATGGCGCAGTCTTGGCTCACTGCAACCCCCGCCTCCCGGGTTCTAGGGATTCTCCCGCCTCAGCCTCCCGAGTAGCTGGGATTACAGGCATGCGTCACCAAGCCCAGCTAATTTTTGTATTTTTAGTGGAGACAGGGTTTCTCTGTGTTGTCCAGGCTGGTCTCAAACTCCTGACATCAGGTGATCCGCCCACGGCCTCCCAAAGTGCTGGGATTGCAGGCGTGAGCCACTGCACCCGGCTCTAGTATTTATTAAACACCTACTCTGTCAAGCACCGTGCTGATTCAGAGGAAGAAGTTAGAAGGAGGCTGACTTAAGTTCCTAATAGTTAAAGCTTTCCAAAAATGAAATGAAATAGACTCAAAGATAGTGAGTTGTCTGTTCTTTGTGCAAACAGAAGTCAAACTACTTCTTATCTTGGATGTTATAGAGAAGCCTCATGGTATTGTATGGGAAATTGGACCAGATAATTGCTAAGATCTTTTCAAATTCTGTGACTGAGAGAATGAAACGGTTCAAAGACATAGTTTGCTTCTCACTGGTATAATTTATAGTTTGGATAAGGCTGAGTAGACTTTCTCTCAGTGGTCATAGTAATTTATAGCTTTTATTGTGTTTTAGAGCTTTCAAAGCACTTTGTATTCAGCATTCACTCTTTCAAATAACAGTTGTATAAGGGGAGATGGGGCTACTGAGGCTCCAAAAGAGATGTGCCTTGCCACTGGCCACAGGCTATGAATGGCAGATTTGGGACTAATTCCCAAAAATCCAGACTTTCACTTTCATGTGATTCTCAAGGCCATTTCTCCTGGAGGCTGAACCAGTTTATAATGGGTTCATAGGAAATATTAAAATTTAATACAGCGGGAGGTGGAGGTGGAAATATATATATGTATTTAATTATATATCTATTACATATATATAATTAATACAGATTTCCACATGCTCTGTAGGACTCTATCTCCCTCTGAGACTCCCCCATTCTTCCCAGATACTGAGGGAGACCCCATGGGCGCAAAACCCTATTAGAAAGTGAAATTTGGGCCAGGTGCGGTTGCTCCTGCCTGTAATCCCAGCACTTTGGGAGGCCGAGGTGGGCATATCACATGAGCCCAGGAGTTCGAGACCAGCCTGGCTAAGATGGCAAAACCCCATCTCTACTAAAAATGCAAAAATTAGCCGGGCTTGGTGCACATGCCTATAATTCCAGCTACCTGGGAGGCCGAAGCACAAAAATTGCTTGAATCTGGGAGGCAGAGGTTACAGTGAGCTGAGATCGCACAACTGCACTCCAGCCTGGGCAACAGAGCAAGACCCTGTCTCAAAAAAAACAAAAGCAAAAAACAACGAAAGTGAAATTTGATAGTAGGATGCAAGAATCTTGCTCTCTGTTTGGTATTCTGTTACCTACATCCTGGCCACTAAAAAGTGAGTATCCACACCCTTTCTCATTACCCTGGGTCAGGAGAGAATTGCCAAGCGGGGTCGGAAACTCGTGGACTATGACAGTGCCCGACACCACCTGGAGGCAGTGCAGAATGCCAAGAAGAAAGATGAGGCCAAGACTGCCAAGGTAAAACAAAAACAACAACAAAAACTGGTAAACCCTTCCTGTTCTCCTTCTCCCCATGGTGGTAGCAGGTGGCTGGGCCAACATGGGTATAGGAAATTATAAATTCAGCATCCAGTGTCCTAAAGGAAATCTGTTTCTTCTGACACTGATGCTGTAAGGATAGTCAGAGTCTTGAGGCTGGGGAGGGCATGGTCAGGGGAAGAAGAGGGATGGCTCCTAAAAAGCCTAGTGCCTAAAAAAATGCAGAGGATGAAGGAGGCATGCTGTAGTACTGGGTTCAGAATTGAGGGAGATTGTCTTGTCTCTTTTACCACCTAGGCAGAGGAAGAGTTCAACAAAGCCCAGACTGTGTTTGAAGATCTGAACCAAGAACTACTAGAGGAGCTGCCTATTCTTTATAATAGGTAATGACTGAAATTCAGAAAAGGTGCCTTTGCTTCACACAAGGCACCTTGTGTGCCTTGACAGTAAGTAGATAAAAGTGTTTTAGATTTAAATTCCCACACTGCCCCGCCCCCTTTTTTTTTTTTTCGAGACAGGGTCTCACTCTGTCACCCAGGCTAGAGTGCAGTAGCACTCAATCTCAGCTCACTGCAACCTCCACCTCCCTAGTTCAAGTGATTGTTGTGCTTCAGCCACCCGAGTACCTGGGATTACAGGCATGTGCCACCATGCCTGGCTAATTTTTTTTTGTATTTTTAGTAGAGATGGGGTTTCACCATGTTGCCCAGGCTGGTCTCGAACTCCTGGCTTCAAGTGATCCCCCTGCCTTGGCCTCCCAAAGTTCTGGGATTACAGGCGTGAGCCACCATGCCCAGCCAGATTTTCCACATTTAAAGAGAAATCTAAGCAGAAACTCCATTTGTATCCTTTTTTCTTTTTATTGTACAAGAGATGCATTAATAGAATTATGGTCAGAATATTTTATATTGTCACTTATTAGTGTACATAGGATGGAGCCTTTTTAATGAACACATGTATTCTAAAACATTATGTGACTCCTAATTAAAATGAAATTGAAATTTTATTTTTTATTTTATTTTATTAATTAATTAATTTATTTATTTTGAGACAGGGTCTCATTCTGTCACCCAGGCTGGAGTGTGGCTCACTGTAACCTATGCCTCCCGGGTTCAAGCAATTCTCCCACCTCAGCTTCCTGAGTAGCTGGGACTACAGGCACGTGCCACCACACCTGACTAATTTTTGTTTTTGTTTGTTTGTTTGTTTTGTTTTGAGACAGAGTCTCACTCTGTTGCCAGGCTGGAGTGCAGTGGCACAATCTCGGCTCGCTGCAACCTCCACCTCCCGGATTCAAGCGATTCTCCTGCCTCAGCCTCCCAAGTAGCTGGGACTACAGGCGCGTGCCACTAAGTCCAGCTAAGTTTTTGTATTTTAGTAGAGATGGGGTTTCACCATGTTGGCCAGGATGGTCTCAATCTCCTGACCTTGTGATCCGCCTACCTCAGCCTCCCAAAGTGCTGGGATTACACGCGTGAGCCACCGTGCCTGGCCATTTTTGTATTTTTTGACAGGTTTCACCCTGTTGGACAGGCTGGTCTCAAACTCCTGACCTCAGGTGATCTACCTGCCCCAGCCTCCCAAAGTGCTGGGATTACAGGCATGAGCCACCGTGCCTGGCCTAGAAATGAAATTTAATACAGTTTCTTTAAAAGTATACCTCCTTGATTCACTTACAGGAGAATTCCATTAATGTACATACAGGCGCAGAAGTCATCCTGTATTGCATAAAGGGAAAGAATAATTACTTACTGTAATAGTTATAATTAGATAGCCTTATATTTATATAGCCCTTTAAAAAATTATTCAAAGCCCTTTTATGTCTCCTCAGCCCTTCAAGAGCCCAAATCAGATAACTCCATGAAACTGTTAAACTTTGGTGTCAGCCTGAGCTGATATTGTCTCCCCTGGCCTTCCTGCTCCTAAGAATCACGTGTGTTCCTGGCCCAGCTCTGACGAATCCAGATCCCAGAACATCCTGAGTGTGGGATGTGGGATGGCTTTCTTTTTTTATTTTTTAAAATAGAGTCTCGCTCTGTCGCCCAGGCTGGAGTGCAGTGGCACGATCTCGGCTCACTGCAACCTCTGCCTACCAGGTTCAAGCGACTCTTTTGCCTCAGCCTCCTGAGTAGCTGGGACTACAGGCTCATGCCACCACGCCCGGCTAATTTTTTTTTTTTTTAGTAGAGACGGGTTTTACCATGTTAGCCAGGATGGTCTTGATCTCCTGACTTCATGATACGCCCACCTTGGCCTCCCAAAGTGCTGGGATTACAGGCGTGAGCCACTGTGCCCAGCGGGATGGCTTTCATTTAGGAGCCTTGGTGGCTGGTTTTGGCTTAAGTCCTACTTTGTATTTCAAACAAAGAACTCCTTTCCCATGCCTTACTCGTATGTGTTTGTGGTTTTGCTTCCTAATAGTCGTATTGGCTGCTATGTGACCATCTTCCAAAACATTTCCAACTTGAGGGATGTCTTCTACAGGGAAATGAGCAAGGTGAGAGGTGTCTGGCCAATTGAGGCTCCTAGGTGTGTTTTCTAGTAAATATGAAGGTAGCCTTGACTTACATGATTTCTTTAAATATCCGTATTGGCACCACAGATTTTGGCTTTTCTCTCATGATGAAATAAGAGCACTTGATTGTGTACTTAACTGTATTGAAACACATATATACACTATCCGAGGGCCCTCTTCATCTCCCTTAACAACTGAGTAAGTGTGTCCAAATTTGAGCTTTAGCATGAATAAAGGAGGTTAGGCCTATAGAAGGAAAAATTAAAATGGGGAACCCCATTGTGAAATATCTATCTATTGTTGCTGGGGACTGGAGAGGGCAGTGTTTAAGGACAAGTCAGTTTCTCAGGTGGTTGGTCTCAAATAAGACTAATCCTGTCAGTGACAGGCAGCCATATAACATAATTTATGAAGTCTTTTCTAGTCCTGGGATTCCAAGATTCTTTGCTACTACAACATTTATATTAGTTATATTCACAAACAGCTATACATACTACTCTCCATAGTTTATTTGGCTAAAGTATGATTTGCCTAGTTAATATTAAAAATGAGGTTTTTTGGTTTTTTTTTTTTTGAGACGGAGTCTTGCTCTGGCACCTAGGCTGGAGTGCAGTGGCGCAATCTCTGCTCACTGCAAGCTCTGCCTCCCAGGTTCACGCCATTCTCCTGCCTCAGCCTCCCGAGTAGCTGGGACTACAGGTGCCCACCACCACGCCCAGCTAATTTTTTTGTATTTTTAGTAGAGACAGGGTTTCACCATGTTAGCCAGGATGGTCTCGATCTCCTGACCTCGTGATCCGCCCACCTCGGCCTCCCAAAGTGCTGGGATTACAGGCATGAGCCTGTAAAATGAGTTTTACATTTTTAGGCGCCTGGCCTAAAAATGAGTTTTCATTCCCTGGATCACCTGTGAGAAGCTAGAACCTCAAATCAGACATCAGTTATGGACCCTGCCTTGAGACAGCTGCCAGTCTGATGGAAGAGGCAGAACTTAGAACACAGAGAGACAGGGAAGAGGGGGTGGCGGGACAGGACCCTGGACTCTAATGCTAGACAGATGAAGAGGAATTCACATCAGAATTGAAAGGGGGAGGTTTTATTTTGGGAAGCTGTCTGAAGGGGAGGGGAGAAGGGATATGCCACTCTCGGGTTCCCAGTTGGCTAGCATCCCCTTCTTTCTTATTGGCTCTAGCTGAACCACAATCTCTACGAGGTGATGAGCAAACTGGAGAAGCAACATTCCAATAAAGTCTTTGTGGTGAAGGGACTGTCAAGGTGAGCAGCATCCAAGACTTTTTTGCTTCGCTTGTCCTGTGTGTGAATGTATTCAACATCCTCATCTCCAGTCCAGAATCCTGACCTGTCCCTTATGTGCATGTGCGTGATGATGTTTGTTGTTTGTACTATGCTCCTATATAAATTATTTTGCTTTTTACTAAATATATATATATATATATATATATATATATATATATATATATATATATATATATTTTTTTTTTTTTTTTGAGACGGAGTCTCACTCTGTCGCCCAGGCTGGAGCGCAGTGGCGCGATCTAGGCTCACTGCAAGCTCCGCCTCCCGGGTTCATGCCATTCTCCTGCCTCAGCCTCCTGAGTAGCTGGGACTACAGGCGCCCGCCATCACGCCCGGCTCATTTTTTTTTTTTTTTTTTTTTGTATTTTTAGTAGAGATGGCGTTTCACCGTGTTATCCAGGATGGTCTCAATCTCCTGACCTCGTGATCCGCCCGCCTCGGCCTCACAAAGTGCTGGGATTACAGGCGTGAGCCACCGCGCCCGGCCACTTTTTACTGAATATTTCAAGGCCAGACAATGGTGGCTCATGCCTATAATCCCAGTACTTTGGGAGGCTGAGGCAGGAGAATTACTTGAGATCAGGAGTTTGAAACCAGTCTGGGCAACATAGTGAAATCTCATCTCTACAAAAAAAGATTAAAAGAAAAAAAAAATTAGCCGGGCAAGGTGGTGCGTAACTGTACTCCTAGCTACTCAGGAGGCTGAAGCAGGAGGATCACTTGAGTGCAGGAGTTTGAGGGTGCAGTGAGCTATGATCATGCCACTGCACTCCAGCCTGGATGACAGAGCAAGACCCTGTCTCTAAAAAAATTAATAAAAATTAAATATTTTAGACATAACCGAACGTATAAAGAATAATACAACAAATAGCCATGTACCTACCATCAAATTTAAGAACTTGGCTGTTGTAAATATAGCTGAAGTTCCCAATGTTCCTTCCCCACTCACTTTTTCTTTCTGACCCCACTAAAGGTAACCGCTATGTTACATTTAGTATTTATCATTTCTATGTGTGTTGTTTTATGTGTGCATGTATGTTTCACACATAAAATAATACGCATGGAAATAAATACTAAATGTAATACTAAATGTAACATGCACACACTGTATTGTTTCACACATACATGCACACATAAAATATTGTTTTGCATGTTTTTGGGGGGTTTTTTTTGTTTTTTTTTTTTTTGAGACAGGGTCTTGCTCTGTCACCCAGGCTGGAGTGCAATGGCACAATCTTGGCTTACTGCAACCTCTGCTTCCCGGGTTCAAGCAATTCTCCTGCCTCAGCCTCCAGAGTAGCTGGGATTACAGGCACATGCCACCACACCCGGCTAATTTTTGTATTTTTAGTAGAGACGCGGTTTCACCATACTGGCCAGGCTGGTCTTGAACTTCTGACCTCGTGATCCGCCCGCCTTGGCCTCCCAGAGTGCTGGGATTACCGGTGTGAGCCACCACGCCCGGCTGTTTTGCATGTTTTTAAACTTTATATAAATGGACTTATACTGTATGTATTGTTCTGCAACTTCTTTTGTTCTCTTAGTGTTGTTTGTAAGATTTTTTGTTATTGCTACATGTTGTTATAATAGCTCTGCTGTTTCCTTTCTATAGTTGTTACTGTATGCCTACTTCATGATTTATTTATCCTCCTGCTAGTTTGGGGCATTTGAGTTGTCTTCTAGGTTTTTGCTATTATAAATAATGTTGTGATGAACATGTTTTACATTTGTCCCTGTGAATATTATCAAGAGTTTCTTTAGGGTCTATACTTGGAGCAGGATTGTTGAGTCATAAGGTCTGTCATGGGGCTTCTTGACCCTTAATGAGATATTTCCATATTGCTCTGCAAGGTGATAATTCCAGTTTACCACCCATCAGCAGTGAGTAAGAGCCCTCATGAGTCCACATTCTCACTACATGTGAAATTGTCAGACTTATTCATTCTTACAAGCTCATGAGTATAAAATGGAATTTTTTTGCAGTTTTAAATCATAGCTTCATAATTGCTAGTTTCCTTGAGCATCTTTTCATGTTATTGGCCATTTAAGGTTCCTGTTCTGTGACTTTCCTATATATCGTTTTCCCATTTTTCAATTGGGTTGTTGACCTTTTTTAAAAAAATCGATCTATGTAAGTTTTTGTGCCAGGCACGATGGCTCACGCCTGTAATCCCAGCACTTTGGGAGGCCGAGGCAGGTGGATCACGGGGTCAAGAGATCGAGACCATCCTGGCTAACACAGTGAAACCCCATCTCTACTAAAAATACAAAAAAAAATTAGCTGGGCATGGTGGCGGGCGCCTGTAGTCCCAGCTACTCGGGAGGCTGAGGCAGGAGAATGGCATGAACCCGGGAGTCAGAGCTTGCAGTGAGCCGAGATCGCGCCACTGCACTCCCGCCTGGGCGACAGAGCGAGACTCCATCTCAAAAAAAATAAAAAAATAAATAAAAATAAGGTGGTTTTTTTTTGGCTGATATATTCTAGATTCTAATCTTGGATGCTCAAGGATAAGCATGGCATCCAGCACATAGCAGCTACTTGATAGATGTTATAGTTGATTCTTGTTGTTCATGGTAGTTTTGTTTTATAAAGTTGCCATACTCACTGAACATCAAAACACAGGTTTCTGTGAGCCCCTGGTCACAACATTTTCATCAACCACCCAACATATAACCTTGTTTTATGTGAGTTTCTGTTTAAAGATACCTTATTTAATATATATTATTAATTTATTAATATTGAACTCACAACCAGCAGCATTGTAACTCATGCCTGAATGAAGCTTACCTAATAATACATGTATTTTCTCTGGAAGGCACATCACAGTCTTTTTGCACTTAGCACTACAGCTTGGGGGCCATTTAAAGTAGCAAAATCACCAGCAAAAAGCACAAAGTTAGGAAAACATGGTGGAAAGGACATTTGTTTACAGTTTGAGAACGGAAGCAAGAAGGTAGATGATTGCCTTGTTAGACTTCATCTGGAAAGTGCGTGCCAGGCAACTCATTCTTCACCACTTGGGCATCTCCAATAGTGACTGGGAAAGTGCCACAAGTATTGATTTGGGGGTTCCAAATAAATAAGTAGGTAATTCACAGATATGAAATCTGTGTAGTTCAACTGTATATCACCCATTAATCTTTGCCCCAGAGGAAATATTTGCGACATTTTGCAGTGTTTCTTTCCAGTCTCTTTCTCTGTACATATTTTTACATAATTGAGTTCATGATATAGATAAAATTTTGGCCTTTTTTCATTTCACTGTATAAGTGTTATTGTAAATTATGCAAACTTTCTAACATTTTAAATTGCTTTATTCTTTTTTTTATTACATGCATCGTAAGTTTTGCATATTTACATTGCTTCTGGTTTTTAGCCGTTCTGAATCTGAACACCTTCCTTTTTTAGCAGCAGCAGGCGCTCTTTAGTCATTTCTCCCCCAGTTCGAACAGCTACAGTCTCCAGTCCTCTTACCTCACCTACTAGTCCCTCTACACTTTCCTTGAAGAGTGAGAGTGAATCTGTCTCAGCAACTGAAGATCTGGCACCTGATGCAGCCCAAGGGGAAGACAATTCTGAGATCAAGGAGCTCTTAGAAGAGGAGGAAATAGAGAAGGAAGGATCTGAAGCAAGCTCCTCTGAGGAAGATGAGCCTCTACCAGCCTGCAATGGCCCCGCCCAGGCCCAGCCCTCTCCTACCACTGAAAGGGCCAAGTCCCAGGAGGAAGTTCTCCCCAGCTCCACAACTCCATCACCAGGCGGAGCCCTGAGCCCTTCAGGGCAGCCTTCATCATCTGCCACAGAAGTAGTCCTCCGAACCCGCACCGCAAGTGAAGGATCTGAACAACCAAAGAAGAGAGCCTCTATCCAGAGGACCTCAGCACCCCCTAGTAGGCCTCCTCCACCCAGAGCCACTGCAAGCCCCAGGCCCTCCTCAGGGAACATACCTTCCAGCCCTACAGCCTCTGGAGGGGGTTCACCCACCAGCCCTAGGGCCTCCTTGGGGACTGGGACTGCAAGTCCTAGGACCTCCCTAGAGGTCTCTCCTAATCCAGAACCACCAGAGAAGCCAGTAAGAACTCCTGAGGCCAAAGAAAATGAAAACATCCACAATCAGAACCCTGAAGAACTTTGTACTTCCCCCACCTTAATGACATCTCAGGTAAGAGTAGTTCTGGTTGGGTATTTAATTTAATTAATTTATTTATTTAAGCTAGGGTCTCACTCAGGCGTCCAGGCTGGAGTGTAGTGGTGCGATCACAGCTCATTGCAGTCTCGACCTCTCAAGCTCAAGTGATCCTCTGCCAACAGAGATAGGGTCTCCTTATGTTGCCCAGACTGGTCTTGAATTCCTGGCCTCAAGTGATCCTCCTGTCTTGGCCTCCCAAAGTGCTGAGATTACAGATGTGAGCCACTGCACCCGGCTCTGGTAGGGTCTTTATATCCTTTTATAACCTCCATGTAGGTATCTTTACTATAGTCAGAATACTCTTGGACACCTTTTTTGGTTTTGGGGATTGTTTCATGTCTTCATAGCTATTAATTTAGTAATCTACTTTTAGGGTAATTGACTTTTTTTTGTTTGTTTGTTTGTTTGCTTTTTTGAGATGGAGTCTCGCTCTGTCACCCAGGCTGGGGTGCAGTCATGCAATCTTGGCTCTCTGCAACTTCTGCCTCCTGGGTTCAAGTGATTCTCCTGCCTCAGCCTCCAGAGTAGCTGGGATTACAGGTGCACGCCACCACACCCGGCTAATTTTTGTATTTTTAGTAGAGACGGGGTTTCTCCATGTTTATTTTTTGTTTTGTTTTGTTTTGTTTTTGAGACGGAGTCTCGCTCTGTCGCCCAGGATGGAGTGCAGTGGCACGATCTCTGCTCACTGCAAGCTCCGCCTCCCGGGTTCACACCATTTTCCTGCCTCAGCCTCCCGAGTAGCTGGGACTACGGGTGCCGGCCACCATGCCTGGCTAATTTTTTGTATTTTTAGTAGAGATGGGGTTTCACTGTGTTAGTCAGGATGGTCTCGATCTCCTGACCTTGTGATCTACCCGCCTCAGCCTCCCAAAGTGCTGGGATTACAGGGGTGAGCCACCTCGCCCAGCTGGTTTCTCCAAGTTGGGCAGGCTGGTGCCGAACTCCTGACCTCGTGATCCGCCTGCCTCGGCCTCCCAAAGTGCTGGGATTACAGGCGTGAGCCACCTCGCCCAGCCAGTAATTGACTTCTATAAGGGGCTTATCTCTAGTAGTGTTAATGAGCAGATTCTTACTAATTTCTTTCTTTTCCTCCAAGTTCTGGGAGTTCCTAGTATAAAGAACCTTTAGTTGAAGCCGGGCGTCGTGTCTCACACCTGTAATTCCAGCACTTTGGGAGGCCAAGGCAGGCAGATCACTTGAGGCCAGGAGTTCGAGACCAGCCTGGCCAACCAACATGGTGAAACCCTGTCTCCATTAAAAATACAAAAATTAGCCAGGCATGGTGGTGTCTGTAGTCTCAGCTACTTGGAAGGCCTGAGGCACAAGAACATGAGAATCACTTGAACCCAGGAGGCAGACGTTGCAGTAAGCCGACATCACATCACTGCACTCCAGCCTGGGCAACAGAGTGAGACTGTGTCTCAAAGAAAAGAAAAAGAAAAAGTTAAAAAAAAATTAATACAAAATAAAATAAATAAATAAATAAATAATAAATTCAAAAAAATAAAGGACCAATAGTTGGAATCCTGAGCTTTACCTTCTTTAGTGGGGGCAGGAGGGTGGGTCTCACTTCAGTTCATTATACCTGTGACTATGGTAAATAGACCCTGAAAAAAAATGGCAGCAAATTTCCAGGGTGTGTCTTCTCTGATGAGAAGACCTAGAAGCAGGAACTCACAGAGGGAAGTAAAGCAAAAAGGACAGCCTTTTGAAAAGGCTGCTCCTTACTTGGGAGGCTGAGACAGGAGGATTGCTTGAGCTTATGAGGTCGAGGCTGCAGTGAGCACTACTACACTCCAGCCTGGGCACCAGAGTGAGACCCTATCTCAAAAAAAAATTTTTAAGTCTTGAAAAAAAATTGAGAGATGCCAACCCATTGAAGAGCAACTAGTTCTGTGAAGGATCTGTAAATCAAGTCATACTCTTTTTTTTCTTTCTTTCTTTTGAGACAGGGTCTCACTCTGTCACCCAGGCTGGAGTGCAATGGCATGATCATGACTCACTGCAGCCTTGACCTCTCTGGGCCCCAGTGATCTTCCCTCCTTAGCCTCCCACGTAGCTGGTACTACAGGCGCATGCCACCATGCCTGCCTCATTTTTGTATTTTTGGTAGAGATGGGGTTTCGCCATGTTGCCCAGGCTGGTTTCAAACTCCTGGGCTCCAGTGGTCCTCCCATCTCCGCCTCCCAAAGTGCTGGGCTTACAGGTGTGAGCCACCGTGCCCGGCCTCAAGTCATATTCTAGTCACATTATATGGAAAGACTATCATATAGGGATTTGACTTGTTCTGTGACACTCCAGAGGGCAGAGGCAGAAACTACATATAAAGACTTTTTTTTAAGATACATTTTGGAACAATACAAGAGGAACTTTCAACAATTAGCTCAATTTTTTAAATGGGATGGGAAAAAAGTATTGTGGAAGGGCAAAGGAGACACAAGGGGCTGATCAAAAAAAATATGGGATGGGCCGCCTTGAAAATTAGTTCTCTTTCCTTGATGTTAAGAGCTAAGGGCCGGGCGCAGTGGCTCACGCCTGTAATCCCAGCACTTCGGGAGGCTGAGGTGGGCGGATCATGAGGTCAGGAGATCGAGACCATCCTGGCCAACATGGTGAAACCCCGTCTCTACTAAAAATACAAAAAGTTTGTTGGGCATGGTGGTGTGTGCCGTAATCCCAGCTACTCGGGAGGCTGAGGCAGGAGAATCGCTTGAACCCAGGAGGCAGAAGTTGCAGTAAGCCAAGATTGTGCCACGTTGCACTCCAGCCTGGCAACAGAGCAAGACCCTGTCTCAAAAAAAAAAAAAAAGATCTAGGATAGATTATCTCCAGTCAGGTACATTGTAGAGAGGATTATGGTGAAATGTCTGACTAGATGGCAACAAGATTTATTCATTCTACAATTACTTACTGAGCCCCTACAGTGTGCCTGGGACTTTTCTAGGAGGTGGGGTATGACAGTGAACAAAACAAAATACCCTGCCTTCCTGAGGCTTATATTTTAGTGCGGAAGACAGACAAAAAAAAAGAATAAATAAAATTACAATCTAGTAATGATAAGTGATATGAAGAAAAATTAAGTAGGGAAGGACACAGGGAGTGGGAGCTGAGTTGCAAGTTTATAGAGCAGTCAGCGGTGACATGTGAGCAATGAAGAAGGCTAGCACATGAGCCATGTGTATATCCGGGAGAAGTGTGTGAGATTTCTGACACTCGTTAGATCACACCACCCTACTACTGCCTGTGTCTGACCAAGGCTACCTCGGGAGCCTCCTGATATCTGAGAGGAGCTAATATGGACCAAGGGCACAGGGATGGCCCCCAGGTGGAAGGTGTGGGACTCTCTCCTCCATTGTTCACTTTGATTCACAGGTTGCTTCAGAGCCTGGAGAGGCAAAGAAGATGGAAGACAAGGAAAAGGATAATAAGCTTATCTCAGCTAACTCCTCGGAGGTACTAAAAGCCTAAGTCATCTACATGATGATGCCCTATTTTTTTGTACATTAAAATTTATTTTTCTTTTTCCAGAAGTATATCTTTCAGAGGCCTTCAGTCTTGATTCACATGAAGCACTGAGGGCCCTAACAGAGCAAGATGTAAAACTTGTCCTGGCCGGGCGCGGTGGCTCATGCCTGTAATCCCAGCACTTTGGGAGGCAGAGGCGGGCGGATTCCCAGGTCAGGAGATCGAGATCATCCTGGCTAACACGGTGAAACCCCGTCTCTACTAAAAATACAAAAAATTAGCCGGGTGTGGTGGCGGGTGCCTGTATTCCCAGCTACTCGGGAGGCTGAGGCAGGAGAATGGCATGAACCCGGGAGGTGGAGCTTGCAGTGAGCCGAGATTGCGCCACTGCACTCCAGCCTGGGTGACAGAGCGAGACTCCGTCTCAAAAAGAAAAAAAAAAAAAACTTTTCCTAGGCCGGGTGCAGTGGCTTACGCCTGTAATCCCAGCAGTTTGGGAGGCCGAGGTGGGCGGATCACCTGAGGTCAGGAGTTCGAGAGTTTGAGACCAGCCTGGTCAACATGGTGAAACCCCATTTCTACTAAAAATACAAAAATTAGCCGGGCATGGTGGCATGTGCCTGAAATCCCAGCTACTGAGGAGGCTGAGGCAGGAGAATTGCTTGAACCCAGAAGGCGGAGGTTGCAGTGAGCCGAGATCTCGCCATCGCATTCCAGCCTGGGCAACAAGAGTGAAACTCTGTCTCAAAAAAAAAAACAAAAAAAAACAACTTTTCCTTAAGTCAGGCTCACTGATGCAAGCCTGTAATCCCAGCTACTCAGGATGCTGAGGCGGGAGGATCACTTGAGCCCAGGTGTTCGACACTGTAGTATGCTACGATCACACCTGTGAATAGCCACTGCACTCCAGCTTGGGCAACATAGTGAGATCCCATCTCTTTAAAAAAAATTTAATAAAAAGATTTGGGTGCAGTGCCTCAACCTCCCAAGGTGGCTGTAATCCTAGCACTTTGTTGGGGGCTGAGGCAGGTGGATCACTTGACCCCAGGAGTCTAAGATCAGCCTGGGCAACATAGGAAAAACCCATCTCTACAAAAAATACAAAAATTAGCCAGGCGTAGTGTCACATGCCTGTGGCCCCAGCTACTTGGGAAGCTGAGGTGGGATCACCTGAGCCCAGGGAGGTCAAGGGTACAGTGAGCCATGATCACGCCACTGCACTCCAGCCTGGGCAACAGAGTGAGACCCCATCTCAAAAAAAGATTTTTTAAATAATAAAAATGACTTTTCCTTGGTCAGTTTCTAGTCTGAGGCAGCTGTGCTGATGGAGAGAGATAGGCAGGACATGTGGAGAGTGAATAAGTGCAGGATAGATGCGGGGTTTTGAGTAGGTAAGCATAGCCACTTCTCATTTTTCTGCACTGAAAAGAGCAACTCAATGGTTGAATTGATTTCAATTTGATTTTATAATGTATTATATGATTTTAGATGGAGACAGTAATAGAGTGACTTTTTGATTGCCTCTGGGGAATGATAAAACAAGCTTGCATTCTTGGAGTCATCTTTTTGAAGGGAGGAGTTTATAGGAGCCAAGACTCTTTCTGACCATTTTAAGAAACAGGCTAGTAACACTGTCCTCCCTGGAAAAGAGGTACAGGATACACTCTCCTTCCGCCTGAGTCTGTCTCCTTATATTTTAGATTTATAATATTTCCTTACTCTTAGCCTCTCTGGTGGGATTGCTTTGGTCATCAGCTAAGGAGAAATATTTTTCCTGTAGAATTAAGCAACTAGAGCATCTTAGATCCTAGCCTATTCGTGTCATCAATCCTCTGAAGCCTGTGTATGCTCACTTCCCTTGCAGATGCATTATAAATCATATTTTCTCTCAGGCAGAATTATGGACATGTCACATGTAAAAATGGGTAAATATAAATATAACTGGGAAAAAACATAGCCATTTTTGAAAAAAAATTACTGGGAAAAAATCTGTTCTTGCTTACCATTTGAATCATCTCAGAGAGATGGAAGGTTTTGATAACTTTCCGGGAGGTGATGTAACATCACCTCTGAGCTAATTCATGACCTGGAAAGGGAGGAGGGAGTAAAAAGAAAGAAAATGTCCTTGAAGGAGAAATCTTGGAATTTCAAGTGGCTATCACACTGTTAGAAATTGGTTCTGTTGGCCAGGTGCCATGGCTCACACCTGTAATCCCAACACTTTGGGAGGCTGAGGGGAGTGGATCACTTGAGGTTGGGAGGTTGAGACCAGCCTTGCTAACATAGTGAAGCCTCATCTCTACTAAAAGTCAGGCATGGTGGTGGGCGCCTGTAATCCCAGCTACTTGGGAGACTGAGGCAGGAGAATCGCTTGAACCTGGGAGGTGGAGGTTGCAGTGAACCAAGATCACGCCACTGCACTCCAGCCTGGGTGACAGAGCCAGATTCCTTCTCAAAAAAAAAAAAAAAGAAAGAAAGAAAAAATTAAAAAGAAATTGGTTCTGTTTTTAAAATATGAATTTATAGTTTGTAAATTAAATTTCATGTTTTAAAAACTTATTTTAAACCTCACAGGGTCTTCCCCTAGCATAGCAGTTTCTAGGCAGGGCTTTCTTTCTTTTTTTTAAAATTTATATTTTTAGAGATGATCTCACTATGTTGCCCAGGCTGGAGTGCAGTGGGTATTCACAGGTGCAATCATAGTGCACTGCAACCTTGATACTCCTGGCCTCAAGTGATCCTCCTGCCTCAGCCTCTCAAGGAGCTGGGACTACAGGTGTGCACCCCTGCACGTGGTCTAGACTGGGCTTCCTACACCTTGGGTTCCCATCTCAGAACCTAAAATTTTTCCCAAAGAAATTATTTTACCACTTGCTTCTCCTAACTGCGTGTCATGAATTAGGATCACTTAAGTGTGAGAGTTGCAGTACATTCTTGAGGACGGTTCATCTAAAAGTGGCAGGTAGTAATTTTAAGACCTCGCACTCCCTTATAGATACACATCCACACCATGTCACACAGATTACATGGTGTTTGATCATGGAAACAACTCAGGAATTCAAAGACCTGGTTTCCTGTCCCAGCAAGTCTTTTTACCCTTTGAATCTTAGTTTATTCATCTGTAAAAGAGGATGGATGAAAGCCTTTCCCGATGCCTTCAGGCTCTGGTGAAACAACACTGTATTTTGCCCTTTGTAATAGTACAAATACTGAGACCCTTGTAAAGTATAAGGCACAGAAGACACTTCTATGCTGAGAGGCTGGAAAGGTTGAGCCACCTCTTACTGGCAGAACTCTTCTCTTTGTAGGGCCAAGACCAGCTTCAAGTCTCCATGGTACCAGAAAACAACAACCTCACAGCACCTGAACCTCAAGAAGAGGTAAGACCAGATATACAGAGAATAGATTGGGCATTAGATTGACAGGGGTTTGGGAAAAGGCTGGAATCTTCACCACAGGCTACAAGGGGAATCCGGCAGTGAACCATACCCTTAGGGCAGTCAAGCAGGTGGGAATCAGAGGAAACAAGAATGAACTGGGACTTCGTGGTATCTCCGTGCCCATTTTCCTATACTTGACCTTAAACTGGCCCTATCTTCTAGGTATTTATTTAATTAAATCTCAAATTATTTCAAAAAGGAGTTAAAGAGGTTAAGATATTTTTTTTAAATGCAAAAAGGTCATATTATACAGTAATGTGTTGCTCAACAACAAGGATATGCTCTGAGAAATGCATTATTAGACGATTTTGTCATTATGTGTGGCTGTATGGTATAGCCTATTGCTTCTAGGCTGCAAACCTATACAGCATGTTACTTTACTGAATTCTGTAGGCAGCTGTGACACAGTGGTTAATATTTGTGTATCTAAACATAGAAAAGTACAGTAAAAATAGCATATAGAAAATAAAAAGTGATACACTTGTATAGGGCACTATCATGAGTGGAGCTTGCAGGAGTGGAAGCTTCTCTGGGTGAGTCAGTGAGTGAGTGGTGAGTGAATGTGAAGGCCTAGGACATTACTTACACTCCTATAGACTATAAACACTGTACACTTAGGCTACACCATTAAAAAATATTTTTCTTTTCTTTTTTTTTTTTTTGAGACGGAGTTTCACTCTTGTTGCCCAGGTTGGAGTGCAATGGCATGATCTCGGCTCACCGCAGCCTTGGCCTCTGGGTTCAAGCAATTCTCCTGCCTCAGCCTCCTGAGTAGCTGGGATTACAGGCATGCGCCACCACGCCCAGCTAATTTTGTACTTTTAGTAGAGACGGGGTTTCTCCATGTTGGTCAGGCTGGTCTCAAACTCCCGACCTCAGATGATGCACCTGCCTTGGCCTCCCAAAGTGCTGGGGTTACAGGCGGGAGCCACCACACCCGGCCAAAAAATATTTTCTTTATATCCTTATTCTGTAAGCTTTATTCTGTATTTTTTCTGTTTCTTTTTAAAACTTTTTTTGTTAAAAACTAAGACACAGAGCTGGGTGTGTTGTGGCATGTGCCTGTAGTAGTTCCAGCGATGCAGGAGGCTGAGGCAGGAGGATCACTTGAGCCCACGAGTTCAAATACAACCTGGGCAACATAGCTAGACACCGTCTATAAACAAGTAAATAAAAACACGCAAACATACACATTGGCCTACGGTCAGGATCACCCATATCACTGTCTTCTACCTTTACATTTTGTCCCACTAGAAGGTCTTCAGGGCACTACCACAAATGGACCTGTCATCTCTGGTAATAACAACGCCTCTTCCTGAAGGATCTACTTGAGGCTGTTTTACAGTTAATGTTTTTTTTAAATAAGCAGAACTTTTTTTTTTTTTTTTTTTTGAGATGGAGTCTCTCTCGGTCGCCCAGGCTGGAGTACAGTGTACAGTGGTGCAATCTCGGCTCACTGCAACCTCCGCCTCCTGGGTTCAAGCGATTCTCCTGCCTCAGCCTCCTGAGTAGCTGGGATTACAGGCGGTGGCGCCACCATGCCTGGCTAATTTTTGTATTTTTGGTAGAGACAGGGTTTCACCATGTTGGTCAGGCTGATCTGGAACTCCTGACCTCATGATCCTCCCGCCTCAGCCTCCCAAAGTGCTGGGATGCTGGGATTACAGGTGTGAGCCAACGCACCTGGCCAATTAGCAGAACTTTTTTTTTAATAAGTAGGAAACACACTAAAATAATAATAAAAAGTATTGTAGGCTGATGTGGTGGTTCATGCCAGTAATCCCAGCACTTTGGGAGGCTGAGGCAGGCAGATCACTTGAGACCAGGAGTTCAAGACCAGCCTGACCAACATGGTGAAACTCCATCTCTACTAAAAATACAAAAATTAGCCGGGCATGGTGGCACGCACCCGTAATCCCAGCTACTTGGAAGGCTGTGGCATGAGAACATGAGAATCACTTGAACCCGGGACAAAGAAGCTGCAGTGAGCCAGGATTGTGCCACTGCACTCCAACCTGGGCAATGGAGTGAGACTGTGTCTCAAAAATAATATATATAGAAAAATATTTTTAAAAGCATAGTATATTAAATACATCAAGTAATATAGTTGTTTATTGTTATCAAGTGTTATGTACTGTACATAATTGCATGTGCTATACTTTTTACAACTGGCAGCACTGTAAGTTTGTTTATACCAGCATCATCACAAATATGTGAGTAATGTGTTGTGCTGTGATGTTATAAAGGCTACAATGTTAACAATAGCTGCCACATCACTAGGCAATAGAAATTTTTCAGCTCCATTAAAATGTTATGGGACCACCTTTGTATATAGAGTCCATTGTTGATCAAAATGTCATTATGCAGCATGTGAACTGCATATATATATGTTTATTATATTAACATACACACATATACACAACATACAGCAGAAAAACTCAGAATTATATGAGACAGGATAGTGATGTAAAATGGAGCCATGAATTAGGCAAGTATAAAAAATGCATTCTATAAAATAAGCTTACTAAGGATGACCATGAAATTGGTTCCAGACTTTCTAAAATCCAAGAAGAGAAAAACCTGATCAGTTAACCCAATTCACAATGCTCATTCCTTAAGGAGGCTAGGTGCCGGGGCTCACACCTGTAATCCCAGCACTTTGGGAGGCTGAGGTGGGAGGATCACTTGAGCCCAGGAGTTCAAGACCATTCTAGGCAACAAATTTTTTTTTTAATAAATTAGCCAGGCATGGTTGTGTGCGCCTGTAGTCCTAGCTACTCAGAGGCTGAGGTGAGAATACTTGAGCCCTGGAGTTCAAGGCTACAGTTAGCTATGATTGTGCCACTACACTCCAGCCTGGGAGACAGAGCAAGACTATGTCTCAAAAAGAAAAAAAAAGAAATTCTCCTGTGAATCATCATAAAGATATTGTGAATGATGTAATGAACAATATCTGCAACAAGTCCTTGCAATAATCCCAACAACCAGTTTCACATTGCCTCCCTCAAGAGAGGCCAGTGGCATTACATGAAGTATAATTCAGTAGAAGCAAACTGAGTTTAACCCCTCCATAAGTGGTTGGTGGGAAGGCAGGTCAACACCTAACACAATCATGTTTACTTTCCAGGTATCCACAAGTGAAAATCCACAACTCTGAAGAGAAACTACCAAGACTCCTCCTGCCCCAAACCTCGCCAGAGAAGCTCTTCAACCAGAGGGTATAGGTCAGAGGGATATAAGAGCCAGCATCCATCCCTGGGTTCTCAGTAGGAATGCTGGTGCTGTCTAAAGACCTGGCATTAATGGAGGCGGAGGAGCAGCCTTACGGGAGGGATGGAGGGAGGCAGGCTGGGGAGAAGAGAACATTAGACTCAGGGAATATTTAATTCTGGTTTTAGCATTATTAGAATAAGACTTTATACATTAACTAAAGTGGAGCTTTAATCACTATAAAAAGCAAAAGTATCTATAGACACAGACACTTGCCTATACAGAGACATAACCACACACACTCAGAGGATAGTGAACAAATCTGTCTTTGACTTACGACCCATTTTGCAAGACTTAAAGCCGGAAGAACACATTTTCAGATTGTTAAATAAAGTCTGATTCTGACTATCTGTGGATTGTTTATTTGACAAAGGGCATTGTTGCAACCCAGCACACTGTTTTCCACTTAGGTATGGTTATTGATTCTGCCCCAGGTTCAGAAAGGTTTAGTCACATCCCTGACCCCCAGCTCACCCTAACTCCTGACTGTAATTCTTTTATGATACCAAGGGCCACAGACTCTTCTCCTTAATCCTGCATGTGCTCCCCACTCCCCACTTTGGTTGATAAACAGATACACTTGGAAAGGGGTAATAACATTTTAGAGCTATATCTGGTGTTTACAATTTAGTACTTGGTATGAGTAAGGGTCTGAGCACAAGAGAGGAAGATATGAAACTGAAAGGATACAAAGTATAATAATAACAATCATATCGGCTGGGTGCGGTGGCTCACAGCTATAATCCCAGCACTTTGGGAGGCCGAGGCCGGTGGATCGCCTGAGGTTGGGAGTTCGAGACCAGCCTGACCGACATGGAGAAACCCTGTCTCTACTAAAAAAATACAAAAGCAGCCGGGCGTGGTGGTGCATACCTGTAATCGCAGCAACTCGGGAGGCTGAGGCGGGAGAATCGTTTGAACCCAGGAGGCGGAGGTTGCAGTGAGCCAAGATTGTGCCATTGCACTCCAGCCTGGGGAACAAGAGTGAAACTGTCTCAAAAAAAAAAAATCCTATCCTAGAAATGGCATGAAATTTGGAGTCAGAAGTCCTGGATTCTTTTGGGAGGCCAACAGGGGAAGACTGCTTGAGCCCAGGAGTTGGAGACTAGCCTGGGCAAGATGATGAGACCTCTATCTCTTATTTTTAAAAAAAATTTTAAAGGGCTGGATGTGGTGGCTCACACCTTTAATCCCAGCACTTTGGGAGGCTGAGGCGGGAGGATAACCTGAGCCCAGGAGTTTTACACCAGCCTAGGCAACATAGACCCCCATCTCTACAAAAAATTTAAAAACTAGGCCAGGCACGGTAGAGCGCACCTATACTCCCAGCCACTTAGGAGGCTGAGGAGGGAGGGTCACTCCAGCCTGGGAGGTTGAGTCTGCAAGGAGCAACGATCATACCACTGCATGCCAACCTGAGTGACAGAGGGAGACTCTGTCTTAAAAAGAAAAAGAAAAAAAAAAAAAAAGGCCGGGCACGGTGGCTTACACCTGTAATCCCAGCACTTTGGGAGGCCGAGGCAGGTGTATCACAAGGTCAAGAGTTCAAGACCAGCCTGGCCAACATGGTGAAACCCCGTCTCTACTAAAAATACAAAAATTAGCCAGGCGTGGTAGCGCACACCTGTAGTCCCAGCTACTCAGGAAGCTGAGGCAGGAGTATTGCTTGAACCTGGGAGGCAGAGGTTGCAGTGAGCCAAGATTGCGCAGCCTGGGTGACAAAGCAAGACACTGTCTCAAAAAAAAAGAAAAAATTAAAAAAGGAAGTCTTGGATTCAAGTCCTATCATTACTTTATATGAAAATATTTGTGACATTTTCAAAATAGCTCTGAAGTCCTGCCAACTTGATAAATGCCACATAAATGCCAAAACCTTTCCATCCTTGCTCTTGTTTTTAGAGGTGATGATATCACCATTCGTTCAGTCATTCTGCAAGCATTTACTGAGCATCAACCGTCTACCAAGCACTGAGTACCAGTACTAGGAACCAGGGAAACAATGATGAGGGGTGTTAAAAATAAGATATTTAACGAGACAGAATATTGAGCAAGGAGCAGAATGGGCAAGATTTAGTGACGGGCTAGAAGGGCACACATGATGAAAAGTGAGGTGTTTTTCTTTTGTTTTGTTTTGTTTTGTTTGAGATGGAGTCTTGCTCTGTTGCCCAGGCTGGAGTGCAATGGTGCAATCTCGGCTCACTGCAACCTCCGCCTCCCTGGTTCAAGTGATTCCCTAAGCCTCCAAGTAGCTGGGATTACAGGCACACACCACCACGCCCTGCTAACTGTATTTTTAGTAGAGATGGGGTTTCACCATGTTGGCCAGGCTGATCTCGAACTCCTGACCTCAGGTGATCCACCTGCCACGGCCTCCCAAAGTGCTAGGATTACAGGTGTGAGCCATCGCCTGGCCAGGAATTATTCTAAGTTAGGCTTGAGAGACTAGAACTTGGTGGTGTCTTTCCTTTTAACAATGACTGCAGAAAGAAGTATATTTATGTGGGTTCTCTGGTTGCAAGCGACAAACTGACAAAATTAAGCAATAAACGATATGTTGGGGCTGAGCGTGGTGGCTCTCACCTGTAATCCCAGCACTTTGGGAAGCAGAGGCTGGAGGATCGCTTGAGTTCAGGAGTTCAAGTCCAGCCTGGGTAACATAGTGAGACCCCATCTCTACAAAAAATTAGCCAGGCCTGGTGGCATGTACCTGTGGTCCCAGCTACTTGGGAGGCTGAGATGGGAGGATCGCTTGAGCCTGGAAGGCAGAGGTTGCAGTGAGCCATGGTTGCACCACTGCACTCCAGCCTGGGCAACAGAGCGAGACTCTGTCTGAAAGAAAAGGATATGTTGGGGCCGGGCACAGTGGCTCATGCCTGTAATCCCAGCACTTTGGGAGACCGAGATGGGCAGATTGCTTCTGATCTCATGGCAAAGCCAGGAGTTTGAGACCAGCCTTGGCAACACGATGAAACCCCGTCTCTACCAAAAAATAACAAAAATTAGCTGGGCATGGTGTTGTGAACCTGTAATCACAGCTAATCTGGAGGCTGAGGCACTGAGAATTGCTTGAATCCAGGAGCCAGAGGTTGCAGTGAGCTGAGATTGCGTCACTGCACTCTAGCCTGGGCAACAGAGTGAGACCCTGTCTCAATAAAAAAAAAAAAAAGATAAAAGGATATGTTGATATTAGACAGCTCATAGAGCCAAAAGAAGAACCAGGCTGCAGGAAGGACAAGAGCCAGCCCCTGGATGTCTGCATCAGGAATGTGTGCACAGCCCCTCCAGCAGCTGCCACCTTCTGCCACTGTGTTCTCTCCAGATCCACATTCCCTTAGAGAAAATTCAACTGGCCCAATTTGCATGATGTGTCCATCCTATGGCCAGGGAAATGGCGAACTGTGACTGACACTATTACCAGACATGTTAGTGCCTATGACGGGAAGAAGACCAGTGATAGGAGGGGATCATGATAAGGAGGGTGAATTTTTTATTTATTTTTATTTTTTTTGAGACAGAGTCTCACTCTGTTGCCCAGGCTGGAGTGCAATGGTACTATCTCGGCTCACTGCAAACTCCACCTCCTGGGTTCAAGCAATTCTCCTGCTTCAGCCTCCCGAGTAGCTGGGATTACAGGCATGCACCATCATGCCCGACTGATTTTGTATTTTTAGTAGAGATGGGGTTTCTTCATGCTGGTCTCGAACTCCCGACCTCAGGTGATCCACCCGCCTCGGCCTCCCAAAGTGCTGGGGTTACAAGCATGAGCCACTGCGCCTGGCCAGAAATGTTCTTAATTTTAATTATGGTGATAGTTTTATGGGTATATACATGTGTCAAAGCTTATCAAATTGCATATTTTATGTGCAATTTACTGTGCATCAATTATACCTTGATTAAGCTATAAAACAAACTCTAGGTGTCCCCTACAAGCATTGGGTGCAAGGAATTTGTAGTCCTTGCAGGATGTTCCAGTAGATATGTTCATTAAGGAGCTGGAAATACATGTTTATATTTGGGAGTCATTTTTTCCAAAATCTAATCCTGTTACTCCTTTTTCTTTTCTTTTTTTTTTTTTTTTTTTTTTTTGAGACGAGGGCTCATTCTTGCCCAGGCTGGAGTGCAGTGGCACCATCTCAGGCTCACTGCAACCTCTGCTTCCTGAGCTCAAGCGATTCTCCCACCTCAGCCTCCTGAGTAGCTGGACTACAGGTACGTGCTACCATGCCCGGCTAATTTTTGCATTTTTTGTAGAGATGGGATTTCGCCATGATGGCCAGGCTTATGTTACTCTTTAAAAAGCATCATCTGGCCGGGCACAGTGGCTCACGCCTGTAATCCCAGCACTTTGGGAGGCCGAGGCAGGCAGATCACAAAGTCAGGAGTTCAAGACCAGCCTGACCAACATAGTGAAACCCCGCTTCTACTAAAAATACAAAAAATTAGCTGGGCATGGTGGCATGCGCCTGTAGTCCCAGCTGCTCAGGAGGCTGAGGCAGGAGAATCGCTTCAGCCTGGGAGGTGGAGGTTGTGGTGAGCCGAGATCGCACCACTGCACTCCAGCCTGGGCAACAGAGCGAGACTCCGTCTCAAAAAAAAAAAACATCATCTTTGCTTTGGGAGGCCAAGGCTTGAGGATTGCTTCAGCCCAAGAATTCAAGGCCAGCCTGAGTGACAAAGCAAAACCCCATCTCCACAAAAAATTAAAAATTAGCTGGGCATGGTGGCACATGCCTGTAGCCCCAGCCACTCTGGAGGCCGACACAGGAGGGTATCTTGAGCTCACATCAAAGCTGCAGTGATCTTTGATCACACCATTGCACTCCAGCCAGCCTGGGCAACACAGCGAGACCCAGTCTCAAAAAAAAAAAAAGAAAGAAAAAAGAAAAGGATCATCTTCAAAGGATCTCTACTGCATACAGCAGTAATGGAGAGGAGAAGCTTACATTTCCCCCTGAGAGGAGAGTTGTTCTTCAAATTATAAAAGCCCTACTGCCTGTCCTTTTTCATAGCTCTCCTAAAAGGTGTTCCACTCCCAGGCTAGGCGCAGTGGCTCACTCCTGTAATCCCAGCACTTTGGGAGGCCAAGGCGGATGGATCACAAGGTCAAGAGATCAAGACCATCCTGGCCAACATGGTGAAACCCCGTCTCTAATAAAAATACAAAAATTAACAGAGTGTGGGCCGGGCGCGGTGGCTCACACCTGTAATCCCAGCACTTTGGGAGGCTGAGGCGGGCGGATCACGAGGTCAGGAGATCGAGACCATCCTGGCTAACATGGTGAAACCCAGTCTCTACTAAAAATACAAAAAAATTAGCCGGGCGTGGTGGTGGGCGCCTGTGGTCCCAGCTTCTTGGGAGGCTGAGGCAGGAGAATGGCGTGAACCCGGGAGGCGGAGCTTGCAGTGAGCTGAGATCGTGCCACTGTACTCCAGCTTGGGCGACAGAGCTAGACTCCATCTCAAAAAAAAAAAAAAAATTAACTGAGTGTGGTGGCACATGCCTGTAGTCTCAGCTACTCGGGAGACTGAGGCAGAAGAATCGCTTGAACCCAGGAGGCGGAGGTTGCAGTGAGCCGAGATCGCGCCACTGCACTCCAGCCTGGTGACCAAGCAAGACTACATCTCAAAAATAAATAAATAAGATAAAATAAAAGATGTTCCACTCCCTTGGCATTCAGAATCACTGCTGGGAGTGATACAGGGAAAATGCTGGGAACAGAGGACCCTAGCTGCACAAGGCCCTCAACCCTTTTCTCTCCAGGGCTTTCCCTACTCTCCTCAGGAGACTGATCCTCTTTGGCGTGAGCCAGAGACTTCTAGGGACTTACAGTCTGGTGGGGCAGACAAGCAGTAACTGCTGCAATAGAGGCACACCTGAAGTGGAGAATTTTACTAAATTGTGAGGTTGGCACTTTGTGTATAACCCTACTGAGAGCTCCGAGGAGGCAGGGGAAAGTGCCCATATGCTTACCTAGGGTGGATAGTGCCATTTGGGGAACAGCTTGTTTACCCTAACTGACAAAATGGTAATGTCCAGGGGAAAGACTGCCATCCTGGCAGCAGCACAAGGTGGGGCTGAAGGCCAATAAAACTGGGTGGAGATGAATGTCTCTTGTCCCCTCCCCTAAGGCCCCTTGAGGTCTATTGACAAAAGGACAGCCTCTGCAGTTTCTGAGGTTTAGCATTTAATCCTTGGAGAACACTGGTAGTTTACCACCACAAGCCTTCATTCATCATCTGTCTGTATGCCTCTCTACATAGAATTAATTGCAAGAACATCCTCCAGTCCCTGCCCTCCAGCAGTTTGAAGGACATACTGACAGACTAGGTAAGACATGCAGAGAGCTCGAGACATGACATATCCAGATAAACAGCACACACACCAGAGAACACAATACGCACACTGCTTACAATAGTATTTATTTTACACCAAACTGGGTGCTGAGCATGTGCATATTGGATCTATTTTTCTGTATGACTACACTTTTAAAATGAGGTATGTTGGCTGGGAGCAGTGGCTCATGCCTATAATCCCAGCACTTTGGGAGGCCGAGGCAGGTGGATCACTCAAGGTCAGGAGTTTGAGACCAGCCTGGCCAACATGGTGAAACCCTGTCTCTACTAAAAATACAAAAGTTAGCCAGGCCTGGTGGTGTGGACCTGTAATCCCAGCTACTCCAGAGGCTAAGGCATGAGAATCACTTGAACCTGGGAGGCAGAGGTTGCAGTGAGCTGAGATGGAGCCACTGCACTCCAACCTGGACGACAGAGTGAGACTCCACCTCAAAAAATAAAATGAGGTATGTGACTACATAAAAAAATTAATAAATAATGTATCAGGCCAGGCGTGGTGGCTCATGCCTGTAATCCCAGCGCTTTGGGAGGCTGAGCCGGGTGGATCACCTGAGGTCAGGAGTTCGAGACCAGCCTGGCCAACATGGCGAAACTCTGTCTCTACTAAAAATACAAAAAATTATCCGGGCCTGATGGCAGACGCCTGTAATCCCAGCTATTTGGGAGGCTGAGGCAGAAGAATTGCTTGAACCCGGGAGGCGGAGGTTGCAGTGAGCCGATATCACGCCATTGCACTCCAGCCTGGGTGATAGAGCAAGACTCTTGTCTCCAAAAAAAAAAAAAAAAATCAAGTATCAGCAAACCTTCTAAGGTTACATTTTATTCATTTTTATTATTATTTTTTTTTGAGATGGAGTCTCACCCTGTTGCCAGACTGGAGTGCAGTGGTGTGATCTCTGCTCACTGAAACCTCCGCCTCCCAGGTTTAAGCGATTCTCCTGCCTCAGCGTCTTGAGCAGCTGGGATAACAGGCATGCGCCACCATGCTCGACTAATTTTTGTATTTTTATTAGAGTTGGGGTTTCACCATGTTGGCCAGGATGGTCTCGATCTCTCAACCTTGTGATCTGCCCGCCTCGGCCTCCCAAAGTGCTGGGATTACAGGCGTGAGCCACTGTGCCTGGCCTATTTTTATTTTTTTAATGTTTAATTTTTGTGGGTTCATAGGAGGTATATATATTTATGGGGTACATGAGTTTTTTTGTTTTTTTTTTTTTGAGACAGAGTCTTGCTCTGTTGCCCAGGCTGGAGTGCAGTGGCACAGTCTCAGCTCACTGCAAGCTCTGCCTCCCGGGTTCATGCCATTCTCCTGCCTCAGCCTCCCCAGTAGCTGGGACTACAGGTGCCTGCCACCACGCCTGCCTAATTTTTTGTATTTTTAGTAGAGACGGGGTTTCACCATGTTAGCCAGGATGGTCTTGATCTCCTGACTTTGTGATCCGCCTGCCAAAGTGCTGGGATTACAGGTGTGAGCCACCATGCCCGGCCTCATGAGATGTTTTGATATAAGCATGCAATGCATAATAAAATCATATCATGGAGAATGGAGTATCCATCCCCTTAAGCATTTATCTTTTGTGTTAAAAACAATCCAATTACACTATTTTAGTTATTTTTAAATGTACAATTAAGTTATTATTTATAGTCACCCTGTTGTGCTACCAAATAGTAGGTCTTAAGGTCTTATTCTTTTTTTTTTTTTTTTTGTACCCATTAATCATCCCCACCTCCCTCCCTAAGGTTACTTTTTTTTGGTTGAGGGGAAAGGATCTTGCTATATCTCCCAGGCTGGAGTGCAGCCTTCACCCCCAGGGCTCAAGTGATCCTCCCACCTCAGCCTCCTGACTAGCTGGGACCACAGGTGCATGCCACGACTCCTGTCTAACTTTTTTTGTATTTTGTAGAGACAGTGTTTCAACATGTTGCCCAGGCTGGTCTCAAACTCCTAGGCTTAAGTGATCTGCCCACTGTGGCCTCCCAAAGTGCTGGGATTATAGGTGTAAGGTTACTTGTTTTTTTTTTTTTTTGAGTCAGAGTCTCACTCTGTTGCCCAGGCTGGAGTGCGTTGGTGCAATCTCGGCTCACTGCAACCTCCACCTCCAGGGTGCAAAAAGGTTCTCCTGCCTCAGACTCCGAAGTAGCTGGGATTACAGGCTCCCGCCACCACACTCAGCTAATTTTTGTATTTTTAGTAGAGACGTGGTTTCGCCATGTTGGCCAGGCTGATCTCGAACTCCTGACCTCAGGTGATCTGCCTGCCTTGGCCTCCCAAAGTGCTGAGATTACAGGCGTGAGCCACTGCGCCCCACCAGTTACATTTTAAAGAGAAAAAAAAGATGCTTATTGAAAGAACATTACTAACAACTGTCGAAATTGTGAAAGTGACAGCAAATCAGTAGAGTCAGTCAGTTGAGCCAGATAGCCTCTGAGTCTGTAGTTCTTTTTTTCTTTTTTTTTTGTCGCCCAGGCTGGAGTGCAGTGGCACAATCTCGGCTCACTGCAACCTCCGCCTCCCGGGTTCAAGCGATTCTCCTGCCTCAGCCTCCCCATTAGCTCGGATTACAGGCGCCTGCCACCACGTCCAGCTAATTTTTATATTTTTAGTAGAGACAGGGTTTCACTGTGTTGGCCAGGCTGGTCTTGAACTCCTGACCTTGTGATCCACCCGCCTCGGCCTCCCAAAGTGCTGGGATTACAAGTGTGAGCCACCGCGCCTGGCTGAGTCTATAGTTCTAAACAATCTTCAACACATAATAGAAAATGTGAAAGAGACAGACCCAGGTCCAAGAACGATCTGAACTTCTCCTGGAATTCATGATCAAGGTGGACAGCTAGAAGTATGTCAATGCCAGCAATTGTCCTCCTTTGGATTTAGCCCTCTAGGATTTTAATTTCCTTTTCTCTTGGATATTCTCTTATCTAAGGACAAGCCAGGCTCACCTTTCTTTTATTAAGTTACATATGCATAGCTGGCATATCACTTTCTTTGCCTTTCTTGGTTGGATTGGCATTTTCCCATGCACATATTTACATATATTTCTCACAATATATTTATATAAAATGAATTTCATCACTTTTTTATTGTTTGTTTTCCTCCTGTATTTGTGTTTGTTTTTTTCTTTTGAGACGGAGTTTTGCTGTTGTTGCCCAGGCTGGAGTGCAATGGTGTGATCTCGCCTCACTGCAACCTCTGCCTCCCAGGTTCAAGCAATTCTCGTGCCTCAGCCTCCAGAGTAGCAGGGATTACAGGTGTGTGCCACCACGCCCAGCGGATTTTGTATTTTTAGTAGAGACAGGGTTTCACCTTGTTGGCCAGACTGGTCTCAAACTACTGACCTCAAGTGATCCACCCGCCTCCCAAAGTGCTGGGAGCCACAGTGCCCTGCCCTCTGGTTTCTTTTATAATGAACACTTTAGGAATAAAAGCAACTACTCTTGCTTTGCTTGTGACTTTGTTTTGTTTTCTCCCTTTATGCCTCTCTCCTCTGAGACCTTCCCTTTCGGTCTGTTCCCGGATTAACATGCACAATCTGATGATGCCTGTCTTTCTACAGAAAGTATTTCTGTATAAATACTGGTTTACAAACCTACAGAACGCCTAGGAGTGCGAAGTAAGCACAGAAGTCTATCACTGGGAGGGAAAGAATAATCACAAGGGTTCCAATCCTAAACGGGAAGCCAAGGTAACAAGACCTAGCGTTTATTGAGCACTTACTATGTGCCAGGCAAGGTTCTAATGCCTTACAGTACATATTTACTAACCTATTTCGTCCCAACAGTCACTCTATTCAGACAGGTATTGCCCCAGATAAGAGAAACGGAACAGAAGCAGCTTGTCCAAGATCACACAGCAGAGCTGATTCCAGTGCCTGCGCTATATACTATTACATCCTCTTAGTCACTGAATTCTTCTGATTAATTTGGGAACATTTCCTGCCACAAACGAGTGAGTCAAGAGGTAGCTAAAGCATGGCACTGATTATTCAAATTGAGGTGCTCACCATGCTTCTAGAACCATGGATATGAGATGGCTTTACAGGCATGATCACTTTCAGACCCGCATTTTAGGAATGAGGAAACAGATTTTCGAGATGTTAATTTGCCCAAAGTCACCCAGCTAGCAAGCAGAAGAGCTGGGGCTGTTTGAATCCAAAGTCCACGGCACTCCTAACCGCTGCTCAACGCTGCCCCACAAGAACGTCCAGCTGGCAAGACCCGGGTGGGGCTCGTTGCTCTCCCCGCTTCACCTCCCTGCTTCACGGCCGGGGGTGTGCTGGCTAAGTTCGCTCATCTGCCAAGCTTCAGGACACAGACCTATGTGAGCAAGCGATAAACAAATGCAAATAAATGTAACTTTCCACATTAGCTAAAAATTCAGAGAACGTCAAGCCCAGGGAAATGGGACGGATCCCAGTTAGCCCGCGGCTCCAATCTGGTCCCCCCCCAACCCCGAGCCTCGCGGCGAGAAAGGAAGCGGCTCCGGATGGAGAGTAAAGTGACAATCGGAGAAGGGCAGGCTGCCTTTCCTCCCGGGGGAGCCAAGGGGACCTGCAGAGGGCGGTTTCTCTCCGCTTTTCCTGTCCCACCCCGTCGGCCTGCCCCCCACCCCCTCCGGCCTCTGCGCCAACCCCGCGCGCCACCCGCGGCTTCCTCCGCTCGGGGTCCTCGTTCGGCCTCTGCTGGCCTCCGCGACTCCGCGGTGCCCGCCCCCGTTGAGTTCAAAAGGACGCGCGGAGCGGCGCCGGCCCTTCACCAGCAGCCCGTCCGACTGGAAAGGTGAGCACGAGGGAAGGGCGGGGGCGCCGGAGAGCCGGGTCGCCCACATTCGCCGCAGCCACCTCGGCCGTGGCAGGAACCGAAACCCGGAGCGGCCGAAGCTCAGCGCTCCGCTGGGGCAGAGGGTCGCGGCGGCTGGGAACGCCGCTCCCCGACGCACCGGCCGCCCCCAGCGCAGCGCGCTCCGCGGGGTGCTGGTAACGCGGGGGGCTCGGGGCGGGGGCGGGGACGGGGGCGGGGCCGCGGGGCGAGGACCAACCCAGCCCGTCGCGTCCACCCCGCGTTCGCAGGGGCGTCGAGGATCTCCGGGGCGCGGGGCGCGGGCTGGGGCCCAGTGAGGCTTGGCAGGCTGTGCGCGGACCGCGCCCTGGACGGCGAAAGCAGGCCCGGAGGGGGCGGCCAGTCCGGCGTCCCAGCGTCCGAGGCGAGCCAGAAGGCGGCCCACGGCCGTCGCCTCCCGGTCCCGGCCCGGCTACTGCGCTGCGCCCACTCCGCTCTGGAGCCTGGGCGCGGGTCCTGACCTTCCCGGCCCTCTCCTGACACCTGGTGGATGGCGTCACCAGAACTCCTAGCTGTGGAACCCTAGGGTACCTGTTACCGCGCTTTGGCGAAACTGGGTTCGCTGCTGATTTGCGAACCTTTGCCTGACTTTCTCAGGCCTTGAGAGATCTAAGTAAATTTGGTGGCCCATTGAAAGGACCTGGAGAGAGCGTATGAAGGTAACACCCCGTCAAACTGCATGCGGCCTCAGACCTGCTCCTGTGGAGAGCTGTTGGTACCTGGAGCCTGAGGAGATATTCAGGGAAACCAGAAGAGGACAAGAGAAAAAGGGGAAGGGACTTGGGAGAACCTGGCACCAGAGGCTTTCCTGGGACTTCCAGGACTCAAAGCCATAGGGGCCCACCCGCTACATTCCTGTCTTTGCCCCTCTTCCTACAGATCTGCCTCTTCTCCAAGAAACTCAACCACTAGTGACAATGACCAGCCTCCTGACTACTCCTTCTCCAAGAGGTAGGTGAAGGCCTTTCCTAATCCCAGTGAGAAAGAATTGTTCAACATCCCCTTCCCCAGACCAGTCCTGGAAGCCTCAGCCCAGGTGGGAAGACTCCCACCTCTCTCTGCCTGCCTCACACAGGAAGGGCCTGGGAGGAAGCAGGAACTAGAGTGTGCCCCTTAGTACGGTTTTAATCTGAAGTCACATGGACATGGTGACTTCACAAATCTTTGTAACCTCGGTTTATCAAATAATTTTATGTCGGTAATCCCAGGACTTTGGGAGACTGAGACAGGAGGATCTCTTGAGGCTAGGTGTTTGAGACCTGCCTGGGGAACATAGTGAGACCCCATTGCTAATTCAAAAGAAAGAAAGAGGCCGGGCGTGGTGGCTCATGCTTGTAATGCCAGCAGTTTGGGAGGTCGAGGTGGGCGGATCATCTGAGGTCAGGAGTTTGAGACCAGCCTGGCCAACATGGTGAAACTCCATCTCTACTAAAAATACAAAAAAATTAGCCAGGCGTGGTGGTGCACGCCTGTAATCCCAACTACTCAGGAGGCTGAGGCATGGGAATCGCTTGAACCTGGGAAGCACAGGTGAGCCGAGATCGTGCCATTGCACTCCAGCCTGGGCAACAAAGTGAGACCGGTCTCAAAAAATAGGAAGGGAGGGAGGAAAGGAAAGGAAGGAAGGAAGGAAGGAAGGAAGATTATTGTATAAGCCTAAAGGAAGGGCTTTACATTCATCTGTCTAATAATTTATAGCTATGGCAAAGAATGTAGCAGAAACCCTTGTAATTAAATGTGGAAAAGGAATCTTCAAAGATAACAGGGAAATCATTTTTTAAAAACCTGCTAAAGATAGTATTGCTAACCTCTAAGCTCCGGTTTCATCATTCACAAAATAGGGAAAATAGTACCTATCTTATGATTTATGAAGATTAAATGAGACAACCCATATAAAACACCTAGAAGAGTGTGTAGTATCTCGTAAGCACTCAGTCACGTTGGTTATTAGCACTGAGTACTTGTTAGAAACCCATCTTTCCCTTGAAAGTGATTTTGCTGGCTTTCTCATTCCACTCCTCTGGTGATACAGACCCAGCATCAAAACCCCATTGTTCCCTGAAGGTGTGCGGAGGCCGGGCACTACTGCTCAGCACTCTGAGAATGGATGCCCACCTTTTAGTTCATCATCAGGCTGGGCCGGACAAACTATCAGTTATTTATTGACTGTTTTCAGCATGTGCTAGTTAGGGAGAGAGAGGAACAAACCCTTGGTTGGTCTATACACCTTTGTCTTCCTATACACAGTCACATTTGTCATTAGGACAGGCATTCTCTGCTTTTACTGATGTGGAAACAGGTGAGTGACACCACCAGTGGAAGTCTAAGACAGTGTCCTCTGTGACTGGTAATGCACACAATTCAGACTTTTAGTTGTCTGGTGAGAAGAGATAAAAGAGAGAAATGGCCAGGTATGGTGGCTCACGCCTGTAATTCCAGCACTCTGGGAGGTTGAGGCAGGCAGACTGAGCTCAGGAGTTCGAGATCAGCCTGGGCAACATGGCGAAACCCCATCTCTACAAAAAAATTTAAAAATTAGCCGGGCTTGGTGGTAGACACCTGTGGTTCCAGCTACTCCAAAGGCTTAGGTGGGAGGATCCCTTGAGCCCAGGAGATGGAGGTTGCAATGAGCCGAGATCATGCCACTGCACTCCGGCCTAGGTGACAGAGCAAGACCCTGTCTTAAAAAAAAAAAAAAAGAGTTAGGGGGACACGGAGTGGGGGGGGGGAATAGGTCAGCAAAGGCTTCATGGGTGGGTGAGGAAGGGGATCTGAGTCTTGCCCTTGAAAGACGGACAAGGTTCATACAGGCAAAGGGGCGCAGCAGGTATCTTAGAGAAACGTAGAATACCTTTTTCGTGTGTACCTGCTCTAGATAAAGGTAGAATACCTCATACCATGTGTGAAGCTACAGAGACGATTTACCCTGGAGGATGTTCAGGAAGCGGGTGGGCAGAGGACCTCCAGAATAATCCTGCCCACAAGGGAAAAAAGGTGATACCTTGGCAGCTAGCTGAGGGATTAGAACCTTGGCAAGGGGGAGCTGTTTACATTTTTTAAATTTTATTATTATTATTTTTGAGACCAAGTCTTGCTGTGTCACCCAGGCTGGAGTACAGTGGCTTAATTTCGGTTCACTGCAACCTCCGCCCCCTGGGTTCAAGCAATTCTCCCACCTTAGTCTCCCTAGTAGCTGGAATTACAGGCGTGCGCTACCACGCCTGGCTAATTTGTATACTTTTAGTGGAGACAGGGTTTCGCCATGTTGGCCAGGCTGGTCTCAAACTCCTGGCCTCAAGTGATCTGCCCTTCTCGGCCTCCCAAAGTGCTGGGATTACAGGCTCATGCCATTTTTTCTTTTTTAAAATTTATGGTAAAATAAACATAGTACAGGTATTACCATTTTAGCCATTTTTTCGCAGACAATTCAGTGGTAGAGTAGTCCCCGCTTATCCACAGGGGATTCATTCCAAAAACCCCAGTGGATGCCTGAAATCTCAGATAGTACTGAACCCCATCTATACTGTGTTTTTTCCTGTACATACATACTTATGATAAAGCTTAACTTGTAAATTAGGCACAGTAAGAGATTAACAATAATAATAAAATAGAACAACTATAACAATATACTGTAATAAGAGTTATGTGAAAATGGTCTCTCTCACTTAAAATGTCTTATTTACTATAGATCTTAGAAACCTCAGTACACAGTTCTTTTTTTTTTTTTCTTAAGTCAAGAACTTTCACCTTTTCACTTAAAGGAAGCACTTCTTGTTGGCATGTCCAAATTGCATCACTATTCTTGTGCTTTGGGGCCACTGTCATGTAAAATAAGGGTTACTTGAACACAAGCGCTGTGGTACTCTACTAAGCGTTTATAGCATGGACACAAAAGGATGATTCACTTTCCAGGCAGGATGGAGCAGGGTGTGAGATTTCATCACGCTACTCAGAACGGTACATAATTTAAAATGTATGAATTGTTCCTTTCTGGAATTTTCTTTTTCTGTTAAATTTCTATTTAATGTTTTCGGACTGCAGTTGACCACGGGTAACTGAAACCTAGGAAAGCAAAACCGCAGATAAGAGGGGACTACTGTTGTTTTTTTTTTTTGAGACGGAGTCTCGCTCTGTCACCCAGGCTGGAGTGCAGTAGCGCCATCTCAGCTCACTGCAAGCTCCGCCTCATGGGTTCACGCCATTCTCCTGTCTTAGCTTCCCGAGTAGCTGGGACTACAGGCGCCCACCACCACGCCCGGCTAATTTTTTGTATTTTTAGTAGAGACGGGGTTTCACCGTGTTAGCCAGGATGGTCTTGATCTCCTGACCTCGTGATCCGCCCACCTCGGCCTCCCAAAGTGCTGGGATTACAGGCCAGTGCCTGGCCTGGGGGGACTACTGTATTAAGTAATTCATGTTCCTCACCACCATCCATCTCCAGAACTTTACCTTCCCAAACCGAAACTTGACACCCATTAAACACTGATTCCCCATTTCCCTGCAAACACCGTTCTATTTTCTGTCTATGTAAATTTGACTGCTCTAGGTACTTCATGTAAGTAGAATCATACAATAGACCTTTTGTGTCTGGCTAACTTCACTTAGCATAATATTCTCAAAGTTCATCCATATTGTAGCATGTCACAATTTCCTACTTTTTCAAGGCTGAATAATATTGTTGTATGTGTATATTACATTTTGTTTATCCATTCATCTATGATGGACAGTTGAGTTGCTTCCACCTTTTGGCTATTGTGACTGATGCTGCCATAAACATGGGTGTACAAATATCTTCTTGAGACCCTGCTTTCAGTTGTTTGGGATGTATGCTCAGAAGTGGAATTGCTATATCATGTGGTAATTCTGTGTTTGATTTTTTTGAGGATCCACCATATAGGTTTGCACAGCAGCTGCACCATTTTATATTCCTACCAGCAATGCATAAAGGTTTCAGTTTCTCTACAACCTTGCCAACACTTGTTACTTTCTGTTTAATGGTAGTCATCATATTGTGTGTGAAGTGGTATCTCATTGTGGTTTTGATTTGCATTTCCCTAGTGATAGTGATGTGGAGCATCTTTTCATGTACTTATTGACCATTTGTATATCTTTGGAGAAATGTCTATTCAAGTCTTGTCCCATTTTTTAGTTGATTTGTTTTGTTCTTGTTCAGTTGTATATTTATATCCTTTAAAAATTTTTTTTAAAAAATTGATCGTTGAATCAGTCCTCTCTCTCTTTCTCTTTTTTTTTTTTTTTTTCTGGCGATGGAGTCTTGCTCTGTCACCCAGGCTGGATTGCAGTGGCACCATCTCGGCTCACTGCAACCTCCACCTCCCGGGTTCAAGCAATTCTCCTGCCTCAACCTCCTGAGTAGCTGGGATTACAGGCACACGCTGCCACACCCGGCTAATTTTTTGTATTTTAGTAGAGACGGGGTTTCACCATGTTGCCCAGGCTGGTCTCAAACTCCTGAGCTCAGGCAATCCGCCTGCCTTGGCCTCCCAAAGTACTAGGATTACAGGCATGAGCCACTGTGCCTGACCTTTTTTTTTTTTTTTTTTTTTTAAGAGATGGGATCTTACTCTGTTGCCCAGGCTGGAGTGCAGTGGCACAATCCTGGCTCACTACAGACCCAAACATCTGGGCTTGAGGGATCCTCCCACCTCAGACTCCTGAGCAGCTGGGACTGCAGGCGTGCACCATCACGCCCAGCTAATTTTAAAATTTTTTGTAGAGATAGGGTTTTGCTATGTTGCTCAGGCAACTCTCCCGGCCTGAAGCCATGCTCCTTCCTCTGCCCCTGAGTTGTTGAGATTATAGGCGCAAGCCACCTCACCTGGCTGCATTCTTGATCCAGCGAGTGACATGAGTGAAGTAGTGATTTAGGACAGTCTCCTATCCACTGGGTCCAAGCAAGTGTAAGTTCAGAGACAGCAATAGACAAAAGAATAGAAATCACAGATAGGAAGAAAGCTTATACTTTAAATGATGGGATCACTAAAGGCCAGCTCTTCTCTTCTACCCCTGTCTTGCATTTCTCTTCCCCCACCTTCCCACCTATTCCTCCCTCACAGTCTATAAAGACTTCCTAGAGAAGATATCCTCCAGGAACCTTGAAAGGAAGGGCCACATTATGACTCCTGAGCCCTGGGCACTTCTGTCTTTGTGGGCTCCTCCTTCACTTAAAAAAATATTAAAAATCATATTTTACAACTGCATCAGTGTAAGGAAGAATATAATATAATATAATTAATATTTATAATTAGTAATTGAATGGCATAACAACCTTAATATTTCTTTGACCTAAAATTTTGTTTCTTTTCCTTCTTCTAATTATAAAAGAAATGAAAATTATTTAAAACATTTTCATGGGCCTTTCGAAGCATTGTGGGCCCAGGGCACTGTGCCTGTTGTGCCTAGTGCATAAGTCAGCCCTATTCGAAGTAGGGCAGAGTGGAACTGTGCCTTGTGGGCTTTGCCCACCGTGCCAGGTAAAGCTCATCTCTTGCCACCAAATGATCACACCAGCTACCGCCTAGGTTGTCCTCACCCTGTATTAGACACTTAGCATTTTTCTTTATTTTATTTTAAAAATAATTTTTTGTAGAAATAAGGTCTTACTGTGTTGCCCAGTCTGGTCTCAAACTCCTGGCCTCAGGTGATCCTCCCATCTCAGCCTCCCAAAGCAGCATTTTTCATTGCACTTATTCCTCACCACAACCCAATGAAACAAGTTTTAGTCTCATTTTACGGAAGGAAAAACTGAAGTTCAGGGGAGTTAAGGAATTTTCTTTTCTTTTTTTTTTTTTGAGATGGAATTTCCCACTTGTCACCCAGGCTGGAGTGTAGTGGTGCAATCTCGGCTAACTGCAACCTCTGCCTCCCGGGTTCAAGCAATTTTCCTGCCTCAGCCTCCCGAGTAGCTGGGACTATAGGCGCCCACCACTATGCCCAGCTAATTTTTGTATTTTTAGTAGAGACAGGGTTTCACCATGTTGGCCAGACTGGTCTCGAACTTCTGATCTCAAGTGATTCACTCACCCCGACCTCCCAAAGTGCCGGGATTACAGGCATGAGTCACCGTTAAATTTTCAAAGATTAAAAAAATTTCCCAAGGTCACACAGCTAGTAATGGCAGAGGCAGGATTTTGCGCCAAGTCTGATTTACTGCAAGCCTGTGTTCTTTCTGTCATGGTGTACTGCTCCCAAGGTCTCACTCCACCCAACTGGCTGGTGCACATGAAAGAGAAGGCAGAAGAAAGGGGGCCGAGTCCCAGGGTGGCTTCCCATGGAAAGAACTCGGGGAGCCGCCCTCTGCTGGGCAGGTCTAGAGCAAATAAGTAGGCTGGCAGACTTAGGTGGCAAAAGATCTGATGCCTCAGTGATAAGAGATTTAGCTCAAGCTGGGAACAAGGACCACAAAGAAGCCAGCCAGTATCTGGGTTAACAAAAAAAAGAGTAAGTGAACAGAATAGATCTTGAAGGTCATTTGCTATTGGTTAGGACTTGGGTGGGGCCTTCAATCTTATGAACCTGAGCAGGGAAGGTTTGGAAAGACTGTAGTGCTATTTAATAATTATTCCTTTGTTTGGACAAAAAAATGGGGTAGAAACGGGAGAGAATGGGGGAAAAGCTATAAGCCATTTCCTCCTTTTATGCCAGCTTTCCTGAACTTAGTTTATTTTGTTGTTGTTTGTCCTTTTTTTCTTTTTTTGAGACAGGGCCTCAGTTTCACCCAGGCTGTAGAGCAGTGGCTCAATCACAGCTCACTGCAGCCTCAACCTTCCCAGACTCAGGTGATCCTCCCACCTCAGCCTCCCAAGTAGCTGGGATCACAGGTGCGTGCCACCATGCCCAGTTAATTTTTGTATTTTTTGTAGAGACAGGGTTTTGCCATGTTGCCCAGGTTGGTCTTGAACTCCTGGACTCAAGTGATCCTCTGGCCTCAGCCTCCCAAATTGCTGGGATTATAGGTGTAAGCCACCTTGCCAAGCATGTTCTTTTATTTGAAAGGTAATACATGCCCCTCAGAGAACAGCTTTCTAGACCTTTTCTATGTACAAACATATATATGCATATTTATAGGGTTTTTTAAAGTTACTTAAAAAAAAATACACAGAGAGACAGGGGTCTCGCTATGTTGCCCAGGCTGGACTCAAACTTCTGGCCTCAAGCAATCCTCCCACCTCAGCCTCCAAAAGTGCTGGGATTATGGGTGTAAGCCACTGCACTCTGCCAATTTACTTTTTTTTTTTTTTTTAAACAAAGATGCAGTCCTACTACATATACCACCTGGCAGTTTGCTTTTTTCATCTAACCATGTATCCTGTCCCAGTAATATTGTAGATCTCATATTCGTTTTAGCAACTGTTTCCACAATGGATGGCCTGTAATTTATTTCATCATTCCTCTCCAGATAGACATTCTAAGTATGTCTGGATTTTTTATTTTAAAATTTGATTTTAATGAGAATTCTAATAGAACACTTTCCATTTATAAAAATTCAAAAATTAAGGCTGAGAGGGGTTCTGATGCTCAGCTAGTTCAACTAACCATTCTGTCCTAGAATTCTCTCTCCAAGATGCTACGTAGCTTTTGTCCAGTTTTGCTCTTCCTTCTGTTGGGGAGACATCTGTCTTTCCCAGTTTCTGCTGTTAGTTCTCTTGTACAGGTCATGCCTTGGCATATTAGAAGACAGAATTCAAGCTCTAGGCTCCCTTTTTTTTCTCTGGGCTTTCTCTTGCAAGCTTTCCTTATCTGACATGGTTTGCCTGCTCACTTCAAAATTGTGACACCCAGGCCGGGTGTGGTGGCTCATGCCTGTAATCCCAGCACTTTGGGAGGCCGAGGTGGGCAAATCACAAGGTCAAGAGTTCGAGACCAGCCTGGCCAACATGGTGAAACCCTGTGTTTACTAAAAATACAAAAAATTAGCTGGGCATAGTGGCGGGTGCCTGTAATCCCAGCTACTTGGGAGGCTGAGGCAGGAGAATCGCTTGAACCTGGGAGGCGGAGGTTGCAGTGAGCCAAGATTGAGCCACTGCACTCCAGCCCAGGTGACAGAGTGAGACTCCGTCTCAGAAAAAAAAAAAAAAAAAAATTAAGGCTGGGCACGGTGGCTCACACCTGTAATTCTAGCACTTTGGGAGGCCAAGGTAGGTGTATCACGAGATCAGGAGTTCGAGACCAGCCTGACCAACATGGTGAAACCCCCTCTCTACTAAAAATACTGTAATCCCAGCACTTTGGGAGGCTGAGGCGGGTGGATCACGAAGTCAGGAGATCGAGACCATCCTGGCTAACATGGTGAAACCCCGTCTCTACTAAAAATACAAAAAAATCAGCTGGGCGTGGTGGTGGGCGCCTGTAGTCCCAGCTACTCGGGAGGCTGAGGCAGGAGAATCGCTTGAACCCAGGAGGCAGAGGTTGCAGTGAGCCGAGATCACGCCGCTGCACTCCAGCCTGGGCCAGAGAATGAGACTCCGTCTCAAAAAAAAAAAAAAAAAAAAAAAATTGGCCGGGCGCGGTGGCTCACGCCTGTAATCCCAGCATTTTGGGAGGCCAAGACGGGTGGATCACGAGGTCAGGAGATTGAGACCATCCTGGCTAACACGGTGAAACCCTGTCTCTACTAAAAAAATACAAAAAATTAGCCGGGCGTGGTGGCGGGCACCTGTAGTCCCAACTACTCAGGAGGCTGAGGCAGGAGAATGGCGTGAACCTGGGAGGCGGAGCTTGCAGTGAGCCGAGATTCTGCCACTGCACTCCAGCCTGGGTGACAGAGCGAGACTCCGTCTCAAAAAACAACAACAACAACAACAACAAAAAAAACAATCAGCCGGCTGTGCTGGTGCACACCTGTAACTCCCAGCTACTTGGGAGGTTAAGGCAGGAGAATCGCTTGAACCCGGGAGGCGGAGGTTGCAGCGAGCCAAGATCTGTCGTGAGCAGAGATCCTGTCTCAAAAAAAAAAAAAAAAAAAAAAAGAAACCATGACACCCAGATGAACTCAGCAGTCTAGGCGTGGTACAAAGTAGAGCAGTACTGTGGCCTCCATTATTAGACCATATTTATATTGCTGGTGCCTAAAATAACAGCAATCTTTAATTTTTTATGATTATAAAAGTAATTCTTTATCATTGTGAGAAATTCGGAATATAAAGGAAAGCATATAAAACAACATAAAATTCAGGCACACACCTGTAATCCAAGCACTTTGGGAGGCCAAGGTGGCAGGATACCTTAAGGCCAGGAGTTCAAGACCAGCGTGGGCAACATAGCAAGACTCCCTCTCTACAAAAAACTTTAAAAATTAGCCAGGCATGGTGGCACACACCTGTAATCCCAGCTACTCAGGAGGCTGAGGTGGGAGGATTGCCTGAGCCCAGGAGTTCAAGGTTACAGTGATCTATGATTGCATCACTGCATTCCAGCCTGGGTGACAGAACAAGACCCTGTCTCTAAGAAAAAAAGAAGAAAATTAAAATCATTGGGAATTCCACAACCTATCTGTAACTCCTGCTGCTGTTTTGGAGTATATCCTTCCAGTGTCAGTGGTTTTTTTAGGGACCCCCCCATAAGTACTTTATATATGATGTTGCTAAGCCATAGCTTCCCCATTCTTTGTGAGTAGTTGGCTTCCTGAACCTAAGAGCAAGGAATGTGTTAAATTCTCATCTTGTTCAGTTTGGTGCATTTCTTCAGTCATTTGAAATGTGTCTGTGTTTATCAGTTTACTAGTTGCCCCTCTAGCTTTGAAGCCTTTAACAAATTTGTCAGGGCTGGGCGCAGTGGCTCACACCTGTAATCCCAGCACTTTGTGTTGTTCAGGCAGGAGGATCGCTTGAGCCCAGGAGTTCAAAACTAGCCTAGGCAACACAGTAAGACTCCATCTGTACAAAAAATTTTAAAATTGTCGAATCTTCCCTGGGTCTGCAGGATCTGCATTTACCCCAAGGGCATTCAGCTCAGCCTTTGTAGAAGGCACCAATAAAGCATAAGACCAAAAATATGTATGTATATATCTTGCAAAGAATTTGAAGTTCAATATATATTTTTTGAGACAGGGTCTTACTCTGTCAGCCAGGCTGGCATGCAGTGGCGCAAACATGGCTCACCGCAGCCTCAACTTCTCAGACTGAAGTGATCCTCTAGAATCCTCCTCAGGGTTCAACTATCAGGTTTTTTTTTTTTTTTTTTTTTTTTTTTGGTAGAGACAGGGTCTCCCCATGTTGCCCAGGCTGGCTTTGAACTCCTGGGCTCAAGCAGTCCTCCTGCCTCAGCCTCCCAAATTGTTGGGATTACAGGCATGAGCCACTGCACCCAGCCTTGGACTTTCTTATACTTGCTTTATGATTTAATATTTTTATTTCAAATTACATAAAGGCCTTATTTTGGCCCTTGCATGATTTGACATAACTATCAATTCAAAAAGGACTAAGGTTAAACCACAGTGAAAGAGTCTCTGTCTAGACTGGCATCACTTCATCCCTTAACAACCCATTACTGCCTCACTTAGGCCTTATAGCCAGGCTGTATTTCTCTGCCTTGTCCACAAGGATATTATAAATAATCTTTTCTTTTCTTTCTTTTTTTTTTTTGAGATGGAGTCTCACTCTTGTTGCCCAGGCTGGAGTGCAATGGCACGATCTCAGATCACTGCAACCTGTGCCTCCCAGGTTCAAGCGATTCTCCTGCCTCAGCCTCCCAGTAGTAGCTGGGATTATAGGTGCCCACCACCATGCCCAGCTAATTTTTATTTTTAGTAGAGATGGGGTTTCACCATGTTGGCCAGGCTGGTCTTGAACTCCCAACCTCCATCACCTTAGGTGATCCACCTGCCCTCAGCCTCCCAAAATGCTGGGATTACAGGCATGCACCACTGTGCCCGGCCTGTAAATAATGTTGTTGTATGTTTTCTGATGCTATTTACTCTTGCAGCACCTTCAGTTCTCCTTAAGCCCCTCCTACCCTCACTCTCAACTGATTATCTTACATCCTATTTTGTAATTATTAATTAATTTATTTTTTGAGAGACAGGGTCTGTTACCTAGGCTGGAGTGCTATGGCACAATCATAGCTCACTGCAGCCTTGAACTCCTGGGCTCAAGGAATCCTCCCACCTCAGCCTTCCAAATTGCTGGACTTACAGGTGTGTGCCACCATGCCTGGCTATTGCTTTTATTTTTATTTTTATTTTTTTTGTAGAGATGGAGGTCTCACTATGTTGCTCTCAGCCTGATCTCAAACTCCTGACCTCAAGCGATCCTCCCACATTGGACTCTCAAAGTGCTGGGATTATAGGTGCAAACCACTGGGCCCAGTTAAGATCTTACTTTAGAATGGGTAGGCTGGGCACAGTGGCTCACACCTGTAATCCCAGCACTTTGAGAGGCCAAGACAGGCAGATCACCTGAGGTCAGGAGTTCGAGACCAGCCTGGCCAACAGGGTGAAACCCCATCTCTACTAAAAATGCAAAAATTAGCCAAGTGTAGTGGTGGGTACCTGTAATCCCAGGTACTCGGGAGACTAAGGCAAGAGAATCATTATAACCTGGGAGGAGGAGGTTACAGTGACCCAAGGTGGCACCACTGCACTCCAGCCTGGGTGACAGAGCAAGACTGTCTCAAAAAAAAAAAATGTATACAAAGGTCTCACTATGTTGCCCAGGCTTGTCTTGAACTCCTGGCCCTGGCCCCAAACAATTCTCCCCACTCGGCCTCTCAAAGTGCTGGGATTATAGGCACAAGCCACTGGGCCCAGTTAAGATCCTATTTTCTTGAGCAAATTAAAGTTATCAGAAGAGAACTGCCAAAGGCTCGCACCCTCACCATCAACCTGCCACCTGCATTTGTGCCCATATACTCTGCTTTTCCTCCTATTCCAATGGCACTGTCTCTGCTGCTGTCTGCAGCCAGCCCCCCAGCCCCTCTGTGCTCTAGATCTCATCCCTTCAAGGACTCTTGTGCATCATCAATTGTGCCTCTCATCTGGGTCATTCTCATCTGTATGCAAACATGCTGGCATTTCTCCCATCAGAAAAACAAACAAATTTGAACTCCCTTTCCCCTCCAGTCACAGCCTTTCTCTACTCACCTTTACAGAGAAATTTTGTGTAAGCATTTATTTATATTCTGCCTTCAGTTCCTCTCCTTCCATTTCTTCCTTGAACCCACCCTAAATTACGGGTTTGTATCCAGCACTTCACCAAAACTTCTCTTGTAAAGGTCGTTTATGATCTCTGCATGGCAAAAGCTGTTTGGCTGCTACTCCCCAGTCTCCTTGGGCTCAGTCTTGGGTTCTCTTTATCTGCACTTACTCCTGGGTGATCTCACCCAGTCTATGGTCTTAAATATCTAATGACTTTTCAACCTCTAGTACCATATATAAGAATATATATATATATCTTTTTTTGGGTGGGGGGGAGGTTTTGTTTGTTTGTGTTTTTTTTGTTTGTTTGTTTGTTTGTTTTGAGACGGAGTTTCGCTCTCATTGCCCAGGCTGGAGTGCAATGGCACGATCTCAGCTCGCCGCAACCTCCGCCTCCTGGGTTCAAGCGATTCTCCTGCCTCAGCCTCCCGAGTAGCTGGGATTACAGGCATGCGCCACCACCCCGGCTAATTTTGTATTTTTAGTAGAGATGGGGTTTCTCCATGTTGGTCAGGCTGGTCTTGAACTGCTGACCTCAGGTGATCCGCCTGCCTCTGCCTCCCAAATTGCTGGGATTACTGGCGTGAGCCACCGCGCCCGGCTTGTTTGTGTTTTTTTAAATAGAGCTGAGGTCCCACTATGTTGCCCAGGCTGCTCTTGAACTCCTGAGGTCAAGTGATCCTCTGGCCTCAGCCTCCCAAAGTGCTAAGATTACAGGCGTGAGCCACCGCACCTGGCCTCCAAATTCTAATCTTCATATCTGAACTTTGATATCTAGTAAGCAATCATGTTTCTTCCAAATTTGTTCCCCCTGCAGGCTTACCCCTCTCACATAACTCCATGCCTTCACCCTTGACTCCACCCCACATCCAATCCTGTCCGTCTTTGCTTCAGATTATATTCAGAATCTCACCACTTTCTCACTGAGCTGCTGCAAAAGCAATCAATGCTGTCGTGGAAATTAGAAAAAGGGGTTGGGCACGGTAGCTCACACCTGTAATGCCAGCACTTTGGGAGGCCAAGGTGGGCAGATCACTTGAGGTTAGGAGTTCAAGACCAGCCTGGCCAACATGGTGAAACCCCGTCTCTACTAAAAATACAAAATTAGCCAGGCATGGTGGTGCATGCCTGTAATCCCAGCTACTTGGGAGTCTGAGGCAGGAAAATTGCGTGAACCCGGGAGGCGGAGGCTGCAATAAGCTGAGATCACACCACTGTATTCCAGCCTGGACAACAGAGCAAGACCCTGTCTCAAAAAAAAGAAAGAAAAAGAAAAAGGCACACCTTTTGGCAGATGCAACTGTGCACTTGTGCAGGGTACACCCTGCTTCTGCACGTGTGCCACCTTCCCACAGCCTATTGTCCACACTGTAGTCAGAGGGATCCTTTCAAATCAATCCCTGTTTCAATCATGTATTGCTGCTGGAAGGTCTGCTAGACTAGAAGGGCCAAAATGGTCTCCCTCACATGTCTGGCAGTCAGCTGAGCCTGGGGTGCTTGGTTTTCCTCCATATGGCCTCTCATCCTCTAGCAGGCAGGATTGGGGTTCCTCTCAACATGGTGGTCTCAGGGTTTCACAAGTGTGGTCTTTGGAAATCAGGCCCCACCTCAGATCTCCTGAATCAGAATCTGCATTTTAACGAGATCTGTAGGAGATTGTTATGCACAAGAAAGTTTGAGAAGCATTGCTTTAAAACACAAACCTAGGCCAGGCACAGTGGCACATGCCTGTAATCCCAACACTTTGGGAGGCCAAGGAGGGAGAACCATTTGAGCCCAGGAGTTTTGAGACGAGCCTGGGCAACATAGCAAGACCCCGTCTCTCCAAAAAATAACAAAATTAGCCAGGCGTGTTGGTGCACGCTTGTATTCCCAGCTACTCCAGAGGCTGAGGCAGGAGGATCGCTTGAGCCTGGGAGGTGGAGGCTGCAGTGAGCCATGATCATACCATGGCACTCCAGCCTGGAGGACAGACTGAGGCCCTGTCTCAAAAATAAGTAAGTGAATAAATAATAAAAAAAATCTGATCAGTCTCTGCCCAAAAACCTGTAAAAGCTTCCCACCTCACTCCCTGAAAAAGCCCTTACCTTGGCCTACAAGGCCTGTGTTGTACAGGCCTCCTTGACTTTCTCTGCTCCTCCTCTCCCCGTTACTCCCACTCAGGGGCCTCCATACTGTGCATTTAACAGGCCAAGCATGCCTGGCCCCGGGGTGTTTTTCAGTGCTGTGGACAGCCCTCCCATGAACTTGCTGTCCCCTCTGCCTGGAATGTTCCTCAATCAGCTCTTTGCATGACTGCCTCCCTTACCTTCTTTAGGTCTTCACTCAAGTCACCTCATCAGTAAAGCTTCCCCTGACAACCTTCTCTAAAACCACAACTCCAACCACATCCCAGCTTTCCATCCTCTTTTCTGCTTATTTTTCTACATAGCGCTAATTAACGTCTAATATAGCATATCTTTTACTTATTTAATTATTTATTTTTACTTTTTTTTTTAGATGGAGTCTCTCTCTGTCACCCAGGTTGGAGTGCAGTGGTGCAATCTCGGCTCACTGCAGCCTCCGCCTCCTGGGTTCAAGTGATTCTCCTGCCTCAGCCTCCTGAGTAGCTGGGACTACAGGCATACGCCACCACACCCAGCTAATTTTTGTATTTTTAGTAGAGACGGGGTTTTGCCATGTTGGTCAGGCTGGTGCCAAACTCCTGACCTCATGATCCACCCGCCTCGGCCTCCCAAAGTGCTGGGATTACAGGCATGAGCCACCGCGCCCGGCCTTATTTTATTTATTGTCTGTCTTCCCCCTCTAAAAATGTAAATTATATAAACAGAGGGTTTTTTAATTGTGGTAAAATTATACATAACATAAAATTGACCATTTTAACCATTTTCAAGTGTACAGTCCAGCAGTATTAAGTACATTCATGTTGTTATACCTTCACCAACACCACTATGCATCTCCAGAACTTTTTCATCCTCCCAAACTAAAACTCTATACTCATTAAACATTAACTCCCCATTTTCCCCTTCTCCAGCCCCTTACAATCTCCTGTAGTACTTTCTGTCTTATGAATTTGATTGCTCTAAGCACATCATATAAGTGGAATCATACAATGTTTGTCCTCTTTTTTTTTGTTTGAGACAGAGTCTCGCTCTTTCGCCTGGGCTGGAGTGCAGTGGCATGATCTTGGCTCACTGCAACCTCTACCTCCCGGGTTCAAGTGATTCTCCTGCCTTGGCCTCCCAAGTAGCTGGGATTACAGGCACCTGCCACCACGTCCGGCTAATTTTTGTATTTTTAGTAGAGACGGGGTTTTACCACGTTGGCCAGGCTGGAATGTTTGTCCTTTTGTGCCTGGCTTATTTCACTTAGTGTCATGTCCTCAAGGTTCATCCATGTTGTAGTATATGTCTGAATTCCTTCCTTTTTTGTTTTTTGTTTTTTTTTAGAATTTCCTTCCTCTTTAAGGGTATGTATATACCACATTTTGTTTATCCATTTATCTACTGTTGGACATTTGGGTTATTTCACCTTTTATTTAGCTATTGCATAATGCTCCTATGAACATGATATACAAGTATCAGTTGAAGTCCATTCATTTCTTTTGGGTATATACCTAGAAGTGGGATTGCGGGATCATACCCACCCAGCAATGAGATTGCTGGGTAATTCTGTTTAATCCTGGCAGGAACTTTAAAGGTAAGGGTTTTTGCCTGTGTTGTTCACTGATAGAAGCCCAGAGCCTGGCACAGAGTACACACTCAGTAAATTCTTGTTGAACTAACTGTTTAATTTCCCTGTCTAGGAACCTGGAATCTCAGTCTAAGAAGGCTGTGCAGCTTATCTGACCCAGCTTGCTCTCAGTAGTCCCATTCTGACTTCTAATGCTTGCTGTTTCGAGTTCAAAGCCCCCCAAACAGGCCGTAATAGTGTGTTCTAGAACTTTGCTGGGGAGTCACATCAAGCTCACCATTGCTTTATGGACTCCACCTTCCTTCCATGGCCCCTTCAGGTTCCCGACCCCTTTCTCTTTCTCAGAAGCTCCTATGTCACCAACAGAAATCCCATTTACAAGTTCTTGCAGTGCCTTTGGCTGTCATATCTGGTCCCTTTTAGATTAGTCTGGTGCTTGCTGGGTTTCTTTGCTTCTCTTGAGCTCACTTCCCCCATGTCCCCAAAGGCTCCACTGCTCCTTAGTGCAAAAAAATGATTCTCTTTGATAGGAAACAGAGGTGAAAAGGCCTGAGGGAATTCTGCTTTCTCTGTTACCTCCAACCTGACCCCTCAGGCCCAAAGAAGCCTAGCTTTTTCTTTGTTCTTGTTGCAAATATAATGCTTTTTAAATTGTCCTTCGGGGGGCGATGTGGCTCACGCCTGTAATCCCAACACTTTGGGAGGCTGAGGAGGGCGGATCACCTGAGGTCAGGAGTCTGAGACCAGCCTGGCCAACATGGCAAAACTGTCTCTACTAAAAAATACAAAAATTAGCCGGGTGTGGTGGCACATGCCTGTAATTCCAGCTACTTGGGAGGCTGAGGCAGGAGAATTGCTTGAACCCAGGGGGCGGAGGTTGCAGTGAGCCGAGATGAAGCCACTGCACTCCAGCCTGGGTGACACAGTGAGACTTGGCCTCAAAAATAATAATAATAGGCCGGGCACAGTGGCTCATACCTGTAATCCCAGCACTTTGGGAGGCCGAGGCGGGCAGATCACGAGGTCAGGAGATCAAGACCATCCTGGCTAATATGGTGAAACCCCGTCTCTACTAAAAAATACAAAAAATTAGCCGGGCGTGGTGACATGCGCCTGTAGTCCCAGCTACTCGGGAGGCTGAGGCAGGAGAATCGCTAGAACCTGGGAGACAGAGGTTGCAGTGAGCCAACATCGCGCCACTGCACTCCAGCCTGGGTGACAGAGCGAGACTCTGTCTGGAAAAAAAAAAAAAAATCTGATGTAGAGTCTGCCTTCTTGTCATCGTTTAAATATTGAGGTAAATTTCTTTGCACCTTTCTTCATCTGCACTTTCTGCTTCACCAGATGGCTTCATATAAGTGGAAACTGACCAATAGCTGCATCGCAGCAAGGCATTCTGTAGAATTTTTTTCTTAAGGTCTTCCTGTATGGCTAAAATATTCTCTAGTTGTGAGAAAGCTTGCTTCTGATCATGTTAAACATTAAAGCTAAAGAGGGTGGGGAGTCCTCTGAACCTCTTTTGGTTCTAGGGGCTGCTCAATTTAAAAAAATTAAAGAATAGATAACTGAAAATAAACTAAAAATAAAGAAGTCACATATAAACCAACATGACTTCTGCATTACACTGACATCGTTCCCTTAAGTTACCTATCACCAGTGAGCCAGTTCATGTTAAAGAAGCACTTTGTAGCACAACTGTCTGTATTTAATTGTGATCATCTGGTTTCCTCCCACCTTTATTCTTTTTTTTTTTTTTTCTGAAACAGGGTCTCACTCTGTCACCCAGACTAGAGTACAGTGGCACAATCACAGCTCACTGCAGCCTGGACCTCCTGGGCTCCAGTGATCCTCTCACCTCAAGTTTACCGAGTAGCTGGGACTACAGGTGTGTGCCACCATGTCTGGCTAACTTTTTTTTTTTTTTTTTTTTTGTAGAGATGGGAGTCTGGCTATGTTGCCCAGGCTGGTCTCCAACTCCTGGGCTCAAGCGATCCACCTGCCTTGGCCTCCCAAGGTGCTGGAATTACAGGCGTGAGCCACTGCACCCAGCCTCCTCCATATATTATTTTTAAAAAACAAATAGAGATGGTGTCTTGCTATATTGTCCAGATTAGTCTCAAACTCCTGGCCTCAAGCAATCCTCCTGCCTCCGCCTCCCAAAGTGTTGGGATTACAGGCGTGAGCTACCACACTAAACCTAATGTACAAAGTAAGTTACTGTTGATGATTGAACACAAATTACTCATCTTCAAGCTTCTGATATACATTAATCTTCTCAATGCTTTGTACATCCTAAATTCTCAAAATGTTTAAAGAAAGCAAAACTAGGAACAACTGTATAGAACTCTAGATCCATGGTAGGAAGATGGATTGCAGCCCTGGGCGATTTGGGGAGGAAAGTGCATGGTGAAATGTGTGAAGTCATGACCAGGTAGATAAACTTCAGGGCTTCCCTTTGATGGGAGTCACAGTGTTGTATAACCTAATCTCAGAAGTTACATGCCATCATTTTTGCCATCATCTGTTAAAAGCAAGTCACCAGGTTCAACCCATATACCAGAGGAGAGGCATGCTCAAAGATGTCAATACCAGGAGGCAGAAATCATTGTGAGCCATCTTAGAAGCTGTACACCACACTCCCATTTCACAAATCAAGAAACTGAGGTACTGCCAGGTGTGGTGGCACACGCTTATAATCCCAGCATTTTGGGAGGCCAAGGCAGGAAGATTGCTTGAGGTCAGGAGGTTGAGGCCGCAGTGAGCCAAGATTGCACCATTGCACTCCAGCCTGAGCAACATAGTGAGATCCTTGTCTCAACAACAACAACAAAAAAAAAACAAAAAAAAAACACAACAACAACAACAACCAGGTTCAGAGAGGTTTAGTAACTTCCTCAAGGTCACCTAGTAATATGCTTAGGCAGGATTCAAACCCAGAGCAACTCTCCCTTTAATTAATTTATTTTTTTGAGACAGGGTCTCATTACTCTGTTGCCCAACAATTCAGTAATGCAGTGCTGGCTCATTGCAGGCTTAACCCCCTGGGCTCAAGCAATCTTCCCACTTCAGCCTCATGAGTATCTGGGACTACAGGCGCATATTACCACACCTGGCTAATTTTTACATTTTTTTTTTTTTTTTTTTTGTAGACAGAGTCTTACTGTGTTGCCCAGGCTGGTCTCAAACTCCTGGCCTCAAGCGATCTTCCCACCTTGGTCTCCCAAAGTGCTGGGATTACAGGCATGAGCCACCATGCCTGGCCCTTTTAATCACTAAGCATATTAACAAAGTCACCTTAAATAATATTTAAGTAGTAGCTACTATATGATGTTTACATGTTCTCTCATTTAATCTTCATAATAGAACTGCAATGTTGGTTAATATAGTTCCTGTGGGTAACAGATGAGAATGGATGAATGAATCCATATGTATAGGCGAGGCACAGTGGCTCACACCTGTAATCCCAGCACTTTGGGAGGCCGAGGCAGGTGGATCACTCGAGGCCAGGAGTTCGAGACCAGCCTGGCCAACATGGTGAAACCCTGTCTCTACTGAAAATACAAAAATTAACTGGGCATGGTGGCACACACCTGTAATCCCAGCTACTCAGGAGGCTGAGGCAGAAGAATCGCTTGAGCCAGGAGGTGGAAGTTGCAGTGAGCCGAGATTGCGCCACTGCACTCCAGCCTGGGCAATGGAGCAAGACTCCATCTTAAAAAAAAAAAATGTATAACTGTTCTAGACAAACTCTAAAACCATTTTTCCTCAGCTCTCACAACAGTTGACACAGAAGACTTCTGTGACCCCAAAATATTTGAGAATTTCTCTGCACCAGCAAGCAAGCAAGCAGTTCCACAGCAGACACCAAGAGGGTGTCTTCCAATTCAATTCTGACACTATCTACCTAGAGATAGTGTCAGATACCACAGGCCAAGGTCTGGGCCCCCAAGGCTGCAGCTCCCTTCAGACACTAGTCACAAGTCCAGGCTCCAAAACTTGTGACCAACCAGCTTCAAGTTGGAGTTCCCACCCCTGCCAACCCCTGCTTTGGAGTTCAATTAATTTGCTGGAGTAGCTCACAGAACTCAGGGAAACAATGTGTTTACTGGTTTATTATAAAGGACATTGCAAAGGATACAAATGAGGACATGTGTAGGGTGAGGTGTGGGGAGGGGGGCGGAGCTTCCACGCCCTCCCTGGTGCGTCACCCTCCGGGAACTTCTGCATGTTCAGCTAGTTGTTTTTGGGGTTTTGTTTTTGTTTTTGTTTTTGGATGGGGTCTCATTCTATCCCCCAGGTTGGAGTTCAGTGGCGCGATCTCAGCTCACTGCGACCTCCACCTCCTGGGCTCAAGCGATTCTCATTCCTCAGCCTCCCAAGTAGCTGGGATTACAGGTGCACACCACCATACTTGGCTATTTTTTTTTTTTTTTTTTTTTTTTTTTTTTTGTGGTATTTTTGGTAGAGACAGGATTTCGCCATGTTTCCCAGGCTGGTCTCAAATTCCTGGGCTCAGGAAATCACCCACCCTGGCCTCCCAAAGGGCTGGGATTACAGGCATGAGCCACCATGTCCAGCCATGTTCAACTATGCGGAAGCTTTCTGAGGCCAGTCCTCTTGGGTTTTTAATGGAAGCTTCATGATGTCAGCATTCCCTTCCCAAATTCTCCCTCTGGAATGAGGATCTTATGACCCACTATGGGAAAGGCAGAGGAAGATTAGAGTCCTGCCTTGGGGCAGGTGAAGGGAAGGGCAGGAGAAGGCTGGAGAGATGCTGTTTCCTGAGGCCCGCTCCTGCGGTGTGACACACCCACATCATAACACAAGGCTAACGGGCTGTGGGAATTAGGAGCCAGGAACTGGATGAAAACCTAGAGAGAGAGAGAGAGAGAGAGAGAGAGAGAGAGAGAGAGAGTGTGTGTGTGTGTGTGTGTGTGTGTGTGTGTGTGTAAAACACCACAGTAACCATTCGCCCAAGGCCAGAGTGGTTGAGGGTACTACCATTCCTAGACAAAGAGGGGACCAGAGAGAAAGGTTTGGCCTGGCCTTGGGAGAGGAAGCGCTCTGGACAGCCTGCCTCTGCTTTCTGTATTGCAAGATGAGGATGGTTCATCAGGCTCCCCTGGGCCCGCGTGGAAAGACCCTTCAACACTCTTGGCCCCTCTTAGCATAGGCCCACCAGACCACCACTGATACCCTCATTTCACTTGCTGTGGATGGAAACCTGAACGTGTCAGGCACTGGACGGGAGTCATGCTCACACCGCGCTCGGGCCACGCTGGCCTTTGAGTCCCCTGGTCTCAGAGCTTTGACCCAGGCTCTTCTCTCTGCCTAGAATGTGCCCCATCCCTGTTACCCGGTAAACTCTTACCCCTGCTTCAGCTCCCAGGTCAGATATTCCTCCCTTGGGGGGTCGCTTCTGGCTGGAAGACTAGATCAGGCCCCTCGGCTGCACACTTTCCTAAGTGCACTTACAGCAGCTCCTCACCGTGCAAGCTGTGGGGTGCAGTGGAGGGTGAGCCTCGGGAAGCTGGCCGTGTCTGTTTTGCTCGACCTTTCATCTAGCACAGGGCCTAGCAAAGAGGAGGCAGTGGGTGAGTGTTGCTGTTTATGGGATGCCAGTCAGGTCGGGGTGCCTCCTGTGGGTGTTGCCAGGATCAGCCAGCTGGTTTTCCCCAGGAGACCTCTATCCTGCAGTAACCTCTACATTAAAATGCTAATAGGAAAGAATGGAAGGGCTTCCTGACTTCCTGTGTAAACACTTAAAAGGGACTTCTGGAGACCACTCATTTTGTCATGTTCTGTCCCTGGGTAATGACTTTAGGGTGGGACTTTCACGCTCTGAAGGATAAATAAACCCGTAGCAGGAGGGGGTGCAGGATCTATTTTAGGGTAGAGGAGAGGCCTGTTTCAGAACCTTTCAAATTGCAGGGCCTATCCTGGAAGTGTAGAAAAGGGTTTTTAATAGGAGAGGAGCACTATTTCATTATGTTAAAATAATGTTTACAAAGAATTAGTAAGAATGCTGCAAGAAAATGCACATGCTATATAATATAATGTAAATATATACACATACAACTCATTTGATCTCACTTATTGTAAAAATATGCATTCCTAATAATGGCTTATCCTACTGAGTGACTTATTAAATGTCACAACAACGTTTTAAAGTAGGTACTCTTACCTCCATTTTGCAGATAGAGGTTAGGTAATTTTCCCAAGGTCACACAGCTAGTAAAGGACAGAGTTCATATTTGAAACCCAGTCTGTCAGGCTCTATAGCCCCTACTCTTAATCACTATATTATGCAGGGAGAAATCCATCAACATATTGTCTTTGGGTGGTGGTTTATTTTCTTCTTTATTCTCTAGGATTTTCTATTTGGATATACTCTAGGAGTTAAATGATAAACTTTTGAATAGGGAAGAAGGTGGGGTGGTGAAATTTGAAGGCCAAACATATGCTTTCAAACAAAAGAATTCACTCCATTTCCTTTTCCACTTTTCTACATTTTCCAGAAGAACTGATGACCACCCCAATTTTACAGCCCACTGAGGCCCTGTCCCCAGAAGATGGAGCCAGCACAGCACTCATTGCAGGTAATAGACTCTGAGCCAACTCCAAGGGACCTTCTGGATCAAGGGCATCTCTCTCCAGAGGGAGCCTGACCAAATCCATTAATGGGCTCACTCTGGCTTGTAAGTTATATTACACACACACACACACACACACACACACACACACAGCCATAAAAGACTCGGAGGCTTCTGTCAGAGGCACTACCAGTAAATGACAGGTTGGGAGGTGGCCGCAAATAGATATGCATACGGACGTTACACTTGAGTACGTGGGTAGGGACGAGGATATATGTGGTTGGTTGAGTGGGTGAGGAAGAGGGGGAGGATCAGATAAACCACTTCCTGTTAGGATAAGCCATTTCCTGTTCCCTCCTTCCCGTTTCTTTAAGAATCAGGAACTGGTTTGGGAGGCAGTTCAGTTTTGTCAGAAATCAAAAGCATGTGTCCTTAGCTTAAGCACCAGGAGACTCCAGCTATTATGTGCCATGGAAATTGGGGTTGGTGGGGGAACATGGGTTTGGATGGAAGTGGACACTAGTTAATGAAAACAAGAGGATCTTTACGAAAACAGTGACTAAATCAGATGACTCCAGGAACTACTGAGACATCCTCAATCCTGAAACATCTCTACATTTTCCCTCTCCTTTCCAAGTTGTTATCACCGTTGTCTTCCTCACCCTGCTCTCGGTCGTGATCTTGATCTTCTTTTACCTGTACAAGAACAAAGGCAGCTACGTCACCTATGAACCTACAGAAGGTGAGCCCAGTGCCATCGTCCAGATGGAGAGTGACTTGGCCAAGGGCAGCGAGAAAGAGGAATATTTCATCTAATGACTCCCAGGCCCCAAGGAGCTTATTCCTGGCTCCATCGCTAACACGTTGACTGCTTATTATGGGAAAGTTTTCTCTGAAGCCAGGGAGAAGCATTGATTGATGTGGGCAAATCCAAGCTCCAGCCAGGTCGCAGTCCCAAATGCCGACATCACTGACTCCAGGGACCAGGGACATGGAGAAAGCTGTTTATGATATCTTTAACCAGGCCCTCTTACTAGAGCTGGTGTTTGTGACTGGCCAACAAGATGTGGCTATGCCAGGGGACATCTGAGTATGTGCCCAGTCATCTTTTTTCACAGGTTGAAGGGAGAGAAAAGATTTTGAGTTAAGGTCATTGGCTGCTCTACTCTGTCCCCTACCTGGTCACCTAGTGATAGCCCCAGTGGAGATACTGTCCATACAAGGTCTTCCCAGAGGCTGGATACCACAGTAAAAGGCCAGGCCAGGAGGGGTAGGAGACTATGGAGATCTTACCTCCTGATAAATGTGCTACACCCCCTAATCTGAGCCCTTCCTTTCCGTGTTCCCCAACAACCTCATGCTTACGTGATTTTTATTCAAATTAAAAATTTTCATTGCTACAGAAATCAGATTCTCATGTGCAAGAAGTAACTACATTTTGACTTATTTTTGCTTAAACATTTTTGACATTTTCTTTTCCCTATTTAACGCCTTTACATATGTTCTCTTCCAAGCAATAAGAACCCTAGGAAAGTTCTAGAAGTTTGCAGAACTATCTCAGGGATTTGAGACAAAGATGGTGCAGGAAAGCTTGTTCCAGGGGAACATCATTAGAAACATACCCTGGGAGGGCCGGGTTCGGTGGCTCACGCCTGTGATCCCAGCACTTTGGGAGGCCGAGGCAGGCGGATCACAAGGTTAGGAGATCGAGACCATCCTGGCTAACACGGTGAAACCCCGTCTCTACTAAAAATATATAAAAAAAATAGCTGGGCGTGGTGGCGGGCGCCCATAGTCCCAGCTGCTTGGGAGGCTGAGGCAGGAGAATGGCTTGAACCCAGGAGGCGGAGCTTGCAGTGAGCTGAGATTGCACCACTATACTCCAGCCTGGGCAACAGAGTGAGACTCCGTCTCAAAAAAAAAAAAAAAAAAAAAAGTACCCTGGGAGATGAGTTGGTTCAAGCCTCCATCCTGGCAAGGGCCAGAATTTCCCAGAATCCCTTCTACATATATACAGAAGGAACCAGAAAAAATCAACCTACCACCTTTCCCAGTGTATCCTCAGAATCAAGCCAAGAAGCTTCTTGGATTTTAGTCTCAAGATAAGTTGTGTTTAAAAGGCACATTTTGGTATAAATTATTAGCTCATCAGATATTGTTCACTTTGGAATTAAAGCTAGATCTCCTTTGAAGTCTTAATGTATTGCCTCTGTTGTCCAAGCTCAAACCCAACCAAGTTAAGATCAAGAGCTGAGGAATCTGGCTGGGTGCAGTGACTCACTGCCTGTTATCCCAATACTTTGGGAGGCTGAGGCAGACAGATCACTTGAGGTCAGGAGTTTGAGACCAGCGTGGCCAACGCAGTGAAGCCGTCTCTACTAAAAGTACAGAAATGAACCAGGTGTTGTAGCAGGTGCCTGTAATCCCAGCTACTCAGGAGGCTGAGACAGGAGAATCACTTGAACCCGGGAGGTGGAGGTTGCAGTGAGCAGACACTGCCACTGCACTCCAGCCCGGGTGACAGAGGGAGACCCTGTCTCAAAAAATAAATAAAAGAGCTGAGGAATCTATCTTGGCAACCTAGATTCTATGAGTTTTCAGTATTTCTCCACATAGAACATTGGAGAAACTAAAGGTCATCCTCAACGTATACAAATTGCTATACCAGAACCTTTTCTTCAAGCCAAACTTTAGAGCAAGTTAGGAGAATCAATAGTTCCCTCATTTCTAAGTTTAGGTCCGAAATTCCAAAATTTGTAAGAGGTTGGAGTAAAATGATGAAAAGTTGAACATCTGGAATGGAATTCATGAAATGATCAAGTCTTAGGCTTGTACTCCTGCCTTTATTTCAAAGCGTCATCAAAGGAAACAGAGCAGCAGCAGCACCTAGCTGAATTCTAGATGGGATATAAATAAAATATATATAGAAGAAATCTAAAAACAAGCTAAGTAAAGAATCCTTGCAGTGAGGTGTAATGCAACTTCATCACTTTATTCAAATCTTCAAAATAGTCTTTATTCTACATTTTTAGTATAAAAATTCCACAAGTTAAGTGCACCACAGTGTAGAGAGAGACATACAACGCTGAACTTCCATAACAGTCAATGGTACAGTCAAACATCACATGTACAGAACACACAATTTAGATGAACTGAAATTATAAGATAAAATAAAATAAAATCCAATTTCAGAAAACAAAAATCAAAACATTAAGGATCCCTGAAATATTCTTAAACCCTAATGAGATTTCACTGGACTCAAGTCATTTTGTAGTGAGACATTCACAATATGACCCTATTAACCCAGTCTAGGAATTCTGGGGAGCCGAATGAGTGGCCGCATCAGACACTCTGACAAAAAATGGTAACCAGTTTTTGATCTGAAAACTCCTCTTAATTTAGCTCTGAACACATCAATCAAGCTTTTGAAATGCATCCTCCTCCTTGCCCCTCATATTTTAAACCAACTGTTGTTCACAGTACAGTTTGCACGACATCTTTGTTCAAACATAGCTCAGTTTTTCTGGCACCAAAGCAAATTTGGGTTAGGTTCGTGTATGCAGAGACAACCTATGAGGAGGGCCCATAAGGCACCCTCCACTTTTGCCTGAGGAGATACGAAAGCAGAAGTAATGGCATCTGTACTTGGGGCACAGAGAGGGTTTCAGAGGATCCTTGTGAAACACTAGTTAAAAGATGACGAGTGGGGAGAAGTGCGAGGAAAGAAGGAAATTAGTCTGACTGGCTTTCTGTCCTGCACCATTGATTCAATGGAGACTGGCGGGAGGAAATGGAAGACTAGGGTTGGAGATGGGATGGGTGGGGCAAGGGATGGAAAGGAAAAGGCAGACAACTAATGCGTTCCATTTATAACAAGTAATATATATCAAAGACTTAAAGGAGATTAAAGACCAATCAGAATAATTTGGCAACTTTAATTCTTAGGAAGATCAAAGTTCCCTCCAAACCTAATTTGATGTTTTATTACTAAAAGCAAAGACCAGTATGGTACAGTATTACTCCAGAGAAATTAAAGGAAAATCCTTAGGGCGGCTTCACCCACATTCATTTTATGAATGGATACCTCCCCTACCTCAAAATGCTTTAGGGAGGTACTGCTACCATTACATGGTTCCTTATTAAATTTGAAAAGTGCCTGAAAGTTTGGGCACCAGAAAGACACCCCAACAACATGTGTCTAAACTGCAACTTCAGGTTAATATGACTAAAGCAGTTACATTGTGAGAAGTGCTGAAGGTATGTGATGTCTTTCCCGGCACAGAGGTGGCCTTGGTTCCTCACCAGATGGTGTAGCCACCATCTGAACCACCCATGAAGAAGTTCCCCTTCCGCTGAGTTACGAGGACGTTGGCTCCCTGCATGACTGCAAGCTGAGCAGCATTGGGAGGGCATCCAGGAGGTGGAGGCTGAAAGGAAATGACATGATAGAATGGGCACAGGGCAGCTAATATAAGCGAAGGGGACATAGGGGAAGCAGAGGCCTGTTAGGATGAGGCAATGTGCTAACCAGCTGCGTTTTAAGGAGCTAGTTCCGCCACCAATTTGAGTTCTAAAGTAGGTCTATACTTTATGTGAACCCAAAGATACAAACAGGAAAGGGAGCCTACCACTCATTCAAAGGGTTCCAGCTCTAAGATGAAGCCTATGGCTACCTTCTGAACATGAACAGACCAGACCAACAGTCATTTTGAGGGTAGAGAACCACTGTCCTACTCACATTCCCAAAACAGGGACAGGGTGCCAGTCCATGTATGAATCCCACATGGTCCCTACATAGTTTTTAATTTTTAATTTTTTTTTTTTTTAATTTTTTTGAGATAGAGTCTTGCTCTTGTCGCCCAGGCTGGAGTGCAGTGGTGGGATCTCAGCTCACTGCAACCTCCACCTCCCAGGTTCAAGTGATTCTCCTGTCTTAGCCTCCCAAGTAGCTGGGATTACAGACGCCTGCCACCATGCCCGGCTAATTTTTGTATTTATAGTAGAGTCGGGGTTTCACCATGTTGGCCAGCCTGGTCTCAAACTCCTGACCTCAGGTGAGCCACCGTGCTTCGCCCTTACACAGTTTTTGAATGAACTACTGGAAAACTGAAGGCTCGCTAATGACACATTCACTTCATCTCTAGCATGTAGTTACTGAGCAGTCATTTGAGCTCTAAATCCCACGCACTGGGGAATTAAGTAGGAAAAAATGATAACTAAAATTGTTAATATCTTTCTAAAAGCTACTTACTAGGGATTATACATTCTACTTTTTTAATTATCAGGGTTCCTAGTGCAACACCATGCTGATGGCAAATATTAAGTAAATGGTAAATGCTTATGGAATGAATAAGGAGCATTACTAGACCAGTTCAGTGTACCACAATGAACTGGAAAAGCAGCAAGCAGGACTCGACAGACATGAAAACAAAAGAATCTGGTTAACTCAGCCCCCAGTGAGATGCTACTCACTTGCCACAGTTCTGCCCCCTCAAACACTTTCTGCCTGAGTATTGGATGTCAGTAGTTGTACCAACACTGGCAACTATCATCCAGAAATGGTAAGAGAATGAATATGAAGTCATTTCAGAAAGTTAAAATACACAAGGGCTGAGTTTCTTCTGATGAGGTCATACTCACAGGAATGTTGCCAGCAGTAGCCCCAGCTCCAAATCTGGCACCTGCATCATACCCTCCTTCCACCAGCACTGTGGAGCCAGGTGGATAGATGGGACCGACTGGATAATAAGCCATGGGGATTGTGGAACCTAAAGGCCCAACAGCCACAGACTGGGCCATGGGAAGATACAGAGAGGCTCCAGGAAATGCGGCTGACATGGTGGGGACTGTGGCAGCCCCTGGGTGCACAAAGCTCGGACGATAGAGCTAGAAGAGGCAGAAGAGAAGGCAAAATGTTACTTTATGACATTCCTATTTGAGATCTCTTTAATGAGCTAATTCTTAATTCTCCTTATGCAGGTTATACTTTTTGTAAGATTATACAAGTTGCCTTTCCACTGGCCTTCAATATTCTCCTGGATCACTTTCTGCTATAGCTAATGTTGGGCTCACAGAACGCAAATTCATCTTCTGCACCTTAGCCTGTGCCAAATAACACAAAATCATCAAATAATGCACTTTCAACTCCGACAAAAATTGCCAAATTATATAGTGTTTTAGATTATTCATGTTAGCATTTGTGAAGAGTAAATATGTGAAGTCAGATTTAGCTAAGGACTAAAGGACCACCCTAAGAGTATTCCCAGCTAGTTCAAATCTGGCAAACTGGAAGCACCTCTGAGTAGGCAGGTGGAGCATCGGTATAGGGTGGAGCCTGAGGAAGATGCAAGGTCTGAGGGTATACTGGATTCCCAGGAGGCTGCACAGGGTAGGTTGGCTGTGTTGGATATTGACCTGAAAGACAAGAAAAAAATGAAGGTTGCCTACTACACAGAGCTACCAAAATGAGGCAGGTCATATCGGGTAGCTAACTTAGTGGGAGCAAGCAGAAGGGGATTTGCAAATAGTCTGCCCCAGAGGGCCTGATTCCTGGAACTAAGAAAATATGCATTGTCTTTGCACCCTTAAAATGGAAGGTGCTGGATTCTAACGAGACAAGAAAGGCACTGCTCACTGCTCCTACTAACATACCGAAGTAAGGGGTTAAGTCTACCTGGGCCCAAGTTCCCTCCGGAATGCAGGACAGGTCTGGGGTTCTGGCCTGCTGCTGTTCTGGCTTATCAAGGGTGCCTCTGCTCTAGGTAGTCTCCACAGCCTGTCTACAACCAGCCCAGACTTCGTGGGTAACAGCAGTTCTGATTTTCCTTACAGATTACTATTCAAGGTCGACTTCCAAACAAAGGGTGTGAATGATGGAAGTGAACCGTGAGACTGGGAAAAGGGTGCAGGGCTGAGGGGTGAGGAGGAATATCCTCACTGGAAAAGCGGGGGATCAGGTTTGGTTTTTTGTTTGTTCTGAGACGGAGTCTCGCTCTTTTGCCCAGGCTGGAGTGCAGTGGCGCGATCTCGGCTCACTGCAACCTCCGTCTCCTGGGTTCAAGCAATTCTCCTACCCCAGCCTCCCGAGTAGCTGGGATTACAGGCGCCCGCCACCACGCCCAGCTGATTTTTGTATTTTTTAATAGAGACGGGGTTTCACCACGTTGGCCAGGCTGGTCTCGAACTCTTGACCTCAGGTGATCCGCCCGCCTCGACCTCCCAAACTGCTGGGATTACAGGCGTGAGCAACCTCGCTCGGCCTTTTTTTTTTTTTTTTTTCTATTCCTTTTTTACCCCCTCAACCTATTCCTGCGTTATGGGAATCATGTTCCGACAGACACACTGGTACAACCACAGAAAAGGGGAGAAGTTCTGATCCCGTCAGCGAAGGGCGAGGGGGTGCGAAGGGAAGGAAAAGAGACCTCACAGGCCCCGGCCCACGAACCAACTCCAGCAATTCAGTAGTTAAGTTCGGCCCCGCTGGGGGTTCCGGAGCGCGGCGCCCCGCCTCCGCCGGCTCTCCATTGGCCTACGCGAATGCCTGCGCTAGCGCTCTATTTGCTCCTGCGGATGCCCATCATGTCAAGCCCCCCCACCACCCGAGCCCGCAGCTCCAAACTGCGCCACAGAGTTTACGGAGGAAAGGGCCTGGAGGCAGCAAGCTGCCGTAATTTGGGTATGACGAAGGCGTCAGGCGCAGCGCCCTGGACTGCAGCCGGCCAAGGAGCATGGCGCAGCCCACCCCAAACCTGGCGTTTGGTGACCCTGGGCTCCGAATCCGCTCGCTCTGGGCCAGCAGTACTCCCCCCGACGGCCTCTGCCACCCTCGGTCCTTGCCTTTGCTGTTCATGGTGGTTGCGGGTCCGGTTTGTCTCGGCGTCGCGGACGGTTATTTTTTTCGTCCTCTTCCTGTTCGGAGCTACTTCCGTGTCACATGATGGTCCGTCCGCCTAGCGTCACCCGACGCCCGAGTGGCGCTGCCGCCGGAAACTCCGCCCCTGCTCCGGGCCTCCAGTCGGCCGCGGGAGGGTCCGCGCGGTCCCGCCCACTCGCCTTGGCCCCACCCCCTGCTCGTTTCTGTCCTCCCCCCCCCTACCGGTGTCCCTCAGCTGGAGAAAAACCAAATGCAGGTATTGTCTGGAAACAGGATCTTTTCTCTGTTGGACGCTCGGATGCAGAACGATGCAAGCATTCCCCGGAACCTTTTTCCACCTACACGCATTCACTCAAGGTCACCTCACCTTGGCAACCTTCCACGAGGGGCTTAGATTTCTGCAAATTTGTCGCACTGCCTGAAATCGGCTCCCCACACCTTAGTTTATCATGCGTCCCTCCCCACCAAGCCCAACTTAAGCTTCAGCTCTGTTAAAATTTATTTTGCCACTCCAGCTCACATGTATCCTTTCCTGAATGAGACCTGCACTGGAATCTTCGCTGCCCTGTCTTCCCCAGGACAGTCGTTGCCTTTCTCACGTACAGGAAGGGGTTATGTTTTCCGTGCTGTACGCAACACCTGGCACTGAAACTGACATAACTGCACTACCCATGGAGTGTTTGTGGCCCTTTCCTTTTTTTAGCACCTGTTGCAGGTGACCTGTATGGTACCTCTATTTTTCTCTATGTATGGCTTCTCTTTCTAACCTAATTATCCTTAAGGGCAAAGATGGCATCCTTTAGGGCAGCGATTAAGTGTTTTCTTTTCTTTTTCTTTTTTTTTTGAGACGGAGTCTTGCTCGCTTGCCCAGGCTAGAGTGCAGTGGGGCGATCTCACCACAGCCTCCACCTCCCGGGTTCAGGCAATTCTCCTGCCTCAGCTTCCTGAGTAGCTGGGCCTACAGGCGTGCGCCACCATTCCTGGCTAATTTTTGTATTTTTAGTAGAGACGGGGTTTCACTATGTTGGCCAGGCTGGTTTTCTTTCTTTCTAAAAAAAGTTTTAATTTTTTCTTTTCTTTTTTTTTTTTTTTTTTTTTTTGAGATGGAGTCTTGCTCTGTCGCCCAGGCTGGAGTGCAGTGGCATGATCTCGGTTCACTGCAACCTCCGCCTCCTGGGTTCAAGCAATTCTCCTGCCTCAGCCTCCCGAATAGCTGGGATTACAGGTGCCCGCCACCACGACCGGCAAATTTTGTATTTTTTAGTAGAGACGGGGTTTCACCATGTTGGCCAGGCTGGTCTCGAACTCCTGACCTCAGGTGATCCACCTGCCTCGGCCTCCCAAGGTTCTGGGATTACAGGCATAAGCCACTGCGCCGAGCCTTATTTTTATTTATTTATTTATTTATTTATTTATTTATTTATTTATTTATTTATTTTTGAGACAGAGGCTTGGTCTGTCGCCAGGCTGGAGTGCAGTGGCGCAATCTCAGCTCACTGCAACCTCCGCCTCCAGGGTTCTAAGCGATTCTCCTGCCTCAGCCTCCCGACTAGCTGGGATTACAGGCACGTGCTATTCATTTTTTAATACAGAGATGGGGTCTCCCTGTGTTGGCCAGGCTGGTCTTGAATTTCCAGCCTCAAGCGATCTTGCCACCTCCATTGTCCAATGATTAAAGGGTTAACTCTTAGGACCCAGGAACTCTCCTGGGCCTACCTCCTGCTCATGTAAACTGCCCTCAGATTGGTCAGGCCTACTTTACAGGTTGTTGGGTATTTTGCTTGTCACAGTGGGACCTGGGCATTGGGAAAACCAGGGCAGAGCCAAATGAGATTACTAACAAAAATGAAAGAGTTGCAGGCCAGTGCTTTCTCTGGCAGGTGGAATTAAGAAGTAAATGGTGGCTGGGTGCAACAGCTCACACCTGTAATCCCAACACTTTGGGCAGCCTAGGCAGGAGGATCGCTTGAGCCAGGAGTTCAGAACCAGCCTAGGCAGCATAGTGAGACTTCATCTCTACAAAAAAAAGTAGTAGTAATTAGCTACTTTCTTGAACAGGATCAAACTTTGGCATTTTCTTCATTCTCGTAGATTCCCCAATGAGATGAAGATGTTTATTTGGTCATTTATCAAACATTCTTTCTTACATTAATTTAACAAATATTTTTTGAGCACCTATTATGTGCCAGGCCCTGTGACAGGCACTAGGGAAATAATAATGAAGAGACAGGCATAGTCCATACTCTCATGGAATTTATGGTCTACCTAATGGGAGAGACAGAAAAGTGAACACATAATATGATTAGTGCTGACATAAAGACAGCATGGAGTGTGAGGAGAACACATAGGTGAGGCACCTACTCTATTCTGATGTAGTCAGGGAAGGTTTCCTGATGCAAGTGATGTCTGAGATGAAATCTGAAGGGTGAGAGCAGGTTAAGCAAGTGAAGAGGGTTCCTGGAAGAGGGAACTGCTTATGCAAAGGCCTAGAGGTGAGAAGGCTTATAGAGGGGGAGGGCATGAAAGAGTTCAGTGTAGCCAGAGCATACTGGTAAGGGGACTGATAAAAGATGACCCTGAAGATCCGGGTGCGGTGGCTCATGCCTGTAATCCCAGCACTTTGGGAGGCCAAGGCGGGCAAATGACTTGAGGTCAGGAGTTCGAGACCAGCCTGGCCAACATGGGGAAACCTCGTCTCTACTAAAAACACAAAAATTAGCTGGGCATGGTGGTGCGTGCCTGTAATCCCAGCTACTTGGGAGGCTGAGGCAGGAGAATTGCATGAACCTGGGAGGCGGAGGTTGCAGTGAGCCGCGATCGTGCCATTGCACTCCAGCCTGGGTGACAGAGCAAGATTCTGTCTCAAAAAAAAAAAAAAAAAAATTGACGCTGAAGAACTGTGAGCCAGACCTTGCAGGGACGCCTTAGAGCCCATGTAAGATCCCACATGAAGATACTGGATTCTATGTTAAGGGCACTAGTTAGCCACTGAAGAATGTTAAGCAGGAAAGTGATATGATCTTGTTTTTGTTTGATTGATTGATTGATTGGGACAGGGTCTTGCTCTGTCACCCAAGCTGGAGTGCAGTGGTGCAGTCACAGCTCACGGCAACGTTGAACTCCTGGTCTCAGTTCATCCTCTCACCTCAGCCTCCCGAGTAGCTGGGACAGTGGGTGCTTGCCACCATGCCTGGCTAATTTTAAATTTTTTATAGAGACAGAGTCTCACTTTGTTGCCTAGAGTAGTCTAGAACTCCTGGCCTCAAGCAATCCTCCTGCCTCGGCCTCCCAAACTTGGGATTACAGGCGTGATCCACTGCTCCTGGCTTGTGTTTTTCTTTTAGAAAAATGCTTCTGGGCCAGGCACAGTGGCTCATGCCTGCATTCCCAACAATTTGGGAGTCCAAGGCAGGAGGATTCTTTGAGCCCAAGAGTTCAAGACCAGCCTGTGCAACGTGGTGAAACCCCATCTCGGCAAGAAATTTCTAAAAAAGTATCCAGGCATAGAGGCACGCACCTGTGATCCCAGCTACTCGAGGGGTTGAGATAGGAGGACTGCTTGAGCCCGGGAGGTCGAGGCTGCAGTGAGTCGTGGTCACACCACTGTACTCTGCCAGCCTCGGTGATAGAGGCTATCTCAAAAAAATAAAGAAAAGAAAAGGAAAAATCCCTCTGGTTGCTAAAGAATATAGAATAGGTTAAAGAAAGGGCAAGAGTGGACGTATGTCTGAGATACCATTTAGAATCAAATTTAGTCATTTAGGTGTGATGATGGCAGACTGGCCTAGGGAAGAGGCAGTACAGTAGAGAGAAATGGGGGGATTCCAGAAATATCCAGGAAGCAGAAACAACTGGACTAGTTCCAGGACTAATGTCAGGACAAAATTTCTACAAAGTCAAAACTCCATATAGTCAAATGACAAATTGGAAAAATATATTTGTAATTTACATCACAAAGAGCTAATCTTCCTGCATGTAAAGAACTCTTAGACATCAGTAAGAATATGATCAACCATTAGAAAAAAATGGCAAATGACATTTACAGACAGACAGTTCACAGAAAAGGAAAAACAAATGACTCCCTAACACATGAAATGATGTTCAGCCTGGGTCGTAATCAGAAGGCAGATTAAACCCCACCGATATCATTATCAGATTGGCGAAAATCCAAACATTTGCTAACATTATTTGCAGGGCTGTGGATAAGCAGGCATTCTAATTTGTTGGTGATGGGGGTGAAAATTGGTACAAATCCTATAAGGTTAATTTGGCAATATCCATCAAACTTGCAAACATACCATTCCCACTAATGGGAGTGATTCTACAGATATATTTGCACTCACGAGAAACGTATGTATAAGGCTATTCATTGCAGCTTTTCTGTAACAGCAAAAGATTAGAAATAACCCATATTTCTATCAATAGGAAACAGAAAAAATAAATCTTGATACATCCATACAATAAAATACTATGTGGCTGCAACAGAGAATGAGAAAGTACTCCAAGGTGTTCTTTAAATAAAAAAGGGAAAGATTCAAAACCATATACTTAGTGTGATACATTTTATTTATTTTATTTTTTATTTTATTTTGAGACAGAGTTGCACTCTTGTCACGCAGGCTGGAATGCAGTGGCGTGATCTCGGTTCACTGCAACCTCTGCCTCCCAGGTTCAAGTAATTCTTGTGCCTGAGCCTCCCAAGTAGCTGGGATTACAGGTGTGCACCACCATGCCTGGCTAGTTTTTGTATTTCCAGTACAGGCGGGGTTTTGCCATGTTGGCCAGGCTGGTCTCGAACTCCTGGCCTCGAGAGATCCACCCGCCTCGCCCTCCCAAAGTGCTGGGATTACAGGCGTGAGCCACCGCACCTGGCCAATATGATACTTTTTATGTCAAAGAGCAGGGAAACCAAGAATATTCATCAGAATTTGAGTAAAGAAATTCTGGAAGGATACACAAAATACCTATAAAAGTGGTTACATAAGGGGGAGAGGGAGTGGAGGATGTGAGACAAAGGTGGAAGTGACTTTTTACTATATACTTTTTAGACGTTTAAAAATATTTGAACCTATAATCCGAGCACTTTGAGAGGCCAAGGCAGGAGGATCACTTGAGGCCAGGAGTTCGAGACCAGCCTGGGCAACATAATGACACCCCATCTCCACACACACAAAAGTAAATCAATTAGCCTGGTGTGGTGGCACATACCTATAGTCCCAACTACTTGGAAGGCTGAGGTGGGAGGATCACTTGAGTCCAAGAGTTCGAGGCTGCAGTGAAGATAATGGCACCACTGGGCTCCCGCCTGAATGACATAGCAAGATCCTGTCTCAAAAAAAAAAAAAATGAGGCTGGGCGCAGTGGCTCACGCCTGTAATCCCAGCACTTTGGGAGGCCAAGGCAGGCAGATCACCTGAGGTCAGGAGTTCGAGACCAGCCTAGCCAAAATGGCGAAACCTCGTCTCTACTAAAAATACAAAAATTAGCCAGGTGTGGTGGCACACGCCTGTAATCCCAGCTACTTGGGAGCCTGAGGCAGAAGAATCGCTTGAATCTGGAAGATGGAGGTTGCAATGAGCCGAGATCAAGCCACTGCACTACAGCCTGGATGATGCTCCAAAACAAACAAACAAAAACATTGAACCATGTGAATGCTTACCTAGTCAAAAAATTAAAACAATGTTGGCTTCCCTATTACAATGGCTAATATTAAGACTGGACAGGGTGCAGTGGCTCACACCTGTAATCCCAGCACTTTGGGAGGATCACTTGAGCTCAGGAGTTCAAGACTAGCCTGGGCAACATGGTGAGACCCCATCTCTGTTTAAATTTTAAAAAATAAAAATAAGTAAAAGAAGACTGACCACATCAAGTGTTGGAGAGGATGTGGAGGAAGTGGAATTCTCACACACTCTGGTTAAAATCTTAAATGGTGCAACCTCTGTCAGGGCAAACTGCTGGTCATAATAAGAAAGAACAAAATGGTGCAACCACTTTGGAAAACAGTTTGGCAGGGTCTTTAGAAGTTAAACATCCATACACCACATGATCTAGCCATTCCACTCCTAGGTATTTACCCAAGAGAAAAGAAAACACATGGGTACACAAGGACTTATACATGGATATTTATAACAGCTTTATTTGTCATATCCAAAAATCAGAAGCAATGAAAGTGTCTACCAACAGGTAAATGGATAAACAAATTTAATGCCATACAGTAGAAAGGAATAAAGTATGGATCCACAAAACAACATGGATAATCTATGCTCAGTAAAGGAAGCAGATTTTTAAAATAAGAATACATACTATAGAATTTTTTTTTTTTTTTTAGATATAGGGTCTTGTTATATTGCCCAGGCTGGAGTGCATAGGCGTGGTCATAGTTCATTGCAGCCTTGAACTGGGCTGAAGGAATCCTCCCACCTCAGCCTCTCAAGTAGCTGGAACTACAGGCATGTGTCACTGTGCCCGTTGGATTCCATTTATATACAATTCTAGGAATACAAACTATAGTGATAAAAAGCAGATCAATGGTTGCTGTGAAGGGAAGCAGAAGGGGAAGGAAGGAGGTTGTAAATGGAATGTAGGAAAGTTCTGGGACTGATGAATATATACTCATTGCCTTGATTGTGGTGATGGTTTCATGGGTGTGCCTTTTTTTTTTTTTTTGAGATAGAGTCTCGCTTTGTTGCCCAGGCTGGAGTACAGTGGCGCAATCTCGGCTCAATGCAACCTCCACCTCCCGGATTCAAGCGATTCTTCTGCCTGCCTCAGCCTCCTGAGTAGCTGGGATTACAGGTGCCCGACACCATGCCTGGCTAATTTTTGTATTTTTAGTAGAGGTGGGGCTTCACCATGTTGACCAGGCTGCTCTGGAACTCCTGACCTCAGGTGATCTGCCTGCCTCAGCCTCCCAAAGTGCTGGGATTACAGATGTGAGCCACCGCGCCCAGCTGGGTGTATATTTTATTTTATTTTGTTCATTTATTTATTTGAGATGGAGTCTCGCTCTGTCGCCCAGGCTAGAGTGCAGTGGTGCGATCTCAGCTTACTGCAACCTCCACCTCCTGGGTTCGTGCCATTCTCCCGCCTCCGCCTCCCGAGTAGCTGGAACTACAGGCGCCCGCCACCACGCCCGGCTAATTTTTTGTATTTTTTATTAGAGACGGGGTTTCACGGTGTTAGCCAGGATGGTCTCGATCTCCTGATCTCGTGATCTGCCCACCTCAGTCTCCCAGAGTGCTGGGATTACTGGCGTGAGCCACTGCGCCCGGCCGGCCGGGTGTATATTTTAAACATGAGCAATTTATGTCAACTAACAATACCTCAATAAGGCTGTTTTTTTAAAATAATAATGTTGGGATGAGGAAAACCCAAGCATGATGGCTAATGAATTTTTTTGTTTGTTTTTTGAGAGGGAGTCTTGCTTTGTCACCCATGCTGGAGTGCAGTGACATGATCTCTGCCCGCTGCAACCTCCACCTCCCAGGTTCAAGTGATTCTCCTGCCTTAGCCTCCCAAGTAGCTGGGACTACAGGTCCCACCACGACACTGGTTAATTTTTGTAATTTTAGTAGAGACAGGGTTTCACCATGTTGGTCAGGCTGGTCTCAACTCCTGACCTCAAGTGATCAGCCCACCTTGGTCTCCCACATTTTTGGGATTACAGGTGTGAGCCACTGTGCCCGAGCTTTAATTTTTTTGTTTTCATTTTTTTTTTTTGAGACAGGGTCTCACTCTGTCACCCAGGCTAGAATGCAGTGACACGATCATGGTTCATTGCAGCCTTGCTCTCAGAAGCTCAGGCCATCCTCCTGCCTTAGCCTCCTGAGTAGCTGGGATTACAGGCGCGTGCCACTATGCCCAGCTAATTTTTGTATTTTTTGTAGAGATGGGGTGTCGCCGTGTTGCTTAGGCTGGCCTCAAACTCCTGGGCTAAGGGATTAGCCTGCCTCAGCCTCCCAAAGTGCTGCGATTACAGGTGTGAGCCACTGTGCCCAGTCGACAGCTAATGAATCTTAATGTGCCTTGGGCAAGATGGATGCTAAAAGGAAAATTACAGCAGCACTTGGTAAGTGCCACATTGGAGATGGGTAAGCTGTGATGTGAGGACTCACAGAATGATAGTGACTCTTCCTGCTGGGCCCCCTAGTCCAGGGGTGTCCAATCTTTTGGCTTCCCTGAGCCACACTGTAAGAATTGTCTTGGGCCACACATAAAATACACTAACACTAATGGTAGTTGATGAGCTAAAAACAAAACCAAAAAAATCACCAAAAAATCTCATAATGTTTTAAGTTTACGAGTTTGTGTTGGGCCGCATTCAAAGCCATCCTGGGCCACATGTGGTCTGCAAGCCGAGGGTTGGACAAGCTTATCCTAGTCCCGGTTAATTAGGTTGACTATAGTTGTTTATGTACCTTTATTCAACACCTACTATGTGTTGTGCTCTTCACTTATGTAACCAGAAGAACAAAACAACCTATTTCCTAGCCCAAAGGAGTTGGAGCTTTGTGAAAGAATCCAATCTCTCTTAGAAGCAACTTTTTTTTTTTTTTTTTTTTTGAGATGGAGTCTCACTCTGTCACCCAGGCTGGAGTGCAGTGGTGCGATCTTGGCTCACTGCAACCTCCACCTCCTGGGTTCAAGCGATTCTCCTGCCTCAGCCTCCCGAGTAGCTGGGATTACAGGTGCGTCCCACCACACCCGGCTAATTTTTGTATTTTTAGCAGAGATGGGGTTCACCATGTTGGCCAGACTGGTCTTTAACTCCTGGCCTCAAGTGATCCGCCCACCTTGGCCTCCCAAAGTGCTGGGATTACAGATGTGAGCCACTGTACCCGGCCTCTTTGAAGCAACTTTTTCAAAGCTTTATCTAGTCTTTGTGTAACTAAGGGAACAGCTATTATAAGATATATGGCTTAGGCCCAGGCACAGTGGCTCACGCCTGTAATCCCAGCACTTTGGGAGGCTGAGGCGGGCAGATCACTTGAGGTCAGGAGTTTGAGACCAGCCTGGCCAACATGGTGAAACCCCGCCTCTACCAAAAATACAAAAAGTAGCCGGGTGTGGTGCCATGCACCTGTAATCCCAGCTATTTGGGAGGCTGAGGCATGAGAATCACTTGAACCTGGGAGGCGGAGGTTGCAGTGAGCAGAGATCATGCCATGCCAGTGCACTCCAGACTGTGCAACAGAGTGAGAATACATCTCAAAAAAAAAAAAAAAAAAGTACCCTCATTTCTTATTCCTGGCAAGCCTTGTAGGAGAGTCACTAACACTGCTCTGCATAATAAATGTAAAACAGTTAGCCAAGCATGGTGGCACAGGCCTGTAGTCCCAGCTACTAGGGTGGCTGAGGTAAGGATTGCATGAACTCAGGAGTGCAAGGCTGCAGTGAGCTATAATCGCATGACTGCACTCCAGCCTGGGTGACAAGTGAGACCCTGACTCTAAAAAAATTAAAAATTAAAAAAAGTAAAAAAAAAAAAAGGCCAAGCACAGTGGCTCTGTAATGTCAACATTTTAGGAGGCCGGGGCAGGAGGATTGCTTAAGGCCAGTAGTTCGAGACCAAAGGTTATCCAGGGTACTCAGAAGAGCAGAGCTTCATCTGTGTCTTACTCAGACTGGAGGGAATACCAGCCTCCCCGAGACAGTCCTACTTGGAGGGACTATATGCCAAAGCTCATTCACACAAGGCTGCTGTGCCACCTTCTCCCTGTTGCACCGGGCCCCACGCACATACACACATACACAGTCACTGACTCACTCTCACCCCTCTAGCCTTAAATCCAGAATCTAGACTGAATATGGACTGAATGGGTCAGATTTGGGGAAATGTGTTTCTGGGGACAGCTGAGGGACCAGAGAGAGGCAGGGCCTGGGGCTTCCCAGGAAGGAATGGAGGGTTGAAGATGTTCCTAGCGAGGGAAGCAGACCTGAGGACAGGGAGCCAGGGTAGACCTGACACTCCGTAATAAAGGTTAAACTTCTTGGCGGCTTTTCACTTAGATTATAGGGAAAGTTAAAACCAAAGTTTAGCTGGGCATGGTGGTGGGCACCTGTGGTCCCAGCTACTTGAGAGGCTGAGGCAAGAGGGTCGCTTGAGCCTAAGAGGTCAAGGCTGCAGTGAGCCGCAGTCATGCCACTGCACTCCAGCCCAGGTGACAGAGCAAGACCCTGTCTCAAAACAAAACACGGCGAAACCCCGTCTCTACTAAAAACAGAAAAATTAGCCGGGTGTGGTGGCGCAAGCCTGTAATCCCAGCTACTCGGGAGCCTGAGGCACGAGAACTGCTTGAACCTGGGAGTTGGAGGTTGCAGTGAGCCGAGATTGCACCACTGCACTCCAGCCTGGGCGACAGAGTGAGACTGTCTCAAAAAACAAAAACAAAAACCCACAAAGTTTTAATACTTTCCACTATTGTAATTCCCTTTAGTTGTCCCCCCAACACTTTAGTAAAGAACAACCTTGTGCAGTCATGATGCAAAGAATTCACACCTGTGTCCCACTGTGAATCTAGGGGCCTTTCATGTAGAGGAACCACACCAGGAGTTCTAGGCTGTGACCTGCAGGCAAGTGAGTGGCCCAAGGCAGAATGGAAGTCAGTGTCAAGCAGAAGACTTGAGGGAAAGGCATGAGACAAACCTTGCCTCCCATCCCACTTCTTCAAATATACTCAAGAAAAGTAACCCTTAAAATGGAGGAAAATGCTGACACCTGGATTTTATATACATTATCTCACTTAACACAAAAATCTCAAGAGTAGGCATTAGCCCCATTTTACAAATAAGGAAATGATGGCTTAAAGAGGCTAATTTGCCCAACATTATATACCAGTAAGTGACCATGCCGAGATCTCAACCTGTATCTGTGGGTCTGACCTGATCACATCTCCCACTTTTTCCTATGGAAATGGAGGTGGCTGTAGACATTGGCAGTCACGGCAGTCCATATGCTGCCTGTCGATAGCTGGGACGTTTGTTATTCTCTATTCTACGGAACTTTGTATTGTTTAGTGCTTTCAAGCGTATATTGCTTTTGTATTCCACAGAAATAATAAAGATATTAAAAAAGGAAAATAAATCAGTGGTTCATAGAGAACACAATGAAATACCTGTTATCTTGGGAATGGTGGGTTTTACCATCCAGAGGACTTAGTAAGACAGAATATTAAGAATACAGGATGTGGGCTGGGTACGGTGGCTCACGCCTGTAATTCTAGCACTTTGGGAGGCTGAGGTGGGCAGATCATCCACCTGAGGTCAGGAGTTCGAGACCAGCCTTGGCAACATGGTGAAATCCCGTCTCTACTAAAAATACAAAATTAGCCAAGTGTGGTGGCTCATGCCTGTAATCCCAGCTACTTGGGAGGCTGAGGCAGGAGAATCCCAGCTACTCAAGAGGCTGAAGCAGGAGAATCACTTGAGCCCAGGAGGTGGAAGTTGCAGTGAGCCGAGATTGTACCATTGCATTCCAGCCTGGGTGACGAGCAAAACTCTGTCTCAAAAAAAAAAAAAAAAAAAGAATACGGGATGTGGACCAGGCATGGTGACTCACACCTGTAATCCCAACACTTTGGGAGGCTGAGGCAGGGAGGATTGCTTGAGGCCAGGAGTTTGAGACAAGCCTACATTGTGACCAGACAATATAGCAAGACTCTGTCTCTACGAAAATAAATAAACAAAACATGGGATGTGGAAGGAAGTTTAGGTTCCAGTCCTAGTTCTGTTTCTCATAAGCTTATCGGCATTGGACAAGTCACTTAACTTGTGAGTTTCAGTTTGCTCATCTTTCTCAGTTTTCTGAGGCTGTTTTCTCATCTTCAAAATTATTCCACAGGCGCAGTGGAATCCCAACACTTTGGGAGGCCAAGGCAGGTGGATAGCTTGAGCCCAGGAGTTTGAGACCAGCCTGGGCAACTTAGGGAGACCCTGTCTCTACAAAAAAATTAAAATTAACCAGGTGTGGTGGTGTGTGCCTGAAGTTCCAGCTACTCAGGAGGCTGAGGCAGGGGGAACGCTTGAACTTGGGAGGCAGAGGATGCAGTGAGCCATGATTGTGCCACTGCATTCCAGCCTGGGTGACAGAGTAAGAAGACCCTGTCAAAAAAAAAAAAAGAAAGAAAGAAAAAGGAAAATTATTCCTCACAGACTTGGTGTGAGGGTCAAATAAGAAGATAAGAATAAATACTTCTTAAGCCATAGGATGCAACCTGTATCTTAGTTAATATAAGCAATAACTGGCTGGGTACGGTGGCTCACGCCTATAATCCCAGCACTTGGGGAGGCCAAAGTGGGCGGATCACCTGAGGTCAGCAATTTGAGACCAGCCTGGCCAACATGGCGAAACCCCATCTCAACTAAAAATACAAAAATTAACCGGGCGTGTTGGCAGATGCCTGATGCCTATAATTCCAGCTGTGCCGGAGGCTGAGGCAGGAGAATCACTTAAACCTGGGAGGTGGAGGTTGCAGTGACCTGAGGTTGCGCCACTGCACTCCAGCCTGGATGACAAGAGCGAAACTCTGTCTCAAAAAAAAAAAAAAAAAAAAAAAAAAAAAAATATATATATATATATATATATATATATATATATATATATATATATATATGCAATAACTCTACCAGATTTGCAGAAGCCGATCTTTTATTGCAAGAAAGGGGTCCCCTTGGGCACAGACTCTGTGGAAGCTGGGGTCAGGGGACATTATTTGAATTAAATGAATAGTGGTTGATTCTGCCCATTTATTTCCTACTTCATGCTTGCTTTCCCTCTATCTACATATTCACTTGTCAGGAATAACATTTTTTTCCTGTAATATCATTTTTTGATGGAAACTTCCAGACTTGCTCAGATGAGAGCGGGAAGGGGGGGAGTACAAAAGCCCACATTTCTTCAGCATTTCAATCAACAACCTCATTTTCTTCTAACAGTTGAAGTGAACTTCTTATGAATAATGGATGATAGCCTGATGAATATGCACACGGCCTATTATGCCTGTGAGGTTTAGTAAATAATTTATGAGCTAAAATGTTCCTCATGTTGTTACTGTACAAAAATTATGGAAAAAAAACCCATATTTACCCTTTCAGGTGGTAGGGTGATCTGTCAGAGACAGTGACAGCAGCCCAGCAATACAGTTTTACATCATTGCTAAAATTAAAGTAAGTAGAATAAAATAAACGCATTTCAGGGCAAGAGGTGGAGGTCTATTAAAAATGGAGCATGCACAGGCATACTCCTTGTCACATATAAGTTGTCAAAAACTCTGGCTTCTCACCTTAAGATATCCTTGCATTGTTAACAGCATCAGGGATCTTCTCCTCCGCAGCCCGATCTCTTCACATGCCTTCAATATGACCAGCCGCAACTGACATCTGCTTTGTTGTTTTATGAAAACTCGCCCTTAGAAATGCATTGCTCCCTTTCCTCTCTCACAGCTGAGAGATTCTTTTTCTGCTGACCAACCTGAGTTCCCTGCTGAATGCCCTAGCTTTATTGCCTTAGCAGCAGGAGTGGGTGCCTTTTATCTGTTGGTTAGAGAGAGGGAGGCACAAAATTGACTACAGAAATAAGGAAGGTGTTTGGGACAATATGCATGGATTCTGGTAACACCTGGTTGTCCTATGACAAGTTTCTGAAGACCTGGAACTGGCTTAGTTATCATGCCAGGGAAGAGGGGACCCCAGGGATTATCTGTTAATATTTCAGAACCTTTCTAGGTACAGTGCCCAGGAAGACTCTTACTGTGAACAGAGCATCCCTTATATGCTGGGTGCTTGGAGGAGATCAGGTGAAAGAGAAAATACATGGCCCTGTCATTCGTCCAGTGGGTAAATAATACATATTCTCAAGAAACAGAGTGAGGACTAGGTGTGGTAGCTCACACCTGTAACCCCAGAACTTTGGGAGGCTGAAGCGGGAGGATCACTTGAGTTCTGGCATTCAAGTCCAGCCTGGGCAACATAGGGAGACCCTATCTCTACCAAAAAATTAAAAAATTAACAGGGCATGGTGGCATGTGTCTGTGGTATCACCTACTCGAGGTTGAGGTGGGAGGATCACTTGAGCCCAGGAGGTTGAGGCTGCAGTAAGCCATGATCACACCCCTGCACTCCAGCCTGGGCAACAATGCAAGACCCTGTCTGGAAAAGAAAGAGAGAGAGAGAGAAAGGAAAGAAAGAAAAGGCAAGGGAAAGAACGGGAGGGAGGGAATGGCCTATAAATTACAAAGTGAAGTTATTGGAACAATAATGTAATTTAAAAAGTAATATTGGCTGGGCACAGTGGCTCAAGCCTGTAATCCCAGCACTTTGGGAGGCCAAGGTGGGCTGGTCACTTGAGGTCAGGAGTTCGAGACCAGCCTGGCCAACATGGTGAAACACCATCTCTACTAAAAATACAAAAGTTAGCCAGGTGTGGTGGCACGTGCCTGTAATCGTAGCTATTCGGGAGGCTGAGGCATGAGAATCCCTTCAATCCAGGAGGTGGAGGTTGCAGTGAGCTGAGATCGCACCACTGCACTCCAGCGTGGGTGACAAAGTGAGACTCCATCTCAAAAAAGAAAAAAAAGTAATATTGGCTGGGCACAGTGCCTCAAGCCTGCAATCCCAGCACTTAGGCAGGCTGAGGCTGGCAGATCAGTTGAGCCCAGGAGTTCAAGACCAGCCTGGGCAAAATATAGCAAAACCTCATCTCTACGAAAAATACAAAAATTAGCCAGGCATGGTGGCACATACCTGTAGTCCCAGCTACTTGGGAGGCTGAGGCAGGAGGATCACTTGAGCCCAGAAGGTTGAGGCTGCAGTGAAACAAGATCACACTACTACATCCAGACTGGGTGAAGGAGTGAGACCCTATCTCAAACAAAATAAAATAATAATAATTAGAACAATGTGGTATGTATTATACAGGAAGCCTTCTTGGAGGAGGTAAATCTTGAGTTTGCAAAGCTAGAAGGGTCCCAATTAGAAAGATTAGAGGTATATATGGCCAAGCCTACCTGATTTGGTGTCTGCCTCCCTTTCCAACCTCATTTTGTACAATTCTCCCCCACCTCTTGCGGTGTCCTAGCCTACAAGAGACCAAATGTTTGTGTCCCCCTCAAAATTCATATATTGAAATTCTGGCCCCCAATGTGATGGTATTATGTGGGCCCTTTGGGAGGTGATTAGGTCATGAGGGTAGAGCTTTCATGAATGGGATCAGAGCCCTTATAAAAGGAACCCCAGAGAGCTTCCTAGCCTGCTTCTGCCATGTGAAGATGGCTGTCTATGAACTAGGAAGCAGGCCCTCAGAAGAAATCAAATCAGCCAGCATCTTGATATTGAACTTTCCAGCTTCTAGAACTGTGAGAAATAAATTTATGTTGTTTATAAGCCATCCAGTATATAATTTTTTTTTTTTGAGACGGAGTCTCACTCTGTCACACAGGCTGGAGTGCAATGGCACGGTCTCAGCTCACTGCAACTCCAGGTTCAAGCGATTCTCTTGCCTCAGCCTCCCGAGTAGCTAGGACTACAGGCACATGCCACCACACCAGGCTAATTTTTGTATTTTTAGTAAAGACGGGGCTGGGCGCGGTGGCTCATGCCTGTAATCCCAGCACTTTGGGAGGCCAAGGTGGGAGGATCACGAGGTCAGGAGATCAAGACCATCCTGGCTAACACAGTGAAACCCCATCTCTGCTAAAAAAAAAAAAAAAAAAAAAAAGAAAAATACAAAAAAATTAGCCAGGCGTGGTGGTGGGCACCTGTAGTCCCAGCTGCCCGGGAGGCTGAGGCAGGAGAATGGCATGAATCTGGAAGGCAGAGCTTGCAGTGAGCCGAGATCACGCCACTGCACTCCAGCCTGGGTGACAGAGCGAGACTCCGTCTCAACAAACAAACAAAAAAGTAAAGACGGGGTTTCACTATGTTGGCCGTGCTGGTCTCAAACTCCTGACCTCGGGATCCACCTGACTCGGCCTCCCAAAGTGCTGGGATTACACCCGTGAGCCACCGTGTCCGGCCAAATAAAACTCTTCAACAGGATTCTCAGCCCAGCACGTTTTCGTTTTCTCCTTCACTCACATTTCCCCAACTTTCCGAGCCTTCATTTATTCAATAAGTAATTATTATCTACTGTGTGCCAGATAACTGGGCTTGGTGCCAAATGTCCAGTCAAAAACAAAATGGACTGTTGCCTTGGAATTTACTGCCTACTCGGTAAACATATTAAATAGAAAATAAACATACAAATACATCAGCACACATGGTGATTAAGAAAACGGGAAGGTGATACGAGACAAAATAACACTGAAGTGCAGGGAAAATGTCTCTGAGGAAGGAAGCCATATATAAGGCAAGGCCTGAAAGATGGGCTAAGGAGGAGGCAGAAGAAACAGCATAGGCAGACACAATGAAGGCAGGAAAGAGCTCGAAGTTTAAGAACCTGAAAGTGGATCAGTATCGATGGGTCTTAGTCCGTTTGGGCTGTTATAACAAAATACTATAGGTCGGGTGCAGTGGCTCACGCCTGTAATCCCAGCACTTTGGGAGGCCGAAGCAGGTGGATCACCTGAGGTCAGGAGTTCAAAACCAGCCTGGCCAACATGGTGAAGACTCATCTCTACTAAAAATACAAAAATTAGCCGGGCATCGTGGTGCATGCCCGTAATCCTAGCTACTCGAGAGGCTGAGACAGGAGAATAGCTTGAACCCGGGAAGTGGAGGTTGCAGTGAGCCAAGGTCTCATCACTGCACTCCAGCCTGGGTGACAGAGCAAGACTCTGTCTCAAAAAAAAGTAAAATTTTAAAATAAAAATAATAAAATATTAGGCCAGGCGTGGCGGCTCACACCTGTAATCCTAGCAATTTGGGAGGTGGAGGCAGGCGGATCACCTGATGTCAGAAGTTTGACATCAGCCTGGCCAACATGGTGAAACCCTGTCTCTACTAAAAATACAAAAATTAGCTGGGCACGGTGGCACATGCCTGCAATCCCAGCTACTTGGGAGGCTGAGGCAGGAGAATCGCTTGAACCCAGGAGGCAGAGGTTGCAGTGAGTGGAGATCGTGCCACTGCACTCCATCCTGGGCTAAAGAGTGAGACTCTGTCTCAACAACAACAACAACAAAAGCCAGGTGCGGTCTTTGGCATGCCCAGGCAAAAAAAGAAAAAAAAATTTTTTAAGTAATATACTTTGTTTTTTGTTTTTGAGACGGAGTCTCACTCTGTCACTGAGGCTGGAGTGCAGTGGCACCGTGTCGGCTCACTGTAACCTCCGTCTCCTGGGTTCAAGCAATTCTCCTGCCTCAGCCTCCCGAGTAGCTGGGATTACAGGAGCCCACCACCACGCCCGGCTAGTTTTTATATTTTTAGTAGAGACGGGGTTTCACCATGTTGGCCAGGCTGCTCTCGAACTCCTGACCTCAGGCGATCCACCCGCCTCAGCCTCCCAAAGTGCTGGGATTATAGGCATGAGCCACAGCGCCCAGCCAAAAAGTAATAAACTTTCATTGCAAGAAGACTACCAATACCACATACTGGTGAGGATGTAAAACAATTAGAACTCTCTCATGCATTGCTGATAAAGATATAAATTGGTTCAAACACTATAGAAAACTATTTAGCAGTATGGACAAAAGCTAAATAAAATAGAATAGCTATTCTACTCCTCAGTATTTACCTGGAAGAAATAAGTGCATATGTTCACCAAAATACTTGTACAAGAATGCTCATAGCAGTTTTATTCCTAAGAGGCCCAAACAACAAGCAAATGCCCATCAATAATGGAATGGATAAATTGTAGTATAATTATGCAATGGAATACTACACAGCAATAAAAAATACTTCTACATTCAACAACATGGATGAATCTCAAAAACATATATTGAGGCCGGGTGTGGTGGCCGACACCTGTAATCCCAGCACTTTGGGAGGCCGAGGAGGGCGGATGACTTGAGGTCAGGAGTTCGAGACCAGCCTGGCCAACATGGTGAAACCCTGTGTCTACCAAAAGTATAAAAAATTAGCTGGGAGCGTGGTGGCTCATGCCTGTAATCCCAGCACTTTAGGAGGCTGAGGTGGGCGGATCATGAGGTCAGGAGTTCAAGACCAGCCTGACCAACATGGTGAAACCCCATCTCTACTAAAAATACAAAAATTAGCCGGGCATGGTGGCGTGTGCTTGTAATCCCAGCTACTCAGGAGGCTGAGGCAGGAGAATCACTCGAACCTAGGAGGTGGAGGTTGCAGTGAGCTGAGATCACACCATTGCACTCCAGCCTGGGCGACAGAGCGAGACTCCATCTCGAAAAAAAAAAGAAAAAAAAAATTAGCTGGGCGTGATGGCACGCACCTGCAGTCCCAGCTACTTGGGAGGCTGAGGCAGGAGAACCACTTGAACCCGAGAGGCGGAGGTTGCAGTGAGCCGAGATCACACCACTGCACTCCAGCCTGGGCGACAGAGCAAGACTCCGTCTCAAAAAAAAAAATTTTGTTGAGTGACAGAAGCCAAACACAAAAGATTGCATATTGTCTGATTCCATTTATGAGAAGTTCAAGAATCAGCTCAAGTAATCAATCTATGGTGACAGAAATCAGAATAATGGTTACTTTGGGAATTTATGGCCGGTGAAGGTACATAAGGGAATCCTCAGGTCTTGGAAAGGCTCTATATCTTGTTTTGGGTGGGGATTACATGGATATATATATGTGTGTGAGTATATACATGTATATATAGACATGTATATATGTATACACGTATCTATACACGTGTATATATGTATACACACACACGTACATATGTATACACACACATACACGTACATATGTACACACACATATACACGTACATATGTATACACACATATACACGTACATATGTATACACACATATACACGTACATATGTATACACACATACACGTACATATGTATACACACACATACACGTACATATGTATACACACACATACATACACGTACATATGTATACACACATACATACACGTACATATGTATACACACATACATACACGTACATATGTATATACATGTAAAAATTTATCAAGGTATACACATACTGTGTACATGTTATGCCCCAATAAACACAGAAACAAAAAGTAATATATGCTCATCAAATATTTAAGCAATGCAGAAGTGTATACAACATAAAGAAAACCGTGATTAACATTTTTATGTATGTCTCCCTGAACTCCTCTGATCACATCCATATTTCTTTCTTCAAACTGTCGCTGATATCCATGCTATCCAAAGCCTTTGATCTATGTGTAGCACCAAACCAAGTGACATAAATGAAAAGTTTCAACCTTCATGTGACAAAGTTCAGCAGCAATACTGAGCCCCTCCTTCACATAAAGAGTAGTGGGAAATACAAACATGAGTAAGTCACAACCAGTGCTCTCAAAGAATTCACAGTCCAGGGAGAGAAACTACAGGGACTACCGGCCAAACAAAAACCCCAAGAACTGTAATATCAAGCCACGCAGTAGAGTTTCACAGGGCCATTAAAACGAGTTCAAACTATTGTACAAGGAATGACACCTTACAGTTGTATAGAGCTTGCAGCTTTCAGTTTTTTCACATACAGGCTCACAAACTTAACCCTATGAAGTAGTCATTATAAATGTCATTATAAATATTATCCTTGTTTTATAAGTAATGAAGAAGTTAAATTACTTGCCTGGACGGCTAGTGGAAGAGTTGGGACTAAAACCTAAGTATTCTGACTCCTAATACATTGGTTACTCATAAATCCGCCGCCAGCAGTACCTGCTCACTTCCAGATGGAAACAGCAAGCTGATAACAGCCTAGTCCACTGGCCAGGTTAACGACGAGGCCGGGCCATTCAATGCCCTTCCACCACGAGGCCTTACGGAGCAGTCCCGGGGAGGACTGAGGCCTCCAACTGCATTCTCACACTGCCTCTAACCCATCTACCTCTAGCTATCCTCAGACCACCAAATATCGGGAGAGGGTGGGAGGGGGAACAGCCTAGGATGACAGCAGGTGGCCTCAGTATTGGGATCCACATTCACTGGATTTACAGAGCCTCCTTCCTTCCCAGTTCTTCTCTCCATTCCCACGCTTCCACTTTGGTCTTCCAACTTTTTCCTCTTTCAGTTGTCCACCACTTCTCCAATCTGCTTTCCCTCAGCCACCCACATCCACCCCTTTTCTGGTCCCCTCTCTACCTTAAGAAGCTGCTAGAGGTTTTTCACCATTCCACTGAACTTTGTCTTTCTGTTCACATTTCCTTGTCTACTTGGACAAGAAGGCCGGAAATCTGCTTTTAGACAACACAGCCCACGGCCGCCACCGGGTGAGAGACCTGGGACCCTTCGCTGCTTTGGCGCTGGGGCACAGCTGTTCAGAGGTTCTCCACGTTGGCTGAGCGATGTCTGAGTTCCCCCGCCTTTCTAGGGAGGGAGGGATAGACATAAACTTGACTTTCAACATTGAGGACAGTTGACTACCTAGAGGAAAGGCGGTGGCCGGGAGTCACCGCCCCAACCCTCAGCTGAAGGCCATGTGGCATGGAGGGTCCGGACTCCAGCTCCTACTCTGGCACCTTCCGAAATGAAACCACCTCCGCGGCACCTCGGAGGGGCTGAGTAACCAGACCCACTGACCGTCCATCCCTGTCCCGGGAGAGAGCCTCCGGGACCTCCCGCTCGGCCAGGGCCAGAGGGTCCCCTCCCCACCCCCACCCCTCGCTCCTGGCTCCCGTGCTCCCCTCCCTTCCCTGACCGCCCTCCCAGCCCGCCGCCCCCGGCGGCTGGCGCGGGCGGTGCAGCATGCGGCAAAGCTCTTTGCATAAATTATGCTCATGACGCAGCAGCTAAAAAAATCCAAGTAGCAGAAGGAGGGAAAAAAGGGGGGGAGGGAAAAGGGGGGGGTCGTGGAAGGGGGAACGAAGAAAAATATATACCTGACCGCCCCCCCACCCGGCTTCCCCTTCCCGCTTCCCGGCCGTCCCCTCTCCGCCCGGCTTAGCCTGCGGAGCCCCCTTCGGCTCTGCCCAGCCCAGGCTGGGGGCCTGGGGGCGGCGGCGGGTCCCGACCAGCTCCCGGGCCGAGCCGAGCCCAGCCAAGCCGCACTGGCTTCTTTGTCTGCGGGCGGCGGCCGCCGTGGCCCCGGCCCCGGCCCCGGCCCCCTGGCCCGGGCTGTGAGATGAATCTCTAATCGGTGGCCGCCAGACACCCGCGGCGAAGGCGGCTCGGGCTCGGGCTCCGGTAAGTAGCGGGGTCCGGGGCGGGGAGGGGTTTGCACGGAGGGGGAGGGGGCCGGGCAGGGGAGGTTTCGGGTTTGGTTAATATGCAATGCCCGTAATTAGCATAATTTATATATTTATGATAAAGAGAAAAAAAGCCGCGGGGCCGGGGCGGCGGGATGCTGGGCCGGGGCGGCGGGGAGCTGCGGGAGCGGGACAGCGCGCGGTTGCCCAGCTGGGGCTAGACACCCGGGGGCCGCGCCCTCGCCCGCCCGCGGGCCGCTCTGGACCTGGAGCGGAGGGGGCGGCCGCCAGGTGGACCCGGTGGGGAACCCCGACCTGGCCCCTCCCCGTTTCTGCCCCTGGAGCCCTTGTGGGGTGCGGACCACAGGGGACGCTCTGTACACAGAACCAGTGGCGACCAGAAGCGGATCCTTGCCTCTCTGGAGAACACGGACGCCTGGGTTCCCGGCGGTTAGGGCCAGCTGGGGCGGCCAGGGTGACCTGTCACGGTTCTCCCGAATGAACAAACTCCGGGACGACCGGTGGGACCCGGGGGTAGGGACCCAGGCGTTGCTGGAAGGGTGGGTCAGTGATGGGAGGGCCACCTTCTAGCAGAGCATGAGCACTTCATAAATATTTAATATCGATATTATTATTAATAAATAGTCATAATAATGGGCCCGATGCAGGCTCCCTGGGCAGGCTCACCTGGCAAGGCCAAGGGAGCTCCCAGCATACCCTCTAACCTCCACTTTCGCGGCAGAATACCCCACTCAGCCCGACTGGAAGCCTAAAACCTTCACAGAATAGCCTCTGCGGCTGGGCAGGGGGAAATCAGAAGAGTTCGGGAAGCATTCCTGGGCCAAAGAAAAGAGGCTCTTTGCAGAGATTTTTAACCTCATCTGCCCTTCCCAAATTCCTTGTTCCAAAAGTAGAGGGCTGGTCTTCAATTGTTCATATACATGTGTCCCATGCCCCTTATTTAGCAATCTAAGGCAGCCACCATTGACTGGCAGAGGCCTTCTGAGGAATAATTCCATATATTCCATTTTCATTCAAGTCCTGGTCCTCAAAGTGATACTTCTGTGACCTGGTACTCCGCTTATCTGCTGTAGAACTTCATTTCTTCATTAGTTCAACAAAAATACCCACTCAGTGCCATGCTCTGAACAATTCAGACAAAACTTCTATCATGGAGTTTTTATTCTGGGGGTGGACAAGTAGATGCTAAACATTAAAACTAACAAGGTAATACCATAGAGTGATTGTGTGTCAGTGTGTGTGTATGTAGCCATTTATTCTGTTTTGTTCCTGGAAGTACTAGCTGGCAGTTAAGAAAAGTGACTCAGAAAAAATTTGCTCCTGTAAGGTTTTTCTGCATTTTGAAGGAACTTGGGATAAGCTCATATTCTTGTCCCCAAGATTTACTCACCATAAAATTATCAGAGTAATCTTTTACATTTTCTTTTTTTTGAGACAGAGTCTAGCTGATTTTTTTGTATCTTAGTAGAGATGGGGTTTCACCGTGTTGCCCAGGCTGGTCTCGAACTCCTTAGCTCAGGCAATCCAACCGTCTTGGCCTCCCAAAGTGCTGGGATTACAGGCGTGAGCCACCGTGCCTGGCCATCTTTTACATTTTTAAAATGCTTTATAATTTAAAACATTTTTATATGCATGCTTTACTTCAGTTCAAAATAATAGCAATGATAATAACAAACATATATATAGTGTTTGCTTCATGCTAGGCCCTGTTTTAAGTGCCTTCCATAAATATTATCAATTTAATCCTCACAATAACCCATGAGGTGGTTACTATAATTTGGTTCCATTTTGGATAAGGAAACGGAGGCTTATAGGGATTACCTCTAGTAGAAGCAGTACTCAAGCTGGGTCTTCTGCCTTTAAACCTGCCTTTGACCCCTCATGTCAAAATGAGGGTTCATGAGGCAGAAGAGAGAGTGGGATGCAGGAGAAACTGGCCACAGGAGGAAGGCTTGGAATGAGAAATTAGACGGGCGCTTTAGGAAGGGGCCAGTGTGGTCTGGGTTCTCCAGAACCCAATACTACACCTTGGAAATCTCTCTTTTTTTTTTTTTTTTTTTTTTGAGACAGGGTTTCACTCTGTCGCTCAGTCTGGAGTGCAGTGGCGCGATCTTGGTCTCACTGCAACCTCCACCTCCCGGGTTCAAGCAATTCTCCCACCTCGGCCTCCCAACTAGCTGGAACTATAGGCGCACACCACCATGCCTGGCTAATTTTTGTATTTTCAGTAGAGACGGGGTTTCACCATGTTGGCCAAGCTGGTCTTGAACTTCTGACCTCAAGTAATCCGCCCGCCTCGGCCTCCCAAAGTGCTAGGATTACAGACGTGAACCACCACACCCGGCCTGTACCACGTCTTTGAAATCATTTTTAAGTAGCCCCAGTACTGGAAATGGAGGCAAAACATTTGAAGTAGGGTGTGTGTTTTGAGGGAAAAGGTAGGAAATAATAAGAGGCTAAGTGATGTGGCTATGACGTGACCTCGTATCTTCAATTGTTTTCAGCCCATATTCATGAACCTAGTTATATACCAGATATTATCTTAGGCACCAGGGATATGATGATAAGCAGACATGATCCCTGCCTTCCTGGAGCTTACAGTCTACTAGGAACATACCTACTTTTCATTTTTCACATTTCTTTTTTTTTTCTTTTTTGAGACAGGTTCTCACTCTGCTGTCACCCAGGATGGGGTGCAGTGGCACAATCTTGGCTCACTGCAGCTTCACCTTCTTGGGCTCAAGCGATTCTCTGGCCTCAGCCTCCCAAGTAGCTGGGACTACAGGCCTGCGCCACCACACCCAGCTAATTTTTTATTTGTTTGTTTGGGTTTGTTATGTTTTGGTAGAGATAGGGTTGCACCATGTTGGCCAGGCTGCCCTCCAACTCCTGACCTCAAGTGATCCACCCGCCTCAGCCTCCCAAAGTGCTGGGATTACAGGTGTGAGCTACTACCCTTGACTCTACTCTCCTATTTATTTGGTCACCTCATCATTCTTTTTCCTTTCTCTGGCCTGTGTGTGCCTAGCTGTTAGCCTACCAACAGCTTGGCAAGACTGTTATCTCTGCTCATGGTTCAGGGTGTGGGGACAGGCGTCGGTGTGGAGCAGAATTGAGATCCTCTGTTTTCCAGTGTGTCCTGAGCCTTGGGGACCAGAGCAGTCCCCATCAGCCTTACCCCCATTTCCTGAGAGGAGGTTCTGTGTGGTGTCAGGAGGATGGGGTCCGGGGCAGGTCGACAGAGCCTTGAAGTTTGAATCTGCCACTGACTCTCCTGTGCCCTTGGTCAAGTCACCTGACCTCTCTCTACCTCTATGTACATATAGATAAAAATGAAGATGATTGTGGTAAGAGTCATGCTAAGCATTTCATTTACATGATCTCATATCACCATCATAACAATCCCATAGGGCTTGCCTATTTAATCACCATTTTATTTATTTATTTATTTATTTATTTTTATTTATTTATTTTTTTGACATAGAGTCTCACTGTGTCTCCCAGACAGGAGTGCAATGGCATGATCTCGGCTCACTGCAACCTCCGCCTCCCGGTTCAAGCGATTCTCCTGCCTTAGCTACCCAAGTAACTGAGATTACAGGCACCCGCCACCACACCCAGCTAAGTTTTGTATTTTTAGTAGAGATGGGGTTTCCCCATGTTGGCCAGGCTGGTCTTGAACTCCTGACCTCAGGTGATCCTCCTGCCTTGGCCTCCCAAAGTGCTGGAATTACAGGTGTGAGCCACTGCGCCTGGCCTAGTCACCATTTTAAAGATAACGAAATTAGGCCGGATGTGGTGGCTCACGCCTGTAATCCCAGAACTTTGGGAGGCCGAGGTGGGCAGATCACAAAGTCAGGAGTTCGAGACCAGCCTGGCCAATATGGGGAAACCCCGTCTCTACTAAAAATACAAAAATTAGCTGAGCAAGGTGGTGGGCGCCTGTAGTCCCAGCTACTCGGGAGGTTGAGGCAGGAGAATCGTTTGAACCTGGGAGGCAGAGGTTGCAGTTAGCCGAGATCATGCCACTGCACTCCAGCCTGGGCAACAAGAGCAAGTCCTCGTCTCAAAAAAATAAAATAAAATAAAATAAACCATAGAAATGGGCCAGGTATGGTGGCTCATGCCAGTAATACCAGCACTTTGGGAGGCTGAGGTGGGAAGATAATTTGAGCCCAGGAGTTGGAAACCAGCTTAGGCAACATGGAAAGACCCTGTCTCTGAAAAAAAATGATAATAAAACCAGAAATGGATCTGAGTTTAAAAGTCTGAATCCCATACAAGTTCCATTTTCCTACATAGGACAAGATTCTTTTACATAAAATTTCATGTCTGAAATACAGGCCTCCCTGGGAACAAGCACCACATAAAACTGCATTAGAGGCCGGGCGCGGTGGCTCACGCCTGTAATCCCAGCACTTTGGGAGGCCAAGGCGGGTGAATCATCTGAGGTCAGGAGTTCCTGACTAACCTGGGCAACATGGTGAAACCCCGTCTCTACTAAAAATACAAAAATCAGCCTGGTGCGGTGATGCGCACCTGTAGTCCCAGCTACTCAGGAGGCCGAGGCAGAAGAATTGCTTGAACCTGGGAGGCGGAGGTTGCAGTAAGCCGAGATCCCGCCGCTGCACTCCAACCTGGGTGACAGAGCGAGACTCCGCCTCGAAAAAAAAAAACAACTGCATTAGGTCATTAGGTGTTAGGTGTCCCTCTTGTAGATTCTTTACTGCTTTCTGTTCACCCACCATGAAACTTAAGCATACTGTATTGTAGTTACCTTCTTATTTCCTTGACTCCCATATTGGACTATAGCTTTCTTTTTTTTTTTTTTTTTTTTTTTTTGAGACGGAGTTTCACTCTTGTTGCCCAGGCTGGAGTGCAATGGTGCGATCTTGGCTCACCTCTGCCTCCCTGTTGTTCAAGCGATTCTCCTGCCTCAGCCTCCCGAGTAGCTGGGATTACAGGCATGTGCCACCACCCCAGGCTAATTTTGTATTTTTAGTAGAGACGGGGTTTCTCCATGTTGATCAGACTGGTCTCGAACTCCCGTCCTCAGGTGATCTACTCGCCTCAGCCTCCCAAAGTGCCGGGATTACAGGCAAGAACCACCACGCCCGGCCTGGACTATAGATTTCTTGACAAAGGTGGGAAATGTGTTTTCCCCATTGAATTCCCAGTGCCTAGCACATAGTAGCCACTGAAACATGCGTTGAAAAAACAAAGGTTTGGCTGGGCGCAGTGGCTCATGCCTGTAATCCCAGCACTTTGGGAAGCTGAGACAGGCAGATCACGAGGTCAGGAGTTCGAGACCAGCCTGGCCAACATGGTGAAACCCCGTCTCTACTAAAAATACAAAAATTAGCTGGGCATGGTGGCGCGCACCTGTAGTCCCAGCTACTCAGGAGGCTGAGGCAGGAGAATCACCTGAACCCGGGAGGCGGAGGTTGCGGTGAGCCGAGATTGTGCCACTGGACTCCAGCCTGGGTGACAGAGCCAGACTCCGTCTCAAACAAACAAACAAACAAACAAACAAAACAAAAAAAACAAAAAAAAAAACGAAAGGCAAGGCATTTCAGGATTTCTTCTAATAGGATCTCAGACTATTCTAGGGAGTTCTGATTTGTTTGGGATATCCCAGTTCTCCTCCTGGGTATCTTGGAATGTTGCACTAAGCCCAGAGCAGTTCCAGAGGAGAATGACAGGCAGAACTAGGTCCTCTAGCTCATTCTCCCCCGCTGAAAATCCTGCATGGCCCTGGACCTCTTTGGATTCTCAGGTGGTAGGCAAATGCCTTAGCACTTGCTGTTCCTTCTACCCCTGAGGCTGCTTGGGTTTTTGTTTGTATATTTATTTATTTATTAGGGACAAGGTCTTGCTCTGTCAAGGAGTGCAGGCTGGAGTGTAGTGGCGTGATCACGACTCACTGCAGCCTTGAACTCTGGGGCTCAATCAATCCTCCTACCTCAGCTTCCCAAGTGGCTGGAACCATAGGCGTGTACCACTACACCTGGCTAGTTTATTTTATTTTTTCAATTTTTTGTAGAGACAGAGTCTCCCTGCATTGCCCAGGAAGATATCAAACTCCTGAGCTCAAGCAATCCTCCCCCTTCAGCCTCCCAAAGCATTGAGATTGTAGGTGTGAGCTACTGTGCCCAGCCCTGCCTGCGTTTTTAGATGTTAGCAAGGAAAGCAAGGGATAAGTGAGCCATTTGCTAGCCAACCAGAGTGCCTTGCCAGCCCTGATCCAGGCGTTTTTCAAAGTCAACTCACTGGAGAAAGAAGGCAAAGGAGAGGGCCCTTGGTGGGCTCTGGCTCTCTCCCCAGCTTTAACCAGAGCAGCTCTGCTGTGATCTGTGTATGTATTGGGATTCTACTGCTGGGATGGGGACAGGAGCTCCTTCTCTTGAAACAGACAGCTGATTGTCTCTCCTCCCTGGCCTTCAGGCTGTGGGCACTGCACAGCATCATGGGCTTAAAGGAGGCCATCCAGATGTGCTATTTATGCAGTCATTGGGGAAATGGTCAAAAAGCAAACTGAAGAGGGCTGTCTAGTCACTGGAACCAAGCCACAGCCTGAGGCTCAAAAAAAATTTGGAAAGTTCCTGACAAGGAGATGGCAGCAGGTCCAGAGGAAAGTCTGCACAGATACCAAGCAAGGGGAACACACAGGGTACAGCTCAGAGTCAAAATGCTGAGTGTCTACTTGTCAGAGAGACGTTGATATCACATACATGTGTAATAGGAGCCATCTAAAGGTAAGACAGAGACAGACAAGGGAGTCTGAGATCTGAGACAAAGGAGGTCTTGGACTCTGCTCTGCCTGGATTTCTGGTGGGCTGAATGAAATCTGGTGGGTGGGTTGGAGTGGGCTTAGGTGTGGCTAGAGGCTATGTCTCAGGACTGACTTTGCCCTTGACTTAAAGGACCAGACACTGAGGACCCAGGTCCTCAAAGCTCGTCAAATTTTAAGGGTGAAAGGGATATCAGAATCACCCAAGCCTTATCACTACCTGAATCCTCCTAATAACACAGTCACAAAGTGGACGCTTGCCCCTGCTCAGCCACTCCCTGTGAGTGGCCATAGTTGGCAGCAAGGAGCCAGACGCCACAACAAGACTATGAGCAGACTTAACGCTCCTCTCAAGCAGATGCCTTGTTGTCCTACAAAGATTGGCTACTGCTGCCTTACGCCTAATGACCTTTGGAATTGGAAAATTCTTCTCCCCAAGAAATGTATGTATCAAGCTATAATGCACCCAGATTCACCTTGTGCAGCTTTCATTTCAATTTTGTCTCTTCCTCTTATTTTCTTTGCAAATGGCTTCTATGTGTAACGACTTTCATAGCTTATCCCAGTTCCTACCCAGAAGTGATGGTAAATTGCCAAGTTCTCTGAAAAACTCATGGAAGACTACCATGTACAAAATCTGGGGAGACAGGAGTTTAAGACTAGCCCTGGCAACATAGTGAGACCTCATATCTACCAAAAA